>NC_000017.11:33185980-34435980 GCF_000001405.40 Homo sapiens | reverse complement strand
AGTGAACTAGAATGCTTCTGTTGCTCATATCCAAGGTCCTGGCTGGATGCCTTGTAGGCAGCTCAATGATAGCGTGTAGAAACTTCTTTTTAATTAACTGCTTCTATGTTTGTCTCTATTACTTGCTTGTTTTGTGACGCTGGGCACATCACTTAACTTCTCTGCACCTCGTTTTTTCTCCTGTATAATGAGGGGAGGGAGGCTTCCTGGATTACTGGAAGGATTAAATGCCACTGTAGAGGTAAAGTGCCCTGCTCAGTGTCAAGCACATAATTGGCACTCAGTGATGACTAATGGATTAATTCTGTAACCACTGAGGACAAGTGGCATTACTTTCTTTTGAAATCACAAAGAACACAAGGCCTGCTAGTTTGTCAAGAAAGCATACTTTAGAGAAACTTGCTCGGGGGGTTACTGACTGAGAAGTCATTTTATCTCTCCTTGGCCTTCGAATTTGTCTCAAGGAAATGTGCAATTATTAGAAGAGATAAGATGACAGAAGGAATGGAAGGTGGCAGAATGCTCTCTGGGGCCAAGGGGTGAGCAGGAGGAGGAGGCCATGCAGAGGAGGGTGGAGGAAGAGCTGTGGAGGAGCGTGTGTGGGTTGCTTGTGGGAAGAGAGGGAGCAGGAAGGGCAAGGGGGGGAAGAGGGAAAGGAGGTAGGAGATGGAAGGAGGAAGAAGGGGAGACACAGAAACAGGGAGAGGAAGTGGAGAGAGGGAGGAGAGAAAGTGGTGGTGATAAAGATTCTGACTTCCATTCTTCACCCTTCATCATTTCCCTGACATCTCAACCTCCTCTTATGTCTGATTCTACACCTAAATAGCACCCTCCCCAAGGAACTCCTCCCCCACCCTGTCCCCACATTCAACCTGGGGACACATTGAACACTTCAGAGGTTTCTCTCCTTGGCCTGCAACCTTGGGGACAGGGCTCTCCCCACCAGGTCATTTCTCTCTCGTAGATTCTCCTTTCCTAGGTGGTGGTGACACAGGAAGTGCATGGGATAAGGACAACCCTGGTTTTGAATGTGGAGTCTCTCAGGTGTCAGCTGGTGACTTTGGGCCAATTCCAGACCTCTCTGCTCCTCTCTGTATGCAGTGTGGATGATGGTAACATCTGCCCTGCAGGAGCCCCTGTGTGTAAGCAGGAGGGCACCATCCTGACCCAAGTTCATGCAGTTAGTGCAGGGACCTCCCTGCATCACAGGAGAACCTCAGCATAGGAGGCAGGTATGTGCAACCAACTCAGTGCTACAGAGCCTGGTGACAAGCGAGGCAGACCCAGGGACAAGCCACTCATGATACTCTTGACTCTTCCCCATCTTTGTCTAGATGTTGGCCTTGAGCCATTAACAAGTCTCTCTTCTCCAAGGTTGCTCTGCCTGGGCAGCCTCCCCTGGAATCAAGAGAACAGGGAAGGAAAGAAAGGAGCCCATGCTGGGACCAGGCCAGTGTCAGTGAGCCTGTGTGCAACTCCATTGCATGCTCACATGGCCCAAGAGGCGGGTGGTATTGTGTTTTGTTAGAGGTGCTAACACCAAGGTTACTCAAGTTAAGTGACTTGCTGGACTCCTGCGGCCAGTGGAGCAAGGGATGGAGCACACAGAAGCCTGACCTCTTCTAGAGCACACCGGGTCCACTTTCTCAGTTCAGAAGCTTCTTTTTCATGGGCCCAGAAAGACCTAGAGAGTTTCACATCCCTTCTGACTCAGCAATCAGATCATTCTGTGACAGCTGGACTTTTGTAAACTCTAAGGCAACTTCCTTCCTCATACCATTGGCTCCCACTGTGTGCTTTTCTCCAGGAAGGTATGCTGACCACGCTTATGAACAGCAACCTGGATCATGGTGAAAAATAGCATAGATCAATAAGAATCGTGGGAATGGAGAACTAGGTGTTTGCCTGTCTAAAGCTAAGACACACATGCGGAACCCAACAGAAAGCAGCTTAACCTTAATCCAAAACTTAACTAATGTTTGCCAAGAAGTAGTTATTCCTGGAAAGCTAGCAACCAGTGACTTAGAATGTTGGGTCTTATCAGAAACCTGTGAAAGAAAAGAAAATTGTCATGGAAAAATAGCTTGTTTGCAACTTGGGAAGACCAAGAATAATGACCCATGAAAAAATCCAAAGGGAATCAGTTCTTAAAGGAAAGAAGACCCCCAGGGCAAGGTAGGGCTCCCTTCCCTCTCCCTGTCATCAAGGGACCTTTCCAACATGCATGCAGATTCTAAAAGGCAACACAGCATCTGGGTGAAGCTCGAAGACTTACGAGACTGCATATTTTGTAGGAATTAATATGGGTTTAACTTCGGCATTCCAGTGCTTCGTGCCAAAGTTTTCATCAGCTTGTGGAGAAATGAGAAAAACATGAGTGAGTCTTTCATAAAGTTAAATTTATTCATTATCAACAGGATTGTCCTTTCCCTGGAGTTATATCTTTCCTGCTTTCTTGGTTTGAAAATATCCTGTCACCCGTGAAAAGATAGTGATTATAGACTTGAGATGATTTCTCGGGTATCTACACTTAGAACTGCATAAAGCTGGTAATGCTATGTGAATCCTCCAATTTTCTCTTTAAAGATTTTGCTGCACCCATCAATGTATAGTAACAAACCTGCATGTTCTGCACATGTATCCCAGAACTTAAAAGTATATACATAAACCACAACAAACTCCTTAGCTTGTTAACTGTCATCTCATTCACACTTATGACTTTTATTTTCTTCCTTCTCCATTCATACCAATGATGTATCTGTCAACCTCCTTTTTTGCTGTTACAAAAAAAAAAAATTGCTGAACTACAGAATCCTCTAGTCTGAGAACCACGGGGCTGTACTTTGTCAGTTATCATTTATATCAACTCCTTTCCCAATCTTGGGACTTTTTTTTTTTGTTTGCTTTGTACAGATAGTCTTTGAAATTCAAATACCTCAATCTGTGTTTAAATTTAATAATCTTTAAAAAATGTTCATAAGGTAACATATATTATATTCCACATACCTGGTAATTTGGGAGAAGGAGACATTTCTTTTACAAGATCATATCTTTTTGCTTTTCTGTGTCTGTATGATGACTTGGTTTGAAGCATGTTCAGTCCTATAAAGACTCCATACACAACCCCATAGGCTCAAATTAGGTGATGAGTGTGAAGGGGAGGTGGGTGTGAAGAGGAGGGGGGTGTCTTAGCTCAGGCTGCCATAACAAACTTCTGTATCCTGGGTGGCTTAAACACCAAACATTTGGCCGGGTGTGGTGGCTCCTGCCTGTAATCCCAGCACTTTGGGATGCCAAGGCGGGCCAGATCACCTGAGGTCAGGAGCTTAAGACCAGTCTGACCAACATGGCAAAATCCCGTCTCTACTAAAAAAAATACAAAATTAGCTCGGCGTGGTGGTGGGTGCCTGTAATCCCAGCTACTCTACTTGGGAGGCTGAGGCAGCAGAATTGCTTGAACCCAGGAGGCAGAGGTTGCAGTGGGCCGAGACCATGCCACTGCACTCCAGCCTGGGCAAAAAAGAGTGAGACTCTGTCTCAAAAACAAATAAACAAACAAATAAACAAAAAAAAAACCCCAAACATTTATTTTTCACAGTTTGGAGATTGGAAGTCCTAGCTAGAGTGCCGCAGGGCTGGGTTCTTGATGAGCGCCTTATCCTTGTTTATAGACAGCCATCGTCTTGCTGTGTCCTCACATGGTGGAAGGAGAGTGAGCTCTTTGGCCTCTTCCTATCAAGGCACTAATCCCATTCATGAGGGCTCCACCCTCATGACCTAATTACCTCCCAAAGGCCCCACCTCCAAATACCATCACACAGGGATTAGGGCTTCAACATAAGTTGAAGGGGGTGAGTTGGCGGATGGGCACAAATATTCAGTGCATGGCTGGTGAAAGAGTGGAAGGGTAGAAGGATGGAAGAGAAAGATGATGAATTCCCAAGGTATCCTGAGACAGCTCAGATACGGGAAAAGCAAAATCATGGGCAAGAGGCTGCCAAATGTCTAGGGCTGGGAAGGTCAATGATGAGAGCCAAGTTCAAAAAGCAAGGTAAGGAGGATGTGTTAGAGAGATCAGTCATGGTGGATGCTAAAGGGATCCATGAAAGAGTGTTAATGGAGAGTGAGGAGTGCAGGGGCTCCCATCCGCTATGGCCTTCCTACATTACTGGTGGACGGTGCAAGGTCAGAAGCCTGGGTGCAGAGGCTGCATGTGCTCCTGGGCAGGGTAGGGGCTATGACCTAGTAACACTAGTAACAATAGTAGTTAGGGATATGACCTAGTAACATTAGTAACACTGCTATGTTACATACGATGGGAGCCCAGGCTAGAGTGCAGTGGTGCGATCTCAGCTTACTGCCAGCTCCGCCTCCTGGGTTCACGCCATTCTCCTGCCTCAGCCTCCCGAGTAGCTGGGACTACAGGTGCCCGCCACCATGCCTGGCTAATTTTTTGTATTTTTAGTAGAGACAGGGTTTCACCGTGTTAGCCAGGATGGTCTCCATCTCCTGACCTTGTGATCTTCCCACCTTGGTCTCCCAAAGTGCTGAGATTACAGGCGTGAGCCACCGCGCCCAGCCCCCTATTTCCTTCTTTCTGTTGAGAGAGTTTTGCTGGGGAAAGAACTGCAACCTTGCTTCTCACTCTCCACTTTTCCTTTCCCTCCTTCCACCACAAAGGAAGAGGAGTTGTAAAGTGACAGGTCAAATTCTGGACTCTCCTGGGAACATTAGAAAGTAGGCAGATATGCTGCCACCTAGGTGTAACATTCCCTGTGGGGCTGCATGTGTCTTTGTCTTAAACTGCTCAGACTGTTGTCACTAAGTGCCAAAGACTGAGTGGTTTAAACCTTAGAAATTCATGTCTCACAGTTCCAGAGGCTGGGGAACCAAGGTCAAGTTCCTGGCTGATTTGGTTCCTGGCTTGCAGACGGCAGTCTTCTACCTGTGAGCTCACATGGTGAGGGGTGGGGGGTGGGGGGCATGGGAAGGGTGGGAGAGAGAGAGAGAGAGCGAATGAGCTCTGGTGTCTATTCTTATAAGAACAAGAATCCTATATTATCAGGCCCCATCCTAATCCTCTCATTTAACCTTAATTGCCTCCCTATGGGCCCTATCTCCGAATACAGTTCCATCGGTGATTAGGGCTTCAGCATATGAATTTGGACTGAGGACACAGTTCAGCCCATAGCAATCCTCATGGACACATCCCAAGGCAGGCCCTATTTCTGAGTTCCATATAAAGTTGGCAAGAAGACAAGGCAGGTCCCCAAGAGGAAGGCCTCGCCTCATCCTCTAGACCCCATGTCAGGTGAATAATTCAGGCCTGCTTTCAGAATCAGAAGAGGAAATCAAAGTCTGGTTAGACCTCCAGGCTCAGCCATGCTCTCCAGCTCAGTTATCCCAGAAACACCTCCATGGGGGTTATTGAGCACTGCCTCAGATACTAATGAAATAATTCTTTGATTCCCAGCCTGCTGTGTTTCATGGCTTTAAATGCCAGCTATACGCTGATGATTCCAGGATGTGCGCCTGAGCTCGGGATCTGTATATCCATCGGTCTACTCAGCATCTCTTTAGGCCACCTTCTGGGCGTCTCATGCCACGTGCCCTAAGCTTAGCTGCTGACCCTGCCTTTCCAGACCTGCCTTTCCTGCATTGTCCCTGTCTCAGTGAATGGCAAGTCCATTTTTGGGGGGGCTCAGGCTGAACACTTTGGGGTCATTCATGACTTCTCTTTTTCTCCCAAGCTATAATCAGCCAGCTAATTTTGCCAGCTCTGCATCTAAAATATTTCCAGAATCCAAGCACCTCCCACCATTCCTGCTACCCCACTCTGGTCTGAGCCACCATCATCTCTGTGCTGTGGGTCACCGAAGAGCCTCTTAACTGATCTCCCCACCGTCCGAGTTTCTACTCTGTCCCTGCACCCAGCATCATGGTCCATTCTCCATCAGAGCAACTCTGTTAACACACAGGCCAGATTGTATTGCTCACTCCAAACCTTTCAGTGACTTCCCTTCTTTCTCTGTTCTACACGTGCAAATGCATGCACACATGCACACCTTACCATGACTTACAGACTCCACAAGGTCTGGCTCCCTCTTTCCTCTCCGACTTTATCGCGTGGTACTTTCTTCCTTTTTTTTTTCTCACGCATGGTCTCCTGGCTAGTCCTTGAAGGTCCTGCTTCTACCTTGGGGCCTTTGGAATGTGTTCTGTTTCCCTGAATCACTCCTCTCCCAGATGCTCCCATGAAGACCTCCCTCACTTTCTTCAGGTCTTGATGCAGTGAGGTCTTTGTGACTCCTTTCCCTGAAATTTCAACCTTTGACATTTTATATACCCCTTGACTGCTTAATCTTTTTTCTCCCTGGCCTGCCAGTTGTCCTTATCTGATACTGTATGTATTTATTGTCTTGTGTATCGTCTGTCTCTCCAACAGGAATATGAGTGCCCTGCAAAATTTTATCTATTTGCTCACTGGTCCCTAGAACAGTTCTGGCACATATGAGGTGCCCCACAAATATTCGTTGAGACAATGAATGAATTAAGCACACCAAAAGCTGCTTGACACCGTTAGTCATCAAGAAATGCAAATCGAAACCACAGCAAGACACCACTTCATAGTACTCCAGTGGTCATTATCAAAAAAACATACAATGACAAGTGCTAGAAAGGATGGGACGAAATGGGATCCTCACGCATTGCTGGCTGGATTGTAAAATGGTGCAGCCAATTTCCAAAAACAGTTTGGCAGTTTCTTAAAAAATTAAACATAAATTTACTATACCACCCAGCAATTCCACTCCTAGGTATATACCTAAGAGAAATGAAGCCTTTTATCCACACAAAGACTTGTATGCAAATACTCCCACCAGCTTTATTCATAATTGCCCAAAATGGAAACTATTCAAACGTCCATCAACAGGAGAATGGTTAAACAAGATGTGGTATATCCATACCGTGGGATCTTGTTCAACAATCAAAAGGAATGAAATACTGATGCATGCTACAACATGGATGAATCTCAAACACATGCTAAATGAAAGTAGGCAGACACACACACACAAACATATATTGTAAGACTCCACTCATATAAAATGTCCTGGAAAAGGCAAATCTAGAGAGACAGAAAGCAGATTAGGGGTCATCTAGGGATGGAGGTGAGAAGTTGAATTAACTGTAAATGAAGGTGATAAAAATGTTCTAAAGGGGGATGGTTGGTGATGGTTGCATAACTTGGTAGATTTCCTAAAAAATCATTGTATTTAATAATTAAATGCTTAAAAATGGGTGAATTGTGGCCGGGTGCAATGGCTCACACCTGTAATCCCAGCACTTTGGGAGGCCGAGGCAGGCAGATCGCAAGGTCAGGAGATCGACAACATCCTGGCTAACACAGTGAAACCCCGTCTCTACTAAAAATGCAAAAAATTAGCCAGGTGTGGTGGTGGACACCTGTAGTCCCAGCTACTTGGGAGGCTGAGGCTGAGGCAGGAGAATGGCGTGAACCTGGGAGGTGGAGTTTGCAGTGAGCTGAGATCGCGCCAATGCACTCCAGCCTGGGCAACAGAGCGAGACTCTGTCTCAAAACAAACAAACAAAGAAAAATGGTGAATTGTATTGTATGTAAATTATATCTCAATGATGTTGTTTTAAGTAAATGAATGAATGGATGCCCCTTGTGTACAGAGCCCTTAATCAGGAGTCCTGGGAGGTAAGGGGATGGGTGGGGTGGGCGGGAATAAAAGGGGGACATAGGCTTTTCTGGTCCTTTCCTCCTGATCAGCTACATGGATAAAAGCTCCTCTCTGCTCACAGAGTGTGAGCAGAATAGGGATGGGGCAGGAGCTTGGCAAATCCTTGGTGCTCTCAGAGCCATGTGGGCCTCAACACAGAGACAGGCTTAGAGACCAGGCCTCCGACCAAGTCTGAGGAGGGAGGGAGGGAGGGAGGGAGGAGAGGTGGAGGGCTGAGGAAGGTGGGCGGGGGGCACAAAAGGAAGATCTGGAGTCAGCAAAGGCTTCAGAGAAACAGAAGGGCAGCCAAGGGAAGAAATAAAAGCTGCAGAGAGCCTTGGGGCCTCCAAAGGGAATAAGAAGGGCGTTTTACAAATATATCAGGGGAAAAGAGATACTTGAAAGCCGCCTGGCCCATTAATAAATGAGAAGGGAAATAAAATTAATGATGATGATAAAAATGGCTGAGCTGCTGAAGTGCTTTGTAATATTGGTCTTTAACAAGGAAATGAAAAAAATCCTAGGGATGGGCAATTAGAAAGGGACAGAAGGCTTGTCAATATAGTTGATTAAAGGTAGGAAAGAGAATACTTAGAACATTTGGATGACGCCTACCTGGACCAAATCACCATGTCCGGATATAGGCCTTGGGGTCTGAAGGGAATTAGCTGAGGAAATTATTAAACTGTTGGCAGGAATTTTAATTTCATAGATTTGGGGGCAGGGGAGGCAGAATCAATGAAGATTCAGGAGCTGGGGATAGAAAAGGGAGAGGAAATGATATAGGTTGAGCTCCTTTGTTGGGCCAGGCACCAGGCTGAGTGTGTTACACACCTTCTATCATTTAATCCCCACCCCTTCTGCAGCTCCGAGTGGTTACTATGATCAGCCCATTTGACAGGCAGTGAAGCTGAGGCTCAAGAGTTTATGTGACTCTCCAAGATGACTCAACTAGCAGATGGTGGTGCCAGAACTTGAACCCGTATTTTTCTGATTCCGAAGAGGATTCTTTTCCATCTACCAGCTGCTTATTCTGACTCTAAATATTGGATTCCACATCTCAGAAGGAAAGACAACCACCCACCTGCCAATGACCTACTTCTGACAATCCTTTTTTGCCTTGAAGCCTTGGGAGTCTAATGACATAGACAGAGGGTGGTCTTATTTTCACTGTGAGGGGTTTAGAGAAGATTTCAGAATGTGCCTGTTGAGGAGAAAGAAACGAGGCAGAGGTTGAGGAATCATGACATCAGGGTCATCGGGGTTTTCAGTTTCTTAGAGTCCAAAGTCCTTATCATACCGGTGGGAAACAGCCATAGCCAGGCCTGCTGACTTGAGGGCTAAGGCTTTGTTCCCTGCACTGTGTGGCTAAAGGTCATCATTTGTCCTGGTCCCTGGCTTCTATCTTCCACCATCCAGTGTCTGTCTTCGGCTTGCATTCTCAGCATCGGCTCTGTCCCCTTCTCTCTGCTTTTGGTACCATAACCTGTGGCTCACATTAGTGTCTTCTATAAACTTATTTTGTCTCTGTTGCTGTTTTGTTAACCCAGATGCCCGGGGAAAAAAGGGTGGGGAGGAGGTGAGAAGGAGAAGCTCATGAGACTACAAGTGTGAGCCCATTCATTCCTCTCTTTCCTGTCCCACTGGGGTCCTACCATTCTGGGATCCTGTGCATGGGGTGATGGGGACCCACCTGTGATCAGTTGAAATACTGGCCCATTTCTTTACACCCCCTCCCCTAACCCTTTTCATGATGTCTTCTCATGTCCTGTTTACTTCCTTGCTTCCTGACTTTGGGTTTGACCATGTGACTTGCTTTGGTCAAGGAGATGTTAGTAATATGACAGAAGCTTTTATGTGTTTGGGCATCTCCTCTTGTACCTCTCCCACTGCCATAAAATGAGCATATCCCAGCTAGCCCACCAGCCCAGGGTGGGTGACAGATGCTTGGAGGAGGCTTTTCCAGTCAACCCTCCATCTTGCAGCGAGAAGCAGGGCTGTGGCTTGAAGCAGAATTGCCTGGCTGAACTTAGATCACCAAGCCATAGCTGACTTGAATACCTTTGAGAATGAAGGCTAATTTATATGCACCACTGAGACTTTTGTGGCTGTTACACGGCCATAGCTAACGGATACACAAGCCGTCTACACAATGTGTTTGACAGTTCTCCAGTCCCTATCTGAAATCTCTTCTTACTTTAATTCATTAAAGTTAAAAGAAGATTACTGAGCACCCACTAGGTGCCCTTTCCAAGGTTAGGCAGGATGTATGTACAGGTTTTGATTTCTGTCTTTGAGGCGCTCATCCTGGGGGAGTCAGGAAAGCAAACAAATTGTTATGAGATAGGACATCAATGAAAGTATCCTGGAGGAAAAAGGCCTCTGAGTCAAACCTTAAAGTAGGAGGAAGGGGTAGGGTGCTCAAGGTGGAACACACAGGATGCACAAGGGCACAAGGTCATAAAGCAAGCTGGGTTGTTTGTGGAACCTAAGACCATCTTTGTGCTGGAATGTAAACTCCAGCATGGAGAGGCGGGCAGAGCCCAGGCCTGGCTAGGACATTTTACAAGTCCTGGGCCAAATGTTTTTTATAAAAAAAAAAAAAAAGGACATCAACTGTGGCAATTTATGACCAGATGATGAAGTCCAGGGATACTCCATTAAATAAAAAAGTGGCACAAGATGTGATAAACCTCAAAGAAACAAGAAGAGAATAAAAAGACTCTTGGTCCCACTGCTGATGCAATAAACAGCATAATCCAGGCATGGCACAGGCACAGAAGTAATTACACCATGACACCTGCTCCTGCAAGTCAGGCTGGGGTCTGGCAGGCTCTGTGCGGGGCTGCTGATGTGGAGCCCACCCTCGGCTGAGCTGGTGGAGCTGCGGTGGAAAGGGCTGCTGTGCCACCTCCTCCCGCCCAGCTGCTGACCTGGCCCCTCTGCCCGGCACTGCCCTCACCCCACCGTACCCCCAACCCTCTGGAGATGCAGACCTTCCCCTTGGCTCCTCAGGGTGTCGCTGCCCCTCTGACTTTTGTGAGTGTTGCCCGCTCTTTGCAGGGGGAGGTGGTAGGGAGGGGAAGGTGAGCAGGCTAGGGGCCATATGGTGATGAACAGAGCCTCTCCCTTGGGCCCATCCCTCTCCTTCTGACTCCCCCTCCAGGAGTTGGGGAGCCCAGCCCAAGTATGTGTGATTTCAGAGTTAATCTGTCTGCACTAATTAAATATTGACGGCTGTTAAATATTCATGGGGCATTTTAGTTGCCAGGTCTGATGTCTCCAGGCCCTGCTGGCTGCAGCTCTGCGGATCGGCTCTTTCAGCTGGCGGTCACTTTGCGCTCCTGCCCTTCTCCTCCCCCACCCTCTTTCTCTCACCCGGATGTTCCCAGCTGCTCCCTGGGGCCTCCCTGGGTCTCAGGTATCTCTCCTTGCATCTTAGGTCACTTCTTCCCCCACCTTGGGACACCCCCCCCCCCGCCCCCGCCTTTAGCTCACTTGTGTAGAATTCGAGGGGTTGCAGCTTTGGGTTTGGGGGCTTGGTGGGACGAGCAGCAGAGGGAATGTGGCCTGCGGTGTAGGAAGGGCTTAGGCTCAGGTGCTACTGAGAAGCCAGGTGAGTGGCATCCGGCGAGGGCTTCCTTCTGGGAACTTCCATTAGTAGCTAGGAGCGCCAGGCTCTGGGAGGTGCTGGGATGAGGCCGGGAAACAGCACATCTCTTCTCCGCGGAGTGAGGAGGTGCCCCGCAAAGAGGTGGTTCTGGTCCTCAGGAAACACTGTTATGGGGGCAGGGCAGGGGTTGTCTGGTGTACAGCTTGCTGGGGTCGCCCACTAGACTCAACCAGACCGGGGGAGGCAGCACTCAGGGAGGCTCCCCAGAGCGTGATGTCAGGCCAAATCCGAGAGACGAGCAGGAATTAGCCAAGTCAGTAAAAGAGGGTTTGCGAGGAGACGGGTTCCTGTTAAGGGAACAGCATAAGCGAACCGCCTGGACTAGAGGGAGAGGATGGCCCAGCAGCGAATGGCAGGCGTTCTCAGGAGCAGAGGAGAGAAGCGGGCAGGCTGCAGGGGCAGTGTTGCATGCCGGGCTGGGGCTGGGCGTCGGCTGCTTCCTCCTCCTCCCCTCCTCTCCCTCTCGCACTCTCTGATCCTCCATCCCTCCGTCTCCACTCTGACTCCCTGTCTGAGACTCTTTTTGCTCCACCTGGCTGCCTGCCCTGCACTGTCTCACCCCAATAAGTGGTCACCTCTGCCCTTCCTGAAGGAGGGGCGGAGTCAGAGCACACCACCCTGGGGGTGGAGGCAGCAGGAGGTGGCCTCCATGCCCGTCAGGAAGTCAGTTCCTCTCTGTTTTCTTTCCGAGTGTCACGCAGTCCCAAAGCGGGGGTCAGCACCTTCTGAGCCTCAGCACCTCTGATTTTTTTTATTATACTTTAAGTTTTAGGGTACGTGTGCACAACATGCAGGTTAGTTACATATGTATACATGTGCCATGTTGGTGTGCTGCACCCATCAACTTGTCATTTAACATTAGGTATATCTCCTAATGCTATCCCTCCCCGCTCCCCCCACCCCACAACAGACACATGCACACGTATGTTTATTGCGGCACTATTCACAATAGCAAAGACTTGGAACCGACCCAAATGTCCAACAATGATAGACTGGATTAAGAAAATGTGGCACATATACACCATGGAATACTATGCAGCCGTAAAAAATGATGAGTTCATGTCCTTTGTAGGGACATGGATGAAGCTGGAAACCATCATTCTCAGCAAACTATCGCAAGGACAAAAAACCAAACACCGCATGTTCTCACTCATAGGTGGGAATTGAACAATGAGAACACATGGACACAGGAAGGGGAGCACCTCTGATTTTCTGAAGGGCTGTGTGACTCCAGGTAAAGAGGCTGCATTTGGAGCCAGTCAGCAGCATCTAGCCCCGGCTCCCTAAGGCAAAGAGGTGCTATTCAGGCCCTCCCAGGCACCTGGGCTTTGTGCCAGGCTCTGGGCCCAGTGCTGGCCTCACCCTACTGTGTAACTTCCCACCTCAGTGCAGGGGCTGGAGTGTCAGAGCTGGCCCCTCACCCTACTGCATGTGCAGTTCTGGTTATGTGGGGTCTGTGAGGTCCAGGGAGACATGACCAGAGTGACGGTGTGTGTCAGCTCCCCCCCCTCCAAAGGTGTGAAGGCACCTGCACTGAACTTTGGGTCCAAGGGAATCTGAAAATCTAGGCTGCTTCACTTTGGATAATACTAAAAACAACAATATTGATCATAATAATGTTTGTTGAGTGCTGGCTATTGTGTTAAGCACTTTACATGCATGATTTCATTTAATCCTCTCTCAACTCTATAAGCTAGACAGTTTTATTACCCACATCTCACATAGAAGAAAATAGAAATTCAGAGAGGTCGAGAAACCTGTCCATGGTCACACAGGAAAGGATGGAGCTAGAGTTTGAACTCTAGGCAGTTTCATTCCAGAGTCCATGCCCTTAAGGTCTATGCCAGTCTTTTTCAAACTTCCCCAAGACAAAAATTGCCTTGGGAGCCTGCTAAAATACTGATTCCAGCTCCCTCTTGGACCCACTGAATCTCAGTTGGCCGGGGAGTGCCTGGGAAGGGGATGGGTACCAAGTGCAGCAGGGACAGGTGCTGTCTGCCTGTGGGCTGGTGGTCTCTTCTTCCTGGGGACAGAGGGATGAGGGGGGCATCAGCTTAGGATCAGAATCCCCCACCTGAGGAATCTGGCTGCTTTGATGTTTATCACAGTTCTCTTTAAGATGCAGCCTGCTTTGCTGGTGCTAGTAGAGTCGGAAAGAGTTTGTGTTCTCCCTTGGGCAGGAGTTAAAAAGCAGGGGCTGTTAAGCACAGGCCACCTTGATGGTGGTGGCAGCAGCAGAAAACAGAGTGAGGGATGAGAGGAAGGAGAAGCTCAGGGGACACCCACACCCTTTTTGATGGGAATGAAGTCAGAAAGAGCTGCACTGCGGTCACCTCTCACTAGCTGTGAGGTCTCGGATAAGCAACTGTTTGCCTTTGAGTGTCAACATTCTCACCTGCAAAATGGGCTAGTAACATTATTTACCCAACAGCATTATTATAAGCATCAAATGGGATATGTAAAGCACACAACAGTGGTAACTGATCCTTAGAGAGCTCTTACTAAGTGTCAATCATTATTCTGGGTGCTTTGCATATATCAACTCACTTAATCCTCATAACAGCCCTACCAGGCTAGTATTGTTACTATCCTCAATTTCCAGTTGTGAAACTGAGGCATGAAGATATTAACGGACTTAACTGCAGTCCCACAGGAAGTAAGCGGTGAAACTGGGATTTAAGCCCAATGTGTTGGGCTCCAGAGTCCATCCTCTTAACCCTAATAGGTGTCCAATAACTGTCAGTCTCCCTCCCTCCACTTTTCTCAAACTCCAGGGAAATTCTCTGTTCTGTTTTGGACAAAGTCAACTCTTTCTTGGAAGATCTTCTTAGGAAAGCCAACTGGGCTGAGACTGGATTTCTCCCTAGTAAACTCAGGATTTGTCGGAACTCACTCTCTTCATTCACTCATTCATCACTCCATAACTACTTATTGATCACTTACTGTGTGCCGTGCCCTGGAGAGACAGCAGTGGACAAATTAGACTAAAAAAAAAAATCCCTTTCCCTAGTGAGACCACAATTGGACATAGAAAGGCAACAGATAAGAAACTACAACATCTAGTAGATCAGTTTGCCATAACTGCTATGGAAGAAAATAAGCCAAGAAACAGGGCTGGGAGGGGAAGCTGGGGAAGGTCCATGGAACATCAGGAATAAACATGAAGCGGGCTTGTGCCTGGCGTGTCTGGAGGAAGAGGGAACCAGCATGCTGGGGTGTGGGCTGGGGGTTGTTGGAGATGTCAGAGAGGCGATGATGGAGGGAGTGGAGCATGGTGGGCCCTGTTGGCCTTGTAAGATTTTTGGTCATTGTCTGAGAGAGATGGAAGCCATTAGCAGACTCTTCACTAGAGAAGTGGTAGGACCAGAGTCCTCATGGCTTAGGATTCCTTCAGCTGCCGTGAGAATAGACAAAGGGCAAGAGGTGAAATCAGGGGATCAGTTTGGAGGCTGCTGCCATAGATAGCCCAGGTGACAGATGATGGTGGCCTGCACCAAGGTGTTAGCGCAGATAAGATGCTCATGCGGGTTAGAGGTAGAGCCTGGAGTATCTGCTGACAGACTGAATATAGGTTAGTGAGAGGAAAAGTGAGGCCAAGGTTTTAGGCCTGGACCATTGGAAGGATGGAGTCACCATTTGCTGAGATGGTAAGGACTGGGATAGAGTGAGTTTGGGGAGGAGGGAAGGGAAGGATCCCAGGAGTTCAAGTTTGGCTGTGTTAAGCTTCAGAGGCCTATTAATTAGATCTTCACATGGAGATTCAGGTAGGTGATTGAAATACATGTATGGCATTTAAGAGATGTGTGGGCTAGATATATAAATTTGGGAGTTATCAGCATGTAGATGATTTTTAAAATCATGATCCTAGATGAGAACACACAAGGAGAATAGATAGGAAATAGAGAATAGGTCTGAGCACTGAGCCCTGGGAACAGCAATATTTATAGATCGGGGAGATGACAAGGAACTAGCAGGAGAGACTGTGGCCCTGTCACCGCAGCCCCAAGAGCCAGGCAAGGACCCCTGGCTCTGGCATTGGGATCTCCTCTTTCCTGGACTCCGTTGTGTGCTTTTGGCAGGCCTTTTCTGCCCTCTAGTGGTCATGACTGAGAATGCATCCAACCGAGCTGGCACCCTAGCCACCTTTCTGCGTTTCTTCTTGTTCAAGTCACTCATTCATTCAGCAGACAGTTTCTACTAAGCACCTACTATGTGCTGGGAACTGACAAGCACAGAAGATGATAAAATACTCTCTCAGAAATCACCACATAGTGTAAAAAAAGACGCACAAACACAACATTTAGACAGTGGCTCTCAGCTGGGGATGATTTGGTTAGTATCTGGAGACATTTTTTCAGTTGTTACAATCAGATGGGGGTAGGGTGGGTTGCTACTGGCATCTGGTGGGTAGAGGCCAGGAATGTTACAAAAGATTCTGTGATGCGCAGGACATCTTCCTGCAACAAGGAATTATCTGGCCCAAAATGTCAATAAGTGCCAGGGTTGAGAAGCTGTGATCCAAGAAAAGGTGTCAGGTGCTATAATAAAGGTATTAGCCAAGCCGTTTGGATGCAGAGGCAAAAGGAATTAAACTTGTTTTTGGGCCGTAAGGAAGGCTATAATTCTTAGAAACTGTGAGGTTTCAACTTGTCTTGAAGGACGAGTAGAGATTAGCCAGGTAGAAAGAAGAGGGATGAAAAAATAGATGATGGAAACATTACTCAAATCATGTCACAAAAGAACCTGGCTTGGCCAGGAAAAGCACAGGTCCAGGTGTATCTGGGGCAGCCTCAGTTTACACAAGGTGTTCCCGCATAACTATTCATTGAGTCCCCTCTGGGCTTCAATGTGTCCCAGTTTGGAAGATAGAATCTATGGCCACCTTGTGCCCGGCAGGCTCCGGGCAAACAGGATGAGGAAGAATAGTCTTGCCTCAGAGAGGCCAGAGGAGAGGCTGCCATAAAGACCCAGGGGCAGATGTCTAGAGCAACCCGCCCAGTGCTTTGCCTCCCATAATCCCAGTCTTCAGGAAGCACTGGAGACAATAGGGCCAAGGGCTATGGGTAGGGATAAGGAGACACGAGAACTCTCCCTTCCAAGGCACGGAGGCCTGGAGAGATGATCTGGCCTCTCTGGGCCTCTGCTGGGCCTTCCTCCTCCTACCCTCTCAGACAGAGGTAATGATTGGGTTGTGTGCACAAGCCAGGGGTAGGGGTCAGGCAGGAGGATGGGCTTCTGTCTGAACTCTGCTGCTGACAGCTATGTGACCTAGGGCACATCACAGCTCTTTCTGGCTTTGGTTTCTCCATCTGTCCCAGGAGCAGGTGGACCAGATTGTCTCCAAAGGCCTCTCAGGCTCTCACCTCCTATGTTCTTGCACATTCTAATCCTGAACCCCCTTGAGGAGTGGATTCTGCAGCCAGATTGTCATGACTCAGTGCCTCAGTGATCAGCTAGTAGGGGCCACTTTCTCTTCCCAGGACCTGGGTCTTTAATGAAATGAGAACAAGTCTATCCACTTAGAGAAGGCAGTGCTTCGGGGCATGGGTCATCAAGACCACTGCTGAAATCTATGGACTGTATTGGACCATACAGCTGTGGACTCCCAAGGAGCTGTTAGCCCTCTGCCTGGGACCCCCCACAAGGCTGGGTCAACCATGGCAGAGCCAAGCATGAGAGAGCCTGGTACATGTCTGAGGGAGCTGTTCAGGGCTCCTGTCTGCCCAGCCGTGTTTCTGGAGAGAGGGCAAACAGGCTTTGCCACAGAAAAAGCAGAAAGGGCGCAGCCCCAAGAGCCATCAGAGAGAACACTCTCTTGCTATTTGCAGATGGCTTAACTCGAGTGGGCAGAAATGACAGCAGATGGGCTGAGGCAGGCCTGAGCGGGAGCAGCATGGCTAACAAGACAAACTCCCAGCTATGTATAGTGATTTACAGCTTAAAGAGTGTGTACCCACAGGCAGGGCAAAGTGGGGAGATGGTCCCCATGAATGGGACTGAAGTTCAGAGAGGTGAATTCCTTGGGCAAGTACAAGGCTGAGTATGCGGGGGCAGAACCTGGACATTATGATATTATTTGGGTCTGTTTCTGGGACATCTATTCTGAAGCCTTTTCATTGACAGAGGAGAGTGCTGAGGTCTGGAGAGACAAATGGATTTGCCACAGGTCATCCAGCTACAGTGAAACACCTGGAACCCGATTGGATGCCTGGCAGAGGAGCAGTCATACACCCTCATTCCTCCTTTACTTCAAAAACTATCCATCCACGTACATTACACTGTCTGTGTACAACATCGCCAACAGCTAACATTACGCAGAATTTTATTCCATTGTAAAAATAACACTTACAAAAGTTTAGAAAATAAAGCAAAGTAGAAAGAAAAAATTATCCCGCTTGCCAAGCATTAACTTTTGGGTACATTTACTTTTCTTTGTTTTGCCTGCTTGTAATTCTTTTTTCCCCCTTTTTCACATAGTTGAGTTCATACTGACTGTACAAATTCTCCATATCCTGATTTCACTCACACTATCATAAGTGTTTTCCATGTTATTACACGTACTTCATAAATGCTGTTCTGAAGGCAACAAGCTCACTGAACCGACCCCTGATTGTTGGACATTTAGACTGTTTTCAATTTTTCACTGTTACACGCAATGCTTCAAAGAACAGCTTCATGTAAGATGGCTTTGAATGTTTAGGATAATTTTCCTGGGCTGGCATATTAGAGAGAATACTTTTAACATGTCTACAGGCTGGCATATTAGAGAGAATAGTGGTAACATGTGTGCCAGGGTCTCTTATGGTTGGCTCTGCCATGGTTGACCCAGGCTTGTGGGGGTCCTAGGCAGAGAGCTAACAGATCCCCTTTCCTCTTTCTGCAACCTTTCCTGAAGTCTATGATGATTTCTTATTCTCACTTACTCCCTTAGAACCCATGAGTTCTTTCCCAAGACAATTCCATTAAAATTTGTCCCATTAGCCAGGACACTCTTTCCACTGAAAGTGAGTGAAAAAAAAATTACCTCCAAAATTATATTGATTAAAAATGAAATGTATTGGTTCAATAACCTGAAAAGTCTCTAGCTTCAGGTGTAACTGGATCCATGTGCTTAAGTAATGTGATCAGGGCCTGGATTTATACTGCCTCTCAGCCTGGTTCTGTTGGCTCAATCCTCAAGCCCTACATACTGGCAAAATGGTTGTAGATCAGTTTCAGCGTGCCTGTTTCCAGGCCTGCAGAAAAGAGCAAAGTTTTCTCTCTGGTACCTCCTACATAAGCCCCAGAATTCACTCCGATTGGACTAACTTAGATTGCTCACTCTCTCCTGAAATAATCAATCACCAGAGACATGGCCTCACCTTAAGCTCAGAGAGCTTGGATAAAATACTTTGTGCGTGGAGCTGGGGTTAGCTCATTTGTCCCAGAGCCCATAGGTTAGGAGAGGTGATTCCTGCAAAGCGTGTGTGGGGCATTAGTTACAAGAAAAGGGAATGGATCCTGGAGGGAGAAGGAAACACAAAACAACAGCTGCCGCTCTATTTGGGGAAAGACTCTTGTCTCAGAAGCACAGCATTTTGGACCTGAAGAGTCCTGCAAACACATCCCCCTCCTATCCCAAAGAGAAGTCCCCATAAAGGCTACCCAGGTCTCCTCTCTAAAATGCTGCACAGCTCCAGGGGAATTTGGCTCCAGTCCAGGTACTGAGTTATCCCCTACTTTGTGACTTATGTGAATTGTTCTGTTAACCAATTTCAGGCCCTGAAAGCAAAATAAGAATTTCAACTATGTGTTACTTAAGAGGATATTTATTACATTTAACTGAAATGGTCCCTTTCTAAGAAGAGAACTCTATACGCCAGCCACAAGCAAAATGGCACCTGCTGTTGAGCTGGCTGGGTGGGCCTCCCAGCAAGCTGCCTTCCCTGTCTCTGCTGCCCAGTCACTCAGAGCTGGTCTTGACCTTTGGGACAGCGTGCAGCTCATATGGGCCTAGCAGATCATAGCCCAGGTAGCACAGGGATGGATCTTCTTGTCTTGTAGTTCCTACAGCATTTTGTGTGACACCATGTTTTTCTTTCTGTAGCCCGAGGAGGCTGCCATTCAAACAGCCACCAATTCTCCCTGGCTGGCGAGACCCAAGTGTATAATAGCATCATGTTTCTAATGGTCACAGCAAAGAAGGATTCAGTCAGAGTCAAAGCTGATGGCCACAGTTTAAACTGTTTGCCATCTGAGTGAGTTAGGGTAATTCTTGCTGCTGTAACAAATAGAACCCAATGTAGAGGCTCAGATGCTACAGAACTATGTTTCTTGCCTATGTGAGAGGATTTATTCTGCTATAGATGCTTGTTTCTTGCCTCAGGTCAGCAGGGCACTGTCCTTCAAGTTGTCTCTGGGTCCCAGGCTGCTGGCTGCTTTGCCACCTTTAGCTAAGGGCTTCCAAGGTGACCCCAAGGTTGTCTTTATTTCAGGCAGCCCAGAGAGGAATACGAACAAAGAGGAGTCAAGTGGGGGTTGTGTATAGGGCAGTCCTGGAAGTGGCACTGATTTCTGCTCCTCTCCCATGGGTCAGGGCAGAACTTAGTCACAAGGCTACATGTGACTTCAAGAGAGACTGGGAATACAGGCCGGGTGCAGTGGCTCACGCCTGTAATCCCAGCACTTTGGGAGGCTGAGGCAGGAGGATCACTTAAGATCAGGAGTTCATGACCAGCCTGGCCAACATGGTAACACCCCATGTCTACTAAAAATACAAAAATTAGTCGGGCATGGTGGCGTGCACCTGTAATCCCAGCTACATGGGAGGCTGAGGCAGGAGAATCACTTGAACCCAGGAGGCAGAGGTTGCAGTGAGCCCAG
This sequence comes from Homo sapiens, assembly GCF_000001405.40. NCBI lineage: Eukaryota > Metazoa > Chordata > Mammalia > Primates > Hominidae > Homo > Homo sapiens. Next base: position 34,415,703 of record NC_000017.11, on the reverse strand, counting down.
ATCACGCCACTGCACTCTAGCCTGGGCAACAGAGCAAAACTCCATCTCAAAAATAAAAAAAGAGAGAGAGAGGCTGGGAAAACAGTCTAGCTATGCAGCTGGGAAGAAGTAGGGAGCACAGATTTTGGTGAGCAGAGAGCAGTCTTTGTCGCACAATCTCAATCCAAATTCCAAGCCTGAATGAAAAGGGACCATTCCAAGGGGAGAAGGGAAAGTATGAGTCCATGTCCAGAGAAGAAAGGTGTGGGCTAGAGGGTGGCCAGGCAGCCAAGCAATCCATTGATCATCTGCCATTGCAACTGGGCTGGCATATTAGAGAGAATACTGATAACATGTGTACCAGGGTCTCTCATGGTTGGCTGGGTGGGCCTCCCATTGAGACTCCTCTCCAGCCGTCCCTCAAGTCCGGGTACAAGGCCCTCCCCTGGTTACCAAGAATCACTCCCAAGGCAAAGGCAAGGGGCATAAGCCCTGGAGAAGAATTTTTGGATCAGTGCACCCCACTTTTTGCTCCTCACACACAAACACTACACATAACCTGCAGACATCATGATAGAATCATCTGGATACATTATGAAATTTCAACCCAACTGCTCAGGAGGTCTGAGGCTTGTAGGGTGAGAGAAAGTGTGATTTGTCACTCAGAGACAGACTGAAACTGGAGGATGGATTTCTGATAACACAGTGTGATCAATGTATAGCATTTTCTGACTTCGGTTAACAACACTTCAGCTGTTGTTACTCAATCTTGGCAGCTCACTTCACATTAACGTTCATTTCCAAAGGATCATCTCAGATTCAAGTATCTTTCACAGACTCTTAGCCCATTCAGCTGGCAATAATTATTGCCTTGTTGCTCAAGGTGAAGTTCTACTTGTTGCTGCGTGACAACTTCCACAAGTGGGGGCTAGCTTCTTAGGTGGGCACCTCTCACCCCCACTTCTGTGCAACATGGCCCCCCAAAGCATTATTGGTCTCATAAAACATTATATCTCTCCAACCATGAAAGGCTTCTGACTCCGATTTCTCCCCTGAATCTATTCCTGGTCTTCTGAGAATGGCAGTGAGGGAGGGCTGCTTTCATTTGGATTGCTTTGCTTGCTTCCTGGTTATGTGCTAGGCAATGCTATCGGCAGCTTAGGTCATCTCAGCAGAGAGAGGGATTTGTTTTCAAAGTCATGAGTTCATGCTGATGTGCTGGTAATCACACCATTCCACTAAGCCTCTTCCTTTGTCATTCTTACCTGAGAACCTCTTGATTCATGTCCTCGTTCCCTTTCCGAAGCTTCCAGTTTTCCTCTCTTGCATACACTACGTTCTAAATGCTAAGCTACACATCGTCAAATCAAACTATATGTTAAGCTATAATAGCACCCACAGCTTTCAAAACATCAACATTCAAATGGCAACTTGTGGCTACCTGCTGCCATGATTTCTTACTCACGACACTCCGCACACCACCTATTGGTTAATATGAACTTGAGCTGGGGGCTTGCATTCCTGCATTTACTTTCCCCACTTTACTCAATTTATTAACAACAGTTTCCATATCCAGCACTTTCAGGAAACCAGTAACAGGGAAATTTCACCTAAGGCTCTACGTCTCCTTTCTGATATGAAAGTGTTCTTTCAGGAAAGAACACTCTGCAATGAATAAGATATGAACTATATAAAATAACAAGAATCCTTTCCAGTTTAAACCAGCCTTCAGAATAATTCTATTCACACAGCATACGGCACAACATGAGCATTTTTACCCAGGGCAAACGGCCTTGCATGATTTCAGCAAGGAAGTGAGGCTGCGCGTGGCAGAGGAACGGGGGAGGAGCGGTTTGTGGGAGGGTGGTAGTGAAGGGAAATGTCAGGGGTGAGTTGGTTCTGGGAAGGCAGCCACTGGGTTCTGGGTCCCATGAAAGAAGTATCCTAGGCTATAGACTGCAGATCTATTGGGATGGAGAACACACACACACACACACACACACACATACGCACACACACACACAAACACACCCCAGATCTATACGGTCACAGCCTGTGCAATGCCATTCCCTCTCCCTAGAACAATGTTCTCCTCCATGTTTGCCCCACCTGTGACTTATCCTAATCCTGCATATGAAGATCTGTAGTGACGTCTAGGCCCCCTCCCCTTTCTATATGACACCCTATCTATACCTCTTCCCACACTTGATCATTTTGCGTATGTGTGTGTGTGTCTGTCTGTCTGTCTATCTTCTCATTTGACAACAGAGCCCTCCGCAGTAGGAAGCATTTCTTTCTCATCTTAATATCCTTAGCATCTGGTGTGTGGTCAACACTCAATGAATGTTGAATGAATGACTAAAATTAGCATCCAGCCTATCATGAAACCTTAATGAACATTAAGTGAATTAAGCCCCATCCAAAGTCTCTTCTTTATCAATATCCAGGAAGGCCTTGGATATGCACACTAATGATGACTATGCATATTTCATAAAACTGTTTCCAGAACCTACCACGCCCCCCGTATTAGTCATGTATAGTAGCACAGTGTTATTCTATTGTGTTAACACATTTCCCTTTGCCTGGTCAGCCCCTTCTTGTTTGGCCTTTGTGTTGTTGGCAATTTATAGTTATTATAGAAATAATGCTGCTATAGATGTGTTTTTCTTTCTTTGGAGCTAACACTGTAGGATTTTTTTTTAACCAAAGAAGGAATTACCGGGTCAGAGCCTCTCAACAGCAGTGTGGCTCTCATTCATGTTGCCTGATTGCTTATGGAAATTTGTCCAGTCTTTCTAAAAGGCAATGCTGAAGGATGTGTTTCCACTGGCTGCCTATCCTGGGTTTTATCATACTTATTTTTGTGGCTTTAGTAGGCATGTAACAGGACCTGAAAGTTGCCTGGATCTAAATTGTATTTTATAGCTGGCAAGACCGCGCCTATTTCCACGTGGTGATTTACTATCTCCATTTCCTGGTTTAATTTTGTTCATCTCCTTTGACCACTTATCAGGAAGAATCACATAACGGCCTATCCATTATCTGTTTTGGGCAGTAAGCAGGCCTGGGAGGGAGAATGAGACAGACGTAACGGATGCCGTAGCTTTCCTTTTGGTATTTATTTTTATTACATTGCAATGCAAACATTTTTATTCTCACATATTTGAACCCATCTATCAGAGCCCTGATGGTATCTTTTTCTTCAATAGCCAGGAATTTATCTCCTTATCAGCAGCAGGGGTAACAATGCCAGTTCCTTGTCTCCAGGTTTGTCACAGATTAGCAGTACGATATAGCTGAACTTGACAGGTATGCTGTATGAATTTAAATTAACTCTCCCCTGGCCTGTTAGCCAACTGTCCCCGCGATGCTTATTAAATACCAATCTCTTTCTCCAATATGCTCCTTGGCTGGCCTAACGTTGGTTTTGCCAGAATTCAAATCCATCTCAGGAATCTCTCTTCTGGTGACCTTTGTGGTTTTTAACTCAGTACAGGATGGTTTCAGTGATTGACAATTCACATCTTAATCACTCAGGAGGGATCAGCTATCACTGCCATTAAAAGACAAATGCTTTGATGGTTCTTTACCTGGAAGAATAAGCATCCTACACTCAGAGCTGTCAAATTCTATTAAAGGACTCAGAAGAATTTACATTGGTATTGCACTAACTCTATATATTGACTTTGGAACATAGCATATGTACTTAGGGATTACAATTAGACCAGAGCTGGAAAGCTCCCCAAAGACCTCAGAGCTTTAGACAAGGGAAAAACTCAAGTTTTCTTCAAATGAGTCTGGCCTGGGGAATGTCCCAAGGCTGATCCTTCTCTGTAATGTCATTTTTCTCCAGCCTTCCCCCACCCCCATCCCAGGAAATTGGTTTCGATATCCAGAGAGAGAGAAAACCAAAAGGGAATCTTGACTGTACTCTAAAAGTCCCGTGGTAAATATGTTGGTGGGAGGGTGATGGGTTGGGCAGAGGATGACAATAGAAGATTCACAGCTCCTTCAGTCAGTCTGGAGCTCACAGAACATGCTTTCCACCACTTCAGTGCCAGTATTTTCAATTCCCTTGGCTCACTGTCCTTTGGTTTTGCTCTCCTAGCAAAGCCCCAGATCAGAATCTATCCAAATGTCCAGCACCGCCTCAGTCACACCTGGGCTGCTCAGCACTCTCAAAGGAAGATCACACAGCCGCATGAACTGCTGCTGCAGAAAGTGTGCAGCGTCCAAGCTCAGTGAGGCTGGGGATCCTCTGGTGCTTCCACCATCCCCATTCTCTTCCCAACCCTGTCTTTCGTTTCTCCTCCCGGTCACACTGGGATCCTTGCACATGTGTGGATCTATTCCTCCTGGAGCCTAGTCAGGAAGGAACCTCACTCTCCTGATTATACAGGCTCTGTCCTGGAGCCTCAAACTCATCTCTACTGGCTCCTTCCCATCAATACTTAATATAATCTACTGTCTTCGTTATTATAAAACTCTCTTTTAACCCTGCAGCTACTTCTAGCTGCTGCCTTCTTTCATCTCCCCTTCACTAACTCTGGACTATCCTTGCTGTCTGGTTCCTTCAATCTCAACTGACTTCTCAACTCGTTGCCTTAAGGATTTCACCCCATCACTCCACAGAGATGATTGTTTTTAAATTTCTAATTAAGCTTTTTTTCTATTTAATAGAAACCCTTTTCTCTGACTACATACTTACTTTCGTTTTTTAAAAAATAAACTTTTATTTTAGCTTTAGGGGTATATGTGCAGTTTGTTATATAGGTAAACTGTGTACATGTCACAGGGGTTTGTTACATAGATTTATTTCATCACCCAGGTACTAATCCTAGTACCCAATAGTTATTTTTTCTGGTCGTCTCCCTCCTCCCAATCTCCACCCTCAAGTAGGTCCTGGTGTCTGTTGTTCCCCTCTTTATGTCCACGTGTTCTCATCATTTAGCTCCCACTTATAAGTGAGAATGTGCAGAGGTTTTCCATTCCTGTGTTAGTTTGCCAAGGATAATGACCTCCAGCTCCATCCATGTTCCTGCAAAGGTCTGCCATTAATGGGCATTTAGGTTGATTCCATGTCTTTGCTATTGTGAATAGTGCTGCAGTGAACATACACATGCAGGTATCTTTATGGTAGAACAATTTATATTCCTTTGAATATATACCCAGTAATGGGATTGCTGAGTTGAATGGTAGTTCTGCTTTTAGCTCCTTGAGGAATCGCCACACATCTTTCTACAATGGTTGAACTTATTTACACTCACACCAACAGTATATAACCATCCCCTTTTCTCCACAACCTTGCCAGCATCTTATTTTATTGATGTTTAAAAAACAGCCATTCTGACTGGTTTGAGATGGTATTTCACTGTGGTTTTTATTTGCATTTCTCTAATGATCAGTGATGCTGAGATTTTTCTTTCATATGCTTGTTAGCCACATGTATATCTCCTTTTGAAAAGGGTCTGTTAATGTCCTTTGTCCACTTCTTAAAGGGGTTGTTTGGTTTATTTTCTTGTAAATTTATTTAAGTACCTTACAGACGCTGGATATTAGACCTTTCTTAGATGCATAGTTTGCAAAAATTTTCTTTCATTCTGTAAGTTGTTTACTCTGTTGATCGTTTCTTTTGCTGTGCAGAAGCGCTTTAGTTTAATTAGATCCCACTTGTCAATGTTTGCTTTTGTTGCGATTATTTTTGGCATTTTTGCCATGAAATCTTTGCCAGTTCCTATGTCCAGGATGGTATTGCCTAGGTTGTCTTCCAGAGTTTTTATAGTTTGGGGTTTAACATTTGAGTCTTTAATCCATCTTGAATTGATTTTTGTGTATGGTGTAAGGAAGAAGTCCAGTTTCAGTCTTCTGCATATGGCTAACCAGTTACCCCAGCACCGTTTATTGACTAGGGAATCCTTTCCCCATTGCTGTTTTTGTCAGCTTTGTCGAAGATCAGATTATTGTAGCTCTTTTTTTGGCTTCCTGTCCCAGCCCAGGCCTCTAGCATTGGTGTTCCTCAAGTTCTGCCTAGCCCCTTCGTTCCCCTCACTCATCATTCTTGTTCTTGTGGCTTCGGTGGTGAGTTAGCCACATGTGGACCCGGCTGGCTCTCTCCTGAGTTTCAGAGCCCTCACATGAGCTCTGGAACCTGAATGTCTGTGTATGGAACTGCCTTTGCCACTATGTGCTGTGTGACCTTGAGCAAGTTACTCAACTTCTCTGTACCTTAGTTTCATTTCTCCTGAGGTTATTGTGAGGGCTTAGTTGAGTTTTTGTTATTACTGTTACACAGTCAACTGCCTGTTGAATGTTGTCTCCTTCACATGTCCCAAAGACATATGGAATGTGACTAGCCTGAATCTAGTTCGCCTCCATCTCCACCCATCCTTGCAACCATCATCAAAGGAATGTCTTCCTTTCCCTTTGGTGAAGGATGCCACTGAAGTCCTGGACCACCTGGACTGTCCTTCTCTCTTCAACCCTGACCAATCAATCACCAAGTCCATGTATCTACCTCCTCGACATCTCTCTTCACCCCTTCCTACCCACACCCCCAGCCCCCACCCTTACTCTGGCCACCACCATTTCTCGTTTAGGTTTACTGCACGAACTCTTTGGCAAGACCCTCTTGTTCTTAAACTCCAAGCCCCTTGGCATGGTTCACAAGTTCCTATTTGCCTGGCATGGTGGCTCATATCTGTAGTCCCAACACTTTGGGAGGCTGAGGTGGCAGGATTGCTTGAGCTCAGGAGTTCGAGACCAGGCTGGACAACATAGTGAGACTCTGTCTCTACAACAAAATACAAAAATTAGCCAGGCGTGGTGGTATGCACCTGCAGCCTTAGCCACTCGGGAGGCTGGAGGCAGAAGGATCACCTGAGCCCAGTTTGAGGCTTCAATAAGCCCTGATGCTGCCACTGCATCCAGCCTGGGCAACAGAGCAAGATCCTGTCTCAAAACAAAAAAACAAAACAAAACCAAGTTTCTGTCTGGTCTGGTGCTGCTTGTTTCTCTTTGTGCTCCTTCACTGCCTAACATCCAGCCACATCACTCCTTTTCTTGCACTCACATGTTCTCTGGTGTTCCACCTGCTGTTCTCTCTGCTTGGAACAGTCTTCTTCCTGTCCCTTTCCAGGCATTGCTAACTCCTTATCTTTGCGGTCTCATGCTAAAAGCCATATCCTGGACAGCTGGTCCACCCTTTCAATGGGAGAAGAGGTGCTTAGACCTAAGTGCTCTCCAGCACCCTGTATTTCACCCATGACTGGGCCTCCATCACCTTCTTGGGAAATCCATATTTCCCACAGAGGAATCATGACCCTGTTGTTCACTCCTGTATGTCCACTGCTTGGCACATAGCAGATACACCATAAATATTTGCTGGAAAAGTATCACATATTTTTGACAATATGCATACTATCTCCATGTTCTTCAATTAATTGCCCTACTCAACAGTTGGTGCGGGATATTGGGTATCCTTCTCTCTCTTGTTCTCTCTCCTCTAAATAACTCTCAGTACTTGCCATTAAGAAGCTGAGTACAGCTGTGGAGAGGGATGAGGCATCAGGTAATGATGATGGAAATAACACAAGCTGATCTGTGTGTACAGGAGTCAATGCTGTGGAATAGGGGCTGGGGAGAGAATGGGCAGATACTTCCTGGAGGAATTGACTCTGAGCTGAGTTTTTAAAATAATAAAGAAGAACTGGATAGGGAAAGAAAGAGGGGAAAGATGCTCAGACTCTTCTATGCGCCAAATAGCAGCTAAGTAGGCACAACCCTTATGTCTGTTTCCACCAACAATTTTCATACCCATGATCAGCTCCATTTTATTGAAAGATTGTGATGCACACCAGGGACCTGGGATACTGAGGACTGTGCCTCCTTCTAAACCTCTCTGTGTCTTCACTCCTCTAAATAACCCAGCTGGTCCTGCAGGGCAAACACTGCCTAGAGGATGCTACTAAGATCAAGTGTCCAGTACATGCCTGTCTTCACTCATGATTTCCCTAGGCAAAAGAATGGACTCCGAGGAGGTGAATTGTTTGTCTAAGGCTGCACAGAGCAAGTTAGAAGCCCAGCCAGGTTCAACTCCAAAGACCTGCTCTTTATGGCCTTTGTTAAGGGTGATTTGTTTGTCTGTCTGTTTGTTTGTTTTTGATGAGGGCTGGGGTAGAGCAGCAACACACAACACCCAACACCCAAATCTTGTACTTGACCAGTGAGTTTTTATAGATAGATTTTTCAGGAAATCTTTATGGATAGATTTTTTACTTACTATGATGCAAAGACATTTATTCAATAAGAAAAGACAGAAACATTCTGCTTTATGTATTCTAACACTACAGTTCGTTCAATGAAGTTAGAAATAAACAAGAAGGGGTTATCCAGTCACTTAGAAGTTAAAAACACTCCTAAATAATGCCATGGAAAGGGAAGATATTCAGAACAGAGTATTTAAAGAACAAGGATGTAAACACAGCATATCATATAAATTTATAGGATGCTGTCACGCTGGTACTTAAAGAAAAAACTGTTGCTTATGATGGCATCTATTAGTAAGAAAGAAGAAAAACTGGGAATTAAGTCTCTACTTAAATAACCTAGAAGGGGTACAAATTATTTAGTGAAAGGAAAGTGGAAAGAATAATAAACCCCAAAGCAGAAAGGAATAAAACAGACATAAAATTAAATTTGGAGCACAAGCTAAACCAATGCCTCCCAAATCTGACAATATATTGTAATTACCTGGGATGCTTGCTTGAACCACAGATTCCTAGGCAGGAGCAAAGACTTACTGAGTGAGACTCACTGGGACCTGGGACCTGGAACCTGGGATCTGTATTTCTGACAAGTTCCCCTCGTGGTTGTTATGCAGCAAGCTCAGCCATCTTTCTGTCCTTCTGGTGTTGGGAGCCAGGCCTACACGGATTCTCTCCTGTGAAGCTTTAGGGGTTCTTGGCCACTGTCACTGTTGGTGACCTTTATTCTCTTCTCCATCCATATAGTGGGACCAGGTAGGTCACAATGGCACTCTGGCCTTTGGACCTAGTTGGTTAGTCCAAGAGTGGACACTTGACTCTAACTGGGCCCAAGTGCCTCTTTCCTGGGACTTTCAGATTTGGAACCAAGAGAGCTGTGCAGCCTCCCTTTCATAGCCCTGATTGTTATATGTGAAGCAGTGGGCTCCCTGACACCGTATTTCCCAGCCTGTGGAGTGGAAAAGAGGAGGAAGCTGATCGTCAGAGAGAGAAGGTTGAAGGCATCATATAGAGAGAAGTGGAGAGGCAGGGAGAAGAATCCCAGCGTCATGCAAGTCTCTGCTTCCTTTTGCTCTTATGACTCAGATGCTTTTACGTCCTTGGTTTCTTTTGTTTTAAGACAGATTCCCAGTCTGTCACCCAGGCTGGAGTGCAGTAGTGTGATCTCAGCTCACTGCAACCTCCACCTCCCGGGTTCAAGCGATTCTCCTGCCTCAGCCTCCTGAGTAGCTAGGATTACAGGCACGCACCATTTTTAGTAGAGATGGGGTTTCACCATGTTGGCCAGGCTGGTCTCAAACTCCTGACCTCCGTTGATCCACCCACTTCAGCCTCCCAAAATGCTGGGATTACACGTGTGAGCCACCGTGCCAGACCTATGTCCTTGGTTTCTAAGAGATGTTCTCAGGTATCATTTTCCCTGCATGTGTAAGCTGGCTTGAACAGGGTTCCTGCTCCATGTACCAAAAGAGTCCTGGCTAATTCACAGCCTTACTTGGCTCCCTCCTCTCCAGGCACAGGCTCCCAGGATCACCACCCACACATTCATCCTTCCAGGAGCATAGGAAGGAGATAGTGACAATAGTCACGCCATCCATGCTTTGATGACATTGATGCTTCCTGGTCTGGGTGTGATACAGGTCTGTCATAAGACACTCTACTTTCTTTTCGGCAACATACCTTCCTGGAATCTTTTTTTTTTTTTTTTTTTGAGAGGGAATCTCTCTCTGCCGTCCGGGCTGGAGTTCAGTGGCCTGATCTCAGCTCACTGCAAACTTTGCCTCCTGGGTTCAAGTGATCCTTCTGCCTTAGCCTCCCGAGTAGCTGCGATTACAGGCATGAGCCACCACACCCTGCTAATTTTTATATTTTTAGTAGAGAAGAGGTTTTGCCACATTGGCCAGGCCGGTTTCAAACTCCTGACCTCAGGTGATCTGCCTGCCTCGGCCTCCTAAAGCGCTGGGATTACAGGCGTGAGCTATGCCTGGCCACCCTCCTGAATCTTAAAGTCAAATTAGACTGTGTAGCCCAGTAGCCATGAGGATAGGCATAAAGTGCAGCAGCAAGATCAAGACGGCCCATCCTTTGGAAAGTTACGGAATAAATAATAAACTGTAAAAGATATTAATAACATTTTTAAAAATTGATAAGCCATGCCTAAATAATAAGTGTTGTCAAAGTAGTCAGCACTAAATATTTGAGAGGTGTAGGCTGAACATCTCACACTGGGGGTGCTGTGAGGTCTGAGCATTGTGAGACAAGTAGAACTTAGTCACTGTCTCTTGGGTCAGGCTGGTGGAAGATACATGCTCATGAATAAACAGAGAGGGTAAAATGCCAAGGACAGTGAACAAGTTACTAAGGATTGCAGAGACGGGGACTCAGCTCTAATTGGAGATGTTGGTGGAGGCTAGCTTGGAGGAGAAGCCATTTGCCCCGAGTCACCCTGAATGAGTTCCTGGGCAGATCGGACAGCAGGAAGACCATGTGGAAGGGCCATGCATGGCCTGCCAAGGGAACTTAATCAGCTGGGTTACTGGAGATGGAGGCCTAGAAATGAGGCTGGCAGGGTGGCAAAGGCTGCATTCTCATGACCTCAGGGGCTCTGATCTGGGACTCTTGGTGGTGAGAGAAAAGCAGGAGGGTTTTAAGATGGGAAGTTGTCTTGGAGGTTGTGCAGTTATTATTGCTATTCATTAATTACTTCTGTCTCTCTTTTTTTCTGGGCCCTTGGTGGGACTACAATTCCCGGCTCCCCGTGGTTGGACAGGACCCCATGGATGGAGCTGAACAGTGAAATATGAGTGGAAGTGATGTGTTATTTCTGGGCGAAGCATCTATTGCTGGTATAAGACCCTATACAGCTCTCGTTCACTCTATTACAACTACCAGCATTCAAGATAGGACAGTTGATACAGCAGACCTGACCTCTATTCTCCAAGTGGGGGTTGGGGTGGGATGATGGCAGAGAGGCTTATGTGCTGGGCCTGCCATCCGTGCCCATGGAGGCCATGGAGGCATGGAGGTGTGGGGGCCTCAGAGGGGCTTCCCAGGAACTGGCCCCAATCTCACCCACATCTCATTGCCCATTGGACCAATACCCTTGACTGTCCCCCCTCCCAACCACCCAGTTACTTCTTGGAGAAGTGGGAAATTCTGGATATGGTCATAAAACGTGAAAAGTGAAGGCCCAGAGAAATGACACACATAAAAACGACCTTGGCTCGAAAACAAACACATGAACTTTAAAAATGCAAATCTGCCTCCAGCTAAATAAATAGAACCAGTCCAAGAAATAGCACACATGAACTTGGAAAAGTGTGACTGAAGAAAAAGGCCCAGAGAAAACAAAATATAATAGTGAGACAGAAAAATATAGCAAAAGGTAAAAGGAATGCAGACTTCAGAGTCCCATACCTTCCTTCAGATCCCACTTTTGTTATTTACAATACAGCCTCCCAGCACTCATCCATCCATTCACCCATCCTTTCCTTCAGTAAATGTGGAATGCTTACCGTGTGCCAAGCACTGTGCTAGGTCCTGGGGCTCCATGCATCTGAACCATTTCTATGCCAACTCTATCTGCATGGAACTTACAGTCCCATGGGACACACAGACAAGAAAGTGGGACAAGCAACTTGACTGGCCAGATTATTGTGCATGTCAGGGTTAAGGTATAAGCTACCTTGCAGTGAGCACAGCAGCCTGGAGATGCTAAACAGATGATGATTAAGATTATTAAAATACCAGAGGCAAGTAATAGACCACAGGGTAGGTAAGAAACAAATCTTCTCTTGAATAATTATTGGAGAGACATGCATTATTTATTTAAAATCTACAATGAGGCAATTTGTAACTATTCAAAGTTACAATGGAAACTAAAAGGAAATTATTGCTCCAGACTCTTAAATCCAAACACCTTCTCCTAAGCCGACGCATGCATGGGAGTCTAAAAGTTCTATTATAGATTACATGGTTCCTATAACATAGGGCAGGCAGAGAAAGGTTGGGAAGGAGAAAGAGTGAGCTCATCAGTTTGCTTACTTGGGAATTGGGTCTCTGATCTTTTGGCCCGGCACACCTGGGCTACCTGGCTATGCCCAGAGCTTGTCTCCCCTACTCCTAGATATAGTAAGGCACGTTTTGGAGATTCTTATAGTCATTGTACCCAGGATTTACAACACATATTCCAGAGAGCTAGAACTGCTGTGTGCCTCTTTATGTTTTATTTTTAGGAGAGGAAGCAGTGTAGAAAGGACACTGGTTTCATAAGCATTTGGAGTCAAACTCAGCTTTGTGACATTGGGAAGTTACTTAATTTCTCTACACCTCAGTTTTCTTAACTCTAAAATAAGCCTGATAATGAGGGCTACTGTGAAGATATATACAGTATATCCTATATATACACACATATACGCACGTAGACACCTGCATATGTATATGAATACATATATGAATATAAACATGCACATGAACATTCACATACATATTCATATATAGAAAATAAATATGTGCATATATATACACATAAACACGTATATGTGTGTACATGCTTGTGTGTGTGTGTGTGTATATATATATATATATATTTATGCATTCATTTATGTAAGTACACATACACATGGCCTAGCACAGGGCCTGATACCTGGTCAGAATTTGGAAAGTCTTAGTACCCTTTCTGCAACTGTGTGGCCTTCTTTAGTATTGAGTTATGGTAGCCTCTAAGGCTCCATGTGATCTGAAGAATTATTGCCGTGGGGTCTCTAGATGATGCCCCCCCACCATCCTTTTACAGCTGCTAAGCACCAATATTAGAGTTCAGGTGCCAAATTGTTTCTCTAAATGCCATTTAACCTGGTACCAAGACAGAAGAGTGGCATCAGACAGCTGACAAAAGATGTTATTCTAGGCTCGAGAGAAGATCACCTGCTGGTCGAAGTCAACCTAGAACCATCCCGGCCTCAGGCCAGGCCTGAGCAGGTTTGTCCTGGTCTCTAATCAGGTGCTGAGAGCCCAAAGGCCACAGTACAATGTTAGCATTCTTGGCCACCTTGTCCCTTGGTTTTTCAAAATGTCTAGACTTTGTTTTCTCCAATTAATGTAAATCCATCCATATGAAATCAAATTCCCTGTTGCTGCCACTTTTTATCTACCAAAAAGATGGCCAAGGAATAGCTTCAGTTTAAGGAGGCTTCTGGGCTGCTTATCAAAGGCAAATTCACTGAGCAGGGCTTCCCAAACCCAGCTAAGCAGTGGGGCCTCCTGGGATATATGTTATAATGCTGACTCCCAGGTCATGCCCAGGCCTACTGCATGGGGATTTAGAGAATAGAGTGTGATGGGGCTATGGAAGCTGTGATTTTACCAGCACTGCCAGTGCTTCTGATGGATGGCTCACTGGATACCTCTGCTCAGCAAGGGGCAGCTCTCTGGGGGTGTCCTGATGAAACAGGCTGGGCTGCCAGCCTGACTTTCACGGTACTCTTCCCCTTCACTTTCTCCACCCTTTGGGACCTCTCCCTCCAGGGTTTGATCCCAACTTCCTCCTACACTCTCCTGACAAGAAAGAAGGGAGAGGAAAAAGAGCTAAGCTTTACTGAGTGCCCAGTGGGTGCCAGGTCCTGGGCTAAGGCTCTCACTTGTGCTGTCAGATGTAACCCTCAGCATACAGCAATGCCTGGTGATGCTTTGAGATGCATAAATGGAGGGCATGAGAAAGCCAAATAACTGGGCTTCCTAGGCACACATGAATCTACACTTTATGACTCCAAAAGACAGGCTCCTTTCACTAGACACCAGGAGTGAGAGAACAGACTTGAATTTCAGACTGGGCCCTCTGACTGCCTGGGGAGAAGGGGTTGGGACCTGAAACAGGGAGACTCAGTAATAGGATTTTGGGTTAAGTCAGGTGGAAGATGATCTACTTGTCACATTGTGCTCTCATAATTATCCTCTACTGAGGTAGGAACCATTATTTGCCCCATGTTATAGAAGAGAAACCTGAGGTTTCCAGAGGTTGAGTGCTTTACCAAAGGGCGTAAAGCTGGCACATGCTTGTTCAGGCATGCCTACTCCTGAGCTTGTGATCTCAATCTCTCCTGACCAAGAGGGTGGCCTCCAGGGTGGGGGAAAGACAGGGGTTTAACGACATTTGAGACTTAACGTGTACAGACTTGCCAGGCTTTGGTGACAGGGAGGATGGGGCGGAGTGGGGGACAGGGAGGAGTCAAGGCTGGCAGCTATGTCCTGGTTGGATAACCAATGGACCATGAGAGAAAAGAGAATGTTGCGGAGATGATGAATTCAGATTGTGGCACATCGATTTTGAAATACCTGTGGTACTACCAAATTTGTGTGGATTCACAGGATAATCATAATCCATCCATCCATTTAACAAATGTTTATTCAATGCTTAATGTGACCATGTTATGTGCCAGGTCCTGGCACAGGCAAGAGCCTGCTCCTGCAGAAGAGGACCCGCTTTGCCATGTTTATTTCTCATATCTTCTCTGGCACGATCATGTTCCTTTATTCAAAATTTCCACTCACATCAGTCATCCGTTATCGATCACAGACGACGGAGTTTGTGGCCACAGTGACATCTCCCCCACAGATGTGTGATGGCCAGCATGTGGAAGGGGACCTTTGTGCTAGCTCAGGCTCTCCGTGTTGCAGGGGAGCAGTCAGAGGAAACTTGGAAATTCTTGTCTCTTTGCCCATCTTTCCCTAGGTGTCTCCCCATGACAAGGCCGGTGCCAGCCCCTGGGATACAAAGATGAGAAAGTGCAGGGTTCGACTGGGGGAGGGCAGAGGAAGAAGCTGCTGTTCTGGTAAGAGTGGGCTGCTTTGCAAAGAGACAGTTAGGAGGTGTTGAGGCCAATTGAGAAAAGCTCCAAACTCACTGACTTTGTATCTGATTGTGCCTGACACTGGTGCCTATCAGAGTGTGGTGAGGTGGAAGCCACACCCACGAGCTGTGTGATGCCTGGCAAGTCACTTCACATCTCCGAGCCTCACTTCCTCATCTGCAAATGGGGATAATGCTAAGTACTTTGAAGGGTTAATATGGAAATTCCTATAGGAAACTTGCTGTAAAGTTCTAGGCACATCGTAGGTCCTCTCTCCCATCAATCCTTTCTGGGTCTTTGATTGGAAACAGCTTCCCATTCCAGTGATGCTTATGAATCGCTTGTCCTTCTGCAAGCTTCTATGGGTGTGGATTTGTGTGTAGGTGACTTTGTGTATTTTTATATAGTTAGAATACATCAATATAAGACCATATATGTTTCAGATTAACTTCCTGCAAAAGAAAAATAAATTAGATTTGCATTGGTGTGAGTTTTTTAAAACATAAATGTACAACATAGTTCTATTCCTCAATATTTTGCATTTCTTTTGAAAGGACTATAACTTCAAGGAAAGTCTCAAAAAAGTTACCCCCATTCCCTGCATGTTAGCACACTTCCCTTGTAATTTTCTCTCTGTGTCTACACAGATAGCTGTATTTTTCCAGAACTGAATCATAGTCTACCCACTGTTTTGTGCTGTGTTTTTTGCATTTAACTGTTTCACAAGTATGTGTGTGAGTGTGTTTAATGCCTTATGTGTACAGATAAGTTTTGAGAGTTTCATAATATTCCGTTGCATTGGTGTTTAATTAGTTAAGGAAGCATTCCCTAATGTTTAATATTTTAGCCTTTGCTTTTGATTCCTTCTGGATAAGTTTAGATCTTGGAACAGAATCCTTTCTCTGGTAATACCTGTGTCCTTTCTGGGTGCTTAGAGAAATCTCTTTTCCAAAGCAGGACATACTCTCTCATTTTGAGCTCTCTGTTAAAAATTAGGATTTGATCTCAGAACTCACCCTGTTTCTTCCTTTCTAGACCATGTAGGTGGACTCTATTTAAGAAGCAAATGTGTAACAATTCCAATTGGTTGCTACTTAAACAAGAAGAGAGGAGATTTATTACATTTTACCAGAAAGGCTGAATGTTAAAGGCACAGGTACACAGCTGGAAATAATTAAAATAACAACCAATGTTTACTGAGTACCACATAACTATCAGGAGCTATTCTAAATTCATTGCATCCTCACAACAATCCAATGAGTTAGGTACAATTTTTAGCCCTGTTTTGCAGAAGAGGAAGTTGAGGTCAGAGAAGTTAAATGATTTGGTCAAGTTCATGCAGTTAGGAAGTGACTTAAATCTAGATGGTCTGACTCCAGAGCTTAGGTCTAGGTTAAAATCTGTCATGCTATTTGTAAATTGGGTCTCCTTTAAGAAGCCATGTGACTGCTCCGAGCCTCAGCTTCTGACTTGTGACGTGGTAGTGACAAGTCCTATCTCAAAGGACAGAGGTGAGATTAAGCAAGATGGTGTACAGAGAAGCCCACATGGTACTTGCCATGAGGTATTTGCTCAGGAACAGTTCCAGTCCCCTTTTCTCCCATTGTCACAGGGTTGGGATCCTGGTCCCCAACCCAGCCTGGCCTCTGGGCCCAGAAACATAACTATTTTCTATTGAAATGTTTGTGCTCCTCAATTGTCCTGTTGTTTTGACTTGTGAGCTCATTTTTCCCTGAGAGTATTGGTTACTCCTTTTGGCAGTGTTGGTGGTGAGATGCCAGATTCTATCTACTTCAATTCCAGTGAACTCAGGAAGTAGGGAGAGGTGAGCCTTAAGGTGCGGAACCCCTGGCATGAGAAAACACTTACCAAGACACCTCTCAGCTCAATCTTAACCCTTTGCCACCCATAGAGAGGATCCACTCTTTAGACAGTAATTTTACAGCCCCAGAAGTTCAGATAGGACGGGAGAGGAAGTAACGGCCCAAGTCAGTCACTCTGCCTGCTTTGCTCAGCCTCCCTTTAGCACAGGACTTCTGTACAGCTCTGATTTTACTCCTGACAATAATGAGGGCATAAGATTTAGTCTCCACAGGTTTTTCCCAAGGCTGTGACTGGGGAGAAGAAAGAACAGAATTCCTAATATTTCCCCCTCTCTTTTACACTTCTGCTGCTGTGCTGGGATACGTCCTGCCCAGGCCACACCATCACCTTCCGCCCTACCGTCCAATTCAAAATAGGACCACACCCCCATGGTTCCTCCTGGTTTTCAGTTTTCCCTTCCTTTGTGTTCCTCTGGAGTTGATCTTGGGGGGCAGGTTAAGCATCCGTGCTTGTTATGAATCTTGACTGGAAATGGAACCTGAAAAGCAACCTCTATTTTCCATCTCTTTAGCATCTCATGTAACACATTCTATGGGGACTCAACCTGTCAAAGACACTCAGTCATATGCACAAACGTGAACACCAGGCTACTTCTCCGGCATTGCCAGGGCTGGGGCAGAGGTGTGGCAGGAGGAACTGGTGATCCTGGTCTCTGTACTCGTTGGTCACAAACTCCTGCTGAGATCACCAGAGCTGCCTATGATTTCTGATCTTTCTGAAGCTTTGATTTCCAGGTTTCTTTTAGATACCACATGACGCCCCAGGATTCTTCTGATACCTTTCCTACTTTCTTAAGACACTCATTCATTCATTCACCACTTATTTATGGTGCATCGACTATTTGCTAAACACTGTGCTAAGTGAAAACTTGAATCGGCTTCTGTTTCTGTTACTCATAACCCAAAGTATCTTAGCTAAGACACCAGGTATTTTTATGTTTAGTTTACAGATATGAATGTGGGTACCAAGGGGGTACATGGAAGCCCAAACTAAGAGCCCTTAAGAAGTCAGGGTGGACCTAGGAAATACATCCTTGTCTGAGATCTTTCCACTGCATTATGCTGTCTCAGGGAGGGAATAGTTTAACCTTCTCTGCATTCTACTGAGATCAGAAAGTAAATGCTCATAATGTGTTATCCCATGGGAGATAAATTAAAAATGTCTTGGTTAAGATTGAGTAATTTGGTGATGATCTTAACTTTTAAAGCTGCACTGCATAGTAATTACAAAAATGGACTCTGGGGGGCCAACAAATCTAAGCTCAAATTTTCACCTTGCCATTTCCTGAGTAGATGATCTTAATTAACTTACTTTCTGAGCCACAGTGCCCTTCTCTGTAAAATGGGGAGAATTATAATCATAACTACAACTTGTGTTTGTCATAGGATTTAATGAGACAATGCATGTAAGCACTGAACTTTACATGCCTGGAAAACAATTAGTGTTCAGTGATTATTGTGTTAAGGGGATGCTGATAATCATGCTAATGAAGATCAATTCAAGGTTGTTCATGTTGGCAGATGCACTTCAGCCTCCATATGGTTAATATCATTGGAGGTGGGAGTGCAGGGAAGGAGCCTGCACCTAAGGAATGGAGGAGAGCTAAAGCCCAGAGGGAAATCCATGGCAGGTCTCAAGGGAGGCAAATTGTTTAATCTCTGTAAACGGGTTGAGTTAGAACTGTCTCTCACCCTGGATCACAAAGCAACAAACCCTTCAAGGACAGCTGCAAAGTGAATTTTTTAAATCTCAAGGTTATGTGTAATTTAAAAAGTTTAATATCTTGCAAAATAAGAAAACATATATTATTTAAATACTCTCTTTTTTTTCCTATAAATTACCTGGGGGAGGGAAAGAGAGAAAGAGAAGAGAGAAAAGGACAAATACAGAGACAGACAGAGAGAGAGTACTTTCAAATATCATTTAAGGCCTAAATGCCACAGGCTTTAAAAATTCAACACAATTCTCATGCATTCTTTCCCACAGGGGGCTACCCTTTCAACAATGACCTTTAAAAAAACTCAAGCCAACAAATAGCTCTGATACTGAAGACATGTGTACTTTATCAGCCTGGACATTCTACCGCTGACAATATAAATTTATTTGCCCAAATTGTCAGTATTTTTGGTACTAGATCTTAGGATCTAACAGATTCTTGTGGACCACGTGTGTTTGGGGCGATTCAGTCCTGGGTTCTTCTGAGATAAGATGGTTTAAATATTTCCCATTTTTTACGGTTGTAAAAATTTCATTTTAACCTTCTATCTGCTATGATTTATCTGTACACTCTGGAGGGGAGTCAGGGTTGGTACACAGAGAACTGTATAAAAAAATCAATTAAATTGCAGGTGCTATCTCCCCAAAGATCTCAAATAAAGCATCAAAAGCCAGTGTTGCACCGTGGAAAGGCCATGGTGCTTGAAGTCTGAAGACCTGGGTTCATGTCTTGGTGTCATTAATAAGCTCCCAGAGGAAGCCATAGGGCCAGAGAGTGAAGCCTTTCTAGATAACAGCAACCAGAGGCTGGTGTTTTGCAGGCATCCTGGAGAGAGCAACCCTCTTGAGAAACACAGGGAGTAAGACTCTGCTTAAAATTAAAACTGAACAATTGCACACTGAGAGTCTGATAGTTCTTTGTAATTAATATTAAACATATTGACATGTGGAAGTGAATCTTCTCATCTCAGACTAGTATGGGATCAGAATAGCTTGAGTCAAGTTTCAGCAGGTCCTGAATGGGCTCAACACATAGAAATAATTTCCTTAGCTAAGAGATTCACTAGTTGCTGGGGAGGAGGAATTGGGAGTTACTTATTAGAATTTTACTCTAAAGTGTGTGATTGCAAATACTCTATTCTCAGTCCTTTGCCTATCTTCAAAGACTCAAATATAACAGTCCTTTCAGGTATTAAAAAAAAGTAAGCTGTAAACGGTTGTCTATATTTGCTGCCTCCAATTTTTTTCTTCCATTTTCTCTTGAATCCACTCAGATAATTTTTACCCAGTCCCCCAGGGACCAATGCTAAAACCAGTGGTCAATTCTCAATTTTCATTCTCCTTGAGTTATGCAAAACATTTGACTATGTTGATCACTCCTTCCTTTCTGAAATATTTTCTTCCCTTGACTTCCAGGACACCATATTCTCCTGGTTTTTCTATCATGCCACCACCACCTCCCCACCATGGTTCCTTCTCAGTGTCTTTTCTTGGTTTCTCCTCATCTTCCTGACATTTTAACAATGGAGTATGCCAGGTCTCAGTCAATAGACCTTATGTCTTCTTCACCTATGTCCGAGCCCTGTTGATCAGGCCCAGTGGTATGGCTTTAATAACCATCTGTAGGTTAAACCATAAGAGATTACCATTTTGTAGGTCAAAATGGTTGGATGTTGATATTTTCATGTGGTTAAACCTAATGGCTCTCAAACATTATTGCTCACAAACTCCAGATACCCTCATCTACCTGTATATCAAGCTTAATATTTTCCCTTGGGTGTCTAAGAGGAATTATGAGCATAGCATGGCCAAAACCAAACTGATAACCCCTTGCCATTCTCCTCACCCTCCATCAAATCTGTTCTTCCTGTATTCTTGCTTATTTCAGTTCATGGTAAGTTCATTTTTTGAGTTGTTCAGCTAAAAACTAATCCTTGGAGTTACCCTTGGATCTTCTATTTCTCTATTGCCAACTCCAGGGCACCTGCAAATCCTCTGGACTCTGACATCACAGTATATCCAACCCTCTCACATGTTGGCTCGAGGCATTATCATCTCTCATTTGGCTTATGCCATCTCCTCCTAACTGATCTCCTTGCTTCTGTCCTTTACCCCCCAACAGCCAGATGACTCCTGTTAAGACACAACTTACATCATGTCAGTCCTTTGTTGAAAACTTCTCCAGGGGTTAACTGACTTAGAGTCAAAGCCAGAGTCTTTACAATGGCATCTTAGTCTCTGCAGATAACTGATTGTTACTTCCTCCTTGATGTTAACCCTGGACTCTTCCTCTCCTTCCCTCCAGGCACACTGGCCTCCTTGTTGTTCTTTCAGGAGTGCATCTGCACAGGGGCTTTGCATTGGCTGTTTTTTCTCCTGGACCTCT
The DNA here is from genome assembly GCF_000001405.40 of Homo sapiens. Lineage (NCBI taxonomy): Eukaryota > Metazoa > Chordata > Mammalia > Primates > Hominidae > Homo > Homo sapiens. Next base: position 34,394,629 of record NC_000017.11, on the reverse strand, counting down.
TCTTCCCTGGATGGCTGCATGGTTAACTCCCTTATTGCCTTCAAAACTGCTTATGTGTTGGCTGGGTGTGGTGGCTCAAGCCTGTAATCCCAGTACTTTGGGAGGCTGAGGCGAGTAGATCACTTGAGGTCAGGAGTTTGAGACCAGCCTGGCCAACATGGAGAAACCCCGTTTCTCCTAAAAATACAAAAATCAGCTGAGCATGGTGGTGCCTGCCTGTAATCCCAGCTACTTGGGAGGCTGAGGCAGGAGAATTGCTTGAACCCGGGAGACAGAGGTTGCAGTGAACTGAGAAGGCACCACTGCACTCCACCCACCTGGGCAACAGAGTGAGACTCTGTCTGAAAACAAAAAAGAATTGCTTACATGTCACTTTCTGGTGAGGCCTTCCCTGACTATCCACTTCCAAATTGCATCCCTCTCTCCAACCTTCCTGAATTCATTTGTCTCTTTTCAGTCTCCCCAAACCAGGAAGGAATTTCTCTCTATGTCCCTCATTGACATATCCCACCCCAGAAAAGCATAAGGCACATAGTGGTGTTCAATCCATACCTGTTGAACAAATAACTAGGTACCAGGCCCAAGCCTGTTTGTGGGAGGATGGATATTGCCAGAAGAACTTCAGGGGGCTTGTTTTCTAAGGAGAAAATAAGGGCTGCCACAGTCAACAGAGAAATGCAGCCAGGCCTAAAGCAGCCACAGCATATTTGTCATTATGTTTTTCAAACCCCCTATTTCCACTTTCTGCCACCGTGTGCCAGACCCATGCAAAGGGCTATGTATTCAAGAAGGGCAAATCCAGACTGGTCCTTGCTCTCACGGAGCTTGTATTTAGGGGAGGAGACAGACACTAATCAAATAAATAATCACAGACACATGAATGAAACTGGAGCTCAGACAAGTGCAGTGAGGGAGAAAACAGTGCAATGAGGGTTTAATCGGGGGCATTTGGGAAGGCTTCTCGGAGGAAGTGACACTTCCTGTAAGCTGGGATGGATGGGGAGATGTGCGCTTGCTGGACCTGAAATAGAAGCCTGCTCCTCTAGTCACACTGATTGATGCAGAAGTGGGTATCTGACTCCTGCCAGGCCAGTGACTGTCATTCCCTGGGGGTTTTCTAACTGGAGATGGGAGAAAGTGACTCTTTTTTTCTCAAGTGCCTGAGCTTTTGGCCATGAGCCCAGAGCTGCTGGTGTGAAGGCTGCCATTGGAGGAAAGAATCAAGGCCCCATGAAGAGGACATTAGACCTATGGGGGCAGGGCAGCTCTGACAGGCTGTGAGGTCCCTGTTCCAGTGCCCCCCAGATTCAGTTCTACTCCTTTCTTGAGTTTTCTATTGCATTGAGGCAATAAATTGGGCTATATGGGCTGATGAACTAGGTCAGTGGTTTAGGCTAGGTCAACTTAGAAATTTTTTGTCCCTTGCAATACAAGCATCCTGCTCAATCCCCTTCACCCCATAAGAGGAACAGTGGGCTGGACAGGCAGGGGTTCCCTGAGAGAAGCTCAACATAGCAAGACTCCAAACCTCCTTGTCTGGTTCTTTTCTCTTTCTCAGCACTGAAATCTCTTCCTCCAAGGGCCGTGTCAGAAGGAGAGGGGTCATAGACTCCAGGGAAGGCAGTGGTGACAATGACCTTGGATAGAGCTGAACCAGATGGGGGTTCAGCTGGTTTACCCAGTGTCTTGCTTTTTCTAAAGGGACATGTAAGGTCTAGAAGAAAATTGTCTCTGGGTCAAAGATTAAATAATTATTACTCGATGTTTCCCTTTCCTTTCTTATATTTTATTTTAGATGTCTCCTGGTGTACAATTCAAAAATTTCATGTACTGAAAAGCAAGTCTCTCTTTGTCCCTCGACACCAGTCCCTCTTCTTAGAGACACTTTCTCACGTATCCTTCCAGAGGAAGTTTACACACACACACACACACACTCACACACACATTTGAGTGAATATGATTTCACCTAAAGGTTATATACCATGCATGCAGTTCCATCCTTTTCCATTAGTACTTTATGTATTTTGAATATTGTTCCATATAAGCACACATAAAGTGGCTTTATTTTTCTAAATAGTTGCAAAATATTCTATTATATAGAGCTAACATATAAGTAACTAGTTTTCAGTTAATGGCTATTTAGCTTGTTTCCAATATTTTGTCATTATAAAAGTTTTCTTGAGTATTCAAAGATGCTACAGTATATCTTACTTACGGGCCTATCTGTAGGATACATTTTGGGATGTTTTCCCTTTCATTTCATTTTGTCTTTCTGTGGATATGAAATGTACACACACTCTCTCTCTCTCCTGGCTCAGAGAGAGGGTGTAATTAGGTGAAGGGCACAGAGTGAGTGATGAGCTATGTCAATTAGAGCTCAGGCTCGTTGTCCCCAAGCCCAGCAGCGGCCCTGCCCATTCCAAGTGGCCTCTGTGGCCGACGAGAGAATGCAACTGTTGCTGGGCTGAATAAGGTGCAGGAGTAGGGCAGGGAGGTGACCACACCTCAAACTGTTGATAAGGCAATGAATACCAAGGCAGGGGCTACCCAGGGTATCTAGACCTGGGGAAGGAGAGGTTGAAAGAGGCAGGATACAGAAAGCAAACTTAGAAGTGAAAACCGAAGGCAAATAGCCATTCTTCCTTTCTTCGATTGTAACAGAAATTTTGACTGGGATCATGGCCACCCCGAATAAAAACCACATTTTCTAGCCTCCCATCCAGCAAGGCTCTAACTTCTAGGCTGGAAAGGGATGTGTCCTGTGATGGCCTTCAGCAACCCTAGTAGAAAGGCAGGGTATGCCCCCATCGCCCCTCTTCCTCATCTTGCCCCTGCTGCCTGGAGTGCAGGTGCCCTCAGCTTGGGTTGTTGGATGGGGGCCATACACTGGGGCAGAGAGAAGCTGCTAGAAGGAGCCTGGTCCTTAACAACTTTGCAGAACCAGCCTGGACCTCAGGCCTGTGGACTTTTATCTGAGAGATTAAAAACTCCTCTCATGCTTAAGCTAGGATTGTTTTGGGTTTCTTTGTGCAGCTGAATCCAATTTTAGTTGATACAGAAGGCTGGCATGTTAAGCATGCTGAGTTCTTACAGTTATGGCAGTGGATTTGCACCGGGCTCCACTTGCTAGATTACCTGTCAGCCTTGCTTGGGGGCATATGAGGAACAAAGGTAGTGCTGAGTCAGGGAACCTGGTCCTCACCTGGCTTTGATGCTGACCATATGTCATGTGGCTTTATGCAAATGACCCTCCCCTCTGGGCCTCCGTTTTCTCATGTAGAAAATGAGAGGTTTGGGTCAGAAAACCTTTGAGATCCCTTCCAACTCTGAACACTAAGCTATCAATCAGATGCTTGGCTTGACCTGTACCTCTTTGGCTATTCCCTTCCCACCAGAGAGGTGGTGATCTGTCTGTCCCCTCAATTGCTCAAGGCATTTCACTCGTACCCCCCTGGCACTATGGTCCCATTTTCCTTAGATCTTTCTTCTCTGCTAAATTCTCTGAAGACAGATTCTCAGTCTTCATGTTATAACCTTGCCCAGCTTCTAGAACAGGGCCTTGGGCGTAATGAGTGAGTGCTCAGGAAACATGTCAGATAGGTGATCTGTGGATACAGTCATGTTGGGGCTCAAGATGAAAAGGAGACTGAAATCTGCAGGAAGGTCTACAATGAAGAACATCACCAAGCAAGGTCCACCTACCTTGGCATGGCTGGTCTGAAGCACTGGTCTCCCATGGTAACCAGGCGGATCCACTGGGGCCCTGGTGGAAAGGAAAGAGCGTGGACATGAAGTCAGACGGGCCTTGATGACCCTTACCAGCTAGGTGGCTTTTGGCACTTTGACAAACTTCCTTGAGCCTGAGTGCTTTCTTTTAAGAATATACCATGCCTGTCCTTCAGGACTGCTGAGGCACCTCAATGAAGAGACTCACGTCAAGTTCCTATTGTAACCCCTGGCAGACAGCAGGGGCTTGGTGAAAGCCCATCACCCTTCGTCCCTCCATCCCAAAGCATTCTTGCAATATCCTGTCAGGGAAAGCAGAGAGACTTCAAGGGTAAAGACCAGTGGCTGCTTGTTTTCTTCAGGGGAGGATTAGGTCACGAGTGATCTTTGCAATGAACTCTCCTGATGCAGCATTGGGTTCCACACCTTCAACTGTCTCCTTTTTGGGTTCATGATCTCCCACCTCTGTACAGCAGCAGACAAAAGAAGCTACATGAAGGCAGCCTGGGCTCAAGATCATAGATATGAATGCATCCTGTATCACTAGACCTCCTCCTGCTAGATCACCTCCCTAAGTATTTGTCATCAGCGTGTGGGGTCAAATTGAGGAGCCACTTCCAGGGAGAGGTGATATCAGGAGTAAGTGGATCACAGGCCTAGACTTCTTCACTGGCAGCCTGCACAGAAACCACAGTCCTGGACCAAGACCGAGGAGTGAGCCCAGCCACAGGCAGCCACTGGGAATGGAGTAGGAACCAGGGAAGGGATTTTGGAGGGGTGAATGAATCATTATTTATCAGTTACGTTATGTCAGGCTCCAACGTGTGGATGAAGTCTGACAACCCTTGGGCCTGACATTAATCCTGCTGTTTATCAGCTGTTTGTCATAGGAAAATCACTTAACTTCTCTGAGTCTGTCTCCTTCTCTGTAAATGGATATGAAAACATTCATTGGATAGAGTTGTCGTGAAAGTTTAATGAAATTGCATGCACCCCAGCATGTAACAGTAGTTACTATTCTTACAGCTGTATTTTCTCCTCCCAACTACTCAGTAAGGTAGATATCACCTTTCCATCTCAGAGATGAGAAAATGAAAGCTCAAGAAGGTGAGGTCTTGCTTATAGCCATACAGCTAGGAAAGACACAAATGGTCTATTATCCCAAATCTTTCATGCCCTCCAATTCCATTCTGGTTTCACGCAGACCAGATGGAAGCTGGGAGAGAGCAGGGGGCTGAGGAACCGCCACCCACACCCACTTTGCCCTACAGCAGCTCTGCCTCCCCATGTATGCTGCTGAGGTGGAGGCAAAGTTTTACCCACAAGGGTTTCCCTTCCCAGCCTTGTTGCTAATTTTCGTCTCTGTGGTTTGGTCCTCCTCTGTCACACCTTCCTGTGATGTGCCCTTACCCCCACCCCTCAGCCAGGGAGATACTGTTGAATGCCCCACTGGGTGGTTATTTATGTGATCTTCCATCTCTTTCCTTCTGAGTGGTTTATTCCTCCTCGTTCTCATCCTGCCCACACAGGAGCTTGGCGAGAATCACTGTCTCCTAGTGTGGACAACAAAAAGAGAAGGAACAAAGTGGGTGAGCAGCTTTCCCCAGGATTACATGGCAAGAAAGTCCCTGTGGCCAGTCAGCTCCCTAGTGGCTGCCTTGAGCAGAGGGTGACAAAGAAAAGGACAGAGACCCCAGCCTGATAGCCTCCCCATTTACCTTTGCTCCATGCATATCAGGCTCACTCCCCGGGGCTGGGGAAATGTCTACCTTGACTTTGCGGTAGAGGTTTGGATCTTTCTGGGTATCTGCATCTTCTCCCATGCTCCTTCCCCTCTCCCTGTCACTGGCCACCAGTGGATCAGTCCCTGCCACCACGGGGAAAGGCCAGTCCGTGCCTCCTGGTCTCTGCTCCCCCCGATCCCTGCTAGGTGCTGTCATCTCCACGATGTCCCTCCACCATGATCCTGTGCAGTCAGGAGAGTCATTATCCTTATTTTGTTTTATTTTATTTATGTATTTATTTGTGAGATGGAGTCTCCCTCTTGCCCAGGCTGGAGTGTAGTGGTGCAATCTTGACTCACTGCAACCTCTGCCTCTTGGGTTCAAGCGATTCTCGTACCGCAGGCTCCCGAGTAGCTGGGATTACAGGTGTGCACCACGCCTGGCTAATTTTTGTATTTTTTGTAGAGACAGGGTTTCTCCATGTTGGCCAGGCTGGTCTCAAACTCCTGGCCTCAACTGATGCCTCCGCTTTGGTCTCCCAAAGTGCCGGGATTACAGGCATGAGCCCGGCCCGTCCTTATTTTATTTTATTTTATTTTATTTTGAGACAGGATCTTGCTGTGATACCAGGCTTCAGTGCAATGGTGTGATTCTAGCTCACTCCAGCCTTGAATTCTCGGGCTCAAGTGATTCTCCTGCCTCAGTCTCCTGAGTAGCTAGGACTACAGGCATGTGCCACTACACTCAGCTAATTTTTAAATTTTTTTGTAGAGATAGAGTCTTGCTTGTTGCCCAGGCTGATCTCAAACTCTTGGCCTCAAGCAATCCTGCTGCCTCAGCCTTCCAAAGCTTTAGGAATACCGGTATTATTCCCAGCCATTATCTTCACTGCAGAGATGAGGACACTGAGGTTTGGAGGAGTCTAGTGACTCATCCAAGATCACAGCCCTAGGAAGGTGTTGACCTGGGCTCCCATTCAGGTCTCTGAACTCCAAGCCCAGTGCCCTCTCCACTACCACCAATGTGGGCTGGGAACGGCATGTTTTCTTCTGTTCTCCTGAGGCATGGCTTTTCTTGAGATGAATACAAGCTCCACAGGTGGCACAAACTGAGTGCCAGCTCTGAGCCAGGCTCAGCTCTAGCTCCTTCAATCCTCTCAACACCATATGCTGTAGGTGATGGTTTATAGCCATGGAAACTGAGCCCCAAAGAGACGAGTTGGTTGCCCAAGGTCACACATAATTGATGGAAGTGGCTACTGGCAACCCCAGTGCCGCAGCATGATGCTTTACCTGCCTGAAAGGAAAAGCGTGGAGCTAAGCATGCCATTAGTCTGTGTTTAAATCCCCACTCTGGCCTGTATCTAGCGACAGGCTTCTCAGCTGTGCCTGGGGGGTGCTACCCCCTGCACTGTTGGGTTCTTGGAGGCAAGAGAGATAGCAGGAGGTAAAGCTTATTGCAGCCTGGTCCTGGGCACAGAGTAGGGGCTTAGTCCAGCTAAATGTCCCTCTTCTCTTTCCACGCCTCAGACCATGGGAAAAAGATCTTGGATTAAAGGAAAGGGGACATTTTGCTGGAGTGAAGCAGGCACCTTCCTGGGTCCCTAGGGGCTTCATCTTTTTAGCTTCCTTGACCTTGCTCTCTGGAGCTGTGGGGCCTGGAGAAGCTGTTACCAATGACTTCCTCTCTGTTCTGCAGCCAGCCTGACTTTTAATCTCTTCTCTCCTTCCTGCCTGCCTGGCACTCTTTTTCTGCTTTGCTAGCACATTGTCCATGTGTTTCTACCACCAAAAGGCCTTTCTGCCTAAACTCTGCTGCTTCCTGTGGCTAATAATATTTGGGTAGATTTTCCTTTTTTGTCTGCCGGTGGTGGTGGTGGTGGGGCAGATTATTTGAGTAAGTCACTGTGGTGAGTCACTGTCCCCTCCCCTGCTCCCACTGACTGGGCATTGGGCTTCTCATGAATTGGGCAGTCTTCCTGCTCCTGTCTCCCATCAAGTTTAGCTGCTCCCTGTTCCACTCTGACCACCTGGCTCTTTCTTGCTTGCTGCTCTGAGCCTCTGAGGCAGGGCAGGATTTCTTTCCAAGCTCTCTCTGAGCATTTACTGTGAGCCAGACACTGTTCGAAGCACTTTCCGTGCATTATCTTATTTGACTCTCACGTCACTATGTGGTCATAATGAGTTAGTAACTGTTTTCTCTTAGAGGTTCAGAGAGGTTAAAGAATTTGCTCCAAATCACATCATCAGCAAGTTTGTATTTATGTCCAGCTGACTCCAGTGCCCAGGCTCTTAAGCAAACCCTCCTATGTGATATTAAGTTCTAAAGCAGAGGGAGGGACAGATAGGGGAGTCCTTACAGTTAAGAGAGTTTGAATGTCCCTTCCCCCATGCAGTTTTGGCGGGGGAAGAAATTTGTCCACTGAACACCCACTTTGCACCCAATAGGTGCTGCCCTGGGATTTCCCAGAGATGGAGAAGGGCTACCATATGTGGGAGGGAGGAAGAATGAGTCTTCAGAGGCCTGAGGGGTTCTCAGAACTGAGGGCCCTTTGCAAATGCCTGGAGCCCAGCAGTGCTAGGGAGGGTTGTTCAGCTCCTTGGAGGTCTAGGTTGGGGTGTTCATTCCACAGGCAAAGCTGCACAGAGGCTCATCAGTGCACCAGCGCTCTGTTTCCAAGGGCTCCTCGTTAGTGGGGGAGGTAGCCCTGAGACAGGCATTAGCAGGGCTGGGTAACTAGGGCCATGATGGAAAAAGGACAGCAGCCGCGGTGCTGTCAAAATACTATCAGGGTCTTCCTCCTGGGGAATACACGAGGATAAAGTGAGAGAAAGGATCTAAAAAGTGAAGCGTGGAACCCGGGATGTAGAAAACGCTGAATAAGTGTTAGTTGGCCTTGTTGCTACTGCTTGGAGACCATGACTTAGAATGCTTTCCTTCAAATGGCTGGCAATGCTGAAAGAGACTCAGGGGCCATCTAGTTGCATGGCTTTCAGCTAGGGGGCTTTCAGAGTGTGGCATTGCCCTAGAAGCCCCTGTCAGAGGACAGGGAGGGGGTGAGTAGGCAGCCCACCCATCCTCAGTCCCTGCCCCTTGTCTGTGTCATAGTTTGGGGTTCCCTGAAAAAGTTGTTTGGATAAAGGTGTAAGGAGGAGAGCAGTTCTGTTGGATTTTTAAAAGCTTGAGTGTACAGATTTGTCCCAGTGATTTCTAACTCCCTCCCACTTCCCATGTGGACTTTTTGACTAGCTCCCCAAGGTCCCCATGGCATAGAGAGTTTGGTCTACCCTCACACTGCACGTACTCAGCAATGGTGTGTGAGGCTTTAGCGCTGGTCAAGGCAGAATTTTGCAAAGACTTTTGGCAACCCTTAAGATTATGAGCCTTCATTGTCTCTTTCAGGGACTTAAGAAAGGCTCCCTTTCCTATAGGAGGCCGTGGCTTCTGAGCACCTTCTGCGGACAAGGAGCTGTGGGCATGGGCACTATCTTATTTAGCTTTCATGAGCATCCTTCCTTCTGACCACTAGTTTAGACTCAGAGAACACAGGGTCAGGACTGGGGTTTGGGGAAATGTAAAGTGGCTTGCCCAGTGTCATTAACCTGACAAGTGGTTTTTGGATACCAAGTCCACTGAGGACATATCTATTCTCTGCATGAAAAGAAGAGCCAGGACTGGGTGTAGTGGCTCGTGACCATAATCTCAACATTCAGAGAGACCGAAGCGGGAGGATCGCTTAAGCCCAGGAATTTGAGACTAGTCTGGCAATATAGTGAGACCACAAAAGTTTTTTAATTACTTGGTCATGGTGGCATACCTGTGGTCTCAGCTACTCGACAGGCTGAGGTGGGAGGATTGCTTGAGTCCAGGAGGTCAAGGCTGCAGTGAGCTGTGATTGTGCCAATGCACTCCAGCCTGGGCAGAGAGAGACCCTGTCTCACAAAAGAAAGAAATAAGGAAAAAAGGGAAAAAAAAGGAAGGAAGGAAGGTAGGAAGGAAGGAAAGAAGGAAGCCAGTTTCCTCCTTGTAGTGATCTGTCTGCTTTTGCTGATCAAATGACTTCAATTCCGCTGGATGCTTCACTGTTACTTGGAATTCATTAGTTTTTACCCTATGTTAGTGGAGCTATGCAAGAAGGTGACAGTCAACAAGAAAGTGCAGTCGGAAGAACCGTGTTAAGCCACAAGTAGTCTGTGTTTGATTTCATTAGTTGTATTGTATCCACAGTCTCACTTAGATGTAGATATTTGCACATACACGTAAACATATTCCAACCAATGCATGCTCAGAAACAGCATCTGCAGTGGAACCTCAGGCAAATACAGTCTACAACATATGTGTTCTTCCATACACATGGATATAGGTACACATGCGGAGAGATGGTCATATACCCAGACACACACATGTATCCAGAAACACATGCATGTGAAGATAGGTACAAACTAATTGAAATAAATTTTCTTTGAAACCCAATTTGAACAGCTGTGTCTTTAGGAAAAAAGAAGAGCTGGGATTTACAAAAGGAAAAATTAAACCAATAACTTAGGATACAATTGCATTCTCATTTAATTGTCAAAAAGGGGGAGAAATAATACCACTCAGGGATAAAGACTACATTTTGTAAATCAGGTGTATTAATACTGCTACCAACAGAGTTAACTAATGTTTTTTTTCTGTATGTTCCTGTAGTCAGAGTTGTGTCATGCCCTCTCTTCCTGTAATTCCACTTCTAGGAAGCTAATCTAAAGAAAACTATTGTAAGTAGAAAATGGGACTTGCAGAAAAGTAGTCACAGAAGTGTTATTTATAAATAACAAGCTAAATATCTATAATAAATATCTACATATCAAAAACCTAAATAACCAGCTAAATATCTATATATTGAGACGTGTAACTTCAGCTTGATGAAATATTTTTCTGTCATCACAATGGCAGTTATGAAAACTAAGGGGCATCACAGAAAATGTTTATGATATTCAGTGAAAAAAGAAGACACAAAATTTGGCATTCATGATGATTGAGATGATATGAAGATTTATGTAGAAAAAGATAAATAATGGAAAGTGAGAAACAAGTAGTTCTTTGAAATTGATAGGACTATTAATCTTTTTGCATGTACTCTAATGTTTTATCACAATGATTTTCAATTCCAAAGGCTATCTGTCAAATAAAAGTTAAGTCAAACCTAAACCAACCTGTTAACTTCAGTAGAGATCTAACCTACTTGTGGATAATGGAGACTTAACAACCCCTATGTATGAATGAGAAGCTGTATGTATAGGTGTGTGCATATATAATAATGTCACATGCACATTTGACTTGGTGAGAGTCCCAGACTCAACCTCCAAGGGTCTTAAATAAGATTACACAGGAACCACAGTGTTTCACATGCCTGAACCTCAGCCCTGTTGTTATTCTTTCATGCCCTAAAGTGGAATATCTCCAGGTAATCTCTACCAATACACCGATGTCTGACCTTGGGACAAATCTTCCCAGAAAGAGGTCTTACTCCTAGGAATTAAGACGACACTTGATGGAAACAGTTGTCTGGAGTCAGCAGAGCCAGAGGCTGAGACTTTGGCTTTTCATGAATGAGCATTTTGAGCTCTGGCCCAAATAGTTACCATTGATTGAGAATTCGCTCTGTCAGGTGCTGTGGAAGATCCCCTCTATCAGTGGCTCTCAAATGTGAGAAGCATCAGAATCACTCGGGGTGGAGGACTTGTTAAAGAGATTACTGGGCCTCATCCCAAAACTTTAAGGCTCAGTAGGGCCCAAGAATTGGCCTTTCTAACAAGTTCCCAGCTAATGCGGAAGCTGCTGGCACAGTACTGAGAGCCACTGCTCTAACTACAAGCTCTCATTGCTCATGACAACTTTGCAAATGAGCTGCCTTAATATGACATCCTCTACCAAGGGGATAGAGAAATGGAATCACTTGGCCAGTTATTTAACCATCTTTGTTTCATTGTATGTAAGGGGAGTAATAAGATGATATTCTTCTCTTTCAAGAACTGTAGGTACTCACATGTACTCATCTCCCCAGTCCTAAGGTGCAGGGGGTGAGGAGGAAAGAGAGAGACAGAGATAGAGAGAGAGAGAGAGAAAGAGAAAGAGAGAGAGACTCCTCTACTGTGGAGACCAACTAACTGCCCTTTTCTTAGACTATGAATCACCTCCAGATGTCAGGCTTCTGTTTGCTGTTGTTTTCCTTAATTAGCGAAAATGAGCTGCCTCAAACGCAGCCTGCATGGTTTCTGCTGTCGCTAGGAATCCTCAGCAAAGTGACAGACATACACCGCTAGTGACTCTGCAGACCTACCAGGTTCTGTGGGCTCAGGCGTCCCACTCCCACCCCCGGCGCTGCATGGCTGAACTGGGGACAGGGAGGCATGCAGAACAATGACAGGAAACACCAGCTGTTCCATGAGACCTTTGACAACCTCCCCTTTCTGTGGGTCCCAGAGGGCAGGATTGACTCAGCATCTCCTAGCTGGGCACATGCCAACCCAAACTGTGTGATGTGGGCATGACAGGGGCTCTCAAGTCAGACATGCCTGGGTTTGAATCTTGGAGCTTCTACTTTGAAGCTGTGGAGCCAGTCTATTCTGTGCACCTCATCTATAGTATGGGGAGAATAATATTGACCTTCACTGGGTAACTGTTGGGGTTCAATAAGCCAGTATATAGTAACAGCATAGCTTGGTGCCCAACAGAGTGTTTCCTGGAACTTGATGAAATGGCTAAAAAAATTTTAAAGAAGAATAAAAGGGGCCAGGTGTGGTGGCTCATGCCTGTAATCCCAGTACTTTGGGAGGTAGAGGCGGGCAGATCACGAGGTCATGAGTTCGAGACCAGCCTGGCCAACATGGTGAAACCTCTACTAAAAATACAAAAATTAGGCATGGTTGCAGGCGCCTGTAACCCTGGCTACTTGGGAGGCCGAGGCAGGAGAATCGCTTGAAACCGGAAGGCAGAGGTTGCAGTGAGCCAAGATCGCACCACTGCACTCCAGCTTGGGGAATAAGAGCAAAACTCCGTCTCAAAAAAAAAGAACAAAAGGGTAAAAATAGACAGACACTTCCAGTTAAAACAAAAAAAATCCCAGAGGGGATTTACGTTACCAGATACCACAACTTGTTATGAGTTGTACGTCAATGCAGCGATACACAAGCTGACCAATAAAATGATATACAAAAGTCCAGGAACAAAAGCACGTATGTATAAAGCTATGTTATATGATATGGTTTGTGTGTCAGATTAATGGGGAAAGGAGAGACCATTCAAAAATTAGGCCTGGAAAAATGGTAATCCCTATCAAATAAATTAAATTGGATCCTTACATTACATGATATATAAAAATCAACTCCACATGGTTAAATGTTTAAAAAGTCTTTAAAATTTTTAATAGAAAATATTAATAGAAATATTTTTTAAATATTGGAGAATAGGGGTTTTTTTTAGTTTTAAAACTTTTAAATATATATATGTGTTTATTTATTTATTTATTTATTTATTTATACTTTAAGTTCTGAGATACTTGTGCAGAATGTGCAGGTTTGTTACATAGGTATACATGTGCCATGGTGGTTTGCTGCCCCTATCAATCCATCATCTAGGTTTTAATCCCCGCATGCATTAGATATTTGTCCTAATGCTCTCTTCCTCCCCTTTCCCCCGACCCCTGTGTGTGATGTTCCCCTCCCCGTGTCCATGTGTTCTCATTGTTCAACTCCCACTTATGAGTGAGAACATGCGGTGTTTGGTTTTCTGTTCCTGTGTTAGTTTGCTAAGGGTGACAATTTAACCTTGTGTCTTAAGACAGAGGAGTTTTGACTATAAAATAAGAGATTGATACATGTGTATTAAAATTGATTTTTCTTTCATAAAACGACAACTTGACTGAGGAGTAGGCTTGCTACATTATTTTGTTTGTTTTTATCTAGATGATATTAAAACTCAGAGTAATAAATTTTGACATTCTTTTGTATTTACAGTTTATCAGTTGTTAATTTTCTCTGTTCAACTGTAGTACAATAGATGCAGTGATTTAACATTTACAATTTTCACATATGGTATATTTCAGAAATTTGAAATTAAGCAACAATCTCAAAGAGTGGAGAAAGTAAGGACTCCTCGAGAAATCTTAATAGGGGACTAGGTCCCTTTGGAATTGTCAGTGGGTTCACTGCCTTACATCCTGATATCTGTGTCCAAGGTGAGGTTCTGAGGGGTAAAGGTAAATACAAATTGAAGAGCACTCTCTAAGCTGAAAGAAAGTCATGTCTGTTATGATTCATTCCCAGTTTGGTTTTGGATGGCATTGGAGAATGCTGTGAGCACTGCCGCATTGCTGTGCTGATTTAGGCAGTTTCGCCACCAGCCTGGAAAAGGAGACATGGGCTCTGCGCTCTACCCTTGCTCCCTGGTAAGTCGCTAAGCTCTGAACTTTGCTCCCTAAACTTGAAGTGGTCCTTTATTCACAAAGGGGGAATTACTTGAAAATGTCAGATGAGACATCTATAATTTGTTGCTTTAAATAAAATAGAAGCAAAATGCTAAAAAGGTTACCTTGAATTTTAATACCTGTGAAAGGTCCATGTTTCAGCTTTCTTCCAATAGCCAAACCATATTCTACCTTGTGCCTTATAGCCAAGCAAGGCTAAAAGCTCCCTGTTTTAAGTGTTTGCTGTTTATTTTATTTTGGGACAAGAGGGAAAAGGGGCAAAGTGTGAAGGTGAGGAAAAGGTTACCACCTCACAAATATTTTCATTTATCTTGAATGTTAATATCTAGTGCAGTGCCATTGACAACAGTAACTTTACGTAAGAGGAAACATCAAACTCTCCCTTGGGTGGGCCCAAAAAAAGTGATGTATCCTGGACCACATTTGTGCTTTTTATGTATTCCCAGACGTATGGTAGGGCACCTACATTGATAATTGGTCTTTGTTCCAAATTGCGTAAACATTGGGGAAAAAAAAAACAAACTTACATTTGTTGCCTTTCGGTGTATGCCAAAGAAAAGTGAGAATGTTCACGAAATTCTCTTTGGCATAATCTTAGTTAAACTGACAACATGCATAACTTGCCTGCAGAACATGAGGCAAGTACAGTCATTCTTTCATTCACAGGAATTTTGTGGTTTTCTGACATGTGTCTCCACTGTAGATATTACTACTACTCTGCAGTTGGAAACTTATCTTTTTCTAACTAATTAACTAAGTAAGGCCTGGAGAAAAATGAATTTACATGTTTCATTAATTACATAAGGGTCCATTTTACAGCCTTAATAGCCAGGCGGAGTAAGTGGACCAAATTATGGAGAATGGGTACATTTTGTAAAAATACTTAAAAGTACCATTGCGGAGAGAGTGACAGTTTCAAAAAGCTTGTTTTTAATGTTGACAAAAATCATGATCAGAATTTGCTTCCATTTACTATAATTCAGGGGTCAAAAACTGAAAAGCTGAAATACCTTCAGAGTCCCAGGAGGAGCTGACTATGACTAGAAAACGCATGGCATCTAAAGGGGACAGGCAGGGTGTTAATTTGCTCCAGGTGATAGGCAGCAAGCAGGAGTTACATTGTGTCATCTACTTTTCTAATTGATCAAGGAAGGCCGGAGATTTTATGAGATTTGATGTTTGAATTTTGAAGATTAAACGCTTTCAATAAAATATGTGCTCCAACAATATATGGTGGGCTGAGGCTTAGACTACTGGTTTGCATCTTCTAATGTAATTGAATTACTTTCGCCCCTTCCTAACTTATTTGAAGTTTGGTTTTAAGCAAATGCATTTGTGGTTTTGATGAACATCATATGGCCAATAACTTTTTAAAAGCATCTGTGAAACAATTCTAACTGGTTTGAATTTGGAAAAAAAAATCAAAAAAGGTGGCTTAATTTCACAGGTTTCTTTAAAGGGCATCTGCCAAGTAGAAGACTGGCAAGAAAAAATTGGTTCCTAAGGAAGAAGTACAGGTAGTAGGTTGCGTAGTTTGAGGACAGGGATTTTATCCACAAGGAGGTAATTATATGACCTGCTGCTACCTTTCTTAGGGCCTTCTGATTATATAGTAACCTGTTTCCTTGCTACTTTGCTTTGGTTCAAGCAGTTTCTTCTGCAGGTTTTCTCATAAATGAAAACACTGCAAGAATACCAAAGACAGCAATGTTTGTGTTAGTGATTTAAAACATCTGCATGGGGCCAACATCGATTACTGAAAGTCAACTAATGAGAATTAGAGACTTCTGAAGTATACCTGTTTGCTTACGGGTCTCACTTTGAGGTGGCTGGAAGGTTTCGAAAGAATAGTTTTTCTTGTTTTTTTTTTTTTCTGTTTCGTTTTTGCTCAAGTTCCTCTTTCTGAGATCTGGAGACTGTCCGCGGTTCCCTGCTCACTGTTGTCCCTGGAGTCTGCCTGAAAGAAAGCATTTTTTAAAACTGTTGAAATATTTTGCAGTTTTCTACACTGTATTTGTAAATATTTATCTTTTGCTAAGTTTCTGTTTCTTTATCTTCTGGACTTAAAATTTGCGGCAGTTCTTAGGGTAGCATTGCATGTTGTAGAAATTGATAATTGCATTGAGTTACTCATTATAGTATGTAACTCTGGGGTGGAGTTTGTTTAATGTGTACAGGGACTAGAAGGTCAATAAAAATGAAAATGGTTGTCTGGATAGTGGAGCTACTACAATTTGTTAAACCTATACATCTTTTCAATAAAAATATTAACATACTTTTTAAGGAGACAACTTAAAAACAAGTTACAAATGGGAGATTATGTTGCAATACACATACCAAAAGGATTAATATAAGAACATATCAAGAGCTCCTTCAAATCTGCAGGAGGCTCTATTCTCATTTAAAAGGGTTTAGAATGTATTTCTTCACACCGTTGACTTTGAGGTTGGCCATGTACCTCCCTTGAGCCAATAGACTGTTAGCAGATATGGGCCAGGCACGGTGGCTCAGGCCTGTAATCCCAGCACTTTGGGAGGCCGAGGCGGGCGGATCATGAGGTCAGGAGATCGAGACCATCCTGGCTAACACGGTGAAAACCTGTCTCTACTAAAAATACAAAAAATTAGCCGGGTGTTGTGGCGGGTGCCTGTAGTCCCAGTTACTCAGGAGGCTGAGGCAGGAGAATGGTGTGAACCCGGGAGGTGGAGCTTGCAGTGAGCTGAGATCGCGCCACTGCACTCCAGCCTGGGTGACACAGTGAGACTGTCTCAGAAAAAAAAAAAAGAATGTTAGCAGATATGACATGCCAGATCCCAGCAGAAGCTTTGAAAGCATTGCAAGTTTCTGATAATCCTCTTTCTCTTGGACCCTCTGCCAGTAGAATGTCCTGTCCTGAGCAAGAGCTGTTCCTTTAGCTGGACCCTGGAATTGGGAAGACTTGTGACAAAGACTGACATGACCCACAGCTTAATGAAGGGCTGCAGTTGGCCCGCAGACTTAAGAGCAAAAAAGAGAAATGTTTCTTGTTATCAGCCACAGATATTTTGGGGTTGCTTGTTGCTGCAGCAAAAGCTGGCCGATACAGAAATTAATACCTAGAAGAGAGAAATTGCTCTAACCAAAGGATAAGATGTACAGATTTGGCTTTGCAGCTGGGTGGCAGACAGCAGAGAAATTATTATAGGGGCTAGAGAAATGGCAACCTATGGAATGCTGTAGTGAAACATTTGGTAAAACTGTCACATATGATAACTCGGAGGGCAGAAAATAAACCTACTGAATTTATAGCTTTGGGAGAAGAGGTTTTGAGACAGAATTGGTTAGTGTGAGTTAGCTTTTACTAGCTACATTTCATGAGGTACTACAAGAAAGAAATGATGTCAGCAAAGGGCAGGCTCATTTGCAAGTGGAACTGAAAGGGAATATAGAAAGTCTAGAAATGCTAGGGCTAAGAGTGTTGAAAGATGCAATAATCTCTCACTTCCAACCTCTGTGGTTAAAAAAATTCTCAAAATAATACATAGCTTTAAGGCACAAAACAAAACAAAGGCATGGCTATGAACACTTAGCCTGGAGACCAAGACCAAATCCAGGGCACAACTGTCACTGCCTTTGTTAAGACTTCTGATAAGAATACGGCACTCCCAGGGAATCCTGTCCATTAGACAGAATGTCTCATGGAAAGGTCTCCTAAAGCCTGATGATGTCAGAGTACTTGAAACTACATATAGAGGGAGAGCAAGACATGTCTCAAAATGAATTGTGGATTTGGCTACTGACATTTCGAAAAGGGTTTTCGAGAGAGTTACATTGCTGAAAGTGCTGCCAGCCTAGGTTAAATAAGACTGATTTTTAAGGACATGAAAGGATCTTGAGCGATAGTATTCTACAGGCAGGAAGCAGGCCAAAGAGGTTGATGAGAAAAATACAAACACCCAAAAGAAAAATGGGAAAAACTAGGAATAGATATTTCACAGAGGAGGGGACACTTAGAGCTGATAGATATAACTTTCTCATGACAGTGAATATTCTGACCCAGAAATTCTGCTTTTCATATATACCTAATGGAAGTCTTGCATATATAAGAATGTTCGTGTGTCAGAATGTTCAGAACTGTTTACAATGACAAAATTCTGGAAAAGACTCAAATGCCCATCAAAAGAGAGTGACTATATAAACAATAGAATGTTTATCCAATGGAATATAATATGGCATTTAAAACAAATGAACTGCAGCGATAATGATACATGATAATGATAATGTCCTAGATATTAACAAAATACTATTCAACAAATAAGTCCCTATAAACAGTGTGATAAATAAACAGTATGATACCCTTTTTATAAAGTAAAAATAACTAAGGTAAAAAATATATATATACATTTTAGAAACACACATCACACATTGGTCAAATATATGGAAAAGAGAAAGTAAGGGAGATTGAGGTCTTGGTTTCCTTAGGTTGGGGGAGTCAGGGAAAGCAGTATAGAGGGAAAATATGGTGGATGTATCTTATTGTCAAGATCCTTGCTTTTATTTTGAGTGGTGGTTTACATGGGTTTATGGATTTATTAAAAATAACTAAAACTTCAAAGGCTGATTTTTTTTTAGAAGTATAGCATATTAACGTTGAAAGGGTCCTAAGAAGTTGATTAGTTCTTCTCTCTTATTTTCCAAATGAGAACACTGAAGCCCAGTTTGGGAGAGTGGCTGGCCCGATTACACAATCAATGAGAGTGGCAGAGCCCATCCTGGAGACTGGCGAGATGAAACTTGTTTCTCTTGTCTTCCTCTTACTCTGTACTGGCACACCTGAGCCAAAGCTGCATCCTTCTTTCCCCTGGTCCCTCACATCTAACTCACCAGTCAGTCCTGCTCTACCTTTATGACATACCTGGATCCATCCACTTTGCGCTGTCCCCGGGCCAGCCGGAGCCATTGCCCTCCCTTGCCTGGCTTCTTGCTATTGCCTCTTGACTGGTTCTTATTGTCCTGAAAATCTGTTCTCCATACAGCTGAGAGAGAAGTCTTACTAAAAAATAGAAGTCAGTTCCTATCCCTGGCTGCATTTCATAATTGGCTTTCTAATACACAAAAACTGACTTTCGTTTTTCTTTCTTTTTTTTTTTTTTATTTTTGAGGCGGAGTCTTGCTCTGTCGTCAACAAGATTGGAGTGCAGTGGTGCCATCTCTGCTCACTGAAACTTCCGCCTCCTGGTTTCAAGTGATTCTCCTGCCTCAGTCTCCAGAATAGCTGGGACTACAGGCGTACGCCACCATGTCTAGCTAATTTTTGTATTTTTAGTAGAGACAGGGTTTTGCCATGTTGGCCAGCTCGTCTTGAACTCCTGACCTCAAGCCATCCACCTGCCTCGGCCTCCCAAAGTGTTGGAATTACAGGCGTGAGCCACCATGCCCAGCACAGACTGACTTTCTAATACTTCATGGCCTACCAGGCTTTACGTGAGTTGGTCCCTGGCCTTCCTCTCAGACTTCAACCTCAATGGGGCTGACTTGATAAGACAGCCTTTACTAAGTGTGTCCCTTCCCTGTTTTGCTCCCCTACTCTCTTACTAATTTTCCCTGCACCTCCTCAGTCAACTACCTTTACCTAAATCTTTGTCTTATTCAGAAGGTAGCACAAGCAAAGATGAATTAGGCCTCATGTTTGCAATTCTCTCTGCCTGGAATATTCAGCCTCTTCATTTTTCACATCTTCTTGTCATTCAGGTCTCAGCTCAAATGCAAACTCTGTAATCCTTTCTCTAGTTATATCCTTTTGTTATGTTTCCTTCATCAACTTATCCTGTTTGAAATTATCTTGTTCACATACTAGCTTGCATGAAAACGATGCCTTTCTCGCAAGGTGTCAGCTCTACAAAAACAAGTGTCTTGTGTGTTTCAGTTACCAGCCCATAGAACAGTGCCCAGTACGGAGTAGGCATCCTTTAAATATTTGTTTACTTAATGAATGAGTGTTTCTTGCTGGGAGGGATGTCAAATACTGCATCAGGAGTAAGATTTACAGTAGCTGCTTGAGCATATGCATTTCCAATTGGCACAGCAATTGCCGGCATGTAAATGGATACTGCTTTTGTGTTTTTGAGTGGTTGATTCTCTTTAATGGGTTTAATCTGCTTCCAAGTACTTTAAAGTGCTCACAATTGCTCGGCTAATTACAAATCCTGATAAAAACCTCCATTAAAGCATATCTTCTAAGTACCTTCAACCCGATAATACTGTTAGAAGAATTATATATGGTTGAAAGTAAGAGAACCACATTTATTTAATAATAATCTTAAATTCATCTTGCCTTTCTGTTTATGTACCTGAATTAGTAAAGCCAGAATGCATTCACCTGCTTACTTGTTTACACAGGGGAGACATTGGCAGAGGCTTGCCCTGGGAAATACTTTTGTGGGTGCTAAAAAGAAATGCTCCTTTGCAGGCCTTTGGAGGAGACCTATCTTATTACATGGCTTTGACCCATCGCATGTTCACCTGGCATGGACCTACTTCAATGTGGAACAAGCAGTCTTTCGGGCTTGAGGGGCTGTGGTTGGGGAGATAAGACCATATATTAACAGAATCATGTGGAGTCTGACGGGTTCTCCAATAGGAGACTTTAGACCCATTGGGGAAAGAGAAGACACAGTGAACCATCACTAGCTACCTATTAAACACTCAGCCCAATACTTTGCCCAGGGCATTTGGGTGGAGGGGTGTGTGTGTGTGAGAGAGATATATTAATCTGTATGAGCCTCGATTTCCTTATTTATAAAGTAGATTTATATTAACTATTCCATATCTGGTTGAAAGGCTCAAAGTTACAAATGGGTCTAAGGGGCTAAGGAAGCCACAAGTCGTTGTGAACATATAAAAGACTGTTATGACAACTGGTAGCCACTGATTTCTGCTTGGAGACTGTCTTGTCTGACATGGTACATGACTTTGTGGTGAGATTGTAACTGTTAGGCCCCATGAAATGCAATGGATATTATGGAAGAATGGAAAACAGTCCTTGCAGAATTGAGATGACACATTGTAGGAAAGGCAGGATTTTCAGATGCCTGGAAGCCTGTGCAGATGGGGAGAATGGCCCGAAGGCTAAGATAGCCTAAGGGAGCTGAGCCAGGAAGTGAATGAGGGCTCAGGAGGGAATGTGTGCATGCATGTGTCGCTGCATGCATGTGATAGCCTGTATAGATATGGGTGTAAAGGCTTAGGGTTTTTGTGTTTTGTTTTTTGGCTCAGTTTGTTAAAACACGGAGTAGGCCAGGTGAAAGTCTCAGGTGCTATGTAGATGTGCGCCAGCTCATTCGTTCATTTACATGTTCATTCAGCATTCGCCAATGCTTATTACATCCATGCATTGTGTTAGGCAAGGAGCTCAGAGTCTGGCCAAGATGGCAGGCATGGGAATGAATGAATTACATTATAAGGCAATATGCATAACCACAGAGAGAAGAGCAAAGTGCCTGGCACTCAGAGAAGAGGGAGAGTTGGGAAGAGGTGGAGAAGGCCTCTGTGACAGAGGAGGCAATTTTGAACAAGGGTTGTCAGAAGAGTGGAAGCTCATTAGCTGATAAAACAAAGAGAAGTTTATTCCCCAGAGAGAGAGGAGGAGCACAGGCAAAGAGCAAGGTGTGTCAGGTGGAACGGTGTGAAATTCGGCCTAGGGGACATCCTCTGTATATGATGTTATAGGTGGTGTAGGTTGTGGCCAGATTAGAAGGAAGCTTGCAGGATAAGCTAAAATGTTTGGACAGCATTCAGGAACAAGTCTGCTGAGAGGCGGTGTGGAGGACGGGTTCAGAACTCTGGAGGCAGACAGCTTGTGTTTAAATACCACCTCCCTGATGACTAGCTAAGTAATCTCAGACAACCCTGGGCCTCAGTTTTCTCATCTGCAAAGTGGGGGACAATGATAACATCTACTTCCAGGGCTTTAGAAGATTTGACACATTAACGCATGTGAAGTGCTTAGAGAACTACCTAGCACACAGGAAGCATTTAGTAAATATTAGCTATTAACTATCTTAATGCTACAGAGGGATAGGGGAACATCAAGATTAAGGAGTGGACAGAGGACGAGAAGCCCCTAACCAGTCTCAGAGTAACAGCCATACAGGTTGAAGGAAAACCAGGAGGGCCATGAAAACCATGGCAAGGGACGTTTCAGGAAGGAATGGTCAACAGATCAAGGGTGCTGAGAGGTCAGACGAGATGACAGCCAGGGGGGCCTTGGATTTGCAACAGGCAGTTGACTGGTGATGCCATTGCAGTTTTGGTGATGTAGCAGGGGGCAGAGGCCAGTTTGCAGCATGTTGAGAAAGTGAGAGGTGAGAAACTGGAGAGAGTGGCATGAATTATTTCAATCTCTTGGCTGGGAAGGAAGGTGAGTGAGAGGCAGTCATGGTAGAAGGATGGTAGTGTTGATAACCTTCTGCTCAGCCAAACACCACTTCCATCCAGTCATTGTCTTCTGTGAGGCTCACAACCTCTGGTCACCTAAGCTAGAAAAAGACTAAAATCCACCTCTTATGGATGAGGACACTGATATAGACAGAGGCCAAGGGTGGGAGAGCCAGTACAAAAGCTAGCTTCCCTATTTCCTTTTTCTTTCCCCAGTGCTGTTTATGGCCATGTACAAGAGGGCCTAGGAGATGGGGTGTGGGGTGTTCAGAGCCATCTGCCTGCTTTGTCACAGCTGGATATCAGAGGACCCATCCATTGAAGGTGGCTAGAAGAGGTTGCAGAGGACACTGGTGACAGATTCCTTTAATTGAGGCCCTTATTTATTATGCAAGACACTGTGCTGGGCACCCAACACACCCCATTGCTGAATCATCCCATATCTGGGTGGTACAAGGAGTCTTTAGTTGAGATTAGCTCTGGCTGGAAACAGTGGCCGAGAAGGAATCCAGATCAGCAGAATGAATGCCTTCATGTTTTTCACATCTGTCCCTTCTCCACAATCCCTTCTGCCCCACCTTAGATCTGATTTGCTGACAGCAGCTCTGGCCTTTGATTCCGCTGGGGAGCAGGGGAGAGTAGCTGGGGGTGCTGTATGACTTGAGGGTTGATGTGCCACTTGGAGCTATTTTAGGGGGAAGTGAAATGCATCTCTCTGACTCATTTAGGATGTATCTTTATGTCAAGGACTTTAACAGGCCAATAAAACCATAACAGTAGGATTCTGGAAAGTTACCTTGCAGGCCAGGGCAGAGGTGACTCCAGAGAGTAACGCAGTAGTAATGCCTGGTTTCATGGCATTTAACTTGTGCTGTCTTGAAATTCTTAGTTTTTGAAGAAGAGAGTCATCATTTTCGTTTTGCACTGAACCATGTAAATTATGTCACCTGTCTTGGTCAGGGTCACAGGGTGGGTGGAACACAGACTGCAGGGTCTAGTTACATCTGGCAGGCAGCAGTCCTGACTTCAGGTGCTCCCTTGTAAACTTGGTTCCTGAAACTCACACTCTTCTAAGGAAGCAATACTAGCCAGCCACAGCTGAGAAATAGGACCTGACTCACTTAGAATCAGCTCTTGAGAGCATTTATAAAGATGCCTCAGGCAAACCACGCAGGCAGGGAGGAAACACAGAACACAGAGAAATCACAACCTCTGAGCCAGGCTCTGTGCTAGAAAGCCTTTGCATGTAGTTCCATATTTAGTCCTTACGACATTCCTGAGACAGAGGCATTGTAAACCCAGTTTAACAGATGATGACTCAGAGGTTTAGGGTGATAAGCAGAATTGACCAGGTACTAATGGGTGGCAACCTGGATTAAAATATGGATGTCTGGATAGCACGCCATCAGAGGATGGAGAAGAAGGCCAGGAGGCCAGGTGCAGGATGGTGTGTCTGAGGCTCAGCTTCAGTTGCTGAGGTTGAGCAGTTTGAGCTTACTGCGGGATCTGTGGTCAGTTTAGTTCACTCCAGAGCCCAGGAGGCCAGACCAGGTGACGGGGGCTTCTTACGAAGTGGGCCAGTCCTGAGAGACATGGACAGATGGAATCCCAGGACTGTGGGCCTACGATGCATTGGGAAATGGGCTGTGAGCCATGGAGTGTCCCAGGCTGTTCCACCTGCCACCCCAGAAAGGGAAGGACTCCTTGGGGGACTTTCCCAGTAGCCTGTGGGTGTGTCACCTCAATGATGGGTGGCCTTGTTGGTTTTAGTGGGCATATTTTGAAGTCAGTGGTGCCACTTCCTGCCCCTGGCATCTTTGCTCTGTGGGGTGAAAATGTAGGGGCTTTCCCCCCACCACTCCCTGCAAAGTCACTGTGTCCTGGCCTCCAGGTGGGCTGTGGGAATCCTGCAGAACTTCAGCATCCTCACCTTCTCTCTGTCCATAGCAAGCCCTCCAGATATCAGCACATGGCCAGCAAATCACAAGACAAAGAGCCTGGCCTGGGAATTAAGAGGAAGGCTGTCTCCAGGGTCCTGTTACCAAGTCCCCACATGACAGTTCACTTTTTCTTTCTCAGCCTCAGGCTACTCATCTGTAATATGACCCGGTCTACCCCAGGTCTTCCTAAGGGCTCTTCCTGCTCTACGGGAGTGGGGGCCAGGAGGGAGAAGATGAAAGGACACTTTCATCCGGTGTACTCCTGGGCACCAAGCTGTATATGGCGTATGCCTGACCCCAGGGACCCCTTGCATACTCACAGAGATGTTGCAAGGTGAATATTTTTGATACAGCATCAAACAGCTCAAGAACCACAGTGCAGAGTTCACAACACATTCCCAGTTCAAGGTGCTTGCTAAGTTTCAGATGGAAGGATTGCAAGTGTGGTTCTCAGAGTGGGTGAGGGACCTAAATACCTCAAAGGCCAGGATCAGTCCCATTAGGTTTCACTGCCTTTGAGCCTCATCAGAAGGGGAAGGGGCATTTCTGGTAACCTCCCCAGCAGGCCCCCTCCGCATGAGTGTTTGCTGTTAACAGGCCAGATCCGACTGCCGGTCCCAGCAGGAATGGGCAAGTGTGGTGCTTTGAGCATGGCTGGTGGGCAGGAGTCTGCCCTTGCTTGGAGATCCTGAGAGTCAATAAATGCCAAGCTAGAGAGTGTCCCAGTGGCCATCCAGGTTAGGGGCTTTTGACAGGGTAGAGAAATGGTGGGATTGGATTATATGAGAAGCCTTTTCATTTGGAAAAGGCTGACCTGCATTTAGAATATGGGGATCTAGAGCGGGATTCAAGCATGTGTCCTTTTGACCAAAGCTTCCTGAATGATCCATATAAGAATCCTATTTCAAGGGCAAGAGTCGCTGATTTAGGCCAACCTTCCCACTTTTTGGGTAAGGAAATTGAGGCTTAGAGAGAGGAACTTGCCCAAATCCTACAGACAGCAGGTGGCAGAGCCAGCTCATATCCTGATTTTCACATGCTCCCATACACAACCTCAACCCTCCTCATCTCTCACTGGAGCTCTTTCCCAGCCTCCCCAACCTGGCTGCCTCCTTTCAATCTGTCCTAGCCTTTGGCACCAGCCCTCAGCCCTCACCACATATCGGGCCATCCTCTGTCCTGAGCAAAAGGTTAGCTCAGGCCCTCTATCGCCAACAGGGTCAAGGCAAAGCTCAGTAAACAGGATCTTGCACAACTGAACCCAGCCCTACTCACCCTTCATTTCTAGCCACCCCTTGCCATGCAGCCTCACACACCCCCAAGCTCTGAAGACAGCAGCCTACACACTTTCATACAGTGATGTCACTGTTCCCATTTTCCCGGAGAAATATGTCAGGCACTATTCTAAGTACTTTATATTTAATTTTCACAACAAGCCTATAAGCAGATGCTATTATTATCCCTGTTTATAGATGAGGCTCAGTGGTTAAGTAACTCAAAGAAGTTACGCAAATAGCGTTCAGGGAAGCTGGGACTGGGCACCAGGGCATTCTGGCTTCAGACCGCACCCTCATAACCACTGCTCACCATGCTAGCCCCTGTTCCTTCTCCTCTCCTGATAAATCATGCCTTCATCCTTGCAGGCCCAGCTGAAAGGTGTTTGCTGAATGAATGAATGAATGAATGAATGAATGAATGAAGACACTGTTGAACTGCAATCTGTCACTGGAATCTTACGTGTCAAATGGTGCCCATTTAGCACACATGGAAATTGCAGTCTTCTACTGCACAGTGCAGTATAACCAAGCACAGGATTTTGGCCAGAGCTCGTTATCCTGATTCTGATCCAGGCAATCTGTGTGAACTCCTGTCTGTCTGCTAACCTCCAGGGTCTTCATTTCTCCTCCGTGACATGAGCTCAGCCATAGTGATGTTAAAATCTCTCCTTCTCTCTTTTCCAGCTAATAGTTGCTGCACATCAGTGCAGTGTTAAACGCTGCAGCATGAAATGCTGACCATAGCAGAGGGACTTCTGCTCTCTGGGAGCTTCTAGACAGGAAGGAGTGTGAACCACCACGAAATTACACTAGTGTGAGATACCCGCTGTGAGGAGTGGGCTGGGTTCACTTTGGGAGCTCTGAGTTGGACAGCCTGCAAGAAGTTAGGCACATAAAGCAGGAAAGAGTGTTCCAGGCAGAAGGGGCAGTAAATCCCAGTGTATGTGCAGACAACAAGCGGGATTGTGTGGCTGCAAGTCTGCCGACTGTGCTGTGCAGGACCCTGTGAGACCAACCAAGTCAGTTGCATGTCACCCTGAGCTTGGTGGGCCATGTTGTGTCAGAATCAGCAGCACATTGAAAAGCTGGGTGCCTGTGACATCCTTTGGGGCACCCCTCAGTTTTCCTGTTGCCATGAGGGGTTCTCCATGCCTCCTTCACATTGTTTCTGATATGTAAATACGAGAGGCCTCCTTAAAAAAAAAGTGCTAAATGTCAGCGGAAAACATAGGGGGAAAGGGAATGTGGGCAGAGTATAAGGAGGTGCTGGAAAACATGAAAAAGGGCTTTGAATCCCGAGGTGTTTTTTGGTGCTCGGGTCCTTGCTGTGGATTTGAATTTGTGCTTGCAGTAGGTAGGGGGTCTGGTGCAGACTTGAGGACCCAAGAGGACACCCTGCTCATGTGGGCAATGAAACAAGGCTTGGTGTGGGTTTCAAGCAGCACCAGATGAGAAGGGAAAGAGACCAGGAAATGGGCCCCAGTAGGGGAGAGGGTGGTACTGCCTGGGTTCATGTGCTGATGCTGAGAATGGTCCAGGATCGAGGGGAAAAGGACACAGTTTCATTGAGCATCTACCATGTGTCCGGCCCCGTGGTGAGCATTTCCGCACACTCTGCAGCTCACAGGACATTGTCCGTCTCCTCGAAGCACTAATCTTGACTTACCACAATTCCCAATACCAGGGCCCATGTTTGTCTTGTCCCGCTGCGGTATCCCCAGTGTCTGGTACATATTCGGTGCTCCACAATGATTTTGAATGATTCAACTTTTTCTTTTTCTCTCCCCTCCCTCCTCTTAAATCTCACTTGATCCTTTGGATAACCTCAAATAAATGTGTTTAAGGTTTGGGGAGTTTATTTATTGATTTATTGATTTTTATTTTATTTTACTTTATTTTTTTGAGACTGGAGTCTTGTTCTGTCACCCAGGCTGGAGTGCAGTGGTGCGATCTTGGCTCACTGCAACCTCTGTCTCCCGGGTTCAAGGGATTCTCCTGCCTCAGCCTGGGGAGTTTATCTTAAAAACAATGAGGAGAGTTGTGCCAAGTCCAGCTAGCTGTGGAGCTTACAATGAGAGAGCAAAGACTCAGAAAGTGTAAATTACTTGCCTAGGCTCTAGCGGTGGAGCTGAGATCTGACCCAGTTGTGTCTGACTATCCTGCATTTCCTCTATAGCTTGCTTCCTCCCTAAGTGAGGGAACTCAGAAGGCTTGACCCCAGAGCTGGACAAAGCAAGACCAGTATTTCTGTGGTTGTATGTTGCTGGGCAAATGACTTCTCCCTTGTCAGTTTCTATGCCCTGATCTGCAAGGATCAGGCTGAACTCTAACTGCAAGGCAAGCAGGCAGGGTCAAGCCCCAGGCCACTCGGGCCATCCAGGAGGAGGAAAGAGGGCTGGAACACTCCTGGACACCCTCAGACACCACTGGGCGCCTCTGGAGGAGATGTCTTAAGAGGCAGCTGCATGGGCTGAACTCTATCTGGTCTCTACCTGTCCTCTGTAATCAGTACTTATTTCATAAAAGATGACTAAGAAAACCTATCTCCAAGCAGTTCTGATTTTCAAATTTCTAACGAAGAAATGTGTTCATATGAATAACTGGTTCAGTGTTTATTCTGAGAGCATCTCTTATACATCAGTCCATCCTATGCCATCTGTTCCAGCTTGTTCAGTTACACAACTGTTTAATTGAGTTACTACTTGGTCCTAGCCTTTGTGCTAGAGCCTAGAGAAGTCTGTGTCCTTGACAGTCACATTGGGGTGGAAGAGATACCCATGAGAAACATTAAGTTCCTGTGTGATAAGAGCCTCCAGTCAGTTCCTTCCATGTGCTGAGGGAGCCTGGAAAGGAAAAGCATGACTAAATCTTGCTGTTCTCTTTTTGCCTGTGCTGGTCTGACTGTGGCCACAGGGAGGTGGGGGGAGGGGAAGGGGGTGGTGGAGTGGGCAGCCCGGTTTCCCTTCTTGATTGGGCTGGGCAGCAACCCCAGGAGGAGGGGAAGAACAAAGAATTTCCAAGGTGGCCACATTTCCCCCTGTCTGTTTCCTACATCTAAAGGACCTACAGTTACATTTGGCTGACTGACCACCCACTTGCATCTTCTCTCTCTCCTGACACGCTATGGTAAAGGAATAAAAAAGTATTCATCTCTTGTAGAAATGCCATTTGACCCAGCAATCCCACTACTGGGTATATACCCAAAGGAATATAAAACATTCTATTATAAAGATACAGGCACATGAACCTTCACTGCAGCACTCTTCACAATAGCAAAGACGTGGAATTAACCCAAATGCCCATCAATGATAGACTGGATAAAGAAAATGGTACACCCTGCACATGTACCCTGGAACTTAAAATAAAAGTTGAAAGAAAAAGATGGATGCATAGCGCATAGTAGGATGAATAGCACATAGTATTTATCCATCTCTAAGGACAAAGAGAATAGGATAGAAACAACAGCAGTTTGTGGTTTCAACCACTTTTCAGGTGGCAGGAAGCAGTTGAAAGGATAAATGGTACTTGGTTGGGCTGAGCAGAGGAAGTTAGTTGTGGACTGTGCAAAAAGTGTGTTCTCAGAGGCAGCTGCACATGAAGGTCAAAAGACCAGGGCTCAAGTTCCATTGTCCCTGAGGTCAACATGACCTTGGACAAGTTACTTTCCTCTCATTTCATCATAATATGAAGTGATTATACGAGATATGTGATTCTTATCTTCTGGTGTCTGAGAAAATTACCTGAAAATTTTTTCTTTCCAACATGTACATGCACATGTGTTTTGATTCTCATCCTGAAATGGGACTAAGATATTCAGATTTTTACAAAAGCTCTCCCAAAACACTTCAAGAGCCACTGTTGTAGATAGTCTGGAAGAGCCCTTTCAACTTGGACATTTCCATGTTTGGAGAGTGGACTAAAGGAAAGTGTTGCAGGAATTGTATGGCAATCCAGGCATGAGAGTTCTCACAAGAGGCTGAGATCCTATCTGCTAGATATGGCAGAAGTGCCTTTGTGGAGACAATGACATTTGCAATGGGTAGGATGTTCACAGAGTGAGACAGAGAGGTGGGCTCTGCAGGTGGAGGTTACAGCAGGAGCAAAATCCCAGAGATAGTACAGCAAGTGGCAGTTACTTGCAATCAGGAATTGCAATTACCCGAATGTGCTGGCCTCCACTGAGGCATGACATGAAGAACCACAAATATCCAGGTGAGTAGCTCGGTGCTCCACCCAATTGATGGTGTGGAGCCACTGCAGGTTTTTGAGCTAAAGACTGCACAATCAGAGTAGATCAGTCTAGCCATCACTCTATATAATGCACACAGGCTTCATGATTTCAATGCCTAGATTTGGCTCAGCTACTTTTTCTTGAGCACCTACTATGTGCTCTTTATTCCGAGTACTGCATACATCTTTATGACCCAGTCTTCTCTGTAGCTGTACAGCCACATCTCTCTGCAACCACTCTCTCACTCCTGTCACTCTCCTTGGACCCTACACTTCTGCTTTTCCTGATGATTTGAAATGAAGTGTGCTCCCTTATGCCTTGTTGTCCTCATAGAAGACCCTGCCTCTACTTAGCTTTCCCCTCTCCACATCAGCACACAGGAGATATTGCTTAAAGAACATTCTCCTGGCTGGGGTGGTGGCTCACACTGGTAATCCCAGCACTTTGGGAGGCCGAGGCAGAAGGATTGCTTGAACCTAGGAGTTCAAGACCAGCCTGGGGAACACAGTGAGACTCCATCTCTACGCAAATAAAAAATAAAAAAATTATCTGGGCAAGGTAGTGCACACCTATAGTTCCACCCACTGTGAGGCTGAGGCGGGAGGATCGCTTGAGCCCAGGAGTTTGAGGCTGCAGTGAGTTTGCACCATGGCACTCCAGCCTGGGCAACAGAATGAGACCCTAGAAAAAAAAAAACAAAAAGGAAAAATTCCCTGGCTGAGGCTGGAGGATTGCTTGAGCCCAGGAGTTTGAGGCTGCAGTGAGTGTGTGCCACTGCACTCCAGCCTGGGTGACAGAGTGAGACTCTAGAAAAAAAAAAACAAAAAGGGAAAATTCCCCTGGCAGGACTCTCAGATGCTGCTGAGTAGCTCTCAGTCCTCTCTGTAACCCAAACATAACACATCTATCTCTGTGCTTACACTGGGTGGCTTTCACTTGTTTATCTGTGAATTGAAGAGAAGTTGCTTGAGGTCAGGCAGTGCTCCTCATTGGTAACTGCCTTCTCTGGGGCTAACCAAGGACCTAGAACAGAATAAGCTATTGAAAATTGTTGAG
This sequence comes from Homo sapiens, assembly GCF_000001405.40. Lineage (NCBI taxonomy): Eukaryota > Metazoa > Chordata > Mammalia > Primates > Hominidae > Homo > Homo sapiens. The sequence goes on along the minus strand of NC_000017.11, from coordinate 34,363,793 downwards.
GATTAAAAAAATAGAAAAAATAGAAATGGCAAATATCTAGGCCAGTCACTGGACATAGAGAATGTTATTTAATTCTTATCGCACGTCCTTGAGACATGTATTGCTATTTGCATTTTGTGTGAATATGAATTTGGGTAAGTTTATGTAATCCCTCCTCTGCAGAACTGGGATTCAAATGCAGGTGTATCTCTGTTCAGGTCCAGACTCTTCTGCCCTGAAGCAGTAGTACTTGGATGGAATGACGTAGGGTTGGACAAGCCACACAGAGGCCACTTCCTCTCACTTACTTTTCTTTGCTTCCCACTCAACCAGGACAGTTCCCACGCACTTTTTCAAGATTCTTATCTGCTCCCACACTTAGGGAAGTTCCCAATGCAACCTATCAATCCATCACCACCACGAATACCAGCCAGGAGAGGTGGGGAAAGGAGTTTACCACATGGTCGCTGGGTGTGAGCAACTGTTCCCTGTCCCTATGGCTTCCCACTTGTGGCTCCCACCATGGCCTGGAGTTTTGGGTGGAGTTTTTCAAATAAAAGCCCTCAGCATTGCAGGACGGCACAGTGGTGAGCTCTTAGCTTCACCAGGCTCATCAAAGCTGCTCCAGGAAGGCCCAAGCCAGACCAGAAGACATGCAGATCATCACCACAGCCCTGGTGTGCTTGCTGCTAGCTGGGATGTGGCCGGAAGATGTGGACAGCAAGAGCAGTGAGTGTGGCAGGCATCATTTTGCTTCTCTCTGGGGAGGGCAGAAACGTGGTCAGCCACTCTGGGGTTGGAGCAGGCTTCTCCTTGAACTCACCAACTCTATCTCCCCTCTTCCTACCTAAAGAGGAGGAATGGTGAACTTGGACAGGCTGGGGTGAGGGCTAGTAGGAGAACCATGAGTTGGGGCAAACACAGAGAACTGAACTGACAGCTTCAGTACAAGGAGGCTCTGCTTCATCCAGACCCAAGGAAGGGAACCTGTGAGGTTACTCGGGTAAAGCTGGGAGGCCTAAGGTCCAGGGGACAGCCTGGGTGTAGCTTCTACAGTGTGACAGACACCAAGTAGAGTCAGAAGGCAAGACCGGGCTCTAACAATTGGTCACTCTTGGGCAAGTCACTTTAGCTCTCAAACTCTACTTTCTCTATCAGTGAAATGGAGTTGATGATGTCTGCCCTCCAAGACTGTTTGGAGAATACCAACCTAGTAAGAGGCATGAAAGGGGGTGCAAACAGAAAAACTAGGAGGAAGAAGCTGGGATTGGAATGCAGGTCTCTTGCGGGATGTGGTGTGGGAGGAGAATGCACAAATGGACAGAGTGGGGGTTGGGGGCTGGGAAAGAGCTAAGGACCAGGGCAGGAGGGGATTCAAGAGACTGAGTAGGGCAGCTAGCTAGTTCCTGGGAGCTCTTCCCTTGTCATCTCATCAGTTTGGACTCCTCGAACAATTCCTAATCTTCCCCAGATCAGGTCTGTGAACTGTGGACCACTGTGTCCTGCATCAGACTAACCAGGTCCCCAGGGTGTGGGGTCCAGAGCCCTTGGACATGAATACTGGGGCAGAACCATGCACATGTGGTGAAATACCAAAACTGGATGAGCCTTTAGAAACCAGGCTCCAAAAAGTTTTATTTTACAGATGGGAAGTCTGGGGCCAGGGTGAAGGCACATCTTCCTCAGGGCCACTCAGCTGGGGTGCGGGGAGCTCAGATCTGAACCCCAATCTTCTGACTCTTTACCTAGCCCCAGAACAAGGTGGCTGATGAGGCAGAGCTATGCCGGCACCGTCTGGATGTGGTCCCCAAGCCAGGGCTTGTCCTGGGAGGCGTTTTTTTGTTTGTTTTTTAAAAATTGTGCTACAGGTGAGAGGTTGAGAAATGGATGCAAACCATCGTCTGTGTTCCTCTTCTAGTGCAGGTACCCTTCTCCAGATGTTGCTTCTCATTTGCGGAGCAAGAGATTCCCCTGAGGGCAATCCTGTGTTACAGAAATACCAGCTCCATCTGCTCCAATGAGGGCTTAATGTAAGTGATCACCTGCTCAATCTCTCCCTAGAGAACAGAACCCCGCCAGCCTGGAATTACAAGAGTAGACACTAGATGACAGTATTTTACCAGAATAAGGTTTCTAAACCCAGAGCTGCCAGCACCTGGGTGCAAGCCACACTTGGGCGCTAGAGGGAGCGCTGAGCTTCCTAGCAGGTGTGAGGAAGGATGCATCTGTGCTCCTGCAGTGGCTTGTGTTTCCTGAAACTCCAAGGTGCCAAGTATTGTATCCCAGCATTATGAGCTCAGAGGTTTAACAAAAGCATGAGGGGTTATTGTGCACTGGAAAGAGCAAGGGAACCAGGATGAGTTCCTGCCCCTGGATTTGGAACCCATAGTCTTGGGTGACCGTGGACAGGTAACTCCTTTGTACTGAATTGTCTGTGTATCCTTCTGTATTCCTTATCTGTGAAGGGTCATAAACATAGCTGTATCACAGGGTCTTTACAAACTTAATTGGAGTAGCTTTCACAAACCAGTCAGTATTTTAAGGCTTTTTCATGTATATTCTCTCTGTCGATCCTCTTGGGGCACATATTTTTGTTATCATGAAAAGTGAGGTTCAGGAAGGTAGAGATATTTGTCTAAGATCAACCAGAGAGTAAGAGATAGAGTTGGTCTATAGATTGGACAATAGTCCAGTTTAGGAAGTAGACAGATCAGAAGAGAAAAATACACACACCCACACACACACAAGGCGCGCGCACACACACACACACAAACACATGAGTCCAACGCAACAAGTAAGGCCCCAGATGGACACAGAAACATTAAAGTTGGTGCAAAGAGCTATTCCAGGATGGGAATTTCTCATCTCACCTAATCGTCAGAATGTTTTCAGGCTGTTCAGCCCCACCCTGATACACCAAATTGAAACCAGGAGAGGGGTCCAGGAAATTCAATTCATAAGCTCCTGGTGCTTTGGCTGTTCCCCAGCGTGCAAACCACACATCCTGTGCAGCAACTTCATTTACAGAGGGGAGCCCAAGGCCTAGCAAGAGCAGTTTAGGGGACCTGGCAGCCGGAGGAGGCGGGGCTTGTGCGTTGCCCACCCAGTGGTGGCTTGGGTGGCTCAGCCTTCTCTCTTATTCTCTGTTCACAGATTCAAGCTGAAGAGAGGCAAAGAGGCCTGCGCCTTGGACACAGTTGGATGGGTTCAGAGGCACAGAAAAATGCTGAGGCACTGCCCGTCAAAAAGAAAATGAGCAGATTTCTTTCCATTGTGGGCTCTGGAAACCACATGGCTTCACCTGTCCCCGAAACTACCAGCCCTACACCATTCCTTCTGCCCTGCTTTTGCTAGGTCACAGAGGATCTGCTTGGTCTTGATAAGCTATGTTGTTGCACTTTAAACATTTAAATTATACAATCATCAACCCCCAACCCTCTGGGTCTCTTGGATTTCAGAGTGAAAACTTGATTGGCATTGAGAGGTGGGAGCCAGGGGCTGAAGGATGGGTCAGGAGGAGGGAGACATGTTGCACCTGGTGCCAGGGGAACTGGGCTAATAAGTGACTCACTAGCTCTCAGTGACTGCCTTTGTCCTGGGGTGTAAGCTTTGAGTCAGGGTGGTGGTGCAGATTCTCTGCCTCCAGATTTGGCTGCCAGGAGTGGTACAGTGGAACAGAAAGCTGGGGTTCACAGCTGGATCCACATTTGGGTGCAGGACTCTTCTTCTCCCTGCCCTGCCCAGAGGGCTTGGGGGGTGATGTTATCACCAAATCACAACTGCCCTAGCTGGAGGGGATCATGTGAGGTTGTCTGCCTGTAAAATGTTGCTAAACCCATTTTATAGATGAGGTGACTGAGGGCTAAAGAGAGATGCAGCAATTCAGGGGCAGATCTGGCATTAGAGCCTAGAGCTGTTGCCTCCTAGGACAACTCCTCCAGGTGTCCCACATTGCCAAGTGTACTGCCTGATGCAGTGTGGTACCAGATCTGGGGGACAGGCCCTGCTGTTGTCAGCAGTGCCCATCTCTTCTTGAGGAAGATCTCAGTGGGTGTCCAGGCATGGGTAGGTTCTGGGTCTGATTGAGATGCCCACCCAGCTTATCTGGAGGAGTGAGGCTGTCTTGGGAAGAGCAGGATAAACCCTTGGTGGACATATAGGAAGAGGAGGGCCAACGCTTTAAAAGGGACAATCACAAGCTTCAATTTGTACAACGTGTGATTCAAGGAAGAATAGCCAAGGAAGGAAGTATTTCTAGGTCTTGGGGTTGGCACGCCTTTAAAGATCACTTTTAGAGGGCAAAGGTCTCATGCTGTGTTTCCCTCATTCCCCATTCAACATGTCACACATCTGGCCCAGTCTTCTTAATCTGCCTCCTCTTCTCCACCCCCATGACTGCCCTTCTTCAGCCCCTATTTTCTCTTGCTTGGACTATTGCAGTAGGCTGTTTTCCGCCCTCCCTTCTCAACTCCATCTTATCCACAGCCAATAGCTAGTCTTCCTGGCATCCATTCTTCCCTCTGGATGACTCAAAAACCTTTGCACCTTCCTCCTGCCTTCAGAACTGAGTCTAAACTCCCCACCCTGATATTCTAATTCCTCTAGAACCTGCCCTCAACTTTCATTTCTACATGTCTCCAACTTTTACATTCTGGAAGCCCATATCGGACCGTTTGGGGATATTCCCCCCAGGCCCTCTCCCCACATTGCTATCTTGGACCTCCCCTAAAAGAATCTTTGCTATGACCATACTTCCCCATCCTCTAAAGTCCATTAGGCCCAAGCACCCTCTTCCCTACCAATCCTGAGGCTCACTAGGACTTGGTCATCTGGTTTCCCTCTGAGTGTCAGGTGCACATGAAGTCTGAATCACTTGCTGCTTGGAGTGGGGAGGCATAGATTGGGGTGGGAGACTAGAGGGGGAGGGATGGGTTTACTTTTGGCAGGAGTGTGGTTTTAAAGAAAGAAATGAACTGAATATGAAACGGATGAGTTGCGAGCCAGGAGCGCCCATGCTGGGGACTGGAGCCATTGTTCCAGAACAGCCTGGGCTGGTGAGGCAGGCCCTCCTTGAAACTCAGATGAGCCAGGCTAGCCCCATGGCCAGGGCCTCTGTACATCTGCCTTCCACTGGCATGCCATCCACCCACACCTCTGAGAGCCCCTACTGGTTGGCAGTTACTCCTGAAGAAAACACCACTGTGTAGGAGATTTTAAATAAAATGTATTTTCTGCAAAATGTCAGCAGTCCTACTATTGCATTCATCTTTCCACAATAACATATTTAGCAACACCTCACATTCACAAAGAGCTCTCCTTCCTACATTGCAGCATCCCTTCATGTCCATGACTCCCACAGGCATGCTCTCAACCCCTGGGAACCGAATACAAACCCACTGCCAGCAGCTCATAGTGGAAGGGAAGGGGGCTTAGAGACAGCAACCTACTTGCTCAAGGCCTTGCTTTAGAAAAGATCAGCAATACTCAAATAAACTCCAAACCAGCAACAAGTCAAATAATAGCCAATATTACTTAACACATAGTACATTTTGAATCACAAAACCGAATGCATCCTATTTGAAAATTATGGTAGAAGTATTCCAAAGCATAGAAGAGGAGGCCAGAGGAGAATGGAAAAGTCATTTCACGTACTCCAGCTTGATTTCAGTAGGGGTAGCAGAGTTCAAGTCTTCAGGGTGTGAGCTTTCCGGCCCAGGTGTTTCATATAATTCTGGACCCACTTCTCCTTTGGGTCAGCACAGATCTCCTTGCCCAGTTTGGTTCTGAAGCTGTGGAGGAAGGAGATCTGGCACAGTTAGATGGAACCCTTTGAGGGTTTACCCAGGAGATGACACACTGGGTTCTAAACCTGCCTGGTCCACCTACTACAGGTGAAGGGGCACCCCTCCAGGACAGGAAGTAGGAGGTGTGTGGACAGAAGGGGTCTCTGGAGGCAGCCACTGCTCTTGCTGCCCCTGGGAAACTGATCCTGGCATCTGCTAAAGGGTGTGGGCTGGTGCCCATCCAGGAAACAAGGTGTGGGAAATTATAGGTCCTCTTTGGACCTGTTGTGCAGCCAAAATTGGAGGATTTGCATCACACAGTCTGGCTAGATCTCATCCTAAGATCTCAAGTCAGTCTGACGTCTGTCTCCTGGGGCAGAACTTTGGATTGGGGAATGTGGGAGTGGGGAGGAGCCAGGTGAGCAGGGATTTTTCTACCCACATGACAGCCTTCTGGGGACACCTGCTGGTGGTGATCACATAGCTCTTCAGCCTCTGCAAGGAGATCTTCTTACTGCTAAATGTGAAGCAGCAAGTAGATGGGACGTTGAGTGCATCTAGAAATAGTTACAAAGAAAAAGACTTTGAGGATGTGTTAGGCTTTTCTCAGCTTGAATACAGCAGGGAGCATCTGTATGGGATGCAAAGCAAAGAGGAAGAAATAGATCTTACTCACCCCCAAGCCCAGCACTCCCACCCTAGACCCTGAGGTGAGGTGGGACCTGTGACATGTGCCTCAGGATCTCAAAGGCTCAGCTGCATGGTGGAGACATGTCACAGCCATCTAGGGGAGGCCACGGGCAAGGCCAGTGGGAAAGGTCCTGGGTGTGGTCCCAGATCTGCAGAGTTTGGGACGATCAGATGAGGTCAAAGAAAAGGCCCTAAATCTGGAGTCAGAAGCTTAGGTTTCATTCTTGCTCTGCAATAACCTGGAGGTGGATGGCTAGGGTCCCTTCTGCCTCCAACATGGGCTTCAGCTTTCTATCTTTAAAATTAGATGTTAAAGTGAACCTCTGAGGAGCCTTACTATTCTGGTGGGCTTAGAAGTGGGGCACTTGGCTGGGCCTGGTGGCTCACGCCTGTAATCCCAGCACTTTGGGAGGCCGAGACGGGAGGATCACTTGAGGTCAAGAGTTTGAGACCAGCCTGGCCAACATAGTGAAACCCCTTCTCTACTAAAAATACAAAAATTAGCTGCACGTGATGGCGGGTGCCTGTAATCACAGCTACTCAGAAGGCTGAGGCAAGAGAATCGCTTGAACCTGGGAGGTGAAGGTTGCAATGAGCCAAGATCGCACCCCTGCACTTCAGCCTGGGCAACATAATGAGACTCAATCTAAAAAAAAAGTGGAGGAGCACTCGGGCTTAGGTCTTCCTTGAATAGAGAAACAGAGGGAAAGAGAGGGAGAGTCGAAGGGAGGTGACTTACCTGGCTGAGCAAGTCCCTGGGGGTTGAAAGCTGCTGTCATGAGCAGCAGGCACAGAAGCACTGCAGAGACTTTCATGTTGAAGGTTAAGAGTTGGAGATTTCACAATGTTTCTTTGCCTCTCTGCTCCTCTGGCTGTTCCGCCGGCCTTTTATAGGGAGTGGAGAAGCTTGGAACTCTCAGAGGACCTTGGCCTGAGCAGGGCGTTGACCAAGTCATGATGAAGGGGGATCCTGAATCTGCTGAGCTGGAGCTGGGCACCAAAGACTTTTCTAGGAAATGCAAGAGGGAAGCTGAGGGCTGAAACAGCATGGCATGGCTTCCTTCTGGCTGTTCAGGCCACAAGGAGCCAGAGAGGAGAAAGGGACACAGACGCGCCCCAGCCATTCACCATGGGAAGCCATAAAGGAGCTGTTTTCTTCTTACTTTCTCCAACAGGAAAGAGAAAAACAATGAAAATTAACTCCTGTAGAGAAAGAGTGCTGTGCTAAGGACTCTGTTCACGTTATATATTTAGTTTGAGGAGGTACATACCATTATTATCATGCCCATTTCATAGAAGAGGAAACGGATGCAGAGAGATTAAATAACTTGACCAAAATCTTATGGGAAATGAGAGGGAAAGCTAGAAGAGAAAGCTGGTCTGCTTATATTTTATCACCAAGGCAGTTTCAACTTTTGTTTAGCAGCAGAAGTCTTTTTCCAAGTCAACTTTTATGTGGAAGTCTAATATCTGAAACAGATTAAGTCAGATTTCTGATGACAGGGGCTCCTTACATTACATATTGTGTCCCCTTCTGCCCCTCAGGCCCAGAGGGACATGGTTCAAACACCTCTGATTGATGCAGGCCCCGTGTTTCCAGGAAGGACCATTGGGTTTCTAGAGCTGTTGATGGGAGGGCTGGGGTGGCCCTCAGAGCAAAGAAGTGAGGTGTTTGGCCCATTCCTGGGCTCCTCCTGCGAGGGGCACATATCTGGGAGCTGGGAGGTGGGGAGGGAATGGCTTAAAATGGTTGAACATGTCCCTTTCCCACTCATCCCTAGCTCCAAGACTTGGCACAGTTTTTGTGCCTTCCTGGAATACTCATCCCTCTGCATTCCACTATAGCAAAATAAGCCCAGTGAAAGTAAAGGGAAGAAATAAAGAGCTAGGATTAGAGAAATAGGAAACAGTAAATATTAGAAAGGATAGATGAAGCCCAAAGCTGGTTCTGTAGCCTATAATTAAGCTAAAACTCTCCTGAACTGAAAATGAAAAAAAAAAGAAAAAAGGGGCTGAGGCGGGGGGATCACTTGAGGTCAAGAGTTCTAGAGCAGCCTGGACAACATGGTAAAACCCTGTCTTTACTAAAAAAAATACAAAAATTACCCAGGCATGGTGGCACATGCCTGTAATCCCAGCTACTTGGGAGGCTGAGGCAGGAGAATTGCTTGAACCTGGGAGGCCGAGGTTACAGTGAGCCAAGATTGCACCACTGCACCCCAGTCTGAGTGACAGAGTAGGACTCTGTCCCAGAAAAAAAAAAAAAGAAAAGAAAAAAGGAAAAAGGTACATATAACCAGTTGCAGAGCCTGCAGACACCAAAAAGAAAATGATAAGAACCTTATGCCAAAAATTTAGTTTAGAGGAAATGGATGAATTTCTTAAAAATCTAACTGACCAGGGTGCACAAATAAATAAAAAATAGAAAGTCATTCTAAAGCTATTAAAGAAATGGAATCAGGAATTGAAAATCTTCCCACAAAACATTCTCTGGGCTCAAAGGGCACAAACAGCTAATTCCTCCAAGCACTGAAGGAAGTGGTCATTTCAATCTTGTGCAATCTCTTCCAGAGAATATCAAAAGATTGTACACCACTCAATTCATTTTGAGACCTACCTAACTTTGACACAAAAATGTGTCAAGACTCACCTGAGAAAAGGATATTATAAGCTTGTCCCTTCAGACACACATTCCATTCTTTTCCATTCTATTCTCTGCCCTAGGAAGCCAATCTTGGTGGGTTACATCAGTGAGGTTGCTGACCTTCTAGCTTCTGACTGGGTTTAGGCACAAGGGAGCTTCTGAGGACATTAGAGCAGGGAGAAGAGTTAAGTTGAGGTTCTTCTCCTCTGTTGTCTCCCTGTGTTCCTCAACCTGGATACATCCCTCAACTAATGGTTTTAACTTCTTTCAAGGTGGTTTCTCCATGACTCTCCTATCCAGGTTTGCTGAGCTATCCCCTGTTTTTCCTTTTTAGATTTAGGAATATAACCATGTTCTTTTTAAAAAATTTTTATTTTATTTTAAATTTTGGGATACATGCGCAGGATGTGCAGGTCTGTTACATAGGTAAACATGTGCCATGGTGGTTTGCTGCACCTATCAACCCCTCACCCAAGTATTAAGCTCCATCCACATTAGCTATTTATCCTGACGCTCTCCCTTTCCCTCACTCCCTGAGAGGCCGCAGTGGAATAGCCAAGACAATCTTAAACAAAAAGAACACAGCTGGAGGTATCATGCTACCTGACTTCAAACTATACTACAAGGCTACAGTAACCAAAACAGTATGGTACTGGTACAAAAACAGACACACAGACCAATGGAACAGAATAGAGATCTCAGAAATAAGACTACACATCTACAACCATCTGATCTTTGACAAACCTGACAAAAATAAGCAATGGAGAAAGGATTCCCTATTTAATAAGTGGTGCTGGGAAAACTGGCTAGCCGTATGCAGAACACTGAAACTGGACCCCTTCCTTACACCTCATACAAAAATGAAATCAAGATGGATTAAAGACTTAAATGTAAAACCCAAAACTATAAAAACCCTAGAAGAAACTCTAGGCAATACCATTCAAAACATAGGCACAGGAAAAGATTTCATGATGAAAATGTCAAAAGCAATTGCAACAAAAGCAAAAATTGGCAAATGGGATATAATTAAACTAAAGAGCTTCTGTACAGCAAAAGAAACTATCATCAGAGTGAACAGATATCCTACAGAACTGGAGAAATTTTTTGCAGTCTAACCATGTTCTTAATAGCCTCATGGTACCAAACACCCCTGTGGTCTCTTTTCACCCACTTACATCTTTGTAAATAGCTTCTTTACTAAACCTTTCTCCAAGTCTTCCATTTTAAGTGTTATCTATTTCTTGCTGGGACACTTACTGACATTGAATTGGCCCCATAAAATAGAACTTCCAAATGGGATTCTGGGATTGGATTGCTCGTATGTTTTAGGTGCACCATGGAAAGGGGCACAGGAATAGGATCTGTCAACATATCATGATTACTTTAATTACCACCAGTAGTAGCATGGCAGACTGCTTTAACAAGCCCATTAGGTGATCCTGAAATACACAAAAGTTTGAGAACTATGGGATTATATCATGTCCCACTGTCATCACTGATCTATAAAGAATAGCCACTACAGAGCTCTTAAGCATCCTGCCCTCCTCCCACAACTCATCAAAACATTTCCTAATACCTGGATTGAAGGGAGTGTCCCCCTGGGCCTCCCAGCAGCTTGCACATAGACTAGATCCATTCCAACAGATCCAACAGATAGACTAGATCCATTCCAACAGATCCACTTCCCTGAGTCTCTGGACTCCTTCCTGTCATTCCAGAGAATTTCTGGCATTTCAACTTCATTAACTGTAGGCTTCTTATTTTTTAATTTTTAATTTTTGTGAGTACATAATAGGTGTGTATTTTTATGGGTTACATGAGATATTTTGATGCAGTCATGTAATGTGTAATAACTACATCAAAGTAAATGGGATATCCATTGCTTCAAGCGTTTATTTTCAGGTTGTTTATTTGAAGGTTTGCTTCTTTTTTGATGTAGGCACTTAGAGCTATATAAATTAACCTCTTAGAACTGCTTTTGCTGTAACCCATAGCTTTTGGTATATTGTGTTTCCATCATAATTTGTTTCAAGAAATTTTTCAGTTTCCCTTTTAATCTCTTCATTGACCAACCAGTTGTTCAGGAGCATATTGTTTACATTCCATGTGTTTGTGGAGTTTCCAAAATTCCTCTTGTTATTGACTTCTAGTTTTATTCCATTGTGTTCAGAGAATATACTTGATACTATTTCAATTTTTTGAATGTTTTAAGACTTGTTTTGTGGCTTAACATCTGATATATCCTTGAGAATGATCTATGTGCTGAGGAGAAAAATGTGTATTTTGCAGCTGTTGGATTAAATGTTTTGTAAATATCTAGTAGATCCAATTGGTCTATAGTGCAGATTAAGTCTGATGTTCCTATGTTGATTTTCTGTCTGGATGATCTGTTTCAGGGTCTGAAAGTGGGGTGTTAAATTATCCAGCTGTTATCCTGTTGGAGTCTATCTCTCTCTTTAGCTCTAATGATATTGGCTTTATATATCTGGGTGCTCTAGTGTTGGGTGCCTATATATTTATAATTGTTATATCTTCTTGTTAAATTGACCCCTTTATCACTATATAATAACTCCCTCTGTCTCTTTTTTTATGGTTTTTGTCTTGAAATTTATTTTGTCTGATATTAGTATAGCCACTCCTGCTCTTTTTTGGTTTTCATTTGCTTGGAGTATCTCTTTGCATCCCTTTTGTTTTCAGTCTTTGTGTGCCTTTATAGGTGAAGTGTGTTTCTTGTAGGCAACGGATCATCAGGTCTTGCTCCTTCATCCTTTTAGCCACGTTTTACGTCTTTTGATTGGAGACTTTAGTCTGTTTACATTTAATGTTATTATTAATAAGTAAGGACTTACTCCTGCCATTTTGTTATTTGTTTTCTGGTTGTTTTGTGGTCTTCTCTTCTTTCTTTCCTTCCTTCCTTCCTATCTTCCTTTTGGTGAAGATTATTTTCTCTAGTGGTATGATTTAATTTCTTGCTTTTTATTTTTTGTGTATCTGTTGTGTGTTTTTAGATTTGAGGTTACCATGAGGGTTGCAGATAGTGTCTTATAACCCATTTTAAAAAAATTGATTACAATTTAATGCTGATTACATAAACAAACAAAGAGAAAACTGATAAAACTTCTACATTTTAACTTCATCTCCCCACTTTTTAACTTTCTGTTGTTTCTGTTTATATTTTATTGTACTATCTATGTCTTCAAAAGTTGTTGCAGATATTTGGATCAGTTCATCTTTTTGTCTTTCTACGTAACTTATGCATAGTTTACACACCACAATTACAATGTTATTCTGTGGTTTTCTGTGTACCACTTTGGTGGTCTTGGATAAAATCCAGAAGAATTCTCTGGACTACCAGGCAGAAACTCTTGTTCTTTTTTCTTACTTTGTCCCAAACAAACAGATTATCTCTCTCTGTGCTGAGATGCCTGGAGCTGGAAGAGAGGTTACACAACTACCCCCATGGTCACCACTACTGGGACTGAACTGGGTTGGACCTAAAAGCAGCACCAACTGGAACCACTAGCTGACTACTGGCTATGTTCACTCAAGGCCCTAGGGCTCTACAATTAGCATGTGGTAAAACCAACCAGGCTTATGTCCTTCCCTTAAGGGCAGCAAATTCTTCCAGGCCTTAGGCAGGTCCAGAGATACTGTCCAGGAGCCAGGGTCTGGAGTCAGAAACCTTAGTAATATACCTGTTGCTCTGTTCCACTGTGGCTGAGCTGGCACCCAAGCCACAAAATGAAGTTTTTTCCATCCTTTCCTTCCCCTTCCCTATGTAGAGGAGTCTCTCCTCATGTTCACCACCACCACCACAGGTCCATAAGGAGTACTGCCAGGGTACCTCCAATGTTCACTTAAGGCCTAAGGGCTCTTTGGTCAGCTTGTGGTGAATGCTGCCAGGCCTGGGACTCACTCTTTAGGGCAGTGGGCTCCCCTCTGGCCCAAGGTAGGTCCAGAGATGCTGTACAAGAGCCAAGGCCTGGAACGGGGGACCCCAATGCCCACTTGGTGCTCTTCTCTACTGTAGTTGAGCTGCTAAGTTCAAGACAAAGTCCTCTTTACTCCTCTCTCTGTTTTTCTCAAGCAAGGGGGCCTGTTCTTGTAGCTATCATATCTGGGAATGTGCCGGGTCACACCTGAAGCCAGTATGTCTCAGAGTCTCACCCAAGGCCTATAGCATGTGCTACCTGATTATGGCTGCTGGTTATTCAGCTCCCCGGGGCTCTTTAGTCAACAGGTAATGAATCCTGCCAGGACTGGGTCCTTCCCTTCAAGGTAGTGGATTCCTTTCAGCTCCAGGGTGTATCTGGAAATATCCTGGAGCTACGCCCTGGAATGGGAGCCTCACAACCCTCCCCAGTGCCTTACTGTGGCTTCCTACTGTGGCTGAGCTATTTAGCATCCAACTTGTAAGACAAAGTTTTTTTTTTTTTTTAATACCTCTCTTTTCAAGTGAAAAGAAGGGGTCTCTTTCAGAGCTGCAAGCTGTGACACATGGGGTTGGGGGAAGCGTAACATAAGCACTCCCTTGGCTGCCCCAGCTGATGTCTCACTAGGTTGCGTGTTGCCCACCAGTTCACAGCACTAGAACTTGCCTAGTAAGTGCAGTCTTTGTGGCCTAGACTGCCTTCCAAGTTTATTTAGAACAATTTAGCCAGAGCAATTTAGCCCATGGTGGCAAGGCTTGCCAGAATTAACATTCCAACTCCTGGCACAGATAATTCTTCTCTGGCCAGGGCAGGTCTAAATGCTCCCTTTGTGGGCGCTGGTTGAGTTCTGCCCAGTGTTGGCAGCACAGAGTTCCAGTGCAAGTCACCCAATCACTGCACTTTCCCTCCCCCCGCCCACATTTTCTTTCCGCTCCATGCAGCCACTGCCAAGAGATAGGGGAGGGGTGGTGTTGGCAATTTAAGATTGTCTTTCCAACTCTCTTCAGTGCCTCTTTCAGTGATACAAAGTTACAGCCAGGTACTGTGATTACTTACCTAAGTTTGGTTCTTATGAAGGTGCTTTTTGTGTGTAGATAGGTGTCCAATTTGGTGTTCCTGCAGGGAGGATGATCAGTGGAGACTTTTATTCAGCCATCTTGCTCTGCTTCCTTCTCTTAGACTTCTTTTTAAGTCTAGACTTCAATTAGCCAATCTAGCTGACCATTAATATCCCTTCCAGGTACTTGTGCCAGTACATTAAATTCTGAATTTGGGCGATTGAACCCTATATGTTATTTTTCTCAGTCTAACACTCTTAAAATTGACTCACACACATATGCCCCAAACTTTCCTATAAACTGGATGAGTGAGAGGACATTCAAATCTTCCCAGCTGTAAAATCTCCTGTCTGTCCTTTCCTGTGATTCAGGACTTAATACGACATAGGAGAATGTGAGCCTGGGAACTGGGGTCAGTTAAGCATGGGTTCAAGTTTTATATCCATCGTTTACTGGTTATGTGATTCAGAGCAAATTACTTCCCTCTCTGAACCTCCATGAGGAAACTGATTGGTAATCGCTATCTCATTACGATGTTGGGAGAGTCAATAAGATAATGCATGGAGAGTTCTTAGAACAGTGCCAAAATTGTGTATTTCTAACAAGTTCTCAGGTGATACCGATAAGGCTTGTCTGAGGACCACTCTTGGAGAATCACTGCTGCAATGAGACTGGGGTTGCTGATCTCAGTGAGAGAAATGGGTTCCAGGAGCAACAAAAGCCAGGCAGCAATGTTTATTAAACAGCGGAGACAGGGTGGACACAATTACCCCAAGAAGCCACAGGTCCAGAGTTGGAATCTGAGTGCTTTGATTGGCAGGGATTTGTAGCTAAGACTATGGAATCCCTAGAAATGAAATAGATGAGATGCTTACTAAGGTGCTTCTTGACTTTAAGGTAGAAAATTCTAGTGGGCAGAAAGCTAGTATGCTCATATCTCTTACCCAGTTATCAGATCTAAGCCAGTTTATAGACCTGAAGTCTCCTGATGGATGGGTAGGCCAGGTCTTTTTGAGGAAGGGCCCTGCAATGCTGGATTGCCAGATGAAATACAGGGCAGTTAGTTAAATGTGACTTGCAAATAAACAGGGAGTGATTTTTCTTTTTAAGCATAGATATACCTCTTGCAATATTTTTGCTTAATCTGGCAACTCATAGGTCTAATACTATAAATCTTCTTCCATGCCTTTTCCAGAAGAACCTGCTGCCATAAATCAGGGAGACTCTGTACTGGGGAAAGAAATAGAGACCTTCTGGGATTATTTGCTGATGGTTCTGAATGGATGATGTCCTATGAAGACCTGAAAATCTACCCTGGTTCACCAATCAGAGTGAGAACTTTCGAAGGTCCTATGTTAGTAATGCAGTTATGTCTAGAGTAGAAGTTCAGCCAGCTGTTTCCCAACCCAATAATCTTTATATAACAGAAGTCTCCAAGATCTATAGAATCCTGTTATTTTAGAATCATTATGTTGCTGTAGAATCTTAGAACCCAAGCATCCTGCCATCTTGCCCACTATAGTACTAGGCAATCTTAGTGCCCACAATCTTAGAGAGTAACATAATAGTGTTGGCAAATGTATGTAATGTTGTGGTTTTCAGATATTTGTTTACCTTCTAAAGTCTATTCTCAAGGAGTAACTTATTGGTAAGTTCTGACGTAACAGATTAAAACCAAAACTGCTCAGGGAAGCAGAGCTGGGGCACCTTGTGCCTTTACTTTTCCCTGTTTATCTCATTTCACTT
Source organism: Homo sapiens (assembly GCF_000001405.40). Lineage (NCBI taxonomy): Eukaryota > Metazoa > Chordata > Mammalia > Primates > Hominidae > Homo > Homo sapiens. The sequence continues at coordinate 34,347,961 of NC_000017.11, read as the reverse complement.
GTTAAGGCTCTGAGGAGCACCACGATGGTGCAAATTTTTCATTTTATAGGAAACATGTCTAACTGCTGGAGTGGCTACTGAAAAGGGGAGGAAGCCAGCACTAATCAATATGTTCAGCCTCCAGGGCTGAATCTCTCCAGAAAGGCAAGCCTGCAGAAGAGGAGACATCCATTGGTATGCTGGGGGAGAAAAACCCATGCATTGCCCATGAAAACATTACAAGACCACTTCCTTACTTCTTCCTTCATACCACCTGCAGTTCTTATATCCATCACTATATGCATTGCTTATAATATTCCATCAACCCGTAATTCCTTCCCAAACAGGAATCATTTGAGACCTGGTATAAATCATGTCTCATTTATGAAGACTTCTCAAACTACACAGATGTCAAAGGAGGCCAAATCTGAAATAAATTGTTGGTCACCTCCCAGGGCAAGCTTTACTGCTTCTACTCTAGAAAATCCAGTCCCTTTTCTGGGCATTCTCTGGACAAGCACACAGTCAAAAATGAATACTTACTTATGATATGAGTGTCTAAGAAGCCATAAGGGCTCTCCTCTGTATGAGAACTATTATATACTTTATCTTGCAAGCCAGACAGGAATAAACCAGGGTTGTCCCAGACAAATTGAGGTGTACCATCTTCCTCTCCAGTGGGGACTTCGCATCTTACCAGTTGTTGCATCATCATTTTAGTTGTTTACATTTCTAGCTTCTGCTGCCCTTTCCTTCTGGGGAACTCCGAGGGGGGTTGCCTGGAGCTGCCCCTTCCCATGACCAAGTGGAAAATGCCAACAGGAACAACCGTGTATTCAGCACATGCTGGTACTAAGAATAAGCAAAGAAGCAGAAGCTTTTCTGTTGGAGCAGCGTTTTGTAGAAACACATTTATGTTTTTAAAAATAATGTACGATGACTTAGAACTCTTGAAAAGTATATCTCAAAAATCATAAAAATATTATAAAACAACATGTACACTCAATGTTGACACAGAATCACAGTAAAATTTCTGTTGTTCTTTTTTTCTTTCCATGTGAGCATATTAGGAATTTTACTGGATAAATGTTGGTCTCCGTTTGTTAGTTAATGCTATGTCAAAAGTCATTTTACATATGTCCATAACTGAATTTCTTAATGATTGAATAGTGTTCCGTTAAATGGGAGAACTAGAACTTATCTATGACCATACAGTGCTATTTGGCATTTAGTCTATTTTACTGGGACAATAAGTGATGCTTGATGCTATGATACACATAAGAAATATTTATTGGTCAATGTCCCACCTTCCAGAGGTGACCACTACTTTGACTTCTGTCATCACTGATTGTTCTTGAAATTCACATAAATGGAATTATATGGCATGCACTCTTTTGTGTCTGAAGTCTTATGCTCAGTGAAATTTTTTTTTATACTTTAAGTTTTAGGGTACATGTGCACAACGTGCAGGTTTGTTACATATGTATACATGTGCCATGTTGGTTTGCTGCACCCATTAACTCGTCCTAGTTTATTACTAGTCTTCAGACATCCAGAAAATAGAGTAAGATACTAGGTAGACATAACACCTAGTATCTTACTCTATTTTCTGGATCTGTCTGAAGACTAGTAATAAACTAGGACACTAACTGGGTTCCATGCGATGTTTGCCCTTTCATATGATCTTCTAAGCTGATTTTTTTCCTCCCAAGTCCTTTTTAAAGAAAGTATACTGTATTTTACCAACCCCCTCTCTTTTCTCATAGCTCTTTTGTGGTGAATTAAACCTACTTGAGTTAAAATACTTCGATTTCTTTTTTTTTTTTTTTTTAACAGAAAGTACTGAATAACAACACTGGACCTTCTTCATTAAAATGCTTACCACTTAGTCTATCTTTTTCTCTCTCTTGTTTTTTAATGACAGATGATTTTGTCCAGAAATTTTGCTGTTTTTCTTGGTGCTAATACCTTGCCTCTTATTCCTGCTACAGCAGGGTGGTAATATTGGCATCCTGATTAAATACTGTGCCTTAGGAGACTGGAAGTTTAAAAATGTACAAGTCCTTTCAGTGATGAGGGAATTGACTTTTTTTTTAAAGTCTTTTTTCTTAGAAAGCCAAAATGTTTGTTTTTTTAAAATTCTGAAATGTGTTGTGACAACAATGACCTATTTATGATCTTAATTAAAAAAAAAAAGTTTCTGTTTTCTGTGTTGTGTTTTTCGTATTTAAATCCAAATGTAAGATGTGGTAGTAATAGGTTAACTTATGTTATTTCTTTAGTACATAGGGCTTAGCTTTATACTCTTGGTTTCCACTCACACTAATGTCACATGGTTAAGGAAGAAAAATGTAGGCTTTCTGAAGTTTCAGATATTTAATCAATCAAAATGTGTTTCCTTCAAAGAGAGCTCTAAAATAACTTTACTATGGTTATGAAGTTATTACAGGCCAGGCGCGGTGGCTCATGCCTTCAATCCCAGCACTTTGGGAGGCTGAGGCAGGCGGATCACCTGAGGCCAGGAGTTCGAGAGCAGCCTGGCCAACATGGTGAAACCCCATCTCTACTAAAAATACCAAAATTGCTGGGTGTGATGGTGTGCGCCTGTAGTCTGCTACTTGGGAGGCTGAGGCAGGAAAATCACTTGAACCCAGGAGGCAGAGGTTGCAGTGAGCCGAGATCACGCCACTGCACTCCAGCTGCTCAATGTAATTTTAAAAAAATGTCAGTTTTTTGTTGTGTTTATTGCTAGGTAATATTCCATTTGATGAATACGCCACACTTTATCCATTCTCCTAGATCTTTGAAATGCTTCTAGTTTTCTGCTGTTATGAATAAAGTTGTGATGAACACTGTTGTTCCAATCTTTTTATGCATATAGGAATACATTGATTGAAATACTTACTTAGAAGTGGGATTTCTGGGTCATTGGGTAAACATATGTTTACTTTTATCACAAAGCACTAAACAGTTTTGCAAACTTTCCTCCAGCAACATATCAGATTTCCTTTTGCTCTATATTTCCATCAATACATGGTATTATCAATCTTCCCTATTGTAGCCATTTTAATGGGTTGTAGTAGTGTTTTATTAGGTATTCAATTGCCTTTTCTTGATGACTTGTGATGTTCAGCTCCTTTTTATATTTTTATTGGTTATTTGAATATTTTTTGTGAAACGACTGTTCACATTTTTTCTAAAAAAACCTCAATAGCTTTAGGGGTACAAGTGGTTTTTGATTACATGGATGAATTGTATGGCGGTGATGTCTGAAATTTTAGTGCACCCATTAGTGTACATTTTACCCAATATGTACTTTTCTATCCCTCACCCTCCTTCCACCCTTCCCCCTTCTGAATCTCCAATGTCTATTATACCACTCTGTATGTCTTTGCATACCCATAGCTTAGTTCCCACTTATGAGTGAGAACATATAGCATTTGGTTTTCCATTTCTGAGTTACTTCCGTTTCCATCCAAATTGCTGCAAAAGAAGATATTTCATTCTTTTTTATATAGCTGAGTGGTATTCCATGGTGATATATATCAAATCTTCTTTATCCATTTATAGGTTGCTGGCCACTTAGGTTGGTTCCATATCTTTGTAATTGTGAATTGTTTTGCGATAAACATATGCATGCAAGGATCTTTTGATATAATGACTTCTTTTCCTTTGGGTAGATACTCAGTAGTGGGATTGCTGGATCAAGTGATAGATCTACTTTTAGTTCTTTGAGAAATCACCATACTGTTTTCCATAGAGGTTGTACTAATCTACATTCCTACTAGCAGTGTGCAAGTGTTCCCTTCTTACCACATCCATGTCAACATTTATTGTTTTTTAACTTTTTAATAATGGCCATTCTGGCTGAGGTAAGGTGGTATCTCTTTGTGGTTTTAACTTGCATTTACCTGATGATTAGTGATGTTGAACATTCTTTTCATATTTCTTGGCCGTTTATCTATCTTCTTTTGAGAACTCTCTATTCATGACATTTGCTCACTTTTAACTGGGATGATTATTATTAATATTATCTACTGATTTGTTTGAATTCCTTGAAGATCCTGGATATTAGCCCTTTGTTGAATGCAGAGTTTGCAAATATTTTCTCCCGTTCTGTGGGTTGTCTGTTTACTCTGATAATTATTTCTTTTGCTATGCAGCAGCTGTTTAGTTCAATTAGGTCCCATTTCTTTTATTTTTGTTTTTGTTACATTTGCTTTTGTGGTCTCAACCATGAATTCTTTGCATAGGCCAATATCCGGAAGGGTTTTTCCTGGCTTTTCTTCTAGAATTTTTATGATTTCAATCTTAGATTTAAATCTTTAGTCCATCTTGAGTTGATTTTTGTATATGCTGAGAAATAGGGATTCAGTTTCATTCTTCTACATGTAGCTATCAAATTTTCCCAGCACCATTTATTGAATAGAGTGTCCTTTCCTCAATGCATGTTTTTGTATGCTTTTTCAAAGATCATTTGGTTTTAAGTATTTGTCTTTATTTCTGGGTTCTCTATTCTATTCCATTGGTCTCAGTATCTACTTTTACACCAGTACCATGCTGTTTTGGTTACTATGGCCCTGTAGTATAATTTGAAGTCAGTGCAATACCTCTTGGTTTGTACCTTTTGCTTAGAATTTGCTCTTTTTTGGTTCCATGTGAATTTTAGAATAGTTTCTTCTAATCCTGTGAAAAATGAAGTTAGTATTTTGATAAGAATTGGATTGAATCTGTATATTGCTTTGGGCAGTATGATCATTTTCACAGTATTGATTTTTCCAATCCATTAGCATCAGATGTATTTTCGTTTTTTTGAGTCATCTATGATTTATTTCAGCAGTGTTTTGTAGTGCTCCTCATAGAGATCTTTCACTTCCTTAGTTAAGTATATTCCTAGATATTTTACTTTATTTTTGCAGCTATTGTAAAAGGGACTCAGTTCTTTATTTGATTCTCAGCTTGGTTGTTGTTGGTGTATAGCAGTGCTACTGATGTGCAGATTGATTTTGTAACCTAAGACTTTACTGAATTCATTTATCAAATCTAGGAGTATTTTGAAGGAATCTTTAGGGTTTTCTACATATACCATTATATCATTGGCAAACAGAATTGGTTTGGCTTCCGTTTTTCCAGTTTGGATGCCCTTTATTTCTTTCTGTTGCCTGACTGCTCTGGTTAGGACTTCCTGTTCACATTTTTTTTCCTATTTTTATTTGGGTTGTTTTCTGTTTCTGTTATTAATTTTTAAAATTTACTATCCAGTCTGAATTAAAGTATTTTCTATGTAATACAATATATTTTCTCCTAATCTTTAACTTATCTTTTTACATTCTTCATAGTATCTTCTGATGAGTAATTATTTTCAATATTGATAAAGTCTAATATATACGTTTCTAAAAGTGTAAGGTTATGTGTTCTGTTTTGCTTAAAAAAGACAGGTTTTCTGCCACAAGTTGTAAGGATACTCTCCTACGCTTTCTTCTAGGTGTTTTCTAGCTTTAGCTTTTGTATTTAGGTATATCATCCATCTTAAATTAATTTTTGTCTATAGTGTGAGGTAAGGGAGAAACTTATTTTTTTTTCATACAGATATCTGGTTGCTCCAGCATAATTTATTTGGAAGACTTTTTATTTCTTCATTGGATTGATGACTTTCTTAAAAATGAAATCAATATGTGAATGTGTCTGGGTGTGTACTTATAGTTATGGTTACTTTTATGTGTCAGCTTGACTGGGCCATGGAGTGCCCTAATATTTGGTCAAACAATATTCTGGGTATTTCTATGAGAGTGTTTTGGATGAGATTAACATTTAAATAGGTAGACGGTGTAAAGTAGATTGTTTCCTCTAATGTGAGTGGGCCTCGTCCAATCAGTTGAAGGCTTGAATTAAACAAAAAGGCTGACCCTCACTTGAGTTAGAGAGAATTATTTTGCCTGACTTCCTATGGACTGGGACATCAGCTTTTTCCATCCTTTTGGACTGAAACTGAAACAATAGCTCTTCCTAGGTGTCTAGCCAGCTGGCCTTTGCAGTGGAACTACCCATCAATTCTCATGGTTCTCAGGTCTTTGGGTTTTGACTGGAGCCACTTCATTGGTTCTCCTGGTCTCCATCTTCCTGACTCATTCTGTAGATCCTGAGACATGTCAGCCTTCATAATTCTGTGAGCCAATTCCTTACAATCAATCAATCAACCTCTCTCTCTCTCTCTCTCTCTATATATATATAGATAGATAGATAGATAAATACATATGTGTGTGTATGTATGTATATGTTCTATTTCTCTGAAGAGTCACGACTAATACAGATCCATTTATTTATCTATCAATAGATACCTAATCTATATATAGTTAGATACATACATACATATATATGTATATTTCTGAACTCTCTACTTTGCTCTATTGATCTGTTTGTCTATCCTTATGCCTATATTATACTATCCTAATAATTATCACCTTATAGGAAGTCTTGAAATCTGGTAGTGCCCATCCTTCTATTTTATTGTTTTAAAGATTGTTTTGGCTATTCTAGGTCCTTTTCACATACATATCAATTTCTCTATAAAAAAGACTGTGGCAAAAAACACAAAGCACATAGACCATTGACATTATAAAGCAACTCTACAGTCAAGTCTGCATAGCAATCAGCTAACAAGGTGATAACATGATCAAATCTGCACATATCAATATTAACCTTGAATGTAAATGGGCTAAACACCCCACTTAAAAGATACAGAATGGCAAGTTGGATAAAGAAGCAAGACCCACTGTATACTGTGTTCAAGAGACCCATCTCTCACATTCAGTGACACCCTCAGGATCAAATTAAATGGATGGCGAAAAATTTGTCAAGAAAACAGAAAATAAAAAAGCGGGGTTGCTATTCTTATTTCAGACAAATAGACTTTAAACCAACAATGATCAAAAAGGGCAAAAAATGGCATCACATAATGATAAAGGGTTCAATTCACCAAGAAGACTTAACTATCCTAAATATATGTGCCCCCAACACTGGAGCACTAAAATTCATAAAACAGGTTCTTAGAGACCTACAAAGACACTTAGATGGCTACATAATAATAATGGGAGACTTCAAAACCCCACTAACAGTGTTAGACATAATCGAGGCAGAAAACTAATTATGATATTTGAGACCTAAACTTGACACTTGATGAAATGAACCTAACAGAAATCTATAGAATACCCAACAACAATAGAATAGACATTCTTCTCATCCGCTCATGGCACATACTCTAAAATCGACACCATGCTTAACCATGAAGCAATTCTCAACAAATCAAAGAAAATCGAAATCATACCAATCACACTCTCAGACCACAGTACAATAAATAGAAATCAATACCAAGAAGAGCTCTTAAAACCATATAATTACATGGAAATTAAATAATCTCGGTCTGAATGACTTTTGTGTAAACCAGAAATTAAGGAAGAAATCAAGAAATTATTTGAATCTAATGAAAACAAAGATACATTGCACCAGAATCTCTGGGGCACAGCTAAGGCAGTGTTAAGAGGGAAGTTTATAGGGCTAAATAACCACATAAAAAAGTGAGAAAGATCTCAAATTAACAACTTGACATCACATCTAGAAGAACTAGAAAAACAAGAGCAAACCAACCCCAAAACTAGCAGAAGAAAAGAAATAACCAAAAGCAAAGCTGAACTGAATGAAATGGAGACATGAGAAACCATGCAAAAGATAAACAAAACCAAAAGGTGGTTCTTTGAAAGAATAAATAAGATTGACAGACAATAGCTAGACTAATAAAGAAAAAAAGAAGGAAGATCTAAATAAACACAATCAGAAATGACAAAGAGGACATTATCATTGACCCCACAGAAATACAAAAAAAACCCTCAAAGACTATTATGAACACTTCACGCACACAAACTAGGAAACCTAGAATAAATGAATAAATTCCTGGAAACATACAACCTTCCAAGACTGAACCAGGAAGAAGCTGAATCCCTGAACAGACCAATAATGAGTTTCAAAATGGAATCAGTTAAAAAAACCAACCAACCAAAAAAAACCCAGACCAGATGGATTCACAGTCAAATTCTATCAAATGTATAAAGAGCTGGTACCAATCCTAATAAAACTATTCCCAAAAATTAAGGAGGAGGGACTCTTCCCTAACTGATTTCTCCCCCGCCAGCATCATTCTGATACCAAAACCTGGCAGAGACACAAAAAAAAACAACAAAAACCTCACGCCAATATTCCTGATGAACATAAATTCAAAAATCCTCAACAAAATACTAGCAATTTGAATCCAGCAGCACATGAAAAAGCTAATTCACTATAATCAAGAAGACTTTATTCCTGGGATGAAAGGTTGGTTTAAAGATATGCAAATCAATACATGTGATTCATCACATAAACATAACTAAAAACAAAAACCACATGATCATCTCAATAGATGCAGGAAAGGCTTTCAATAAAATCCAACACTCCTTCATGTTAAAAACCTTAACAAACTAGTCATCAAAGGAACATACTTCAAAATAATAAGAGCCTTCTTTGACAAACCCACAGATAAGATCAAACAAAACAGGCAAAAGCAAGAAGCATCTCCCTTGAGAACTGGAATAAGACAAGGGTGTTCACACTCACCACTCCTAGTCAACATAGTACTGGAAGTGTTAGCCTGAGCGATCAGGCAAAAGGAAGAAATAGAAAGTATTCAAATAAGAAGAGGAAATCAAACTATCTCTACTCACAGGCGATATGATTCCACACCTAGAAAACTGCATATTCTCTGCCCAAAGCCTCTTAGATCTGATAACCAGTTCAGCAAAGTTTTGGGATACAAGATAAGTGTACAGAAATCAGTAGCAATTTTTATACATTAATAATGTTCAAGCTGATAGCCAAATTGAGAATGCAATCACATTCACAACAGCCACAAAAAAGAATAAAATACCTAGGAATGCAGCGAACCAGGGAGGTGAAGATTTCTACAACAAGAATTACATAATACTGCTGAAATAAATCAGAAGTAATGCAAACAAATGGAAAAACATTCCACGCTCACGGATAGGAAGAATCAATATTGTTACAATGCCATACTCCCCAAGGAAATTTACACATTAAAAGGTATTCCTATCAAAATACACATGATATTTTTCAGAAAATTAGAAAAAGAATTATAAAATTCATATGGAACCAAAAAAAAAGAGCTTGAATAATCAAAGCAATCCTAAGCAAACAAACAAACAAAAAACAAACAAAAAACAAAGCTGGAGGCATCACATTACCAGCCTTCAAATTATACTACAAGGCTACAACAAACAAAACAAAACAGCATGGCAACGATATAAAAACAGACACATAGACCAATGGAACAGGTTAGAGAACCCAGAAATAAAACTGTCCACCTGCAACCATCTGATCTTCAACGAAGTCGACAATAGCAAGCAATGGGGAAAGGGCTCCCTATTCAATAAATGGTGCTGCGATAACTGGCTAGCCATATACAGAAGGTGTATGCTGGACTTTTTCCTTTCACCATACACAAAAAACAGCTCAAGATGAATTAAAGACTTCAATGTAAAACCTAAAATTATAAAAACCCTAGAAGAAAACTTAGGAAATATCATTCTGAACATAGGCCCTGGCAGAGATTTTATGACAAAGTCTCCGAAAGTAATTGCCACAAAAACAAAAATTTACAAGTGAACCTAATTAAACCAAAGAGCTTCTGCATAGCAAAAGAAATTATCAACAAAACCATATGATCATCTCTGAGTAAACAGACAGTCTTTGTTCTCTGGGAGAAAATATTTGCAAACTAGGCATTCAACAAGGGTCTAATGTGCAGAATCTATAGGGAACTTAAATTAAAAAGCATAAAACAACCCATTAAAATGGGCAAAAAACATGAATAGATGTCTTTCAAAAGAAGACATACATGTGGCCAACAAGCATATGAAAAAATGTTCAACATCACTAATCATCAGAGAAATGCAAATTAAAACCACAGTGAGATACTATCTCACATCACTGAGAATGGCTATTATTAAAAAGTCAAAAAAATATCAGATGATGACAAGGTTGTGAAGAAAAGAATGCTTATGCACTGCTGCTGGGAATGTAAACTCATCCAGCCACTGTGGAAAGCAGTTTGCAGATTTCTCATAGAACTTAAAACAGAACTACAATTTGACCCAGCAATCCCATTAACGGGTATATACCCAAAGGAATACAAATCATTCTACCATAAACACATGCACACATGTTCATCACAGCACTTCTTACAATATTAAAGATGTGGAATTAACCTAGATGCCTATCAACAGTGGACAAAATAAGGAAAATGTGATAATGAAAAAATGATAAAGGGGATATCAACACTGATCCCACAGAAATAGAAACTATAATCAGAGAATATTATAAACACCTCTATGCAAATAAACTAGAAAATCTAGAAGAGACAAGGTATGGTGGCTCACGCCTGTAATCCTAGCACTCTGGGAGGCCAAGGTGGGTGGATCCCTTGAGGTCAGGAGTTTGAGACCAACATGGCCAACATGGTGAAACCCTATCTCTACTGAAAATACAAAAAAATTTAGCCGGGTGTGGTAGTGGGCGCCAATAATCCCAGCTGCTCAGGAAGCTGAGGCAGGAGAATCACTTGAACCTGGGGGTCGGAGGTTGCAGTGAGCCAAGATCATGCCACTTCACTCCAGCCTGGGCAACAAAGGGAGACTCTGTCTCAAAAATAAAAAATAAAAATAAATTGTAATTAAAAAAAAAGAAAATCTAGAAGAAATGTGTAAATTCCTGGACACATACACCCTCCCAAGACTAAACCAGGAAGATGTTGAATGCCTGAATAGACCAATAACAAGTTCTGAAATTGAGGCAGTAATTAAGAGCCTACCAACCAAAAAAAGCCCAAGAACAAATGGATTCACAGCCAAATTCTACCAGATGTACAAGGAGGAGCTGGTAACATTCCTTCTGAAACTATTCCAAACAATAGAAAAAGGGGGATTCCTCCCTAACTCATTTTATGAGGCCAGCATCATCCTTATACCAAAATGCGTCAAAGACACACCAAAAGAAGAAAATTTAAGGGCAATATCCCTGATGAATGTCAACGTGAAAATCCTCCATAAAATACCGGCAAACCAAATCCAGCAGCACATCAAAAAGCTTATCCACCACGATCAAGTCAGCTTCATCCCTGAGATGCAAGGCTGGTTCAACATATGCAAATCAATAAATGTAATCCATCACATAAACAGAACCAGTAACAAAAACCACATGATTATCTGAATAGATGCAGAAAAGGCCTTCAATAAAATTCAATATCCCTTCATGGTAAAAACTCTCAATAAACTAGGCGTTGATAGAACATATCTCAAAATAATAAGAGCTATTTATGACAAACCCATAGCCAATGTCATACTGAATGGGCAAAAGCTGGAAGCATTCCCTTTGAAAACCAGCACAAGACAAGCATTCTCTCTCTCACCACTCCTACTCAACATCTTATTGGAAGTTCTGGCCAGGGCAATTAGGCAAGAGAGAGAAATAAAAAGTATTAAAATAGAAAGAGAGCAAGTAAAATTGTCTCTGTTTGCAGATAACATGATTGTATACTTAGAAAACCCCATTATCTCAGCTCAAAAACTCCTTAAGCTGATAAGCAACTTCAGCAGTCTCAGGACATAAAATCAATGGGCAAAAATCACAAGCATTCCTATATACCAACAATAGGCAAGCAGGGAGTCAAATCATGAGTGGATTCCCACTCACAATTGCTACAAAGAGAATAAAATACCTAGCAATACAACGTTACAACTTACAAGGGACATAAAGGACCTTTTCAAGAACTGCAAACCACTGCTCAAGGAAGTAAGAGAGGATTCAAACAAATGGGAAAACATTCCATGCTCACTGATAGGAAGAATCAATATCATGAAAATGGCCATACTGCCCAAAGTAATTTATAGATTCTTTGCTATTCCCATTAAATTACCATTGACTTTATTCACAGAATTAGAAAAAACTACTTTAAATTTCATGTGGAATCAAAAAAGAGCCCATATAGCCAAGACAATCCTAAGCAAAAAGAACAAAGCTGGAGGCATCATGCTACCTGACTTCAAACTACACTACAAGGCCACAGTAACCAAAACAGCATGGTACCGGTACAAAAAACAGATATATAGACCAATGGAACAGAACAGAGGTCTCAGAAATAACACTGCACATCTACAACCATCTAATCTTCAACAAATCTGACAAAAACAGGCAGTGGAGAAAGGATTCCCTGTTTAATAAATGATGCTGGGAAAACTGGCTAGCCATATGCATAAAACTGAAACTGGATCCCTTCCTTATACCTTATACAAAAATTAACTCAAGATGGCTTAAAGACTTAAATGTAAAACCCCAAACCATAAAAACCCTAGAAGAAAACCTAGGCAATACCATTCATGATATAGGCATAGGCAAAGACTTAAAGACTAATACACCAAAAGCAATTGCAACAAAGGCCAAAATTGACACATGGGATCTAATCAAACTAAAGAGCTTCTGCACGGCAAAAGAAACTATCATCAGTGTGAACAGGCAGCCTACAGAATGGTAGAAAAATTTTGCAATCTACCCATCTGACAAAGGTCTAATATCCAGAATCTACAAGGAACTTAAACAAATTTACAAAAAAAAAACCCATCAAAAAGTGGGTTAAGGATATGAACAGATGCTTTTCAAAAGAAGACATTTATGCAGTCAACAAACACATAAAAAAAAAAAGCTCATCACCTCTGGTCATTAGAGAAATGCAAATCAAAACCACAATGAGATACCATCTCACACCAGTTAGAAGGGTGATTATTAAAAAGTCAGGAAGCAACAGATGCTGGAAAGGATGTGGAGAAATAGGAACACTTTTACACTGTTGGTGGGAGTGTAAATTAGTTCCACCATTGTGGAAGACAGTGTGGCAATTCCTCAAGGATTTAGAACCAGAAATACCATTTGATCCAGCAATTCCATTACTGTGTATATACCCAAAGGATTATAAATCATTCTACTGTTAAGACACATGCACATGTATGCTTATTGGAGCACTATTTGAAATGGCCAAGATTTGGAAGCAAGCCAAATGCCCATCAATGATAGACTGGATAAAGAAATTGTGGCACATATACACCATGGAGTACTATGCAGCCATAAAAAAAGAATGAGTTCATGTCTTTTGCAGGGACATGGATGAAGGTGGAAGCCATCATTCTTAGCAAACTAACACAGAAACAGAAAACCAAACACTGAATGTTCTCACTCATAAGTGGGAGTTGAACAATGAGAACACATGGACACAGGGAGGGGATATCTCACACCAGGGCCTATCAGGGGTGGGGGACAAGGGGAGGGGGAGCATTAGGACAAATACCTAATGCATGCAGGGATTCAAACCTAGATGACAGGTTGATAGGCATAGCAAACCACCATGGCACGTGTAAACCTATGTAACAAACCTGCACATTCCACACATGTATCCCAGAACTTAAAGTTAAATAAAATTTTTTTAAAAAGAAAATTTGGTACATATACATCACGGAGTACTATACAGCCATTAAAAGGTATAAAATCGTATTCTTTGAGGCAACATAGATGGAGCTGGAGGTCATTATTTTAAGCAAATTGGTACAGAAACAGAAAACTAAAGACTGCTTGTTCTCTCTTATAAGTGGGAGGAAAACATTGAGTACACATGAACACAAAGAAGGGAACAATAGACACCAGGGACTATTTGGGGGTCAAGGGTAGGAGGAAGGTGAAATTTGAAGAATTAACGACTGATTAATATGTTCATTACTCGGGTGACAAAATAATCTGTACACCAGACATCCACGACATGCAATTTACCCATGTAACAAATCTACACATGTACCCCTTGAACCTAAAATAACAGTTGGAAAAAATTAAGAAAAAAAAGACCATGGGGACTTAATTGGGATTATATTGACTTTTTTTAAACTTTTAAGTTCAGGGATACAAGTGCAGGTTTGTTACATAGGTAAACTTCTGTCATGGGAGTTTGTTGTACAGATTATTTTGTCACACAGGCATTAAGCCTAGTACCCATTAGTTATTTTTCCTGATCCTCTCCCTCCGCCCAGTGTGGGTAGGATCTTTCAGATCCTCCCTCTGAAAGGCCCCAGTGTGTGTTGTTTCCCTGCATGTGACCATGTCTTCTCATCATTTAGCTTCCACTTATAAGTGAGAACATGCAGTATTTGGTTTTCTGTCTCTGTGTTAGCTTGCTAAAGATAATGGCCTCCAGCTCCATCCTAAATTGACAGCTTAACATTATCGAGCCTTCTGCTCCATAAATGTGGTATATAGCTCTTCATTTATTTAGGTCCTTCTTCATTTTCCCTTGAGTATGTGTGGTAGTTTTCAGTATAGAGGTCTTACACATCTTTTGTTAAATTTATTCTTATTCTTATTCTATTTTTGATGATACAATAGATGGATTTTTAAAACTTTAATTTCTAATTTCTTATTAGTATATAGAAATTCAAGTGATTTTTGTATATTAGCTTAATTCCTGTGATCTTGAGAAATTCACTTCATTCTAGTAGTTTTTGTAGATCTCCTTGTATTTCCTATGTATATAATCATGTTACCTGTATATGACATTTTAAGTTCTTTCTTTCTAATCCTTATGTCTCTGTTTCTTTTTATCTTACCTTATTGCACTGCCTAGGACGTTGAGAACAATGTTGAAAAGGAATAGGAGATGCTTCTTGTCTTGCTCCTGATCATTTACAGTGCTGTTGTTTACTTCCTGAAGATCTGTGTTTCCACTGGAATCATTTCCCTTCAGATTTTCTCATAGTGAAATATTGTTATTCTAGTAACAAATTCATTCAGCTTTCATTTTTTTTTCTGAAAATGTCATTAGAGTAGAAAAACACTACAAGCAAAATTTACTTAGTTGACATGTCTGTAACCAACAACTTCAGCATATACATTTTTTCAAATACACGTGGAACATTTATCAAACTGACTCTCTATGTTGGACTACAAAGCTAATCTCAAAAATAGAAAAGGTTTGAACACATAGAATGTGTTCTTTAACCATTATGGAATTAAATTAACACCAACAATAAAATGATTTATTTTTATAATATCTCAAAGCTTAAAACTTTAGTCAATTTTGTCTAAATAACTCATAGATCAAAGAAGAAATCACAATGGAAATGAGAATATATTTTGAGGTAAATTATGATGAAAATGTGTCATATTAAAATGTGTGAGCTTTAAAAGCTGTGTTTAAGAGATTCATAGTGGCGACCGGTTGCAGTGACTCACGCTTGTAATCCCAGCACTTTGAGAGGCCAAGGCGGGTGGATCACCTGAGGTCAGGAGTTCGAGACCAGCCTGGCCAACGTGGTGAAACCCTGTTTCTACTAACAATACAAAAATAGCCGGGCGTGGTGGTGGCCGCCTGTAATCCCAGCTACTCGGGAGGCTGAGGCAGGAGAATCGCTTGAAGCCAGGAAGTGGAGGTTGCAGTGAGCTGAGATCGCACAATTGCACTCCAGCCTGGGCAACAGAGTGAAACTCCGTCTCAAAAAAAAAAAAGAGATTCATAGCGGCAACTCACTCATTGAGAGGGAGGAGAAAGCAGGGAGCTCCAGAGCCCTGCCTAGCCTGGCCTAAACTTTGCTGCCAAAGATGTGGTGGCAACAGGTACAACTTCTCCCTTGCCGAGCTGCAGCACTTCAATGGGGTTTAGGACCTGCACATTCTCATGGCCACACCAGCAAGGGCAAAGTGTTCAGCGTGACCAGAGGTTGCAAGTTCCAAGGGCCAGGGGGCCACACAGGATCTTTGCCGAAAGAGATACATCCAGGGGCCCTGCCACATTTTGCCTGGATAAGGGAGCACTGCAGGACAAGCATGATGACCTTTCTGACCTCCCTCCTGCCCAGGAGGAGACCCTGAGTGACTGGGCCTCTCAGTTCACATTCAAGTATTCTCACCTGGATAAACTGCTGAAGGATGGGAGGTACCCACTGTGGATTCAGATAAGGAAGAACCAAAAGATGAGAATGTACAGAAAAATGATTATTTTACAGAATCATTTGTAACATTCCAGTCTGTCTTAAAACATGGTGATTTCAATTTTTGGAAAAGCTTTGAACTTGCTGTATCTTTTAAAATTAACAACACTAGTGACACTGATAAAATTAACTTCTGTCTTAGAATGCATGATGTTTGTGTGTCACAAATCCAGAAAGTGAACGGCAGTGCTGTCATACAAATGTTAATACTGTTTTTTTCTTTTATCTGTAGTTAATACAAGCTGAATTTAAATGTGTTTGTTCTGAGAGACAGGTAAGAAGACCCTTATCTGCTGACCTTCCCTCCACTAGTGTCCTATGACCCTGCCAAATCCCCCTCTGCGAGAAACACCCAAGAATGAACAATAAAAAAAAAAAAAAAGAAGAAGACTTGAATATTTCCCAAAATAGGTAGAAATGTTAAATGTGCACCAAGAATAAAGAATCAACTGTTAGTCGTGATATTATCTAAAGATGGAAAATCCCTTTTTTTCTCAATTGACTTAACTGCCTGATTTGTTTTATCTACCTCCATAGCAAATCTGCAGTGTTCCAGAGTCTTTGGTATTGATTAAAGAGCTGTCAACTAACAAAATGAAATCTCAAAGCCGGGCTCAGTTGGAAACACACACACACACAAACACACACACACTCACTTACTGTGTTCCTGGACTACTTTGTTGTCCTTGCCATCACATGGTCACTTAGATACCCTCACAAACACAGTAATCTACATTTAGGATTAAAATAGTATCTGAAGATTCAAAAGAAAGCTTTGGAGAAAACCAGCCGGCTTGCCTAAAAGCCAAAACCTATGAAGAAGATTGTAGGACTATCTTTCCAATCCCCAATGTTCATGGTGGGGCAATAGTTATTTTACACAGTTTGAAATGAGAGAGAGGCATACAGAACAGAAATAGATGTTTGCTCTCCTAAGAGCCTTCATACACACCCCAGAGCAATGAGGAAACAGTACAATTACTAGCCAAGTGATTTTTAAAGTATATTCATAAGGTAACAATTACTCTTCTGTTATTACAAAACTCTAGCCATGACTATGGTTTGCTCTTTTGGTTCACACTAAGCTTAAGTGGTCCACACGATTGTGTGAATTTGTACAAGTATTATGTGAACAACTAGGGAGATTTCTAACTCTTGTAATTGCAGTTAGTTAAGTAATCATTGTATTTTCTTGTGAACTGTGTTTAATGGTTGAACCTCGAATCAGGAAACAAAATGAAGTACTTTGATCAGTTAATAAAGTGGTTTTACCCAATGAAAAAGACAGAGATTCATAGAATTAAATGCATGTATTAAAAAGAAAAACTTAAAATCAGTCATCTAGGTATTTTTCTCAAGAATTAGAAAAAAGGTAGAAAATCAAATCCAAAAAATGGAACAAAAAAAATAAAAGCAGAAATTAATGAAAACATAAAATAAACATGCAATGAAGAAAAATGCCAATGCAAAAAGTTTGCTCTTTGAAAAGATTAATAAAATGTTAATCCCTTTGCAAGACTGACCAAGGAATCAAAAGTGAAAAGTTCCAATTTAGCAACATCAGAGATCAAAAGGAAGACATTATTACAGAGACTACAGATGTTACAAAATAATAAAAAAAGTGAACAACTTCAGATAGATATATTTTAAAATTTTATGAAATGGATAAAATGTGAGAAAAACACAATTTATTAAAGAGAACCAAGAAAGATAGAACATTTTAATATTTCAATTCTAGTAATTAGTGGAATCTGTAATTAAAAACTTTTGACAGGTAAATTCCAGAATGCTTTACTTCTAAGTACTAAAGGAAGCAAAAACATGAATTCTTATAAAAATATATTCAGACAATAATTAAACAAGAAACACAGTCCAGTTTATTTGATAAAATCATTATAATGTTGAGGCCAAACCCTGAGAAGGACTTTCAAGAAAGAAAAATTATAGGGCAGTATCTTTCATGAGCATAGATGTAACAGTCCTGAATTAAATAATAGCAAATGGAATCCAGTAATACCTGAAAAAATGATACATTGTAACTAGGTTGGTTTGATTTTTAAAATATTAGCTTGTTTTAAAATTGGAAAAACCAATGAATGTATTTTATCACAATTATAAAATGAAGTAGAAAAATCATATGATCATTTGAATTAAAAAATCATTTATTGAGTTTCAAAGCCATTTCAAAGCTAAAAGAAAAAAAAAACCCTAAGCAAACTAACAAATACAGGAAACTTCCTTAATTTGATAAACAGCATATACAAAATACCTCCAGCAAGCATAACGCTTCATAGTAGAATATTGAAAACTTCCCTTTGAGAGCAGGACTGAGACAAGAGCTGTCCACTTTTATTCAACATTGCACTGGAGGTCCTAGTAAATGAGATATAAGAATCTGAAATGAAATTATCATGATTGTAAAGGATGGAATAAAGCTGTCATATTTTGGCATGAAACATGGGTTTCATAAAAAACATCTGAGTCTACACATAAGCTATAAATAATTGAGTGAATTTAGCACAATTGCTCATTAATAATACAAAAATTGATTTTACTTTTACATGTAACTAACATTAAGAGATGACATTTCATAAGTGACACGATTTCCAATAGTTTATAAAAACCTTAATACCTAAGAATAAATCTGACAAGACACGTGCAATACCTCGGAAACTACTAAGCATTACTAAGAGAAATCAAGAGACTTGAATAAGCAGAGGGATATGGCATGCACACGAATTGGAAGACTCTGAATAATCAAGTTGTCAATTCCCCCACAAATGCAATGTAATCTCAATTAAAATCCAAGCAAGTATTTCATGGAAATTGATAAGCTTATTCTAAACTTTATATAAGGAGAAATACAAAGCCAAAAATCATCAAGACAATCATAAAGAACAAAGATGTAGAACTTATACTACCAGATATTAACACTTATTATAAAGTTGTAGTCATTAAAACATGTGCCATTACTCCAAGAATAGAAAATATACCAAGGGAACAGATTAGAGGGTACAGAAGTGGAATCATACGTATATGGACATCAGATTTATAACAAAGTTTGCATTCTAAAGAAGTTAGGAAAAATAGTCTTTTAAATAACTCGTGTGCTTTGATTAGTTAGTAAAGATATTTATAGGAATCAGATATTTATAGGAAAAAATATAATCTTGATTCCTATCTTTCCTATCTTTCAGCATACACAAAAATTAATTCCAGGTAGATTGTAGCTCTAAATGTGAACAGAAAAAGAAATGAAGTTTCTAGAAAATATCATAAGAGAATACCTTAATGACATTAGGTTTTAAAAAGTTTTCTTAAACAGAAAACAAAAGTATAAACCATGAAGGAACATGATAAATGGACTATATTAAAATTGTGAACTTGTTTTTTTTAATCAAAAAGCATCTTTAAGGGAGTACACAGTCAAATCACAGATTATGAGAAGATATTTCAATTCTTATGCCTGACAAAGGGTTCCAATCTGGAATGTCGAAAATACTTCTAATTCATAATGAAAAGACAGACAATCCCAAATAAAAATGACAAAAGACATGGCCTTGAACTTTATAAAACAGGATAGCCACCAAACATTTGAACAGGTGCTCAACCTCATTATTCATGAGTGAAATGCAATTTGAAACCGTATGAGATGGAACCATGCACATAATAATAATGGCTAGCTTTTTTAAAAATATACCTTAAGTTCTAGGATACATGTGCAGAACATGCAGGTTTGTTACATAGGTATACATGTGCCATGGTGGTTTGCTGCACCCATCAACCCGTCATCTACATTAGGTATTTCTCCTAATGCTATCCCTCCCCTAGCCCACCACCCACCAACAGGCCCTGGTGTGTGATGTTCCCCTCGCTGTGTCCATGTGTACTCATTGTTCAGCTCCCACTTATGAGTGAGAACATGCAGAGTTTGGTTTTCTGTTCCTGTGTTAGTTTGCTGAGAATGATAGTTTCCAGCTTCATCCATGTCTCTGCAAAGGACATGAACTCATCCTTTTTTATGGCTGCACGGCCAGCTTTTTTAAAAGAACAACAATACCAAGTGTTGCAATACCAGATGTGGAGCATCTGGTGTTACACGCCCCCCCCCACACACACGCACACACACTTACAAACATACACACACATAAATATGTGATATAGAATGATCTATCTCTCTATCTTTAAAGGGAGTGTTTTGTGTCTTGAACCGTTTGAGATTAGACTGTAGACAGAATGCCTAATTATACCTTAATAGTTCAGTATATTTCCTAAAAACAAAGATACTCTGCTACAGAACAACGGCATTAAAAATATGAAATCAGGAAATTAACATCAGTTTAATGTCACCATCTGATCCAAATATTTCATTAAGGCTTTTTTCATTGTCCTAATCATATCCTTTACAGGTTCATGGTCCAATCCAAGATCATGTTGCATTTAGCTGTCATGTCTCTTTAGTTTCCATCAATATGAAATAGTTGCTCAGTCTTTCCTTATATTTTGTGACCTTGACAGTAAGATCAGTTACTTAGCAGAATCTCCCTCAATTTGATTTGCCTGATATTTTCTCCTGATTAGATTCAGTTGATGTATTTTTAGCAGGAAAGTAATTGAAGTAATGCTGTGTCCTTCTCAGTGCACCATTATCAGGAGATATTCAGGCTGATTTGCCCCATTACTGGTGATGTTAGCTTTTATTACTTGGTTAAAATGTTGTCAAGTCTCTTCTCTTCTCTTAATTATATATGTTAATTAATAAGTGTTTTGTACTTATTAATTCATGTTATTAATTATGTTGTGGGGAGATACTTTGAGGCTATGTCAATAGTTAAATTTTCACCCATGAGTTTTAGTATCCATAGATGATTCTTGCCTGAATCAATTTTTACTCTGATGGTTAGAAGTTGGTGATTTTCTAACTTCACCATTCCATCTATATGCATTGGTTAGCATTTTATTCTACGATAAAACTTTATCTTCTTTGATTTTATTCAATGGGCTAAAATAAATTATTTTGTAATAAAAAATGTATTTATTTTGGTTATCAAATTGTCCCAAATTGGCCAGTGTGAGACTCTTCAGGTTGGCTCTTTTTTTTTTTTTTTTTTGAGTCGGAGTCTTACTCTGTCACCCAGGCTGGAGTGAAGTGGCACGATCTCGGCTCACTATAGCCTCTGCCTCCCGGGTTCAAGCGATACTCCTGCCTTAGCCTCCTCAATAGCTGGGACTACATGCATGCACCACCATACCCATCTACTTTTTGTAGTTTTTTAGTACAGATGGGGTTTCACCATGTTGGCCAGGCTGGTCTTGAACCCCTGGCCTCAAGTGATCCTCCCGCCTTGGCCTTCTAAGTTGCTGGGATTACAGACATGAGCCACCAAGCCTGGCCATGAGCCACTGTACCCAGCCCAGATTGGTTTTTAAATGTTTTTGACACGTCTCCATCTTTCTTTGAGTAATCCCTTTCTCTTTGACACGATAGAATATTCTAATTCTGGAGTCAGCCACTTATCCCAGGAGCTCTTGTTTCTATAGTGGAGGATAGTATTTATAAACTGGGCACTGAAGCGCACATTACCACCCCATGTGTCATTCTTTCTAGGCTTTCTCAGTAAACATAACTAGTATACCTATGTTTATGTGTTCCCACTAATCACCATTTCCTTTCTTCCTTCCTTCCTTTCTTCTTTCCTTCCTTCCATCTACCTATCTATATTTAAAACCATGAGTTTACCTCTAATAAGTTAATGAACAGTGAGTTCACCTCCAATTCCAGGCCAACATCCCAGAGTTTTTTGTTGTTGTTGTTGTTTTGCTTTATTTTTTTTCCCTCCAACTTTCTGTATTTTTTATAGAAGCTTCTTCAACATTGAGTGACTTGACTTCCATTATCTTTGATACATTTCCATTTCCATTATTTGCTCAATCCATTTTTGTGTCTTCATACTCCTAGTTATGTGGCTAACTTGGCCCCAGCCCTGTTGCTCCTGATTTGTGGGCTGTCCTCTTGAACCCAAACCTACCAAGCACGTCGACTGAGTCTGCAATGTCAGCCCCAGTCCTGGCTCCAAAGATCATGCTGGGTAAGTCCCCAGTCCTAGTCTTATCCCCAACCCTGGAGAACACACCAACCAAGTACCCAACTGAGTTCCTGGCCCTGACTCTAGTGAGCTTGCCTTTTGAGATCCAGGTATTGACCAAAGAGAAGGGAAAGAAATATTAACTGTATAAAACAATGAATTAGGCACTTAACAAAAATACAACCAAGAACACTCACAGAGTCCACTTCACTCCCATGCTACCTCCACTGGAGCAGGTACTGGTATCCATGGCTGAGAGACCTGAAGACAGATCACATCACAGGACTCTTTGCAGACACCCTCCAGTACCAGCCCAGAGCCCAGTAGCTCTGCTGGGTGGCTAGATACAGAAGAGAAATAACAAGCACTACAGTTTGGCTGTCAGGAAGCCTCATCCTTGGGGAGAGGAAAGAGCACCAAATCAAGGGAACACTCCGTGGGACAAAATAATCTGAACAGCAGTCCTTGAGTCCTGTATCTTCCCTCTGACACAGCCTACCCAAATGAGAAGGAACCAGAAAAACAGTTCTGGTAATATGACAAAACAAGGCTCTTCAACACCCCCAAAAGATCACACTAGCTCACCAGCAATGGATCCAAACCAAGATGAAATCTCTGAATTGCCAGAAAAAGAATTCATAAGGTCAATTATTAAGCTAATCAAGGAGGCACCAGAGAAAGGTGAAGTCCTACTTAAAGAAATAAAAAAAAAGATACAGCATATGAATGGAAAAATCTCCAGTGAAATAGATAGCATAAATAAATCACAATCACAACTTCTGGAAATGAAGGACACAGTTAGAGAAATGCAAAATGTGCTGGAAAGTCTCAGCAGTAGAATCAAACAAGCAGAAGAAAGAACTTCAGAGCTTGAAGACAAGGCTTTTGAATTAAACCAATCCAACAAAGGTGAAGAAAAAAGAATTTAAAAAATGAATATAGCCTCTAAGAAGCTTGAGATTATGTTAAACGACCAAATCTAAGAATTATTGGTGTTCCCAAGGAAGAAGAGAAATCTAAAAGTTTAGAAAACATATTTGAGGGAATGTTTAGAAATATGTTCCCCAAATATGTTTAGAAAACATATTTGAGGAAAACTTCCTCAGACTTGCTAGAGATTCAGACATCCAAATAAAAGAAGCTCAAAGAACACCTGGGAAATTCATTGTAAAAAGACCATCACCTTGGCAAGTAGTCATCAGATTATCTAAAGTCAAGAGGAAGGAAAGACTCTTAAGAGCTGTGAGGCAAAAGTACCAGGTAACCTATAAAAGAAAACCTATCAGATTAACAGCAGATTTCTTAGCAGGAACCCTACAAGCTAGAAGGAATTGGGGTTCTATATTTAGCCCCCTTAAACAAAACAATTATCAGCCAAGAATTTTGTATCCAGCAAAACTAAGCTTCATAAATGAAGGCAAGATAGTCTTTTCCAGACAAACAAATGCAGAGAGAATTTGCCACCGCCGAGCCGGCACTACAAGAACTGCTAAAAGGAGCTCTAAATCTTGAAACAAATCCACAAAATACACCAAACTAGAATCTCCTGAAAGCATAAATCTCACAGGACTTAGAAAACAATAACACAATGAAAAAAAGGTATTCAGGCAACAAATGGTATTATGAATAGAGTAGTACCTCACATCTCAATACTAACATTGAATGTAAATAGCCTAAATGCTCCACTTCAAAAATACAGAATGGCAGAATGGATAAGAATTCACCAAGTATCTGCTGTTTTCAGGGGACTCACCTGACACATTAGGACTCACATGAGCTTAAGATAGAGGGGTGGAAGAAGATATTCCATACAAATGGACACCAAAAATGAGCAGGAGTAGCTATTTTTATATCAGACAAAACAAATTTTGAAGGAACAGCAATTAAAAAAGACAAAAAGAGACATTATATAATGATAAAAGGACTAGTCCAACAGGAAAATATCAGTCCTAAATATATATGCACCTAACACTGGAGCTCCCAAATCTATAAAACAATTACTACTAGACCTAAGAAATGAGATAGCAACACAATAATAGTGGGGGACTTCAATACTCCAATGGCAGCACTAGACAGGTCATCAAGACAGAAAGTCAACAAAGAAACAATGGACTTAAACTATACCCTAGAGCAAATGGACTTAAGGGATATTTACAGACCATTCTACCCAACAACTGCAGAGTATACATTCTATTCATCAGCACATGGAACATTCTCCAAGATAGACATTATGATAGGCCACAAAACAAGTCTCAACAAATTTAAGAAAATTGAAATTATATCAAGTACTCTCTCAGACCAAAGTGGAATAAAATTGGAAATCAACTCCAAAAGGAAACCTCAAAACCATGCAAATATATGGAAATTAAATAATGTATTCCTGAATGATTGTTGGGTCAACAATGAAATCAAGATGAAAATTTTTTAAATCTTTGAACGGAACAATGATAATGACACAACCTATCAAAACCTTTGGGATACAGCAAAAACGGTACTAAGAGGAAAGCTCATAGCATTAAATGCCTATATTTAAAAGAAAAAGTCTGAAAGAGCATTAATAGACAATCTAATGTCACACCTTAAGGAACTAGAGAAACAAGAACAAACCAAATCCAACCCCAGCAGAAGAAAAGAAATAACCAAGATCAGAGCAGAACTGGTAAAAGGGATGGCAGAAGCATTTGAACATCTGCCTTCACCCTTCACTGTGGACGGTTACCACCCAAAATGTTCACTCTTCCACACTTCTGAAACTTGGACAAGTGTGCAGTGGAGTCAACTCCTGACCCAAGATGACACCCAGGAGAAGCCTGGGGGCAGCAAGTGAGAAGTGAGAAGAGGCAGAAAGCAGATATTGAGTGAATCAAGTGAGTCATGGACTGCCACAAATGGTCAGCCTTAGCTGAGGGTGAAACTGAGGTGAGCCTGAGGTTGTATGTCAGCTTTGAGTGACCTTTCCAGGTCTTTCCCCCAGTTTACAAGACAGCAAAGCAGGGCTTACAGATCTGAACCAGTTTATGGAAGGATGTGGATTTTTAAAACACATATATTCAAGTCAGGGCACATAAAACATCAACCACTTAAATAAGATGACATGTTACTTAAGGTGTATTATGCTCATTGTCATTTGAAATATAATGACATAATCCCAAAGTGAAGCTGGGTAAAATTTGAGAAGAACAAATTTGTGTCTTTTTGCTGTGGCCTGGTGTCAGTTTTGTGTGAGTGTTCTTGCCTTTAGAATTTGGGATTTGTGGTCCAGGATTTCATGAAGCCCAGGACCCACATATCTGTGCCCAATTGACCTTGAAGCTATTGAAGAAAGAGCTTAGAGTTTGATGGAGCTTTTTTGTGGACCCTGCCTGGGAGGTGCCCCTCTAGTCCATCTGACACTTAGCTGCTTTATTGCTCTTGGAACTGTGGGTGTACTACTTTGAACTTTAATGGAAAGCTTGTCTCCAAATAAGGGGTATCTGACTTAGATGTGTTTTTCCAATAAGCTAGGCCCTGGCTGCCTTTATGGCTTTAATCCCAGGAACTTTATGTCCCCACTCTACCCCAGACAACAAACATGACCTTGTTTCTAAGAGACATGGCTCTAGAGCTGGAGGGACTTGTGTAGTCATCTGCTAGATCCTCTCACTTCCTGCCTGTGACACAGTATGATCCTGATTTTTGGATGGGGCATCTTAATGCTGAAGGGAAAAATTATGTCACCCTAAGTGACCAAGAGAGTTAAGGTTACTCTTAGGAGCAGAACCCAAATCTCTTTCCTCTCTATACTTCCAAATATACTGGAATTGTGGCACCTTTACATGAACATTAACAGTAGGCCCTGCAGAGTTGGTTCAACAGTACAATAAATTTGTTTGCCTTAGACGTGTTTTCCCAATAAGCTGGAAAAATAATAAGCTCTGGTATGTATGGCTCAATATGGCGGGTCACATGTTTGTAAGAAGATTCAGCTAAGCTCACTAAGTACAGGGGAATCTTGACCTTAAAAGGCTGTCAAAAAGAAGAGGTTCCACGCCTTTAAATGGATGCTTGCAAGTTCTTGGGATTGGGGTTGGGGGTAGAGTGATGGAGATTATCTTAGTCTTTTTGGGCAGCTATAACAAAATACCTTAGGCTGGATAATATATAAACAAGAGAAACAAGAGAGGCTAGCGAATCAGGGCTGCTGAAGTTAGGGACTAGAGTCAGAGAGCTGGAACATCCTGGCCTGGTCCCACCAAGTTCTCTGAGAACCTTGGTTGAGTCCAGCGTAGCCAGAAGACATTCTTGAAAAATGGCCCGTCCATGCCCAAACTGTCACCCATGATGCCCAAAACTCACTCCCAGCTAAATGTTACCCCAAGAAGAATAAGACTAAGTAGTTTTAAATTATATATATTTTTTTCTTTTTGAAATTTTTTTTCAAAATTCCATAGTTATATACAGTAACATCAATTTCAACAACAGCAGTACAAAGCACACATTTGACTTACAGGAGCACTGATTGCCAAAGAATACCAAAGTGTTTCACCTTGATGATCCATGGGAGGACCCCACAACACTACAGACAGGTAGGAGGGAGAACAATGACATTTTGCCGTGAACTTAGTTGAGCTCACAGGAAAACAAAAACAAAAAACACATCACCAGGATTTTGCATTTTACATTCACTAGGATGTATGACAGATAGAGTTAAAACATCAACAACTTAAATATAATTAAATACTTTTTAAGAAATATTATGCTTTAAATTATTTAAAAATAATCTCTTTGTGGATGTTATAATAAAATAATGTCACACTGCACCTGGGGGAGGTTGGGGAAAATAAATAAGCTTTTCTTCAAGCTCTGACTCTCAGTCCATGTATGAAGGCTCATGGCTTCAGATTTTGAAATATTTGGTCCAGATGCTTCATGGAATCCCTGACCCATCTCTCCTTGGGGTCAGCACAGACCTCCTTGCCCCGTTTGGTCTTGAAGCTGTGGGGGAGAGAGGGCACAATTAGATGGAAGACTTTGAAGATCCTGCACAGGACTGTGGGCCATTGGTCCCTAGAACTGATCAGCCCTTGGTCCTTAGGTGAAGGACCCGGACCCGGGAGAGGAGGGAGGGGAAGAGTGGGAGGAAGAAGCTCCAGAAGGAAGCTCTGCTCTTGCTGTCCAGGTGAAACCCTCCAGGGTCCTGGCTACAGATATTGGGTTAGTTTCACCAAGCCCCTAGAAGGGAATCCTAGAGCAGTTATGGACTCCTTCTCATGGACTGAGTTTCTCTATGGGGTAGAGGGGCCCTTTGGATAGAAGTTATATGCATCCGACTCATATGGACATGAATCTTGACTTCTCTATGTTGTCCATCAGAACTTTTGAATGGGGGTGCCAGGCACTGTCCACTCACATCACAGCTTCCTTGGGACATTGGATGTTGGTGATTCTTGTGTAGCTCTCCAGCCTCTGGATAGGAATTTTCCTATTGATCACGTTAAAGCAGCAGGTGATTGGAATGGAAACTGAATCTGAAAGAAATTTTGCAAAGAATGAGACATTTAGGACCCACCGTAAGTGTGCATTTGTAAGGAAAAGAAGAGAAGGAAGGAGAAGACCAAGAAGTCACCATCCCAAGTTCAGTGTCTTAGTCCAGATCCCAGAGATAAAATGTTGCCTGTGAGTCTCTTTCCTCTATTGAACTCTGCGGCCCGTCATTGTTGACTGGGTTTGGAAACATTTTGAGTAACAAGCTAGTCCTTGTCTACTAACCCAAAACTTCTGACACTGGGAACATAAGTTCCAATACCTTGCTTCCCAGTCTTTCATCCTCATGGGCTTTAGAGTTAGCCTATGCCATACGCTGAGATTCCTCTGGGTCCTCATCCTCTTTACACAGCCACTGTTCTGGAAGGTACACTGAACCATAACCAAAATTTGAAGCTTCAGGCAATAGTTTCTCCCTCTCCACTACGGCCTGAAATGTCCTTTACACCCACAGTGAGAAACAGTTCTTCGTTCTGGATTATTTCCCCAAACAATGGGAGGGTTGTTGCTGTAGCGGCTCCACTGTCTCCTCCCAAAACTGGGGTCAGGAAAGATCAAGGGAACCAGCCTCAGTGACCTGAGCCTTTAGTTCTGGTTTTGTTCCTAATGAGCTGTGACATAATGGCTCTTCTTAATTCCTCTTTTGGTCTCCCCTTAAAAAGGGAGAGGTCTTACCTGGCTGAGCAAGTCCCTGAGGGCTGAAAGTGGCTGCCATGAGCAGCAGGCACAGAAGCGCTGCAGAAACCTTCATCTTGGAGGGCAAGGGTGTGAGCTTCAGCATGAGAGGTGAAGGTTTCTGGGTTGTTCTCAACCTCTCTGCTCCTCGGTGGCTCTGCCTGCCTTTTATAGGGAGCAGAGAGCCTGGGCATGGTCACAATCAAGGAAGAATGAAGTAAGACCTTCCTTGAATATGCTGAGTAAGCACCAGATCCTGGGATAATTTCCAGATAACAAAACAAGGAAGTTGTGAGTTTCTATCTTTTGCTTAGGCTCTGTGGAGCAGAGGCTGAAGGGTATGGGATTGTGCTCAGCAAAGTGACCTCACTGAACTATTAAGGGCTCTGATTTCCTTGAAATGGAAAATTGTCTATAAGAAAGGAAGAATGGAAGCTGACGTCATAGTGGAAGAGAGCCAAGGGCCTACCCCTCTGTGGGTAACAGGAGGCCAGGGATGGGCCCTAAGGCTTTGCTGGTGCTCTCCATCACACTAGAGTCACTTGCAGTTCTAAGCCAGGCAAGCTCCTTTAGAACCCCAGCCACAGAACGTTGGCAGAATGACAGAATCCTGGAACTAAGTCTTAATGCCCCAGAATCTTACTGTTGCAGAGGGTAAGAACTAGACAGCACATGCTGGTCTTGTAGCATGGTGGTTTCCAAACATTTTATTTAGATGCTCAAGTTTCTTTCCAAATGAAATTATATGGAGAAGTCCAATATGTCATGGAGATTCAGGTGGAATGGGTCCGTCTGCAGAAGGCCTTCCAACTCTCTTGGTTCACACACAGTGGGGCTGTGGGCGGGGCGTGGCAAGAAGGAACCAGGTTTGCAAAAGACTGACCTCATCTACTCCCCCTGCAGGCCTGATCTATCCATCATTACAATATCATATAGAAGTTTTCCTGCTCTAAGAATTCACTGTATTCTTCTATTCATCCTTTTTCCTCTCCACAAATCTCTGGCTACCACTGATCTTTTTACTATCTCTGTGAGCTTGTCTTTTCCCAAGTATCATATGCATAGTTGGAATCATATAGTAGGCAGCCTTTTCAGACTGGCTTCTTTCACTAAGCAATATGCATTTAAGGTTTCTCCGTGCCTTGTTGTGGTTTGATAGCTAATTACTTCCTTTGTTCTTTATTCATTTATTATTTTTATTGTGGTAAAAATGCACATACCATCTTAACCATTTTTAAGTGCATAGTTTAGTGGCATTAAGAACATTCACACTGTTGTGCAACAGTCTCAATAACTCTTTTCATCTGTAAACAGAAATTCTATACCTATTGATCTCCAGTTTCCCCTCCCCCAAGCCCCTGGCAACCACCATTTCTACTTACTGTTTCTGATTTTGACTGCTCTAACTACCTCATGTGAGTGAAATCATATAGTATTTTTCTTTTGTGACTGGCTTATGTCATTTAGCGTAAGGATCTCAGGGTTCATCTATGTGGCAGCATATGATATGCTACATATCCTTAAGGCTGAGTAATATTCCCTTGTATGTATATAGTACATTTTATGTATCCATTCATCTGTTGAGGGCTCTCTATTCTGTTCCATTGATCCATTTGTCTATTCTTTCACCAATACCACACCGTCTTGATTACTGTTTCCTAATAGTAAATCTTGAAGTTGGGTAATGTTAGTCCTCTGACTATTCTTTTTCAGTACTGTGTTAGCTATTCTAGATCTTTAACCTTTCCATATAAACATTAAAATCAGTCTATCACATCCAAAAAGAACCTGCTGGGATTTGGACTGGGATTGTGTTGAAGGTACAGATCAAGTTGGGAAGAACTGACATGCTGACAACATTAACTCCACCTATCCATACATGTGGAATATCTCTTCATTTATTTAGATCGTCTTTAATCTTTCATCAGAAGTTTGTAGTTTCCCTCATATATATTGTACATCTTAGACTAATTTCTAAACACTTCATTTTATTGGTGTTAATGTAAATAGTATTGTGTATTAATTTCAAATTCTAGTTGCTCATTGCTGATATACAGGAAGTTATTGAATTTTATCTATTAGCCTTGTATCCTGTAGCTAAAATTGCTTATTAGTGGCATGACTTTTTTTTGTTGCTGATTCTCTGTAATTTTCTACACAGACAATCATGTCTTCTGCAAATAAATTCAGTTTTATTTATTCTTTCTAATCTGTATATATTTTTATTTTCTTGTCTTGTGCTGTTGTGTTGGCTAGGCCTTCCAGTATTATGTTGAATTGGAGTGGTGAGAAGAAACATCCTTGCCTTATACTCAATCTTAGGAGAAAAATATCTAGTTTCTCACCATTAAGTATGATATTTGCTGTAGGTCTTTTTTAATGCACTCTATAAAGCTGAGGAAGTATCCCTCTATTCCTAGTTTGCTGAGAGTTTTTTTTTTTAAATCATGAATGGCTGTTGAATTGTGTCAAAAAAAATTTTCCATCTATTGATATTATAATAAGATTTTCCTTCTTTAGAAAGTTGATATGATGGGTTATATCAACCAATTTTTGAACGCTGGATCAGCCTTGCATACCTGGAATAAATTCCACTTGGTTGTAGCTTATAATTCTTTTTATATGTTGTCGGATTTTATTTGCTGATATTTTGTTGAGAATTTTGTTCATGAGTTTGGTTTATAGATTTCTGTTGGTTTATAGTTTTCTTTTGTTGTAATGTCTTTATCTGGTTTTGATGTTAGGGTCATTCTGGACTCAGAATGAATTAGGAAGGGAGGAGAGGGGGCAATTACAAAATTTGTTCCTCAGGAATTCTCATTGTTTTATAGAAATAACATCGGTTAGTAATTGGCAATGTATTGTTGAACTATAGGGTGTATATCTAAAATTTCACCACCAAATCCAAGATTGAATACTGCCTTTTCAATTAGTGTGTTTAGATTTCTCACAAGACAGTAAATATTCCCCAATAATCTTGAACTTTAAAAGCTCTATAGGAGTTCATATATATCAGTGCACCATAATTAACTTAAGAATTTACTTCTCCATAGTTGGGAATCATACCATTTCCATTTTTATGGTTTTACACAATACTTGTGGAAAAGCTGATATAACATTATTATTAATGTCTTCGTTTAATTTTCTAGCCAAAGAATTAATAAATCAAAATATGTGGATATTATTAAGACTTTTAATCAAATGAACACATTGCTGGAAAATTTGCCCCTTCACTTAAATGTGAGTGTATTATTCTTAAAAACATTTTATAGTTGCTAAGAAGAAGATATTTTTCTTGTTAAAAGACAAAAGAAACGTACAGTGATAGAGGTTAGAACAGTGGTTCCTTTGCAGGTATGGACATCATGAGGGAAACTTTTGGAAGCTTCCCTCTCTGATTTTGATCAGAGAGGTAGTTAAATGGTTAACTACACATGTAAAATTCATGAAACTCTACATTTAAAATGCCTGCACTTTACTGGACAGTATATTGAATTATACTTCGAAATAAAGTAAATCGAAGCAAAAGGCTCACCATTATTTTGCTTACATTTTACTTTATTTGCTTTTGAATATGTATGTTAGTTGCTTTATTTTTTTCTTGTGGTTAATATGCTCCTGTTCTTAAATCAGGTGGGTTTTTACTGTTTTGATTCAGAAGAGATTTTTAAACATTTACCTCATGCATTTTTCATTTATTACAATTACTATGTGAACTTTTAACAGTAAAGAATTTGCAGTATATGGAACATGTGTGTCATTTGGATTTCCTTTAATCAGAAAGGAAATTGAGTTGTTTCAGGATGGCAGCTTTTTAATCATTTTAGGGGATGGTTCTCTGCCAGGTGTACTGTGTAGCATCAATCTGAGTGTGTGCATGGGGTGGGGGTATTGGTTTAGGGGTGGAGTTTGTGTGTATTTTCCAAGCAGCAATAAAGCCATTGTCTTATGTAATACCCTGAGGACTTTGTTAATTTTCCTCTGAGCTGACTTCAAACGAAAAGTGCATCCATGCACAGACAACAGAAATAGTCATGAAAATTATAATTATTGGGAATCAAAAAAGGCTAGTAAAAATGAAGGGAATTAAGTGTCAAGGAACTTGAGTCTAGTCTTGATTTCACCAATAACCTGCCCAAAGTGGCCTTGGGCAAGTCTTATTGACTTTGAGATTCACTATCCTCATCTATGAAGTATGGGGTTTTGACAGGTTTTGGGATGACAAGTAGTTTTTGATCATGTGC
Source organism: Homo sapiens (assembly GCF_000001405.40). Classification (NCBI taxonomy): domain Eukaryota; kingdom Metazoa; phylum Chordata; class Mammalia; order Primates; family Hominidae; genus Homo; species Homo sapiens. The sequence goes on along the minus strand of NC_000017.11, from coordinate 34,315,333 downwards.
CAACTTTATGAATTGGTGATAGATGACTAGAAAGTTTTGTTGTAAAACTAAAACAATGAGGCATTACCGTGAATATAATGCTGTGATTGATTAGTGATGTCTGCTATTAGTACAGTAATAAGGAGTGGTACCATCTATGTAACCTATTCCAGAATTAAATAGTACTTAAGCTCTTCTCTAACTTGATTCACCTGTGATTGTCTGCAAATAATCAAATCAAAGAGCAGAGAGGCTCAGATGCTAGGAAATGTCAGAGAAGTGTTCCTGGCTGTCAGTCCTAAAATAGACAGGCAGAATAGCATGATGGTTAAAAGTCTTCATTTGGATACTGGGAACACTGGTTAATATATTTGTCAGAGAAGGCTTAGGTTATTTAACTTCTTTATATTCCAATTTCCTACCTATTCTTTAATTTTCTTGTGCGGAAATTGATATTTATTTTTATGCATTTTATGAATATTATCTGATACCCAAAACTTGCTTTGAAGAGTGAGTAGCATATGGTAGGTGATCAATAAACTAACTGTAATCAATAGTTAAGTAAGGTGGGTGTAGTGTCCAGAAGATAAGTGGATATAGATGTGTTATAGGGATGGACCTTGGGGAATATTTGTGCTGTGGATGAAGGAAAAAAAAGTGTCTCCCAGGAACGGGAGCAAAGTGAGATCCTGGGATCCTGCCATGAACCAAAATACTAGATGGCTCTGGGAACTCAGAGGGAATGGAAGTCAGATCCCAGTGCTAACAGATGCCAAGGGGCATCAGAATTCTAATTCTGCAGGGAGTTTAGGAATCTCAGTTGGCAAGCCGCTTTCATTACGCAATTTCCCTCTCTTGTTTTTAAACTGAATTTGAGAAATCCTTATGTAAAAAGTTAAAACGAAACTTAGGGCATGCAAATTCAGCAGCTGTTCTGTCCAGTGGCCTGGCTGTGTTGTTCAGAGAAGTGGTCCTTCTGCCTTTCCTGTTTCTTTTCTCTTCGGTGGCTTCCTCATGAGCAGTTTCCTAAGGTGGACTTCACAACTATGTGAAATAGGACATATAGAACAAATATGTCTGTGGCTCAGTGGCTAATGGAGCAGAGCCTGAGATCAGAAACAACGGTCTGTGAATGAAGGGCAGGAAATATATACCTTGCTATGGAACCAGACCTTCTAGATTCTTACCTGGTTCTCAAGGAGTGAAATTAGGTGGGAGAGCATCCTGGGAAGCAGAATTTCTGCTTTCATTTTTCAGCTCTGCTCCAACTGTCCTTAATGATCACAATATTATAGAATGAGTTGAAAGAGGCAGTTGCATTTAATTTATTCAAGTATTTCCCTTTACAAATGAAACAACAACAGAAGTGAAATGATTTATTGTAGGTTGTGCGGCTACTTCATGACAAGCTAGCACTGGCAAGTGGGAATGTCAGAACAGAAGCCATCATGGAATTCCAATTAGAGGGCAAGAACCATGCAGAAAACCTACAGTGAGGTGTCTAGAAACCTCAGAGACTCTCCAGTGCACTGGTCTTTTCAGACCTGCCTCCTGGAATATCCAGATGCCTGGGGCAATTATTAATAATGCAGAAGAGATGCCTTAACCTACACCAAAATACAGAGTCAGAATCTTCAGAGATGAAACCCCGAATTCTCTATTTCTGAAGTGGTCTAGGTGACCAGGTAATTTTTAACCAAAGCCATTTTGGGAGTCATTAATCTAGTTCAAATGCCTCATTTACAGATGTATAAACTGAGGCACAGAGTGGGAAAATGATTTCCCCAAAGTCACTTTGACAATTTAGTAAAGAATCAAAACCAGAATTCAGCGACGGGGTCACCATGCCCTGTTACACAGTGGACTATCTCGTTTGGTCCCTGGTACCTGGTAGAGTCTTCATTGTAATGGAGGCTCCAGAATCTTTATTTTTTTGTCTCTGTAAGTTCATGTTGCAAGGATAAGCAATCCTGGGCCCAGCTGGAAAACAGATGAATAATTTCAAGGAGGGTTACTTAACATGTCTCAACAAAGGAGCATGAACAGATTCCATTCAGACTTGGGAACACGGAATTTACTATTTCAAGCTTTTGTATCACCAGTCCCCACTCAATGCCTAATATTTGCTTGGCACAGGGGAACTTCTGAACCCCAATAAACTGTACAGGGATGTCTATTCTTGTCCTTTGTAACTCCCTGGAATCAATTGGAATTTTAGGATAAACTCTTGAATGAGGTTTGGGTATGTGGCTAGGTGTAAGGAGGAGAGGTGGGCAGAACTGTTTTATTATGAGAACTAAGAAATTGTCTTGATGACAGTGAACTGTCCAGTTGCCCCTGGGGCTTTCGGGGTGCTATCGGGATGTGCGTAGAAGTCTCCTGGCCTGCCCTGCTGGTTATTTGGGCAAATATTGCATAATGCTGGGTCACTGGCTTGCTTGGTAGTGTAGATTCTGGTTACTGTCTTCCCCCGCTCTGTCTTTGCTGGTGGCCATGGTGATGTGGTCCAAGACACACATTTAAGGACTAGGGGTGAAAATGGAATTTGTCTGTTGAATCCCCTCATTTCCTAAATATACAGATTATCATCTCAACTTTATTGATGGAGCAGCTGAGGATGAGATTAGGGAATTGATATGCTAGAGGTGAAACAGAGCACCCAGGGGTCTGGTTGTCCAGGCCAAGCTCTTCTCAGGGCTCCTGGTTTTGACTGTAATGCCTGGAACAGTGTGGTACGGTTTGACACAGCATAATGTGGGCTGCCTCTTATCCAGATTTCAAGAGTTTTCTCACCAGTCTACTTTCTCCTTATTTGGGCTGCTGGAGTCTTTATCACTGGACCACTCCTGGTCACTGGCAGGTGAAAGAGACATGGAGACTCTTGTCCTAGCTCTTAAATGTATCTGCCTGGAAGGACATATGCCACTTCTGCTTACATTTTATTGCCCAAAGTGGATCACACAGGTTGTCGGTTTTCAAGATGGCCTGGAAGTACAACCCTGCCCTGTGCACGGAAGAGGAAGAACTGGAAATATCAGACGTCTCTAATCACTACCAGATGTTCCATGTTATCCATGTCAGCTTAGTAACCTTTGAGCCTTATGACGTTCTTGGCTAAGCAATTTCTCATACTTCACATTTAAATAGTCCAACTCATTTATCAAAAATGTCTTTTACTTTAACTTGAGGCAGGGTGATGGGTCTAAAATATTTCATAATATTTAGTGCACTCCACAGCATTCTAAATAAAACATATTAATTTTGTCGACATAAAAACCAAACCCACAATTGACTTTTATCTAAATGTCAGAGAATAGTGTTAATGATTCCACAAGTTATTCACATCAACTCAATAAATTGGGAAATTATTATAAAGCCCTCAATGACAAGGTGTTAATTGGTACTCAGGGTGGTATTTTTACTTCATTATTTATTAAGATCACAATTAAGCTCATCAAGGCTAACAGCCTCTAGGTTAATATCTGTTAGGCACTGTGAAGGAGTCATTGCACAAATAAATGTTCCACATCACATACAAAATAGTCGGTTTTGTTTGTATCACTGTTTTTTAAAAACTGAAACCAAGTAGTCTACTTGATTTATTAATATGATTAATATGTATTTTACTCCATAATAGCATTCTGAGCCAAATAGTGTTTCATTTTCTTTGTGTGAAAATCAGCAGTTCATTTCTATTCGATGTTGTTAAAGATAAGAAAGTACAATATGAAGTCAACTGCAGAGTCTTTAGGTCAGTATAATAAACATTAGTGTGTTTTAGACTACATGAACTAGTTAAAAAAAAAACGTAAAACATCTCTCTCAAGGCACCTGCCAACATTGGCATGTAGCGATGGACGGCTGCAGTGTGGTGCCTGCTCCCACATGTGCCTCCAACATTTGCCTGCAGAGTCCATGCCAGAGTCACTCCCACAAGAGGGATCTTCAAGAAGAAATTGCAACTTGAAGCTTCCAAGTAGCCCAATTTTAGCTGTGTGGTTTTAATTAATTAATTAATTTTAGAGACGGAGTCTCGCTATGTTGCCCTGACTGGTCTCGAACTCCTGGGCTCAAGTGATCCTCCTGCCTCAGCCTCCCAAAGTGCTGGGATTACAGGCACTCACTACTGTGCCCAACTCCAGCTTTGTGGTTTTAAATTTCATTGCTTTTCCCATTCAAATTTCTGAGATTGGTCTAATCATACATAACTAAAGGAGATAAAGTCTTTTTTAACTGACATGTGGCTGCTGCGAACTGCAGAAATACTGTTTCTTCAAGAATCTACCTTCAAAAGTCAAGAGGTTTCTATTTCATTGGTGGAGGATACTACACTTCCATCACTTATCTGAAGCATTTCCAGGATGTGTGCTGTTGCTAAGAACAGCTTCTGAAATGTGTCTGGCATTGCCCCCAACACAGAATGAGGTACCTGAAGAACTTGTAATAAATTTTAAATGGTTGCATTTTTCTTTTAGAAAACATAAAATATATTGTTCCCTAAAGGAAAGGACAAAAATGTATCTGCATTTAGGGTAATCAGTTCATTCTGCTTCAGCCTGGACTTTCTCGGTAGCAATGAAAGTCCAGTGTCCCAGGAAACCTCTCAGTTCTGGGCAAATCAGGACAGTTGGTCACTCTATCTGTGCTTTAAACACTAAGATTGGATCTGGCTGCTCTATTTATGTATTTTCTCCCTTTCTTCTCTCTCCATCTCACTCTGTGTGTATATCTGTGTGTATATACATATGTGTGCATATATATGTACATAGGTATGTATATATAAATATACAAACATATACATATACACATGTATATAAATACACACATATATGGACATAATGTACTTATGATCATATTTACAGCTTTTTTCACTTAATGAGTCATGCACTCTCTCAAGTCATTAAATATTCTTCAATTGGTTGAATTTAGTGGCTTCATACTGCTTCATTATAAAAATGTCATACATAATTAAAGCATTTCTTTATGATTAGGCATATATAATTTATATTTTCATTTAAAAATAATTTTAATTAACATTATTTTGAAAACCCAAGTTTAAAAATTCTCCCCCATGTCTTTACTGCTGTTGAAATGTGAAGCTTTAGTAGATATTGCCATATCGCTTTCCATAAAGTTTTTACTCAGGACAACATTTATTAGTTGTAGTAGGCGAATAAAGGACCCCTTTGGCTAGGCACGGTGGCTCACATCTGTAATCCCAGCACTTTGGGAGGTCGAGGCGGGTGGATCACTTGAGGTCAGGAGTTCGAGACCAGCCTGGCAACATGGTGAAACCCTGCCTCTACTAAAAATACAAAAACTAGCCGGCCATGGTGGCACATGCCTATAATCCCAGCTACTTGGGAGGCTGAGGCAGGGGAATTGCTTGAACCCAGGAGATGGAGGTTGCTGAGGGCGCACCACTGCACTCCTGCCTGGACGACAGAGTGAGACTCTGTCTCAATAAATAAGTAACCCCTAAAAGTTCACTCCCTGATCCCTGGAACCTGTGACTCTGTTACCAGGGATGAGGGGGTGAGTTTTTTATCATATCTCCTTTAGATAATGGCTAACTGGGAAGGAGTTAGAGAAAAGGAGTGAGCGAAAAGGCAGAATGGCCATCTCTCTGGGGAATGAGTTCAGGTTGCTGGACCAAACAGCTACAGGATTTGGGCAGTCCTAAGTTTCATTTTCACTTTTCACACTAAGGATCTTTGTGGATGGGATCCAGGGTACAGACCTTGAGATGGAGAGATTATCCAGGTATGCTCAATCTAATACCTTGAGTCCTTGAAAGTGGAGACTCTTTTCTGAGTCTCAACAGAGAGAGGAGATGGAAGAAGAAGAAATGCATAGTATGAAAGGGACTTGACCCACTGTTGCTGACTTTGAAAATGGAGAAGGGGGCTCTGGGCCACAGAATACAGAGGCGTCTAGAAGCTGGGAAAATCTCTTGTCTGACAGCCATCAGGAAAATGAACATTTAGGCTCAATAAACCAATAACCCAAAGGAACTGAATTCTGCCAATGCCCAGAGCAATCGAAAAAATGGATCCTTCCCTAGAACTTCTAGACAGAAACACATTCCTGATAATACCTTGGTTTTAGCCTGCTGAGGCCTATGTTCAGCTTCTGAACTCCAGAATTATAACATAATACATTTATATTGTTTAAACCACTAATTTTGTGGTAATTTATTAATGCAGAAATAGAAAAGTAATACATTATTAACTGAAAGTATATGCTACTTTGTTAATAAAAAGTATTATTTTGTATATAGGCAAAACTAACCTATAGTGGTAGCATTGAGACTAGATGTTGTGGGGTATTGACTGGCAGGGAATGTGAGGGAGACTTTGGGGTTTAGAAATGTTCTGCAAATATTGATTTGGATGGTGATTCCTGGGGCATATGTATGTAAAAGTGATTTAACTTCTTTGAACTTTATTGTAGGAAACCAATGCCTCAATTTAAAAGTTAGCAGAAAGAAACTATTCCAGTATGAGCTTGTTTAAATTTGTGTCTACTGGTTGGTATTTTTGTGTACATGTTCAATGGTTTATGTTTTTATCTGGTGAATTATCTGGTAGTCTTCTTAGCTCAGGAGTTCAATTATTTTTTTAAATTTATTTATAAGAGACCTTAAATCTTCTACCTCTTGTTTATCTAATTTCTTTTTTAAAAAACTCTGGATCATCTTTTAACAATACTGAAGTTCCAGAACTTGAAACATATCCCTAACCTCAGGATTTCCTCTCACAAGAGGGAACTTACACTCTTACACAAAAGCATCTGGGACTGTCCCTGCCAATTGCCTCATATAACACTGATACAGAGTCAAGTTTTCTTTATAAATTGAGTTTATATAAATCCCCAGTCCACATGCATGGCAAGTGTCACACAAAAATAAACTCAGAAAATTTTCATTCTCCAGTGATGTGGCTTGACACAAAGGTGCATTCAGAGCTAAGAAATGAAAATAGTGGTAAAAGTCAATTATGAGAAAGCAAAGTGGGTTAGTAGAATGCAGGGCGTGTACGCCAAGTGCCTAATCCCAGCTTGCCTGCTTAGTAGCCATGGAACCTATTTAGATATTTTTAGGTCCACCTGCTTCGTGTATCAAATGTGGGGATATACAAGATCAAGGATGTCAAATAGGTTTTCAATGCAAGTGTCAACTCGAGAGGTTTATTGGAAAAGATAATGAGGCCTTATGTCGGCCATGAGAAATAGTGATGTGATTCTTTACTGATATTCTCCATCAGTACAGGATCAGGGAGGAGCCCAGCTCTGGGACATGTTGGCCATTCGTGGGCTAGGAGATTATCTGTGTTCCTCTCAATTTTATTTTCCTATGATTGATTATCATCTTGAAATGAGTCCAATCTGAGACTTGGACACTTAGGGCATTAGGAATCAGCAGAGAAGTGTTCTTTGCTGTTTAGCTGTAGGACAGGCAGGATAGTGGTTAAAACAATGGACTCTGTAGCCAGATTGCCAGGATTTGGATGCTTAGATGTTTTGAAAGCTTATTTCAGGTCTCTGTGCCACTGTTTTCCTATCAGCAAAATAGGTGTGAATTAAACTAGTTGACACAGGAAAAGGGCATTGAAAAGTGAGGTGTTAGCATATGGTAAGTATTTAATAAACTCATTGTTATAGATATTGATAGTGAGAATATAGTGATCAGAGGATGCTAAACAGAGACCCAGGATGTGGACTATTGAAGAAGGACTCCCTTAATTGTCTTCATGCATTCAGATGAAGACATGTGATAGAGATGGACCTTCAGGAATGCCTGTGCTGTAAATAAGGAAATAAAAAGAGTCTCCCGGAAACAGGGAAGCAAGAGACCCCAGGATCTTCACATCAGCCAGAGGTGCAGGATGCTCTGGACCCCAGAAAGAATAGGAGAAAGATCCCAGGTATGACACATACCCAGAGACACCATGCTCATGTTCTGCAGATGGTTCAGAGCCTGCAGTTGGAAAGTCCCTGTGTTTTGCAATTTCCCTTCCTTTGGTTTTGGTTTTAATGTGGATTTCAAAAACCTTAGCGTGAAAAACTAAAATGAAACTTAAGACTGCCCAATTCCTGCAGTTGTTTGTTCCAGCAGCCAGAATGCATTCCCTGGGGAGGTGGCCATTCTGCCCTTTCTCTCTCTCCTCCTTTTCTCTAACTCCTTCCTAGTTAGCCATTATCTAAAGCGGATGCAAAAACGTGCTCATAATTTAGGAGGTGGTGAATGGTGAGACCATGGTCTAGACCATAAGCTAGTAGAAGACAGGGATCAATTAGCATTGGAAAAGAAACAAATCTCCTGCAATGGAAGCTGTTCTCTGTCTTAAGTGATTCCCAAGGAACATAGCAGGGTCAGGTAGAAGAATGTTCTGCAAATCGCAAGTTCTGGAGAATGGCTACATTCTTCATCTTCATCTCAGATTTATTCAGAGATCACAAAAGTCATAGAAGTAATGGAAAGAGACACTAAGAGGGAGAGATGAAGTCACAGCAGGTCGCACAGCTGGTTTATGGCAATCCAGGACTGGAGAAGAAGTGAGAGGCCACACAGGACTTGGGCAGGTCATTCCAAAGACTGCCATGCAAGTTCAAAGCCGTGGGGTCCGAACTCAAATGTGAGAGAACAAAGGAACCTCAGAGAGCATTGGTGTTCCAGTGCTATACTGAGCTATACCTCTGTATCCCCAGGAAAACTGGTTGAAATCCTGATGGGGGCACTGTTCCACAACCCAATGTCCTGACTCAGAATCTTGGGATAAGGCCAGGAAATCTGCATTTTCAGGGGTAGTCCTGGTGATTCTGATTCATACTCAGTTTGGAAACCATCAGTCTAGTGCAAAAGGTAAGCTGGGTTTCATGGAAGAAAAAATGATTTGCACAGATTTACCTGACACACAGCCTAAAGAAAGAGCTGAGGATGCAATGCTCAAAGATGTGCAATGCATTCCTGTCTGGTTGCTGGTCCCTACTGGAAACTGCTCTATTAGAGGCCCCAACATCTCCAATTCTTTGAGTTTACAGGTTCATGCTATGGGAATTGGAGGAAAAACAGCCTGAGAACTTCTTCAACATAGAGACATACAGCATTTACCATTTTCCACCGCCTCCTGCCCAAGCCTTGCTGAGTGCCAGAGGGTCTTCTGAGTATCAATGCATATGGTGATATTTTAGTTTTTTTTTTTATTCCAACTCACTGTGTGCTTCTACACTTGGTTAGAGTTTTAGAGTTCACTCCTGATTGGTATTTGGAGATGAGATCTTGGTGGCAGGGGAAGTATACAGAACTACTTGATCTGGCATGAGGACGAATGAAGTTGTCTGGTTGCTAATTGCTCCCAGGACTTTTGTTGAATTTGGGGGTGGGGATGGGGGGCCTTAATGAAAAATCTGTGTCTAAGCAGGCAATGCCTGAGAAAGGAGTGGGTTCACAGTAATCCAGGTCCTGGCTGGTACATGAAGACAGATTTGAAATACTTTCCTTTCCAACTCTTCTCTAGCCAGTGCATGTGGTGATGTTTGCCAAGACATAGTTCCTGGGGCTAGGAAAACATGTGAGATCATCTGCCAGATTCCTTCACTTGCTGCCTGTAACACAGCATTATCCCCATTTAATGGAGAGGAAAACTGAGGCCCAGAAGGAGAATTTGATATTCCACAATGCTCAGGGAGTCAGTGCCACTCCTGCAATCAGCATCAATGTCTCCTGCTTCACAGGGTGAGATTTTCTAGTGCTCCATGCTTCTGAGTGCTCTGCTTTCTACAGAATCTATCATTCTCTCCCCAAGACTGGCAGGTATTGGCCCTGCTATTGGTCTTTACTGTTGGTGAGGAGGTAAAATTATAGCTAATTTTCATACAAATGGATCCCCGTTTGGAAAAAGGAGCTGGCCAAACTCATAGACTGCAGTTGAATCTTAGGGGTCATCCAGGAAGAGGAGGCCCTGTCTTTTTGAATCCATGTTTTAAAAGCTCTGCGGTTGGGGCTTACAGGGCTAGTGAGAGAGGGACGTGAACTTGGGGCTCAGGGTAGGCATGTCTCTCAATACTGCCTTGTGATATTTTGGTAGTGAGTTCTAGGAGCTGGGTCCCTAGGCCTCCCACTGTGTCCTCTTGACGAAATATCTTCAGTAAGCTCCAGCTGACCCCATTCTTCCTATGAGCTGCTGCCTCTCCTCCACCTCTACCATCCCTTCTTGCCTGGATTATTGCGGATACCTGCTCTCAGGTCCTCCTTTCCACATTCCATCCTCAGGCAGCCAGAAGCTCTGTCTTCATCATGCATACTTCTGATTAGTTTGCGTCTCTTCCCCACTAATTCACACACCTTCATTGTCTTCCTATGACATTCAGAACTGAACCCGACTGTCCATGTTGACATTCAAGACCCTCCAAAATGTAGCTCCAAGCTTGCATTCTAAGTTTTTAAAATGTTTTTCCTATTTCTGGACCAAATTCCAGCCAGACAAGAGTTCTGCTTCTTGCCTACTCTTCTGTCCACCCTAAATTAGTTCAGTCGAACCTCTCCTTTGATCTCACCCCATCATTTAAGAGAGGTCCTGCTTATGCCTCTTCTTCACTGAGAAGTGTAACCTGACCACTGAATCTATTGCCACCTGCTCTTCCTCTGATGTTTCAATTCACCATTGGTGTTCCTCTGGAGTTCATGATAGGTTGAATGGGACTGACTGCAGCCAGGGAGAACATTTCAGAGGCTATTGCTATAGATTGGGTGGGAAAGCTCCCCTGGTAGGAAAGAAGGTGTGGTGGGCAGGAGAGGAAGGAAATGGCTGTGGGCTGACGCTGAACAAGTGACCACAGTCCTTGGTCCCAGGAGGTTGGAATTAGGGACTAGAATCACAGTGCCAGGGCAGTCTTGTCTGTCTTCAACCTGCATGGAGACCAGCCAAGTCAAAAGCCATTCGATGGGATCATGACCTCCACTTCCTAAAGCCATGCCCTCACCCCCAGCTTCATTCTTCCAGCTTCATCTTTTTCAGAAAGAAAATATAACTACCCAATTTTATTTTGTTATTTATACTTTATTAGAGAAGGTTGCTGGCAACCAGACCTAAGCCTGTCATAAACAGGCCTTAAAGAAACTGGCCATAAACAGGATTTCTGCAAAAATGTGACATGCTCATGATGGCTATGATGCACACTGCTAGAAGTTGTTGGTTTACTGGAGCAGGGCAAGGAATGCCTGGCCCATCTGGAGCGGGAAACTGCTCAAACCACAAGCAATAGCATGAGCGGCCTGCGCCTTAACATGTTTTTGCTGCGGATAATCAGCCAGAGCCTATTTCTCTACTCCTTGCTAAGAATTCTTTGTTTCCCCTAAGGAATGCTTTTAGCTAATCTATAACCTATACAAACAATGTGTATCACTGGCTTACTGTCAATAAATATGTAGATCAAACTCTGTTCGTGGCTCTCAGCTCTGAAGACTGTTAGCCCCCTGATCCCACTTTGCACTCTATTTCTGTGTCTTTATCTTCAATTCCTCTAGCACCGCTGGGTTGGGGCCTCCATGACTGAACTGGTCTTGGTAGAAGGTCTCACTTTTTTCCCCAGGCTGGAATGCAGTGGCATGTTCACAGCACACTGCAGCCTCAATCTCCTGGCTCAAGCAATCCTCCCACCTCAGCTTCCTGAGTAGCTGGGAATACAGGTGTGTGTCACCATACCTGGCTACTTTTTGTGTTTTTTATAGAGAGAGGGCTGTGCCATGTTGCCCAGGCTGGTCTCAAACTCCTGGGCTCAAGTAATCCACCCGCCTTGGGCTCCTAAAATGGTGGATTACAGGTGTGAGCCACTATGCCGGACCAACTGCCTAATTTTATAAACAAAATGTTCTCTTGAAAATCTCAGAGCTATACAATAGAGTAGACCTGTTCCCCAAACTGGTGTCCTGGGAAGAGCCCAGAGACTGGCTTCGGTGGCCTAGAATTCCAGTTCCAGCTTGTACCAATCTGGTTTCTCTTGAAACATATTCCCATTTTTTAGGGAAAAAAAATTTCCCCTAAATTCTGAAGACCCTTATTGCAGTGACATTCTGAGGGCCCTTATTGATCAGATTGTCCTGAAGGTTAACTTTCCTGAAAGGAGAGAGAGGCCTTACCTGGTTCAGCAAACACCTGGGAACTCATGGTGGCAGTCAGCACAGAAGAGCTGGGGAGACCTTCATGTTAGAGGGCAAGAGTTGGAGGTTTCTGGGATTTTCTAGGCCTCTCTGCTCCTTTGGCTGCTTTACTTAATTTTTTAAACTAAATCATGATGTTATTTTATAGGATGTAAAGAATTAGGGAGAAGAGAGAGAATTCCTTGGCAGAATTATTGTCAAAGAATTATGAGATGAGATCCAAAATCTGCAGAGTGGGCATTGGGTCCTGGGGAGGTTTCCAAGAAGTGGAAAAGGGAAGCAGTGGGCTGGGACTGGGCACATTTTCCATCCATTGCTGAGACTAATGGGGATGGGATAGGAAAGGGAGGTGCAGTTATGCCCAGCCTAAAAAGAGGAAATGCTCCAAGTTGGATCATCTCATGGGCTGCACTTCCTTTGCACTTAAATGTTTTCTGTAGAAAAGAGAGGAAGAAAGTAAATTGTGGTCATCAGAGAGGTGAGTAGATACAAAATTTGCACTATCCTCAACTCTGTCAGCATCCTCATCATGGACTTAAACCGTGGCTGGGATTCCAACCAGAGATTAGGAAAACCTGTATATTTTTAAACCTTGCTAGCAGGGTTCTAAGTAATACCACTCTTCACAACCCAGGGTGGTATTAATTAGAACTTTGGCTGAATGAGGGACTCCAGGAATCCTACAGATATAAAGCTATCTTATAGCTTTATCTTGGTATCAGAGGATATGTGATGCTGGGTAGCACATGAAGATCTTGGAGTGCTGTGGTTTTCAAACCTTGCTTTAGCTGTCAAAGTCTTTCCCCAAGTAAAATCAAAGGGGAATTCCAATATATCACCAGGGCCAGTGGAGTGGTCTGTGTGATGCAGGAGCTGGAGGCCCCTGTCCCTCACACCCAGCTCCAGGGAACAACAAAGTGTGGGATGGACTGATCCATTAAAGCTCTCTCTCCCAAAAATGCATATCAAGGCAAGGTATCTGATGCAATGTTAGTAGACAAACTGACATAGCTTCTACTTGCTCCAGTGGACGGTTGGTGCAGGGTTGAGAAATTCAGTAGCATAGCTGCATCAAATGCCAGCTTGGAAGCGTGTCATGGATATTTGTCTAGTTACCCCTGCACTGCACACTCATCCCTGCCTCCATCTTGCTCATGAAGATACTCACCATTAACTCCTTGAATTCTTGTCTTTTTTTTCCTCCACTATTCCAAATTCTAGAAATTATTGCTAACTTGACTTCCCTCCTCCCTCCTCCATGTAGCCCTACTAGACTGCTCAGATTTCATTAGACAACACCCTTTCTACTGCCTGAGTTGTACATTTCATTTATTTGACAGTAAACCTGCCAGGCCAGGCCTATATTTTCTTTTCTAATCAAAAGAGGAGGTTTTCCTCAGGCCCTCTACAGACCAGCAGTCTTCATTGAAAACCTGCGAATGACATATGGGCATAGAAGAAGGCACAGGAGCCTTGCCCAGAGGGGACCAGCATTCTCTTTTGGATGTTGGATCAAGGTTAAGTCAACAGCTTATAACCTTCAACTGAACTTCCTCTAGGTAAAGCCTTAGGTTGTACTTGTCCCTAGGCCAGGCAAAATGCCCACTTGTATCTATTAGACTGATTCCCTATGCTTATCAATCACTGGATGTGGGAAAGGATGAAAAATAAGAAGCTGTATCTCAGTTTATACTTCTGGAAACAGTGGGATTATAGTGTTATAACGGTTAAATTAATAGACACATGAAAAGTGCTTTAAACAGTGACAAGCACATAGTTAAGTTCTCAGTAAGCTTAACAGTTGTTACTTTTAGGAACTTCAGAAGAAGTATGGCTAGGAAATGCTAGGAAGGGACTCAAAGTGTAAGACAATAACATTCTCATGATTTCTCCCAAACAGAAGCTCATGTTTCCAAATTGAAACATGTTGCAGCGGGCTGTGTTTTCCAAGGAATGCCTTGTGTTGTGGAAAAGAAATGATGAAGAATGCCAGAGAAAGGGAAGAGGTCCCAGATATCTTGCCAAGGATCAAGCGTCGGGAGTACTCCAGGCTTCAGAGGCATGTGGCTAATGTGGTCCAGGAACAGCAGCTTCTGAGTGATATCAGTGTCATAAATAGGCAGGACTTCAGTGACAACAGGCAGTTTGTTTGCTATTTTCATTTTGCAGATTACCTTCCCAGACTTCAACTTGATGCTACCTGCAGAAGTTGAATGTGAGAATGTTAAGCCAGCATTTCAGACCATCTGGATTCAGCTGTTCTGCCCAGCTCAGCTGTCTTCTGCAGAGAGTGGGTGGCTGTCCAGCTTCTTTCTGTTTCTCATTTTTGGTGACTCCTTGACAGTAGCCATCTAAAGTGATTCAATTCACATTTTCTGCTGCTGGGGAATGAGAAACCTGTGGTCAGAAATAACTCCTGATGGGGGCTGGAAATGAGTCACTTATGGTGAAAACAGATCTCCTGGCTTCCTGGAATGCAGAACCATTTGATGGAAGTAAACCTGAAAACATGGACTCCCAGCTTTGTTCTTTGTCTCAGATTCCCTCTGAGATTACACAATTAGAGGAAGAATTAAATAGGACCTGAGAACTGTTGTTTTCCACCCTGTCCTTTCTCAGAAAAACTGAGACCTGAGAACAGAAACAAAATCCTTAAAGTCATTCAGGATTAATATCCCTGTTAATAGGCCCAGGTGTCTCAGTGCTCAGGTCCTGGATATATCCCACGAGTCTTTTACTACAGTGTACTCTCTCATCCTGGGCCTCATTTATCCCTTCCGCAAAACAGAACCAGCTGGTATTTGCTACTAGCCTTTCCCAGGGTTGCTTGGAAGTTCCTGGAAGAAACATTCCATAAGCTTATTTGCATAGCATGTAGTGATGCAGCTGACATGCAATAGACACTCAATAAATAATGATGGCTACTTGTATTGAATTGTTCTCCAGGCCAGGAACTACCAAATTTATGTGTGTTATCTAATTTAATCCTTCTGATTGACTCTGAAGTAAGTGCTTTTATGGTGCTTATCATGAAGAAGAGAACTGAGGCTTAGAGAAGCCAAGTATCTTACTCACAAGGCCCGTGAACACACTCTTTAACTATGCTGAGCATGCACCCACATGCCTTTGTTTACAGTGCTATTTGCCTATTATTTCACATAATCCTCCAGTGGCAGATGTCTTTATCCCTATTTACCAGGGAAATTAAGTGATTTGGGGGCACACCAGAGCTGGAGCAAATCCAGGAGGTACAACAGGATCCGCTAGCCCCATCCCTACTCTAATACATTGAACTAGAATCTTTGGGGAAGATAATTTAGAATCTGTAGTTTTAGACAAGTCCCTGGTGATTTTAATACACAGCCAATTAGAAGCCATATATCTAGTTTCAGAACCTGTTTTATGGTTGAGTAAACTAATGCCCAGTGAGAAAACAGAAGTTTCCCAAAGTTATCTTACAAGGTAGCTACACAGCAAAGCCAGGAGCCGTAGATCATGCATGAGGCCCAGGCCCTGCATCACATAGTAGTTGCTATGTTGCTTTACCTAGAGCCCCCCCTACCTGCCTGGACCAAGGTAGTCATTTTCTTGGCTTCTGCAGCATCAATGATCAATAAGTGTCTGCTGAGTGCCTCTCTGTGAGTTGCTCTGGGCTGCAGAGAGCTGCCTTCCTCAAGGTCACGTCCCATTTCTGGGTGTAGTCCACGTGCAATAATTGGTTGATGTAGGTATAGAAACTCCAGTTCCATGTCTCCTAAATTGGGCCTGTTCAATTCTGAAGGGTCATTTCAGCTCCAGAATACCCCATACAATGAGTCTAGGGGCATACAGGGACACTTCCTCAAAAGTAAAAGACTAATAATTGCATCTCATGCCTCCACCCATTTAAAAAGAAGCACAGTGCCCAGTAGGTAGATTTTCTCTACTTAGGAGGCAGGGCTACTCTGACTCACATACACAGAAGGTTACCAGTAGTGACTGGGATGCTGAGTAGGAATGGGCTCTGCAATGGGTCCAGGCTGTGGCACAAGAGATCCTGTGGCTTGGATCATAAACCAGGCAGACCTTATGGTATTAGAGTTAACGTGGATGGGAAAAGAAACCCACTGGGCCCTGTGAAATCTACGCTTTAGTAGAAGAACCTGGGGTTTTGGAGAAAAGTCAGGCTGTCTGAAGAGGAGAACTTGTACCTTTTGAAAAAAAAGTTTCCGGTGTGCTACTGAACTCTTGCAGAGACAGAGAGCCTGGCCATGGGAAATCAAATGATTTTCGTAGCCAGAATTTTGCAGAATTTGCTCGCCATGATCTGGGTTCAGTCAAACCTACCAAATCATAATGCCAGGTGGGCCCAGAGGTAAGATTGAGGCAGTGCATTGGGATTGGGCACAGCAGTGCCAAAGGGCATTGCACAGTAAACCATATGAGCAGATGGCTCAGACCCCCATGTCATCCATACTGCATGCCACTCACTCACTTCACACCCATGGCTGCCTGGGAGTCACTTATGACAAGGTGATGGAGGAAGAAAAAGGCTGAGCATGGTTCAAAGATGGTTCAGCTCAGCATGTGGACACAAACAAAAAACGATGACAATTGCTCTACAGATCAACTCAGGGATGGCCTTGAAAGGGAGAAGTGAGGGGAAATCCTCTCAATGGATAGAGTTTGAGCAGTTTTCTCAAACTAGTCATTGACTTGTATATACAGAGAGGTGGCCTGAGGTTAAAATATATGTGGACTCGGAATAGGAACAGCTCCGGTCTACAGCTCCCAGTGTGAGCGACGCAGAAGACGGGTGATTTCTGCATTTCCATCTGAGGTACCGGGTTCATCTCACTAGGGAGTGCCAGACAGTGGGCGCAGGCCAGTGGGTGCGCGCACCGTGCGCGAGCCAAAGCAGGGCGAGGCATTGCCTCACCTGGGAAGCGCAAGGGGTCAGGGAGTTCCCTTTCCGAGTCAAAGAAAGGGGTGACGGACGCACCTGGAAAATTGGGTCACTACCACCCGAATATTGCGCTTTTCAGGCCGGCTTAAAAAACGGCGCACCACGAGACTATATGCCACACCTGGCTCGGAGGGTCCTACGCCCACGGAGTCTCGCTGATTGCTAGCACAGCAGTCTGAGATCAAACTGCAAGGCGGCAACGAGGCTGGGGGAGGGGCACCCGCCATTGCCCAGGCTTGCTTAGGTAAACAAAGCAGCCGGGAAGCTCCTGGGTGGAGCCCACCACAGTTCAAGGAGGCCTGCCTGCCACTGTAGGCTCCACCTCTGGGGGCAGGGCACAGACAAACAAAAAGACAGCAGTAACCTCTGCAGACTTAAATGTCCCTGTCTGACAGCTTTGAAGAGAGCAGTGGTTCTCCCAGCACGCAGCTGGAGATCTGAGAACCGGCAGACTGCCTCCTCAAGTGGGTCCCTGACCCCTGACCCCCAAGCAGCCTAACTGGGAGGCACCCCCCAGCAGGGGCACACTGACACCTCACAAGGCAGGGTATTCCAACAGACCTGCAGCTGAGGGTCCTGCCTGTTAGAAGGAAAACTAACAAACAGAAAGGACAACCACACCGAAAACCCATCTGTACATCATCATCATCAAAGACCAAAAGTAGATAAAACCACAAAGATGGGGAAAAAACAGAACAGAAAAACTGGAAACTCTAAAATGCAGAGCGCCTCTCCTCCTCCAAAGGAACGCAGTTCCTCACCAGCAACGGAACAAAGCTGGATGGAGAATGACTTTGACGAGCTGAGAGAAGAAGGCTTCAGATGATCAAATTACTCTGAGCTATGGGAGGACATTCAAACCAAAGGCAAAGAAGTTGAAAACTTTGAAAAAAATTTAGAAGAATGTATAACTAGAATAACCAATACAGAGAAGTGCTTAAAGGAGCTGATGGAGCTGAAAACCAAGGCTCGAGAACTACGTGAAGAATGCAGAAGCCTCAGGAGCTGATGCGATCAACTGGAAGAAAGGGTATCAGCAATGGAAGATGAAATGAATGAAATGAAGCGAGAAGGGAAGTTTAGAGAAAAAAAGAATAAAAAGAAATGAGCAAAGCCTCCAAGAAATATGGGACTGTGTGAAAAGACCAAATCTACGTCTGATTGGTGTACCTGAAAGTGATGGGGAGAATGGAACCAAGTTGGAAAACACTCTGCAGTATATTATCCAGGAGAACTTCCCCAATCTAGCAAGGCAGGCCAAAGTTCAGATTCAGGAAATACAGAGAACGCCACAAAGATACTCCTCGAGCAGGGCAACTCCAAGACACATAATTGTCAGATTCACCAAAGTTGAAATGAAGGAAAAAATGTTAAGGGCAGCCAGAGAGAAAGGTTGGGTTACCCTCAAAGGGAAGCCCATCAGACTAACAGCAGATCTCTCGGCAGAAACCCTACAAGCCAGAAGAGAGTGGGGGCCAATATTCAACATTCTTAAAGAAAAGAATTTTCAACCCAGAATTTCATATCCAGCCAAACTAAGCTTCATAAGTGAAGGAGAAATTAAATACTTTACAGACAAGCAAACGCTGAGAGATTTTGTCACCACCAGGCCTGCCCTAAAAGAGCTCCTGAAGGAAGCGCTAAACATGGAAAGGAACAACCGGTACCAGCTGCTGCAAAATCATGCCAAAATGTAAAGACCATCGAGACTAGGAAGAAACTGCATCAACTAACGAGCAAAATCACCAGCTAACATCATAATGACAGGATCAAATGCACACATAACAATATTAACTTTAAATGTAAATGGACTAAATTCTCCAATTAAAAGACACAGACTGGCAAATTGGATAAAGAGTCAAGACCCATCAGTGTGCTGTATTCAGGAAACCCATCTCACGTGCAGAGACACACATAGGCTCAAAATAAAAGGATGGAGGAAGATCTACCAAGCAAATGGAAAACAAAAAAAGGCAGGGGTTGCAATCCTAGTCTCTGATAAAACAGACTTTAAACCAACAAAGATCAAAAGAGACAAAGAAGGCCATTACATAATGGTAAAGGGATCAATTCAACAAGAAGAGCTAACTATCCTAAATATATATGCACCCAATACAGGAGCACCCAGATTCATAAAGCAAGTCCTGAGTGACCTACAAAGAGACTTAGACTCCCACACATTAATAATGGGAGACTTTAACACCCCACTGTCAACATTAGACAGATCAACGAGACAGAAAGTCAACAAGGATACCCAGGAATTGAACTCAGCTCTGCACCAAGCGGACCTAATAGACATCTACAGAACTCTCCACCCCAAATCAACAGAATATACATTTTTTTCAGCACCACACCACACCTATTCCAAAATTGGTCACATAGTTGGAAGTAAAACTCTCCTCAGCAAATGTAAAAGAACAGAAATTATAATAAACTATCTCTCAGACCACAGTGCAATCAAACTAGAACTCAGGATTAAGAATCTCACTCAAAGCCGCTCAACTACATGGAAACTGAACAACCTCCTCCTGAATGACTACTGGGTACATAACGAAATGAAGGCAGAAATAAAGATGTTCTTTGAAACCAATGAGAACAAACATACCAGAATCTCTGGGATGCATTCAAAGCAGTGTGTAGAGGGAAATTTATAGCACTAAATGCCCACAAGAGAAAGCAGGAAAGATCCAAAATTGACACCCTAACATCACAATTAAAAGAACTAGAAAAGCAAGAGCAAACACAGTCAAAAGCTAGCAGAAGGCAAGAAATAACTAAAATTAGAGCAGAACTGAAGGAAATAGAGACACAAAAAACCATTCAAAAAATCAATGAATCCAGGAGCTGGTTTTTTGAAAGGATCAACAAAATTGATAGACCGCTAGCAAGACTAATAAAGAAAAAAAGAGAGAAGAATCAAATAGACGCAATAAAAAATGATAAAGGGGATATCACCACCAATCCCACAGAAATACAAACTACCATCGGAGAATACTACAAACACCTCTACGCAAATAAACTAGAAAATCTAGAAGAAATGGATAAATTCCTCGACACATACACTCTCCCAAGACTAAACCAGGAAGAAGTTGAATCTCTGAATAGACCAATAACAGGAGCTGAAATTGTGGCAATAATCAATAGTTTACCAACCAAAAAGAGTCCAGGACCAGATGGATTCACAGCCGAATTCTACCAGAGGTACAAGGAGGAACTGGTACCATTCCTTCTGAAACTATTCCAATCAATAGAAAAAGAGGGAATCCTCCCTAACTCATTTGATGAGGCCAGCATCATTCTGATACCAAAGCCGGGCAGAGACACAACCAAAAAAGAGAATTTTAGACCAATATCCTTGATGAACATTGATGCAAAAATCCTCAATAAAATACTGGCAAACCGAATCCAGCAGCACATCAAAAAGCTTATCCACCATGATCAAGTGGGCTTCATCCCTGGGATGCAAGGCTGGTTCAATATACACAAATCAATAAATGTAATCCAGCATATAAACAGAGCCAAAGACAAAAACCACATGATTATCTCAATAGATGCAGAAAAAGCCTTTGACAAAATTCAACAACCCTTCATGCTAAAAACTCTCAATAAATTAGGTATTGATGGGACGTATCTCAAAATAATAAGAGCTATCTATGACAAACCCATAGCCAATATCATACTGAATGGGCAAAAACTGGAAGCATTCCCTTTGAAAACTGGCACAAGACAGGGATGCCCTCTCTCACCACTCCTATTCAACATAGTGTTGGAAGTTCTGGCCAGGGCAATCAGGCAGGAGAAGGAAATAAAGGGTATTCAATTAGGAAAAGAGGAAGTCAAATTGTCCCTGTTTGCAGACGACATGATTATATATCTAGAAAACCCCATTGTCTCTGCCCAAAATCTCCTTAAGCTGATAAGCAACTTCAGCAAAGTCTCAGAATACAAAATCAATGTGCAAAAATCACAAGCATTCTTATACACCAACAACAGACAAACAGAGAGCCAAATCATGAGTGAACTCCCATTCACAATTGCTTCAAAGAGAATAAAATACCTAGGAATCCAACTTACAAGGGACATGAAGGACCTCTTCAAGGAGAACTACAAACCACTGCTCAAAGAAATAAAAGAGGATACAAACAAATGGAAGAACATTCCATGCTCATGGGTAGGAAGAATCAATATCGTGAAAATGGCCATACTGCCCAAGGTAATTTACAGATTCAATGCCATCCCCATCAAGCTACCAATGACTTTCTTCACAGAATTGGAAAAAACTACTTTAAAGTTCATATGGAACCAAAAAAGAGCCCGCATCGCCAAGTCAATCCTAAGCCAAAAGAACAAAGCTGGAGGCATCACACTACCTGACTTCAAACTATACTACAAGGCTACAGTAACCAAAACAGCATGGTACTGGTACCAAAACAGAGATATAGATCAATGGAACAGAACAGAGCCCTCAGAAATAACGCCGCATACCTACAACTATCTGATCTTTGACAAACCTGAGAAAAACAAGCAATGGGGAAAGGATTCCCTATTTAATAAATGGTGCTGGGAAAACTGGCTAGCCATATGTAGAAAGCTGAAACTGGATCCCTTCCTTACACCTTATACAAAAATCAATTCAAGATGGATTAAAGATTTAAACGTTAGACGTAAAACCATAAAAACCCTAGAAGAAAACCTAGGCATTACCATTCAGGACATAGGCATGGGCAAGGACTTCATGTCCAAAACACCAAAAGCAATGGCAACAAAAGACAAAATTGACAAATGGGATCTAATTAAAATAAAGAGCTTCTGCACAGCAAAAGAAACTACCGTCAGAGTGAACAGGCAACCTACAAAATGGGAGAAAATTTTCGCAACCTACTCATCTGACAAAGGGCTAATATCCAGAATCTACAATGAACTCCAACAAATTTACAAGAAAAAAACAAACAACCCCATCAAAAAGTGGGTGAAGGACATGAACAGACACTTCTCAAAAGAAGACATTTATGCAGCCAAAAAACACATGAAAAAATGCTCATCATCACTGGCCATCAGAGAAATGCAAATCAAAACCACTATGAGATACCATCTCACACCAGTTAGAATGGCAATCATTAAAAAGTCAGGAAACAACAGGTGCTGGAGAGGATGTGGAGAAACAGGAACACTTTTACACTGTTGATGGGACTGTAAACTAGTTCAACCATCGTGGAAGTCAGTGTGGTGATTCCTCAGGGATCTAGAACTAGAAATACCATTTGACCCAGCCATCCCATTACTGGGTATATACCCAAATGACTATAAATCATGCTGCTATAAAGACACATGCACACGTATGTTTATTGCGGCATTATTCACAATAGCAAAGACTTGGAACCAACCCAAATGTCCAACAATGATAGACTGGATTAAGAAAATGTGGCACATATACACCATGGAATACTATGCAGCCATAAAAAATGATGAGTTCACGTCCTTTGTAGGGACATGGATGAAATTGGAAATCATCATTCTCAGCAAACTGTCGCAAGAACAAAAAACCAAACACCACATATTCTCACTCATAGGTGGGAATTGAACAATGAGATCACATGGACACAGGAAGGGGAATATCACACTCTGGGGACTGTGGTGGGGTTGGGGGAGGGGGGAGGGATAGCATTGGGAGATATACCTAATGCTAGATGACGAGTTAGTGGGTGCAGCGCACCAGCACGGCACATGTATACATATGTAACTAACCTGCACAATGTGCACATGTACGCTAAAACTTAAAGTATAATAAAAAAATAAAAAAAAATATATATATATATATGGACTCGTAGATAGATAGTGTTGAATGGTCTGCATCATTGGGCAGGGGCCTGGAAAGACAAAGGTAAAAATTTTGGGGGAAAGGGGTTCTGGCAGAGAGGCAAGTGGACGAACCTATGAGACAGGACACAGTATGTAAAGATGTGGTACTAATCCCATCAGGAATTTGGACATACAGAATGACTAAGGTAACAAGATGACTCAGCCAGTTGGCATCAGCCAGCTTCTGTTATTTGTCACCACAGTAATGGGACAGTAAGAATATGAACAAAGTCATTATGGTAGCAGGAGTTCAGATGACACGTGGCCCTGTAGCTGAATGTCCAACCTGCCAGTAACATAGCCCATTGTTGATCCCCGGCTATGGCATCATCCATCCATCAGGGAGACTAACCAGCCGTTTGGTGGAAAGTACATGTTTGATTACATTGCACCTATTCTACTCTGAAAAGAGCAATGACTCATCTTAACTGGAGTAGAAACACTTTCCAGGTATGAGTTTGCCATTTCTGTCTCCAGTACCTTAGACAGCACCATTATCTGAGAGCTTACAAGTGTTTGTTCACTGGCGCAACATGCCACATAACATCACTATAGACTGGAAGACACACTACAGCAAATGAGGTGCAGCACTGGGTGTATGGTCATCGGATCCACTGATCCCACTATATACCTGTGTTATCCACAGGTTTCCAGGCTGATACAGTAATGGAATGGCCTGCTGAAGGCACAGTTAAGGCACCAGCTTGGAAAGAGTATCCTACAAGGAAGAAATACTATCCTCTAGGATTCAATATAGACCTTAAATCAAATAATAAGTGAAGCTGTATTCCCAATAGGTAAAATTCATAGATTCATGTCAAAGGTGGAAGTAAAATTGCCCTACTTACCATTACTCCTAGTGATCCACTTTGGGGGATTTGTGCACATCAGGGCTGTACGGATTTAGAAATCCTGTTTCCCAGAGGAAGAATGCTTACCCCTTGGTTCCTAGAGGGAGTCTCATTAATCCTCAGCTGTGGCTGCACTCTATCTCTTTAGACTTGCAGGCCAAGAAACTAACAGGCAAGGAGAGGAAGAGGTCACTATCCGGGCCAGGGTAATGGGCCCTGGTCATCAGAAGTGAGTGGAGCTGCTTTTACTCAATGGGGTTAGATAAGAATATGTTTGGCATCTGGGTGACCCATTTGGATGTCTCTTGACCCAATTTTAATGGCAAATGGACAACAGTAGCAGCCATATCCTTGTCCTGAGAGGAGTGTGAAGACCAGGGGCTGAACCCCTCAGGGATGAGGGTCTGGGTGAATCCTGAAGGCAAGCCACTTAGGCCAGCAGAGGCATGGGCTGAGGTTGAGGAAAATCTAGAATGAGTGTTCTAGGAGTGGGGTGATAAGCATCATTTATAACCTCAAGACCAGTTGCAGCTGTTGTAGGTGGCTACTGTTCACTCCACCAACCTTCCTCTTGCAAGTTTCCTTAAAAAATGAGGCTCAACAGATTTCTGGATGAGTTTTCCAGAACTTTGTATATAAGCAAGTGGATTTGAATGGCACAAGGGGTGGGTCATGGTGGAGTTCATAGTGTGCTGCCCAAGTTTTTCCCTCCCAGGTCTAAAGTGCTTCTTCCCCAGCTGCTAGAAGTGTTGGCAGCCAATGCTTCTCAGCGGAATTTCCTCTATGAGGCCCGCCGTCAGCTAAAAACAGCTGCCTTGCCCAGAGTTGTGTCCTCTTCCAGGAGCATCCTGCAGCCAGGGCTGGTTCAGATGGGGGTATAAAAGCCTGGCCCCTCGACCTCATTTGTGCTATCCCAGTTCTAAAGCTCCCTATGGGATTGCTGAGACCTGGGCTGCAATTGCACCACAATATCAATTCTCCCTCTCCTTAGTTCAGCTTCCCCATACTCTCAGTGAACCCTGCATGAACATCTTCATCTAATAGTATGCTTTCCAGAGAAATGAGTTGGTGACATCCCTGATTCCTGGTTGAGATCTGTGTGCCATCAGAAAACTTAAACACCTCCAATGCTTTGTGCCCACAGTTTTATACTCAAGGCCCTGGTGATGCTATTCCCAATTGTAGGGTAATTAGGTTCAGGATTCCTTGAGAGAGGAATAGGGGATATGAGCAAATTCTGTTCAGTCCTTCACAAACAGAGGGCACCTCTTCCCTCTACTCCCCTTCTTGATCTCCTCGTGAAGACTGACCTGAAACCTGAGGGTCTACTGATCCCAGTGAGCTATTCTGTGGCCATCCCATGCCTCCTGGACATGCTGACCTCTGGAGGTACATCCTGATTGATGTTTAGGGCTAAAGTCTGCTAGGCTATAGGAGAGGCAGAGAGGTTTTTTGTACTCAGAGTGAGGGCCAGTGATTGCTCTGAGTGGGAGCCCTTCTGTAGTAGATACAAAAAGCTCTCTGATGGTTCTAGGGATCCATGCTTCTACTTGCGGCTCTCACAGAGAAATCTTCTAGAAATAGAGTAAGTGTGCCAGTTATCCTGGCCCCTGTCCGACTTGGGCTTGTGAGTGTGGAACCCTCTGACAACATTCCCTCCCTCAATGGGTGGAGGTAGTGATGCTTTCCAAGAGGTAGTGCTCTCAGAACAGGAGATCTTGGTGGGTCATTGGTCAGATCCCTTAAAAGATATTAATATACCCCTATTATGGATGGGGTAACTAAAGCCAAAAGTAACACAGTGACAGAGACCAGTTCTCTGTCTGTGATGAAACTGAGGTCATCTGCCTCCTAGATCAGTGCCCTTCCTAATGTCTCATTCTGTTCTTTATATTGCCTTGTGCCATTGCCACCACACAGTCCAAGGGGGACAGCCTTATGAATGGTGCCTCTGGGAGCTTTGCATGCAGCGACCCTGCTGGGCATGCATGACACAGTAGGCCATTGGCCCTCCAGATCAATGGCCTTAGACCATGCAGAGTTATACCAGCAGGGCACCTGTGACCCTTTTCTACCCTTGGGGACATAGTTGGTCTCTGCGTTCAGGTACATAGGTAATGTGACCAATGGAAACGCAAGCTGATTTTGTATGCTGAAAGGGAATCCTGATTTAAGTTGCTTATACAGGAAGATGAGGTCCTGTCCATTTGATTGAAAGCTCTCAAGCTAGTAAAGTTAAGGTGTGAGTAAACAGTGACAGAGAGAAATTAATTTTCTGGGTCTAAGAAGCTAACCTTTAATTGCAGCTTTGGCATTTAGAAAGTTTCCATGTCATTGGTTCTACTTCTTCAACCACAACATTTGGCATTCCACCCTGCCTCAGCCATTCTTCCAATTATCTTCTCCCCTCCCAACTACCAATGCCCCAGTTCCATATCTTCCATACACTGCAATAGTGAGCTAAGTGCTTCTCCCTTCTCCTCCCAATTCAGCCCATGGCCACCTGGCTGCCCTTCCTGAAGCCCCTCATAGTGTGGTCATGGCACTTCTCTCCACTGAATCAAAACTTGCAATGCATTCTATTCCTAGAGTGACCACATGCTCCAGTTTGCTTAGGACAGTGTTAATTTATATCCGTTGTTCCAGAATAATTATGAATAATACCACTTTTCTGCTCTCAAAAGCATCCTAACTGGGCTGGGAAGAACCATATGTTCACCTTACATGGAGCACAAACTCCCCACCTAGACAGCCTGGTCTCAAACTTCTTTCCAAATTTCCCCACCATTTCACACATACTCCAACACTGACATCTTTTGATGGGCTCCCACCCAACTGGGTAAATGCAGCATGATCATTCCTACTTCTTGGATTTTGCCCAAGCAACACCCCTTCTCCTCTACCTAGACTGAAATACCTCCAGCAGAGCCTCTCCACTTTGTGCATGCACAAGACCCACTTTAAGCTCCACCACACCTGTAAAACCTGCACCTAAACCTCTGGTCAAAGGTCACCTAGCCTTCCTCTGATTTCCAGTGTCTGTCATGTCTGCCTAGTCTGGGTTGGAAGACCGAGGAGCAGGGTCGGGTAGAGGGAGATACCACAGGGCTGTTAAAATAGGTCCCAGGAGAGGCAAGTATGAGGTGGGGAGGAAAGGAATGGTGGCAAAGCTCCAGATATTTTCGTGGCTGAAGTTTGGGGTCTGGGAAATACTGTTGAAAATGGGAATAGAGGGCTGGAATGGGTTTGTCAGTTTCACCCTGCATTTCAATGAAGACCAGCTAAGCCAAAAACTCATTTCCCAGGGACATAGTTCCCACCCCCTTAACCAAGCCCCTCTTGGCCACAGCCATCTTTGTCCCCCTCAGCTCAGTGTGGATTTCCCACAAAAAAATTACAACTAGTGACTATAATAAAATATGCACATACTTTATGTATTCCTAAAACAACATTTACTTCCATTTAATGAGTCACACTTTGGGTTCACAAGAACAATGACATTTTCATACTGATCATCTTTGCCAGGACCTTTACAAGATTCCAGGGAGGAAGAGAGGAGAGGGGGAACATTGCCCACACGTGACAGGGGATCGAATTGGGGCTCCCAGGGGGTAAAGAATCTGCACAAAGCTTTACAGTTTAAAAATAACTGATATTCATGGAGGATAAGTTTTAAAGCCTCAATAAATTAAATGCAATACGTTTTTTTTTTAAAAAAAAAAATATATATATATAATAAAACCCATGCCCTTTGGACTGATAATGAGGTTACCTCAGAATGCATTGTAAGAAGGGAAAACAAATTAGGCAACACTCAGGCTCTGGTTTGGTTTCAAAAATGGTGATTATTTATGGCTTTGGAGTTGGAGATTTTTGGTCCAGATACTTCATGGAATCCTGCACCCACTTCTTCTTGGGGTCGGCACAGATATCCTTGGCCAGTTTGGTCTTGAAGCTGTGGGAGATACAGGATGCAATTGGAAGGATTGTTTTTGAAAATTCTGCCCATTTGACCCTAAATATTTAAGGACCATCTGCCCCTGGACAAAGGGTTGCTACGGAGAGGAGGAAGGATGAGACTCTTGGGTTAGTTGCTGCTCTTAAAGGCCCAGTAAAACCATCTTTGCTCTTGACTTGAAGAAATTGATATGACTACAGCAATCTCCCAGGCAGGGAGCTGGGAGTGAACACTCACTTGTGAAAATTAATGAATTGGACCATAGAGGTCAAACTATCAGAGTCTATGACTCCCAGCAACTGTGACACAGTTCTTGACTCTGTGCCCTAGACATTATTTTTTTGTCTAGGGGAGGGTGAACTTTATTTACTTACATCACAGCTTTCTGGGGACATTTGCCACTGGTGATTCTCCTGTAGCTCTCTAGTCGCTGAAGGGGTATCTTCCTATTGGCCAGGTTAAAGCAGCAGGTGGTTGGGACAGAAGCTGAATTTTGGGGAAAAAAAATGAACAGAGAAAAAAATGAGCCACATGATGATACATAGACATTTCCAAGCATGACTTTGTAAAGGAAGTTAGGAGAAAGCAAGGAATTGCGAGAGGTGGAGGGAGAATCCCTCTGCTCTGAAGTCTTATGTGTCTGGAGGATGCTGTCCTGTGTCTTCAGCATCCTCCCCTGTGCACTGAGGACTCATCATTACTGTAGAGTGTATGGACAAAGCTTGGTCAATGTGACAAATGCTAGCTCTGTCATTATAAAGACCTACGTGGCCATGTGATGGTCATGGTAATTTTCACCAAATATTCTCCATCCTCTGTTTTGAGACACAAGGTAGACTTGCATTTCTTGGCCACTTTTGTTTGGTTGGAGGCATTAATTAGTTTTGATCAATAAAGAAGGAGACAAAGTGATGGGTGTCATTTTTGAGCCACAGTGCATTGCCTATGCAAGACTCCTGAGAGCTTTCTTCTGCTTTATCACAGTATCCATCAATGTTCCCCCACATGGGCAACTTCTCCATCAGTCTAGAATCCTGAGTATAAAATGCAGAAGCCTGAGCCCATACATTATAGATATTTAGTACAAGTGAGAAAGTAACTTTTGTTAATTTAGTTAATTCTGTTAAGTCATTGATAATTTAGAACTGTTTGTTACCATGCTATGCACTGGCTCAGTGGGACCGATACACTCAGTAAATTTGTCACCAGAGTATGGGAAAATGAGTTATGGAACAAATCTCCTAGATAACTTTCCCAAAGAGTGTCAAAATAAGTCACCTCAAGAGATCCCCCTGGGACCTCGTTCTTCTCTTAGCCACTGTCTCTGAAAGCTGTCCTGGAGTCGAATTAACATACTGAGCTTCTAATCAACAGATTTTCCTTCTCTCCCACTGCCAAAAATGCCCACCATGCCCACAGTAAGACAGAGCCATTCCCCATTCCCAAACACTGTAAGGATAGCTGGGTATGGATGCACCCAGCAACCCTCTTGAATGTGGGGAAAAGACTCGGGAGCTTTCTAGTTCTGGCTCTTCCAGTGACTGGATGTGAGGTTGAGGCATTTCTTGTCCACCCACAAAACCTGTTTCCCTATTTTTCAAATGGAGAATTTGCAGTGAGTCTGTAAAGATTCTTGCTGACCTAGTAGCTCTGGAGGTGGTTACCTTACCTTTCCTGTAAGGAGTTGGGGGGCTTACCTGGCCCAGCGAGCCCCTGGGGGCTGAAGGCAGCTGCTATGAGCAGCAGCCACAGAAGTGCTGCGGAGACCTTCATGTTGGAGGCTGAAGGTGTGAGCTTTGGCGTGAGAGGTGGTGGTTTCTGGGTTGGTCTCAGCCTCTCTGCTCCTCTGGCCCATCTGCCTGCCTTTTATAGGGAGCAGACAGTGTGGGAGATTCCAGGGAAGCCTTTGCCCATGCGGGGGTCACGATGAAGGGATTCCTGATTGCTGACCAGATTCCAGATCCTAGGAAGTCAAGCAGAACAGAAGAGAGGCAAGCTAGTAGGAGGGACTTGGTACATTTTTTAATCCATCTGGATCTTGCCTTGGAAAAGGAGGGGAATATGTGGTTATGAAATGAAGTTAAACATCTGTAGTGGGGGAAGAGAGCAAGAAAACCAAGGCCCTAGGGGATGAGTTGAAATGAAACACCTGTAGTTGGGGAAAGGAGCAAGGAAACCAAAGGCCTGGGGGATGAGTCGATCTAAGAACCTTCCTTGATTCCTGTGTTCACATGGTGGTCTTGAGGATTTTGGAGACCAGGAAGGAGCCCCAAAACTTCCATTAGGCTCCCACCCAGATGCAGAGAGAGCTCAGCAGCCCTGCACATAGTTGCATCTCTGAACCAGGAAGGACAACACACCACAGCTTTGCTGCTGTGTTTCAATGTAATGATCACAGAATCTTAGTCCCTGAAATTTTAGCATGATAGGACATCAGAACTGGATAGTTTCTATTAATCTTGACTTCTGAGGCACTTTAAAACCATTTGCTTAGCTGCTAAAGCCCTTTTCCAAATGGAATTAAAACAAACCCCAACTCATCAAATACACTGTAGTGAAGGGGATTTGTTTGAAATAGAATAGGCAGCCTCTCGTGCCCTTATTCCCCAGGGAACACATTTAGGGAACACATTTGGAAAATCAATCATCTAGTTCCCCCCTCACTCTCTGAGCACACATTGCAGACAAGGTATCTGATGGCTAAAAATATCAAAGAGAGAGGCAACACAAGAACCTATACATATCCCTTTGTTCATAACACTAGGCACCCTAGTTGGAGAGGGTATAAGGGAGGCAAAGTCTTTAATGGAGTCACTGCAGCGGATTACAGCATTGAATACTGGTGTGGAGGTACTGCAAACCTGTTTCCTGTTTTTTCCTGCACACTCTCATATCAAATTGATTGATTGGTACAGTAGCACAAACAAGAATGTTAAAGATTCTGAGGAGTTGACTTGCGTTAGTTAAATACTGTGTTGTGGTTGACTGGTGATGTCTGTCATGGGCACAGGATTAGAGACAGCTCTTGCTGTCCTGCAAAGTCTCTAAGTGCCCATCTAGGATAATTGGTCTATAATTACCTAAAAAGTTAACTATAATTACCAAATAGAGGCCAAAAATGTGGAGTCTTCCCTGTTCTTTCCTGCTCCATTCCTGGTGGGTTAGTCTAATGTAGAACCTGAATTCAGGATATCTGCATTTGGATGATGGCTCTGTGACTGACTAGCTGTGATACCATGGACAACTTACTTAACCACTCTCTGCTAGGGTAAGAGCAGGATACTAATCATGTGTACTTTAGGGAATTGTCGTGTGAATTAAATGAGTTCATGTATCTAAACTGCTTAGAAGAATGACTAAATCACTGTAGGTACTCAGTGAGTAGAAGTTACTGTTTTTTATTATTAGGAAATAGGGCCGGGTACAGTGGCTCACACTTGTAATCCCAGCACTTTGGGAGACTGAGGCAGGCAGATCACTTGAGGTCAGGAGTTCAAGACCAGCCTGGCCAACATGGTGAAAACCTGTCTTTACTAAAAATACAAAAAATTAGCCAGCCATGGTGGATGGTGTTTGTAGTCTCAGCTACTCAGGAAGCTGAGGCATGAGAATTGCTTGAACACAGGAGACAAAGGTTGCAATGGGCAGAGATCATGCCACTGCACTCCAACCTGGGCAACAGAGTGAGACTGTGTCTCAAAAAAAAAAAAAAAAGAAGGGCAGATTGGGAATGCTGGAAAGACCTCAGAGTCTGGATATTTCTCCAAATATTCTTCCAAGTTTTCCCACTGCTTCCAAGTAAAGATATGCTACCGCAGGGATGGTTTCCAAGAATGCCTGAGTTGCACATGTGGCAGATACGAAGTTTTAAAAAATTCTCGGCAGAATAAATTTGGAATATTATTGACCTCAGAGGTGTTTGTCTGACGTGGTTTAATGATTGTTTCTGTAGTAAGAATAATTTCATAACTCTGGCGGGAATTTAAAGGAATTATCAGCAAGCGATTATTCATTTTTGTGTTTTCCTTGAAAAATGGCTTTGGAGTTAATGGGCTTTGGATTTACTCTACACCTGAAAAACCTCAGTGGCTCAGTGGAAATAAATAAAATCAATCTTTAGATATCCAAGCTCTGCAGCTGTTTCATCCAGCTCACTGGCCATCCCTAGCAAGCAGGGGCAGCTTCAAGGGCTTTTTCTCTTTCTTTCTTGGAGGCTTTCTTTTCAGCAATGAAGTAGAGTAGACCAATTTCTTGCCTGTGATTTGGTGCCTGATGAATGAGGGGCCTTGATCAGGAATGATCCTGAGTGATGGGCAGGAAATGGATCCCCCCTTGTGAAAACAAAATATTGACTTCTAAAGAGTTTTTTTTCTTTTTTTTAATTGGAAAAGGTATCTTTTATTTTTATTATTATTCTTTAAGTTCTGAGATACATGTGCAGAGCGTGCAGGTTTGTTACATAGGTATACATGTGCCATGGTGGTTTGCTGCACCCATCAACTCGTCATCTACATTAGGTATTTGTCCTAATGCTCTCCCTCCCCTTGCCTGCCATCCACCGACAGGCCCCAGTGTGTGATGTTCCCCTCCCTGTTTCCATGTGTACTCATTGTTCAACTCCCACTTACGAGTGAGAGCATGCAGTGTTTGGTTTTCTGTTCCTGTGTTAGTTTGCTGAGAGTGATGGCTTCCAGCTTCATCCACGTCCCTGCAACGGACATGAACTCATTCCTTTTTATGGCTGCATAGTATTCCATGGTGTATATATGCCACGTTTTCTTTATCCAGTCTATTATTGATGGGCATTTGGGTTGGTTGAAGTCTTTGCTATTGCAAATAGTGCTGCAGTAAACATAACGTGTACATGTTTCTTTACAATAGAATGATTTATAATCCTTATATACCCGGTAATGGGATTGTTGGGTCAAATGGTATTTCTGATTCTAGATCCTTGAGGAATCACCACACTGTCTTCCACAACGGTTGAACTAATTTATACTCCTCCCACCAACAGTGTAAAAGTGTTCCTATTTCTCTACATCCTTTCCAGCATCTGTTGTTTCCTGACTTTTTAATGATTGACATTCTAACTGGCATGTGATGGTATCTCATTGTGGTTATGATTTGCATTTCTCTAATGACCAGTGATGATGAGCTTTTTTTCATATGTTTGTTGATCACATAAATGTCTTCTTTTGAGAAGTGTCTGTTCATATCCTTCACTCACTTTTTGATGGGATTTTTTTTTCTTGTAAATGTTTTTAAGGTCCTTGTAGATTCTGGATATTAGCCCTTTGTTGGGTGGATAGATTGCAAAAATTTTGTCCCATTCTGTAGGTTGCCTGTTCACTCTGACGATAGTTTCTTTTGCTGTGAAGAAGCTCTTTAGTTTAATTAGATCCCGCTTGTCAATTTTGGCTTTTGTTGCCATTGCTTTTGGTGTTTTAGTCATGAAGACTTTGCTCATGCTTATCTCCTGAATGGTATTGCCTGGGTTTTCTTCTAGGGTTTTTATGGTTTTATGTCTTGCCTTTAAGTCTTTAATCCATCTTGAGTTAATTTTTGTATAAGGTGTAAGGAAGGGGTCCAGTTTCAGTTTTCTGTATATGGCTAGCCAGTTTTCCCAACACTATTTATTAAATAGGGAGCCCTTTCCGCATTGCTTGTTCTTGTCAGATTTGTCAAAGATCACATGGTTGTAGATTTGTGGTGTTATTTCTGAGGCTCTGTTCTGTTCCATTGGTCTATATGTCTGTTTTGGTACCAGTACCTTGCTGTTTTTGTTATTGTAGGCTTGTTGCATAGTTTGAAGTCAGGTAGCATGATGCCTCCAGCTTTGATCTTTTTGCTTAGGAATGTCTTGGCTATATGGGGTCTTTTTTGGTTTCATATGAAATTTAAAGTAGTTTTTTCTAATTCTGCAAAGAAAGTCAATGGTAGCTTGATGGGAATAGCACTGAATCTATAAATTACTTTGGGCAGTATGGCCATTTTTACAATATTGATTCTCCCTATCCATGAGCATGGAATGTTTTTCCATTTGTTTGTGTTCTTTCATTTTGTTGAGCAGTGGTTTGTAGTTCTCCTTGAAGAGGTCCTTCAGATCCCTTGCAATTTGTGTTCCTAGGTATTCTATTCTCGTTGTAGCAATTGTGAACGGGAGTTCACTCATGACTTGGCTCTCTGTTTGTCTATTATTGGTGTATAGGAATGCTTGTGACTTTTGCACATTGATGTTGTATCCTGAGACTTTGCTGAAGTTGCTTATGAGCTTAAGGAGTTTTTGGGCTGAGACTACAGGGTTTTCTAAATATATAATCATGTCATCTGCAAACAGAGACAATTTGACTTCCTCTCTTCCTATTTGAATACACTTTATTTCTCTCTCTTGCTTGATTGCCCTGGCCAGAACTTCCAATACGATGTTGAACAGGAATGGTGAGAGAGAGCATCCTTGTCTTCTGCTGGTTTTCAAAGGGAATGCTTCCAGCTTTTGCCCATTCAGTATGATATTGGCTGTGAGTTTGTCATAAATAGCTCTTACAATTTTGAGATATGTTGCATCAATACCTAGTTTATTGAGTGTTTTTAACATGAAGAGGTGTTGAATTTTATTGAAGGCCTTTTCTGCATCTATTGAGATAATCATGTGGTTTTTTTGTCATTGGTTCTGTTTATGTGATGGATTATGTTTATTGATTTGCATATGTTGAAAGAGACTTGCATCCCAGGGATGAAGCGGACTCGATTGTGGTGGATAAGCTTTTTGTTGTGCTGCTGGATTCGCTTTGCCAGTATTTTATTGAGGATTTTTGCATCAATGTTCATCAAGGATATTGGCCTGAAATTTTCTTTTTTTGTTGTGTCTTTGCCAGGTTTTGGTATGAGGATGATGCTGGCCTCATAAAATGAGTTAGGGAGGAGTCTCTCTTTTTCTATTGTTTGGAATAGTTTCAGAAGGAATGGTACCATCTCCTCTTTATATCTCTGGTAGATTTCGGCTGTGAATTCGTCTGATCCTGGCCTTTTTTTGGTTGGTAGGCTATTAATTACTGCCTCCATTTCAGAACTTGTTATTGGTCTGTTCAGGGATTTGACTTCTTCCTGGTTTAGTCTTGGGAGTGTGTATGTGTCCAGGAATTTTTCCTTTTCTTCTAGATTTTCTAGTTTATTTGTGTAGAGGTGTTTATGGTATTCTCTGATGGTAGTTTGTATTTCTGTGGGATCAGTGGTGATCTCCCCTTTATCATTTTTTATTGTCTCTATTTGATTCTTTTCACTTTTCTTCTTTATTAGTCTGGTTAGCAGTCTATCTATTTTGTTAATTTTTTCAAAAAAACCAGCTCCTGGATTCATTGATTTGTTGAAGGGTTTTTCATGTCTCTATCTCCTTCAGTTCTGCTCTTATCTTAGTTATTTCTTGTCTTCTGCTAGCTTGTGAATTTGTTTGCTCTTGCTTCTCCAGCTCTTTTAACTGTGATGTTAGGTTGTTGATTTTAGTTCTTTCCTGCTCTCTCATGTGGGTATTTAGTGCTACAAATTTCCCTCTAAAGCTTTAGCTGTGTCTCAGGAATTCAGGTACATTTTGTCTTTGTTCTCATTGGTTTCAGATAACTTATTTATATCTGCCTTAATTTTGTTATTTACCCAGGAGTCATTCAGGAGCAGGTTGTTCAGTTTCCATGTAGTTGTGCTGTTTTGAGTGAGTTTCTTAATCCTGAGTTCTAATTTCATTGCACTGTGGTCTGAGAGACTGTTTGTTATGATTTCCGTTCTTTTGCATTTGCTAAGGCGTGTTTTACTTCCAATTGTGTGTTCAATTTTAGAATAAGTGCTATGAGGTGCTGAGAAGAATGCATATTCTGTTGATCTGGGGTGGAGAGTTCTGTAGGTGTCTATTAGGTCCGCTTGGTCCAGAGCTGAGTTCAAGTCCTGAATATCCTTGTTAATATTCTGTCTCCTTGATCTGTCTAATATTGATAGTGGGGTGTTAAAGTCTCCCACTATTATTGTGTGGGAGTCTAAGTCTCTTTATAGGTCTCTAAGAACTTGCTTTATGAATCTGGGTGCTCCTGTATTCTGTGCATATATATTTAGGATAGTTAGCTCTTTTTGTTGCATTGATCCCTTTACCATCATGTAATGCCCTTCTTTGTCTTTTCTGATCTTTGTTGGCTTAAAGCCTGTTTTATCAGAGACTAGGATTGTAAGCCCTGCTTTTTTATTTTTTAATTATTTATTTATTTTTTGCTTTTCAGTTGCTTGGTAAATATTCCTCCATCCCTTTATTTTGAGCCTATGTGTGTCTTTTTATGTGAGATGGGTCTCCTGAATATAGCACACCAATGGGTTTCGACTCATCCAATTTGCCAGTCTGTGTCTCTTAATTGGGGCCTCTAGTCCATTTACATTTAAGGCTAATATTGTTATGTGTGAGTTTGATCCTGTCATCATGATGTACTTTCCTCATAGTGTCATTGGTCTTTACATTTTGGTATGTTTTTGCAGTGGCTTGTATCGGTTTTTCCTTTCCATATTTAGTGCTTCCTTCAGGGGATCTTGTAAGGCAGGCCTGGTGGTGAAAAAATCTCTTGGCGTTTGCTTGTCGGTAAAGGATTTTATTTCTCCTTCTCTTGTGGAGCTTAGTTTGGCTGGATATGAAATTCTGGGTTGAAAATTCTTTTCTTTAAGAATGTTGAATATTGGCCCCCACTCTCTTCTGGCTTGTAGTATTTCTGCAGAGAGATCCACTGTTAGTCTGATGAGTTTCTCTTTGTGGGTAACCTGACCTTTCTCTCTCTGGCTGCCCTTAGCATTTTTTTTCTTCATTTCAACCTTGGTGAATCTGATGATTATGTGTCTTGGGGTTGCTCTTCTCAAGGAGTATCTTAGTGGTGTTCTCTGTTATTTCCTGAATTGGAATGTTGGCCTGTCTTGCTAGTTGGGAAAATTATCCTGGATAATATCCTGAAGTGTGTTTTCCAACTTCGTTGCATTCTCCCCGTTACTTTCAGGTACACCAATCAGTCATAGGTTTGGTCTTTTCACATAGTCCTATATTTCTTGGAGGCTTTGTTCATTCCTTTTCACTCTTTTTTTCCTCTAATCTTGTCTTCACAGTTTATTACATTAAGTTGATCTTCAATCTCTCATATCCTTTCTTCCTCTTGATCAATTCGGCTATCGATAGTTGTATATGCTTCACAGAGTTCTCGTGCTTTTCTTTTTAGCTCCATCAAGTCATTTATGTTCTTCTCTAAACTGGTTATTCTAGTTAGCAGTTCCTGTAACCTTTTATCGAGGTTCTTAGCTTACTTGCAATGGGCTAGAACATGCTCCTTTAGCTCGAAGGAGTTTGTTATTACCCACCTTCCGAAGCCTACTTCTGTCAATTTGTCAAACTCATTCTCTGTCCAGTTTTGTTTCCTTGCTGGCGAGGGGTTGTGATCCTTTGGAGTAGAAGAGGCATTCTGGTTTCTGGAATTTTCAATATTTTTGCTCTTTTTTTTCCTCATCTTTGTGGATTTATCTACCTTTGATCTTTGATGCTGATGACCTTTGGATGGGGTTTTTGTGTGGGCATCCATTTTGTTGATGCTGATGTTATTGCTTTCTGTTTGTTAATTTTCCTTCTAACAGTCGGCCCCTCTTCTGTAGGTCTGCTGGAGTTTGCTGGAGGTCCACTCCAGACTTGTTTACCTGGGTATTACCAGCGGATGCTGCAGAACAGCAAAGATTGCTGCCTGCTCCTTTCTCTGGAAGCTTCATTCCAGAGGGGCACCTGCCAGATGCCAGCTGGAGCTCTCCTGTGTGAGGCATCTGTTGACCCCTGCTGGGAGGTGTCTCACAGTCAGGAGGCACTGGGGTCAGTGACCCACTTGAGGAGGCAGTCTGTCCCTTAGCAGAGCTCAAGTGCTGTGCTGGGAGACCCTCTGCTCTCTTCAGAGCTGGCAGGCAGGAACGTTTAAGTATGCTGAAGCTGTGCCCACAGCCAACCCTTCCCCGAGGTGCTCTGTCCCAGGGAGATGGGAATTTTATCTATAAGCCTGTAACTGAGGCTGCTGCCTTTCTTTCAGAGATACCCTGCCCAGATGAAACAACAGAGGCAGTCAGGCTACAGCGGCTTTGCTGTGCTACTGTAGGTTCTGCCCAGGACGAACTTCCCGGCTGACTTCTAAAAAGAAAAAATAAAAGAAAAGAAAAAAGAAAGAAAAAAGGAAAAAAAGGAATTTTTCAGGGAGAGGTGAGTGATCAGTGATCAGCAGACAAGGATCCCAGGAATCAGGACTCCTGTCTTTGTTCTGTAGCTGTGTTCCAGATCTCCTCTAATATTGCAAAGTTATAGACAAACTGGAAAGAGACATTGACGTTGATTTTATTCCAACCCTCTCTTTAAAAAATAAAAATAAAAGAATAGACACCAGAGGCTTGGAGACTAGTGAAAAAATCCTTAAGGGAACTGTGTGCTTTAGGCTGAGTTGATTCTAGAGCCCCTGTTGGTTGACTCCCTGTCTTCTGAAATGTTTCGTAACTCTTAGTCTCAATCTCCCTTTGTGCAAAAGAGGACCAACGTAGGGTTCATTACTCCTCCTTCTCAAGCATCACTGAGCTCATTTCTGCAGTTTCTTATCACTTTTGGAAGAGAATTACACCAAACTCGATGTTAGTGTAAACATGCTAACAATGTGTCCAGCAGATAGTAAGTTATCAATGGCAATGCTAACCTATGCAATCTATGCAAGGCTCTATCTTACTTCATTTCACATGAGATGACTTATTTAATCCTCCGAACAAACTTATTCTAATTAAGTCCATTTTAAAGATGAGAGAAAGGAGACTTAGAGAAGTTAAATATCTTCCTCTTCTGTGAAATTATTTATGAAAGTGAAGCCTGCTTCCCAGATTGCCTTGAGGTTTCCCAAAGCCTTTTTATTTAAAATATTCTTTTTAAAAAATTTTTAAAATATTTTATTTTGTTAGAGATGGTGTCTCACTCTGTCGTCCAGGCTGGAGTGCAGTGGCACCATCATAGCTCACTGTAGCCTCGAACTCCTGGGCCTCAAGAGATCCTCTTGCCTCAGCCTCCAGAGTCACTAGGACTATAGGTGTGCTACCACATCTGTCTAATATTATTTTTTGTAGAGATGGGGGTCTCGCTTTGCTGCCTAGACTGGTCTTGAACTCCTTGCTTCAAGTAATCCTCCACTTTGGTTTCTCAAAGTGCTGGGATTACAGGAGTGAGACACAGTACCTGGCCTAAAATGTTCTTTTTGTTATAATCCTCTTAGGGCAATCAACTTTACTTTTTTGTACAGAGGTGGAAAACTGAGGCACAGAATGTCATAGCTACTTTTCTGGGCTAACTGGCCAGGGTAATGCTAGTCTAGGCTTCTATAACAACAACAACCTCAGTGGCTTACTGCAATATTTACTTTTTGTTTGTATTGTAGCCTGATGTTGGTTAGGCAGCTCTCCAAAAGTGCTCTCTTGTAAGGAATGACTCATAGATTCAGGCTGTTTGTCAATTACAGCTTTCCTATGGAACATATGGCTTCCAAGTTCCCAGATGTGAGTGGAGAGAGGGTTGATAGATTGTGTAGGATGTTTTAAAGAACCAGACATAAAAGCTGCTTACGTCACTTCTGCCTACTTCACATTGGCCTTCACTCATCATCCAACTCCAGAATAACTGCAGAGGAGCTGAGACATGAAGAGGATCACATGAATATTTGGTGAAGACTAATAATTTCTGTTAGAATCTGCCTTTTGCTTACTTCTTCTCACATGTAGAATACACAAATAATCCACCCACAAGAGAGACAACCCAAGGTGCCATTTAGTCATTGCACCAACCTAAATGGACAGGATCTCTTGATGATGGTTAGTTATCTCCATCAGCTGAGATTATGGATCTACTTTGTCCAGTGACCCTATGAGCTAAAAAGACAAATAATTTGTCACTTACCTAAAGTTTCAAGTTTGAAAAGGACAGGGTACTTGTAATCAACACTCTCATTTATGGAAAGAAAGATGGCATTCATCAATGGCCAATGCACTGTGCCAAGCCTAAAATCCTTCAGACAGATGTTATAAAAGTCTGCCATCCAGAACATCACACACCGGGGCCTTTTGGAGGGTGGGGGGCTGGGGGAGGGATAGCATTAGGAGAAATACCTACAGTAAATGACAAGCTGATGAGTGCAGCAAACCAACATGGCACATGTATACCTATGTAACAAACCTGCACGTTGTGCACACACACCCGAGAACTTAAAGTATAATAAAAAGAAAAAAAAAGTCCCCCATCCTTGATTAGACTGGTTCTCTCTTTCTGGGGGAGCTCTGTTGTCTTGTTGATCCTGGTTTCTGGTTTCCTTTGTGAGTTCCCTCCTTTTCCATTATTCCCCTTTGGTCACCTCTGAAGTGAGTATTGAAGAGAGACATGCTCTTCTTGGGGGCTCTGCTGTCTTTGAGGACTGCAAGCTGTACAGCAAGGCCTGGAGTTTGTCTTCTTTTTGAACTTGTCAGGACCACTCATGGTTTCACTGACAATATAGTACAGCTCTGGTAATAACAGTGGGCTTCTGATATCTTCACTCTCAGTCAATTCCATATGCCAGCAGCCACAGCCCAAGTTTCTTTCTTGGTATAATTTTCCAATTATTTTTCCTCTCTCTCTCTCCCTCTCCCTCTACCTCTCCTTCTCCTTCTCCTTCTCCTTCTCCTTCTCCTTCTCCTTCTTCTTCTCCTTCTCCTTCTCCTTCTCTTCTTAATAGGGAAGGCTGTGAGGCTTGAATGTTAGGCTACAACTTCAATCTGATTTTTGCCCTATGTTATTTCATCCAACTAAGAGTTTTTTTTTTTTCCCCATAGACTTTTATTGCTGATTTTTTTTCATCCTTAAATACCTTCTCTTAATATTTGGGACCCAGAAACAGATGGCTTTTCCAACAACATAAGGTCCTGGATTTGTGGATTTTATTATCTTTCATTTCTACCTTATGACCAGTTGATTTTTTTTTCTGAGCTCATCTCTTTCTCGGAATCCCTTCAAAAAGGAAGACAAAAACAATCAACATGCTACTAATGTATCTTTATCAAACTTTCCCCTTGGAGCTGCTATTTCAGCAGATAGCACCTGACAGGTTTGACAGTTTGTAACATGAATCTCTTATTTTCTTCAAACTGTGACATCAGCTTCCTCACTGCCTGCTACTAAATATCTAGTTAATGCTACATTTTTCATGTTCTTAATGGTAGCACATGATTGTGCTACTAATTCCTCTATTAATCAGGGTTAAAATAGGCTCCAAACTAGGCTTAGTGGCTTGACACAGCAAATGTTTATTTCTTTCTCATGTCACAGTTCAAGGTAGGCCAGGTGACCAGTGACTTGTGGATATGGACTGCTTCCATCTTGAAATTGAGCTATATGGAACACATTACCCCTAACATTACCACAACAGAGGAAGAGAGAGCTGTTTATAGGGACAAGGTCTGAAAGTGGCTCATATCATTTTAGCCCTCACCCAACTGGTTAGAATTCAATCACACAGCCCCTGGGTAAATGCAATTTGGGCTGGAGAATATAGAAGAGCCCACAGATATCTGGGGGACATTTGCAGTCTCTGCTACTTATGACTGGCACATGTCCAGCAGCAAAGTCTAGGAGGTGGGAAAGTTCCAGCAAAAAACACTCCTTACGCCTAAGCCAGAGGTCACAGATCAAGCCTGGAGACTACATTGATCTGAAAAAGAGAGTGTCAGGGAAACTCACTGGTCCCAAGACATGACTGAGAAATAGTTAAAAATGTGTAAGTGACACCTTCCCCACCCAACACTCCATATCAGAGTCTTTGCTGATGGTATCTGGAAATCTGTGTTTTTTTATTAGCATCTAAGTGATGTTGATGTGAATACGACTCATTGACCTACTCTACATCTCAATCTATGGAGGCTTGCTCAGGTAAAGTAACTTGCCTAAATTTACTAGGCACATTGCTGGTGTAACTAGCCTAATCTTTGAATCCCATTGAACTCAATGCCCAGTTATATACCAGCCTCTCTGTTCCTGTTCTTTCTAATTCTCTGTGCCCAAGAGTACAAGGCCTGCATGAAAACACATGATTTTATAATTTTTTGAAAATGAAGTTTCAGCAGATTCTGTTTGACCTTGAGCACATGTAGCCCTTCTCTCCTTTCCTGTCCTACCATCAAACACTCTGCTTAATATTTGCATGTATCAAATACTGTGTCTCACAGTATCTATTCATTCACCTCTACTCCTGGTCTGCCTGCTGGTTGTTCTCTCCTGGAATTTAAGATTACCCTCCTTATTGGTGTGAAATTAAATTAAATAAGTCAAACTTCAAATAATTTAAACTTAAAGCTATTAGGACTTTAATTATTCTGAGCCTTGAGAGGAATGTGGCTATGCAATCTGAGTTGTGTGGCATGCACCTACAACTTCTGCATTTTTGCTGTTTCCTGTAAACAATTAAGAAGACTGAGCCATGGCAGAGGTAAGACCCCTCAGATCATTACCTCTCCTTAAGGAATAGCAAATAATCTTCCTTAGAACATAGCAACCTATAACCAATCAAATCACTGTGGTGTATGCACCTTGTCTAGTATGAAAAATGTTGTAATCTGGCTGGAACTTCTGTCTTTACTTATGTAACTGAAACTTTTCCGGTTGTTTGGAGTTGATGCTTTTCCAAGTGGCCACCCTCAAGCTTTGTCCTTGAATGAACTGAATACTTATTCACATTTTCTGAATCTCATTGTTTAAGGTTGACTTTGGTGTTTGGGGGTGAGAACTGGTGGGCTGAAGAAGGGGTAGAAAGGGATGTTGGACTTGGTCTGAACACCAATGGTGGCAGAAATCAATGATGGCAGGCACTTGCCAAATCATCTGTTGGTCTCCTACTTGATTTTTTAATGAAAGTGACATTTGTATTTACTAGACTAGAGGATTGATTAGAAGGGGGAAAACCAGCCAGTCACAAGGCTGATAGAATAGAAGAGGGGACAGGCTTTTGGGTAGAGCGTGGGATGGTGAGAAAAAGAATGAGTTTGGGAAAAAAGAAAGGTATTTGAACAAGTGGCTGAAGCAGATGTCAGATCTGGAGCTGGGGGGTGGGTTCATCTGGCCCCAGCCTGTGGCTGCCTCTCCCTAACATGCAGGTGAGCCTGGCCTGGGGGAAAGCCCAGAGTCCATTACGCGCTCATTTCTCCACAATGTGAGCCCAACCTCTGCAACCACGCCCTTCACCTTGTCACCCTGTTACCCCCACCAGCTTTATTACTTTATCCTTTTAAAAAACCATGAATGGCAGCTGTTATACAAAAATCTATTTTATGTGAAAATTTGGGAGTCATACATATGCAAATATGTAATTATATAATAACAATATGCTTCCATAGGGACATCATATCTTAACAATTAAAGCAAATCTTTGCACTGATTCTTGCAAGGACTTATACAATACCCCCATGAGGTAGAGAAGGGAGGAGCATCCCACAGTTTTTACAGCACTGAGATGACATATACATCCAAGGCTTTATGTTCAAAACCCACCAAAATCCATGGAAGATTAAATTAAAATATTAATAACTTTTAAAATCTACTAAGAAAAACCATGATTCACATTATTACATAAAGCTCATATTCCTTAGAATTAGATTAAAATAATCTCAGAACCACTCTGAGAAAGGACAGGGTATACAAATTATTTGTTTCTCAAGTCATGGCTTGTTTTCAGTTCAGTCATGAATGTTCAAAGCTTTGGAGTTTGGGTTTTCTTGTCCAGGTGCTTCATAAAGTCCTGGACCCACTTCTGTGTGGGGTCAGCACAGATCTCCTTGTCCAGTTTGGTCTTGAAGCTGTGGAGCAGAAAGGAGACAGTCAGATGGAACACCTTGAGGGTTCAGCCTGGGAGTGTGACCAAGTCTATGGGAAATCTGTCTAGCCCATCAGCCTAGCTGATGGGGATGCCTCAGGGATGAAGGAAGAAGATAAAACAAAGGAAGGGGACTCAGAGAAGCAGCTCTTTTTGGTAGCCCAAGTGAATCTCTCTTGGTTCCAGGATGAAGGAACGAACTGAGATGTAAAATGATAGCTGGAAAGGGAGCTGAGAGTGAGAAGCCACTTTCTTTACTTGTATTGTTTCTCACTGGCAAATGTCTGGGATAAGGTTAGAGATGCTGTATGCATCACAGTATTTGACTCCAACTCATTCTGATACTAGTCCTATTCCCTGCCCAGGGAAGAACCTAGGACTGAGGTGTGAGGGGTGGGTGGTCATCGTCCACATACATTACAGCTTCCCGGGGACAGTGGCTACTGGTGGTCCTTCTGTAGCTCTCCAGCCTCTGCTTAGGGATTTTCTTATTGATAAATCTGTAGCAGCAGGTAGTTGAAGTATTAATCCCAACTGCAATGAAACAACAAGAAGAAAAGTCCATTGAGGGTGTGTCCTGGGTCTTTCTGTTTGTAAAACAGGGAATGGTAAGAAGAAGGAATCAGAAAGAAAGGAAGAGGTGGAGGGAAAAGCTGCCCATCCCAAACCCAATGTCTCTGCCCTTTGAGGCATTTCATAAACTCCCTTTCACTTTTATGGACTGTGAAATAGGG
This sequence comes from Homo sapiens, assembly GCF_000001405.40. Classification (NCBI taxonomy): domain Eukaryota; kingdom Metazoa; phylum Chordata; class Mammalia; order Primates; family Hominidae; genus Homo; species Homo sapiens. The sequence goes on along the minus strand of NC_000017.11, from coordinate 34,270,945 downwards.
ATGCACCATCACCAGTTGAAAGACGGAAGAGGAATTGATGGCTACTCTGGGCATTGCTAGGAGGGGCTAATATAATAATCCAATTCCTTAGAGCAAGGGTACCCCAACTATGGATCCCCTTTTAGGCTCTGAGCATTCAATGCTTGGTCATGAGTTTCCCTGATACGTACCACCTCTGCAGAGCTGCTGTTTCTGGAAGCTGGGCTTCCACAGACCAGATTCTGGGTCTCCCGGTATCTGGAAACAGCCCGCACACCCATCCCCAGAAGCCTCCTGTCTTTGATCACCCTGATCCCAAATTCTGCTGGAAGCAGCTGGAGTGGTAACTGCACTGAGGGTGTTCCCAGAGCTGGAATCCTAGAAGGAGCTGGATTTGGGGTTCACAGCTGGAATTCTAGTTCAGGCTCTACCCAACAGCAGCTGTGTGGTTGGGCTCACCCCTTATCCTTTTTCTAAGTTACCTTATCTTGGAAAAGTAGCTGTTAAAGTGAGACTGTGGGTATCAGGTCTTCTTGATTGGTCCAGGATAACCCAGAGAGGGGGCAATGTGCTTCAAGGAGAAGGAGAGAGGGACCTTACCTGGCTGAGCAAGCCCCTGGGGGCTGAAAGCAGCTGCTGTGAGCAGCAGACACAGAAGTGCTGCAGAGGCTTTCATGTTGGAGGGTGAGGGCATGGGCTTCCACATGAGAATTGGAGGTTTCTGGTTTGGTCTCAGCCCCTCTGCTCCTCTGGAAGCTCTGTCTCTGCCTTTTATAGGAAGCAGAGAGGATGAATCATAGAATGGAGTAATAAATCTATGGAGTAATAAATCTGCTGAGCCAGTGCACTTCAGTGGGAGGATAGGAAATGACAGTATGAGTCGAGGCTAGCCTGTTTTTCAGCTAAGACCAGGAGTGGTAGGTGAGGTAGGGTCTATGTAGAGGAAGACCACAGTATGTAATCTATGGCTATTATCAAGAGACCAGTTTCTCTGAAATGAGACACATTCTATAGAAAAAGGAAGGAATCAGGGATACCAAAGTCAAAGATATGTAAGGGATATTCCCCTTTTCCCTTTGGAGTGGTATCCCTAGGACACGAGTCCACAAAGAGACATTCAAACTTTGGTTCAACTCTACAAAGGACTCAAAGATTCTTCACTGTCTTAAATCCTGGTGGCTTTCTAAAACCCAGAGAAAAGTAAAATAATAGAACATTAGCAGAAAAATAAAATTCAATATTCTTAGAATAATAGTACCTAAAATTGTAGTGTCTATTTCAATAATCTATTGCTGCATAGCAATCTATCTGAAAACAGTGACTTAAAACAATAACAATCTTCTGGGTTTTTTTGCTCTTGACTATATCACAAGGCCTTCATTCAGTGTCTGGGGTCTGGGCTGGGAGGACTTCAACAGCCAGCAGTTGGACCAGATGGAATTTCTCAGGTGTCTCTCTCTCTCTCTGTATGTGTGTGTGTGTGTGTGTGTGTGTGTGTGTGTGTGTGATCTTTCCAGTGGTCCCTCCACATGGCTAGATATTTTGCATGATGGCTTAAGGATCCCAGGTGCAAGGTTAGGGAACATAGTCATACCTCTTAATGGGAAGAGTGTAAAATAATTTGAGGATATGTTTTAAAACCACTATTTGTTTTATAGGCTATCGGAACTGCACAGCATATCAAGATCTTAAAATACTGTGTTTCTAAAACATCTAATGAGCTGTGAAAATATTTTTCCAAGTAAAAGAATATAGGGAAGGCAAATTTATCGACAAAATCAGAGACCTTCAGTTTGAATCAGAGACAAGAGACTTCTTGTCATTCTTCCCACACACATATCTCAGAAATACAAAGAATAAATTTTGGAAACCACTAATCTAGCTCCTCATCTCACATACAACTAGCTCCTCATCTCACATACACATTACAAAATCACCAACTAATCGCCTTCCATATCAGTGAAAAGGGGTTTGATGAGAGACCATGGGTGGGGTCCTCATGCCTATAACTGGGCCATGGATCATGGACATGGAATGCAAAAAAGGAAAATTATTCAATGGGGGAATTGAGCATTATACAACTTTGAATATTAATTTGGGAGCAATGCAAGGCTTTGATTCTGGTTTTAGCTTTATGTCGTTTTATCTTACCCCTATGACTTTGCTCAGGCTACTCATTCTCTCGATTATCTCTTTTTCAAATTGTTTTTACTCCCAGCTCCAGAAATTGGTGAAGAGTTGGCCTACTTTCTATCTCCTTATTTATGGAGTCTTCCCAGCTCACTCTAATGTAACACATTAGAACAGCATATTTTCTAACCCAGGGTGTACGTTCCATCCACCTGATGCTTCTAAAAAGCAGAATCCTTTCCTTTGACTTTTCTTTCTTTTTCTTTTTTCTTTTATTTTGGAAGACAACTATCATGGATAACCTGCTGAATGATCGATGAAGTTGGAGTAGAACACGGGGGTCCTGCCCAGACAGGTCAGGAGCTCAAGGAAGTACTCATGGGTTCCAGTTGGTTAAACCTTTTTCCTTCAGAAAATCCTTAAGTGAAGTACCCCAAGATGTCCCTGCCTAAGATCCCAGAGAAAATGCCTGCTTATATTTATGATGGAAAGACCTGTACCTGTCACCTACAAGACCTGGGAATGGTAAAAATAAAAGGCTGCTGAATTGTTGCAGAATGTTGTAAAAACTTTTAAATAATTTAAAAACAATATAAGCTGGTTGTAGAAAATATGGCAAAATTAGAAACACTTATTTAAAAAAATTGTTGTACATTATCAACATCAGAAGATGTAAGTGGTTAATTTCCTTCCAGATTAAAAAATATATATTTTTAACACTTAGTCACAAAAGAATGTCCTTCTTTGTCTCCAGTAACAATTTTTGTCTTAAAATTTATTTGTCTGATATTATTAACAGTATAGCCACTAGCTCTTTTTTGATTATCATTTCCATGGGGTGACTTTTCCATACTTTTACTTTCAAGTTATCTGAGATTTCAGATTTACAACATGTATCTTATAGATAGCATACAGTTGGTTTATTTTAAAAATTCATTTACTCAACCTTTGCTTCTTGGGGGTTTTAACACTTTTACATTTAGTGTAATTACTGATGAAATAGGATTACCATCTGATATTTTCCCTTTTTTATATATTGATGTCTCTTTTGTTCCTCACTTTTTTAATTACTACTTTACTTTATGAACCATAAATATTTTCTACTGTACCATTGTATTTCCCATTTTTATTATATATGTTTGAGTTATTTTCTTAATGGCTACCCTGGGGATTATCATTAACATCATAATTTATAACAACCTATTTCAGATTAATATTTTAATTTCAATAGTGTATAAAACTTGATCCTATGTAGCTCCATGCCACTCCTCATCTTAACATTGTTATCATAACAAATTACACCTTTATACATTGTGTCCCCCTGAACAGAGATTTATAGTTAGTGCTTTATGCATGTGCCTTTTAAATCAGATACAAGAAACAAATAATTTTAAACAAATAAACAAAAGTATTTATACTGTCTTTTATATTTACTTATGTAGTTACTTTTACCAATGCTCTTTATTTATTTGAATTATCATTTAGTGATCTTTTGCTTCAGCCTGAAGAACTCTCTTTAGTATTTTTTGGAAGGCTGGAATGTCTTCATTTCTTATTCACTTTTGAAAAGGGTAGCTTTGCCTTATCTAGAATTGTTGATTGATTTTTTTCTTTCAGTATTTTTAATATGGCATGCCACTACATTCCCATGTTTGTAATTACATTATTCAAAATAGTCAAGTTATAAAAACAACATAAGTGTCCATCAATAGATGAATGGATAAAGAATATATGGTATATACACACAATGGGATATTATTCAGCCTTAAAAAAGAAGGAATCCTTCCACTTGTGACAACATGGATGAACCTTGAGGACATTATGCTAAGTGGAATTAGTTTCAAAGGGACAAATACTGAATGATTCCACTTATATGAGGTACGTAAAACAGACTCATAGAAGCAGAAAATAGAACGGTGGTCACCAGGGGCCAAGAGGTAACCACCATTCTGTTTTGTTATGTGCACCATAGACAATAGACTTTATAGGGTGCCATTCAGGTATCAACTCTTTTGACTAGTGAGGGCAGCCCAGAGAGATGTCCTGGAGAGCACTGTGAGACCTTGCTTTGAGTTTGAGTTCATGGTGCTGTGACTGGCATGCAATGTTTGCCATGAGCACAGATTCAGGTAATGGTCCCATCCATACCCTACATTTACCAGGTGTGAATTTGATAGGCTGAGGTTTCCTTTGAGCCACATTGTTCTATGTTATCTGAACAAGGACCAAAATGTCTTGGGAAATAGGAGGCAGAGAAAAGTATTTGCTGCTTAGTGCCAGGAGAGGCAGTTGAACGACGTGATTAAGAAATGGTTGCCTGCATCATTGCCTGGTTTTCCTGCATAACCATGGTCAAGCTACTTATTCTATCTGTTATTCAGTTTCCACATCTGTAACAATAGAGATAATAAAAGTAACTTCTTTTCTTGGTTGTTGTGAAGAATGAGTTAAAAATTAAAAGTGAAATGAAAATAATCAGAATGCAGTTAGTGCTCAGTAAGAACTAGCTCTCATTATTATTAGTATTAGGAAATAAGGATGGGTAGTGGATGAAGAGATACTAAGGAGGAACTCAAACTGATACTGATAGCTTCCTGAGCAAGTTGTTCCTAAATCTGTCTTGTTTTTTCAAAACAGAGATATTGAAAGGGGGATTGACTTTCAGGAAATACTGCATTGGATATAAGAAAAGGAGATGAGTGTCTTAGAAAGAAGGGACAGGTGAAGTCCTAGAAGTCCTGCAAGAACTTGAGATGAGAATTATTCTGGGCCTTAGTGGGATTTTGGTCGTTCAGCCCAGTGAGGACATTCTCTGTGTGCAACCAGTAATTTAGCTTTGCCCTGTTGGGTGCAAGCAGAAGTCACATATGTCATCTCTGAGCAGAAGTTAATATTCTCATGAATTCCTCCACCCTCCCTTAACTATGAGGATGACTTGACGCAGATGAGGGTGCCCCTTTGACTCAGAGGCCATACTGCAGAAGATATATGGAGCAGAGACACAGCAAAGTTTACCAGACATGAAGAAAGTACGAGGTTAGTATCAGGGGAAGCTGAGCAAGGAATATAAGGAAACCCTCTGTACTATTTTTGCAACTTTTCTGTAAGCCTAAAGTTTGTTCAGAATAAAAAGTTAAAAACACAATATAACAAAACTTGTGTGGTGCAGAGAAAGCAATGCTAAGAGGGAAGTTTACAGTTGTAAGTGCTTACATTAAAAAAGAAGAAAGATCTGAAATGAACAATCTAACTTTATATCTTGAGGAACCTAGAAAAAGAACAAACTAAACCCAAAGCTACCAGAAAGAAGAAAATAATAAAGAATGGATCAGTGATAAATGAAACAAAAGAAAAAATCAACAACACAAAAAATTGTTGTTTTGAAAAGATCAACAAAAATGACAAACCCTTAGCTAGATTAAGTAAGAAGAAAAGAGAGAAGACTCAACTAAAATCAGAAATGAAAGAGGGAACATTACAATTGATGCCCCAGAAATAAAAAGGATTATTAGAGAATATTATGAATAATTGTATGCCAACTGATTGAATAACCATAATAAATGGATAAATTCCTAGAAACACAGTTATTAAGAAATAGAAAATATCAACTGACCTATAACTAGTAAAAAGCTTTTATCAGTAATCAAAAACCTCCCAAGCAAGAAAAGTTCAAAATCAGATGGCTTCTCTAGAGAATTCTACCACATATTTAAGGAAGATTTAATACCAATACTCCTCAAGCTCTTCTAAGATATTGAAGAGAAGGAAACACTTCCAAACTTACTATGTAAGACCAGGATTACCCTGATACCAAAGTTGAACAAAGGCACTGCAAGAAAGGAAAACTACCAGCAAATATACCTGATGAATATTAATGCAAAAATCCTCAACAAAACACTAGCAAACCGAATTCAAAAGCACATTAAAAGGATTATATACCATCACTAAGTAGGATTTATTTCTGGAATGGAAGGATAATTCAACATTCAAAAACCAATCAATGTAATATGCCACATTAACAGAATGAAGAACAAAAATTACATTATAATCTCAATTCATGACAAAAAAGCATTTGACAAAATTCGACATCTTTTCATGATAAGAATACTCAACACACTAGGAAAATAGTGTGGAAATAGAAACTACCTCAACATAATAAAGTCCATGTATGAAAAGCCCACAGTTAAAAACATACACAATAGAAAAAGACTGAAAGCACTTTCTTGCTTCTGTCATTTCAGTTAAATATAGTACTGGAATGAGACCCATCTGAACAAAACAAGAAAAAAAGTCATCTAAATTGGAAAGGAAGAAGTAAAATTATCTGTTTCCAGATGATATGACTTTATATGTAGAAAACCCTGAAAATTTCACACATGCAAAAGAACTGTTACACCTAATAAAGGAATTCGGCAGAGTACAAATACAACACAACAAATCAACACACAAAAATCAGACATTTTATATACATGAACAATAAACACTTTGAAAAGAAAATTAATAAAACAATTCCATTTACAATAGCATTGAAAAGAATAAAATATTAGGGATAAGCCAATATCTAGAAGTAAAAACTTGAACAACAAAAACTACAAAATATTGCCCAAAATTAAAGAAGATACAAATAAATGAGAAGACATCCCAGGTGTATGAATTGGAAGAATTAATATTGTTGAGATTGACAGCTTAACAATGCTACTCAAGTAATCTACAGATTCAGTGCAATCCTATCAGAATCCCAATGGTATCTTTGCCAAAATAGAAAAACCCATCTTAAAATTCACATGGAATATCAAATAATTCCAAATAGTCAAAAACAATTTTGAAAAAGAAAAACAAACTTGAAGGTCTCACTCTTATCAATTTCAAAACATATTACAATTCTACAATAATCAAAATAATGTGTTATTGGCATAAAGACAGACATATAGACCAGTAGAATAGAATAGAGAGCCCAGAAATAAAATCTCTTGTATATGGTCAAATGATCTTTGACAAGGATGTCAAGACCACTCAGTAAGGAAATGTCAGTCTCTTAAACAGTTGATGTTGGGAAAACTAGATATCCAAATGAAAAGATTAAAGCTGGACCCTTGCTGGGAGCACTGGTTCACGCCTGTAATCCCAGCACTTTGGGAGGCCGAGGCGGGTGGATCACCTGAGGTCGGGAGTTCAAAACCAGCATGACCAACATGGAGAAATCCCGTCTCTACTAAAAATACAGAATTAGCCCGGGTGGTGGCGCGTGCCTGTAATCCCAGCTACTCGGGAGGCTGAGGCAGGAGAATCGCTCGAACCCGGGAGACGGAGGTTGCAGTGAGCCAAGATCACGCCATTGCACTCCAGCCTGGGCAACAAGAGTGAAACTCCGTCTCAAAAAAAAAAAAAGCTGGACCCTTATATTATACCATATACAAAATTCAACTCGAAATGGATCAAAGACCTAAATGCAAGATGTAAAATTATAAACCCCCAGAAGAAAGTAGGGGGAAATCTTTATGATATTGGATTTGACAATTTTTTTTTTTTGAAATGGAATTTCACTCTTTTTGCCCAGGCTGGAGTGCAATGACACGATCTCAGCTCACTGCAACCTCTGTTTCCCAGGTTCAAATGACTCTCCTCCCTCAGCCTCCCAAGTAGCTGGGATTACAGGTATTCACCACCATGTCTGGCTAATTTTGTATTTTTAGTAGAAATGGGGCTTCACCATGTTGGCCAGGCTGGTCTTGAACTCCTGACCTCAAGTGATCTGCCCGCCTCAGACTCCCATAGTGCTGGGATTATAAGCGTAAGCCACTGCGCTTGGCTGTTTTTTTTTTTTTTTTTTTTTTTTTTTGTTGATATAACACCAAAAGCACAGGGAACCAAAGCAAAAATAGATAAATGGAATTACATCAAACTTAAACACTTTGGTGTATTGAAGGGCACAATCAGCAGAATGAAAAGTCAGTCTATGAAATGAGAGAAAATACTTACAAATCATGTAACTGATAAGGGGTTAACATTAGAATATATAAAGAATTTCAGGTTGGGCACAGTGGCTTACGCCTGTAATCTCAACACTTTGGGAGGCTGAGGCAGGCAGATCACTTGAGGCTAGGAGTTAGAGACCTGCCTGGCCAAAGTAGTGAAACCAAGTCTCTACTAAAAATACAAAAGATTAGCTGGGTGTGATGGTGTGTGCCTGTAATCCCAGCTACACAGAAGGCTGAGGTACGAGAATCGCTTGAACCCAGCAGGTGGAGGTTGCAGTGAACTGAGATCACACCACTGCACTCCATCCTGGGCAACAAAGTGAAACTCTGTCTCAAAAGAAAAAAAAGAACTTCTACAGCATCGACAATACAAAACAAATAACCCAATTAAAAATAGGCAAAGGATTTCAATATACATTTTCCAAAGATGATATACAAACGACCAACATGCATCTGAAAAGATGCTCAATATCACTAATACTAGAAAGTTGCAAATCAAGACCATAGGGAGGTATCACCTCACCTCCATTAGGATGGCTAGTATCAAAAAGACAGAAAATAACAAGCGAAGACAAGGATGCGATAAAACTGGAATCTTTGTTTACTGTTGGTGGGAATGTAAAATGGTGCAGCTACTATGGAAACAATATGGTAGATCTTAAAAAAATAAAAATATGATTACCAAATGATGCAGCAATCCCACTTGTGGGTATATATCCAAAGGAACTGAAAGCAGAATCTGGAAGAGACATTTGCATATCCACATTCAGAACAGCATCCTGCACAATAACCACGAGATGAAAACAACCCAGCTGTCCATCACTGAATGAACAGATAAACAAAATGTGGTATATACATACAATGGAATATTATTCAACCTTAAAAAAGAAGGGAATTTTGACACATGCCTTAACATAAATGAACCTTGAGAACATTATGCTAAATAAAATAACCATTCACCAAAAGACACATATTGTATAATCCCACTTACAGAAGGTACCTAAAGTAGTCAAATTCATAGAAGAGGAAAGTAGAATGGTGGTTGCCGGGGCTGGGCAGCGGAGGAAATGAGCAGGTATTGTTTAATGAGTATGCAGTTTCAGTTTTACAAGATGGATTTACAAGATGGAAATCTATTGCACAACAATGTTAAGTATATGAACATTAACAATACTGAAGTATACACTTAAAAATGGTAAATATGATACATTTCATGGTATGCATTTTTTAACCAAAATTTTTCAAAATTGAAAACTTTAAAAAAGAGATAATGATACCTTATGGAAATGAATTTTATAGCCTCCAAATGAAAGATTGACAGTACTTTTAAAAAATGAACAATTTATCTGCTCAATTTAAACACTCATTTACAAGGTGGAATAGGAACAAGATGCTTAAAGTAAACATTCTCATTGGACAAGGAAGACTGGGGGACACACAGCAATGACTGACTTGTAGCAATTCTGATATACTGCTGGGCAGACATCAAAAGGGACTCTTCCTGGAACAGGAACAGGGGCTCTGAGCTCACTTGCAGGAAGGGCTTCCTTGTCCGGGGCCCCAGATCCACCTTCTGTGAGGCCCTTGCTTGTCCATTTCTTCTCCTTGGCCATACTGTACATGGAACTCAGTGGACATGCCCTCCTAATTCAGTGGCTGTCATGGCTTGTTTCTAGCTCATGGAAGATTCGGAAGTTGTTTTATAGATAGAATAGTCAAAGGCTTTTTCAGTCTTGGCTTCTGATTTTCCTGGCAACATAATTTTCTCAAAAAATTACTAGCACTTTTCCAATCTGCCAGTAAAGACATGTAAAATCTCTTTCTACTCGCAGTGCTTGACATATTTCTGTGCTTCCTCCACACCCGACCCATAACTGTCTTTTAGGATCAGGCTGCCGGGCTAGAATGGGAATGCCACATTGTTAACCCACTCTCTTCCTGAAGCCACTCTGTCAAACTGAAAGGTTTTATGGATATTTTGTTGTTCAAATCATTTTTAAAAATTCCATTCCACTGCCTGGGATGGTGAACAGTTGTATTTCAAACTTTACAATGTCCTAAATGTCTCGACTCTATGCTCCCTTTTGTTCCTGATTGTAAATTGGTCAAGGCTAGGTCAGAACAAAGGACACTATGAAAACCCAAGTCAGAGGTTACCAGGACTGGCTGTTGGCTCCAATGACCTGAATATGAGAGAACTGAGGAGCACATGGCATCAAACTCATCTGTGCACCAGTATCCATCTTCTAGGGAACTCGTAAAATACAGCAATGGGAAGAGGAGCCTTCCCTGCATTGTAACATTCTAAATCAGAATCTTTGAGGATGTTGTGATGTTTTGGAAAGACCTCAGGTGACTCCAATATACCTTAGGTCACTTAGGAAGCATTTAATGCACAAATTAAATCCACAGCCTATGAACCCATAGATAAAAGGTGACTTGCAAAAGTTTACCTGACAATCTAGTCACCAAACCAGATACAGATCTCAAAGGCCATGTCTTAGTGTCCAACTACCTATTGTAAATCTTCACCTGGCTCCTGGCTGTGATTGTCCCAGTAGTGCTCCCCTCCCAAAGATGCTCACATCCTTGTAGCCAGGCGTGGTGTCTCACACCTGTACTCTGGGAGTCTGAGGCGGGTGGATCACCTGAGGTCAGGAGTTCGAGACCAGCCTGGCCAACATGGTAAAACCCCATCTCTACTAAAAATACAAAAATTAGCCAGGTGTGGTGGTGCACATCTGTAATCACAGTTACTTGGGAGGCTGAGGCAGGAGAATCACTTGAACCCAGGAGACAGAGGTTGCAGTGAGCTGAGATTGTGCTACTGCACTCCAGCCTGGGCAATAGAGCGAGACTCCATTTCCAAAAAAAAAAAAAAAAAAAAAAAAAGCCTACATCCTAATCGAATCCCTATGCTCTATAAGTATGCTACCTGACATAGCAAAAGAAATTTTATAAATGTGATTAACTTAAGAATCTTGAGATGAAGATGTTATCCTGGATTATCCAAATGGGCTCAGCATAATCACAATATAATCACCTTTTAAGATGAAGGCAGGAAAGTCAGAGTCAGAGACAAGATGTGACTATGAAAGAAAAGGAGTGAGAGAGAGAGAGAGAGAGGTTTTTGAAGACACAGGAAGAGACCATGAGTTAAGGAATTGAGGTAGCCTCTAGCAGTTGGAAAAAAGCAAGAAAATGGATTCTCCCATAGAACCTCTGGAAGGAATGAATATAGCCCTATGGACCCATGATAACTCTGACCTCCAGAACTATAAGACAATGTATTTTTGTTGTTTTAAGCCATTAAGCTTATGGGAATTTGTTACAGTAACAATAAGAAACTAATACAGATTTTGGTACCTGGAAATATGGTGCTTCTGTAACTAACACCTACAGATGTGGATGTGGCTTTGGATTTGAATAATGAGCATAGGCTGGAAGAATTTTGAGCATGACATAAAAAGCCTAGATTTCCTGGAACTGATTGTTGGCAGCAACAGGAAATGAATGCATTGCACTTGGCACTTTCTTCTAAAACAGAGTCTCACCACTGCCAATGCCCTGTGTTCAGTTTCATCATGAAAGGAATTCCATGCTTGGGTGGAAAACAGTATGGAGTCAAGACTTCCTGAAAATGAAGAGATGTGGCCTGCAAGGGGAATGTAAGCAGATTAATTTGGGGTTTGAGCATGTGGATCCCCCCTTTCTCTGCCTCCTCTCCTCCCAGACTGTCTGCCTCAAATCTGCCTGGCGTCAAAAGGTTGCTGCTCGGAAGCCGTATGATGAGGTCTCATTTGTTTGCATTCTATTCTCTTTTTGCCTCTTGGCATCTACTGCAATTTGAGATTTCACTCCTGACTGGTGATCAAGGCCAGGGAATGTAGGGGTAGAGGAGAGGCAGGGGACGCTGCTTGACCTGGAGTGAGGGTCAGTGAGTTTTCTAAATAGCTGTCAATAAATTGTCTGCTGACTGATATATCAGGGTACTTGGAGCTTTGAAGGGATTCGGTAGTCTGATTCAGGGACCCTGGACTGGCTCAGGAATGTAGAAGCAGAATCCCTTCTCTCCCTCTGCAACTCCAGTTAGTAGAAATGGAAGTTTTCCAACAGATGTGCTCCCAGATCCGAAAGGGAACCTTTCCTCTGGGTTCCTATTTGTAACACATTATCATACCTGTATGATCGATGTAGGCTCAGAATATCTGACCTGTCTTGACTGACAAAGCGAGTCAGCGCTGGATGCGGGGTGAGAACCTGAGTGTGCTTCTTGCCAGTCAAAGTTGTCCCCAGCACCTCATGCTGCCAAAAGCACTGCCTGCTCTAGGTTGACACAGTGGTCATTTCCCCACCAGACTGGGAAGTTAAGAACCATGCAGTTTATTCAACAGAGCAAGACATCTGCTTTCCTGAGTGTTGGCGTGGTGTGGGTGCCCAGGCAGGTCGAATGCTTTAGGTGGGACAAATATCATGCAAAGGAATACACACTTCAGGTGGCTATTTAGGAATAGAAGGCTCATCTGTTTAAATGGATGATTCCAGGTGCCTGAGATTGGGATGGGGGTATAGTAATGGAGGGAAACACATTCTGGTTTCAGGGAAGCTGCCCCCTTAAAATGTGGGTTGAAGATGAGGTTTTCATATCTGAAGTCACAGGTCTTTCTCCTCCATTTACAACATGCAGCATTTCACCCTGCATGGCTCATTCTTCATTGCTGCCTCTTTGGCTCCATATTTAGGCCTTCATCATCTCTTGCTTGGACCATGGCAATAGCTTCTCACTAGTCCGTATTTCTCTGTGTATGTATAAAATCTATAAGTTACATTTCCTGAAACTTATCTCTGAATCTCTAAACATGGCACATCCCTCCTCATTGGACTGAAGATTCTCAACGTTTCCTTTTAACCTACAGAGTTGAGTAGTAACTTTTCACCCTAACATTCAAATCCCTTGACTCAACCTTCCTTTCTAATTGTCATCCCTTGACATTGGTGTGGGCCCGAATTCGCATCTGGTTCATTGGTTTTCTCCCTGCTTGATGTACACATCATCACCATTTCTACCTCCAGGTATTTGCTCCCACTCTTCCTTCTCCTTTCTTAATGATCCTATAATTTTCCTAGAAAAGCCTTCTTCATTCATAAATAATAAGTTCAGGTCTCATCATCTCTATGAAACTTCAATCTAATCATCTTATCTATGGTGATTAACTCTTTCCTTATTTCCTAATACTGGCAGTGTCTGTATTACTCCAGGTTGGGGTATTAATTGGAGAGGTACAGATTGGGGGGTGGGTAGCCCAGTTAGGGGGCAGTTGCAATATGTTAAGGGAAGAATTGCATGCAGGGGTCAGGGTCTGTGAGAAAAGGAATGGGGGTTGGGCTCTTGCTAAATGGGTGACCAGGGTCATTGGACTCTGGGCTGCTTATGTTGAAGACTGGAAGGGTGGTGCTTTAATGCCTAACTGGCCTGCCATAAAGATTCTTCTACGGAGACTCAGAGGAGACCACCCAGTGGAGAAGACCGGGGCCAATCCACTTTCCCATTCCTTCAAAATGTAAGCCCCACCCTCTGAAATCATGTTCCTTTGTCACCACCAAGCTCATACTCTCAGCTTTGTAATTTCCTTCAAGAAAACACTGGAAGTCAGGTTTTGTACAAAAATATATTTATTTGGTGTAATAGTTACAAAATATTCATTTCCACAATAATATTTTAGCAATGCATTGGAATGTTAAAAAAAATTCTTTGTATTAATGATTCTTGCAAAGACCCTCAAAACATCCCAGGGGTAGAACTGTGGTTCAAGAGGAAAAGCAATTTCCCCAAGTCTCTGTATCTAAAAAACACTAGTACCATGAAAGATAAACTTAAAACATCAATAACTTAAATAAGAATTAACATTACTTAAGGCATAATGTTTCACATCAACAAACAAAATTCATTATAATAAAATAAAACAGGGTGTCTGGGGAAAGCTAGGGGAAAATAAGTTAGCTGCAGATTCTTGGGTTGTGGAGTGAGTGTTCAAGTCTTCGGAGTTTGGGTTTGCTTGTCCAGGTGGTCCATGGAATCCTGAACCCACTTCTGCTTGGGGTCAGCACAGATCTCCTTGGCCACAATGGTCTTGAAGCTGTGGGGAGGGAGGACAGAGTTAGATGAAGTTCCTTTGCAGTTTTGGTCTAGAAGTGCAGCCCATTCTGCACCAAAGGGCTGCCATGGGAGCTAGAGGAGGAACGCAGGTGGAAGGAGGGAACCCAGGGCAAACTGCTCCTATAGGTGTCCAGGTGGAGCCATCCTGACTTCAAGCTAAAGAAATTGGGGTGTTCTGAATAGGCACCCAGGTGGAGAGTGATGTTGGGGTTCACTTTTTCCCTTGGTGCCTCAGTTTTCCCATTGGGAACCTTTGTACATTAAGTTAAATAGTGCACTCTCTGACTCTAGGTTTATGAGGCTTGTCCCTTGCTCCACAAGGAAGAACTTCAGGCCAGGGAAGGTTGGTGTGCTGAACTCACATCACAGCTTCTTTGGGACACTTGCTGCTGGTGATTCTTCTATAGCTCGCGAGCCTCTGCACTGAGATCTTCCTATTGGTGAAGTTATAACAGCAGGTGACTGGGGCATTGATTGCATCTGGAAAATAAACCACAAAGAAAAAGCATTTTAGGATGAACTGGATTATTCTGATCTTAAGAGCAGAAAAGAGTCATGAGGAAAAAGCAAAAGGCAGGCAGGAGAAGACAAAGAGCTCATTAAATCCCAGTGCTTCTGCCTATACCTCAGAGCTAGAATGTGATCTTTGACCCAATGACTCAGTTTCCTATGCTGTAAAATGGGTATATAACATTGATAATGGACAGAGAGAAGGAGGAGCTGTTAAAGCTAGATAATGCCTACAAGTGTCATTAAGACGGACCAATAATCCAGATGATCAGCACCAGGGAAGATCAGCTGGGGAGCCCCACTATGAGCCTCCTTTTAGACTCTGAATAGGCTATGCCTGGTCATGAGTTTCCCTGATACTCATTACCTCTGCAGAGTCACCGTCTCTGGAAGCTAAGGTGAATGAAGCACAGACCAGATTCTGGGTCTCCAGCGTGTCTGGAAACAGCCTACACACCCACCCTCTCTTTGATTACCCTGATCCCCAAACTCTGCTGGAAGCAGCTGGGGGAGTAACTGCGCTGAGTGTGTTCCCAGAGCTGGAATCCTGGAAGGAGCTGGATTTGGGGTTCACAGCTGGAATTCTAGTTCAGGCTCTGCCGAGCAGCAGCTGTGTGGTTGGGCTCACCCCTTGTCCTTTTCTGAGTCACCTTATCTTGGAAAAGTAGCGTTAAAGCAAGACTGTGGGTACCACGTCTGCTTGGATGGTCCATGATAACTCAGAGAGAAGACAATGTGGTTCAAGGAGAAGAAGAGGGGGCCTTACCTGGCTGAGCGAGCCCTTGGGGAATGAAGGTGGCTGCTATGAGCAGCAGGCACAGAAGGGCGGCAGAGACTTTCATGCTGGAGGCGAGAGTGCGAGCTTCAGTTTGAGAATTGGATGTTTCTGGGTTAGTCTCAGCCTCTCGGTTCCTCTGGCTGCTGTCTCTGCCTCTTATTGAAAGCGGGCAGAGGGAGAGAGGGCGGAGTCAAGCAGGAGGAGGGATCTTCCATGAGTGATAAGTGGGCTGTTAAATCTGCTGAGCAAATGCAGCATCCTGTGGATTTCCAGGAAGTAGGAAAGGGAAGCAGGGGGTCAGGACGAGACACTTTTTCCATTCACTGCTGAGACCAAATGAGCAAATGGGGAGGATGGGGTGCCATTAAGCCCAGACTGACCACAGATGTGAACTAAGAGGGTTATTTTTAAGGATTCTGCTTTCTCTGAAGCGAAAACTGCAGAAAAGGAAGGAAGCGAGGAAACTAGATGAAAGCATGTCAGGCTCGCTGCCAGCTTACCTTCAGGCCACATTCCAAGGGGCCTCCCAGCCAGGAAGGAGCTCTCAAGCTTTGGCCGGCTCCCTGACAATGCATTAAATCCATTTGCTCATTCAAATGCAGAATAGTAGCATCATAGAAGCCTAGCAGAACTGTAGGATTGTGTAAACATTGAACTGAATTCTAAGAGTTCTAGGGTTTCAGACTTGGACAAAGGCATAGACAGCATGTAGTGCTGCAGAAGAAATGCCAGTGTCATACTCACAGAGTGCTTACTCTGCCAGGAATATTCTCAGACCTTTACAAATATTAACTCTGTAAATTCCCCAACTTTATCTAGTAGGGATTGCTAATTTTCATGTTATAGATCAGGCAACTGAGGCACAGAAGGGTTAAATAGCCTGCTCAAGGTCCCCTCGAGCACAGAACCCAGGCAGCCCTGTCCCCAGTGGGCTGCCACCTCTCTGACATACTGCTGGAAGGAAACGTGTACAAGTCCTCCAACTAGTTGCCTGCTTGGGTCCTCTCTCTGTCCTCAGCATCTTCCAAATGGGCAGACAGCTAAAGGAGAATCTAGAAACATTCCTCATGGCTAAGTCATTATGAGTTAGGAGGCTGTTGCTAGCATAGCAGGCAGCAGTGGACAAGAAGTTCATCCCTGGTTATGGCAGCTATTCTCCTGGCTTCCTTCTTAATTTCCAAGGGACATGAGTAAGCAGTGGAGGAGTATTTCGGGAATTGGAAAGCCTGACTTCATTCCTCAGTTGTGCCTTAGATTTCCTCAGAAACTACAGAAGCACACTGATAAAAACCCAAAGACCTTAGAATTCATTTCAGTGAACTGTTGTCTCTTACAAATATGATAGGAGTACTTGAGGCATGTTAATGGCTGGGCTGAGTTTAAAATTCTGATCTCTCGATTCTCCTAGCCCACTGCCTCCTCCTTCTGAGCCTTGCGGTGCCCTTGCCCAATGGGCATACAAAGACTAGTGACTTCTTTCATAAAGGGTCACTGAGGCAATGTCTATAAATGCATGGGGTTTCTTGAAAGAAAACACTTTTCACTACACTTGTAAAAAGAAACGGGTTGTATTCAACAAATGACTGTTTTATTTCTAGTAAGTGGTCAGTAATGGCATTGTTGAGTGCATTCAGGGAGTCAGGTATGGTGCTGACATACTTTCCAGCGCTGCCTGCCCAGTCCTCCAACCAACCCAGCTTTCGTTAGGTTAAAACTGAAGTTATTTGTCCAGTAACTCAGACAGAATAGTAGATGTGCTGAGACTCCCACCCAGGATGTTTCCATTCCAGAATCTCTTCTTCCTGGGACTAGACTTGATGTCTCATGATGGATATTGGTTTCCTGGAGAATCCCAGAGCAGAGACTCTATGGAGTGGCCATTTCAGACTCTGGTGGAATTACAAAAAGCAGGATGAAGAGAGAACAAATCAACTCGAGCCCTGCTTTGCTTGTGCCTCTTGAGGAGCCTTATTCTTGTTCTGCCTGAATCTCACTAGTTACTCCTTTTCTCCCCAACCAGTGTTGAAACTTCTCTGTGTTTGTCTCAGTCCTCTGCTCATGCCTCAATCCATTCTTATCCAATGAATAAAATGTTTCCAGGACTAGAGACTGTGCAACTTTGTGTAGGAATTTCTTCCTAGGCCATCTCACCTCATCTTCCAAGAAGTTTTCCTCATATCAGGGGAAACCTCTCTCTAATCAGTTAGTGCATCCTTTACCATGAACTTGGTGGACCGCATTCAATTTCCCTTTATAATCCAGTCATGCTTCGGGTTTTCTCTAGGTTAACAAGCTGAAAGATGCTGAGATCTTTAAATAAGTCTCTCCTGGCTTAGTCATATCAGCATCACTCATAGAATCCCAGAATCAATGGGCTTATAGACATCCTGTGGCATGACCACTTGTTTTTATCTGATAAAGCCACAATCCAGAGAAGGAGACCAATTAGCCCATGGTCACAGAGAAAAACTTCCCAGCTTTGCTGGCTGAGTGTTCACATAGGCTTCTGAGTGTTGGAAGCATGTCTCTACTTCAGGAAGGAGTTGTCATCTCTGGAAAGTGACTTGGCCTTTGCATATATCAGACAGTAAACACAGGGAAGGTGAAGGGTATGAATCAGAAAAGAAAGTCTTCTGGAAAGTGATAGCTGTCTGCCTCCCACTTCTGCTCTGTCAAGAAAAGATGCCCTCCCCCGCTGGGAGGTCAGTGCTGGCGTGAGAGAAGTGAGTGGAAATTCCCACTCTGAGGAGGCAGCTTTGGAAGTTCCCAGATCCCGTAGAAGAGAATGCATTTGGCTGGAGCCTGCATTCCAGATACTGGGCCCGGAGCCAGGGAGCTCTCACATGGGGCTGTGCTGGGAACATCTCGGCACAAGCCTGGGTTAGGCTCTGGCACAAACCTGGGTTGGACTCTCGCTTGGGGACACACAAGGGAAAGGCCCCCAGAGGGGCTATGGGGAAAATGAGGGTCAATGCTCTGATGCTGTCCAGAATCCTCAGTTACCCCGGGGCCTCCTCTCTATCAACTCATAGATAAAGAATGGAAAAGCTCCTCTTGGTGAATAATGCTTTCTTCATTCCTCCCGGGGTCTGACCCCACCACTAAGATCCTCTGCATGAACCTTGGTCATCGCTGCAGACTCCCACTCAGTGTCAGGGGTGAAAAAAAGAGGAAGTAAAAGTGAGCTCTCTGGAAAGATCTGAAGCCACTGCCTGGGCTCCCACCAACTTCTGCGGTTCACTTGTCCCTCCCCACCTAGTGCAGGCTCCCTTGCTGGTGCTCCCTTCACTCAGCCTTCAAGAGAGATGCACCGTAGCTCTGCACTCACCATGTCCTTTCTAGACAACCCCCACTCAAGGCCTCTCCTCCAGGCTAGCTCCAGGTAGAATAGAGCCCATTTTCCCAGGGCCGCTACTCTGCAATCCCTTTCCTGTCAAGGATGAAAATCTTTCCTTAATTTTTCACAGAATGTCAGAAAATGAACGAGACCTTAGAGACCATCTACCTGTTTCTCTGATGGGGAGACTGAGGCCATGAACAGGTTAGTGACAGGCTCAAGGTGAGATAGAAGACGAATGGCTACATTTGTGCTGGTTTGCTTATTTCTGGGCTCTCAATGTAGTGCCCTTTGTCATCTACTGCACTATCTCTTTATTATAACATTCATACAATTAGCACATACCCTGTGCAGAGCACCAGGTAGAGGACTGCACAGGGAGGGAGAAGTGAATTAGACATGATGCTTCCTTTTCAGAAGAGATGCTAAAGTAAGAATCCATGGAAAGTAGGACTGAATTTAGGAATAAATCTGATCAGTACTTACCCCAAGCTTCCAGCATCTAAGATTTCTTGCTTTCTGGATTGGATCTGCCCCAGGTCTAATTGCATGCAGTAGCCAAGAATACTCCTGAGCATGGGAATAGGGGTGGCGATGGGCATAGCATATGAGAACAGAAAGAGTAGTGGCCTGAGTTGGTGGGTGGGGGTGATGGTGGTGAGGAGTAGTGATGCCTGAGGAAGCAAGAGGCTTGTTCTTTAGATTGTCTTCTGAGCCAGCCCTCACAGATTAGCACCTGAGCCCTAGAGGGAGGAGACTGATGTGGGTTGGGGGTAAGAGTTAAATAAATTCTTAGGCTAAAGGCAGCGTGAGCCACTCTACAGCACTTTCGTGTTACACATTGGGGGAGAAAATGCTTTCCTCATTTGGGGCTTGCATTGTACAAGGTGGCCTGAGCAGTGTGATGAGGGGGTCAAGGTGCCGAACTGGGAGAGGGGGATGGGCAGGTCTTAGGGAAACAGAGATCAGATGGAGTGGAGACAGAAACACTTTTTTGACAATAGCCTTTTGTTGACTCCTTTAGCACCTGTGCTGGGGTCATCTAAGGGAACAGAATAATTGCATTAACCAGAAAGATACAGAGCGGTGAGAGTCCCAGCTGAGGGGCCCAGGGAAGGCTCGTGATGGTACATTTAAGATGGGCTCAAGGGTTGGGCAGATTTTTGAACCTTGGCGATCGGTGGGTGAAGGAGGGGTCACATTTTGGGCAAACTTACAAAGGTTGCAAATTGTAATGTGCTTACCCATCTCCTTAGGATCTTGCTAAAGTAGAGATTCTGACTGTAGGTTTGGGGTGGGCCTGCGGTTCTGCATTGCTAACCGGTTCCCAGGTGATGATACTGCTGCTGGTGCATGGCTCTGCTAGAACAACTTTAACATTTGTCTTTGGATAGGAAATGCTGGCCAGGTGGGAAAATACTGAGCAGCTCATTTTGTCCAGACCAGGACTCTTGTCTGTGGCCCTTGGATAGGCTCCCAGATCCATCAGGAGTTGTCTTCCACATTTATGTTTTTGTGCATTTTTCTGGAGAGAGGGTCAGTAGCTTCTATTAGATTAGCAAAGGCATCCATGACCTCCAAGTAGTTAAGTGCCATTGAATTTATCAGAGAGTTCTGGGCTTCAACCCAGACCTGCTGAATCACAGTCTGCATTTTTTATTTTATTTTATTTTTTTGAGACAGAGTCTCACTCTGTCACCCAGGCTGGAGTGCAGTGGCACTATCTCTGCTCACTGCAACCTGCGCCTCCTGGATTCAAGAGGTTCTCCTGCCTCAGCCTCCCGAGTAGCTGGGACTACAGGCACATGACATCACGCCTGGCTAATTTTTATATTTTTAGTAGAGAAGGAGTTTTACTACATTGGCCAGGCTGGTCTCAGACTCCTGACCTCAGGTGATCCACCTGCCTCGGCCTCCCAAAGTGCTGGGGTTACAGGCATGAGCCACTGCGCCTGGCTACAATTTGCATTTTTTTCTATGTAAAGCTGTATTTTTTCTATGTCCTCCCACAGCCCCCTCAGATGATTGTCAGACTGTGTATGGGACCCCAGAATGAAGCATGGGGTATTTGAAGACAGAGCTATGCTGGCTGAGCTGGGAGGCACCAACAGGAATAAGTACAGGCAGATAAGAAGCAAGACACAAGAAGGAAGGGAACGAGAAGGGAATACGGAAGAGAAAGAAGAGGTAGCATGGAATAACAGAAGGAGCCCCAGGTGGTGTCAGAACACCAGGGCCAAAGGCCTGGCTCTGCCTCTTTCTAGCTGTGTGGCCTTGAGCAAGTCCCTTGACCTCTCTGGGCCTCTTCTGTCAAAGGGGATTAGTAAGACAGCTGCTTCTGACATTGTCATGAGACTTGTATGAATTAATAAACCAAGAGTGCTCTGTAAGCAACTTGTAAAGAGCTGTGTCAGTCTGAGGGCTCGTGGCATGCCTTCTCAGGGGATGTCCCAGGGCACATGCCAGTTTCTGGGCATTGGATGCCTACAGTCCTGATGCCCAGTACAAGCTTCTGCTGTGATATCTTGCTATGAAAATGTGTTGGCCATTTTTATTATATAATGCATAGGGAGGTTTCCATTTCCTAAGCTTTTTTTCATCCCCATTCTGTCTGCCCATGACAAAAAGCTGAAGGTCAAAGAAGTAACCCCAGAATCAAGCCAGGGCCTCAGCTCCTCACACAGCAGCCAGCTCTCACCAGAAGGTCCCACCCTGCCAGGCCCTCTCCTGTCTCCTCACCTCATGTCACCCTCAGCCCCACTCTCTGCTTCCAGAACACACCATAGCTCCATTCCACCTTGAGGCCTTTGCCCATGCTGGACCCCAGCACCTGGTACAGTATCTTCCATGTCGTAGGTTCTTAACAAATATCATTTAAATTAATTATTAACAGTTCAAGAATCTCTAGTCACTTCCCCCAGATATCTGAACTGTAGGATGATTTAATGTCAGACAGGGAAATTAGTAAAGAAGCAAGACTTTTGGTTCCCTGAGTTCCTCACTTTTTCCATCTGGAGGAGAGATAGTGGCAGGGCTAAGGGGAGCACTGGGGAGTGGGGAGCCTGTAGCAGAGAGAGTGATTTTCAGGGGCCACATGGATTCTTCTTTGCGGATGATGTTTCTTCCGCTTGGTTGCAAAATGTTGCATGCCAAAAAGGGGAAACTTCAGCCACTTAAAAAGGCTTCTTTATTAATGATTTCAGTCGGCTAGCTGGTGGAGCCCCACATTGCAAAGCACTGGCTCCATTCAAAAATCCTCTTGCCTTTACTGTAAATTAGAGTCTGAGGAAGGAAGCTGAATAAAAATGCAAATAGTATTTGTCTAATGAGTCAGGAAAAATAGTTTTCCAAAGCACACACATCTCTGACTTAAGTGCAGGGAGTTAAAAACAAAGCATTATCAAATAATTCAACTATGCAACTTATTTATTGCTCACGGATGTGGCCATGGTAATGAGAGAAACTTTACAAGTGCACTGTTCCCCTTGGAGCTGTTTGTAATGGAGTCCGAACAGCAGGTGTGTAGGTGTCAGACAATGTGGGGCACGGACTTTTGTCTGTCTAGTTTACTCCTGCATCACCAGCATGAGGACCTAGCATCAGATGCTCAATAAATATGTAAATTAGGAAGCAATCAGAGCTGGGAGGTGTGATAGAGATCCCAGAGTTGAAAATCCCTGCACCACTGCTTAATGTAAGATGGGGAAATAAAGTTGCCCAGGATTATAGCGTTAGCGTCAGTGCCAGTGCTAGAGTGCAGACAAGCTGTATGTGTGTGTGTGTGTGTGTGTGTGTGTGTGTGTGTGAATGTGTGTATGTGTCTGTTGGGGGAAGTGCGCGTGACCTAGATCTTAGCATTTTCCAACAGGAGTGCCAGTTACTTGTGTCCCTAAGGAACACTTCTTAGTTTATAGAAACCTTATTCAAGTAGAAACAGGCACTTGTAAATAGGCACTCATTGTCCTGGAGAAAGGGAGAAAAAAACCTTTGGGGGCCCAAAGACTGGAGATAGGAGAAGAAATGGATACATTTGCTCAAGGACCAAGAGACCTCCTGAGAGGAGAGAAATTGAGGCTTTTTCTTCTGAGTCCAAAATTATTAGCCACGGAGAGTGTGGGGAGGTTCCAACTGGATTGGTCGCCTGAGTTCAAGGCCATGGCAGAGAAATCAGTGGGTGACGATTGAGGCGGGAAGACCTCTGCACCTGCCATGTTGATGCAATAGTCCTGCTTTGAGAGCAACAGCCAAACCTGCAAGTGCAAACTCAAGAGGCTGAAACCTAGGGGGCCCAAGGATGACACTGTGGCCAAGGCTGGAGGAGGTACCATGAGAGCAAGGAACAGGAAAATCTTTAGGTGGTGTGAGGCCAGGGATCCATAGGTACCCTGGGGACAGTGACAGAAGCAATGGCAGTCAGGAGTCCTGGCCACTGGTAAGAGGGTCAGGTTACCCAGCTTCCACTTTGCTTGAAACTTAGCAGCAAAGCTTTCTCAGCTTGACTGAATAGGTCCTCAAGGTTCTGGGGACACTGTAAGGATGTTGGGAGGGGGCTTAACCATGAATTACTAGACTTCCTCCTAATATGGACAACCTGGAGGCCTGGGAATTAAATGAACATAATGAGAGAGATGTGAACTATTTGTACCCCGAGGTGACAAAAAGGACTATGCAAGTGACACACAAATATTTATTTATTATGGCTAGTTCGCTGCTCTAGCATGTCCTTAGCCCACATTTGTCCCATGTTCTGCTCCCAATGCAGTTAGGATGTATTTACATTCCAAAATTATGGCATTAGCCTTGTCATTATGCAATTCTGATTTCATGACAATAAACATTAATTTTAAATACTTACTGAATATCTTCTAGAACACCTGTGCAGTTAACAAGGAAAGATTTTAAAATTGTGGGTCATGAGATGCCAAAAACCACAACCCCTTATGTGTCCTCTATGATTCATTAAATCATGGGATTCCCACAAAGCCATTGCTATGTAGGTGACACTGGTGTCATTTCCTTGTTTTATAGACAGAGAAATGAAGCCTTCGAGGTTGACTTGCCCAAGGACAAGGGAGCTGGGGACTGGAGGGGTTGGGATTTAAATTCACGTGTTCTCACTCCAAGCCCAATCTTCTGTATGATCTACCATCCAAGTGTTTTTTTCCTTGAAATCCGTGCCTTTTCTTCTCCTGCTTATTTTCTTTTCCTTTCATTCTAAGGCTCCCCTTTCAAGGTCACCTGCACCCATGCTGTAAATGGAAGGCTTGGTAAGGAGCAGAAGGTTAAGGGAAGGAAATATTTAGGGAATGTAAGTTCTCTAGTTTCCTCTGGGTCCCTCTTCAAGTGAACTTATCACCACTTCATATCAGCCTTGCTGCATGGCCACCCTTTGGACTTCGTCATCTCCCTGAACTTCTCCATTTTGTAATGTTCCACTTAGTAATCCAGTCCTTTGACCACAGCCTTCTATTTCCTTCCCCTTCAGCAACTCTGAATCTACTGCATCAGCTCCTCCAGGTCCCTTAGCCCCTACCTGGCTTCCTTTCCTCCCCAGTCCAGCCCAGTGTTGACCACTCTCCTACCAGCATACAGATGCTCTCATTTCTACAATTCTATCTCCACACCTGCCAGTGCCCAAACCCAGGTCATCGGATCATCTTCCCCCTGATTCCTGACCACTCCCAGGCTGTTGGGCTTGCTGGAAGGCCTGGATATCTTTAAGGACAAGAGGTCCACAGATGCGACAGACTCCTCAGTGCTGCTGCTGTTCCGCAATGTGCCCCTAGTTCTTTGGCGCTGCCATACTCCACAGTGGCATTCCACACCTTCACCCTTCCCCTAGCATCTTGGGCTCCTGTCTCAGGCTTCAACATTCTCAGGAGACAGCCTCCTCCCCAGTGAAGGCAGAGGCTGTGAGATAAGAATTCTCTCCATGCCCATCCCGTGCTCATATCAAAACTTAACTCCATCTTCACGTGATTACAGCTCTTCCTTCCTGGCTCAGAAGAGCGGGTCGCTCCTGTTGAGGGTCATGGCTCAATCTAGATCCTTGATTTCCTCCTGTATCTTCCAGAAACTGGAACTTTCCTTTATCTTCATGCCATTTCCATCTTCTTTCCACTCTTCCCTTCCCTTCTTCCAACTGACACACTCAAGTCTTAGGGGATTTTCCTAAACCTCATCTTCCTTCAACCAGTTCCCTTCTCTCTCTTTCCTTTCTTGAGAAACATTTTTGAATGATCAATCTCTACCTGTGGGGCTCTCCATTTCCACCTCCAATTAACTCCTTAACCTGTTGCCATTTATCCTCCACTCCTATCATTCAACTGAAATTCTTATGGTTTCACGAATGATTTCCTCATTACCTAATATGAAGGATTCTTCGTAGCTCAGATCCAACTTGAAAACACTGCCAAGTTACCACTGTTTCTCCCCCTTCTATGTCTGTGCTCTGCTTTCTCCTCAAATTACTTTCTGCCTCTTCTTTCTATGCTACTTTCTCTGGTTTCTCTTCCTGTTTATTCCTAAATGCTGGTCTTCTCTAAGGATTCATACTTTCTGTTTGTTTTTGTTTTCGTTTTGAGATAAAGGCTTGCTCTTGTTGCCCAGGCTGGAGTGTAATGGCACAGTCTTGGCTCACTGCAACCTCTGCCTCCCAGGTTCAAGTGATTCTCCTACCTCAGCCTCCCGAGTAGCTGGGATTACAGGCACGTGCCGCCACACCCAGCTAATGTTTGTATTTTTAGTAGAGGCAGGGTTTCACCATGTTGGCCAGGCTGGTCTGGAACTCCTGACCTCAGATGATCCAGCTGCCTCAGCCTCCCAAAGTGCTAGGATTACAGGTGGGAGCCACCACTTCCAGCCAAGATTCATACTTTCATTCTCACTCTTCGTGAGAGTTTGCCAACTGGTGGCCTCTACCTGGTTCCAGCCTGCAGGCATGTCCTGTTTGGCCAGTACAGTTTTTAAAACAAATACAACTAATTGCCAATACTTCAAATGGGCAGATTTCTCATTTTAAAATCTGAATTTCTGGTTTGCCTGGATGGAATCAGATTTGGCAATTTGAAGTCACATTCCTAGATGGCAACAATCCATGAGAGCAGAGGGACAGCCATCCCTCTAGGTAAATCATATGTTCACAGGTCACCAGAAATTCCCCTTCCCTCACCCACAATTTCTCTGTTTTCATATTGTTGGTCTATTTCACTCACTTATTTGCCTGGCCCCTATTGTAGTTGAGTGTAGAGTCTTTTTCCTATAACTCACATATTTCAGCTCTCATAATTCAGTAAATGGTTCTTAGATGAGTTCTAGATGTGTGTTTCAATATGCCCACTGAACATTTACACTTGGATGTCACTCAACTTCAATGAGTTCATCCTTCCCTCTTTGCAGTTCTCCTTTTTCTCCCTGTCTTTCTTCTTTCTTTTCTTTTATTATTTTTCAACCAAGATGTAATAAACCTCTATGGCAGATACAAAATCCCTATTTAAGAGGGCCTTGAGAAATCAATTTGGTTGGAAGAAGTAATAGAGGACTGGCGTAGAGGTTGCATTTGTGTAGGAGGTACACTTATTTCCCTTCTTTGTGTATTCATTTGGGGTGGCTTTGGAGGGGCAGAATCTAAGATGAATTTTTGAGGAGAGGGGTCTTAAAGCTCCCCAAACCATCTTTTGATGCCATCATCACTACGTTGCCAGGCATCATGCTGAGTGCCAGGAAGGCAAATAAGTCCTCTGCAGTTCCTGGTCTCATTACACCACTCCCAGATCTGCTACCCCTACCCACCCAGATAGTCAAGGTCGAAAGCAGGTATCCATCTTTTGATTTCCTCCCCATCTCCTTTCCCATCTAATTGGTCCCTGAGACCTGTGCATTCCACTCTTGAAGCATCTCAGCATTCATTTCCTTTTTTTCATCCCCAAAGACTCTGCCTCACTCTGAGTTCTATTTAAACAGTTTCACATCATTTTTTGCCAAGAGAAGCACTACGCTTCAGACCAACTTTAGTCCTAATAGCAAATATATCTATCCCAAACCACCCGTCTGATCTGCTTAAATGACTTCATACCCAGAAATTACCACTCTCCATGTCTATGCACTAGAACCCAACTCCTCAGTGTGGCCATCGGAAGGCCTGACTTGGCCTCTTCTCTATCTATGCTATCTTCACTGGTTTCTCTTCCTGTTCATTCCTAAATGTTGGCCCACAGCACCTTTCAGGTCAGGTCTCATCAGTCGCTTCTTTCAAATACCCTGTGCTGCAGTAATAACCAATTTTCTCATCTTTCCCAGAACGTGCCCTTGCAGGCATTGTTTCTCTTGCCTGGAAAAGGCAGCCAAGCCTTTTCCAGGAAGTCTTTCCAGACTCGTTTGGACACATAAACCTTTGCATTCCTTTATGACAGCCTTTGATTGCACCCTGTATTTTGAAGGTTTCTGGGTATGTTTTCTTTGTCAAATATATGGTAGAATCTACCTATTCTTCTTTGAATCTATCTTAGCACCTAGGACAGGGCCTGGCATTTACTTATTCATTCATTTGCCTATTTATTCATTAATTTAATAAACAGTAATTAAGTGCCTAGTCTGTGCTGGTCATGAGCTCTATATCAGGCACATTTTTGCTGAATGAATAAGTTGAGAGGTTGGGGATAGTTAGATATTAGCTAAAGAAAAAGGTTAAAATCTGAAAATGGCTACTGTGGTTTGACTGGGTTTGAACCACACTGGGCACAGACTCACTTTGCCTGAAACACTGTATGACAGTGGCTGAGTGGCTGGCTGTCTCAGGCCCTCATATGCAGAGGAGAAATAAAAATCTCTGAATTTCTTTATAATTTCCGTTACTTTTTCACTTCCTAGACAGCTGCAAAGGAAGGAAATATCTCAGTTCTTGGAATTCTCCCATTGAATGGAACATGAGGCATTGTGTTCAGGGCACAGTGTTTAGTGTCACTTCACTGCATACCCACGACAACCTTGTAAGACAGCAAGACAGAGACTATCGTGCCATTACACAGAGAGGTCAAATGACCTGCCCAAAGTGGTAGTGCGAGAATATGACAGGGCAAGGACTGGGAAACAGGTCTTCTGTGTCTGTGCCCAGCATGGTTTGGACTCTTAACTACTGCTTTGCCAGGCATCTTGGTGAGAAGTTGGGTCTAGACACCCAGACTGGAATCCTGGTGTGGCCCACAATAGGGTCTGCCCTCACATCTTGGCCTAAACCGCATCCTCCTCATTTCCATTTCTCGAATGTGTTTTGTAATGTAATTCTTCTGTCTTCACTACTCCAGGCCAAACATTAAGACTTTGGTTCCCCTTTTTGGTCATCAGCTTCCGCTGCTTATTTTCTCTGACAGTTATTTTTTTTTCTAGTTCCCCATTTGTCTTTCTCTCATTTCATTTTCATCCCCTTGGAATTTGTCATCAGCCAAGCTGGCAGTTTCGATTACATCAGATATCCCATTTTGAGGGATGACAGAGATTTTTTCCAGGGTGATATTAGTTTCTAGGACTTCTAGGAAAAAGAAAGCTGGAAAAGCCTTTGTCCCTCTCCTTCCATTTTCTGCAAAACAAACTGGTCTCCTATCTTGCTGGATGCTGGGTCCTTAGCTAGACTCTCGGGAAAATCCAGAGGTTACTATGACTCCAGACCCCTCACCCTTTGTTTGTGGCCTTTTCTCCAAGCTGACTAGAACTCAGGGTAACTAACATCCTATAAGTTAAGATACCACCCTGCCAACAGAGGGTGCAGCCATCTTGGGGAGGGTTGGCTGATATGAACATTGCATGGCATTGGCATCCAAACCTCGTTTTGCAAATTGATGATCCTAAAACACAGAGAAAGCAGTGACTTGCCCAAGGTCACAAAACAAATTAGTGACCAGGGATTGGGCTGGAACTTGGTGTCTAATTCCTTTTCTGAGAAGAAGCCTTTCCTCTGCCACAAGCTGCTTGGAGCATCAGGGGTCCTTGCTAAATGATTTGCAAAATCCCCAAGCATAGATGCTGGATAAATCTCTGGCAGTCACTCTTATTTTATACACTTTACCCTTAAAGAAATTGTCTGGTCACATACTTCTGGGTCACATGCTGGTCACAGGATGTGCAGAGCTCTTAAAAGACATGATTTCAGCCACCTGAAGCATTGATAAGGGAAACTGAAGCATGAACGTGTTAACTGATGGCCATTCACATGCCAGTCTCAAAGCTCCCAGGACACCTGTCTCTGCTCACAAAACTCTCTAAGCCGACCAAATAATCTGCTTCCAAAGAAAAACAATCATCAAGTTGCCTTTTCTATTATGATTATTATAACTACAATTATAATGATTTAGAGATAAGCTGCATTTTACAGTTGATCAAGCTTATTTGTCTATAATCTCTGATTTCTGGTCTTTACAACAGCCTGCCGTAACAGGCACTTTATTTTCCCTTTTGAGAATTGAGAAATAAGGTTCAGAGAAGTTAAACACTTTGACCAGGGCCACATAGATGGAAGATAATAGAATCAAGTCTCCAAATCTGGGGCATTTTTGCTATACTGCTGTCACACACAAACTCATACTAGTTAAATGTATCTGTAATAAGCATCTTCAATAGCCTTGCCTCTTTAGATCCTTACAGCAATTTTATGAAGTCGATTTCATTTTTCAGAAGAGGAAATTGAGGTTCAGGCCATAAGCAATTAAGTGGCTGAACTGGACCACAAATTCAGGGTATCTTCTACTACCCTGCCTTGCCTCCCATGTCTAGGTCCCCAGCACAACGGGAAAGTTCCAGCTGTGGCCCGGAAAGCCCTACAGGCAGAAAGCCAAGGCCAGGACAGCAGCCAGGAAGGACTCTGTTTCCTGCCCAGAGCTCTTCCTCCCCGCTGACTCCAGCTGGCCCTCTCTGAGCAAAGGAGGGGAATTTCTAGTCTGAGCAGAGTAAAGTTTTCTGTGACTCTGACTTCTTCAGGGCCTCCACTTTCCCTACAGGGAAGCTAGGGTAATAATAATAATAATAATAATAATAATAACCAACATTGATTAGACATTAGTGATGTCTTAGAGAAAGATTCATTATTCATTCATTCACTCATTCATTCATCCACCCATCCTTTAACAAAATTGGGTCTCTTCTGTGCAAGACATTATGCTAGATACTTGGGATACCAGGATTGATGAAACATGGTTTATGACTTCAGGAGTTGAATTTTGGTTCAGGAGACTGAATAGAAATGACAAGACTCCTAGATTCTTTCATCTACCCTACACTCCAAGTACAGTCCCTCGTTGCCCTCCTAATCTTTGCGTTCTTAAAACTGTTTTCCTGGATACCACAAGGTTCCTGGCTTGGTTCTTTGCCTACAATCTCACACCTCTAATCTATCCTCCACCCTGCTACCAAAAGACTGAAATGTGAAGCCAATTGTGCCATTTCCCTGCTGAGAACCCTTTGTTGGCTCCCCTGTGCCCTCAGCATGCCCGTCCAGAACTTGGCTGTGGCTTGGCCACTGCCTCCCTCTCCAGCCTCACCTCTCTTCTCTCCCCTGAGGGACCCTGCCTCCAGAAAGGCCAAACTGGTTGCAGAGAGTTTTATTCCCCTCCACCCACCAAAGGCATACTTCTGGATCTTTGCACGGTTATCTTCTTTACCAGACCAATGTCTACTTATCCCACAAAACCCTGGTCAGAAGGCCTTCCCCCTGCAAACCATGGCTGGAAAAGATGCTTTTGTTAATGATTGTGTATGTCAATTGGACTGGGCTAAGGAATGTCCAGATTGCTAGTAAGACAGTAGTTCTGGGAATGTCTGTGTGGATGGTCCCAGAAGAGAAGACAATTTGAATTGTCAGACAGTAAAGAAGATCACTCTCACCAATGTGTGAGGGTATCATCTAATCCATTGAGGGCTCAAAAGAACAAAAAGACAGAGTAAAGGGCAAGTTCACTCTCTCTTTTCTGGAACCGGGACATTCATCTTCCTCTGCCCTTGAACACTGGTGCTCCTGGTTCTCATACCTTCAGACTTGGACTGAGACTTACACCATTGGCTTCACTAGTGTTCAGACCTTTGGGCTTAGACTGAAACTACATCACTAGTTTTCTTGGGCCTCCAGCTTGCAGATGGCAAATTGTGGGACTTTTTAACTTCCATGATCACATGAGCCAACCCATCATAATAAATCCTTCTGTTTTTCTTTTCTTTTCTTTTCTTTCTCTTTCTTTCTTTCTTTCTTTCTTTTCTTTCTTTTTCTTTTTCTTTCTTTCCTTCCTTCTTTCTCTCTTTCTTTCTTTCTTTCTTTCTTTCTTTCTTTCTTTCTTTCTTTCTTTCTTTCTTTCTTTCTTTTTTCTTTCTTTCCTTCTTTCTTTCTTTCTTTCTTCTTTCTTTTTTTTTTTTGTTTTTTTTTCTTGACAGAGTCTCACTCTATCGCCCAGGCTGGCGTGCAGTGGTGTAATCTTGGCTCACTGCAAACTCTGCCTCCTGGGTTCAAGGGATTCCCGTGCCTCAGCCTCACAAGTAGCTGGGATTACAGGCCTGTGCCACCACACCTGGCTAATTTTGTATTTTTAGTAGGGACAGGGTTTCACCGTGTTGGACAGAGTGGTCTCAAACTCCTGACCTCAGGTAATCTGCCCGCCTCGACCTCCCAAAGTGCTGAGATTACAGGCATGAGCCACGGCACCTGGCCACATCTTTCTGTATTTCTATGTGTAATCTATTAGTTCTGTTTCTCTGGAGAACTCTGACTAATATACCCTTCTTTTATATTTCTGCAACATTGACGTTTACCCCACACAAGGGTTCTACTCTATTGCACTCACATTTCACTGATTGTCTGGGTCCTGCTTGTCTCTCTGATTTTTCCGTGGACTCCTGGATGTCTACTGCAGAGATAATGCCTGGCTCAAGAAGGTGCTTATTAATGCTCTGTTGAATGGACATAGGAGAAATTTCAAAGAAAGAAATTATCTTATCTGCTCCAAAGCAGCTTGCAAAATGCACCCAACTTGACCCACTCTCGTGGGTGGCTGGGGCTCAGGAGGAAGGAATGTGTCTGGTTTTCTAGAGAACAAAGGGGCCTCTTACAATATCACAGATGCTACAGAATGCAGGAGCAGCTGTTAGTAATTGTGACTGGGAAAGTCCACACGCTTTCCTGTGGCTTTTCCCTTTATACCAGGCCTTGGGCGGATTTCAAGAGGAAAATAATAAGCTATTTGACCTTTCCCTTTTGCTAGCCAGTGTTTCTTGCTGCTCCATGGTCAGAGTTTTAGCTGAGAATATTTCTGTTTTCCCCACTCAGACAAACTGACAATGCTAAAGCTTAGAGAAGCGGAGGGCTGGCCCTACACCCAGGTGCCTTGCTGGACCTAGGAACTGGGATCCATCCCTCTGCCACCTTCCAAGTCCTCAGGATCCACAGAGAACCACTGAGCTTTTCAATTACCTTCCCCCATTGTTGCCCTGTGGTTGATTCATCCTCACCACAGAAAAGTTCTGGTGCTGAGTAGAGGGAGGGGCAGTTCTCATCAGACCTGCCAGGTTCAAGAACTTACATATGCAGGAGATTTCTGCTGGACCCTTATATATATTAATTTATTAAAATAATTAGCATCTGGCCAGGCACAGTGGCTCACACCTGTAATCCCAGCACTTTGGGAGGCTGAGATGGGCCGATCACCTGAGGTCAGGAGTTCGAGACCAGCCCGGCCAATATGGTGAAACCCCCATCTCTACTGAAAATACAAAAATTAGCCGGGTGTGGTGGCACGTGCCTTAATCCCAGCTACTCGGGAGGCTGAGGCAGGAGAATTGCTTGAACCCAGCAGGCTGAGGTTGCAGTGAGCCAAGATTGCACCATTGCACTCCAACCTGGGCAACAAGAGCAAAACTCCAACAACAAAAAAAAGGAACCTACCATGGGGCAGATACTGGATATACATAACTTCTACGTGAACAGACATGATTTCTGCCTAGACGAAGCTCACTTTTAATTCTCCTAATAGTCCTCTCAGCTAATAGAAGACCCCTAACCTTTTGCAGATGAGAAAACTGAGGTCTGGGGAGACAAAATGACATGCCCAAGGCCATGCAACCAGGTGAAAACTGAATAGAAATTAGAATCTGACTTCCATTTGTATGGTCTTTCTATGACACAGTTTTAATAAGTGACAGCCTGTGACCTGGCCACCTTGCCTTCTGACACTGTGTGGACCTATCAGGGTGCACCATTCTTTCTCAGACATGATACATGCCACAGAAGCAGCTGGCCACCAGCACCAGCACCACATTGACCTCAGCCCACATCCAGCCAGCCCAGGTCCTACCCGACAGGTAAGCCCAGGGACCCTAGCCAGCCACTCAGTCACCAACAGAGACTTTGCTGGACAACTTTGTGTCCTGTTTCCCCAACTTCTTCCATAGAATCCAGACTTGGTGCTGGACAGAGCTCTCTGTTCAGCAATTTTTTAGTATTAACAAAAAACACCGAAAATAAAACTTAACTACTTCCTGAATGAATGAATGGACAGAAGAATGAAAGGTGGAGCTTATCCTATGGGTACATGGCAACCTTGGAACTGCGATTTGAAAGGAAATTAAGGAACTCTGTGTCCCAAACACCTTGTCTACCAGCCAGTCCCAGGGCCTGGAATTCTCACTACTGTGGCATGCCTTTCAGCTAAAGCATATTCTCAATTTTGGTATTCTACCTTTGAGATTTTTGACAAGTCTTTGCAACACTGTTCACTTATATACTTAGTGGTTTTATGTAAAATGACTCATTTTTTTCTTAAATAAATTCATTTTAAAAAGAAATGTATAACTGTTACAAATTTGGAAGCAGTATTGCCTGCCATAGATACAATCAAAACAAACTTGTTTTTTGACTCAAACTTGATGCAGCTGCCTGCCTGGTGTACTGAGTACTGAGCTTATAAGCTTACTCTCTCACTGAAGAGAGAGAGACAGACAGACAGAGAGACAGATTGGCGAGTATAAGCACTAAGGTTTTCTTCTTGATGGAATCAGAAAGATTAAAAGATAATTGAAACGTGAATGCCTTCTCTGCTAGTGATTCATTGCTGCCTAATGTTCTGGTCTGGGATAACAATGGATTAGAGTATCCTGCCTTATATATTTATTGACATGGGGTATTTAGCAGAGTGATTGTCCCCTATTAGCACACCATGGGGATTAATGGAGCTGATGCCCTGGCAAAAAGACCTTCTGAAGACACACACATTCTGCTGAGGGCAGCTGGAGTAGTGCAGAAGACTTGGGCCTTGCCAGGCTGAGCAACCATGGCAGAGTTGGGGTATAGTGGGTTGATGGCATGGTGTGCTTGGCGTGCCAAGGTTGTGATAAGCAGTAATGAGGAAGTCCCAAGAGAAATGTGGCTCGGTCTTGTCCTGCCCAGCTGTGGCTCTTGGCAGAACTTGGGGGATGGGGAATGTGGGGCTTGACTGCTGTCCCCTAGAAGAACGTTGAGTAAGAGAAGCCTCTTTGGAGGCCCTCTGTGTGGCTGTATAGAGATCTTCACGTTAACGTGGGGAAAGGCCCTGGGGCTGGAGTAATTCCTTTTACTGGGACAGGACAGCCCCTATTTGCTGGCTATTTCACAAAACAGAAGGGAATCTTCTCAGAAAAACCACATGAATGTGCTGCTGGTGGGCAGAGGAGTTGATGAAAGGGCAGTTGGTGCAGCAAGCAGAGTAAGACCCAGGGTTAGGGTATGAGGGAGAATGGCACACACTGATGGGGACCCACCTGCCAGGCACAGAGGCAGGGGTGTCGCAGGCCTTAGCTGCTTCACAACTCAGGGTTCAGTCATTACTAGTCAGCAGGCAAGCAAATGAAGGCCCAGAGAGGCTAAGCCTTGATGAAGACTGCACAGCTGGAGAGCTGGAGAGATGTCAAGCCTGGGGGGCGGTCCTGGACCTTCCCACTCCAAGTTGGGGGTGTAGACCAGCCTGGTTGCCCACATGGCCTGGCCATCCCTCTGAAGAATATATGGATTGTGGGGATGGTGAGGCTGCTTCCTCCAACAAGGTATGAGCTCGCAGTTAGTCCCTGTACCCCTGACTTCCTGCTCTGCACTCGATCTGTGAAATCTGAGTCCACAGCTCTGTGAAGTCACTCATTTCTGCTCTTTTAGGGGTACAGAAACAAAGGCTGCAGAAGTGATGCCCTCACACTGAGGGCAGTTTGACCTCCCTCTTATTCTAGCAAGTGCCAAGCTCCACTGGAGTACCCGGGAAGAATTCGTTTATCTCTCTGGGTGGGGAGAATCCCTGGGACTTCCCAAATGACTGCAGGCCTGGCTGGGAGGATGAAGGATGTAGCTGGCAGGCCTTCCTATGGCTGCTGGATAGCTCCAGAGCTGGGTTGGAAAGAGGCCACAGTGTGACCTGCTTTCAGGGCTCAGAGGTCAGGCCTGTAAACAGGCTTTGTCTTGCCTTGTAGGGACAATCAACATAGCTGGGACTTTCCCATTTTCAGGGCCTGGGAGGAAATTACTGACTTTATCTTGAAGGCTCAGAGCATACAGGGAATCTGGCCATGTGAAAATGTGGAAAAGGGAGCAGGTGGGAGGGGCATTCCCAGAGTCCTCAGAGTTTGGCGGTGAATTTCCAGCTCCAGTTTCATCAGGAATTAGTGAAGAGAAGGGCCCTCGGGACACTTCAGCCCCTGCCCTGGACTAATATCTTCCTTCCTTCCCCCTGCCTCTGTTCCTCTTGTCTGATTCCCAGGTCAGCTTTAGCTGAGCAAAACCCTTCCAGGCCTGCTTTCCAGAACATCTTCCCCTAGCCAGTCTTGATGCAGAGAGGCTGCAGGAACACCCTGTCTGGGTGTCTATCTCTGCATTCAGCTGTGCTTTCAGTTAATTATAGCAGTGGCATCATACTAGTGCCTCATTTATTGGGCTCCTACTGTGTGCACAGCCCTGTGTTACGTGCTTTAAATACAGCATCTCATCTAAGCCTCAGTGTTACCCTGAAAAGAGTACATTACTGCCTGATTTTTCAAGGTCAAAGAGATGGCTGCTTTGGAGAATGTAGAGGTTGTCTGGGATAAGACTTGGCCCTGTGGTCAGATGTCTCCACAGGCGTGAGTAGGCCTTTTTCAAAGGACTTGTGTGAGAGAATTTGTCCTGGTTTCTACTTCCCAGGGACTAAGGGTGGGAATGGTAGGCGCTCTAGGGTGTGAATATCTGTGTACCTCTGCTGAGACAAGCCCCTCCCCTATAGATACCCTTGTGGGTAGAGTGCTGGGTGCTGGGGCCAACCATGGCCAGGTATGGTGAGGGAGGCTGGATGGGCCCCTTCTTCCCATCCTAATGCCGGGAAGAAGCCAGTCCTGCTGTGTGTGAGTGCCTGCATGTGTCTGAAGCTCTCTGTCTGGTTAAAAGTTTCAATGAGCAACCTCTAGAACCTGATTTCCAGGGTCTGAGCCCCAGCTCTGTCACTTATGATATTATATACTCTGGTCAATTTACTTAGCCTTGTAGTTCCTCTGTTTCAACATTTGTAAAATGAGAATAGTCATAGTCCCTATCTCCTAGCATTGTTGTGAGGATCAGTAAGTTAAATAAATACTTGTTAAGCCCTTAGACTGGCCCCCAGGGTAATCCACAAATGTTAATTGTTATTGTTGTCATCAGTCTCCATCAGTCATCTGGCTCCATGGGTGTGTGTCTGTGGGAGAAATGAGTATGCAGATATGTCTGGCACTGCTGTTTCCACACTTTATATCCTCGGCTTGGCTTTATCGCCCCCTACAAAGACCTAGCCAAGGGCATGTTTCTGAGAAATGACCTGAGAAGACAGAGACGGACTGCAGTGGCCCCTATAACCCTCCCAGGGGGCCACCCTCCCTGTGTTTTATCTCCTTCCAGTGGCAGCACCCAGTGCCCAACATGCAGGAGCTGGATCCCAGAGGTATTTGATTACAGAAACAGAGAAAGGTCTTTTACTAATGATAGGGCCACAAGAATGTTAACACCAGCTACCTTACTTCATAGAGGAGGAAGCAGACTCTCAGTGTGTGTGTGTGTGTGTGTGTGTGTGTGTGCGCGCGCGTGTGCGCGCAAGACAGAGAGCGGGAGTGTGGCGGTATGGGGAAGGAAAGTCACATGTTTAGTAAGTTGCAAAGGGGACATTATACCTGCACCTGCTAGGACTTGCCACAGTGGTGGGTCTGGGTATCCTGGGTGACACTCTGCTCAAAACTGTTACTGAGTATGAGGTGGCTGAATCTGACTGGGAAGCAGAGGGAGGGAGTAGGAAGCTAGGGGCCTGGGACATAGGAACAAATTCACATCCATCTCTTGGGAGCCAGAAGTCCCTGGACAAGTCCAGAGGGGAGGGCACTTCTCCAGCCAGAACAGACCCTGGGTTGGATCACTGGAAGGACTCTGTTTCAGAAGAGGGAGAAAGATACAGTTCGGGGGTAGTGTTCAGAGAGACTGTCAGCACCAATCTCACTCAGGGGTCTTTAACCACTGGACTGGTTCTTCCTGCATGCTGCACAGACACAGTCAATGCACAGAAACCAGAACATTGCAGCAAAGAAGGTGTTTAATTGATGCGAGGCCGACCACACCACGCTGGAGACAGAGTTATTACTCAAATCAATCTCCTTGAAGGCTTGGAGGCTAGGAGTTTTCCTTCTTTTCTGCTCTTCCTTCCTTCCTTTCTTCCTTCCTTCCTTCCTTCCTCTCTCTCTTTCTTTCTTTCTTTCTTTCTCTCTCTCTTTCTTTCTTTCTTTCCTTTCCTTCCTTCCTTCTTTCTTTCTTCTTTCTTTCTTTCTTTCTTTCTTTCTTTCTTTCTTTCTTTCTTTCTTTCTTTCTTTCTTTCATTATTTTTTTTTTACAGGGTCTCATTCTGTCACCCACTCTGGAGAGCAGTGGCGCAATCACAACTCACTGCCTCCTCAACCTCTGCAGGCTCAGATGGTTCTCCCACCTCAGCCTCCCAAGTAGCTGAGACTACAGGCATGCAACACTATGCCAGGCTAATTTTTGTATTTTTTGTAGAGACAGGGTTTTGCCATGCTCCCCAGGCTGGTCTTGAACTCCTGAGCTCACACGATTGGCCCACCTTGACCTCCCAAAGTTCTGGGATTGCAGGTGTGAGCCATCGCGACCAGCAAGGGTCTTTTCAAAGATAGTCTGGTGGGCAGGGGGCTAGCGTATGGGGAGTACTAATTGCTTGAGTCACAGATAAAATTACAGGAGCAATTGGTGGGTCTAGGTGGAGCCATTGGCCATCCAAAAAATCTGAAAAGACATCTCAAAAGGCCAATCTTAGGTTCTACAATGGTGATGTTATCTGCAGGAGTTACTGGGGCAGTTGCATATCCTGTGACTTCTGCAATAATGGCTGGCAATCATTTATGTCTACACTTTAGCAGAATTCAGACTCCTCTATCCTCCTAGCCTGGTGGTCTCTCATTAACTTTACAAAGTAGCTGAGATGTGGGGAAGGCCTATTATCACTTAAACTATAAATTAAATGTCTCCCAAATTTAGCTCAACGTAAGCCCAGGAATAATTAAGGGCAGCTATAAGCAAAATGAGGATTGATTGAATCAGATCTCTTTCGCTGCCGTGATTTTCCCACTGTTACAATTTTTGCAAAGGTGGTTTCATTTCAGGTCAGTTTCCCACGTTAACAGAGTGAAGGAGAGTGAATTAGGACTCAATCTCCTGGGGCTTGGTACTTAGCTAGGAGAGGTAATGGTAAATTTAAAAAAAGAAGTAAATGACCACAATTTATTTTTCTTGCTTTTTCTTTTTAAAAAATTTTTATTTTAGGCTCAGGGATACATGTGCAGGTTTGCTATGTAGGTAGATTGCATGTTTCAGGGGTTTGGTGTACAAATTATTTCCTCACCCAGATAATAAGCATAGTACTCAATAAGTAGTTTTCAATCCTCACCCTCCTCTCACTCTCCACCTTCAAATAGGCCCCAGTGTCTGTTGTCTGTTGTTCCCTTCTTTTCTTTTCTTTCTTTCTTTTTTTTTTTTTTTGAGACAAGGTTTCTCTCTGTCACCCAGGCTGGAGTGCAGTGACACAATCATGGTTCACTGCAGTCTTGACTGCTAAGCTCAAGAGATCCTTTCACTTCAGCCTCCCAAGGAGCTGGGACTACAGGCATGTGCCACCATGCCCAGGTAATTTAATTTTTTTTTTTTTTTTTTTTTTTTTTTGTAGATACAGGGTCTCAGTGTGTTGCCCAGGTGGGTCTTGAACTCCTGAGCTCAAGTAATCCTGCTGCCT
The DNA here is from genome assembly GCF_000001405.40 of Homo sapiens. NCBI lineage: Eukaryota > Metazoa > Chordata > Mammalia > Primates > Hominidae > Homo > Homo sapiens. Next base: position 34,231,797 of record NC_000017.11, on the reverse strand, counting down.
CAGCCTCCCAAAGTGCTGGGATTACAGGCATGAGCCACTGCACCTCGTCAGTTGCTCCCTTGTTTGTGTCCATATGTACGCCATGTTTAGCTTCTACTTGTAAGTGAGAATGTGCAGTATCTGGTTTTCTGTCCCTGCGTTAGTTTGCCAAGGATAATGGCCAACAATGTTGCTGCAAAGGGCATGATCTCATTCTTTTTATGGCCGCATAGTCTTCCATGGTATACATGTACCACATTTGTACCACAATGGTACTACATGTGCCACAATAGTAGACCACAGTCTACCATTGATGGGCATTTAGGTTGATTCTATGTCTTTGCTATTGTGAATAGTGCTGTGATGAACATACACATGCATGTGTCTTTATGGTAGAAGGATTTATCTTCCTTTGGGCATATACTCAATGATGGGATTGCTGTGTCAAATGGTAATTCTGTTTTAAATTCTTTGAGAAATTGCCAAACTGATTTCCACAATTGCTGAAGTAATTTACATTCCCACCAGCAGTGCATAAGCATTCCCTTTTCTCCACAACCTCGCCAGAATCTGTTATTTTTTTTTTGACTTTTTGATAATATTCATTCTGACTGATGTGAGATAGTATCTCATTGTGGTTTTGATTTATATTTCTCTCGTGATCAGTGATGTTGGGCATTTTTTTCATATGCTCATTGGCTACATGAATGTCTTCTTTTGAAAAGTTCCTGTTCATGTCCTTGCCTGCTTTGTAATGGGGTTGTTTATTCTTTGCTTGTTTAAGTTTCTTGTAGTTTCTGGATATTAGACATTTGTCAGATGCAGTTTGCAAATATGTTCTCCCATTCTGTAGGTTGCCTGCTTAACCTGTAGTTTCACTGTTCAGAAGTTCTTTAGTTTAATTAGGTCCCATTGGTCAATTTTTTGTTGTTGTTGCTGTTGCTGTTGCTTTTAGTGTCTTTTTCATGAAGTCTTTTCCAGTTCCTATGTCCAGATTGATATTTCTTAGGTTGCCTTCCAGAGTTTTTATAGTTTTTGGTTTTAGATTTAAATCTCTAATCCATCTTGAGTTAATTTTTGTATATGGTGTAAAGAAGGTGTCCAGTTTCAACCTTCTGTGTATGGCTAGCCAGTTATCTGAGCATGATTTATTGAATAAGAAGTCCTTTTGCCATTGCTAGCTTCTGTGAATTTTCTCAAAGATCAGGTGGTTGTAGGTACACAATATTATTTCTGGGCTCTCTATTCTGTTCCATCAATCTATGCACCTGCTTTTGTACTGTTGCCATGCTGTTTTTGTTACTATAGCTTTGTAGTATAGTTTGAAGTTAGGTAATGTGATGCCTCCAGCTTTGTTCTTTCACTTAGGATTGCCTTGGCTAATTGAGCTCTTTTTTGGTTCCATAAGACTTTTTTTTTTTTTTTTTGAGATGGAATCTCACTCTGAAACCCAGGCTCGAGTGCAATGGTGTAATCTCAGCTCACTGCAACCACAACCTCTCAGGTTCAAGCAGTTCTCCCACCTCAGCCTCCTGAGTAGCTGGAATTACAGGCACATGCCATCATGCCTGTATTTTTAGTAGTGATGAGGTTCCATCATGTTGGCCAGGCTGGTCTCGAATCCTGACTTCAGGTGATCTACCCTCCTCAGCCTCCCAAAGTGCTGGGATTACAGGCATGAGCCACCATGCCTGGCCCCACCCCATATGAACTTTTTAATAGTTTTTTCCTAATTCTATGAAAAATGTCATTGGCAGTTTGAAAGGAATAGCACTGAATCTGTAAATTGCTTTGAGCTGTATGGCCATTTTGAGAATGTTGATTCTTCCTGTCCATGACTATGGAATATTTTTACATTTGTTTTTGTCATCTCTGATTTCTTTGAGCAGTGTTTTGTAATCCTTGTTGTAGAGGACTTTCACCTCCTTGGTTAGCTGTATTCTCCTAGGTATTTTAGTCTTTTTCTGGCTATTGTGAATGGAATTGTATTCTTGATCTGGCTCTCAGCTTGGATATCATTGGTGTATAGGAATGCTACTGATTTTTGTACATTGATTTTGTATCCTGAAACTGCTGAAGTTGTATATTAGATCAAGAAGCATTTTTGAGGAGGAGAGGGGAACTAAATTTTTGGAGGGGAACTAAATGTCACCTAAAGTTAGCTTGGCCTAAGGCCAGGAATAATTAAGGGCAGCTAAAGGCAAGGTGGGGCAAGATGGGGGTCAGTTAAATAAGATCTCATTCATTGCCATAATTTTCTCACTGTTATAATTTTTGCAAAGGTGGTTTCATTTCCAGGTCAGTTTCCCAAGTAACAGAGTGAGGGAGAGTGAATTAGGACTCAGCCTCCTGGTGCTTGATACTTGGTTAAGAGATGTAAAGGTAAATTTAAAAAATAAAGAAATCACCACAATTTATTTTTCTTTTTAGCCTTCCCAATACCTGCAAAAAAAAAAAAATCTGTCCTGCAGACCATGAAACTGAAGATTGATAAGAAAATGTTTTCATTGTTATTGTTCAAGTTTGCACAACTATTGAGGAGCAGACCTGGTGTGTCTGCCTTATGGTAGGTTATCACCTTCATGAGTGTGTTGAGGGAGTATAACCACCCAATGGGTTTACCTTGCCCTCTGCCTAGACAGAGCCAATTTCTCAAGACAGAGGAATTGCAATAGAGAAAGAGTAATTCACTCAGAGCCTGCTGTGCGAGAGACTAGAGTTTCATTATTACTCAAATCAGTCTTCCCAAATATTTTGGGAGCAGAGTTTTTAAGCAAAACTTGGTGGACGGGGGGAAGCCGGTGAGCCCAGAGTGCTGATTGGTCAGAGATGAAATCACAGAGAGTCCAAGCTGTCTTCTTGCACTGAGTCAGTTCTTGGGTGGCAGCCACAAGATCAGATGAGCCAGTTTGTCAATCTGGGGGTGCCAGCTGATCCGTGAAGTGCAGAGTCTGCAAAATATCTCAAGCACTGATCTTAGGAGCATTTTAGGGAGGGCCAGAATCTTATAGCCTCCAGTTGCATGACTCCTAAACCATAATTTCTAATCTTGTGGCTAATGTTAGTCCTACAAAGGCAATCTAGTCCCCAAGCAAGAAAGAGGTCTGCTTTGGGAAAGGGCTATCATCTTAGTTTTAAACTGTAAACTGTAAACCAAGTTTCTCCCAAAGTTAGTTCAGCCTCTGTTCAGGAATGAACAAGGACAACTTGGAGGTTAGAAGCAAGATGGAGTCGGTTAATTTAAATGGCTTTCCCTGTCTCAGTCATAATTTTGCAAAGGCTGCTTCAGGAGGGGGAAGGTGGGAAGGGATAATGAGAGAAAGAATAAGACAAATTCACTGATACATATCATCTGGGACAGGAAGTTGTCAATGAGAAGAATCAAACTCTGTAAAATATTTGGAGAGATTTATTCTGAACCAAATATAAGTGACCATGGCCTGTGACACAGCCCTTAGAAGACCCTGAGAACATGTGCTCAAGGTGGTTGGGAGGCAGATTGGATTTATACATTTTAGGGAGACATGAGACATCAATCAAATGCATTTAAGATACACATTGGTTCAGTCCAGAAAGGGGGGACAACTTGAAGAGGGGGCAACAGGGATTCCAGGTTATAGGTAGATTTAAAATTTTTCTGATTGTCAATTTGTTGAAAGAGTTATTATCAATAGAAAGGAATGCCTGGGTTAGAATAAGAGATTGTGGGGACCGAGTTTTATCATGCAGATGAAACTTCCAGATAGCAGGCTTCAGAGAGAATCCATAGTAAATGTTTCTTATCAGACGTAAAGTTCCTGCGGTTAAATGCTGGTTGGCTTTTCCTGAATTCTGAAAGAGAGAAGGGCATAATGGGGCATGTCCAACCCCCCTTCCCATCATGGCCTGAACCAGTCTTTCAGGTTAACTTTAGAGTGCCCTGGCCAAGAGGAGGGAGTTCATTCAGGTGGTTGAGGGTGGGGGTGGGACTTTAGATTTTATTTTTGGGTTACAATGTGAATAGTGGCAGGAGGAAGTGCTGAGTTCTGTGTGTGTTCTGAAGGGGAAAGTTCTTGTTTATTTGCAGTGATCAATACAGAGAAGTAGAAGGTGCCTGCTGGGGAAACATGCCCACTTCAGGAGGAAGAAAGACCACACATAGAAAACACTGAAAAGTTGCTGGGCACTGTGGCTCACGCCTATAATCCCAACAGGGGATTTGGGAGGCTGAGCTGGGTAGATCTCTTGAGGCCAGGAGTTTGAGACCAGCCTGGCCAACATGGTGAAACCCCGCCTCTACTAAAAATACAAAAATTAACTGGGTGTGGTGGTGCATGCCTGTAATCCAAGCTACTTATGAGGCTGAGGGACAAGAATCACTTGAACCCAGGAGGTCAAGTTTGCTGTGAGCCAAGATCATGCCACTGCACTCCAGCTTGGAAACAGAGTGAGACTCTACCTTAAAAAAAAAAAGAAAAAAAAAAAAAAGAAAAAAAAGAAAAGAAAAAGAAAAAGAAAAGAAAAGAAAAGAAGAGAAAAGAAAAGAAAAGAAAAGAAAACACTGAAAAGATCTGCTTAGGCATCTCCTCCACCAGACTATCAGCAACCATGACAGGAACCAGGACCTAGGCATAGCTCTTCTCAATGCTTTCCTGAGTATCCACTGCACAACAGGGCTTCTGAAAATGGTTTGAAATGAACTGAACTACAGAAGATCAAAGTCAGAACTTCAAAAGGAGAGAGTTAACCAAAGAAAGGTATTTGACTGGAAGCATTTCATCTCAATGTTCATTTAGTTAATTTCTACCAGATATTCAACACTGCATTGGACCCTGGAAGGGAGATGAAACATTGGATATTGTATAAAGAGAAGAAAGACAAGTGATATTTGGAGAGTTTGGGATGAAAAGAAGAGAAGGGAGTGAACCAAAATTCACTGACCTATGTGTCATACTAGGGGTGGTGCATTTTATATTGAATATTTCATGTAATCCTTATAATGCCCATACTAAGCATGTACCACTATTCTCATTTTACTAACAAGGAACCTGAGACTCAGTGAGATTAAATAACTTGCTCAAGGCAATAAGGCTAACAGGGAACAGATTCGAGCTTTGATATGAGACTACAAAGTCCATAGATCTCTCCACTCAACCACACTTGCTTCTGAAACATTCTACAAACTGATCCCTGAAGTAGAGCATTCTATACATCCCAATCATCAACTCCAATTTAATAACAGGTACCGCAAAACCACAGAAACATCAAGAACAGTTGTTCCAATGTATTCACCACTGGAGGTTGAGACTTGAGCCATGAATGGAATTAAACTGTATCATTAGAAACAGAGACTGGGCAAGTGAGTTTAAGACTCCCTGTCTCATGCTTTAATTATCATCACCTAGCAGCAGAAATGTGGCTTCAATTAGAATCTTAGATGTTTGGGGTTTTTTTCTTCTGATTTTATAATGTAAGTTTCAAGGCCATGGCAGCCTTTAATTTACTGCACATACCTGTTTATACACTTTTTCCATGTCTTCTGAGCTACTGTGTCTGGCTTCGTTTACTTAGTTCCAGATGCCTGAGGCTACTTAAAATAATGAAGTCACAGGAGTAAATTTAACTTCAAACCAAATCATCAAGCATCTGCAGGACATGACTTCTTTACACTGATGATTCATACATTGAGTGAAAAGTTGGAGGTTTGGGCCTTTTATGTCCATGTGCTTAATTACTGTATCTCCTCACATCATGGAGCTCTTTATGATTGAGTTGGGTCTCATTAACTGTGGAAAACTGAGCACTTCACATGTATTCATTCCTGCATGCACTCATTTCTTTGGCAATTATTTCACTGGGTACCTGTTATGCTCTTGGTATCATGGTGATGAGTAAGGTAAAGTCTCTGCCATCAAGGGGTTCAGGGTCTATGAACCCCAAAGAGCCTGTTATACTTCAATTCTATGCTTGCTGCCATGAGAGTTTGTATACAGTATTTTGATTTTCCAAAGGAAGAAAACTTCAGTTTTGAGTTTTTAGAATCTTGATACTGTCTATGCTAAGTAAGACGGGTTTACCTTGGGGTTTGGTTCTTTCCTTTGGAGCCAGGAAGACTTCAGGTTACCACCATACCCACTACTTGCCAGAAATAAGCAGAGAATTGGGATGGGGTGTATGAGTTGGGAATGGGAATTACCCTTCTTCAACTGACATAGGACTTTGGATGTTGTCTCCTTTGACTTCAGAATGTGCAGGAGGCCAGTTTTTCCCTGTCCTGATTACTTGATGCTGTGATATCAGAGCTGGACAGGGACCATTCCTTTTCCATCCTCTGCCCGAGCTCACTAAAGCTTCAGACAGTTCTGGAGAAAGGGTGACTCCCTGTAGTGACAATTCACCCATAACTTAGAGAAATAGTGAATCATGGACAGAGGTGGGCCCCCTTAAAGGCACCAGGAAGGTGAAGGGGAAGACTAACAGTTTCTCAACAATAACCAGTTTCCAACTAAATCATAACTGTGCCACTCAAGAGCCACCGAAAGGGAATGCTTTAACTGTGAATGTGTGTGTGTGTGTGTGTGTGTGTGTGCGCGCGTGCGCGCGTGTTGGGGGTGAAGGGAGCTGCTATGCTATTGTGCCACTGGAGTCTCACAGTAAGGAGAGAAACAAGAGTCACTTGAAGACCCGTATTTTGGGGTTGGCAGGTACCTGCTTTCAAGTATTGGTAGTTGAGAGAAACTTCCAAACCCACTCGTACTTTCCCATTCCCTAAAATAGATATGCTGCCATTTTCTTTCGCTTAACCCCAACCCCCACACTGCCTCAAGGCTTGGTTTTTGACTCTGAATGGACAGAAAAGATGATAAATATGAAGATAAAGATGAATCCTCTTTGAGCTTTGCTGTTTCAATAGATAAAATACTTGGTGTGCATCCAGGCTTTGTGACTTACGTTTCAATCAGCTTATCAAGTGCTCTGAGATTGAGCTCATGTTCTAGAAATCAACTTTTCCATCTGCGAGAAAGCAAGTGCTAGCACAACAGGCTATAAAGGGTGTGCTTAGTTTCTGATGTTTTGTGCCACAAACAGGAATGAGGAAGGAGCGGGCATGAGGATAACGCACGACGGAAAAGAGTCACTGTGAATTGTTATCTTTCACACAACTATTTGGGCCACACAAACACACTTCTGGCCTGTGTCCCAGCCATTATCCTTTTCAGGAAACTTCAGTTTTTCAGAATTACCTGAAGGTGTTCTAAGAAATTCAGATTTCTGGGCTCCACCTACCAATATTCATTCAATCTATGTATTAGTTAGGAAAAGCCAACTTTTACCAAATAATCCGACAGTTTCAATGGCTGCGTAAGGTAAAGGCTTCTTCTCCATGTGGCAACCCAGTATGGGTCAGTGGGGCCAGAGTTCTCAATTTTACTCTGGGTTTATTCTGGGACCCAAGCTCCCCCATCAAATGGCTCTATCATTTCTTATAGCCTCAGATTCCTATCCCGGGTCTTCTATGTCTATCCCACAAGTGAGAGAATGGGGTGGGAATGTGGAGACACCCCCAGTCTTAATTGCCGCAGTGTGGAGGCCATGTCACTTCCACTCACAGCCCATTGGCAAGAACTGGTCTCATGACCCCAGGTAGGAGCCTGAGAGATGTACTCTAGCTATGTGCCCAGGAGGAAAAGGCAACTTGGTGGAAAATTAACCAGTCATAGACATGATCTGGATGGGAACAGATATATATGCATTTTTTTGTTCATTTAAACATTTTATTATGTATATTCGAGGCTTACAACATGCTGTTACAAATACACGTTTATTCTAACCATCTTTGGTAACTCTAACAAAGGTGGCTTGAAGCCCGTTTTCTTGAGGAAGTTTTATCCACAAGAACCTGTGTGAGTAATAGCAAGTGGGTGCTAAATCATTTTCAGATCATGGAGATTGTCTTGTAGGGGCAGAAATGGAAATGCACAAGACAAATGCCCACTAGTATCCTGGTGTTCTCAGGAGAGTGGTTCTTGTTCATAGCCAGAGCTTCCGCAGCTGAAGCTCAAGCCCACAATTCCACAGCCCAAGGAATGAAAGACCAGCAATTAAGAAGGCTCATTTCACTTCCCTGAGACTCAAGTTCTTCATCTATAAAATGGGGTTGTGAATACATTCCATCGAGTAAGCTAGTTGAAATGCCTATCACACTGCCTACCATACAGTAAGTGTACAAAAAAAAGTTACAAGTTATTTAGTGAGGACTTGGCTCATACATTTCCAGAAGAATGATGGTATTCATAGCTCAGAGATAGAGTAAGCTCCTGTTGCTCAAAGGATATTCCACACACCAGCAACATCGGAGCTTTTGGGAAACACAGAATCTCAGGTTCCCCCACAGATCTACTAACTTCCAGAATCTGCCACTACAATATTTGCAGGTGATTCCACCACTTAACAAGCTGTGTGTATTAACATCTGAGATTCCCTGGGATAGAGGCCATCTTCAGCCTCTTCAGTCCAAGTCTCTTTGTTTGAGAAAGACTCTTGGCAGAGTGTGAGGGGTGAGGACATCACTGTTGGCCTGGAAGAAACAGATGATGGTAATCATGTTGGGAAAGGGTTATTTCCATTCTTTTGTTGTGCTTGTCTTCCTAATTAAAGGCTCCTTTATAAAGCAACTCTTATCTCCTATCTCTCATTCAGGTGTTTGGCCTATATCTTCACAGGACCTCTTTCATTGTTTTTCCTAGAAAAGAAGATGTCAGCATTTTTGAGATTGGAGGATGATCAAGGACAGACCTCCTAGAAGCTTGAAGGTGGACAGAGTAATGGAGTTTTTAGAGCCTAATTGGTGATTGCAGGGGATCAAGAGAATATTGCAGCTCTAAACAGTTATTATGGGAAGTGCAAGTTGTTATGGTGATGGGGGAACTGAAAACAGATTGGATAAGATGTTGAAATAATGGGAAAAAAACCCGTGTTGTGTATTCTTAGAATCGTGCATGAAAAAGCCATAGCCTGTCTATATGCATCTGGAAGACAGCCATAAGTCAGCAATTAACAATAATAATATATTTATGATCTCTTCCTCTCATTCTCTTTATCAAGTTATCTAAATCTTGATTACAAAAACAATCAAGACAGAGCTTTGCAATTTGCATAACACATTTTAGGCATTCATTTATTTAGCAAATATTTATTGAGCATATACTGTGTATCAGAAACTGAGCCAGGTACTGGGATTATATTGGTAAAGAAAACAAACCCAGGCACTTTATGGAAATTGCACTGTAGTAGGTTTATACTGTAGTGGGCTTAGCTAGTTTTTATTGAGCATTTACTGTGTACCAGTCACTATGTTAGGTATAGTGACCCCCAAGGATCCTCATAACAATTCTCTGAGGTTGGCACCTTTCTTATCTTCTTCACCCAGCTGGGATTGGAAGGAGTGCTTGAGGCTCAAAAGTTTAGGTGACATGCCCAAGGAGATTTAAATAGTTGCCGATGGGCCAAGGAAGAACCCATCTAAGATATTCATCCATCATGGGCATTTTATACCTGGCCACTGGTCTGCACATATTCTGAAAATAGCAGTGGAGCCGAGCCTTGAATGCTGAACAGGGTTTTGGAGGCAGAGAACGTTCCAGGAAGTGGAGCATGAGGAAACTTGGAGGTGATGAGAGGACCGAGTGTCCCTTGGGGAAGGGACCATCTCTAGAATGAGGAGTGGAGGCCTGAAAGTGAAGGCTGCCTTTGGGAATGACAGACATTTCTCATTGTAGCCACAGCACAGTATCTGCAGCTGTAGAGTGGGCATCGAACAATGATGAAAAGACAAGATCTGGCCAGATGCTGATGGGCCTTGCGTGCCACTCCACAGAGTTGGTCCTTTATCCTTTAGGCATCAGGGAACCATCTATATGTGCAAGAGTGAAGAGGCCAGAGTTCTGTTTTAGTACCATCACTCATACAGGAAGATGGAATGTGAATTTGGCACTGGGTGGCAGGGGTGGCAAGCAGTGCAAAAAGATAAAAATGTTAGCTAGAAAGCTGTCACTGTCCCCATTCCCAGCCTTCTCACCCTGCTGGATAGTGATCTAACCACTGCTCCTCAAGCTTCAATGTGGGTTGCAATTCCTGGGGAACTTGTTAACATGCAGACTTTGGTTGAATGGGTCTGGGATGGGGATGAAATCCTGCATGTTTAACAAGCTCCAGGGTGATGCAGATGCTGCCTCATTGGGGACTGCACTGTGTGTAGCAAGATGTAGAGAACAATGACAATATGCATGGAGCACCTACTCCGTGCCACAACTTTGCTGAGCTCTTTGTACGTACGTTTCTATTCAATGATCTCAACAGCAAAGAGGCAGTTACGGTTGTTATCCCTATTTTACTGATAAAGGAACTAGATTTCAGGGAGGTAAGGTAGTTTATTCTAAGTTACATAGACATTTTAGCCTGGTCTCTGAATTTTTCATGCCATGTAGAACAAACAAAATGCAGTCAGAGAGCCCATGAGCTTATTAAACTTCAGATCCTTTCGCGGAAACCTTATTGCGGCATGCTAACCCCAAGAAGGATTCAATCATTACTCACATCCCAAAAGGAAGGAAGAGGCAGTTTTCTCTTTTTAATCTCATGACCGAGAGGGGTGACTTTAAGAAACAGCCCTGGATGACCACAGGCAAAAAGATAGGGGAGGGTAGAAGATCAGTGAAGCAAATGTCTTTAAATGCCAATGGTGACTGATGCAGTGTCTTGGTGTGAGGGGGATGGGAAGCAGTGATTATGGGCCATGGTGCGCCAAGCAGCCATTTGTTGCTCTATGTACATTTTCATGGTTTGGGACAAGGCATGGACAGGCAGCCTGGGAAGGTCTCATTTCCACTGTCAGAGATTATGTGATGCAGGGAGCACTCCAGAGGTGTTACATAATCTGCCATTGCAACATCCACACCTAGGGTTTCTTGCTTCCTCTGGCCAGATCTAGAAAGCAAGTCAAAAGTCACAGAAGGAGGCAATATTTAGGCTCTAGGCTGAAAAATCCCATGGGAGCAATGAGAGACAATGGCTGAGGAGAGCTCTGACCATCTCTCTCAGCTAGGAAAGGCTGGCTGTTATTATTTATGCTGGTCCAAAAGCAATATTTGGGAATTGACTTTTGGTGCCCAGTAGCTGAGCTGGCAAGGCAGGTGTTGTCTGTGAACCACTAGCCTCAGAATCACCTAGCATTTCTTAAAGGTGACTGAGCCTCTCTCCAGACCTACTGAATCAGAATGTGGGGGGTGAGGGTGGACTTTCATTTTTAACATATTTCTCAGGTGATTTGCATGCACTTTAAGAACTGCTTATAGACTCCATTAGCAGCATGAGAAACCTAGACAAGATAGGAAAATAATATGGGTTCTGGAGTCAAACAAACCTCCCAGACTTGTGCCATATCCTTGAAGCTTATTAGCTATGTGATCTTGTACAAATTGCTTGACTTCTTTGATTCCCATTTGTAAAATGGGTTTATGATACTCCACACTGAGGAGTGTTGTGAAGGTCAGAAGACTGTGTTTGCAAATGCCTGCTGCATATCAGGCACTCAACAAATACTTGTGGGTTTAAGTTTAAATTAAGCATTTTCCAGGCTTCACTCTCAATCTTGTTAAAATAGCCTCAGGTGCTCATCTACCCAGGACATTTGCGATTGGTGGGTAGAAGAGTGTGGGAAAGTGAGGAGAACTTGGGTGATGTAATACGATGTATTCTCATTATTTTTGCCAATTTATAGGCTTTGAGACAGATGTGAGAATCGAGGTCTCAGCAGCCTGGGACACTGTGCTGTCTCTAACAAGATGCATTTTAGCAGGGATAGGAAAGATACTGACTTTGTACTTCACAAATTTAGGTGCAAACATGTGACCCAGGATAGGAAAATGAAGGTGAGCATAATAGGAAAATGAAGGTGAGCTTGGGTTGCTTTACAAGAAGTATAAGCTTTGGAATGAGGGAGTGGATCTCACTCTTCTTGTTCTGCTGGCCAGGACAGCCTGAAAACCTTCACACATTATGAGCTGGGGAGAGAGTGGGCCTTATCTTCAAAGGAGAGGAAATTGGGTGGTAAAAGGAGTTAAGGTCATATAATTGAGGAGTGTTTTTAAAGAGTGGAGTGGTTTAGCCTACCCAAAAAGAGGCAATACAGTCACTGTATGCAGTAATCTGAAAGCATGAGTTGGGGAAGTGGTCTAAAGGAGCAGAATTAACAACATTGGGTGAAAACTGCTGCGACAAAGATTTTAGTTTCTTAGAGGGAAGAACTTCAACAATGGCTACCGCTATTGTGCTCCTCTACCAGGTAAGTTCAATAGCTTTATGTCATCAACACTCAAGCAACCTGGCCAAGCAGGAATTTTTTTTCTCCATTTTTCAGATGAAGAAACAGACTTAAAGAAGGGAAGTGACTTGGCAAAGCCACATGGATTAAAAGGGTTGAAGCCAAGAACAAAAGCTTGGAAGTCAGAGGAGTCTGCTCCCTCCACTGTATTGGGTTCTCTATCTACAAGCAGAGGAGCCTGAAGAAGGAATGAGTTGATTGGAAAGTAATATGTTCCCTGTTATTGAAGGTGACCACCTGTCAATGATTCCATGGAAAAGACTCAAGAAAAACAAATTGGTAGATCTTTGGAGTTAGGATCTTAGACTCTAAAATCATACGCCACTTCAGTAACTCATTGGCTGAGATTTGCTTGTTTGTTTATTTCCTTTTTGCTGTTTTATAGACCTACTGTAGTCTAAGTGTTTGTCATAGGGCCAGGTCCCTGTAATGCATGCCCAAGAAATGACTTGGCTCTTAAAAAGGACTACAGTCATCTGTGATGGCCCCAAATGTCCTCCCAGTCCTCAGATGCACAGGCAGTTACTTGTCTCTCACTCATCACACATGGGGCAAGACTTCCTTCCCCCATCCTTGAGATTTCTTACAATCAGCTTTGGCTTTAAGTCTCTGTCCCCAGACACTTGCCAACCCCCAAGAGCTCATCTTTCAGTCCCAAACTTGGTATGGAGGAATTCCATGCTGGGTGAAAGCTAGGATTGCCAAAAAGCACAGAAGAGGAACACCCATGGAAGTTGCAGAGGTCTTGCTTCTTGGAAAAGAAAGAGCATAACTTTGGATTTAAATCTGGCATCTCTCACTGCTTGATGGAGTACTTTAGTAAGTCTCTTAATATCTTTCAGCCTCAGTTCAAAGACCATTGAGTGATATTATCAACACCTCACAAAGCTATGCAAAATCTAGAAGGCCACACACATACATATGACATTGTACCTGCTTAGGGCTGTATAAATGCTCAGAAAGACTTGAAAAGACCCTAAGCTCTCACCTCTGACTAAATTTGAGGCACTGAGCAAACAGGAAGTGAAAGCTAAGGCAGAGTAGGTTTTTTATTTTTTGAGATGGAGTCTTGCTCTGTCACCCAGGCTGGAGTGCAGTGGCGTGATCTCGGCTCACTGCAAGCTCCGCCTCCCAGGTTCAAAGAGTCTCCTGCCTCAGCATCTGGAGTAGCTGGAATTATAGGCACCTGCCACCACGCCTGGCTAATTTTTTTTTTTTTTTGTATTTTTATTAAAGATGAGGTTTCACTATGTTGGCCAGTCTGGTCTCAAACTCCTAACCACAAGTGATCCACCCACCTTGGCCTACCAAAGTGCTGGGATTACAGGTGTGAGCCACCACGTCCAGCCCACTAGGGCAGAGTTGTAAACAGCCCTTCTGTTGTTGAAAGTGAGCCCCAACACACAGAGCTCCCTGGCAAAGACTGAAAGACTTACTGGCCCCAAGTGTCTGAGGAAATTTCTATCCAGTCACTAGCTAAACACTAAGCTGATAAGAGATTTCAGTGGCCACATGTGACAAAAAATGCAGACTTTACAGAATTATCTTGTAAAAGTCATTAAACCTGAACATAAAAGCAAATAAAATGCAACAACAAAATTTGCATGGAGAATCTGCTTTTCAGGATTGCCATATTATATTATTTAAAATGTCCAGCTTCCCTATCATCAGAGTGAACAGGCAACCTACAGAATGGGAGAAAATTTTTGCAATCTATCCATCTGACAAAGGGCTAATATCCAGAATCTACAGAGAACTTAAACAAATTTACAAGAAAAATACGAACAACCCCATCAAAATGTGGGCAAAGGATATGAACAGACACTTCACAAAGAAGACATTTATGTGGCCAACAAACTTAAGCAAAAAGCTCATCATCTCTGCTCATTAGAGAAATGCAAATCAAAACCACAATGAGATACCATCTCACACCAGTTAGAAAGGCAATCATTAAAAAGCCAGGAAACAACAGATGCTGGAGAGGATGCGGAGAAATAGAAACGCTTTTACACTGTTGCTGGAAGTGTAAATTAGTTCAACCATTGTAGAAGATAGTGTGGTGATTCCTCAAGGATCTAGAACCAGAAATACCATTTGACCCAGCAATCCTATTGGGTATACACCCAAAGGATTATTAATCATTCTACTATAAAGACACATGCGCACATATGTTTATTGCAGCACTGTTCACAATAGCAAAGACTTGGAACCAACCCAAATGCCCATCAATGATAGATTGGATAAAGAAAATGTGGCACATATACACCATAGAATACTGTGCAGCCATAAAAAAAGATGAGTTCATGTCCTTTGCTGCGAAATGGATGAATCTGGAAACCATCATTCTCAGCAAACTAACACAAGAACAGAAAACCAAACACTGCATGTTCTCACTCCTAAGTGGGAGTTGAACAATGAGAACATATGTACACAGGGAGGGGAACATCACACACTGAGGCCTGCCAGGAGGTGGGGGGCTAGGAAAGGGATAGCATTAGGAGAAATACCTAATGTAGATGGCAGGTTGATGGGTGCAACAAACCCCCATGGCACATGTATACCTATGTAACAAACCTGCACGTTCTGCACATATATCCCAGATCTTAAAGTATAATTTTTAAAAAAAGTCCAGTTTCTAACCAAAATTATGGGACATGAAAAGAAACAAAAATTAGGGCATCTACACAGGAAAATAAAATAAAACACAACAAAAGAAGTCAATGTAAACTGTCCCTGAAGAAATCCAGATGTTGGATTTACCAGCTCTCAAATTTAAAAAATCTAACCTTCCATATTAAAAACTAGAAAAAGAAGAGCAAACTAAACCCAATGCTCACAGAAGGAAGGAGATAATAATGATAAAAGCAAAAGTAAAGAAAATAGAGAATATAAACACCGTAGAGAAAATAGACAAAACATAAGTTGGTTCTCTTAAAAGATCAACAAGGTTGACAAACATTTACTAGAATAATCAAGAAAAAAAAGAAACATCCTCCAAATTACTAAAATAAGGAATAGAAGAAATGACATTACTACTGACCTTACAGAAAGGGAAAGGATTATAAGGAAATACTACGAACAATAGTATGAACAGCTAACAGATAACATCATACATAATAACAGAAGAGTAAAATCTTTCCCCATAAGATCAGAAACAAGATAAGGATGTCTGTTCTCAACACTTCTACTCAGCATTGTGCTGGGGACTCCATTCAGGTCACTTTGGCAAAGAAAATAAATATAAGCCATCCAGATTGGAAAGGAAGAAGTAAAACCATGTTTGCAGATGACATGATCCTGTATATAGAAAACCCTACAGAACCCACAAAAAAATCTCTATTAGAGCTAATAAGTGAGTTGGGCATGGTGGCTCACACCTGTAATCCCAGCACTTTGGGAGGCTGAGGCAAAAGGATCACCTGAGCTCAGGAGTTTGAGACCAGCCTGGGAAACATAGTGAGACTCATCTCTATTTTTAAAAAATAAAATAAAACTCTAAAAAAAAACAATAAAAAATAGAGTTAATAAATGAGTTCAGCAAGGTTGCAGGATTTACAAGCTCAATATACAAAAATCAAGTATGGAAAAAACAGTCCAAGGTGGCCAAATAGGAACAGCTCCATTCTACAGCTCCCAGCGTGAGTGATGCAGAAGACAGGTGACTTCTGCATTTCCAAATGAGGTACCAGGTTCATCTCACTGGGGCTTGTTAGACAGTGGGTGCAGCCCACGGAGCAGAGTGGGGCATTGCCTCACCCTGGAAGGGCAAGGGGTCAGGGAACTCCCTTTCCTAGCCAAGGGAAGCTGTGACAGACGGTACCTGGAAAATCAGGACACTCTCACACTAATACTGCACTTTTCCAATGGTGTTAGCAAATGGCACACCAGGAGATTATATCCCATGCCTGGCTCAGAGGGTCCTATGCCCATGGAGCCTCACTCACTGCTAGCACAGCAGTCTGAGATCGAACTGCAAGGTGGCAGTGAGGCTGGGGGAGGGGTGTCTGCCATTGCTGAGGTTTGAGTAGGTAAACAAAGCAGCCAGGAAGCTCGAACTGAGTGGAGCCCACTGCAGCTTGAGAAGGCCTGCCTGCCTCTGTAGACTCCACCTGTGGGGGCAGGGCATAGCTGAACAAAAGGCAGCAGAAACTTCTGAAGACTTAAACATCCCTGTCTGACAGCTTTGAAGAGAGTAGTGCTTCTCCCAGCACAGAGTTTGAGATCTCAGAATGGACAGACTGCCTCCTCAAGTGGGTCTCTGACCCCCAAGTAGCCTAACTGAGAGACACCTCCCAATAGGGGCCGACTGACACCTCATACAGCTGGGTGCCCCTCTGAGATGAAGCATCCAGAGGAATGTTCAGGCAGCAACATTTGCCATTCTGCAATATTTGCTGTTCTGCAGCTTCCGCTGATGATACCCAGGCAAACAGGTTCTGGAGTGGACCTCCAGCAAACTCCAACAGATCTGCAGCTGAGGATCCTGACTGTTAGAAGGAAAACTAACAAACAGAAAGGACATCCACACCAAAACCCCATCTGTACGTCACCATCATCAAAGACCAAATGTAGATAAAACCACAAAGATGGGGAGAAACCGGAGCAGAAAAGCTGAAAATTCTAAAAATCAGAGTGCCTCTTCTCCTCCAAAGGAACACAGCTCCTCACCAGCAATGGACAAAAATTGGATGGAGAATGACTTTGACAAGCTGAGAGAAGAAGGCTTCAGATGATCGGTAATAACAAACTTCTCTGAGCTAAAGGAGAGTGTTCGAATCCATTGCAAAGAGGCTAAAAACCTTGAAAAAAGATTAGATGAATGGCTAACTAGAATAAACAGCATAGAGAAGACCTTAAATGACCTGATGGAGCTTAAAACCATGGCACAAGAACTACATGACACATGCACAAGCTTCAGTAGCCAATTCGATCAAGTGGAAGAAAGGTTATCAGTGATTGAAGATCAAATGAATGAAATGAAGCGAGAAGAGAAGTTTAGAGAAAAAAGAGTAAAAAGAAACAAACAAAGCCTCCAAGAAATATGGGACTATGTGAAAAGACCAAATCTACGCCTGATTGGTGTACCTGAAAGTGACAGGGAGAATGGAACCAAGTTGGAAAACACTCTTCAGGATATTATCCAGGAGAACTTCCCTAACCTAAAAAGACAGGCCAACATTCAAATTCAGGAAATACAGAGAACACCACAAAGATACATCTCAAGAAGAGCAACTCCAAGACACATAATTTTCAGAATCACCAAAGTTGAAATGAAGGAAAAAATATTAAGGGCCACCAGAGAGAAAGGTCGGGTTACCCACAAAGGGAAGCCCATCAGACTAACAGCAGATCTCTTGGCAGAAACTCTACAAGCCAGAAGAGAGTGGGGGCCAATATTCACGTTCTTAATGAAAAGAATTTTCAACCCAGAATTTCATATCCAGCTAAACTAAGCTTCATAAGTGAAGGAGAAATAAAATACTTTACAGACAAGCAAATGCCAAGAGATTTTGTCACCACCAGGCCTGCCTTGCAAGAGCTCCTGAAGGAAGCACTAAACGTGGAAAGGAACAACCGGTACCAGCCACTGCAAAAACATGCCAAATTGTAAAGATCATCAAGACTAGGAAGAAACTGCATCAACTAACAAGCAAAATAACCAGCTAACATCATAATGACAGGATCAAATTCACACATAACAATATTAACCTTAAATGTAAATGGGCTAAATGCTCCAATTAAAAGACACAGACTGGCAAATTGGATAAAGAGTCAAGACCCATCAGTGTGCTATATTCAGGAGACCCATCTCATGTGCAGAGACACACATAGGCTCAAAATAAAGGGATGGAGGAAGATCTACCAAGCAAATGGAAAACAAAGAAAAGCAGGGGTTGCAATCCTAGTCTCTGATAAAACAGAATTTAAGCCAACAAAGATCAAAAGAGACAAAGAAGGCCATTACATATTGGTAAAGGGATCAATTCAACAAGAAGAGCTAACTATCCTAAATATATATGCACCCAATACAGGAGCACCCAGATTCATAAAGCAAGTCCTTAGAGACCTACAAAGAGATTTAGACTCCCACACAGTAATAATGGGAGACTTTAACACCCTACTGTCAACATTAGACAGATCAATGAGACAGAAAGTTAGCAAGGATATCCAGGAATTGAACTCAGCTCTGCACCAAGTGGACCTAATAGACATCTGCAGAACTCTCCACCCCAAATCAACAGAATATACATTGTTTTCAGCACCACAGCACACCTATTCCAAAATTGATCACATAGTTGGAAGTAAAGCTCTCCTCAGCAAATGTGAAAGAACAGAAATTATAATAAACTATCTCTCAGACCACAGTGCAATCAAACTAGAACTCAGGATTAAGAATCTCACTCAAAGCCGCTCAACTACATGGAAACTGAACAACCTGCTCCTGAATGACTACTGGGTACATAACGAAATGAAGGCAGAAATAAAGATGTTCTTTGAAACCAATGAGAACAAAGACACGACATACCAGAATCTCTGGGATGCATTCAAAGCAGTGTGTAGAGGGAAATTTATAGCACTAAATGCCCACAAGAGAAAGCAGGAAAGATCCAAAATTGACACCCTAACATCACAATTAAAAGAACTAGAAAAGCAAGAGCAAACACAGTCAAAAGCTAGCAGAAGGCAAGAAATAACTAAAATTAGAGCAGAACTGAAGGAAATAGAGACACAAAAAACCATTCAAAAAATCAATGAATCCAGGAGCTGGTTTTTTGAAAGGATCAACAAAATTGATAGACCGCTAGCAAGACTAATAAAGAAAAAAAGAGAGAAGAATCAAATAGACACAATAAAAAATGATAAAGGGGATATCACCACTGATCCCACAGAAATACAAACTACCATCAGAGAATACTACAAACACCTCTACGCAAATAAACTAGAAAATCTAGAAGAAATGGATAAATTCCTCGACACATACACTCTCCCAAGACTAAACCAGGAAGAAGTTGAATCTCTGAATAGACCAATAACAGGAGCTGAAATTGTGGCAATAATCAATAGTTTACCAACCAAAAAAAGTCCAGGACCAGATGGATTCACAGCCGAATTCTACCAGAGGTAAAAGAGGAACTGGTACCATTCCTTCTGACACTATTCCAATCAATAGAAGAAGAGGGAATCCTCCCTAACTCATTTTATGAGGCCAGCATCATCCTGATACCAAAGCCTGGCAGAGACACATCAAAAATGAGAATTTTAGACCAATATCCCTGATGAACATCGATGTGAAAATCCTCAGTAAAATACTGGCAAACCGAAACCAGCAGCACATCAGAAAGCTTATCCACCATGATCAAGTCGGCTTCATCCCTAGGATGCAAGGCTGGTTCAACACACGCAAATCAATAAACATAATCCATCATATAAACAGAACCAACGACAAAAACCACATGATTATCTCAATAGATGCAGAAAAGGCCTTTGACAAAATTCAACAGCGCTTCATGCTAAAAACTCTCAATAAATTAGGTATTGATGGGACGTATCTCAAAATAATAAGAGCTATCTATGACAAACCCACCACCAATATCATACTGAATGGGCAAAAACTGGAAGCATTCCCTTTGAAAACTGGCACAGGACAGAGATGCCCTCTCTCACCACTCGTATTCAACATAGTATTGGAAGTTCTGGCCAGGGCAATCAGGGCGGAGAAAGAAATAAAGGGTATTCAATTAGGAAAAGAGGAAGTCAAATTGTCCCTGTTTGCAGATGACATGACTGTATATTTAGAAAACCCCATCACCTCAGCCCAAAATCTACTTAAGCTGATAAGCAACTTCAGCAAAGTCTCAGGATACAAACTCAATGTGCAAAAATCACAAGCATTCTTATACACCAATAACAGACAAACAGAGAGCCAAATCATGAGTGAACTCCCATTCACAATTGCTTCAAAGAGAATAAAATACCTAGGAATCCAACTTACAAGGGATGTGAAGGACCTCTTCAAGGAGAACTATAAACCACTGCTCAATGAAATAAAAGCCACAAACAAATGGAAGAACATTCCATGCTCATGGATAGGAAGAATCAACATTGTGAAAATGACCATACTGCCGAAGGTAATTTATAGATTCAATGCCATTCCCATCAAGCTACCAATGACTTTCTTCACAGAATTGGAAAAAACTACTTTAAAGTTCATATGAAATCAAAAAAGAGCCCGCATTGCCAAGACAATCCTAAGCCAAAAGAACAAACCTGGAGGCATCATGCTACCAGACTTCAAACTATGCTACAAGGCTACAGTAACCAAAACAGCATGGTACTGGTACCAAAATGGAGATATAGACCAATGGAACAGAACAGAGCCCTTGGTAATGATACCACACATCTACAACCATCTGATCTTTGACAAACCTGCCAAAAACAAGAAATGGGGAAAGGATTCCGTATTTAATAAATGGTGCTGGGAAAATTGGCTAGCCATATGTAGAAGCTGAAATTGGATCCCTTCCTTACACCTTATACAAAAATTAATTCAAGATGGATTAAAGACTTAAACGTTAGACCTAAAACCATAAAAACCCTAGAATAAAACTTAGGCAATACCATTCAGGACATAGGCATGGTCAAGGACTTCGTGTCTAAAACACCAAAAGCAATGGCAACAAAAGCCAAAATTGACAAATTGGATCTAATTAAACTAAAGAGCTTCTGCACAGCAAGAGAAACTACCATCAGATTGAACAGGCAACCTACAGAATGGGAGAAAATTTTTACAATCTACCCATCTGACAAAGGGCTAATATCCAGAATCTACAAAGAACTTAAATTTACAAGAAAAATACCAAACAACCCCATCGAAAAGTGGGCAAAATATATAAATAGACACTTCTCAAAAGAAGAGATAGATCCAGCCAACAGATACATGAAAAAATGCTCATCATCACTGGCCATTAGAGGAATGCAAATCAAAACCACAATGAGATACCATCTCACACCAGTTAGAATGGCGATCATTTAAAAAGTCAGGAAACAACAGGTGCTGGAGAGGATGTGGAGAAATAGGAACACTTTTACACTGTTGGTGGGACTGTAAACTAGTTCAACCATTGTGGAAGACAGTGTGGCGATTCTTCAAGGATCTAGAACTAGGAATACTATTTGATCCAGCCATCCCATTACTGGGTATATACCCAAAGGATTATAAATCATGCTGCTGTAAAGACACATGCACATGTATGTTTATTGTGGCACTATTCACAATAGCCAAGACTTGGAACCAACCCAAAAGGGCATCAATGATAGACTGGATTAAGAAAATGTGGCACACATATACCATGGAACACTATGCAGCCATAAAAATGATGAGTTCATGTCCTTTGTAGGGATATGGATGAAGCTGGAAACCATCATTCTGAGCAAACTATCACAAGGACAGAAAACCAAACACTTCATATTCTCACTCATAGGTGGGAACTGTACAATGAAAACACTTGGACACAGGATGGGGAACATCACACACCAGGGCCTATCGTGGGGTGAGGGGTGGGGGAGGGATAGCATTAGGAGATAAACCTAATGTAAATGAAGAGTTAACGGGTGCAGCACACCAACATGGCACAGGTATACATACGTAACAAACCTGCACATTGTGCACATGTACCCTAGAACTTAAAGTATAATAAAAAAAATAATAAAAATAAAAAATAAAAAGAAAAAATCAATTATGGTTTTATACATTGGAAATTTAGTGAAGTTAAGTAAACAATTCCATTTATAATAGTACCAAAAAGAATAAAGTACTTAGGAGTAAATTTAATAAAAGTAATGCAAAACCTGTACACTGAAAACTACAAAACATCAATGAAATAAGTTAAAAAGGACTTAAGCATACAAAAAAAAACATGTTCATGGAATAGAAAACAATATTGTTAAGATGGCAGTACTCCTTATGATGGTTAGTTTTAGGAGTCAACTTGACTGGATTAAGGAATACCTAAAAAGCTGGTAAAACATAACTTCTGAGTGTATCTGTGAGGATGTTTCTAGAGGAGATTAGCATGTGATTCTTACTGAGCGAGGTGGAAAATATCCACCCTCCATGTAGGTGGGCACTATTCAGTTGGCAGGGGCCCAGAATGAACAAAAACAGAACAGAAGTGTATTTGTCCATCTATATGCTAGAGCTGGGATACACTCTTCCTCTCCTGTCCTTGAATATCAGAACTCCAGGCTCCCTGGCCTTTGGACTTCAGGACTCATACCAGTGCCCCCCTAGGTTATCAGGGCTTCAGCCTCAGACTGAGAGTTACACCACCGCTTTCTCTGATTCTGGGTCCCTTGGACTTGGACTAAGCCAGGCGTCTCCAGCTTACAGACAGCCTGTGGTGGGACTTCTCAGCCATCATAATCATGTGAGCTAATTCCTCTAATAAATTCCCTCTCATATCTATCTATCTATCTAATCTAATCTAATCTTTCTACCTATGTATCCCATTGGTTCTGGCTCTCTGAAGAACTCTGGCTAACATACTCCTCAAATTGTTTAGCAGATTAAGCACCATCTCTATCAAAATATCACTGCCATTTTTGTAGAAATTGACAAGCTGCTCCCAAAATTTATATTGAAATTCAAGCAACTAGAATACTCAAGAGTCCTAAGAAAGAGGAACTAAGAGGCTGAGCGCTGTGGCTCATGCCTGTAATCCCAGCACTTTGGGAGGCCGATGCAGGTGGATCATAAGGTCAAGAGATCGAGACCATCCTGGATAACATGGTGAAACCCCGTGTCTACTAAAAATACAAACAATTAGCCAGGCGTGGTGTTGGCAGGTGCCTGTAGTCCCAGCTACCGGGGAGGCTGAGGCAGGAGAATGGTGTAAACCCGGGAGGCAGAGCTTGCAGTGAGCTGAGATTGTGCCACTGCACTCCAGCCTGAGTGACAGCACGAGACTCCCTCTCACAAAAAAAAAAAAGGAAAGAAAAAAAAAAAGAAAGAGGAACTAAGTTGGAAGACTCACAATTAACAATTTCAATACTTATTACAAAGCTACAGTAATCAAAACTGTGTGGTACTGGCATAAGAATAGATGTATAGACCAATAAAATAACATTGAGAA
Source organism: Homo sapiens (assembly GCF_000001405.40). Classification (NCBI taxonomy): domain Eukaryota; kingdom Metazoa; phylum Chordata; class Mammalia; order Primates; family Hominidae; genus Homo; species Homo sapiens. The sequence continues at coordinate 34,208,325 of NC_000017.11, read as the reverse complement.
TTCAGAGACAAACTCACACTCATGGTCAATTGATTTTCATCAAGGGTGCCAAGATAATTCAATGGGGAAAGAATAGTCCCTCACTGCATGGTGCTGGGACAACCAGTTAGCCACATACAAAAAAATAAAGTTAGGCCCCTGGCTCATACCATATAAAAAATTATTTCAAAATGAATTAAAGACCTAAATGTAAAAGATAAGACTATTAAACTCTTAGAAGAAAACATATGAGTAAATCTTCATGACCTTAGATCAGGCAATGTTTTTTAGATATGACACTAAATGCACAAGCAACAAAAGAAAAAAACAGTTAAATTGGACTCCTCCAAAATGAAAACTTTTGTACTTCATAGGACACTATTAATAAAGTAAAAAGATAGTCTTCAGAATGGGAGAATATAACTGAATCATGTTTGTTATGAGTTTTGTATCCAGGATATTTAAAGAACTCTTACAATGCAACAATAGAAGACAACCCAATTTTTTAAATGGACAAATGACTTGAATAGACATTCCTTCAAGGAAGATACACAAATGACCAATAAGCACATGAAAAAATGCTCAACATCATTAGTCATTAGGAAAATGCAAATCGAAACCACAATGACAAACCACTTCGTACCCACAAGAAGGGCTACAATAAAAAAGATGAACATTTCTAAGTATTGGTGAGAATATGGAGAAATTGCAACCCTCATACATTGTTGTTGAGAAGGTAAAATGGAACAGCCACCACAGAAAACAGTTTGGCAGTTTCTCAAAAAGGCAGACATTGAGTTACCATATTACCCTGCAATTCTACCCTAGGTATCTACCCAAGAAAATGTAAAACATGTGTTCATATAAAAAAAATTATACATGCATGTTCATAGCATTTTTCATAATAGCCCAAGGTAGAAGGAATGCAAATATTCAATAACTGATGAATGGATAAATAAAATGTCATATATCTGTATAATAGAGTATTGTATAGCCATAAAAATGAGTAAAAGATTAAAGATACCACCACATGTATGAACCTTGAAAACACTATGCTAAGTCAAAGGTATTTATCACAAAATACCGCATATGGTATGTAAAACATTCAGAAAAGGCTAATCTGAGAAGATACAAAGTAGTGGCTGCCAGGGACTGGGAAGAGGTAGGGGTGACTGCAAAGAAGTATGGGGGTAATGAGGATGTTCTGGAATTAAACAGTGGTGGTCATTGCATGACATTGTAAATATACTAAAACCACTGAACTGTACACTTTAAAGGGATGAATATTATGGCATAGTATAAATTATATCTCAATTTTATAATGCTATGATATAATAGATGAATATTACTTGGCATACAAGTGATACACAGCAACTTTTTATTTTCTTGCTTTCTTATTCCACTGTGTTCCTTCAAAGCTTGGTCTGGAATACTTGCCTCTGCAAGTTCCTGCCAGAGAGATAAGTTTATTGGGCTGGGAATTCAAGTTTATCATTGTGTCCAATCTCAATTCCCTGAAGGCCTGATGCTTGGCCTCAGGCTCACTTTCATGATTTAGAGGCAAATCTCAGATTATCTGAGCAAGAAATCACTAAAATATTCTGTGAATTTTTCCCGCCCCTCAACTAGCAGGTTTGAGGATACTATGCCCAAGGCAGGTGTGATGTGCCTGGGCCAGACGCAGAACCACACTCCTGCGTGGCCCCTGAGCTCCTGCATTCCACTGTTCTGGGTCCCTTTCTTCTTCTGCTTCCTGCTTCCCCTTCCAGCATCACTCTTGGCTCTGTCAAGAAGTGGTGTAGGTGATGTGGCCTGAAGCCAAATGATGCTGGGAGGGTCAGTGAGGTCCATGTCTTTGAAAATGTATGTGCAGCGGTAAAAAATAAAAAACAAAAAACTGCTACTGCAAACAAACTGCAGCCACTTTCTAGCTCACTGGATGAGGAAGGAAGCATGTTATTCCATTTGGAAAAACACTTTCAGGGCCCCTGCTGTTCAGCAGTTTCAGATCTCAAGGCCTCATGAGGAAGGGGAGGGTGAGAAATAAAGAGGTCATTTCTGGGGGTAAGAAAGTGGAAGGACAACTTCCTTGCTTGAGGTTACTTTTGGGTGAGTGGCATTTTGGTTTCTATTAAAGGGCGTAAGTGCTGGAGTGGGTCCCAAGGGAAGGAAGAGATGGCAGAGGCTGAGTGCAGTGGCTCATGCCTGTAATCCTAGCACTTTGGGAGGCTGAGTCGGGTGGATCACCTGAGGTCAGGAGTTCGAGACCAGCCTGGCCAACATGGTGAAACTGTGTCTCTACTATAAGTACAAAAATTAGCCAGGTGTGGTGGCGGGCACCTGAAATCCCAGCTACTTTGGAGGCTGAGGCAGGAGAATCGCTTAAACCCCAAGGGATGGAGGTTGTAGTGAGCCGAGATCACATCACTTCACTGCAGCCTGGGCAAAAGAGCAAGACTCTGTCTCAAAAAAAAAAAAAAAAAGAAAGAGATGGCAGAAGGGGCTCTGTTCCTAGGGCAGGTTGGGGTTTAAGGTGACCATTGACTCAAGAATGGAACCTGGTATTTAACATTCAGCTGTTTTCTCTCCCACATGGCAATTGCTGAAACCTTCATGATACAAGTGACATCACCCAACCTTGAGTTAGCTTTGCAGTAGGGAAGGCCCAGGAGGAAGGTGGTGGAAATGTTGGGTTCAAGTCTGGCTTGCAGAAGTGTTCAGAGGTGAGAGGGAAAGCTCAGAGTAGCCTTTCTGACTCAGAAGTGAAAAAAGCCACAAAGAATGTAATACCTTGGGAATCCTAGGGCATCCTGGAGGTGGCCGACTATTATCATTAGTGTGATGGCAGATGGGAAAGGAAAGGCATTCCCAGAAGGCTGCAGGACTTGGGAGCCCTAGAGCACTGATGGGTACTGGTTCTCCCAGAACTGCAGAGGCTACCCAGGGAGAATTCAGTGTGCCGAGGGGAATGAGGGCATGCAGTAGAGGAGAAAGGGCACAGACAGAAGCTTGGGAGCCTGGTTTGTGTGTTTAACAAGAGCATTGAACATCACTGTCACATGGTACAACTTCAGTAGGTGCTGGCTACATTTGAACAGAGGAGCTAAGGCTGTAATGGTGAGATGACACGCCAAGTGGGGCTAGGGTCACAGCAAGAGACTGCCAAAGTGGGAGGGAGGCCACCTGCTGAGGAGGATAAGAGGCATTCTTCTATCAGGGAAGCACTAACTATGGGACATCAGGGGTGCTAGGTGTCAGGTAGGTAAAGGCCACTCAATGTCAGGGCTCAGTTGCACATCATAACGTGGATGGCACTCAGTGCCAGGCATGGGGAGAAGGCTTAGTCTCAAGCATGGACTCATGCTCCGGCGATGGGGAGGACTCCGTGCACGCGGGTGCTAGAGAGAGGAGCTAAGTCCCAAGGATGCCTAAATCTCGGGGAGGGAGCTTGCAAAGTCAAACTTATGGGGGACCTTAGTGACAGGGATAGTGGGAGATGACACTCAGGGCCAGGGATGGCCTGGAACGGTCTTCCATGGGGGGCTCAGGACTCTCGTGATCTGGCCTCATGCTCCCACCTGGTCTTCATCCGCCCATCTGCTGCAATGGCCTCTCCTCCCTAGCTGAGCTGCTTGTCAGGAGCAGGCCCCTGCTTAAGGCAGGGCCAGGCCGCATGCAAGGACATACAGCAAGAATGACATACAGCAAGAAGCCTTGCAGGGCAGGGCAGCCCCCAGGCTGCAGCTCCTGACTGTTGATGCCACCTCTCCCCACCCCAGGGCCGAGCTGGTGGCTGGCCAGGTTGGAGCAGAGGACAGTAGCAGGGAGCCCACAGTGTGACCCCACTGGGCTCCAGCCCAGCATGCTTTCCCTTCTCTAGCTGTCCAACTTCTCCAGGAGCTGGTGAAAGCAGGTGTGGTGGCATGAGGCCGTGGGCTCTGTTCTCCTAATTTTGGACTTCCAGGTACTGGAGGTGGTAGAGCAGGTGGAGCAGGTTGAGCAGACTTCCAGCTGATGGAGTCTGTCATCAGCTCCAATGGGGTTGCAGCAACAGACCTTCAGTGGGAACAGAAAAGACTTTGAGACATCTCATCCAGCTTTACTCTTTACAAATAGAGAAATGGAGGCCCTCAAATAATGTGCCCAAGGTCACTCAGGAAGTTGGCATCCTGGCTCCAGTTCCTTGTCTTCTTACACAGTGCATGCCTCCCAAACATGATGATTTCAAATCATGCAATAGGGTCAACAGGCTCTGGCTCTGCCATGCATTAACCAGGTGACTTTGGAAAGGCCGTTAATTTCCCCAAACCTCAAGGTCCTCATCTGTAATATGGACATAATCCAATCAGTGTTACCAGTCTTATTAGACTCAATAGGAGGTCACCATCTCCAGCTCTTGTTCTCCACATGCATAACAAAGATCTTAGCTTTCTGAAATAGTCCCCAGGCACAATCAGACCCAGTGGGGCTCTCATGTGCTGCCAACACTCAAACAGACACATCCATTTATGCCAGGCTCTGCCTCTGCTCTGAGAAGGCTAGTGGCATTCTGTTGGGGATCACTGGTGCCACTGCTCCTGGTATGTTGAATGCCATGATGTACAGTTGTTTCTGAGGAAGAGGGCATGCATCTTCCCTCTTTGTGTGAGGCTTGTCCAAAGAAGCAGTGTCCAGGCAGTGTGGCTCTACCTCAATGCCTCACAGAATTCTTAGTAAAATGATTCTTTTAGTTTTTATTTGGAGTCCCCCAGGGGCTCATAAGTCATAGATCCTTAGGAGCTCAGTCAGAGATTTCTTGGAATGACAGACACCAGACTCTGCTAAGCACGCCAGAGAAGGTGGTGCTCACCAGACCCCACTCTGCTCCTTGACACCTTCCAGCTGCCCTTGCATTAATTGGGTCCATGTGACTAGTTCCAATCCGTGGCTAGAAGTGATATCACTTCCCGTTAAAGCCCAGGACACTTAGTTCTTTCTTGCCTTGACTCAGCAACTGGTGACATCCCAGATGCTGGGTCCCTGATGGAATATGAAAAACAGAGTCCTTGCCCAGAAAGGTGCTTTGGATGAGTGAGAAAGGAACATTTATGTTAAAAACTGCTGAAGTCTGGGGATAGCTTGTTACTGCAGCACAACCTAGCCTATCCTGACCAATGCATCAAAACAGTTTGCCTTCCCTAACCAAGAAGTCCTTGCTTGATTAATCTCACTGAGCAAGGTTTCTTCTTCCCTTCAAATGTGGTCTTTTTAGAAGATGGCTCAGTGCCACAACTATCAGCCTTCTTGTATACATTACCCACGGGTTTGTCATAGGTGACCACACCTGTCAGAGCCTCATTCAGACAAGGGCTAAGCTCTCCATCACTACAATGCCATCACTTTCCTCCCTGCAGCCACTGTCTTCCAAGTCTCTTCTCTCAATGACAGATTCCACCCTGGACTCTGATCTTCTGGAGCTCTGAAAGCTGAAGAGTACAGAGCCGTGTATGTGGAAGTTTTCCCTAAATTCTCATGAGCTTCAAACTCTCACGAGCCAGTGGCTTTGTTTCCAGTTTTCTTCCATGCAGACCTGATACCTCCCATTCTTTCCCCCCATGCTGCCACCTCTTCCTGCAGTAGCTCCAACATGCGTGACAGCGCTAGTAGCTAACTCCGCGGGGTGGTGCTGCTGCTATGCCATGGCTATTTCTGCTTTAGACAGGACTCTGCTTGCTTCTGGGGAAATCTCTTCGGAGCTTGCCCTGCAGGACAGCAATTATTCTATGCCTGAGAAGATAAGCCAGATAAATCTGCAACCACATCCAACCACACCAAAAGAGCTGCAGGCAGTTTCTACTTGCTTTTAGGAGTGCTTTCTCTCCAATTATTCCAGGTCTTCCTGAGCGCCTCCAGTGTGGCAGCAAGGTATTTATGCCCTCCCTGCCTTTCAAGGAAGAGATGATGGAGGTGTTTAGCATTGGCACCACTGCTGCCCTTCTCTGATGGCTTCTCTCTCCTGAGGGCCACTGTGATTCCCATCAGCCTCTTAAAAGAATAAACACTATCAAGTATTTATTACTATAGCCTCTGAATTCACAAGCCAGGCATGGTCCTCAGCTTTCCACACTTCTAACACTGAGAATGCCTCTCTAATTATTCGTTTAGAGACATTGCCTATTTTGAGCACAGTGGCATCTTTCAGGGAAGAGCCCTAAATGTTTTCCAACCTGATAGATGTCTCAGATGAGGTTAAATATCTCTTAGACTTAGGTTGGATTTTGCATGACCCATGATATAAAGGCAGTCGAGCATAGTGGTTAAGAAAGCGAGCTTTGGTGTTAGGTTGTGGGAGTTTGAAACTCAGCTTTTTTGGTTTTAGTCAGGTAACCTTGAGAAACATGTTTAACCTCACTGTGTCTCATTTTAGTCATTTATAAACCAGAGATGATAACTGCACAGATCTTTCAGGGCTCTACGGAGAATTAGCTGTCATAACGTAGGCTAAATACTAAGTACTTGACACATAGGAAACATTCCACATGGACTAGGTCCCTTCTTCTTGCCCCTGCAGGCTCCCCAGTTCCATTCCTTTTTGCACAGGCTTGCCTATGTTAATTTCCTAGGAACTGGCTTCCTCTTGCCACTCTCTTTCTATGCACTTTGAATGGCTTCCAGCCATTCATAAGCCATCAGTTTAAGAGATACAAAAAGGCTCTCATCTGAGCCCTCAAGACCTTCCACAATATGCCCCCAACCAACCCCTCCAGTTGTATTTTCAGCTATTCCTCCCAAGACCCTCCCTCTGGCCTAGCTGACCTCTCTATTCTCACTAAACCTCTTCACTCAGGCCAAGACTGTATCCTGACTTCTTTCTCCATCTCTTCAAGCCTTACTCACCCTCTAAGTCTCAGTGGAAGACCTCCCCTCCTACAGGAAGTCCTCCCTGACTAGACAGAAATTCTGCGCCATCCACATGGTAATTAGTCACCAGCAGAAGTATCTCTCTGCAGTTTTGCTTTTGCTTGCTTTTGCATGTGATCTTCCCCTCAGTATGAAAGCTCTTTGAAGAAAGGCTCTGTGTTTTCATAATTAAGGCTTGGCATTCAGTAGGTACTCAATAAAGGCTGGCTGGCTAGATGGGTGAAGAAGCATGGGTCTTAGAAGACTCCTATGGGTTGGACAGGGATGACAGTAAATCTCTGAATGCCCCTGGGACTTCTCAGGGACACAGAGGAGGGAGAAGCTATTCTTTACTACCCCTGGGAGTTTGTGTGGAGCTGTGGGAAATGAACCGGCACACTTTCGTTAGCTGAGTGTGTGCTAAAGCCCCCTCCGCCTTTTCCTCAAGGCTCGTCAAAGTGGTCACTTGGTAGCTAGTTCTGCAGTGAAGGATTAAGGTTCAGGGTCAGACCCTGAACTCCAGTGGCAGCTGCAGCTTTTACTAATGATGTGAACTTTACAAGTTCATTAACCTATCAGTGTCTCAGTGTCACTGCCTACCTTTAAAATGGCGATAACCAGGCTAGGCACAATGGCTGACACCTGTAGCCCTAGCTACTCTGGAGGCTGAGGTGGGAGGATTGCTTGAGCCTGGAAGTTTGAGGATGCAGTGACCTATGGTCGCACCACTGCACTCCAGAGTGGGTGACAGAGTAACACTGTTTCAAAAACACAATAAATAAATAAATAAATAAATAAATAAAATAAATAGGGATAACAACTGTTCCTACCTCAACTCGTTGTGAAGATTACATGAGCTAATGCACATGAGCAGTTAGAACACTGCTGCAGTGAACACCAATACATAACCTCTGTATGGATCATTTTGGTCTATAGGTTTGGACAGGATGACATGGAAAGAAAAAGCAGACTCAAACTCCATCGCTATCACTTCTAGATCCGTGATTAGGAACATGTTCTCCTTCTCTGAAGCTTTGTTTACTTGTCTTTACAACAAAGAAAATCATACCCATGATAAAGGATGGGCATGGAAATGAAATACTGTTTATTAAGCATGGATATTACATTAAGTATAATTACATGTTGCCTATTAAGCATGGAGAACAGTGCCCGTCATATATGGGGATCATGGGTATGTTCTTATTCTTTTCCATTTAAGTCTCCCTTTTCTGCCTGGCGGAGTGGCTGGGCTGAGATTGTGGTAACCGTAGGAAAGAGAGGGGAAAATGCAACTTCGTGTAGAGGTTAGTGTGGGTCTGCTGTCACCTGCTGGATTAAGTAGGTAAAGACATTGCCAGGTGCTCTCTGCTGCCACCTTATGGTGAAAGAGGTTTCTAGCAGAAGAGCATATTTGTCTAGTCCTGCTTGTGTTCTGTTCCTCCTCACACCCCTCCAACAATGCGTGCTCTCCCGACCTACCTTCTCTCAAACTCTACCTGGGGAGCACTTACCAAGTGCCAGATATTGTATAGACTGCGATTAAAAGATTAATGAGACAGAGGCTCTGGCACTGACAAGCAGTGCTCACTCTTTAAGGGACCTAAGAAATATGTGGAGAACTTTATTATTTTTTAAAATCACATTTATTCACATACAATTTATTTTCACACAACAAAACGCATGCTCTTTAAATGTACACATTGATAAGTTTTGACAACTGTATATGCACGTGGAACCACCGCCCCAGTCAAAATATTGAACGTTTCTGTTATCCCACAAAGTTTTCTCATGGCGCTTGGTAGTCAATCTTCACCACTTCCTACCTACCCCAGGCAATCCTTGATCTGACTTCTCTTGCTATAGTTTGTTTTGCCCTTTCAAGGACTTTATATAAACGGAAGTGTACAGTATACACTCTTTTGTGTCTAGCTTCTCTAGCACAACAAATTGTTTTTGAAATTTATCCATGCTTTTGTAGGTATCCGCAGTTTGTTTTCTTCTATTGTTAAGTGGTATTTCAGTGAATAAATACATAATTCATTTATCCATCCTCTTGATAGATTTTTTGACTGTTTCCAGATTTATGCTGTGGTGCAAAAAACTGCAGGCACGTTTGTGTATAAGTCTTTGGGTGAACTTTGTGAGTCCTTTGTGTGGTTTTTATTTATCTTGGGCGAATTTCCAGAAGTAAAATTGATGGGTCGCAGGTAGATGCATGTTTAACTGTGTAAGAAACTGACAAACATTTTTCCAAAGTAATTATGCCATTTACGTACCTACTACAAGAATTCCGATTGTCCACATGCTCACCAGAGCTTGCTAGTTTTCTTTGTTTAACTTTTAGCTATTTTAATGTATGAAGTTACATCACATCGTGGTTTGAACTTGCAATTTGTTGATGATTAGCAATGCTGATCATTTTTTCAGGTGCTTATTGATCATCTGTGTGTCTTTTTAGGAAGTGGCTATTAGAGTTATTTTGCCCTCTTTAGTATTGACTTGTAAGAATTCCTTTTATATTTTGAATATAAGTCATTTGTCAGATGTATGTATTTTCTCCATCGTGTGGCATGTCTTTTCAATTTCACATTAGTGTCTTCAAAGGGAAGTTTTCAGTGTTGTTAAGGTCCAATGTAGCAACTTCTTTTTCTTGTCTTTTCTTTTCCCTCCCTCCCTTTCTTTCCTTTCTCTGTCTTTCCCTTTCTCCTTCCTTCCTTCTCCTCCTCTTTTCTTTCTTTCTTTCTTTTTTCTCCTTCCTCCCTCCCTGCCTTCCTTCCTTCCTTCCTTCCTTTCTGTTTCTTCTTTCTTCTTTCTTTCTTTCTCTTTTTCTTTCTTTTTCTTTTTTCTTTCTTTCTTTCTTTTCTCTTTCTTTCTTTTCTTTCTTTTCTCTCTCTCTCTGTTTCTTTCTTTCTTTTTTCTTCTTTCCTCCTTTCCTCTCCTGTCCTCTCCTCTTCTCATTAGTGTTTTTTATGTCTTCTTCAGGAAATATTTGTCTAACTAAGGTTGCAAAGATACTCTCCTGTGTTTTCTTTTAAAAACTTTACATGGTCAAGTGTCACTTAATGACAGGAATACATTCTGAGAAATGGATTGTTAGGCAATTTCATCATTGTTCAAATGTCATAGAGTGTATTTACACAAACCTAGATGGTATAGCCTACTGCTACACCCTCTTGCTCCTAGGCTACAAACCATACAGCGTGTTACTGTGCTGAATACTGTAGGCAGTTATAACACAGCAGAAAGTATTTATGTATATAAACGTATCTAGACATTAAAAAAGTACAGTAAAAATACAATATTATAATTTTATGGGACCATTATGGTATATTCAATGCATGACTGTAATTGTGATTTAAATTTTTACTTAATGATGTACAGTGTAAGGTATGATGTGAGGCTTTTGTTTTGTTTTGTTTTCAAATATATATCCATTGAGCCAGCACCATTTATTGAAAAGACTATCTTTTTTCATTGAATTACCTTCAACAGAGTCAACTGAGCATACATATATGGGTCTATTTCTGAATTCTGTTCTATTTCATTGATATATTTTACTATGTCCATGCCACTTTGTGTCTTGATTTCTGTAATTTTATAGTAACCCCTGAATCAGTTTGAAAGTATCTAACTTTATTCTTCTTTCATAATTATTTTGACTATTGTAGGTCCTTTGCATTTTCAAATGAATTATATAGCTTATCAGTTTCTATAAAAAGATCAGCTGGGATTTTCACTGTATTGCTTTGAACTGGTAAATTGACGGAATTGATATTTAAGCTTCTATTCCATGAACATGGTATAGCTTTCCAATTATTTATGTTTTCTTTAATTTCTCCTAAAGTTTTAAGTGTAGATATCTTGTACATATTTTGTAAAATTCATCCTTAAGAATTTTATACCCTTAGATGCTATTGTAAATGATATTCCTTATCATTTTTTATTTTGTCACTAGTAAACATAATTAAAATAGATTTTTGTATATTGATCTTGTATGCTGAATCCTTGCTAAATTCCCCTATTAGTTCTCATATTTTAGATTCCTTTAGGATTTTATACGTTAAAGATTATGCTATTTATGAGCAAGGACAGCTTTTTTTCTTCCTGTACAATCTGTATACCTTTTATTTCTTTATCTTGTGTTATTATGCTGGCTAGGATAGCCAGTGCACTACATTATGGAAGTGGTTACAGCAGATACCCTGTTTTGGTACCAGTCTTTGATAGAAAGTATTTACTGTATTACTATTATGTATTTTGTTACCTGCAGATTTTAAAATTATTGACTTTTATCAGACTGAGAACATTATTTTTTGTTCTTCATTTACTGGTACATTTGTTTTCAATCATGGATTAATGTTGAATTCATCAAACAATCTTTTCTGCATATTTTGAGATAATCATTACATGATTTTTCTCCTTTTTTGGTTCATGTGGAGAATTATATTAATTTACTTTTAAGTGTCAAAACATCCTTACATTTCTAGGATAAACCTTACTTGGTTGTGATATGTTTTTCATATATTGCTGGTTTCAATTTGCTTTTATTTTTCAAGAATTTTTGTGTCTATATGAGTAATATTGGTCTATAATTCTCATTGCTTGTAGTCTTCTTGACAGGCTTTGTTATAAAGGTCTTGCTGCAGTTATGAGATGAGCTAAGAAGTGTTTCCTTGTTCTTTCTTTCCTGAAAGAATTTGAGATATACCGTTATAGAAGGGCAAGCTGTGGACTAGGAAGATTCTTAACCTTGTAACTTTGGACAATTAAACTCTAGGATTTTGGTTTCTTATCTGTAAAGTGTGGTTGATATTGTCTACGTAGCCTGGTTGTGGTGAAGAATGGATGAAGTGATGCCTGAAAAACTGCCTAGCAGTGCTCTTAGTAGGCCCTTGACATATGGGAGGTGTTTTGATAATTAACATGATTACTAGTACATCACTAGCGGGGACTAGAAATCTAGCACGAGATGATTCTCAAGGTCCTTTCTGCTACAAAATTCCAACATTCTTTTCTTTCAAAGAGCTAACTATTGAACAATTGCAGAGCTTTAAGAATTGATTTTAACTGTTATCTTATGTGATCCCTCAGTAGCCTCCAGAAGGTGCCACCATTGATGTAATTTCTTCCTTTAACAGATGAGGAAACTGAGGTTGGTGAGTTGGGCAATTTGCCAGGGGCAACATGGCGGATTGGTTGCTATCACTCATTGTGAAGTCAGAGTTACAGGCAAGGGAGCAACAGGGCTGAGGAGATACCTGTTCTCCCAGTTTCACGGCCAGTACAAGGCCATTCTTACACTGCTCGGGGGAGCCCCTCAGGAGAAGACACATTTAAGAGTTTCCAGCAAGAAGAGTCAGGTCATGCAGTCAGCTGCTTTCTCAGCCCAGCTGTGGGAATGTAAACAAGTTTCTAACCTCATTGAATCTTAGGTTCCCTGTTTGGAAACAGATGAGATCCACAACAGCCATTATCTTATTGGATGGTTGTTGTATGGCAGGGGCTGTACTGAAGAGTCACACACATTACTTAGTCTTCCCAACAATCCTGCAAGGTAAGTATATCAGCCACAGGTGAGAAAAGTGAGGCTTAAGGAGATTAAATAATTTATCTAAGGTCAAGAAAGATCCATATCCAAGATTGAAACCTAGGAATAACTGACTCTTCTTTCCATGTTAAAACTGATCAAATTGTACACTTTAAATATATGCAGTTGATTGTAAGTCAGGCATGCCTCAATAAAGCTGTTTTTTTTTTTTAAGCATCATCCAGAATCAGATATAAAGATTAAAGAGAGGAACAACAACAAAACAATAATTATACTCATGTGACTATATGTGTACCAAAAATAATCTGGCTCTACACTTAGGATTCGAGAATTTTAATGCATGTAAAATATGCCTGAATAAACTACTGCTACTAAAAAAACAGTAATTAGACCTAAACCCATAATTCTCAAATGTCACCTGGATCTCTTATTGGCAGAAAAATCACACTAGACTTCATCAAGAGTAAATCACTCTCTCAAATCCTGCTCAGCCTTAAAATGCATTTTTTTCTTATTACAAAAGCAATATAGCCATGGCTCTGATACAACAACATTTTAGACTTTGGTGTATTTCTTTTTACTACTTTTTAGTAACTAAATGTTTAGATGTATATATACATTAAATATATACATCTCTATATATACACATATCACACATATATATGTGTGTATTCCACATATATAAAATTAAATGTTTTTATAAAATATAAAAATAAATATAAAAACAAAAATACAAAAAAATACAGCCATGGCTCTGATACGACACTTTACACTTTAGTGTATTTCTTTTTACTATTTTTTAAACGTTTTTTGTTTATTTAGATGTATATATACATCTATATATATACACCCATGCATATATATGTGTGTGCATGTGTGTGTCTATATACACACATATACAGACACACATATAATTGTATATAGCACATGTGGAGTTTTAAAACATAGGATATTACCCTACAAATTATTTTATAATCTACTTTTAACACTTATGGAGTATTGGAATATATCATGAAAGGCTTACTATGCCAATGAATGGTCATCTAGTAGAATAACAGTTTTACAATTGCGTTCTGTGATGCCTTGAGGCTCTTGGTAGATGCTTCAGGTGTTGGGGACCAGAGTAGGGGAGAATATAAAGGTCAGGTGAAAGGCAGGAAGAGGGCAAGCAGTTGGGGTCTGTATCTGTCAATCTCATTCAACAGAGCTCCTTTTATTTGTTCAAAGATTCAGTTCTCGTGTAACATAGCATTTAAAAAAGGAATTCCATCACCAAAAATAAAATAAAAACGGAAATCAAGATCTATAACATTTTTCTCATTTCTGCTTAATTTCTTTTCAAAATGAAAATAGCTTTATTGTTTTATACTTGTAAAAGTGACAGCTACACATTTTTCAAGATTCAAATAATCCAAAATTATAGAATAAAACATTGAAAGTCACCCATTAATCTCATCACTCCTTAGACAATTTGGAGTGTATGTGTGTATCAAAATATACTGTACATGTATCGTGTCCTGTCTTTTTTCCTTAACACAGCCCATTTTCCCATGTCATTAGTTGACTTTTAAAACATGACTCTTGATGATTTATTATTTGTGTTATTTTATTAAGCATATTAATAGAAAAAAATACAAGTCAACCTTAAAGTTTAAGGAGAATTGGGGTTTTTTTTCTAAAATGTGTCACTTTAATACATTGAATATTCATGTAAACATTGCAAATGGAACATTCTGCATGTAAACAACTCCCCCAGGTTTTAAAATCTCAGGGTGGCAGATCGTCATGCCGAGAAGGGCTTCTTAAAACTTTTCCACTGAAATCTCCCTAACGGCAAAGGAGGGTGTGATCCTGAATCCCCAAAGGTCTGGGGGAAGTTCTGGTGGCCTCTTCTGGACCCTAATGGTCTTCAGCATTTTTTGTTTGTCTTTAAATTTAACTTTTCCATCCCGTGGCTATTTAACTCATCTCCTCTTCTCATACATTTAGTTTGTTTCAACTCTTCTTTATTATCATAAGCAGCACTGCAATGCATCTTTTTTTACATAATTCTTTGTATCTCCAGTTATTTCCTTAGAGATAAGTTCTAGATGTAAATTTATCAGGCCAATTGGTATAGATATTTTATGGCTTTATATATATATATGCCAGATTATCTTTCAGAAAGAAAGTACTAAACAATAATCTCATCATTTTATCTCACCCTCACCAATATTGGATGGTATCATAAAAAATGCCATTGATGTATGAAAAATACTATCTCATTACCGTCCTTATTAGTATTTATTTACTAACTGAGATGAAAGAATTTCATGAGTTTGTTAGACATTTTGTGTCTTTGTAGGATAGGATGTATGCTTTTATACTTTGTACATATTTTTAAGAGCATTTATTTTATTATTAATATTAATAATGTTGTTTAGAAAGAGCTCTTTATGGCCCAGCATGATGCCTCACGCCTGTAATCCCTGCACTTTGGGAGGCCGAGGCGGGCAGATCACCAGAGGTCAGGAGTTCAAGACCAGCCTGACCAGCAGAGTGAAACCCCGTCTCTACTAAAAATACAAAATTAGCCGGGCATGGTGGTGCATGCCTGTGATCCCAGCTACTCCGGAGGCTGAGGAAGGAGAATCGCTTGAAACCGGGAGGCGGGGGTTGCAGTGAGCTGAATTTGCCCCGTTGTACTCCAGCCTGGGCAACAAGAGTGCGACTCCGTCTCAAAAAGAAAAAAAAAAAAAAGAGCTCTTTAGGATTAAAGCGCAGTAATCTCTTGTCATAAGTAATCCTTCATTCCAATCTTTAATTTACATTTTAGTTTTACTTAAAACACTTTATCTTTGTAGTGGTTATTTTTGTTTTTGTTTTGTAGAGACGGAGTCTCGCTCTGTCGCCAGGCTGGAGTGCAATGGCTCGATCTCGGCTCACTGCAACCCCCGCCTCCCGGGTTCAAACGATTCTCCTGCCTCAGCCTCCGGAGTAGCTGGGATTACAGGCGCCCGCCGCCATGCCAAGCTAATTTCTTTTGTATTTTAGTAGAGATGGGGTTTCGCCATGTTGCCCAAGCTGGTCTCAAACTCCTGATCTCAAGTGATCCACCTGCCTCAGCCTCCCAAAGTGCTGGAATTACAGGCATGAGCCACCACCCCTGGCCTGGACATTTTTTAGTATATGGTTTAAAGAAGGTATTTTTTTTTCCTTCCAACAAATTACTAAATTTGTCCTAACACTGTTGTTGGTGAATTCCCTTTTTTCTTGCTGATCCCAAATTTCATCTTAATCGTATACTTAGTTCTTAAATCTACCAAGCTATTTTTCTTGGTTTTCCATTGCGTTCCATGGATCTATATTCCTAGTCTTGTGGCAACACAACACTTTTTACATTATTGTAGGTTTATATGTTTTAATATTTGTTTCCTTACATAAAAATTTAAAAAACTGTTTTAAATGTTTTATTGAAGTGTAATATACATAGGAAGAGTCCACATTTCATAAGTGAATGGCCCAATAAATTTTCACAGACTGACTGTGTCAGCCTAAGCCAAATCAGGAAATACAGCATTACCAGCACCCCAGAAGCACCATCCTACCATCAAACCATCAACCTCTTCCAGCTGATGCCCACTCCAAGGGTGACGATGTCTTGACTTTGATCAAGATTGGTTTTGCCTATTGTTGGACTTTATGTAATAAGAACCATATGGCTTCTCCTTTTGTATTTGTCTTCTTCCATTCAACTTTATGTTTTTGAGAGTCATCCATATTGTTGAGTATAGTTTTAAATTGTTCATGCCCATTGCTGTATAGTATTTCTTTGTGTAAATATGCCATGATTGATTCTTTCATTCTACTATTGATTTGTATTTGGGTAGTTTCCAAGCTTGGAACTACTACAAATAATGCTGCTATGAATGTTCTAGTACCTTATGTGAACATATGCATGCAATTCATTGGTGAGCATATGTATGCACTTCTGTTCAATCTATTCCTGGGAGTAGAATTACTGGGTCACAGAGTATGTATATATTCTTTATAGCAGATACTCACAGATAGCTTTCCAGAGTGGTTGTAGTAATTTACAATCCCATTAGCAGTATTTAAGATGTCCAGTTGCCTACACCCTTACCCACACTTAGTACTTTCTGTCTTATTTATTTAGCTATTCTAGTGTGAGTGATACTGAGGTTTGAATTTCCATTTTCATGATGACTCATCAGGCCATACACATTTTTGTAGCTTTATTGGTCATTTTTATATCTATGTAACTGTATCTTCAAGTTTTTTGCCTTCTTTTTATTGAGTTGCTTTAAAAAAAAACTGACTACTAGGAGATCTTCATATAGTTGGGATTTGTGTTCATTGTTAGATATGTATGTTGTAAATATCATCTTTTACTCTTTGGGTTGCCTTTTCACTCTTTTGTGTCCTTTGATGACACCATTAACGTTTTAATACAATCTAATACATTACTTTTTTCTCTTACGGTTGCATTTTTGGTAACATGTTTAAGAAATCTTTGTCGTCTCCAATATCATAATCATGTTTTCTTATATAAGCTTAATGTTTCTTATCTTCAGATTTAGATGTGCAATCCACTTGCAATTGATTTTTTTAATTATAGTTTAAGTTCTAGGGTACATGTGCACAACGTGCAGGTTTGTTACATATGTATACATGTGCCATGCTGGTGTGCTGCACCCATTAACTCGTCATTTACATTAGGTATATCTCCTAATGCTATCAATTGATTTTTGTGTATGATGTGAGGTAGAAGGATAAAATATATCCTTTCATATGGGTATCCAACTGACCCAGAACCATTGATTAAGATGCCTGTCTTTTCTCCACTGCCTAAGAGATGCACACTGTATGAATGAATATTACACAGCAATGAGCATGAATGATTTAAAACTATATTTGACGATATGGATGAATCTCACTAACAAGGTTGAATGGAGGAAGACACATACAAAAGGGCAGCAAATATGATTTTTTTGTATGTCACAAATCAGGCAGCCATGTATGTGGAAGACTGTAACCACTGTATTTTTTTTTTTTTTTTTGAGACAGAGTCTCACTCTGTCACCCAGGATGGAGTGCAGTGGTGCAGTCACAGCTCACTGCAGCCTCAACCTCCTGGGCTCAAGCAATTCTCCCACTTCAGCCTCTGGAGTAGCTGGGACTACAGGCACATGCCACCACGCCTGAGCTAATTGTTGTGTTTTTTTTGTTTGTTTTTGTTTTTGTTTTGTAGATATAGAACCTTGACATGTTTCTCAGGCTGGTCTGAAACTCCTGGGGCTCAAGCGATCCACCTGCCTCCACCTCTCAAAGTGCTGAGATTACAGGTATGGGCCTCCATGCCCAGTCTCTATTCTATCTCATTTATCAATTTAACTATTCTTGTGCAAATACCAAAAATGTCTTAATTACTAAAACTTTAAAATAGATCTTACTCACTGGTAATATAAGCCCTGTAGCTTTATTCTTCTGCAAGGTTGCCTTGGCTATTCCTGGGTCTTTGGATTTTTATATAAATTTTAGTATAAGATTATCAATTACCACACAAATACCTGCTGTGATTTTTTATTGAGATTGTGCTCGTCTGTTTTTGATCTTCCCAATTAACTTCATTCTGTCAAGAATTAATAAAAAAATCCCCTTGGATTTTTGATTCAGATTTTATTAATTTCATAATTTAATAAGATTTTATTAATTTCATAATTAATTTCATAATTGTCATATATTGAATTATTTTTTATTATTTCATGACTGTGGACATTGATTTCTTCACCAGATCATCAGAAACTGTTGGAGAAGTTCTTGATCTATAATTCTTTTGTTCTCTGCATAATTTTATGGAATCTGTGGTCAAATAGCATTTAATATGTGTTTCCTGGATATACCTCATAAACTCTTGCAAAATGATCTTATCAAATACTTTTCTCGAATATTCTGGTGTGGGTGCTCCTTGGCTCTTCTCTTCATTCAAGTATTTATTTGAGTATTTATTAATTCACCCAGGAGAGCCACTTGCATAGTCTAGTCTTAGGTATTGATACATCTGTTAAATATTTAGGTACCTTCCTTTTCTTTAGAAAGCTTTCACTCCAATAAAGACAATGAATGCAAAACCAACTATCTAAAATATTGTCTGTTAAGTGCTAGAGATTTAGAGCTATGGGAAGGCCTAACTCTAGCTGAGAACCCACCGTGAGGTTGATAATTTTAGTGAAGTTGGAAGTTGAGCTACGTCTTGACACATGAGCAGGCATAGAGTCCACGACTCGGAGAGAAAATAAGGAGCATTCTGGGTGAGAAGAAAAAAGACATGAAAGCATGAAAATTCATTCATCTCTGAGGAATATGGATATAAGTTCAGTAAAGCTGAGAAATAACAGGCTGGAATGAGAGACAGGTGAAGCTGAACATATTTAGGTAAAGGAGGTAAAGGTCGGATTATGAATGAGTTTTTTTTTTTTTTTTTTGAGACGGAATCTCGCTGTCACCAGGCTGGAGTGCAGTGGTGTGATCTTGGCTCACTGCAACCTCCACCTCCTGGGTTCAAGCGATTCTCCTGCCTCAGCCTCCAGAGTAGCTGAGACTACAGGCACGCGCCACCACACCTGGTTAATTTGTGTATTTTTAGTAGACACGGGGCTTCACCGTGTTGGCCAGGATGGTCTCGATCTCTTGGCCTCGTGATCTGCCCATCTCGGCCTCCCAAAGTCCTAGGATTACAGGCATGAGCCACCGTGCCCAGCCCATAAATGGCTTTTTAATATGAGCTGGTGATTTTTTTTTTTTAACTTTACTATTCAAAGTGATTAATTTAAGAGAGTGTCGGCCGGGCACGGTGGCTCACGCCTGTAATTGTAGCACTTTGGGAGGCCAAGGAGGGCAGATCATGAGGTCAGGAGATCGAGACTTTCATGCGCGTCTGTGTGAAGAGACCACCAAACAGGCTTTGTGTGAGCAACATGGCTGTTTATTTCACCTGGGTGCAGGTGGGCTGAGTCAGCGAAGGGAGATAGGGGTGGGGCCGTTTTATAGGATTTGGGAAGGTAATGGAAAATTACAGTCAAAGGGGGTTGTTCTCTGGTGGGCAGGGGCAGGGGTCACAAGGTGCTCAGTGGGGGAGCTTCTGAGCCAGGAGTAGGAAATTCACAGGGTTAATCACTCAGTTAAGGTGGGGCAGGAACAAATCACAATGGTGGAATGTCATCAGTTAAGGCGGGGCAGGGCCTTTCCACTTCTTTTGTGATTCTTCAGTTACTTCAGGCCATCTGGGTGTATATGTGCAAGTCACAGGGGATGCGTTGGCTTGGCTTGGGCTCAGAGGCCTGACATTCCTGCCTTCTTATATTAATAAGAAAAATAAAACAAAATACTGTTGAAGTGTTGGGGCGGCGAAAATTTTTGGGGGTGGTATGGAGAGAGAATGGGCGATGTTTCTCAGGGCTGCTTCAAGCGGGATTAGGGGCGGCGTGGGAACCTAGAGTGGGAGAGATTAAGCTGAAGGGAGGTCTTGTGGTAAGGGGTGATATTTTGGGGTTGTTAGAAGAAACATTTGTCGTACAGAATGATTGGTGATGGCCTGGATACGGTTTTGTATGAATTGAAAAACTAAATGGAATAAGAGAAGGAGAAAAACAGGTATAAAAGGTCTAAGAATTGGGAGGACCTAGGACATCTGATTAGAGAGTGCCTAAGGAGATTCAGCATAGTCCTGCCAGCAAAGATTATTTATTTACTTCAAGAGTTTAGAGTGGCAGTTTGGGGATAGCAGCAGGAGATATCTGTGATGGCTTGGAGAAACAGTGTAAACCAGCAGTATAAACAAGAGCAGGGCATGTATGAGTAGTTGAGAATGGTGAATAGGAGTATGACTAGACAAAAGATAGTAGGGATGACAAGTTTTTTTGGGGGCACAGTCTAAGTTGGTCTGGTGTCAAATGAGACTGGGGCCTAATAAAAAGGAGCGTCTATACAGGAGCTTAAATGGGCTCCTGTACACCTTGTAGCATTCTGAGGACAAGCCTGAATTCTGAGAAGAGAAAGTGGTAAAAGTATTGTCCAGTCCTTTTTAAGTTGTTGGCTGAGCTTGGTGAGATGTGTTTTTAAAAGACCCTTTAGTCCGTTCTACTTTTCTTGAGGACCGTAAGGGATATAAAGGTTTCACTGAATACTAAGAGCCTGAAAAACTGCTTGGCTGATTTGACTAATAAAGGCTGGTCTGTTATCAGACTGTATAGAGATGGGAAGGCCAAACTGAGGAATTATGTCTGACAGAAGGGAAGAAATTACTGTGGTGGCCTTCTCAGACCCTGTAGGAAAGGCCTTTACTTATTCAGTGAAAGTGTCTATTTAGACTAAGAGGTCTAATAGTTTAGTTTCCTGACTCGGGACATGTTGAGTAAAGCTAATTTGCCAGTCCTGGGTGGGGGCAAATCCTCGAGCTTGATGTGTAGGGCAGGGAGGGGGCGTGAATAATCCCTGAGGAGGAGTAGAATAGCAAATGGAACACTGAGAAGTTATTTCCTTGAGGATAGATTTCCACGACGGAAAGGAAATGAGAGGTTCTGAGAGGCGGGCTAGTGGCTTGTACTATAGCATAGCCTGCCTTTGCTGGTGTGTGGCGATTAGGCCTGGTGGAACTGCCATCAATAAATCAAGCGTGATCAGGGTGAGGAATAGGAAAGAAGGAAATACGGGGAAATGGGGTGAATATCAGGTGGATCAGAGAGATACAGTCATGGGGATCAGGTGTGGTATCAAGAATAATGTGGGAGGCCAGATTGAAGTCTGGGCCAGGAACAATGGTAATTGTGGGACTTAAAGAGTGAGTACAGCTGAAGGAGCCAGGGAGCAGAAAGTATATGCGTCAGGTATGAGGAAGAAAATAGATTTTGGAAGTTATGAGAAATGTAGAGAGTGAGTTGAGCATAGTTTTTGATTTTTAGGGCCTCTAACAGTATTAAAGCAGTGGCAGCTGCTGCACGCAGACATGAGGGCTAGGCTAAAACAGTAAGGTCAAGTTGTTTGGACAGAAAGGCTACACGGTGTGGTCCTGGCTCTTGTGTAAGAATTCTGACCGCACTAACCATGCCTAGGAAGGAAAGGAGTTGTTCTTTTGTAAGGGATTGAGGTTTGGGAGATTAATCAGACACGATCAGCAGGGAGAGCACATGTGTTTTTGTGAGAATTATGCCGAGATAGGTAACAGATGAGGATGAAATTTGGGCTTGACTGAAGTAATGGGGGCTGTCTGTGAAGCCTTGCGGCAGTACAGCCCAGGTAATTTGCTGAGCCTAATGGGTGTCAGGGTCAGTCTAAGTGAAGGCAAAGAGAGGCTGGGATGAAGGGTGCAAAGGAATAGTAAAGAAAGCATGTTTGAGATCCAGAACAGAATAATGGGTAGTAGAGGGAGGTATTGAGGATAGGAGAGTATATGGGTTTGGCACCATGGAGTGGATAGGCAAAACAATTTGGTTGATAAGGCGCAGATTCTGAACTAACTTGTAAGCCTTGTCTGGTTTTAGGACAGGTAAAATGGGGGAATGGTAAGGAGAGTTTATAGGTTTTAGAAGCCCATGCTGTAGCAGGCGAGTGATAACAGGCTTTAATCCTTTTAAAGCGTGCTGAGGGATTGGATATTGGCGTTGAGTGGGGTAAGGGTGATTAGGTTTTAATGGGATGGTAATGGGCATGTGATCAGTTGCCAGGGAAGGAGTAGAGATGTCCCATACTTGTGGGTTAAGGTAGGGGGATATGAGAGGAAGACGCGAAGGAGGCTTTGGGTTGGGGAGAAGGACGGCAATGAGATGTGGCTGTAGTCCAGGAATCGTCAGGGAAGCAGATAATTTAGTTAAACTGTCTCGGCCTAATAAGGGAACTGGGCAGGTGGGGACAACTAAAAAGGAGTGCTTAAAGGAGTATTGCCTAAGTTGGCACTAGAGTTGGGGAGTTTTAAGAGGTTTAGAAGCCTGGCTGTCAATACCCACAACAGTTATGGAGGCAAGGGAAACAGGCCCTTGAAAAGAAGGTAATGTGGAGTGGGTAGCCTCCGTATTGATTAAGAAGGGGACGGGTTTACCTTCCACTGTGAGAGTTACCCGAAGCTCGGCGTCTGTGATGGTCTAGGGGGCTTCCGAGGTGATTGGGCAGTGTCAGTCTTCAGCCGCTAAGCCAAGAAGATCTGGGAAGGAGTCAGTCAGAGAGCCTTGGGCCAGAGTTCCAGGGGCTCTGGGAGTGGCTGCCAGGTGAGTTGAACAGTCTGATTTTCAGTGGGGTCCCACACAGATGGGACGCGGCTTAGGAGGAATCCCAGGCTGCGGGCATTCCTTGGCCCAGTGGCCAGATTTCCCGCACATGTAGCAAGCTCCTGGGGGAGGAGGTTCTGGAGGAATGCCTGGCTGCTGCGGTTCAGGCGTTTGGAAGTTCTTGTGTGCTGGAGATGTGGCTGGGGTTTGTCTCACAGTGGAGGCAAGGAATTGTAACTTTTTTCTGTTATTGTACACCTTGAAGGTGAGGTTAATTAAGTCCTGTTGTGGGGTTTGAGGGCCAGATTCCAATTTTTGGAGTTTTATTTAATGTCGGGAGCAGATTTGGGTAATAAAATGTATATTGAGAATAAGATGGCCTTTTGACCTTTTAGGGTCTAGGGCTGTAAAGCGTCTCAGCGTTGCTGCCAAACGAGCAATGAACTGGGCTGGATTTTTATATTTGATGAAAAAGCCTAAACGCTATCTGATTTGGGATAAAGAAAAAGGAGCATTAACCTTGACTATGCCTTTGGCTCCAGCCACCTTTTTAAGAGTAAATTGCTGGGCAGGTGGGGGAGGGCTAGTCACAGAACGAAACTGTAAGCCGGACCAGGTGTGAGGAGGGGAGGTGATAAAAAGATTATAGGGTGGAGGAGCAGAGGCTGAGGAAGAATTGGGACCTAGCTCGGCCTGGCGAGGAGCAGCCTGGGGAGGAAGGGAGAGGTCAGATGGGTCTGTAAAAAAGGAAGATTAGAAAGACTCAGCTATGCTTGGGGTTGGTACTGAGGGGACAGGTGGGAGGGAAAGAAGGAAGATTTGGGACGAGTTGCACTGGGCACAGAGACTAGGAAGGGACTGATGTGTAAAAGAATGCCTGGACGTCAGGCACCTCAGACCGTTTGCCTATTTTACGACAGGAATTATTTGGATTTTGCAGGATGGAAAAATTCAAAGTGCCATTTTCTGGCTATTTGGAACTATTGACGAGTTTGTATTGGGGTCAAGCGGCATTGCAGAAGAAAATAAGGCATTTAGGTTTTAGGCCAGGTGTGAGTTGAAGAGGTTTTAAGTTTTTGAGAACACAGGCCAAGGGAGTAGAAGGAGGAATGGAGGGTGGAAGGTTGCCTATAGTGAAGGAAGCAAGCCTAGAGAAAAGAGAGAGTAGAGAAACGGAGGGAAGGGGTTCGGGGGTTCTTACCTTCCAGAAAAGTGGGAAAAGGGGTTGGGGCGCAGAGATAAGAGGTCGGGGCATGGAAATAAGGGATGGGACTCAGAAATAAGGGGTCGGGGCATGGAAATAAGGGGTCGGGGCACAGAAATAAGCGGTCGGGGCACAGAGATACGAGGTTGGGGTGCAGAAATAAGTGATTGGGGATTCTTGCCCCCTAGAAAAGCAGGACTTGCCACTAAGGGTGAAAGAGAAGGGGTTGAGGGGTACTTGCCCCTGCCCCAGGAAAGTGGGACTTGCCGCTAAGGGTGAAGGAGAAGGGGTTGAGGGGTACTTGCCCCTGCCCCAGGAAAGCAGAAAAGGGGTAGAGACAAGGAGAGAAGGGGTTGAAGTACTTGCCCCTTCCCCAGAAAAGCGGGACTTGCCGCTAAGGGTGAAGGACCAAGGCAGGCATCCCTGCGTGGTCTGACACCCTTGAAACGTGGGTGTATAATCAGAGAGGTGTCCCTGCAGTTATTAAACACCAAGGGAAGGCTGCCTTCCCAGTCCGTGACCGGCACTGGAGTTTTGGGTCCACGGATAAAACATGTCTCCTTTGTCTCTCCCAGAAAATGAAAGGAATTGAAATTAAGACAAGGGAGAGATTGAAGAGTGGAAAGGAGAAAGTGGTTGAGGAACAGTGAGAGAAGTTGGAGAAGAAAGTAAGAAGAGGCCGCTTACCTGATTTAAAATTGGTGAGATGTTCCTTGGGCTGGTGGGTCTGAGGACCTGAGGTCGTAGGTGGATCTTTCTCACGGAGCAAAGAACAGGAGGACAGGGGATTGATCTCCCAAGGGAGGTCCCCCGATCCGAGTCACGGCACCAAATTTCATACGCGTCCGTGTGAAGAGACCACCAAACAGGCTTTGTGTGAGCAACATGGCTGTTTATTTCATTGGGTGCAGGCGGGCTGAGTCCGAAAAGAGAGTCAGCAAAGGGAGATAGGGGTGGGGCCGTTTTATAGGATTTGGGAAGGTAATGGAAAATTACAGTCAAAGGGGGTTGTTCTTTGGTGGGCAGGGGCAGGGGTCTCAAGGTGCTCAGTGGGGGAGCTTCTGAGCCAGGAGTAGGAAATTCACAGGGTTAATCACTCAGTTAAGGTGGGGCAGGAACAAATCACAATGGTGGAATGTCATCAGTTAAGGCGGGGCAGGGCCTTTTCACTTCTTTTGTGATTCTTCAGTTACTTCAGGCCATCTGGGCGTATACGTGCAAGTCACAGGGGATGCGATGGCTTGGCTTGGGCTCAGAGGCCTGACAGAGACCATCCCGGCCAACACGGTGAAACCCCGTCTCTCCTAAAAATACAAAAAATTAGCCGGGCGTGGTGGTGGGCGCCTGTGGTCCCAGCTACTTGGGAGGCTGAGGCAGGAGAATGGCATGAACCTGGGAGGCAGAGCTTGCAGTGAGCCGAGATCGCACCACTGCACTCCAGCCTGGGCGACAGAGCGAGACTCCGTCTCAAAAAAAAAAAAAAAAAGAGAGAGTGTCATGATCAGATTTGCATTTGAAAAATATTACTCTAATAGCACAGAGGAGGGAGGACTATAGTGTGCAGAGGCAGTTAGGAGGTTACTGCTATAGTGCAGCTAAGAGATAAGAGCCTGGACGAAGCCATTGGGAATGCAGGTGGTGATTGAAATTATTCCAGAGGTGAAATCCCTGTGACTTGGTGATTGACTGGGTGCAGGTAGGTGGAGAGGGCATCCTGGATGTCATGGGATGTGACTTGCTAAGCTCCAAATTGCTGCCTCTGGGTCATTGGGTTAAACAGAGCAGCTATTCTGAAAGTATGCCAGCATGTACCATTGATTGGCAGCTGTGTGAAAAGGCACAGCAAAATGCTGCTTTATTCTGTTTCTCAGAATAACCACATTCTTGCCACGTGATTTCATTGTACAGGATTTGTAGGTTCTTTTGAGTCTTATCCATCTGTGTATTTACTGCTGGTCTCCTGGGAAGAGAGAAGACAGGTTATTTCAGAAATACAAACCCAAAGCAAAAACATTCCCTCCACGCGGCTGCTCTGAAATTAGATTAGTTTGTCAGATTAGATTGGAAAGGAATCTTAAATCATTTAGTACAAACTGCTCATTTTGTAGATGGGGAGGTTACATCCAAGAGAGGAAAAATGATTTGTTATCCAGTAAGGGGAACCATGGGCTCTATCTGAAAATAGTGACAAACAGTAGATCAGCATGGTTAAAAGTAAGGAATCAGATAGCTCTGGGCTCTGCTGCTTACCAGATGTGCGATCTGGAAAGTGTTATTTAAGTTTGTCTGAACACCAGTGTACTTGACTACAAAATGGAGTTGTTGCGAGAATTAAATAAAAAGATTGTGTGTTCACAGGGATGATGCATCTGAGAGCTCAATGCATGTCGGTGATGATGAAGGTGAAGATGCTGTGAGTGATGATGAGGAGGAGGAGGAGGATGTAATTGAAGGAGCTTGGGCTTTGCCATCAGTACAGCTGAGTTAAAATGTCTGTTACTAGTTGTTTGACCTTGTTATAATGATCTAACTTCTATAACTATCAATTTAATTATACCTAACATAGAGATAAGAATCTTGATCTTGCACTATTTTGAGAATATAGCAAAATAAGATGTATATTTAAAGTATCTAGCACAGTGCCTGGCACAAGGGAAATGGTCAACTAAAATTTACTTTCCATCTCTGAATCCCGACTTCTTTTTCATCTCCTTCTCCTTCCCTTTCTCTCTCTTCTTCTTCTTCATCCTTCTCTAATGAAATTATTTTTATTAATACACTTTATTTTTTTAGGGCAGTTTTGGTTTCACAGCAAAATTGAGTGGAACACAGACTTCTCATATAACCCCTGCCCCACCTGCACAGCCTCCCCATTATCAACATCCCCCACCAGAGAGGCACATTTTTTACAACTGAGGAACCTACATTGACACATCATTATCACCCAAAGTTTATGTTAGGGCTCACTGTTGACATTGTCCATTCTATGTGTTTAGACAAATGTATAATGACATGTATCTATGATTATAGTATCATGCAGAATAGATTTGCTGCCCTGAAACTCCTCTGTAATCTGCCAATTCATCTCTCCCTCCTACTAATCCTTGAAAACCACTGATCTTCTTACTGTCTTCATAGGTTTGCCTTTTCCAGAATATCGTATAGTTGGAATCATACAGGATGTAGCCTCTTCAGACTGGTTTCTTTCACTTAGTAATGTGCATTTACATTTTCTCCAAGTCTGTTCATGGCTCATTTATTTTTAGTGCTGAATAGTATTCCATTGTCTCGTGTATGGTAGTTTATTTATTCACTCACTGACTAAAGGACATCTTGGTTGCTTCCAAGTTTTGGCAATTATGAATAAAGCCCTATAAATAAAAGTGAGCAAGATTTTGTAGATATAAGTTTTCAACTCCTTTGGGTAAATACCAAGGAGCATGATTGCTGTATCTCATAGTTAGAGTATATTAAGTTTTGTAAAAAGCCACCAAACTGTCTTCCAAAGCGGCTGTACCATTTTGCATCAATACCAACAATGAATGACAGTTCCTGTTGCTTCACATTCTAGCCAGAATTTGTTGGTGTTCTGCATTTTGGTCATTCTAATAAGTGTGCAGTGTATTGCACTGTTGTTTTGATTGTTTTAATTTGTGTTTCTCTCATGGCATATGATGTGGAACGTCTTTTTATGTAATTATTTGCCATCTGAAAATCTTTGATGGGATTTCTGTTAAGGTCTTTGTATCATTTTTTTAAGAATCAGGTTTGTTTTCTTTTTGTTGAGTTTTAAGTGTTCTTTGTATATTTCGGATAAGAGTTCTTTATCAAATAGATATGCCTCTTGCAATTATTTTCTTCAGGATGTGGCCAGGTAACATCACAGTGTTCTCTTGACAGGGTCTCTTGCAGAGCAAAACTTTTTAATTTTACTGAAGTCCAACTTAACAATTCTTTTTTCTGGATTATGCCTTTGGTGTTGTATCTAAAATTATCTCTGAACTCAAGGTCATCTAGATTTTCTCCTATTATCATCTAGGAGTTTTCTCATTTTGCATATTTTATACTTAGGTCTGTGATCCATTTTCAGTTAATTTTGGGTAAAGGTGTAAGGTCTGTGTCTACATTCGTGAGGTTTTTTTTTTTTTTTCTTGCATGTGCATGTTCAGTTGTTCCAGCTGTATTTGTTGAAAAGACTTTTTTTTCCTCCATTTTATTGCTTTTGCTCCGTTGTCAAAGATCAGCAGGCTATTATTTTTGTAGGTCTATTTCCGGGCCCTCTATTCTGTTCCATGGATCCATTTGTCTCTTTCTTCCCTAGTACCATGCAGTCTTGATTATTGTAGCTTGATAGTAAGTCTTAAAATCAGGTAGCATCTCCAACTTTGTTCTCCTTCAATATTGTACAATCTTATTTTTTATCTTTATGCTATATTGTCATTTATTCATTATCTGGATATCTAAAAATATGTATTACCATCATTACTCCTAAAGCCACTCTTCTCCATTCCACATGAACTTGTTCTCTACAATGTATGTCCACCTCTCTTGTAGCTTGTAGATGATGCCAGACACTGCCACTCCACTCAGAGAATCCCTGGGTATCAACTTTGGGACAAGGACACTTCCCCTAGGGAAATCCTCACCCTTCCAGATACCGGAGGCAGTAAATGCGGTCTCCCACCTGGTTCTCACATCTCCATCAAGACAGCATTTGGCAGATATAATTAATAATTTATTGTTTGGAGACATTTGCTAGTTTCCTTGCTTCAGCAATTAAAACAATATTTTATCTTTTTGGTGGTTGTTTTTGGTGGAGTCCCAGGAATGAGAGCGGAATGAAACGCTTCTGAACCCCTCTTCCTGAGCCAGGCTCATTTCCTTCAGATACTAAAAAAAAAACTAAATAGCCCTATACTCAGGGATCTTTTGTAAAAGCGGCAGGTCTTCTGCCTCTAATGCAGACAGACCAGCTTGACAGCTTACTGTGGCTGAACACGACTGAAAATCAGGTCAGGGATAGTCAACCGAGGAGAACAAAAAGGTCGGTAACCAGTAACGAAAATGTCCCTGTTGGTTGTAGATGGAGGCGCATCACCCAACTGGCAAGTACCCGCCTAAGGGGGGGTCCATCTTTTCCGGAACTGCAACATCCCATCTGTTCACTTTTATGCCTTAATATCCCCAAAGTCACTCTTGCCAAACGCTACAGAGCACATATTTATTGTTTTAATTAAAGTGAATAGGTTTGAGGATTTTAAAAGAGAACTTTGAAGCTATCCAAGGGGGTTCCAAAATCAGAGAAGGGAAAGCTTACACCAGAATGCATCAGAGTGACATAGCTCATCCCAGGCTCCCTGATTTAGGTATGAAAAGAGCACTGAGGTTATCTCAAAGGACAGTTCAGGGAGGGAGGAATGAAAATGGGTCTGGAAGGGATACCAACTTGCCAACAAATTTTTTTTTTTTTTTTTTTTTGGAAGGAGAAAGGGAGCAAAGAAGAAGAAGAAAGGAAAAACTGAAAAAAGAAACATTGAGGCTCATGTCTTGTTTTGTTTCTCAAAAGATTCCATTAGACTCAATATGTCATTCTAAGTGCACCTGGATATAGCGCAGATTTAGATAACTGTCTCCTCCCCTTCTGACCTTTATTACGACTACAAAAATTCTGTGTGTGAGGGATAAATAATGCATGCTCTCAGCCAAGAAGGGAAAGAAGACCCAAGGAAAAATTGCAGAATAGAGTAAGCAACGTATCTTTCTCTAGCATATTTTTTATTTCTGACCTACTTCCTCCTACCTCCAACTCCACCCCTTGCCCTCTCTTCTCCAACAATCAGGACCTGAAAACCTGGAAGCAGAGTGCTGGAGAGCATAGGTTTGGGAGTCATACCTGCATTTAAAATACTTACAGCGATGACATGTCAATTGTGTGATCCTAGGCGAGTCCCTTCTCTTCTCTCTGCCTTGATCTTTGTAAAATGAGGATACCCATCTTAGCGTGCTCGGTATCAAAGGCTTTGGAAGGACAATAAATGAAGATGTATGCAAATGAACCTTCTCAACTGCTCCATAGGGAGCAGACAGAAAAGAGAAAGGAAGTCTATTCTGGTCAGTTGTGGGCCTGATGCATTAGGGGGTGAGCTGTAGTGGGAGGAGTCACTTCTCAGTGAGCCTAGAATTACTTCATAGAGGTAGGAGAGAGCCCAGAAACCTACTCAGATGCGCCAGTCTGGCTTCAGTGGCAGCAAAGGGAACAAAGGCTTGACAGTCACCTGTGGGTGAGGGGCTTGTTTGGTTTTTGTTTGTTTATTTGTTTGTTTTACCATGTTGAGAAGTCAGAAACCCTCTGCTTCCTGCAGTTATAACAGAAACAGATGAAGAGACAGCATTGAACTCAACTCAGTTCCCAAATTGAAATCAAAGATGAGTCTCACACAACAATAATTTGTCTGTCTACATGTATGTTTGCCTCTTATTCATGCCTCTATTTTGCTGAGGACTGTTTTCCAGCTGGTGGTTTAAATAAGGCCCCAAACACTTGACCCTCAAACGTTTGGATTAGAAAATGAAGTGGAAAAGGAAATGACTGTAGGGCAAAAAATTCAGCTTGGCTACTTAATGCCTGTGGGAGGAAGTTGTAGGCAATAACAGAAATAAAGTTTGGGGATTGTTTGCTCATTTGTATATTGTCCCTGTTTCCCCAGTTACATGCCTAATTAAGAGCTGGACAGTTAGGCAAACAGTTTAAATGTATGATAAGGGAGTTTGGGATTAATACCCAGTATAAGAAGAGGCACATCTGGTCCTTAGAAAATCGTGGGAAGAAGTGTCCTTGCAGTGTGTTTTTTGGAGCCCAAGCCTCTGCTGCTCTGCGGGCATTTCTGAAACTTTCTGATACTGCTTCAACTTCCTGTGTCTTTTCACTCTATCTCTAGAACATTAAATGTCGGAGATGGAAGAGATCTCCATGGAGGCAAAATCCAAGGTCTGAGGAAGGGAATGAGCTGCTTGACAACACAGGAGTGGGCACCCCAGGGCTGGACAGGCCTTCAGATGCCCAGTTGCTCTGTACCCTCTTCTCCCATCTGCCGCCACCAGCGCCCCGACCTTGGCTGTCTCCCATCTAGTCCCAAACATTTTCAACACTTCTGCTGTCTTGGTGCCCAACTTCTCCACTCTCCTCCCCATTTTCCTCCTAGACTTTCTTTTACCCCCTTGTAAAACTAGTCTTCAGAGCCTCCATTTCCTATTAGGTTGATAGGCCTAGGTAGAAAAAGGATGTGTCTGTGTGGCTAAATAGAGCCATCTCTCATGAAGGCAGGAGCAAGCAGGTATTTCTGATTGACCTCAGTGATGGTCCTCACCACACCTGCTCTTTAGATCTCTGGGAAGATGAGAGGGTCAAGCTCCTCTGTGGACTCTCTCTTCATGCCCTGCCCATGGATGCACCAATGTAAGTTTTCTGCAGACAACAAATGGTTTGGGGCAATCACAGAAGAATCCCCTTTCTTGTTCCTGTTCCAGTTTCACTGGGTGTTTCAGAATTACAGTCTCACAAAAGGAATCCAGCTGAAAGAAGGGAGCCGAGTTGCTGTGCATAGTAGTGCTGTGGCACTGCTGGGCAAAAGGAGGCAACCAGCTTGCCAGGGTGAGGATGTTGAAAGCCTCAGTGCTGTTCCTGTAACCCAGAGAAATCCTTGACTCTGGATGCGAAGGGTAATTGGAGAATTTGCTCAGGAATTGCTTGAGGAATCTGTACAATCATCTTCTTCCATTCTTACTTCCTATTAGAGGCATTCTTGCCATTTCCATGGCAACTGGGAGGCTGCATGGGTGTCATTGAACAATTGCTTGAGGAGAGATGGGAGGGCCATCAGGTGGGGCAGGTAGGTACACAGGCTGAGAACTATAAATCTTCCCATGTTGTCCTCACCTGTGGTTTTAACAGGGCGAGCCCCAAAAGCAGATGCAGGAATGTAAGGATCATTATTCATTTTGTGACCTCAAGGCCCCAGATGCCCATCTGAAGTCATAAAGATGTGTGATGTGACTAAAGATTGGCACTAGAAAGATCCTGTGGCCCTTCTTCCTATCATAGGCTTGGTTGCCCTCTTCTCTGCCCACACTTTTCTTCCTTTGCCGCCTTCTCCAAGCTTCTGTCAGAAGGCAAGCTTAGGACCAGAGGAAAAGGCATACCTTTCTTTTGCTGGGGGATGACTAGTTTGAGGGGGATGGAAAATATAACACAGAGGTTAACAGCAATGTCTGCTTTCTGGCTATGTGATTTTGACTGTCAGTTCCTTCATTAGTAACGTAGAAATGATGATAATTCTTCCTACATAAAAAAGGCTGCCATGAGGATTAAATGGGTTCATACTTGTGTGACACTTCATGTCTGTCATGTAGATGGTCCTATAGAAGCAGGGTGACTTTATATCTGATATGTCTAGGATAGTCCTGTTTTTGCCTGTTTCTCCAGGGTAATTGTTGAATGGCTCCCTTTACATTTGCAAAGTATCTAAGGTTTGGATGCTAATTATGTTATTGCTCTGTAAATAGTGTTAGCTGTTTTACTATGGGCAGTGATCCAGTATTTTAAGACTTACGGGGTGAGATGACACAAGCTAGGAAGTGAGGTAAGCAAGAGTTTGGCTTCAGAGCGTCTGCAATCAACCCATTCAGGTTTAACTGCGTTTATCTTGGAAGAGAAAGAATACCCTGTAGCACTGAAGTTTTGCCCTTCCCCACCCACTCCCACCTCTTGGTGAAATGTCCCAAGAACCAATAAGGGGACAGCCCTACCAAGGTCCCATTCAGTGACGCATATTCAGAAGGCAAGTTTTGAGAGCCCTGCATAGGAGTTGCTTTCTTCTCTGCTACAGGTCAGGTAAGTAGGATCAGGGTGCTGGGTCACCAAAGAAGCAGCAGAGCCATGAGTTCCCAGATACACAATAACTATCTAGAGATGACCACAGATGCAAGACCTTCTTCCCTGGGAGAAGGGCTGGGGTCAATCTTGGCCGACCACTGCCACAGGGACCAACTTGCCTTTATGTTGCCAGAGTAGCAGGCTCAAAGCTCGACTGGAGGGTAGGTCCTTGTGTACTTCAGATTATGATCCATCTATTATCTATCTATCTATCTATCTATCTATCTATCTATCATTTATCTATCTATCATCTATCTATTATCTATCATCTATCTATCTATCATCTATCTATTATCTATCATCTGTCTATCATCTATCTATCTATCTATCTATCTATCTATCTATCTATCTATCTATCTATCTATCTGTCTTTACTGCCATCAATACAATGACTGCTTCTCATTCTAACACTCTAGACCCTGGAGTCAAATCCAGCTCTTCCACTAACCAGCTGTGTAACCTTGAGCAAGTTCTTATCTTTTCCACATCTCACTTTTCTCTTCTGTAAAGTGAGGATGATAACCGTATCTACCCCATGGAGTTGTTTGAGAATTTTAAGCCATTCATGCCCTACTCCTAGCATGTGTTTGGTGCACAGCGAGCACTATAGTAACTATTGATGTTGTTAACACATTATTTCCTTCCTATTATCCTTAAGAGGGAGTTCTTACCTTCTCATCCCATCTCTTTAGTTTTCTTAATATAACTCTAAATTAAAATAAAACTCTTCACTTTGTTAGGAAGAGGACCATGACTTGCTTAGGCCCGACTAACATTTGCACTCACCATTTTGTTACACAGATGGCAAACCAGGAAAACAGAGCTCAGTACAGAAGGGAGTTGGGCAGCCTCTGTTCCTGTTTGGCTCTGTCCTTGAAGAAAGTGATAAGAAGTGCACAGATTTTGGAATTAAACAGACCATGGTTTGAAGTCTGGATCTTCCAGTTGTAACCAGGTGGCATTGGGTAAATTATTTAACCTCTCAGTGCCTGAGTTTACTAATGATATAGGACTTAAGAAGAAATTATTTAGGCAGATAGTGAGGATATGGAAGTCCTTGGTAAGGTTTTCCTTTTTTAAGGAAAAGTAGCCCCAAAATCATTTTCTTTTCTAACAAACAGCAACTTGTAAAATTGAGCGGCAGACATAGACAAGCAAGCTGGAAGCTTGCATGAGTGAAGGCTACCTGGGACTAGGAATGTTCAAAATGGTGGCTCCATGTTCCCTTCTCTTTGCCAGCCATGTGTACAGTAAGGAGTAGACAACATGGCGCCAGCCAAGTGAAAAGCCCATTTGCATAAGATTAGGGTGGGGTGGCCAGTGTTCCCCACGTGCTATGTAAACATCACACCTGGTCCAACCAATCTGTGGGCCCTATGTAAATCAGACACTGCTTCCTCAAGCCTGTCTATAAAATCTGGTGCACTCAACCATGGGCCAGAATTCCCATTCAAGCAGCCCTCTCTCTCACAAGAGAGAGAGCTGTTCTCTTTTCTCTTTCTTTTGCCTATTAAATCTCCACTCCTAAACTCACTCCTTGTGTGTGCCCGTGTCCATCATCTTCTTGGCGTGAGATGATGAACCCTGGGTATTTACCCCAGACAGCTGCACCACCTGACTAATATATAATACAGGGAAAATTGCATGGTTCTTGCAGGGGTTAATGTGTGAAAAATTCCTAGCAGAATTTCTGGCATGCAGCAGTATTCCATAAATTTTGACTCCTTGTCCCCTCCTGCTATTAGATTGTAAGCTCCTTGTGGGGAAGGAGGCTGTGTTTGTTCACTATCCTACCTCTCAGCACTTAGCACAGTGCTAGTAACTGAGCAAGCAATCAGTCAGTATTCACTACACGAGTGCTGAATGAATAGATTTGTCGTGCATTACATACCTTCTCATAAATATATTAACTTTCTGCTTACTGCATCATGGCTAATCACTGCTAGAGATGAAGGCTTTGGGGATTTAATGATTTTTGAAAACTATATTCAAGGTTAAATTACGAGTCAAGCCAAGACTTTAAACTGCTGGAAGCAATTTCCTCATATTTCAACAGTTGCTCAACCTCATTTGATTTATTTATGCAAAGCCTTCGAACCCCTCCTCCTTGCATTTCCCCACATCCTGAGTACGCACATCATGGCAACATCCTTGCTGCATTTCCCTGGAAATAAAGCAAAGGCATTGAACGCAGTTTAAGGCTGAAGTGCCTCAGGCCTTGTGTTGTCAAAAGGAATTAACTAGAAGGTGAGGGGATGTTTGTCCTTGATATCACTCACTTCACTTCCTTAGTTCTGCATTTACTCACAATGTGCAAGGGATGGTAAAGGTAGATGGATTCTGAAATTGGCTTTTCTCCTGGCCTACCCACAGCTAACTCATGGACCTCATTCCTCCCTAAAACTGCATGAAGGGCTATATCTCCTGATGGGGTGGCTGGGGTGGGGTTGAAACTGCCTTTGCAAAGATTACAAGAGTGGGAGAAGTCTAGCATGGTTGACCCCATCTTCCTTCTAGCCTCACAGGCTGGGCATAGGCCAAGCTAACCATAGGAGCAATTTAGTTTATATTTAACTTTGAAGAAGCATGGATGATAATAATTCCTCCCTAAAATGAATCCCCTGCTTGCTGAGGGAATGAAATTTCCTTTGTAAGCCTAATGAAAGGCCACAAGAGTAGGATTATGGGAGGGGCCTGAATTCTGCAAAGATGTAGATGTAGCTAAAGGATTACTAGTCATTGTCTCCTAGCTTGCCTTTCTATAATCCCTTGCTGCTCAGGAGTCATGTGGCCAAAGGTCACCAGATCTGTGACTTCCTCAGTTGCTTCTATAGATAATGTCACCATTGTGGGGCCTCAGATTGCTCTTTGAAATGTTTTCAAGATTTTTGCATTCTGACAGCCAAATGACTCCACCCATATCTGGGACTCATGACTCAACTGGTCCTGTGGCCCCCACCCAGAGGCAGACTCAGCACATGAGGACTGAATCCTTATGAGTTCATCCCCAACCAATCAGCAGCATCCATTCCCTAGCCCCCTGTCCATCTAATTATCCATGAAAATCCTAGCTTCTAAGTTCCTGGGGAGATTGATTTGAGGTATAACTCCCATTCTTCTGCTTAGCTAACTCTGCATTAAACTCTTTCTCTACTGCAGTACCATGGTCTCAGTGAATTGGTTTTGTCTGTGCAGCAGGTAGAAAGAGCCCATAGGGCAATGATAGAGGTCTGCTTGTTCAAGGTTCCTTTTGTTTGTATGCCTCCTCAGCCATCTTCTTCTCATGGTCCTTGGTACTTAGGATTTCTTGGTCTCCTTGGAGGCATGTCTGATGGGATGAGAATTAATCAAACGGGGCAATTCCTTCCTGCCTGGAGTGGTCTGGGAGTTTCTTGACTTCTCTGGATTTTAAGCTTCTCCAGGGCAATGTTTTGTTTGCTTGTTTTGTGTTTTTAGTACCTAAGACTGAGCATCTGGCCAGATATAACAGCAATCATTTAGGGGGAAAACAAAACAAAACAAAACAAAAAAACGGTGGCCCTTCTCTGTGAAGGACAACCACATTTTCTTTTATGAGAGGCAGTCATTTTCCTGAGGTTGTAACAAGGACTTTGTGTGTGTGTTGTCAGGAAGAGGGATGGATACTGTTGGAGACACTTTTTGAGAAATAGCAGCTGTCTCTCTTTATTATGTAGGGACCTGAGAAGGTGTAGACCAATCTGCAAATGGATCCTGTAGATCCACACGGCCGAAAGGGAACAAGATGGTAACTATGATCCTAGAAACATTTGATGAGGGGAATAAACAAGGCAGAGAGTGGTGGCACTCACCAGGGTTCATGGACTGGAGAGAAGGGGCCAGGTAGATTGCTCAGGGAGATCTAGTTGAAGCTCAGTGTATAAACGCGTCTGGAAGGGTCTCAGCACCTGGTTCCCCTGACACAGTGTATAGACCTGAGTAACAACAGTTGAACATGTGTACTTGTGAACTAAGGGAAATATAACCGCAGCTCCCCACTGTGCGGTTATCTAGGCCAGCACCAGCATGGCCTTGGCTGTGGTGGGAAGTGTCTCTAGACCTGTATGAGATCATTCTTCCACAGTGACCTCTGGTGGTAGTTGGGGGCAATTGCACTTGGCCTTGGAGGAGATGGCCCTGATTGATATTTTAAAGCAAGCTTGTCCAGCCCGCCGCTCAGGACAGTTTTGAATGTGGCCCGACACAAATTTGTAAACTTTCTCAAAACATTATAAACATGTTTTTTCTTTTTTTCTTTTTTTTTGCTCATCAACTATCGTTAGTGTTCGTGTATTTTACGTGTGGCCCAAGACAAAGTCTTATTCCGTTGTGGACCGGGGAAGCCAAAAGATTGGGCATCCCTGTAAAGCAAGAGTGACTGACAAAGCCCTGGAGCTCTTAGATAAGTGGTGAGAATAAATACAGGGAAGATAAAATAATATCAAGAAGCAAGGAGAGAGATTCTGGACTTCATGTTGATTAGAAGAAATGGCTTGAGTGATTCATTTAATAACAACAAAAATATGTGACTGTAATTATACCCCAATTACTGAAATATCTCATACCAGTTCTAAATATTTTATTTAAATATTTTACTTATTTATTCATTTATTGAGACAGGGTCTTGCTCTATCACCCAGGCTGGAGTGTAGCAGCGTGATCACAATTCACTGCAGCCTCAAACTCCTGGGCTCAAGCAATCCTCCTTCCTCAGCCTCCTGAGGAGCTGAGACCATAGGTACATGCCACCGCGCTTGGCTAAGTTTTAAAAGTTTTTGTAGAGACAGGATCTCACCATGTTGCCCAGGCTGGTCTCAAACTCCTGGGCTCAGGCGATCCTCCTGCCTCAGCCTCCTAAAGTGCTGGATTATAGAGGTAAGCCAATGCACCCAGCTGGCAAACTTATGTCGTGTGCAACACTTTGCATATAGGTGGATTTCAGGACATGTTTGTTGAATGGAGATGATGGAATTAAGGCTCATCAAAATCCACACTGATAGAAACTTCACATACTTATCCATTTTATTTCTTACAAGCTGATAAATGTTGTTATCCTCATTCTCCCGATGAGCTGTTGAAGGACCCATCTCCAGTAGTGACTGGTGGAAACAGTATTGGAACCCAGAGTTGATAACTGAACCCCTGCCAGCCCCACTCTGTCATCTCCTCGGTCAGTTGGGATGCTGCCGGGGTGTCTGCCTCAGCCTCGGACACAGAGTGGTGAAACAGATGATTTCGATGGATATAGTTAATGGAGGCCTGGGGTCGGTGAAAGTGATTTAATTGAAACGAAGTCAAGGAAAGTTTTACAAAGGGAGAAATTAGGTGTTTTCTCCTGAGACTTATGATCTGGTGAGAGGATTATGGTACTGAAAATCCTAGCAAAGGCATCAACCAGCAATACTTGTGAGTTCCATTAGTTACAATCATCTATTACTGGGAATGGGAAGGGAGAATGGAATCAAAGAAAGTAAGTTAAAGGTGTTTGTATTGAAAGCCAGAAAAAAAAAATAAAAAAAATTAAAAAAAAAAAGGTCAGCCAGGTGGGAAAATAAAAGAGAAAAAGAAATATTTTGATAAAACTGATACATTGAGATTATTCAACTGAAATAAATGTTAAGTGTATATGGGTGATTTTGCAAGAAGTCCTGCCAAAATCACATGAGGTTAATTATTTTGACCCCCATTTTCTGCTCCCACACTTGACTGAGGACATTCCAGACTGGAAATGACACCTCTGCCCTCAGTAACATGTCTGCAGCAACTAATGATCTCTCTGGAGTGTAGCTCAAGTTCCTGGAGTGCAACTGTAACTCTAGAAGCAAATTGGCTTTGCACTAATGGCTTCAACATAATTGCTAGTAGTTTCTGGTCCATTCTGGCAAGAAACACAAAGAATGCAATTGTTAAGTACTCTTTTTCTTTTTTTTTTCTTTTCTTCTTTAAGGGCCTATGGTTCATCCTGCAATATCAGAGAATACACAACTGTTGGAAGCTCATTTGTGCAGAAGCACTAGTTAGACCAAGTCCCAGGATGGTGGGGACTTGAACTGCCTCATGCACATTGTACCCAAGAGCCTGGCCCATGAAGGTGAATCAGTGGATACTTGAATAAAAAGAAGAATATGCGCTGAAGTTTTCTTTGAGGACATTTTTTTTTCTTTCCATAGTTTTGAGCATCTCTGATGTTTTGAGATTTCTGCCAGTCTTTGAGGATGTAATGCTCAATTAGACTTGTTCTCTGTCCTCAAAGAGCTTATATAATAGTTAGTGAGCTAATTCTCCTGTTTTGAGAGACAGGAGAAAATGTTATGTTATAATGAGTCATTCAGACTCTATCTACTAGGCCTGACTTTGTTACTTTTTAAAAAGCATTCTTCCACTCCTGCTTGGATATCTCTGTATACAAGACTCAGAGACACGTATGACGCCCCTTAGGAGGGGTTCTGACGTGCAAATTTCTGAGACCCAGAAGCACCTACCTTCCATTTTCCAATGCCCCAAATTCTATGAAAACCACGAGCACATGCATTCGTTCCCATGTTCTCGGGTGCCTCGCCTATCAGTCAAGGGTCACAAGATCTGCAGGGCAGTTGCTTTCAAAATAAAATGGATGTGAAAACAGCTGAAGCCCAGCGAGCACTTGATAACTGCTTCTTTTGAAGGCAAAATAAGATTATTCTATGAGGTAACAGGCTCCTTCTGGGCTTAAGTAGGCATAGGGTTTACAGTGTAGATTCTTGTGCTATGGTTTTCCCATAAAAGAGGGAAACCTTGAAATCACAGCACTTTTGTGGTAGGGAGGATTTCAAGCAGTGCTTAATAAGGTGTACATGACCATAGCAGAGTGTCCCCCCCCATCTCAGGGAAAAGGCCCCTGAAATTAATCATGAGAATCCTCTCCTGTCCCCAGGGACCTAGATGAACCCTGACTAATGAATATTTAAAT
Organism: Homo sapiens; assembly: GCF_000001405.40. NCBI lineage: Eukaryota > Metazoa > Chordata > Mammalia > Primates > Hominidae > Homo > Homo sapiens. The sequence goes on along the minus strand of NC_000017.11, from coordinate 34,168,557 downwards.
CTCACTCTTTGTCTGCTCTCACACTCAAACCCTGATTCATGACTGTATGCTTTCCATTTGGCATGGAACAGAGATCACAAGTCCACAGGGTATAGCTCCATGCCACCTGGGGCTCCTTTAGACATTAGTATTATAGTAATTAATAACGGCATCTTATCATTGCAAGCTTTTATTAGATATTTATCAATGGTTTACATACTTTAGCTCATTACATTCTCCCATCATTCCTATGAGGTGGGCACTTATTGCTCCCATTTTACAGATGAGCAAACTGAAGTTTAGGCAAGGGCAATAGCATGCTCCAAGTAACATAGCTGGTGTGGGTGGGTCCAGGATTTAAACTCAGTCATCTGGATGGCAGCACCCAAACCCTTACCCACGACACTCAGTGGCCTCACAAGGCACCTGGGTGGTGGCATGACTCAATGAACCTGACTCTTTCCGGAAGCTCATTCCTGCACCAGCAGTGGCACTATGGGCATTTCACTTGTCCTCTTGAAGCCTTAGTCTCTTTGCCTAAAATAGGCAGAATAAACTCACAGGACTGAATGAGATGTTGACTCTCAATACATGTTGATTTCCTTCTCTCCGTGGAAATCCATCTGTACAGAAAGCTGAGTGGGACATTTTAATGTCAGTGAGCTTATGGGTCACACAGACCACAAATGCATGCCTGGTTATCTTATATACGGGTGAGAATTGGGTTTACACATCAAAGCATTTGAGCACTGACATTGTTTTAATCAATGACTTCAAGCTCTATTGGATTATAACTCTTCCCAATAGGACTACATGTATTGTGACTTTAAGTGGAGCCCATGAATGTTTTGGTTTCAGGTGGCAGCCTGTGAATGTTTTCCCAGCAAAGTTAATTAAATGTACCCGACGCTCTCCATGCGCCTTCCCTGTCTCTCACACAGTCAGGCTTGCAATTTCATGTGCTCTCCCTTGATCTATTTTTATACCATCACATAATAATTTATCTGCTAAATATATCCATCATGCTGGATTTGCATTTATTTTTTTATTAAGTTGCCTGCCAGCCTCCTATAGTTTAATCGGTGTTTACTCAACTCTCTGAGTACTGGAGAGTGTAGAATTACAAGACGTGGGCCCAAAGCCAGCCTCTGGTAGCTGCTCTGCTCTGTGACTTGGGGCAATCCCTTTCTGTCAATCCAGGTCTCAGTGTGCTCCTTTATAAAATGGGAGCAGGAGCTACACTGAAGAGTTGTTGTGTGGTTTATGGAAGGTAAGATAGTAAATGCAATATAAACAGCAGGGTTTGCCATTAGAAATGGTTCATCTTTGCATGGGTTTATTGAGTATTACAGAGTCCTTAGCTCCATGCATGCAGAGATAGGCAAAACAGGGAGGACAGTAAGCTTAAGGGCTGTGGAAACAGATTGGCCCTGCTTCCAGCTCCTAGCTATGTGACTTTGGACATATGGTTTAACCTTGTTATGCCTCAGTTTACTGTAAAGTGGAAATGATCATTGTACCTATGTCACTGGTCTATATTAGGATTCATTTAGTGGTTCCCAACTGAGGATGATTTTGTCCCCAGGGGACATTTGACAATGTCTGCAAACATTTTTGGTTGTTGCAATTGGGGAAGGGGGGTGGCGCTGCTGGTGTCTGGTGGATAGAGGCCAAGGGTTCTGTTAAACATCCTACAATGCACAGGACAGCTCCCCACAACAAATAATTATCCAGCCCAAAGTGTCAACAGTGTTAAAGTTGAGAAACTCTCATTAACTAATATAATGCGTATACATTCTTGGCATAGTTATTGGCATATAGCAAGTGTCTACCTTGAAGAATAAAGTTGATTGTGTCTGGAGAGAGTAATAGAATGCCTTAATGCCAGCTACAGCAGTAGGATTGGAAACTGGATGCTAATTCCACTCTCAGTCCCCTGCACACCCAGCTCCATCACAGCCTATTCCCTTGTGCTGACTGTGTGCATGCCAGTCTGGCTCATCCATCTGTCAGCTCCTTGGATGAAAGGCATTAGCCTGATTCCTCTTTGAATCCCTTCTGATGTTTAGTGCTGTGACTAAACAGCATAATGGAGAACACACTCCATTATGGTCAGTGAAATCAATAGCTGCCTTAGAGGTGGTTGGCAGTTTGGTTTGAGGAGTGGTAGAGATATATGGATGTAGGAGTCAATTGCTCAGTAAAGCAGGTGGGGCTCTTATAGGAGGCACTGATGAGGGACTGGGATAAAGAAGCGAATCCTCCAAGAACACTTGGCCTAGGCTGGAGGCTGTTCAGGCTCCAAACCATCACAGAGGATGAAGGAGCAAGAGTTTCTTAATCTCTCCCCTGGGAAGACTCCTGGTACTTCTATGGGACAGAGCCAAGGTGAGTGTTCACAGAACCACCAAGGACTGGACTAGGTCTACAAGGCACTACAGAAGTCATCTGGCTCCTATGTTTGTCTTAGGAGAAACCAGTGGTCCAGCTAAAAACTGGTAGAAGCTGGACCAGAGCCTATGGGAACATGTCTTAATGAACATTACATCCTCACAAGCTAGCAGAGAGCTTGATACACCAGAAATGCTTAGTAAGGTGTAAATGCCTCTAGCAGAGTTTCCTCTCCCATCTCAGGGTAATCAACTGTGAGGGTCCCTTCCTTGTCCCATCAGACCTAGATGGACCCTGGTCCATGAATATTTAAATCCCACTGCTTGTCTGGTAGTCTCACAATCAAACCCTAATTCAAGATCTCAAGTCCACAGGGCATAATAGCTTCATGTCACCTGGGTCTCCTTTAGACAAAAGTAGTGATTATAACAGTGGTATTAATAGTGACATAGTTACTGAACTTTATTAGATACTTATTGGTACTTTACACACTTTAGCTGATCACATCCTCCCATCAGTCTTATGAGGTAGGCACTGTTACTGTTCCCATGTTACCGATGAGCAAACGGAAGTTTAGGCACGTTCAATAGCATGCTTCAAATAACACTGCTGGTGTGGGTGGGCCCAGGCTTTAAACTCACAATCACCTGAACGTCAGCACCAAAACCCTTACCCACAACACTTGACGGCCTTACAGGGTACCTGGGCAGCAGCATGACTCAATGACCCTGAAGCTCATTCCCACACCAGCAGTGACACTGTGGGCAATTTACTTACCGTCTTGAAGCCTTAGTCTCCTTGTCTGAAAAATAGGCAGAATAAACTCACAGGACTGAATGAGATGTTGACTCCCAATACATGTTGATTTTCTTTCTTCCACGGAAATCCAATCTGTACAGAGAACTGAGTAGGACATTTCAATGTCATGTCTCCTGATGTCCCCTAATCCAGAGCTCCCCCAGCAGTATGCACAGACACCGTGCCTTGCCCACCCCCAGGAGTCTCTGGGGACAATGAGGCTGAGTCCCTAATTTCTTGGTATCCTCCCCCATTGCGTTAGCAAAGTGCCCAGACCAAAATTAGGCAATAAATCCTTGCTAAATTGCATGCATAATCAGACACAGAAAAAAGGAACACATATACATATGTATATATAGTATTTATACTTGTATATTACAGAGATAGAGGGAAAAGACACCTCATTCTCACGCCTTCAACCATAAGCTCTAGTTCTCCTCTTTTTTTGCTTTTTAGATGAGACACAGAGGGACACTTGGGGGCTGAAAGGAAGGACCTCCCTGCTAGAGCTGCACGGCCAAGCCCTTCCTTGGTGCTTTCTCTGCTATCTCCAGCTCTCTTGCTTTCTCTTCCCTGGGGCCACATCTTCTGATCATGACCAGTCTAGTGGCATTACCATGCTGCTTCATATGTTGTGGCTCAGTGAGTTGTCTGTGGAGAAACTTGACTAATGAATAATGACAGAGTAGAAAGAATGTGAAATGTTGAGTCGGGAAACCAGGATTTGAGCCCCAGTTCCATTATCTCATCAGGGTCCTTTCACTCTCTGAACCTCAGTTTCCTCTCTCATAACATGGAAACAGTGACCCCTCTTCTGCTTATGGAAATCAAATAGGATCATGCCTACTAAAGAGTTTCACATCAAGTGGGACACAGATAAAAGACATTATGAGTGCCACATCCATGAGATGAAAAGTCCTATGAGAGTAGAGACTATGCTTTTTACCTTTTGTATGTCCCTTTGCAGTGCCTACCACTATAGAGGTGGTATGTAGACACCACATCCCCATGTAGTGCCTACATGTTAAAATACGTGCAATGAATTCATAATAGTATGCATATTGATGCATGGAGAAAGATGAACGTGATCACAAACATAGATGCATTTCTCCTTTTCCCCCTCAATTCTATTTTTCTCTTTTTTATTCCCATTTCATTACTTATATTTCATTTTATTTTATGAAAGAGCTAGGAAATAAATAAAGTGAATTAAAACGAATACACAACTACTTGTATGGGGGTTATGGAAGTCATCAAATGTGAATGGGCACACAAATGAAGTCACTGTGATCTGTACACACTTAAGTATTTTTTAAAAGAGCGAAGAGATGGATAGAGACGGGAGGAGGTGGGGGGCATGGCTAGAAGAAGGTAGGTAGGGTTGATGGTAAAGGAGGCTGTGTAATAAGCACGATGATCAAGGTATGCTGAAATACCACCACTGCCAACCGCTGGTCACCAAAGATCAGAGGCAGCTGTAACCACACGCATAGAACACAAGGGGGAGAGGAAGTTCCACCCGGGAACCAGGCAAGGACAAACTTCTCTAGCGCTGTTCCTCTCTCCCATTTTCTGTAGAGTGTAGCTATGGCCAAGGCGGTGCTGATACAGTTTTGTTGAAAGCCTGTCTGTTGATGGTGGGCTTCAGGGACTCTCTGTGCACTTCTCTTTATTTGTGAAGCAGTTGGCTCCAGAGATTGAGTGACAGGGAGAAAGCAAACAGAGATGGCTTCTTTCTTCTATTTTTCCTTCGCAGGGGAAAGAGGGACAGAAGTAGACTAAAAGAGGAGAACACATACAGACAAAAATAGAAAATAAAAATTATTTAGAGGAAAAAACATCCAGTAGAGGATGAATAGGAAAGGAGTGGCGTGGGGTGGAGTTTCACACCTTTGAGGAAGGGAAATGACACGAAATAAAATCAGAAATCCAAGCCTCCTGCTCCTGGGTACTTTCCTTTACCCATCGGAGAGATTTGAGTCAGGCCTGCTTTGTTTATTTAGGAGAGGACTTTTGTTTCTTTAAACAGAAGTACTGGGTTAAAGGCTCCTCAGGATCAGATGGCTGTGGTCAGGCATGGTCCAGAAGCCCCGCTTTAGACCAGTGGGAGGGGTCAGCCCTTACATGACTAAGGGACTATAGGTAGGTGTGCCTCTTTAAAGCAAACAAAATAAGGGAAAATTAAAAGCTACTGATTTTACACTGAAGGGCGAGGACTCAAATTTCAGACTAATTTTTTGGCTATTAAAAAATGATTTGAGGATAAGGAACAGTTTGGAATTCCTCTTGTGAATTTTATTCCATATTGCACACCAGCATTTACTAAATACCTACTGTAAGTTATTTCTGTATGACATCATTATCCTGTTAGATTGGAAAGTGGAGAGAAGCCGGCATGGGAAGTGCCAAGGTAAGCAGTCCATTTCAAGTTGGAAGCGAAGACAGAATATTTCTTTTGGCCGGGTGCAGTGCCCATGCCTGTGGCCACTGCTTTGGGAGGCTGAGGCAGGAGGATCCCTTGAGGCCAGGAGCTCGAGACAAACCTGGGCAACATAGGGAGAGCCCCCATTTCTACAAAAAAGGTTTTAAAAATTAGCTGGATGTGGTGGCACCTTGTAGTCTCAGCTACTCAGGAGGCTGAGGCAGGAGGAGAGCTTGAGTCCAGAAGTTCAAGACCACAGTGAGCTATGACCATGTCACTGCACTCCAGCCTGAGTGACAGTGTGAGACCCTGTCTCAACAAACAAACAAATGAAAACAATTTTTTAAATAGGGTAGCTAAACAGTATTCAGTTCATACCTAAACTCAACTTTCACCTGCACCTGTGGTTTTGTAGGCGATGGAGCTAAGGAGTACTTGGTCAATAGCACCTTAAGTCAGGAGTTTTAAAATCAGGTAACTCAGCCAAGATTCTCTGGGTGCACAGATTCCTCTTGGCCCCCTGCACTGACTCAGGCTCCAGTGAGGTCTTCCCTGGGTGCTGGGGGTAACAATAGACAGGGTTGAGAGGTAGGAGGTGCCTCTCACCTGCCTCAGGAATCAGGCTCAGGGCAGGCCCCAGGTTCCCCAGGATTAGAAGAAGGTTCCCCATTCTTTCATCTCAGAGAGGGAGCCTCAGCATCAGAGCTGAATGAATTCACTCGTGTTCATTTGTTCATGAATTCTTGTATTTCTGAGCATCTCTCATATGCTTCAATCCTGGGGATATGGCTTCTAACAAGCCAGGCAGGGTCTCTGCCCCCAGGTGGAGACTTACATTCTGGTAGGACCAACAGATAGTTCACAAGGAAATGAGATGAATTGCAGAAAATGATTAGTACTGGGTAGAAAAGGAAACTTGTAATGGAATAGTGAGCATGGTGGAGGGTGGAGATAGGGAGACCAGCCAAGATCTCTGTGGGGCCGTGACACAGAAGAAGCCAGCTGCAAGGAACTCTCCAGGCAGAGGAAAATGCAAGTTATGAAACTCCGCAAACCGACCCAGCATACCTGATGCATAGGAGGAACTCCTCATCAGGTCTGGTCCTGGGTGGGTTCCTAGAGCTGCCCTCAATAACCCCGTCAAGGAAGAGAGCCTTTGCAGGCCCCACCCCAGAGATGCTGAGTCAGCAGAGGTGGGGAAGCAGGAATCAGCAGTTTAACAAGTGTTGGGTGATTAGAATTCACCTAGCCCTGCCATCAAACTGCTGGAGCAGATGGTGACATGGGGTTAATGACCAGAATCCCAGATTCAAACTCATTTTATCCCATTAACTGGGAGTTAATGATTTGGTCAAGTCTTGTCAAATTGCAGCAGGAGGAGGAGGCCTCAGGAATGATTGAGCACAAATGAAAAAACAGCACAGAGATGTTCCAAGGTTTCCTGAAGCCACAAAGCAACACGAGTTCACTCTGGGGTTCAGGTCAATCGGCAGCTGGGAGCCCCAGAGGTCCACTCAGTGTGGACTAGTTCTGTAGGTTTTGCCTGGAAAGAAAAAAGAAAACCAGCTATAGACAAAATCTCAGTAAACTACCCATTAAACGTCTGGCTTTGCTTCACATCCTTCCCTGGTATACCTGTCATGACAAATTACTTGCTAAGTGTTCACCAGCTGACTAAATGGGAATACGTGTTGTATGAGGCGTTTATTTATAAACCAACCAACAGCAAAGAGATGCTTTGGTTTTACAATAGTTGATCTTTAACCCTTCTTTATGGGAATGACAAATCAGAGGGAAAAGTTGTATTTTGAGATCACCGAGTTTCAAATTATAATGTCATCTGTTTATTAGCAAAGAATGATTTTTCCCCTTTAATGAGCAGGTGGTGGCCATGGCATGTACCTAGCACATGTTAAGTAGCAAATTAGCATTCGAGCTGAGCTGATTGTAGATCTCAGTTTCCTTAACTCTCCTGCCTGTTACTCTTTGCAGAGGCAGGAGGCTGCACCCTGAGCTTCTAACCCTCCCCAGAAACCAGGCTCAGGACTGGCCTTAGGTTCCCCAGGGTTAGAAGAGGGTCCCCCTCCTTGCGTCTCAGAGTAGCAATTTCAGGGTCATAGAAAGTTAATTAATTCCTGACTTCATTCATAAGTGAATAAATTTGCCACAGCAGAAATATGGGCATGTGGTCTAATAGGGGGTTAAACTGCCTGATTTGCAAATGAGTTTGTCTGAAAAGTTCTTTAATGTCTTGTCATACACTTCACCAAAAAGACCATAATTATACACAATTAGGTCAATGCTTACAAATCTGGGCCAAATTGACCCACTCTAAAACCAATCTCTGTTACCACTAGTGCCAAGCAAATAGGTATTGTAAACCTGATTGAAGAGGGGAATGCTTAACCAACTGAATAACACAAAAGCATTTTTAAGAATGATAGAATATCTGATGCCTTTATGTAAACCATACTGCTAACTGCGAGTGAGTATTATCAATTAAAGAGTGTTTTTAAGAAGATATGTGGAAACGTTTTATTAGCCATCAAGTTGAATTGCTACATGTGATAGAAAATGTTATAGCAGTATTTCTTAAAGAATATTCTATAATTCAGTTCCTGTTCAAGACTGTTGCCATCATGGTCTGTGCTATTGAGGTCTCGTTGAAGCATTTCTATTGAGTTTGTGGACCACACCCTTCAGACTCAGACACACTTGGGTTTGACATTTAAGCCCTCTGCCACTTTTCAGCTGAGGGACCCTGGGCAAGTTAGCTTTTTTCTCTGTACTCAGCTTTCTCATCTGTAAAATGGGCTTGGCAATACCCTCCTCTCAGAGTTACTGATAATGTCCGCCAAATGTCAAGCACAGAGCCAAGTGCCCGGCTGTGAAATGCACCATTAGAGCTATTCTCTTCTAGTCCCCCCTTCCCACCCTAAATCGCCTCACCCTCTTGGAAAGCTTTAGTCAAGAGCTGCTTCAGAAGACCTTGAGAAGACCTTAAGGCCATGGACAGGAAGCAGAGTAGTGTGAGGAGTGTGTTTGACACTGGCCTACAGGAAGGGATGGTGACACTAACAGGTAAACACTGCTCTGGGCAAATGATGTCTTCTAGAGCTATAAATGGTTCTCCAATCACCTGTAAGAGAGTGCCAACATCAAAAACGAATGTTCTCTTCGTAGTCATCAAGAGAAAGTGTCAATTGCTAAGTGTCTAAATTGTACCAGACACTTTATAATCTATATCTCGTTTCATTTGCACAAAAGTTCTGTGAGGCAGGCATTCTAAGCTCCATCATTTTGGAGGTGGGGAAACTGAAGTTCAGAGAAGTTTAGTCACTTCCCCCAAGGTCACAGAGCATCACGTTATGTTTGTAATCCTCAAAACAAACAAATGGCGAAGGGTAGAGGTAAGCAGTCAAAGAGTCTAAATGGGAAAGGAGCAATTAGAGCAACTCTGAGACCCATCTCGGCACACATGAGAAAACATGTCTGGGACACGAACTGAGAGAAAATATGATCCTGTGAAAAGAAGAGGCTTCATGGGGAAAACAGATCTGGGCTGCTGGGGAGGAGGGCGGAACACAGCCTGGGAGAGGGCTGGAGGTGGAAGGAACATGAACAGATATGGAGCAGCATGATTTCCAGCTGGGCAGTGCTAATCCCAGGAACCCATGAGCCATGTTGCTTCTCTCGCTATCCACACCATGGAGCAGGGACTTGTGTGTGTACCTATCTCTCTGCCTCCTCCCCCGCTGATCCTTGAGTTATCAAAGGCAGGACATGTATCTCATTTACTTTTGTTTCCCCAAAACCATACAGTGCCTGGTATAGAGTTAGAGGCCAACATACCTATTAAACAGGTGGATGAGCTGAAGATTAGCAGATTAATCCAGGAAGTCTTCCTGTAGGAGAGGGCCTGGAGCTGGGGAAAAAAAAAAAGGACAACAGAGATGTGGTGTGGTAGAAAAAAAGGCATAGAGATGTTTAATACAAGTGAGGAACTGATGTGTGTGTGTGTGTGTGTGTGTGTGTGTGTGTAATCAGGGACAAAGCATAGAAAGGACTGCTCCTTTCCTAAATTTGGGAAGAAGTGTTCCGGATCTGCTTTAACAACTTGCATTTTGGAGACAAATATGCCTGAGTTCAAGTCCCACCTCTGACACCACTAACTGTAACTTGGACACAGCACTTTACTTTTGTGAGCCCCAGCTTCCTCACCTGTACAATAGGGATAATAACAAGAACATGTACCTGTCAAGATAGTTAAGAGGGATAAGTAAGATGATATGACACCCTCACACAGGTCCTGACACATGGTAGACCTTTGTTAATTTTGGTCCTCCTGCTTTAAAAACCTGTGTCCTATCCTAGGAGTCCAGGACCTCTTGGTTAACGAATATGTGAAGTTTATCAATCTTTGCCATTGTGCTTGCTTGTGATGCTTCTGTTCTCTGAGCTCCCAGGATCAATAAACCACTGATTTAATGCTACAGGTTGCTTCAGAGTGCACCTGGATGTTTTTGTCAGTGGACCTAGTTTAGCAGGGGTCCAGATGGAATGAAAACATATTTCAGAGTAGAGCTAAACCTAGAGGGACGTGCCCTCAGCTGCCTTCTTTTCCAACATTGTCCAAGGAGTATGATTTAAGCCTGGAAAGCCCTGAAGATGAGAGCTTGGCTCATCAAGGTGACTCCATGTGGCTCTGCCCCAGCTTGGCAGTGTGGCTTGGGATGGCCACTCAGACTTTCTGTTCCCTTCCTTCTGATGGGAATTTAGCACCATTGATTCAGTAGGTTCTAGCCATTTGAGCTCTGGCATGGGCCAATAGGGCGAGCCACACTCACCTGCTAGCAGGAGCTGACTGCCAGTGGAGTTTCAGGAAAAAAGAGGTAGGCAGCGGAAAGGCTAATTCTTTGCTCCCACCTATAGTTCCGGCTGTACTTCCATCTGACAAATCCAGGATCAGAATACACACACACACACACACACACACACACACACACACTGCCCAAATGTACTTCCATCTGACAAATCCAGGATCAGAATACACACACACACACACACACACACACACACACACACACACACACACACTGCCCAAATGGAATGGTATGCAGCCAGTCCCACCTGGAGTCCCAGTTGCCTTTCTCTTTCAAATACAGACTCTCCCGACAGCTATGTGGCGGTGGGGGAGGCGACTACTTGTTGCTCCTTCTCTGAGGCTCCAGGGGCAACTTGGCTTTTCTGTCTCAGGAGGGGCTCCTGGCTGCTCTCCTAGAATGCCCCCTCGCTGTCTGCATCAGAGGCACTGTGGGTTTGGATCGCCCCCTTCCTTCTGCATTTTTAGCATTCTCCCCTCTGGAGATCCCAGGCTGGGTCTAACCTGGGATCCCTGACATTGATGCAAAGGAATGCCGCCTCCAACCTCACACCTGGCTCCTAGGAGTTTAGCACTGTCTTCCTGCCACCTGGGGGGCGGGGTGTCATGTCAACCCTCGAAGAAGCCCCCACTAGCTACCTTCAAAAAAGGCTAAAAAGAAAACTTGGAGAAAGTCCCCAGCCCCCACCAGCCCTTCTCCCCCGCCCTGCCCTTCCCCCCAAGGCAGCCTAGCAGGGACAGGGAGCTGGGGCGGGGGAAGCAGGCAGGCTTTGTGACCTGGGGGTTGTCCCTTTTTTCCCAGGAGGCGAGGAGAGAATGGATCCCGGTCTGAGCTCCCCGCTTCCGTCCCCAGTCTCCAGATACCGGTCCTCGCCTCTCCGCGCCGCGCGCTGCCTCCTCTCCCCGGTGCTAGCAGCGGCCGCTGGCATTTGGAATTCTGCCCACAAAAGGGGGCCTGGAGGAGGAGGAGAGGAGGGACGGAGGCCGGCGGCGAGAAACGGCATTCGGAGTCCAAAACATCATGGGAAAAGGAACCGAGCGGCGGCGGCTCTGAAGGCTGTGCCGCTGCGCCCGACCGCAGTGCATCAGCGTGGCCGCCCTGACATCCCCCAGGATGGTTAACATGGGGCATTATGCGCTGGTTAACAGGCTCCGAGCTGCTCAGCGACTTGTTTTAAGCATTTTCTCTCTCGCTCTCGCTTTTAATCTTGTCTCTAGTGGCGTGTGTAGGGGGGAGGACTTTATTTCCATTGGCTAAGCTCTCCCTTCCCACCCACATCTCTTCCACATCACCTTGGTGTCTCCCTAAATAAAACCAGCCCTCCTTATCGCCTGGAAAAAATCAAGAGCTAGAGTTTGAATGGGTTTTATATAAACACTCACCCCTGTCAGCGTGCGGCTGGGCTCTCAGGATAAACTCACAGCATCTGGCGCGATGCTTGCCTTGCGTTCTCTCCCCTGAACGTCAAGGTTTAAGCAGAGCCCGAGGACTGGGAGCTCTTCTCTGAAATTCGATCAACCTGAAGCCAGTTGCGGAACTGCACGGGGTCCCGATGGACCTCAAGGAAAGCCCCAGTGAGGGCAGCCTGCAACCTTCTAGCATCCAGATCTTTGCCAACACCTCCACCCTCCATGGCATCCGCCACATCTTCGTGTATGGGCCGCTGACCATCCGGCGTGTGCTGTGGGCAGTGGCCTTCGTGGGCTCTCTGGGCCTGCTGCTGGTGGAGAGCTCTGAGAGGGTGTCCTACTACTTCTCCTACCAGCATGTCACTAAGGTGGACGAAGTGGTGGCTCAAAGCCTGGTCTTCCCAGCTGTGACCCTCTGTAACCTGAATGGCTTCCGGTTCTCCAGGCTCACCACCAATGACCTGTACCATGCTGGGGAGCTGCTGGCCCTGCTGGATGTCAACCTGCAGATCCCGGACCCCCATCTGGCTGACCCCTCCGTGCTGGAGGCCCTGCGGCAGAAGGCCAACTTCAAGCACTACAAACCCAAGCAGTTCAGCATGCTGGAGTTCCTGCACCGTGTGGGCCATGACCTGAAGGATATGATGCTCTACTGCAAGTTCAAAGGGCAGGAGTGCGGCCACCAAGACTTCACCACAGTGAGTACTTGGTTTTCAGCTCACTCTGTCTGGTCCTCTGGAGAAGTGGTGCGCCGGTGGTCTCCTGCTTGGTTTGGGGTTTCCTTGTGCTTTGGGACAGGAGAGAGAGCAGTGCCTCACCTGAAGGCCACGAGGGTAGTTGGTCAGAGTTGTGCGAGCTGGTTGCAGGGAAGGCTACCGGCCAGGATAGAGCACTGCTGTCAGATCAAATATGGAGGGTGAGTGGGGGGCTTGCGGTGGGGGATCACTTCCCCAGACGTGCTCAGTTGGCTTCCTCCCAGTCAGAGGGAGGAGGCCTGGGCTGTCCGTTGTCCGGTCCGCTTGGTGTCCGAGCTGTGTGATTGGAACAGCTTGTCATTGACGAGGTGGCATTCTGTGTGTGTGTGCGTGTGCGTGTGCGTGTGTGTCTCTCTCTGCTCGGAAGTGGCATCAGGCACTGCATCCTGTGGGCTGGGCTGGAGCTAAAGCCGTCAGAGAAGGGGGTGTGGGGCCCAGGCAGTCTGGCTGGCTCCGGTGGCTTTGGGAGCTTGCTGGAGCAGGTGATGCTGCAGAGGTGTGGAAGTCTCCTTGCTTCCTTTCCTTGTGTGAATTCTAAGCTCCATGTGGGGAGAGGAGAGGCCGGGCACCCCAGGGCTCCATCTGATCTGTTGGCAGGTTGAAGCCAAGAGATGTTCAGAGTGCTTGGGCAGAGAGGAGGGTCTGGGCGGAGGCACGTGTGCAAGAGGGTCAGGGAGATGCCTGTGAGGGTGAACCAGTCCCGGCTGCCTTGTCTGGGAGCTTTGGCTTGAAACTCAAAGGCTCGGTTTTCTCTCTGTATAATCACTTAACGACGTGGATGCAGGAGGAGGGGTGCAGGGAGGGGGCGAACAGCTGTGGGAATGGAAAGCCTGGGGGAGGAGTGTGGAGCTGAGTAAAGAGGAAAAGCGGAGGGGGATGTGGCTTACGTTCAGGATGGGGCTTACTGGAGGGGCAGAGAGGAAAGGACGAGAGGAGCACTGTTGCTGCCAGGGTTCTCCAGTTAGTGGGCTGCTAGGCATAACTTGGCATAATAGGTCATACAGCAGCTGCTGACTACTGTTTGCTGCCAGGCACGTCTGGGTATCAGGGGCTGTGGGACCCTCCAGAAGTCCAGTGTGGCTGCTTCCCCCATAGCTGCCTTAGGGAGGATTGAGAGCTTTTGAGTCTCAGAACGTTGAGCCAAAATGCAATTGCAAGTTGGGAATAGCAGGTATAGCAGTTGGGAAGGGGCTGACCTGTGATCCAGCACTTGTCTAGGGTCCTCTGCCTAATGAAGACATTGCTTACCTTTCCTGTGCTGCATCCATTCCCTACCCCCTCTTGGATTCACCAGCCTCTTGATCTGAGGTTCTTTTAATGCCATAACCAGTCTCTGCCTGTAGCCTCTGTAATTGCTGTTGGCTATCTCTGATTCTGAAAAAGCCCAGAGTGCCGGGGGCATTGCCTCTCGCAGTCTGTGTGCTAGAACTCTGTTTCTTGGAGGAGCTGTTTTGTATTATCCCTTTTAAGCCTTGTGAGGAAGAGCACAGCAAAATCGGCAGTAGTGTATGCTAAAGAGGAAGCCAGTCTGAGCTGGGAGAAGGGACCAGTAATATTGGAAGCTCTTCTAAATGCAGCAAACAGGATCCTAAAACATGTCATGCACAAATGATGTCTTAGGTGGCTTGAGGAGAGATAGAGAAAATGCCTTATTCTTGGAGGCTGAAGCCATCACTATATTCCACCCCGTTCTTTCTAGCGCCTGGCAACGCTCGGCTTCACCACTGCACCGTGCAGCTTGGAAATGCACTCAGCTGTTCCTCTGTCTGCCTGAACACACATGGAACACACAGACGACACAGAGGGTGACACAGAGAGAAACTGTAATAAGTAGCAGACTCTGGGTTGAGTTCTCTAGCTTCCTCCTGACTGCATGTCCAACTGGTGGCTTCTTCTGAATCCATGTCTAAGTTCCATTTAGAAGTAAATGTTTTTTGACCCCAGGCTATTGTTTTATACTTGGACCATCTTTTTACTTGCTGAGGTCCCAAGAGGTCTTTAAGATCAGGCCTTAAAGTTCGCCTGAGCTTTTGACCTCTTTGTAATGTTTCCCAAATAGTGAAATTGCCTATGGATAATATTTACTACTCTGTCAGTGGCATGTCATTATCTGCTGTCCTCAGCAAGTTCAAGAGTAATCTATTTGAGTGTCCATTCCTCAGGCTGGCCCTCTATGTGTGACCTTCCCCATCATTGAAAAGGGGGTGAGCCTCAGTGCTGCTGTTCAAGTTGTTCAGGGAGTATCAGAAAAAGCATCTACTCCAGGACAGCCCAACGAGGCTCCAGCAGGGAGGCTGGTCTCTGGCCCCAGCTGGGCACAGTGGGCAGCAATGCTGAGCCTTTACTAGAGGGAACATGATGCTGAGTTTGCTCAAGACCTTGTAGTGAGGAGTACTCCTCCCAACTCATCCTTTGTCCCTCTGTCTTTTTTTGGCCTGGGATATAAGCATCCTTCTTATTGGGCTGCCATACCAGAAGAGGGCAGAGAGCCTGGACAGGTGGTTGTTGGAGAAGCCACTTGACCCGCCTTCTCTTATTCATTTTCTCTGCTGTGCATCCCTCTCCAGTTGGCTTATTTTTGAGGCTCTATCTAGGATTGTACCATGCTAGGTGACTTCTTTCTTTAAGTGCGGTGGCTGACTTATTAGAGAAGTTAAGTATGGGGGAAGGGATGTCACAAGGGGATGGCTTTTCTCTGTATTTCTTTTTCTATGAAGCATATCTAGTGGCATCTCCAGTGCAAATGCTCTAGCATAAGCTTTCTTATTCCAAGCTCTTAGCTGATGTGCAATGAAGTGTGTAATACCCTTTAATTAGTGAATGAGCCATGATTCTAGCAGAGTGAGAGAAGGCTGTCTGCGGAGGGTAAAAGTCCCAGGGAAGCCAGGTGTGGGATGCTGACTACAATGTAAACAGGTGTGCTTCATGCTCATGCAAGTACACTCTTAGCCCTCAACTAGGACAATCTGATTTCAGATAAGCACACGTTTTTTCCCTCCTGGAAAAGCAGAAGACAGCTTTGATTCCAGATTGTCTACTTAGGGAGGTTGCCTCATTGACCTAGAGTGGAAGGAAGGAGGAGGGATTGTGTCTCTGCCCATGGTGTTGGATAATGTGAGTGCAAGATTAAGAGCAGAAAGACAAAGGTTTGAAGCCCAGCTACAACATTGTCTTTCTTATTCCCTGGTTGTATCTTGCGTCCTCTCTAGGCCTCGACTTGGTCATCTAACATGTGATAGTAATATTTGACTTACTAACCCACAGGGATGTTGGGAGGCAATATATGTGTACACTGTGCCAGCTACAAAGATGGAAGGTGGGGTTGGTTTCCATATTAGTAGTCGGGCTATTCACAGGAGTCAGACCTGATGAGTAAAGCTATGAAAGATGAAACCAGGGAGGGAGAGGTGGCTACTGCTTTCTCTGTTTGGAGCAGTGGGTTTACATCCAACCTGACTGAGATGGGGTTTCTTAGAATGGAGGTCACAGTTGGATTCGATAGTTAACTCTTGCTGACAGGTGGTGGCCCTACTGCTTGTGTCCAGGACATGGTTATTTTATGTTTTTTCTCTGCTCATCATGTTAGGGGTCATCTGACTCCAAGTACAGAAATACAAATGACATTTCAGTTTCATACTTAACCTACTTTCATAGTTGTATGTGTTTGTATTTTAAATTTGAGATTTCTTAGGAAATACATTTCTTTCTTTCCTTAACAAAAGAAAGGTCTCTCCACTATGAGATCTTGTTAGAGGCATTGTGTAGATCTTGTTAACTGACATCACCTAACATTATAGAGATGGTGGAGGTGAAGGTTTAGGAAGATCACATCTTTGGAATTCTTGCACAAGGCCAAATGGGTCCATAGCTAATCTAGTCTATCTTTTTTAAAAAAATTATTATTATTATACTAGGAACATGTAGGTGAAGAATGTGAGTTTTAGGGAGAAATCTGAGTTGGAATTCCAACTCTGCCACCAATTTGCTGTATATTTTTGGACAAGTTTCTTAACCTTGATTGTCTCATCTCTAAATTAGGAACAATAATACCTATCACTTAGAGCTATCGTGCTGACTCAGTGCCATAAAATATGTGAAGGCCTACTATGTGGCAGGTGCCTAGAGCAGGGTAGGCCTCTTGCTTTGCTTAGTGTCCCGCAGGAGCTCACTCAACTCTCAGTCCAGTGGTTTGCTCACTATTCCATACTATAACTTCACCAACAGCTTTGGAGCACAGGCAACTGCTGTGTTGGTGGTATTCTCAATTCTCATTATATATTAAGCTTTCACTTTTCTCTGTGCTCTTCATATTAATTCTGCTGCTCAAACGTCCTCTCCTTACCCACCATCTTGGCTTCCACATCGAATCCCATGCTCCCAAACTCAACTCTAGGAAGCTCACTTGTCCTGTGCCAGCCCCTCTCCCCACGCCAGGAATGGGTGACCTATGCACCCTGTGCACAGCTTTTATAGCAGTGTGTCATAGTGCTTCATGCATGGTTATTCCTTTGTCAATCAAATAGAGCACCTATTGTGCAGTGTGATAAAAATAGCCTAAAGCCTTGCCATTGTAGAACTCCCAGCCCATTTCCCACCCCCTCCAGATGAGGTGATAGCTGAGTGCAAGAATGCAGTCTCATTAAACCCAGACTCTGCATACATCATGCTAAATATGGGGGCTGCCCACAGGAAATACCATGACCCAGGCATGGCTTGCTAATTGAATAGTTACTTGCTGTTCCTGGAATAAACCCAGAACCCTTTACTCACGGACCTTTCCTACTCTACCTCTTTATTTTTTTTTTTTTTTTTTTTCTTGAGATGGAGTCTCACTCTGTTGCCCAGGCTGGAGTGCAGTTGTGCGATCTTAGCTCACTGCAACCTCCACCTCTCAGGTTCAAGCGATTCTCCTGCCTCAGCTTCCCGAGTAGCTGGGACTACAGGCGCCTGCCACCATGCCTGGTATTTTTAGTAGAGATGGGGTCTCACCAGATTGGCCAGGCCGGTCTCGTACTCCTGACCTTGTGATCTGCCCACCTTGGCCTCCCAAAGTGCTAGGATTACAGGTGTGAGCCACCACGCCACCCTCTTTACTTTTTATACCTCTTTCTCCATGTCTATTTATCTAAATCCTAGTCATCCTTCAAAATCCAGCTTTACCATCACTGTAGCCTTCTCCAGGAAACCATTGCCCATCCCCTTCCCATTCCCATAATCTAAATTACTCTCTCGTCTGTCTTCTAAACAGCATTTTGGTTTATTCCTCTGTTAGAACAGTCATTATTCTTTTTCTTGCATTAGAATCATGAAGTGCTTGGGCTAAAAATGACCTTAGAAATGATTTAACACCCTAGTTTTTTAGCCACTGATAATTTTTAATTTTAAAAAGTTTATTAGTAAAAGGTACATATATTTATGATGTACAACACTGCTTTGAAGTATGTATACATTGTGGAGTGGCTAAATCAAACTATTTAACATATGTATTACCTCATATACTTACCATTTTCTTGGGGGGATGGTAAGAACACTTAAAATTTACCCCCTTAGCAATTTTCAGTTGTTCAATATATTGTTATTAACTCTAGGCATTATGATGTACAATAGATTTCCTGGGCTTGTCTCTCCTGTTGAACTGAAATTTTATGTCCTTTGATCCATATCTCACCTATCCACCCTGCCACTCCCCAGTCCCCAGTAATCACCATTCTACTCTCTGTTTCTATGAGTTTGACTTTCTAAGATTCCACATAGAAGTGAGATCATGCAGTATTTGTCTTTCTGTGCCTGACTTATTTCACTTTGCATAGTGTCCTCCAGGTTCATCTATGTTGTCACAAATGACAGGATTTTCTTCCTTTTTAAAGGCTGAATAGTATTCCATTGTGTATATATATCACAAATCTTTATTTATTCACCTATCAATGGACACTAGGTTGATTCCATATCTTGGCTTTTGTGACTAGTGCTGCAATAAACATGGGAGGGCAGAATCTCTTTGACATACTGATTTCACTTCCTTTGGATATATACCCAGTAGTGGGATTGCTAGATCATATGGTACTTCTATTTTTAATTTTTTTGAGGAACTTCCATACTGTTTTCCATAATGGCTGTACTAATTTCCATTCCCACCCACAGTGTACAAGGGCTCACCTTTCTCCACATCCTTTCCAATGCTTGTTATTTTTTGTATTTTTGACAACAACTATTCTAACAAGTGTGAGGTAATATCGCATTGCTAACTTTTTACAAATCGCATATTTCTTTTTTCTCCCCTCCTCATAAGGCCTGATGTCTTCACTCATCCTTGTATTCTTGGCACCTAGAATTGCTTAGCACATAGCTGTCAAACTGCTTCTTCAGAGTTTGGGTAAAGTGGGTTTGAAGCTTGTTTAATGTTAAGTAAGTCTAGTTGATATATGGTGAAATTGTTGTTTTCAAGCTTCTTTTTGCATCATGGGTAGCCAGGATTCCACCTGCATTGGGATGACTTGTCCCATTATTGTTATTATTTAATAATACACTTTCTGATTATAGAAGTAATCCATGCTCATTGGAGAAAATTTGGGAAGTGTGGGAAATAATAAAGAAAGGAGAAACCTGGGCAATATAGTAAAACCCAGTCTCTACAAGAAATACAAAAATGAGCCAGGAGTGGTGGCACATGCCTGTAGTCCCAGCTACTTGGGAGGCTGAAGTGGGAGGTTAGCTTAAAACTGGAAGGTTGAAGCTGCAGGGAGCCATGATCACACCACTGCACTCCAGCCTGGGCAACAGAGCGAGACACTGTCTCAAAAAAAAAAGAAAAGAAAAAAAAGAAAAAAGAAAAAAAGAAAGAAAAGAAAAATCGCCATTAATTGCTTCCCAGATATAATTATATATATTATTTTAGCATTTTGGGAGTACTCCTATTCAGCCATGTATTGTGTGCATGTGTGTGTATTACTAGGCCTGGGATCTCACTTTTTGTGCATCTGGTGTCATGTCTGCTCCACAGTACACATCCAATCAATGTTAGCTTGCTCTCTTCTTGAGTCTCCTGGGTAGTCTTGAGGTCATTAGGAGATTCCTTCCTTTTAGGCTCAAAACTGAGCACCAGTTACTCTCCTTTGATGGAAATTTATTGATAGTATTTCTGCTTGTTTATCTGATGCCATCTTGGTCCTACTGTTTTTTGAATGTTTGCTAAGATGCACCAGAGATGTGTTCCTTTACACAAAGTCACACATCCTGACAGGCCCAACCCTGCTCCATGATGAGGCCCAAGTTTGAGTCAACTCTGGTTCTTCTTGCAAAACCATCCACTTCTCGCAAGACCACCTCAGCACACAGATGTAGATCCTGACTCTCCCGTCTGTAAAGTCTCTAGATTCTATGTCAAAATGGCCTAAATTGTAACTAATGCAAAATAGATGATTTTTCATATTCCTTAGGATGCTCTGAAGTCTTGCGAACATTTGGCATGCCCTTATGGGGGCAACCTTTGTCAAGCTAAGCAAGTTTTCCATAATGTCAGCCTCCGTTTGGGATCTTCCAGTTTAGAACTTTAAGCTGTAAGCTCTCTGGAAGTCGTGCTTTCAGGGGTATATAAAATTCTTTCTGATGTGATGAAGGGGTAAGACAATGACTGAGAGCTGACTATTTTGATGACCCACAATGTCTACTTGCAAAGAAAAAACTGAAGCTACTGCACAAGTTCCTAAATAATGCCTAGTTGATTGTTGGGTGAATGTGCATGTCTGTGTCTCTTTCTCTGGAAGATTTTAGACATCCAGAACTGCTTAGAAGGCTACCTGGAAGCTTATTGGCTGGGGTGTTGGTTCCTTTCCTCCTCTGTATTGTAGTTCTCTTTTCCTCTCTATAGAAAGTTCTTCCATTAATGAAGAGATGAATTTAACAAAATTTTGGTAAAGTGAATCCTAGTTTGCTACTGATTTCTTTTGTAAGAGCTGAGATGTGGTCCCATTAAAAAATCTCCCAAAGACCGAATTGGTAGCATTTAGCACTAAGTTTGCCATTAGAGGTGGTGCTCCATAGAGCAGCCCATATGTCAAAGTGCCACGCACCCCATTCCCTCCATGAGACTAAAACGATACCACCTGAGTCTAGAGAGACCTGAAAATTTGCTGTGTGCTTTCTCTTTTTTGTAGGATGTTTATGTTTGATGGAGCTGAGTTAAAATATCTACCTTGACCAGCAAGGCCATTTGACCCATGATCTATTACAACCTGAGACCAAGCCTACATCACCCCTCCCAGTTTGAAACTCCATATATCATATTTCACTCATGCATTTGACTTAAAACCATACAGACTGGGCTTAGGGGTTGCTGGATAGCAGCTGTCTCCAATGCTCAGAAATACTACATGGTTATTATTTGATAAATTGAAATTCTCTGATAAAAGCCTGTTTATCAGGTTGGGCTTTATTTGAGGACAGCATTCCCCAAAGTGCCATTCTTTGGATGCTGAAGCATCTTTCCATCTCCCAGTACTTATTTTCTTCTGATTTCGATATATTCTCTATTGATTGCCTCAGTAGCCATTGAAATTTATGCTCAGAAGAAATTAAGCATAT
This sequence comes from Homo sapiens, assembly GCF_000001405.40. Taxonomy (NCBI): domain Eukaryota; kingdom Metazoa; phylum Chordata; class Mammalia; order Primates; family Hominidae; genus Homo; species Homo sapiens. Next base: position 34,147,340 of record NC_000017.11, on the reverse strand, counting down.
AAAACAGAAGCAACGTATTTGCCTGGATTTATGACCTCTGTAGATTTAGTTGCACAACCTTTGGGAAGGTAATAAGCCTCAATGGGCCTCAGTTTGCTTATCTGTAAAATGAAGGGGTGGAATTAGGTGGTTTCTAAGGACTTGCCAACCTGTACCGCTCTAATGCAACAGAACATATTAAACATTTGTTTTCTGATCCTACATCTGTTGCTGAAACTCAAACTTTAACTTATGTTGGGAGTGGGGAGGAGTTGCTGCTCATTTGCCACCAGATCTATTTATCTATTTATTTGTTTGTTTAATTATAACAATTTTATTTTGATAGATATGTACAATGGAAGCAGAAACACCTAGATGCACTGAGAGGCTGCAGCAGGATGAGGGAGGCACAGAATCTTGCTCTCAAAATCCTGTTCAGGAGCCATGATATGCCTGACTGAAGCTCATCATTCTGACTCAAAGTTTGCAGCACAGTAGTCCAGCAGTTGAGGGGAGTGATACACTCTGGGTCTTCCATGCGTGAATTAGCAAGTGTATCTGTGGAAGACACTGTTGGTCAGCCCAGATCCTCTTTACTGCACCTGTAGGTAGAGCACATAACAGCTTAATCAGTCCCCTTCGTGGGGAGGCTGGCCCTTGGTTGACAGGTGCTGCCTCTTCTGGAGATACCTGGGAAGTTATTCACCTCCCCACCACCTGGGGGCAGCCAGTGGCCAGTGACTGACTGACAGGATTAGGAAATGCCAGTCATCTCACCTCAAGATGGAATACATTGTGGTGCAGTTTACACTCAGTGTTTCCCGTGGGATCAGGCTGAGCTGGACTTCTCCTGAAACCACATTCATGCTTACCTTTTCCCCCGCCCTACCTTCCCCTTCCCGCTTCTAGGCTTTTTATGAGAACACTCCCTCAATAAATCACCTGTAGAAGGTGTGCCATCTCAGGCTCTGATAGGGAACCCAACCTGTGTATTGATTAGTTTTAGCTTTTTTATCCATATGGTAACATGGACAATAGTCTAGGCATGTGGACCTAAGTCTGGTTTAGAAAGAAAAAAATACCTTTTTCAAAAATCTTTTAAACCTGGGACTTTCAAAATCTGTGTTTTCAACTCAAGACGGCGATAACAATTCCCAAGGGTGGCCCTCATAACTCAAATGAGCATCTCTCTGATTGGGATTCACTACTCTAAGCACAGCTGGTTTGTTCCCCTTAGAGTTGTTTGCCCAAAGAAAGCCCTTCCCAAGGTTTCCCTTCTCCGAAGAGCTGAGCCATACCCATTCTCCCAGCTGTTACGTGACTCTCAGCTGCTCACATTCTAGCATACACTTTTATCAGCACCTGCATTCTCATTTCCTAAGTTTGCTCTCTCTGAAAACTTCCCTTTCCTACCCTTCTACCAGCCTTCACTTCCATTTCTTCCTGAATGTGCATCAGCCTGGCTTCAAGCCATGAAGAGGAGGCTATGCATTTGATGTTGGCAGTGTCCTGGGCCCATCAATAAAGTAGAAGGCAGTGAGAGATGTATGGCTGACCAGAGGTGATGCTCCTCATATGTCACAGAAACCACGAGCGATGAGGAGCGTATGAAAGAACTCAGACAGCTTAGCATGAAAAGCGAAGTGGGTGGCTCACGGGCAATATGAGAGCTGTTTTAAAACACTTCGAAGGCAATCATAGAGAAGAGGAATGTGACTTTCTCTGTGTGAAGCCAGGGAGCAGAGCTAGCACCAATGTGTGGGTAAAAGTTTAGATAAGTGGATATCGGCAGACTAGAAGGAGTTGTCCTAGGAGTCTAGAGCACCCTGTACCCTGCCATCAGCTCTAGCTGAGGCCAGACAATTGCTTATTGGCAATGCTGCAGATGTGGATCAATGTCAGGTAAAGGGTTGGATTTAATGACCTCTAAAGTTACTTCCAACTCTGAGAGTCTTTATTTCCTTCCTGCACAGATAGTTGGGGTCAGAGGTGAGGGACATTGGCAGATAGCACTGGAAAAAAAACTGATAATAGATGCAATCCAGCACATCCAGACTGCAGAATCACCCCATTTCCCAATACTGTGTAGTCTTGAAGCTAAGTGTCTCAGAAGTCAGGAATAAGAATGGTGCCATATGAGACTGTAGACACAAAAGAGTGGATATTTCAGTTCATCCAGAGAAAGTGTGGGAAGTGGGTGGCTGGTGGAAGCCAAGGATTGAAGGGGCTGTTAAATGACCTGGGCATCCTAAAGTGTGTATGGATGGCTCCTCAAGAGGCAGTTCCCAGAGGAATTTGTCATAAATTCTGGGAGCTAGAGCCAACCCTAGAGAGCAAATCTTGGGTTGTGGTTGGGCATGGCCGGGTTCCATGTGGAGGGCTGCAGAGACTGAGAGGTTTATGGACTAGAGATAACTCTAGGTTTAGTATGGCTAGAGATAGACCCAGCTATAGGAGTTTGGAAGGAGGCTAATCTGGCAGAGAGAATGTCCTGCCCAGGAGCACTGATAACAGACAACAAAGGGATATCTGAGCTTGGGGAGCTTGGCAAATGTTGGAAGAATGAAGAGCTCTGGCACTTGAGATAATAACATAATGAGGTATTTTGGCCTCGTGGTACAATCATGGAATTTAGTGCCAGACAGGTGTAGGTTCCAGGTTTCCCTGACCTTGTACAAATTACTTAACACCTCCAGACTTCAATATCCTCATCTATTAAATAATAATAATAATACTGGTACCCCATAGGATTGTTTGCAGCAATTGAGTGAAATAATATAAGTAAAACTTTAAAAGTTATCCCAGATGTGGAATGTCAGCTGTTTTGTTACTGTTGTTACTATTATTATTACTAAGATGAGCTGGTGATACAACATAGTGACAGGAGATCCAGGAGCAAGACGATTTTTTGGAAATCTATATTGACAGTGTAGTATCAGGAAGTCCCCAGAAAGTATGGGGAATGAGGCTGTGATCAAGCCAGGGACCCAGCTCCTGCTATTATAGTTGAGCCTAAGCTACTATAGACATGCAGGTCTTGTCACAAATAAAAGTTCTTTTATTTGTTCATCATTGTGTAGCTTACAAAACCTGTTAATAATGGCTAACATTTTCTGAGCACATACTGTATCCCAGGCACTGTTCTATGCACTTTACATGGAATACTTCATTTGGTCTTCACAACAGCCAAGTGAAATATATAATAGTTGACATATCTTTTTTTTGTATGGAAAAAACTGAGGTTTAGAAAAGTGGAAGAATTGGCCTACAGTCACTTATCTTGTAATTGGTGGAAGCAGGATATGAATGAGGTATCTGATTTTATATCCTAAATGCTTTCTAAGATGCTATTTGATCCTCACAATAACTCTGAAAGTGGAAAATGTATTGTCTTAGTCTTAGTCTGTTTTGTGTTGCTATAACAGAATACCCGAGACTGGGTAATTTATAAAAAGAAAAAAAAAGAGGTTTAGTTAACTTATGGTTCTGCAGGATGTGAAACTCAACACTGAGCAGCCACATCTGGAAGCTTCTGGAAAGTCAGGCCTACTACAGACATATGCCCAGATCCCAGAGACATGGTGCTTGTGATATGCAAACATCATGACTATAAGATCCTAAGCCCATCTTTCCCTGAAAAGGCAAAGTTTCATTCACAAGTTTGACGCCCAGTGTTCTGGCTGTACTCCCATTGAAACCAGCATCTCCAAAGATGCATGACATCAGCCCAGAAACCACCTGAATATTCATCAAAAGAAAAGGTCTGCTGAGAGCCTTGTGCTGCATCAAAACATGGCAGAGAAATGGGAGGGGAACCAGATGCATGCAAAAAAGGCAAAACACAATAGGCAACCTTGCTTTATAAGAATCTGCTCTCATGGGAACTAATTCATTCCTACAAGAAGTAACCCAGTCTAGCAAGAAAGACATTAATTCATCTTAATGATGTAATCACCCCTTAAAGGGACCACCTCCCAACACCATCACATTTGGGACCAAGCTTCAACATGAGTTTTTATGGGGACATACTATATATATTCAAACCATAGCATGTACCAATATGTCTATTTCACAGTTGAACATAGGTTAGGCTCAGAGAAGCTTAGTGACTGGCACAACGTCACTCAGTAAGAAAGTGGCACCATTAGGGATTAGAGTTCATGCTTTCTGATTCCCTTTAGGGGTTCTCTGTGAAGACATCATGCTTTTTTTGTGCAGGGCTGAGCTGAATGAAATCAGGCCAGTCACTCTGAGAGCTGGGCATATAATTACGATACTCCTAACCTTCCAGCTCTGCCAGTCTGCACTAATTCTTCATTCTCTCTTACCCTGATTCTGTGCTTGGGAACGTGCAGGTGGAGTGCCAAGCCATTCTATAGCACTTGCTTCAGGAATGTAGAGAACCTGGAGAAGTCTCTTCTTGCCAGGGTAACACTTGACATTTCTCCAAGTTGCCAACTAGTGGGCTCAGGGGTCTCACATGAGGAAATGAGTATCCCTATCCAGGTGTGCATGTGATTCTGCTGTACTAGCTCTTTCCACCTCCACTTCTCCATTTTAAATCTCACTCTAGGTGGAAGAAATGATAACTTTATAGCAAACAGATATGTTTCAGGAAGCAGGTGGCAAGAGGTCAGCATTGAGAGCTTCAACTTCTGCCTCTGAATCAGTGACTTGATTTTGAATGTCCAGCCCAAGTTTGCTGTAATTGACAAATTTGCAAATGGCAGTGAATAAGAGCTGGAGCTCTGGAGAGAGACTATTTATTGATTCATATACTATCTGAATGACCTAATGATTATACACTACAATTGTATACAACTTTGATGACCCTGAGTATGTTGTTTAATTAGATTTGGGGAGAATTAAATAATTTGTAAACTACATAGCACAGTAGGCCTCAACCTATGTGAGATTTTTCTCACCGTTCTCTCTCTTGTCATCCCCACCTACGCACAAACTTTTTGACTTCTAATCCAGCACTATATGTATTTCTGTCTCTTTCTTTCTGTTCTCTGAAAAGGGTTTTTTTCTTGGAATACTCTGGACTGTGTTCCCTTGTATTTCCCCTTCCTCACGGGATATAGCAGTTGAGGGGCCTCTCTTGGAGCAGGAGTGATTGGGCAGGGTCTCCAGCATGCCCACTATGATGTGTAGGTAATTTCAGTTTCCACTTTTTCCTTGGTGTCCCTGAGAGATGCCCATTTGTATTTTCACAGAGTGCAAGAAGGCATTGGAAGTAATAGAATCTTCTAAAGTTTGGGCCAAGATGGCTTTCTTGGAATGATTTCCTAGCAGAATACTTCATTCCCCCGGGCCTGTTAGCTATTTCAGGGACATTTTAAGTGGCTATTAACAAAATGTTGAATTATGGCTGCAAACTCCTGGGAGCTCAAGTGACATTCACATGAATCACAGGTGAGCTCTGTGCAGTCAAGGCTGCCACAATGGGCTGAGATTAAACAAACAGGGGCCATTGTTCCCCCCAGAGCAATGAGGCAAGAACACCATTTCTTGGAGGCTATGATTTCAGGCAATGTGCCCCTTACATGCAGAACACTGTTTCAGGCAGGACACATAGCTCATTGCTGCAGGGCAGACAGATGCTCTCTGGTTTGCAGAGAGGCGTATTTCAGTTTTATGTCTGCAAGAATTTACCAACGCTTAGCATGTCCAGGAATCTACCAGCCAATCTCCAGGGTTATGAGTTGCCCAGCACATGGATTTAACAAACATTTACTGATGTTCCCTATGTTCTAGACATTGTGCTAGGCTCGAGAGAAGTGGAAAAGAATAATACCCAGTCTAGACATTCAAGGAGCTCGTGGTTTAGTGGGGAAGCTAAACAGTAAATAAAAGATTACTTTACACAAAATAACCAAAGTTTGCCCAAGGTCCAGAGGTAACACATGGTAGGCTCTGAAAATTTTCCAAAAGGAGATAATAGCTAAATTTTATTCTTTTTTTAAAAAAGAATTGGAAACAATTTCAAACATATAGGTGTTGCAAAACTAGTTTGAAGAATTCCTGTGTATCCCTCACCCAGAAGTTCAACAGTGGTCCACTAAGGTCCTTCATGGCTAAAGGAGTCCATCCAGGACCACTCCTTATTCCCAGTTGTCAAGGTTCCCCTTACTCTGTCTTTATTCTTACAATGTTTCTGTTTTACCTTGATTTTCATGTACTGGATTTTTTTTTTTTAATAATTCAAGGCCAGTCATCTTGCACAATGATCTTCAATTTTGGTTTGTTCAATGTTTCCTCTTGAAGACACCAGATATGATTTTTTGGCTGGAATTTCACAAAACTGATGCAGAATTCTCATCATAGCCTATCTGGAGGCATGCAATATCTATTTGTCCTAATACTGATAGTGTTTTATCACTTGATGAAGGTGTCTCTTCTGGGGAGATACTTTGAGACTATGTAAAATTCCATTTCTTATTACTGTCTCACCCTCTGGTTTTATCATCCATTGATTTCTCTTGCTTGAATTATTACAATGAACCTTGCCAAATGATGGTTTTTGAATTCCATCATCCTTTCTACATTTATTAGTTGGTTTTCTGAAATACAGAAGAGCTTTCTCTTTTTTCTCTTTATTTATTTACATTGGTGTAGACTCATAGATTTCTATTTTATTCAATAGGTTACAGTCTGATAATATTGTTTATTTTGAAACTCAAATTTTCCCACATTTGGGAACCCCTTCCAGCTGACTTTGTGTGCTTTTGACATTTCCCTGTATTTTTTGAAAGTTTTTTTTCTTTCTTGTGCAGCTAGATGTTCAGGTTCATTTTCTTCATTTCCTTCCTCAGCCCTTTAATCAGCCAGTTCTCTAACAAATCTTGGTTCATTTGAACAGGAAATGCTATTTAGAACCAAGATCTGAGTTGTAGGTATGCTCAGTACTACTAGGGTGTAGCTGCTTCCAGACCTTCTCAGTGGACAGAGCTAGGATAGTTACATCTACATTTACACGTACATCTCAAACCAGGAATTTACACAGATGCCGCTTATTCCAGTCTAACAGCACAGGGTTCACTCTGGCTTTTCCTCCTTCCATATTGGTCCCCGCTTTCTCTAGCAGTAGGAAACCTGTGTCGTGTTACCCTCAGGTTATTTACTTACACTCAATTCTCTTGAATGGCGCCCGTCTTCCTATCCCACTGGGCTTCTGTTCCGCTTGGATGCCCTCTTCTCCTTCGCTCTGGTGCCCTCCTTGTGTGCACTCTGGCTGCTACCAGCCTGCCCTTCATTCATATTCAAATTTCCCCAATTGTCCCCAAAACTTGTTTACAGTTTTCTAACTTTTAAAATTCAAGACCCATTGAAGATACAATCAAGATTCATGTGTTGCATTTGGTTATTTTGTCTCTTTTAATGAAAAAGCTCACCCCCCCAATCCACATCACACACAGAGTTTTAAAAATAGCTTTGTTGAAATGTAATTCTCATTCCATACAATTCACCCATATAAAGTGTACAATTCAATGGTATTAAGTGCATTCAAGGCATTCTGAATTTTTGAACATTTTTATTACCTCAGAAAGAAACCCCGTACCCATTATCAATCACCCTGCTTCCCCAATTTCCATCAATCCCCCCCCCTCCAGTTCTAGGTGATCATTAATCTATTTTCTGTCTCTATAGATTTTCCCATTCTGGATATTTTGTATAAATGCAGTCATGTAGTATGTGCATTTTGTGATAGATTTCTTCCATTGAGTACAATGTTTTCAAGGTTTAATCATGTTTTAGAATGTGTTCATATTTTTCTTTTTATTATCAAATGATATTCCACTCTATGGATGCACCACATTTTATTTACGCATTCATCGTATACCACGTTTTATTTATCCATTCATCAGTTAGTGGGCATTTGAGTCATTTCCATTTTTTGGCAATTATAAATAATGCTGCTATTCATACATCGTTTAGTGTTGACTTTTGGAAGAAAACAAACCAGTTTTCCTATACAATGATCCCACATATGAATCTATCTGTTTATTTCCATGTGGTATCACTTAATTTGCTCCTCCCTTCCCTGTATTTTTCATAAAGTAGAAGTTAGATTTAAAAACATGGTGAGATTCAGGTCCAAACTGAGAATTTCTTTCAATAGAGATGCTAGATCTTTCACTAGAGATGCTAGTTTTTGATCATTTGGCTAAGATAATAACTGCTAGGTAGCTCCATTGCCTCCTCTCCCATCTTCAAATCATCTCCCATCATTTGTCAGATGACACCACAATACCTTTAAACATTCAGTTTGTGCTAAAATTTGAACCTGAATCAGTAATTTCATTAGAGGTTTCAAAATAGTGATTTCCCAATTCTATCATTCTACATGTATCAGCTGACATTGTATTATAAGGAAGAATTTTCACTCATCAACTGGGGAAAAACTACAGTTCCTCCTATGTAAGCAAGATAGATGCTTATTCCTATCCTTTAATTACTGGTTTTCAGAGGATTGGGTTGTGTGATCATTGCCTAGGTGGACTTTGAGGGATGATTAATTCTCAGATGGACAAGGGATAAGGTATTCACTAGAGTCGAACAATGGCTGAAAGAATGACTGTGGGTGAAAGGAGAGAGCGAAGGTTGGTAGGACTCCACTCAGCCGTAGTCAAGGCAACTAGACTCCTCTGGATCCCGTGATATCCCATGGTGGGACTCTTTATTGCTCAGATGTGGTTCTCTCACTAGTCCAGAGCCTGGGCAGAGCTGGAGCAGAGGTGGCAGGCACTAGGGTTGGTGGAGAAGGGCAGTGACAGCATTGACCATGTGGCATAAGGCAGCTCAGAAAGTGTCCAGTGTAAGGATCCTAATCATTTAGCCTGCCCCTTCTCATCTTGTCTCTTCCCTGGCACTTTTTCTTAATTGGCACCCAATGCTTGTGCTTCCATGTGTGGATCTCCAGGGAATTCATGCAGCAGACCCTCCTCAGTGGGAGTGGGAGAGGTGGGGCAGCAAAGGAAAACTTCACATGTGGATTTCATTTAATTAAACTACCTGAATTAATGATGAAGGTAAAACATTTACTGAGCATTGGCTATGTGCCAGGCAATGTTTAAAGCACCGCATGTGTTTTAATGCATTGCATCCTCCCAGGGACACAATCGGGGAGGTACTTTTACTCCTCTCATTCTGTATTGAGGACTGAGGTACAAAAGATGAAGGCAATTGACAAGGTCTCACAGCTCATGGTCTCGTGCACTCCCCTATTCTGCCTTTCTAGGTGGGGTGCATGAAGAAGAGCTTCTGCTCGGAGGAGTTAGTTTCGTATTCTTCTGCTCCCAGTTTGCATTTCCCTGGATAATTAGATAATTCAACAGCTCACTGGCTTTGACTCTAGAAGGTGGGACTTGTGGGTGCAAAGGGGTCTAAATGTTTGGGTCCCCCACTAAATTCATATTTTAAAATCTTAACCCCAAGCTGATGGTATTAGGAGGTAGGGCCTGTGGGAGATGATTAGGTCATGGGGGGTGAAGCCTTCATGAGTAAGATTAGTGTCCTTATAAAGAGGTCCTAGAGAGACCCACCCCTCCTTCCACCACATGAGGACACAGCTAGAAGGCACCATCTATGAATCAGGAAACGAGCCTTCACCAGACACTGAATCTGCCAGCACTTTGAGCTTGGACTTCCCAGCCTCTGGAACTGTGAGAAATAAATCTGTTGTTTGTAAGCTACCCAATTTATAGTGTTCTATTATAGCTGCCTGAACAGACTAAGACAAAAGTGATGTGGGGTGGAGCTTACAGAGGGGAGAAACACCCAACGGACACAAAGAAGACTGTGCCCAGGAGCCCTCCACCTGATGGTCCACAAATGAGATGTTTCCTCCACACAACCTGCTCTCTGCCTTGCCTCCACAGGGACACTAATTATCTGGCATGCTAACAAACCTAGAGAATTAACATGGAATGTGGATAATGATGATTTCAGTTGATGGATTTAAAGCTACCTTCCTGGGAAAATATAATTCAGTCTGTTTGCTGGGAAAGCATCTTGGAATCAAATAGCACATATTGGCTAAAGTCTCAATTGTGGAGGATCAATCACATGTCTACCATGTGCAGTTAATTCAACCTGATGTCCACTTATTCATTCATTTTGTCTGTTTTGTCCAGGATGGATATGGCATGTCCCCTGCTCTCAGTGGAATCTCATATTTTTAGAAGGTTACAGATATACAAACAAATAATTTTAATTAGAACTGTCATGAAAGAATTATCTATACTGTGCATGGCAGGGGAAGCTAGTGCAGAGGGAGCGAGAGTGATTCATTCCTTCTAGGGGGATTGGAAAGACTTCATGGGAAAGGTAGCATTTTAGCTCTGCCTTCAAAAGGAGTAGAATATAACAAGTGAAAAGAGCAGGTGAGGATCTTCCAGGGCCAGGGAAATGTGCCAATGAAGTTACAAGACAGGTGGGTCCAGAGTATGCAAAATGTGGGCTTGGGAGACAATGCTGCATGAGCAGGCCAGAGACAGGCTGTGAGGGAGGCCCACTATGTTTGAGTATTGTCTGTGCTGATGAAAAAAGCCAAACTCTCCAAAATATTTGAAGAGGTTTATTCTGAGCCAAATATGAGTGGCCACGGCTCATGACACAGGTCTTGAGAACACGTACCCAAGGTGGTTGAGGTACTGCCTGGTTTTATACATTTTAGGGAGACAGAAGTTACAGGCAAAGACATAAATCAATAATGTAAGTAACACATTTGTCCAGCCCAGAAAGATGGGACATCTCAAAGGGAAGGGGGCCTTCCAAGTCATGATTGGATTCAAAGATTTTCTGATTGGCAATTGATTGAAAGAATTAAGCTTTGCCTCAAGAGTTGAAGTCAGCATAAGGAAATCATTGAATTAAGTAAGTAGGGTTGTGGAAGCCAAGGTTCTTGTTATGTAGATAAAGCCTCTAGGTAAGGGGCTTCAGAGATAATGGATAGTAAATGTCTCTTAAAAGGTGTCAGACTCTTAGTAAAATCTCTCCTGGATCAAGAAGATATGTGGAAGGGGAAAGGGATTCTCTACAGAATGCAAATTTTCCCCATAAGAGATGGCTTTGCAGGGCCATTTCAAAATAAGTCAAAGAAAATGTATTTTGGGGTAAAATACTGAGATTTCCTTCAGGGCCTGCTGTCATGTGATGTTACGTCAGAGTCAAGTTGGAGTTTAGTATGTTATTGCTACAAAGAGTCTGCTTTGTCAGTCTTATAATCTTTGTTTTAATGTTAATGCTGGTCAGCTGTGCCTAGACTCCAAAGGAGGAGGGTATAACTAGGTTTGTCTGACTCCTGCCCTGTCATGACAGCCTGAACTAGTTTTTCAGGTTTCTCCAGGATCCTCTTGGCCAAGAGGGCTCCATTCAGTTGGTGGGGGTGCTTATAATTGTTTTTTGATTGACGCAGGCAATAGGGAGCTATTGAGCATTCTCAATGACATGACCACATTATTATTTTTTTTAGAATAATGATTGGCAGCATCCTGGTTGAGGATGGTTTAGATATGAAAGATACTATAAAGGAATGGCTTCTGTTTGATTGTTTTACTATTAATATTATTATTATTTAAAATACAAGTCCTGCCTTTAGTGGATATTTCACCTTTTAATCATATATTTGTGGAGTGCAAGTCCTTGATGTGAATTACTGACTGTAGACTATAAACAATATTTCAGGTGGTGGGAAACTTCATCATCCTGTGCTGAAAGAATTAATCAAGGTGTAAAGGGAAGATTTAAGTCTATGATTCTCAACCTTGGCTGCACATTGGAATCACCTGGGGAGCTGTAAAAAAATACAGATGTCTGGGTCTCGCCACAGAGAAGTCTGGGTTGATGTCCAGGCATCAGGACTTTAAAAGCTTACCAGGTTAATTTTAATGCCCAGCCAAGATTGAAAACTACTAGCAAGAGAACCAGCAGTCTGGAGAGTTGGAAGCCAAACCTAGTGCTAGGTTTGCTGACTGATCTTCTCCTACGAAGATGCTAGCCCTAGACTTGGTCCTCAGCCACTTTCTATCTCTAGCTCATCTTCTATGCCATGTTCCTGCTTTCAGTGATTCAGCTGCCAGCAGGCAGGCCTGTTTGGGACTGCTTGGTCACAGTTGGAAGACAAGTGCAATTTTTGGTGTAGGCTGACCAGGCCATCGCTGGCTGGGCTTTGCTGGCCAGAACTCAGAGAAGTTGTGAAGTTCTGTTTTGGAATTATTAATTAAGAGCTTTCCAACTTATCTAGCAGAAAGAGCCTCCACTTCTAGCAAAGCATTCCATTTGGCTTTGGAGTTCTGACAAGCCTGTCTGTGGGGTCTCAAATGTCACTCTACAGTCACCAGTCTTTTAGTAATGACCTGTGGTTGGCTATAGCTGTTCAGAAAATTAGAATTCCAAAGTTCAAGGCATTACTATTATTATATTTTTGGCAGAGTGAGGGGTATGAACTGAAGGGGCCCAAGGAGGTACTGCCTACGTATGGGTGGGCGAAGGTAGGGGGTGGCCCCAGGATTCAGAGTAAGGAGTGCAGTTTGACTGTGAGCTCCCTCTCCTAGAAATGACTGGCTGCATGTCTGTCTACGAGAGTGGTCATAAGCAGAGGGTTTCCTTCCTGAGGTCAGACCTGATTAATCTTGGGATTGGCGCAAATAGAAACAGATTCTGGAGTATGTGGTGCAAACTGGCATTGAGAAAGTAATCACATAACTTGTTGACCTAGAACTTCTCCATGTCTCATCACTGGACTCAGGGCAAAGTCTCCCTTCTAGGTTTCTCTGGCACTTGTGGCCTGGGCTTTGCTGGTGCTTCCAGCCTCATCTCTACGATGGCTGCACTCCCATTCCTCTTCCTTCCATTCTCTCCTTCCTGCATTGTGCATTTACTCTTTGCCAGGGACTTGACCTGGATTATTTCTCTTGGGGACAGGCATGGATATCTAACTTGCCCGGATGGACTTGGTTAAAGGTGACTGTCCAGCTCTGGTGAGAGGACAATGTGGCCCCTTTCTGGGGACTTTGGGGCATTTGACAAGACCATTAGTACTTAAAGATGGATGTTGTGCCTGAGGGTGATAGGGCGGTCACAGAGAGAAGTGACCATTTACAACATTTCAAATGCAATTAAATCATTGTTCACCCCCAAACCTCTGATGCCAACTACAACATGACTCTAGAAGGCTTCACAGCATTTCCTTTTGGGGCATTTCAGACTTCAAGGGGGCATTAACCATTACAGATATAAAGAAGGGATGCTGGCTTCTGAATTAGAGAATCAGTACCTGGAAGCTGACTGTAGCACTCATCAGCTATGTGAACTTGGTAAGTATCTCTCAGAATTAGTTTCCTTCTCTCAGGGTTTTTCAGTCTTGGAACTAGTGACAATTTGAGCCACAGGATTCTTTGTGATGGGGGCTGGACAAACTGTAGTGTCCTGTGCATTACACTATGCTTAGCAGTATCCCTGGCTGGAAGTGCTCCTCCCACACCCCTCACCCTGCAAAGCTCCAGACATTACCCAGTATCTCCTGAGGGGCAAAACTGTCCTCAGTTGAGAACCACTGGTTTACCTGTAAATTGGGATGTAAAACCCCTATGTCACTTAGTTGACCTTAGGTGTAAATAAGTGTGATTTGCAGGAGAAATCACTTTGCATACAGCAGGTGGCCCTTAGCAGACACAGTGAGGCCCAGGGAAGCTGTGGGTTTCCTTGGCTGCCTCACAAGAATGTTTCACCTGCTGGTGCCAGGCCCTACGAAGGCTCCTCAAGCCAGGTGAGTACCAGGCTCATTGGCATCACTGGTACCCTGGCCTGTGGCCATGCGTGTGAATGTCAGCCTCCTGGGCTTCTGTCCCACAGCTCAGAGCCAGGGCTGCTCTTGGGAGAATGCACTGATGTTCTGTAGCCAGCTCAACAGAGACAGCCTGACCCTGGGCCAATTCCAGAGCATGAGGGATTCCCAGGGGTGTAGCTTCTCCCAGCACCTTTTTTAGGTGAGAGGAAAGAACCATTTACCGAGCATTGCCATGGCTCTGCCCCCCACCCACCCAGGGACACTACCCCTTCCCCTACACCACAAAAATAAAAGTAGAAAATAACCAAGAAAAAGAAAGACGCTTGAAGGCAAAGAAATCTGAGTTCATACCCTTTCATTGCTTCTAAAATGGGAAATCAATCATATGTATTTATATCATATCATACATCTATTTATCAATCCCAGAGTCAGTATGAACATTTAATTAAATCAGATAATTGATGCCCAACACTGAGTCTGGCTAACAGTAAGTAATAAATACTTGGTAGTTCTCTTCTGCCTTTACATATATCATCTCAGTTCCCTCTCACAATGAAAGAGGGAGATGTGGTATTAAATTGGGGTGACCCCAAACAGGCCGCGATGGGTTAGATTGGGGCCTAGGTCCCTCTGTGGAGGAGACTGTGCTTCTAGGGAGCCCTACCCTCACTGTCTACAGAGGTCAGCTGAGCACAGGCTTCCAGGATGGATGGTTGAAGTATGGCCTGATTTTTTACCTGAGACTTCACAGCTTATAAAGAACACCTACACACACACTTGTTACCTAACAACAGCCCACAGTGGTAGGGAAGGTAGTTGTTATTCCTATTTTGCAGGCTAGTGAGAGGTGAAGCCAGCTGGACTTCGTGGGTCGAGTGGGGACTTAGAGAACTTTTCTGTCTTACAAGAGGATTGTAAAATGCACCAATCAGCACTCTGTAAAACACACCAATCAGTGCTCTGTAAAACGCACCAATCAGCACTCTGTAAAATGCACCAATCAGTGCTCTGTAAAACGCACCAATCAGCAGGATCCTAAAAGTAGCCAGTTGCAGGGAGGATTGAAAAAAGAAAGACCCTTGAAGACACGCTGATAGGACAAAAACAGAACATGGGCGGAGACAAATAAGGGAATAAAAGCTGGCCTCCACCCGGCTCGCACTCCATCCCCAGCCAGCAGCCGCAACCCGTCTACCTGTCCTTCCACGCTGTGGAAGCTTTGTTGTTTTGTTCTTCACAATAAATCTTGCTGCTGCTCACTCTTTGGGTCTGCGCAACCTTTAAGAGCTGTAACACTCACCACAAAGGTCCCCGGCTTCGTTCTTGAAGTCAGCGACACCACGAACTTACCGGGAGGAACCAACTCCGGACACACTAGGAGATTCAAACTCAAGGAAGTTAAAGCACTTTTCTGAAGCCATACTCTGGTAAGTGGCAAAGTTGAGATCCCAGCTGAGGTTAGCCAGGCTTTACATTCTTGTGTCCCCTGCAGAGGCATTATGATCCTCCTGTAGAAAGCCCAGAGATCAAACTTATAGGGCATAAGAGATGGTGTCTCAAATTCCAGGACAGCACCTACAATTGTCACAAAAGTTTCCAAAATGTCCCCGTCCCACTGCCCCAAGAGAGACCAGAGTTCCTAAATGTCCCTCAGAGAAGAATGGAGAAGCTAGACCCAAGGTAATTCGTCAGTGGGCCAGCACTCAGGCTTTCACACGCTGGGATCCAGATTCTCAGACCTTTCAGGGCCTCTTGTTTATCTGGTCCCATTTGGACAGGGGGCCTCGGCAATGGCCCCTGCCCAGCAGACCCTGGGTCTCAGTGGGATTAAAGGAAAGGCACGCAGAGCCACAGACTGAAATATTTCTCCTTTGTTTTTGTGGTAGAGTGTGAAATATCTCTAGAGCATTTGTGGACAGGGTTTAGGCTCAGGAAGATGTCCCTGCTGTCAGCAGACCACAAGCTGGCTTCCCCCCAGGAATGGTTGCGTGCCCAGGCAGGGGTAAGTCAGGGCTGGCTTTGCTCAGGTCCTGGAGGGTGACAGCTCAGCCCTGGAGCCTCTGTGGCTGAGCTGGGGGCAGAAACCTTTATGTGGCTATTTATAGGTCCTGATGGCCAAAGGAAGGGAGCTATCCTGATGCCAAAATGACTCTTCTGGGGCCTAGGCAGTGGAGCTTGGGGGGCTGGCAGTTTATTTAGGGAATACAATGGCCTACTCAGAATGGTTATTTCTAATTGATTCCTCCCCAGCTCCTCTCTCTCTTCCATCCCCATTATTCCCATGACCAAATGGCCCTGTCTGAAACACAGCTCTCAATATGTCACTACTTTGTCCCAGTCCATCAATGGCTCTCTATTGTCTTGCCAATCTGCATTTCGAGGCTCAGTTTCCAATTCTTCATGGTGCAAAGCCTAACTCTGCCGTAATATACAATTCACTCTTTCCCGAAGGCTTTCTTTCCCCACTGGCCCCTCAGCTTTGTTCCTACTATTCATTCTCAGAATTCCTCCTTTTTCTCTCCCTTAGCATTGGTTTGTTGAAAGTCTGCTCATCTGCTAATGTCCATCTCCAATGCAGCTTTTTCCGCGAAGGCTTTCTCGATCTCTCCCTACTCGCTGTACTCATTCCTTAAATACTTGTTCTCTGTCCATTGAATAAATGCCTTGGTGCTTTTTACCTAAGGGCAGGCATCAGAGTGGCCGTATAATAATTTCATGTATAAGCTTCCCTTCCCCTGAAACCCATCTTTTCATTTCAAAAAGCATTTGTTGAGCATCTGCTCTCTTCTAGGCAGTTGCTAAGGGATGCACTAGTTATGCAAACATGGGTAATGCAGGGCCCAGCCCTTGGGGAGCTTGCTGCCCAGATGGGAAAACGCATCCTAACAGATTCATTATGGTGTGAGAAGCATCATGGAAGGGAATTCCAGAGTTTGGAAGAGGAAATGCTTTACTCTGTTTGAGGAAAGGTGTGGGCATTGAAGCTTATAAGACCAAAGACACCTTTGTCTTTCAACAGGGACTATATCTTTCTTGTCTCTTTCCCTGTGTGTCCAGACAACACCTGGGACATAGATGATGTCCAGTAAATGTGTGTTGCACTGGGACTAGTTAGATATAGGTTCTGTGTTCTCCAGGCTCCTTTGAGCCCTTGCCCATATCCCCATTTATACGGATTCAAAATCATAACTGTTGCATCTCCTCGTAAGCCATGAGGAGGAAAGCAGTAGTTGAATCTGATTTCAGCACCTGGAAAGCAGTGGTTGAATCTGATTCACTGCATTATCTTTGGAGCCTGCACAGGGTAAGGGTTTAAGGAGCTTTGCTGGGTGAAGTCATGGGTGGCAGTGACTGCCTCTAATGATCTCGCCTTGAAAAGTGTGTGACAGGCTCAGTCAGAGCATTCTGTCTTTCTTCATGTCTCTAATTTAGTCCTTTCATGATGTGCAAATGAATATTAACTCCTAAACCCCACAGATAGCCTGAAGAGTGCAGAGCAATAGCCTTAAAGTAAATGGCAAGGTGCAAGTTTCCATGGTGGCTTTATCGTTCTCTAATTGGACTCACCTGGCTGTTGGATGACAGTACTTCCTGCTCCACTGGGCCAGCTCCTTGCTGGTTCAGGTGCATCCCTCCCAGCTCAGTGGACCCCCTTGAGAGGCAGGACATGGTATGTCTGGAGGGTGACAATAGCTTTAGCCTTTGTTCTGTACTTGGTTCATTGATAATAGGATGCCCCGTCTTCTAGATTTTAAGGAAGCTTTGATCTGGGGATCCAAGAAGATTGGAAGCAGCTACTAGTATGCCCTGTTTTAGGTATTCCATTATAAAAGGCTTCTGTAGACAAAGAAGCTTGAGAAAGATCTTGGTGAAATAGAACTACTTAGATTTCCTCAGGGCAGGACTTCTCATCCATCACCTTTGCTGTGGTTGACAGGTACTGTGAGTCTCCATGAGGGGGTACTATAGGCAGTGATGTTTATTCTTAGCCAAGAACCTTTTAACACTCTAGAGAATAATTTTGGGAATTATTAGTTCCAGGTATAACATGGGACATGGCCCTTTAAGAGTGTGGAAGAGGTTCCTACCCTGTGGTATGTGTGTGTATATCAAATGCGGTCATGTCCTACCAGGATTCCCAAAGTTGATTCTGACAGACAATAATTCCCCAGAATTCTTACATTTTACAGGAAAAGAAATTGTATTCCAAGGCTTGTTATGCTGTACAAGTGGAGAGTTTGGCCTCAGAGTGAGGCAGAGTGGGGCTTGGATGCTGGTTCCACCATATAAAGTCATCTCTGCCAGTTTCCACACCTGTACGTGGGGTGATCCTAGTCCCCACCTCATTAGGCTGTTGTGAGGATTAAATGGGATAAAGGACATCACATGCTAAGCATAGTGCTTGACGTGTAATAGGTATTTAGTAGATGTAAGCTATTAAAAACTAGATTCATACGCTTTTTATTCTCATAGTTCATGAGCCCGTGCTCTCGAGGGTAGGGGGTCAGGCATCACTCTGCACACTGATCTTTAGAGTGTTCTCTTCCTTCGGTGTATTCATGTTCACTCCCTCTGCTGTGGAGCCCAGGAGTTCTCAATATAAGAAACCACTTGTTGATATGAAAAATAACTAGCCGAAACCCCAACCACAGGTGGATTAAATCAGAATTTCTGATGGTGGCGCTGGGGCATCTGGCAACTTTTAAAGCTCCCCAGGAGGCTCTGATGTGCAGCTGGAGCTGAGCTAGACCGAGACTACCCCCTCTGCTGACACAACCTCATTCTTCCTCCAGCCCCAAACTTTCTGTAGAAAAGGGGAAAAAAGCCAATGCTGACTTTTTTGCATGTAGTAACACGGCATCAAGAAATGCTTCATTTAAAGAGAGTGCTGGAGGCAGTAACAATAATAACTTGCTTATCTAGCGCACAGTTCTAGTGCTAGAACTACTCCCATAAATGTGGGGTAGGCAGAGCAGGGACTTTTTCCCTTCTCCACTGAAAGGATGAGGAAACTGAGGCTCTTGGAAGTTAAGTGACATCCCTCAGGTCATGCAGTGACATAAACAGGCCCCTCCTCCTCTACTATCACATTGAATAAGTGTGGTTTGCAGGGGAAAGTGAACCACACTGCAGCGGGTGGCCCAAGGCAGGCACAGTGGGACCAGGGAGGTTCATGGTTCCCTTGATGCATTACAAGAACAGCTTCACCTGCTTTGCCAGGTCCTATGAGGCTCCCTGCACCTGGGGTCCCTGGGAATTCAGTGAGCTGAACTTCTCAATAGGGACAAGGTGTGGCAGAGTGGAATCCCACGGGCCACTTTGATAAGACTACTTTGCCTCCCTTTACCCAATAAACCCTCACAGCTTCTGATGTGTTAGTTATTCACACCCATGACCTGGGCCTTTTACTCCCCATTTGATTCCCTTTTTCTCATCCTCTACCTCCTTCTTTTCTTCATTCTCCTTTTCTCAAACATTTATTAAGATTGTACAAGGTGTTAGGCACCCGTGGGATGTGGTATCATCATCATTATATATTTGTGGCTGTCAGTGTGCTCTCCTTGCCTCTCTGAGATTCAGGGAGGTTGAGTAACTTCCCCACAGTCACACAGCTAGAATAAGGTAGAGCTCACACATGGATCTAGCAGGCCCAGTCTCCTTTGCCCAAGGCCCGGGATGCTCAGCATAGAGAAAGCCAGGTTGGCTCTGAGCCAGTGCCAGTCCAGGGATCCCTGAATTTGCTCTTTGTACAGCCTCCTCTTTTATCATATTCTTTTCCTTGCATGGGACAGTTTCTTGTATTCTTGAGTTCAGCCCTCCCTTCTTGTGGAGGGCTCAGGTGGCATCGGACTCCTCCCTGGAGCTGTTGCATCCGTCCTGCAGCAGGAAGAGCAGGGGAGCTGAAGCCCCCAGCTGCCCCACTGAGGGAGAGAGTGTGTGTCCAGGCTGAGAAGAGGGGTCCCTGCACTCCATGCCTTCCCTCTCGATTCTGCTACCTATACGTAGAGAAAAATTGATTGCTGCATGACTGGTTTGGAAATGGGAAGAGGCTGATGGTCTGGGAAGAGAAAGGGGATGCATCCACAACTAAATTGAAACTCTGGCTGTGGGGGCCACATTGTCTGGAGCCTGGTGTTTTACGGACTCAGAACAAATTCTAGAATGTCATAGATGGAGGGTAAACCCAAGACCATCTTGTTTTTTGCTTTATAGAGTTCAGAATGAAGCTAAGGAGAGATCAGCAATCATGAGAGTTAGAGACAGACTGGGCAAGGCAGGGAGGCAGGGAGATGCAGAGGCAGACCCAGATCTTGTGATAGGAAGTCCTCATTTCTAGTTTGAAAAGCCCCGATGCTCATACTGCCTCCTTTGACCCCCTGGCCTTTCACATAGAAAACTTACTCATAACGAAAAACAAACCCCCTCTTACTGAAGCTGATTTGAGTTGTGTGACTGTTACCTGCAGCTGTGGATTCTGCCAAATGCAAACGCTTACTGGGAGCCTACAGGCAGACTGCTTCATTGCTTATCCATGGGCCCTCCCACCTTAATTTCTTAGACACTCTTCAAGGGCACCCCTCTGTCCTGAGTTGGAGGGTGGAATAATCTGGGAAGAGGCTTGTGCTCCCTGTCAGGGATGTGTATTTTCCAGGGACGTGCCCGGGCTACTCAGCACATGGTTCACGCACTAGCAGCATCAGCATCACCTGGAAGCTGGGTAGAAATGCAGCGCCTCAGGCCCCGCTCAGCTCTGCAGAAACGGAATCTGCAGCTTAACAAGGTCCCCAGGTGACTCATGTGCCCACTAAATTGTGAGAAGACTGTGTGGTCCCATCCACCTCCATCCCCTGCCTGTGCCTGCCTTGCCTCTTCGTTCAGAGTCAGAGAACCTCATCTGTGCTCTAAGCAGCAGGCCGGTGGTACTGCTGACCAAGAGTTGGTAGCTCTGTCCTGACAGTGGATGAGAGGTAATGGATCAGCCAACTCCCTAGGGAGGCTGAGAGAGAAGTGGAGAAGAGGGAACATCTCTCAGTGTTCTCCCTGATGTTGCCGTACAGGACTGAGGTCCTTGGCATGTTCAGAAGGCTGAGGCTAAACAGCCCCATGCAGGAAAGGCAGGCTGGTGGAGTCTGGGAAAAGCAGGCATAGATCTCACCTCTGGGGTGCTTTATTTATTCCGTACTTTCCTCCACCACCCCAGGCTGTGGGATAATGAGGCTTGGCTGCTTGGTTTTGAGTATGAGGCAGTGGAGTGGGCTAATAACTGTCACAGATGATGCCTAAGTCTCACTGGTGTAGCCTTTAGTCACAATAAACTTCCTTTCTGCTTACATCACAATCCAATCAAGGCTTTGATAGGCAGTCCTCCTCATGACAGCTCAGGGCCAAGCCTCTTCCTGTATAATGGCTCTGTCTTCCCCTGGAGCCTTCAGTCCTCCACTGGGTCCTCTATGTCTTGCCATGAGATGAGGGGAGGAGACACACCAGCTCTTGAATGTGCCTACCCAAGGTAACCCACTTTACTTGCATTCACACTTCATTGAGCAGAAAGCTTAGTCCACAGTCCCACTCCGCTCCAGTGGAGGCTGTGACATGTGGGATAGCCGTGTGACCAAGGGGAGTGACGTGGATGGGGGGCATGGCCTCCTGTGTTCCACAGTTACCTCCCTGCCCTCTGGCTGCTCTCTGGAGCTCAGGATTTGGTATCTGAGCTCGTACCTGGATCCTCAGTTTCAGAAGCTCCAGCTCACCCGCAAACCATGTCTTAGCGGCTGTGGTATTGTGGAGACATCTAGGCATGAGAACACAATCCCACAACCTACTACTTGTGGGGCTGTGGGCAATTCATATAATCATGTTACACCTCAACTTCCTCCTTTATAAGATAGGAATCATTCCTACAGATCGTCTTACTCATTTATTAAAATACACTGAGAGGATCTGAAGTGCTCCAGCCCAGAGATGGTAGCCACAGAGATCCCATGGGACAGTCTGGCACTGTCATTTGGGTATCGTTTCAGTCTATTCCCTTCTGAGACTGGTTCTCTGGTCTCCTGGAGATTCCATGAGCTACCTAACATCCTCTAACAAATTACTTTTCTGATTACACTGGCTAGAGTGGGTTCTGTGGAATTGGTGCTGTCCCCAAGACTGCATTAAGACCTTCAGTTGTCTTCTGATCAAGATTATGATGTTTCATCATCTGCACCCAAGTTAATTAGAAATAAAAACAATATAAACCACACACACATGCGCACACGTATACACATTGTGTGCCAGGACCTGTGCTGGGTGCCTGGGATAAACTAATGACAAGGCCTGGCCATTTCAGCGGATGCTGGCCTGTGAAGCGGGGGGCAGACACTGGGCATACAGTGCTGTTGTGTGTCAGTAGCACTGTGGTGAGGGCATGCAAGTCTCAATGGGGACACGGAGGAAGAAGGACATGAGTCTGTCCTGGGGTATAGGTAAGGCTTTGTGGAGGAGGTGTCTCTGGAAGGGAAGGGAAGACGTTTTTCCAGAATAGGGAAGGAAAGGCACTACAAGCAGAGATGACATACATAGAAGTCCTGATGTGTGGGTGAACAGGACATTTCCTGTGATCTATGACATGGGGAACACTGAGGATTTTTATGGACTACATGTTGGTGATCCCCCAAAATTTGTATCTTGAAAGCCTAATCCCCAATATGATGATATAAGGAGGTGTGGCCTTTGGGAGGTAATTAGGCTTAGATGAGTTAATGAGTGTGGAGACCCCATGACGGCATTAGCGTCATTACAGGAAGAGGGGCTAGAGATCTCTCTCTCCATGATGTGCGAATGTCACAAGAAAGCAGCCACGTATAAACTGGGAAGGGGGCCCCCAAGAAGAGCCTGACCATGCTGGCATCCTGATCTTGGACTTCCAGACTTGGAAGTGTGAGAAATAAATGTGTTTTTGTTGTTGTTGTTGTTTGTTTATTTTTCCTTAAGCCACCTAGTCTGTGGTATTCTGTTACAGAAACCAGAACTGACTGTAAGTGGGATGATAACTGAAGCTGAACAGGCAAACCCATCAGATTAAGGGGGCTCTTTTGCTGCAAAGTTAAGAAGTCTGAGCCATAAATAAGGAAGTGGTATCACCATATGTGTGTTTTAGAGTGATCTCCCTAGCAGTACTAAAGTGTATGGATTGGAGTGGTTATTTTGTAGTATTTTGAATTTTTAAAATGCTATTGTGTAGGTCAGTGGTGCTTCGGTGCGTGAAGCAGCCTTTAAACTGCTTAGAAAGTATATTAAATATGATAGTAATAGTAAGTGATGTCACCCATTACAGTTTTACAAGGTGCCAGGCACTGTGCTAAGTGCTTTCCTGTATTCTTTCTGTTACATAATCTCTGTGCCTCAACCTTCTTGTCTGTAAAATGGTGAGAAAAATAATACCAATGTCACCCAGTTGTTTTGAAGATTATATAATTTAATATTTTTATTTATTCATTTTTGAAGCAGGGTTTCACTTCTGTCACCCAGGCGGGAGGGCAGTGGCATGATCTTGGCTCATGCAACCTCCACCTCCGAGGCTTAAGTGATTCTCCTGTGTCAGCCTCTCGAGTAACTGGGACTACAGATGCACACCACCGCACCCAGCTAATTTTTGTATTTTTGTAGAGATGGGGTTTCGCCATGTTGCCCAGGCTAGTCTTGAAACTCCTGACCTCAAGTGATCTGCCCACCTCAACTTCCCAAACTGCTGGGATTACAGGTGTAAGCCAGCACACCCAGCCTGTAACTTACTATTTTTAAAAAGCTTCAAATGATCCCTAGTCCAGGTCAAGCCTTCAGTAAAGGTTGCTTTTGGTTACAATGATCCTAAGAAGCAGGAGACCATTGTTCCATTTCACAGACGGAAAAGCTGAGACTTGCAAGACCACTCAGGTTGTAAGTGACAGCTGCTGGATTTGGACCTAGACTATCTGGTTGTAGACTCCAGGCTCTTAGCCAATACACCACCTATGCAGTCATTGTCACTGTCATGGTGACTCAGAGGTGGAAAGCAAGAGGTAGGTGCCTGTACAAGGTGACTCCCAGGGTACCCCCACTGCTGAGCAAGAGGTACCTGCCAGGAGCTGGCTGCCATTCCCCAGGAGTCTGGCCCCTCTCCCTCCCTGGTAGTCTACAAAGGGAGGGCAGGAGGTGATAGGGAAGCAGGAAATGACATTGCAGTGGAGCCGAAGCCTTCCTCCTGACTGGGTTGGGCGGGTTCCTGTGGGGTTTCTGGGTAATGGTGCCAGCTCTGCTTGATCTCAGCAGCTTCATTTCGTTGCCCTGCCTAGAATCCAGGCGAAGATGAATCCTCTCCCTAGTTCCAGGGCCAGCAGAGAGAATCTTAATAGACCAGATTGTCTGCCCAGAGCTTGTTATCACCCTTGGAGAGGGCCATGTTCTAGGGGATTCTACCTTCTTCTCATAGGCTGGGCAAGACTTGTCTTCCGACAACTTGGAGCAATTGGAACCCTAGATGCCCACAGAGCTGTTGACTGGGAATGAGTGGTGGAGCCTGGTTCCATGAATTTTTGATGGACTTCCCTACTGAAGATATTAGTGTGCCCTTTAAAGTGGATAATTGAAATTCAGATTTGGATATTTTATTACTTGACGATATTCTTTATGAGGCTGCTTTGTGTTTCCCAGTGACTTGGTTGCAGCTTTAGTGACTCCATTATGGAGAAAGATATTGATTTGTCAGGGTGGTGTCAGGAGCGCTGCTCTGATGAAAATTGATTTATCTCTCCCTGAGCAGCTTGTGTTTTTAATTGGTCTTTGCCTCCAACAAGGTGTGGGGTGGGTGTGAGTGGGGGAGGGTGCCTCCCCTGCCTGGACTCTGTTCACCACTACACACTGTAAACAAAGCTTGGGATACAGCACTGGCTATGGTTTTATGCTCTGCTCTGAGAAGATAAAATAGCTCCTCTTTTGCCCCTGCTAGTGTTTATAACATTTGTGTTCATTCCTCTCCTCCCCTGACACAGACACATGTAGCTGGGTGTGACGGATGAGGACCATGGGAGAAAGACTCGCTCTCTCTAGATGAGAAACAAGTCGATATCGAAGTGGCAGGTGGAACTGGGGAGGTCTCCATTTGCATTCCGATGAACCGTGAACCACAGGGAATAACTTTTAATTGCGAGACTTTGACATGATTGGCTCATTCCTTCATTCATTCTGGTAGTGTGGTGGAGTCGGCTGCCTGGGCTGGACCCTCGCTCCCTTGTGCCCCTTCTGCCACTTGCTATCTGGGTGTGCTGAGCACTTATTTAATCTCGTTGAGACTCAGCCTCCTTGGGAATACCAGGAAGATAATGATGCTTGACTGACAGGGTGGGTAGGAAAAGGAAATGAAATGATGCAAGCAAGTCCTTAGCACATTGGCTGGCCCCAAATAATACAAATAAGTATTAAAAGGCAACAAGTAAAATAAATATAACAGATGAAATAAATAAAAGATAACAACCATTTGTTGGGCACCTGCTCTGTGCCCATATGGGCTTTGGTCATACAGAGATGGCTCCCTGCAGCAAAGCACTGAGTGCCCTGGTAGAAATGTACTGTGGCCTAGGGGACCCCTCTAAAAGTGCAGAGAAGGGCATCATAGGAGGGAGAAGGTTCAGAGAAGACTCCTGAAGGAGTTGATAGCTGAACTAATTCTGAAGAAAGTAAATGTTTGTTATGTGAACAAGAGAAGCCAGGTAGAAGATGATAATATGTGAAGTTCCTTAGATGGATGGCATCATTTGATGTTGGAGTATTTTAGTAGGCTGGGAGCAAAGGGTGCATGGGAATGTAGGGGCAGGAGGTGATCTAGGGTGATGGTTACAGCCTTCATCATGAAGTATCTTGAGCTTAGACTCCTTTGTCAATGTCCTGAAGACTCGGAGGAGCTGTTGTGACATTTCAAGGTCTTAATCAGAGGAGGGACATGATGAGATTGATATTTCAAAAAGGTCCCTCCAGCATCAGCGTGGGTTGTAGATTGGAGGGCACTTGAATATGTAGCAGGGACACTTGCTTGAAGGCCTTTCTAATGCTCCATGTGAGAAGATAGGATGGACTGAACTAAGGGTGTGATGGTGGAAATGGGTCAGAGAAGGCAGATGGGAGAGACGAGGGAGGGGTAATACTGGGACAAGGGTGGTTGTGGGGTTGACAGGAGAGTACAGGCGAAGTTCCTTTCCAGTGTTTGGAAGGATAGTGGGTGCATTCATTTCCTAAGCTTGCCATCACAAAGCCACAAACTGGGTGGCTTAAAACAACAGACATTTACTGTCTCACAGATCGGGGGCTAGAAGTCTAACATCAAAGTATCGGCAAGGCCATGCTTTTCCTTCAAGGCTGGAGGATCCTTTCTTGCCTCTTCTGGCTTCTGGTGATGCTGGGATCCTTGGAGTTCCTTGGCTTATAGATGCCTCGCTCCAATCTCTGCCTCTGTTGTCACATGGCTGTTTCTCCCTGTATATTTCTCCTCTTATTAGGAGGACACCAGTACTGGCCAGGCACGGTGGTTCACGCCTGTAATCCCAGCACTTTGGGAGGCTGAGGCGGGTGGATCACTTGAGGTCAGGAGTTCAAGGCTAGCCTGGGGAACATGGTAAAACCCTGTCTCTGCTAAAAATACAAAAAATTAGCCAGGCGTGGTGGCAGGCGCCTATAATCTCAGCTACTTGGGAGGCTGAAGGAGGAGAATCGCTTGAACCTGGGAGGTGGAGGTTGCAGTGAGCCGAGATGGTGCCATTGTACTCCAGCCTGGGTGACAGAGCAAGACTCTGTCTCAAAAAAAAAAAAAAAAAGAAAAAAAAAAAAAAAAGAAGGACCCCAGTCATTTTGCATTAAGGTCCTACCTTACTCCATCTAGTATAACCTTGTCTTAACTAGTACATCTGCAGTGACCCTATTTCCAAATAAAGTCACCTTCTGAGTTACTGCGATTTAGCACTCCAACATATCTTTTGGGAAGATACAATTCAACCCATAACAATTGATCCTCTTCTCCCCTACCCCCTGAAATATGTGTCTTTCTGATGTGCAAAATACATTCACCCTATCCCAACATCCCCCAAAGTCTTAACCATTCCATTATCAACTCTAAGTCTAATATCTCATCTAAATGAGCCATATGCGTGTGCACAGACACACTCTATACTGTATCAGATTTCCACTGAGCTGGGAAAAAAGCAGGAGGAGCAGTGGGCACCAGAGAGAGGCAGAGGTGGGATGGCTGAGGAGTTCAGTTTTAAATGTGTTGAATTAATAGCTCTCATGGGATACCAAGTGAAACCGCTAGCAGGTAGTTGGGTACTGCATATCCTTATGACTTTGTTATCCAGTTCCCCCATAATTGTCATCAGAAAGGAGCTCAAATCTATGGCCATACTACCTTCAACGTGCCAGATCTTACGTGATCTTGGAGGCAAAGCAGGGGCAAATCTGGTTAGTACTTGAATGGGAGCATGGAGCTCAAGAAACCTCATGACAAAAACTGCAATTGCTTTGAGGTCAGGGGTGCACAGGAAATCGTGTGAATGAGGAATGAGCCTGCCTGCTGTTCTGAGGTGCATCTGGAGAAGAGAGAAAAACAGGTGGAATGAGGGGTTCTGGCTGGTTAACCAAGGCTTTGAATGTTAATTTGTCTATTAATTGGATAATATACGTTAGTGCTCACCCTATGTCAGGCACCATGGGGGACTTCAAAACAAACTGTCCACAAATCCCATCCTCAGAGTTTACAATCATAACAGACGGGAATTGTGGCTGGACAGGAGCTTGTAGTCCACAGTTGTAACACAAGGTAGAAAGTATGAACCAGCAGAAGGAATGAACTGATAAATTGCTGTGGGAATTCATAGAGAGGGGGAGTGGGCTCTTCCAGGGCTGGTTGTGTGTGTGTTTGTGTGTGTGTGTGTGTGTGTGTGTGTGTCTGTGTAGAGAAAGGGAAGCTCATAGAGGAATTGACTTTAGAGCTGGACTTTGAAGAATGAGTCACATTCAGGCATGAGGAGATGGGGTTGTGGAGGCTGGCTTTGGAGGCACACAAAATAAGAGGTAAAGGAAGAGATCCTCTAAGCATTAACCTGGGAGCATAATGCATTTAACAGGTAAAAATAGACATCAAACTGTATACATGTTGTATAAAAATTAGGCTAACAAAGCAGTGTTTTTATTTATGCTGTCTCACTTGATACAATAATGCTTTGTAGAAGAGATCTTGTTTTCCCCTTTTTCAGGTAAGGAAACAGAGGCTTGGGAGAGTTAGGTAGCATGGCAAGCTCAGACGGCAAATGGCAGAGCTGGGACTCGAATCGATGTCATGTGACTCCAAAGCCCATAACCCTTCTATTATGTTCCCTTTATTACTTTTCTCTCTTTCTTCAACACTTGATTAAAACTTGCTTCCTTTGAAATACTAGCCCAGAAGGAATTCTGTGGGCTCCACTGAGTAGCCATGACTGGGGAAGAGGATGGAGACAGCTTATAGGATGAACCGTTTCTGTTCCCAAGCTAAACATCTCTCTTGCCACACTTTCCTGGCCTCCAAAATGGAGATTATGGAATGGGCAAGAGAAAATGTCTATGTAATACAATGAAAGATCATGAAAGATCATCTGTCTGTCAGCAGAGTGAACACAGCCAGGGCAGGACTGATTCTTATCCATGCTCAAGGCCACTTGAAGCTGCTCCAGAAATTCAGGCTTGGACAGCACAACCTTAGAGCACCCGTTCCCTGGATTGGAGCCAAACAGTCTGGACATCTCACAAGAGACCTGCAGAGATGTAAGGACACACTCACCTCCTGTGTTGGGGAAGGAGTGACTCAGCTGGCTGGAACACAGTGGCCAAGAGGGTCAGATAATCTTGCTTTATTTCCTAACCCGGACCGGCCTTTGTTCCAGGACAGGGATCCTGGTCATAGATCCAAAAACAATAATCACAAATCCATCCCACATCCAGGAAAGGGACCAGATGCATATTCTGCTGATAGTGGCCAAGAACGTGGCTGGTCTGTGTGTCTAACGGGCAGTGCATGGTGACTGCACTGCATCAACCTTAATGGGATCTTCTGGAAGAAATGTCGGTGTGGGGAATTGTAGAAGATTGGTCTTTGTTTCCTTCTCTGATCAATAGTCTCCTCCAACCCCACTCCCAGCACATACACATGAAAGAAAATAAAGAAAAAGAAAAAACATGCTACTAACAATAGCACTTCTCTTTCATGAATTATTATTATGTGTGAGATGCCATCCTGAGCCTCTTACATACATTAACTCATTGATTCCACTGGTAGCTCTGTGAGGTGTATACTATTAGTATACTCACTTTATAGATAAGAAAACTGAGGCTTAGAAAAATTAAGTAAACTTTCTAAGATTATACAATCCATTAGTGACAGTGGAAGATTTAAACCCATGGCTGCCTGATCCAGAGGTTAAGCTCTTAATCACTATGCTTAACTACCATGACACATGAAAATGAGCCAGGAGACCCCCCAGCCTGACACCAGAAGAAGAGCCTTGAAGCCTTACAGGAATTCTCCAAGGTCCTGGCTAAGAAGTTGCACTAGAGAATGGCATTCAAAGGCACTGCGGAGCTGATTTTCATTCTGAGGACTGGATAGTGTAATGTCCTTGAAGCTGATGGGGAGATTTGCTCCTTGCTGTTATTTATCTAATCTCCCCTGGAATCTGTTCCTCCTCCTCTTTTCTCAATCTTGGTTAATGATGACATTATCTAGTGGATCTTCCAAACCAGAAACCTCAGAGTCATCCTCAACTCTTCCCTCCTTGTTAAGGCCCCACCCCCAAATAATCCATCACCAGTCCTGCCAATTGTATCTAAGAAACATATCTTGAATCCAGCCTTTCTCCTCTCCACCCCCACAGCTATGGTCTGAGCCCAGGACTTCAGCATCTTCTGTTGGGATGATTGCAGTCACGTCTCTTTAACTAAAGCCCTTCCCAGTCTGGACCCCAGGTTCCCTAGGTTACCTCTCCTGGTACCACATCCCACGAGACCCATGCTTCAGGTACTAAAGTTTCCCTCAAAATGAGGTGCCTATCCATGACTCTCAGTCTTTCACAGGCTATTCTCTCTGCTTCAAATGTTGTTCTTCCATTTCAACATTGGGGAAACTCCTGTTCATCTGTCAAAACCCCAACCATATGCCGTTTCCTCTGTGAGTTCTCTGAATGGCTCACTGCCCTCCCTGTGCTCTGGCTGTACTCACTTATACATGTGGGTCACACAAACTGGGCTGTTCTATAATTTGTCTGTTTATATATCTTTTTTCCACCAGAGATAAGACCTTATTCATCTTTCTCTCCTCTTCCCTAGTATACTGTGTAGCCCATATAGATGTTATATAAAGACTGTTGGTTAAATGAATGAAAAATCCTGACAGATTGATGAATTGAAGGGATGAATCTGGGGAAAACAGTGGAGTCTGACAGTAACCTGTGTGTGTGCACACTTTCCATATACACAAACCCACGATACATATTTCCAGGTGCATATTCTCTGCCAGAACACATCATATGCATGCACCACACACATACTACATGCTACACACTACACATACTTATTTCCGTGCACACATTGAACCAATGGCTGGTTCACATTGCATACACTTGGTACACACCCACCCACCCACACACACACATATTATACGCCCTCCTCCCCCCACACACACTTGCAAAAGGTATCGGAGTCTCAGAAGGAATTCTTTGGAGTCTCAGGAATTGTTATTACTGCCAAGAGGCCCAAGATTCTTAACAGAATCATGCCATGGGAAATGCTACCCTTTAGGTAAGACATACTAACAACAATCACAAGCTTGTGGGTGGCATCTTTTAAATCTCACCCCTAGGGAGAAAGACAGGTGGTCTAGGGAGAGAGAGAGCAGGCAGAAGCTTTTTCAGAGGCTTCATGAAAGCTGATTGGTAAGAAATGAAAGAAAATGCCACCACCAGCCTGACTGCCACCCCCTGACTAGAATGTAAGATTTCTTTAACACCTTAGCAGACATACTCCAGCAGGAATTACACCACCTCACTGGCCTACACTGAGGGGTGAATCACTGCCATAAAGCCTTTACTCAGAGCAGGGTTTTCTAATGAGGATGGAGACTCACATGGGAGAGTGCAAAAACTGACACTGAAGTAAATTCCCAGCCCTGTGCTAGGTTCTATCTATTACCTTCCTTAATAGCCACCTGAGGAGGGAGACATTATTGTTCCCATTATGCAGATAAAAAACAGAGGCCTAGAGAGAGAAAGGCATTTTTCTGACATTATACATACTGGTAAAACAAGGATTCAAACTCAGGTCAATGCAACTGTAATCTTGGTCAGTCCACCTTGCCCATTGAATTGAGAGGGAGAAAGGTGCTCAGAAAAGGGACTGCAGGAGACCAAAGGTCAAACGGTTTTCTCTGTGACTTTGTCAAGAGTTGTCTATACTCTCAACACTCTCTCACACCAAGTGGTTTGGGTGTTAATCTCATGCTGTTCCATGTTGGGTATCATATGCTTTCCCTTTCTTCCTGCCCTTCTCTGGGTTTGTGTCTCTAGTTTGGGGCTTCAAAACCCATATAGAGTGGATCCCATCAGCCTTCTCCCCATTATCTGCTGTTAAAATTGTTATATGTGTTTGGAACACATTTTCACTTATGTAGTTATATGTACTCTTGCGCTATTGGATAAAAGCAGATATACCTGAATAAGGGGAGTGTTGGTCAAGTTACAGCTGAAATATGGTGTTTTCAACTTGTTAAATTCTAAGTGCCACATCCTGTAAGAAACATTATCCAGAAGAGGGAAGTGGGATAGGACAGGGTCTAGGAACAAAGCCATATGAGGAATATTTGGAGGAATTGAAAATGTTCGGCCTGGTTAGACTTGCAAATATTTGAGCAGCTCCAAGCCACACAAGAATAGAAGTTAAGAGAAGGAGTGTTAACAAATGGATTAGTGAATGAATGAAAAACAATTAAAGCCATCAATTAATGGCCTTCATCTCTTCAACATCTGTTGAGAATCCACTGTCCTCCATACTCAGCACTAAGGTCTATATGAAATGGTTTCTTTGGGTGGTAGGCAACCTCCAGTCCCAGGAAGAATTCAAGCAGGGGTTGAGTGACTACTTGTCATGGGCAACATTAAGGAGATTCTAGTACTGAACGGATGATTGGGAAACATGAGTTCTAGTGCACTGCAATTCAGATTCCCAAAGCTCCTTAAACATAGGTACAGATGTCTTTGTTTTTGTACCATCCAAAACACTTAATGTAGGATACTACATGCTCTAATTGTTGACAGGTTAGTTGGCTAATGTAGCACATGACTGTGCTATCCACTTGGATAGTCGGTGTGCAATGGGGTGACTAAGCAAGTAGTTGTTTTCCATGCCCCAAGAGAATTAGATGAGAAGAGAGCTGAAACAAAAGCAAAATGGAGTTGGCTCTAAAGAATGTGTTGACCTTGAAGGTTACTGGTCACTGAAATGAGCAACGGAGGGAAAGTTGTTTCTCTGTTCCAAGTGGTTCCTTGAAATCTCTAGGTACCCGATTCTACAAGACAATAATCACGGGGTGCTCATTAGACATGGCCCTGGGCTATACAGTCAGAGCTGGACAGAATTATTCAAATTGTCCTGGCACCTGCTGGACTTCACTGTCTTAACTAATTGCCCTGCCTCCTGACCTTATGTCTGCCTCCTCTTACCCACAGCTTTTGGTGGCTCCAGGCGATTGCTCCATGAGCTCTGGGGAATAATGCTGGCTGTGTCTGTGCCTCCACCCTTTGCATCATAGGCTGAACCTGCTCCCCACTTCTCAGGATAACACTTAACCCTCACTGTTTTCAACACAGAAACATTATTCTGGGAAAAAGAATGATGCTAGGTACCAGGTATTGGGCAAATTGTAGTACATCCCTGACTTGCTTTTAGCCCCCCAAAAAATCCTTTCTGCAGATGTGGATCTAAGAAGTTAGGAATGTTGCCAAAAACACACAGCAAGTGAGTGGCAGAGTCAGGTTCAATTGGGTATTATTTTTTCCTTGTCCTTGCTCCAAATCTCATGTTCTTCCTACTTGATGGGAAAAGGGCTAGCCCCATGCAGAAGTCTCTCTCTCTCACCCTCACAGACCTTCCCAGAGCCACCTGCTTGGTTTTAGAGTGTGGGACAGAACATGCTGTCCTCCCAGTTGATGAATGCCAGCTGTGCCTCCCTTTGCTATGAGCCAAGAGTTGTGCTAAGGGATGGCTTAAAGTGCAACCATTTAAAGCACTTTTCCTAATCCTGTTCAGGTTTGTTTCATTCAACTAGGTGCAGGCAGGAAGGATCAGCCAGCTTGGACAACTGCACTGCCAATTTCTTCTTGATCTAAGAGCATCTGCTTCAGGGAATAGTGTGTTCTGAGGAACCTCATGAACTAGCTTTGCACCAAATGAGAAATTCCACCTTGTGATGATCCTTCCTGTCTCCTCTGAGGCAGTTTCTAGACTATAGTAAGTGCTCAACAAATAGACGATGGATGACTAAATGCAGATCTGGTGCCTCAAGCTCTTCATCTTTTAAATGATGAGGATAACTGTATCTTCCTAGCAGGAAGTGAGTACTAAATCAGCAAGCTCATTTTATTCTTTTTGTATTTTTATTTTTTCAGAGAAATGGTCTCTGTTGCCTAGGCTGAAGGGCAGTGGCCCAATCATAGCTCACTGCAGCCTCAAACTCCTGGGCTCAAGTGATTCTCCTGCCTCAGTCTCCCAAGTAACTGCGACTGTAGGTGCACACCACTGCACCCGGCAATTTTTTTTTTTTGTACAGACAAGGTCTCACTTTGTTGTTCAAGCTGTGCTTGAACTCCTGAGCTCAAGCGATCCTCCTGCCTTGGCCGCCTAAAGTGTTGAGATTATAGGCATGAGTCACCACGCCTGGCTTAATTTTCATCTTCTTCCTTTTTTTTTTTTCCTTAAGACAGAGTTTTGTTCTGTTGCCATAGGCTGTAGTGCAGTAGTGCAATCATAGCTCACTGCAACCATGATTTCCTGGGCTCAAGTTGTCCTCCCACCTCAGCCTCCTAAGAAACTGGGACTACAGGTGTGCACCACCATGCCCAACTAACTTTTTGATTTCTAGTAGAGACAAGGTCTTGCTATGTTGCCCAGCCTGATCTCAAACCCTTGAGCTCAAGCAATCCTCCTGCTTTCACCTCCCAAAGTTCTAGGATTACAGGCATGACTCATTTTATTCTTGACACATACTTGACACTTAGTAATCTCAATAATATTCTCTCTCCACCCCACTCCTCCAGCTTCCTTCGCCCCTCTCTTCGGGCAATGTCTGGAAGCAAAGAGCTCCTCTCCTTGGGGTTGCAGTCTACTCACTCCAGCCAAAGGGTCATCATTCACTGGTCACTTGGGGTTTGTTGCACAGAGCCCAGATGAAGATTCCACAGTGAAGATACTGTGATCAAAATACTGTTGGTTACTTGAAACCCATCAGTGCTTGCTTAGCCCCTGATGAATGTGTTTCATGTCTGATGCCTTCCACTCTTTCTCACTCCCCAATCTACTTGACCCTACTCTTGATTTGGGAAATAGGGACATGATTGACGCAACCCAAGCCTAGAGAGTACAGCTGCTCAGCCATAAGACCATGAAGTAACATTAATAGGTCTCATCCTATTGAGTGTGTCCTGTACTCTTAGCAATATTGAAGCTAGAGAAATCATCCCACAACATCCCACAGACACGAGCTTACAATGTCTTATGGAGTGAGAACGTTCATCCTAAGAGGCTTCA
Source organism: Homo sapiens (assembly GCF_000001405.40). Classification (NCBI taxonomy): domain Eukaryota; kingdom Metazoa; phylum Chordata; class Mammalia; order Primates; family Hominidae; genus Homo; species Homo sapiens. The sequence goes on along the minus strand of NC_000017.11, from coordinate 34,112,731 downwards.
GGGAGCATCACTACCCAGCCTGTAACAAGGCCTTATCTTGTAAATGCCCAGAGGACCAGGGAAGGGTTGGTTTCACATGCTGGCTTCACTGCAGAGCCTAGGGATTAATACATAAGGCATTCCGTGTTGGTGAAGCATTTGATCTGTGGCTGGTTTCAGCTAAGAATTATGTGGTCAAAGAGTGAGTTTCTTGTACTTAGCCATCTCCCTTGGCTGCCCTGTGATACACATGCTTATGTGTGTGGGCTGAAGTTTTCCTTTTTTTTTTTTTTTTGGCCTGTCTTGCGTCTGAAAATCTGCAGAAAACTTTGGAGGTGGTGGAAGCTTGAGAAGGATCATCATTTGTATTTAGTTTGTTAGCTAATACATTTATCAGGGATGTCTTTTTTTGTTATTGAATTTATTATGATGAGTTCAGTATTTGTTGGTACTCTAATGTATTTAACTTGCACTGTGATCCTATGAGGTAAATATTATCACTGTTTTACAAATGAAAAAGACTGAGGCTCAGAGATTATAGGGAAGTTGCTCAGTTTCATAAATTTAGACTGTGGAAGAGATAGCATTCAGATTTTGGTCTCTTCTATTCTGAATATATTATTCTTTCCACTAAGACTAGTGTCTTTCTTCAAATACAACTTTGTAACAATGACTATTTTGGGAAATCACTTTTAGTTACTAATACCTTAAAAAAAAGTCTTTTATATTCCAAGTTCCCATGAGAATTTTTTCCATATGGCTATGCATTTTAATATAGTTATAATCATTATATAGAAATAATTTTGTATTCTATTATCTTGACTTAATATATATGATATGCTTTTCCCAAAATCACTAAATAATCACTAAAATTTATAAGATGGAAAAATAATCCATTGGGTTAAATTCTCATAATTTACTAGAACATTCTTCTATTATGAGCCACTTGTTTTTCTCAGCTTTTGCTATCATAAATAATGCCGCAGTGAAGATGTTCATACATAGAAATCCTTCTCCCAAAGCAGTGTTTTGTAGGAGAAGAAACGGGATTGGAATCAGACTGCATTTGAATGCAGATTCTCCCTTATAATAATGGTGCCATATCAGGTAAGTCACTTAGCCATTGTTCTAATTTCCTCATCAAAAACAATAAGTGTCAAAGGCTTGACTTGCAGAATTAGCAGCAGAATAACGTGCCTAGCTCAGAATAGATAGGCAATAAATTTTAGTTACACTATCCTAATGGGAAAACTCCGTAAGTAGAATGTCAGAGTGCATATACTTTTGAATTTTGACACCTACTGTAACATATCTTTTCAAAAGGGTTAGGACAATTTATGCTGTCACAAGCCATGTATAAAAGTACTGTTTTGCCACAGACCCAGAATCTGTTTTATCATTTTTGGTGCCTGTATATATAATATAACATAATATAATATAATATATATACATTATATTATATAATTATATAATATGTTGTATATAATATATACTATTATATATATGTGTGTATATATATGTTTTTTTGAGATGGAGTCTCGCTATGTTGCCCAGGCTGGAGTGCAATGGCATGATCTCCGCTCACTGCAACTTCTGCCTCCTGGGTTCGAGTGATTCTCCTGCCTCAGCCTCCTGAGTAGCTGGGATTACAGGTGCCTGCCGCCATGCCCAGCTAACTTTTTTGTATTTTTAGTAGAGACAGAGTTTCACTATGTTGGCCAGGCTGGTTTCGAACTCCTGACCTCAAGTGATCCACCAGCCTCGTCCTCCCAAGGTGCTGGGATTACAGGCATGAGCCACCGTGTCTGGCTTGTGCCTATAATTTTGAAAGGGTAACAGGACGGGAATGAAAAGAGCCCTGTGCCCTTTACTAGTGAAGATGCTGGACGATATGATCACAAAAAATGAGTCACAAAGCTTTTGAAAGGCAGAGACTGATTAGGGCCAGCAAGGCTTATAGGTAAGCCATATCTGACTAATCAAATCCCCTTGAACCCAGGGACCGATGGGATATAAAGAATCTATTCTTGACAGGAAACACTATCTGACCTCAGCATGGGTGCTTGGTAGACATTGCAAAGCCTTCCTAACCGATGATTTTTTTTAAGGAGGATGTCATCTAATACGAAGGCTTAACAAGATCCTCTCCCAAATTGGATTTGACATATGCCTGGCACTTGGGCAGCTGAGCCCTCCCTCCCCAGCCAGCCCTCTGCAGCTACAGCCCAGGGCAGCAGGGCTTTGTCCCGCCTGCTGCTGGCACAGCTGCTAATCCCAGGCTAATGATCAATCCTGAGGCAGCGGCAGCAGAGAGGCTGGGAGAGCCAGGGGCAGAGAGAGGGCGAGGAAGAGCTAGGTTTCCTAGGGCAGTCACAGAAGGCAGCCTTCCCAGAGTTGTTCCTGGTTAGGAATTAGGCCAGCGCCCTGGCTCCCTATCCTAATCTGGGCAATACCTTAGAAAGTATTCCAGAAAGAGAGAAAAAAGTGGTTGCTGGGGCTGACTTGATGCCCACGTTTGTTTGTTCAGCCCATAAGCCCACCCTATAAGATAGGCAAGACTGGGGACTCTCTTCTCAGAGCATCTCCTTAAGGTTGTTCTTGATTTTCTTTCACTTTATTTTTATTTTACTTGGGAAAAAGATTGGAGGGAAGGGGTACATCAGAGGTGATTTGTCTTGGATGTTCTATTTATTAGAACTGGATCTGAAAACCTCAAGCCAAAATACGAATTTTAGAAATACTATCCCATACTATCTCATCTCATCTCATCTCATCTCTCTCTCTCTCTTTCTCTCTCACACACACACAAACACACACACACACGCATATACCTAGTCATAAAATCTATACAGTATCACGATAGATAGATAAAGAGAGAGAAAAACTTATTTTCAGTGTTACAATACCTGGACTCATGTCTAATCCATGACTGCTGTGTGATCTTGGGAAAATCATGCCTCCAAATTTTTATTTTTCAGCTTAAAAAATGAGAGTAGAGTATATGAATGAGCAAGTCCTCAATGAGGAAGGCTTAATGGCCAATATACACATGAAAAGATGCAGGTTTATATAACAGTGAGACTCCGTTTAAAAGCTGTCAGATAGCACATGTGGTGGGCATGTGTTTGGGTGTGTGTAACGTTACCAAGTGTTGGAAAGGATATCGATCAAGAGAAATTCTCATTTACGCTTGATGAAAGTATAAACTGGCAAAACTGCATTTTTTTTTTACCCATATCAGTGAATGCTTATATGGTAAAGACAGATGATTCTCATATTCTAAGATCTAGGAATTGTACACTTACCTTTGTCTTGGAACATACATGTACGTAGAAGACATGCACAGGACTGTATACTTTTGGCATTGTTTGTACATATGAAAAATCATAAACAACCCAAGTGGCAGCCCAGAAGCAGAATGGAAAACTAGATTTTGGTATATTCCTGCCATAGTATTTTACAGAGCAATGACAATAAATGAACTAGAGCTATACGTATCGTCTACATGCATAATCCTCAAAAAACAAAGAGTTAAACAGAAAACAAAATAATAAGTTACAGAAGTTGCCAGAAAAGATAAGAAAAGACGCAACTAACTACATGTTGCTCACAAGAAATCCACTTTAATAGGTTAACACATAGGTTGAAAATAGACAAAATACCCTAAAACTTAAAGTATAATAATAATAAAATAAAATAAAAATAAAATAAAATAAAATAAATCAACAAATAAAAAAAGAAAATAGACAAAATATGTTGAAAGTAAAAAGATAAGATATTCCATGCAAACACCACTAACCATAACCAAGATATAGGGGGTAAAATAACATTAGACAAAATAAATTTCAAGATAAAGAGTATTATGGATAAGAAAAATAGCATATTTTAACATATAAGGGTCAATAAGTGAGGAAGACATAACAATTATAAATGGATATGCACTTAACAGAGTTTCAAAATATAACGAAGAAAAAAATAACAGAACTAAAATCAAAATAGACATATCTGCTATTAGAGTTGATTTTAACACTCTTCTTAGTCATTGATAAAACAGTTACACAAAGAATCAACAATGATATGAAATATATGAATGACACAGTAAACTGCTTGGACCTAATTGGCACTTATAGAACACTAAACCCAATAACTGCAAAATGTTTTCAAATGTACGAGGAGTGTTCACCACGATACACCATATAACGTAAATATCATAAACAAGTCATAGTAAACTTCAAAAGTTTGAAATCTTATAGGGTAATAGGGTAAGTTATATGACAGTGGCATAATTACATTTGAAACCAATAAAAGTAAATATTTTGAAATTAAACTATACATTTATAAACTATAGTTCAAATAAGAAATCACAAGGAAAAATTATAAAATATTTCAATCTAAATGATAAAGACAATTTATCATATCACAATTTGTGAGAGCCACATCTAGGAGCACCTACAACTATATAAAAAAATGCATGAACAGGATATTTATTGTGGCAATATTTGAGATTTCAAAAAATTGGAACTTCCAGAAAGTTTCAGCAGAGCAGTTTTGTTGAATAAACTATGGCACAGTCACTCAATGGAGTATTATGTAGTTGTTGAAAATAAGTAAGGAAGATCCTTGTGAACTGATACAAAATGATTTCAAAGAGATGTTTATAAGTAAAAAAAAGCGAGATACAAATGAGCATGTGTAAGAAAAAGGGTAAGTAAGGAAATAGCCACATATCTGCTTATCATTACATAAAGAACATAAGAAGGATAAACTGGAAAATAGTGAAATTGGATACCTACAAAGTGTGAGGCGAGGTGGGATGGAAAAGTATGAGAAAGAGTGACACTTTTCTAATTACGTATTTTCAAATATTTGACTTTCGGATGCATGCTAATAATAAAATGTCAGTATAACCCCCAAATTAAATTAAAGCCGAAAAATGTAAAGGAGAGAACCCTAAAACTGAAAGCAAACTGACAAATGAACCTAATTATATTTCAAATTAATACCATAACTAGCTGGAAGGGAATAAAGAACAAACTATTTTGAGTACCTTATGAACACAACTTGTGACTACCTTTAGTTTTGGTCAGATTGGACTTGTGGTGGGGGAGAATTGAAAATAATTGATAAACTCCTTTTAGTAGGTTTGCCTATCATAGTGTTTGAGTGAAGCAATTCTGAATGTACTTTAAGATACTGTAGAACTGAACAAAAGAGTAAATGGTTTTGTTTTGCTTTGTTCTGTTTGAGACAGGATCTTACTCTGTCACTCATGCTGGGGTACAGTGGCGTGATCACAGCTTATTGCAGCCTCCACCTCCCAGGCTTAGGTGATCTTCTTCCCTCAGCAACCCAAGTAGCTGGGACTATAGGCGATCACCACCACCCCTAGCTAATTTTTTATTTTTTTATTTTTAGTTGAGATGGGGTTTTGCCATGTTTTCCAGGCTGGTCTGAAACTCCAGGACTCAAGTGATCTGCCTGCCTTGGCCTCCCAAAGTGCTGGGATTACAGCTGTGAGCCACTGTGCCAAGCCAAAAGAGTAGATGTGTAAATGATACCGAGGGTCAAAGTTCTCATTGTGAAAGAAGGTATACAAACATACTATGGGACAGGAGAAGTCACAAAATAATCCTGAGGATGGATTGGAACTGGAGATATCTCTAAATATGTACATATATGTGTGTATATATGTTTAAGTGAACATATATGTATGCACCTGCATGTATGCATATCTAGGTTTGCGCATATGTATATTTATGTAAATATGCATGTACATATATATGTCCATGCATGTATTTCTTAGCTCTGTTTGCTAAAGAGCCAAGAAGCAAATATACTCCTGGAATAATAAGTATAAATAGCACCCATAATTTTGTCTCTACTACCATTTCTCAATTAAAGAAACTAGGACTTTTCATATTCCAGGGCTGGAACTGGGGTAAAAGATGAACCTGGAATATCTCACTATGTAGGAAAATAAGAAAGTGCTTTAAAACATGGTGGGAGGATGTCACAGGGACACAGGAACTAGCTTTAAGGAGTTCTCACTGACCAAATTTCTAAAAATTTGAACGCCAAAATGATTAAGGATAGTAATGAATGATAAATCATGGAAAAATAGAAATGCATGAATCAATATCCATATTAGATTCATTAGGTAGGTAGACACATTTATTGAGTATATAGATTAGATAGATGGATAGATAGATATGATTGATAAATAGGTGCATACATACATACATGCAGACATACAGGAGAGGGGAGGTTTCTTCCTGGCATTAGAATGCTGAGGGCCAACTAATCAATATGGAAGGAGTGCTGGAGCTTGGAAATCATCATTTTGTGATCATCGTAGTAAAAATGGGTAAAAATAATCAATGGATACTGAATCTAGGGAGGGGTATTTTGATGAGAGAAAGATACTTCATATACTGACTGTCAGTTAAAAGAGAAATATCAATAACTATATTTTCAAAAAATTGGCAACACCTTGAACAAATGATCAAATTAACATCACCAATGAGGGAAGATGGACATTGTGTATCTCCAATTGTGATATCCTAAGATAGTGTGTGACCTGAACCTAATCACAAGGAAACATTAGACAACCCAAAATGAATAACTTTCTATTAAATGGTAGTAGGGCTGTATTTTTCAAAAATGTTATTGTCATAAAAGATAAGGAAAGACTGTGGAAACATTCGAGACTATTTAAGGCTAAAGAAACTTGACAACTAGATAGGATCCTGTGCTACAGGAGAAAAAGACATTATAAGAGGCATTTTTAGGTTAAATGACAAAATTACAATATGGATGGTATACTAGATTGAAGTATAACATAAATGTAAATGTATGAATTTAATAATTGCAGTGGTTATGTAAGAAAGTACTCCTACTCTTGGGAAACACATTGAATTATTTAGTGATAAATGTCTACAATATATATAAATCACCTTCAGATGTTTCAGAAAATACACCCACACATATACATAGTAAGAACGAGCAAGAGAGAACTTGAAATGTCAAGAAATATTAACAGAGGTGAATCTGTACAAAGAATATTTTAGTGTCCTTTTTATTTTTTTAATAACTGTCATTATTTTTTGTAATTATTAACTAGTATCCAAACAAGCAAGGGATGAAGCTAATTCAGTGCTTAGAGGAAACAAATGTTAAGTTTGAATGTTTATATTAGGAAGAAAGGTATAAATTAATGATCTAAGTTTCTGCCAATAAAGACCAAAAATAAAAACAAGCAAAAAAAAAAAAAAAGGTAGATGAAAGGAAATAATAAAGATAACAGCAGAAATTTTTAAAAATTAAAAATAGAAAACCAAGAAATCCAGAAATTGCTTTTGGAAAGATTAATACATTTGATAAACTTCTAGCTAGACCAAAAAACAAAAACAGGAAAAACACAAGTTATCTATAGTATAATAACATGAATTAAGAAATGAATATCATTATAAATCCTACAGATGTTAAAAGGATAAAAAGAAAATACTATTTAAAAAATCATGCAAGAAAATGCTACAATTCAGATGAAATGAGCAAACGCCTTGAGTCAACTGACCAACTGCCCATGAAACTAAAACTAACACAAGATGATATAGAAATTCTGAATAACTATACCCATGAAAAAAATTGAATTTTTAAATCAAAACATTTCAACAAATAAACTCTTGGTTCCAGTGCCTTCACAGGTGAATTCTAGCAAACATTCAGGGAGGAAGTAGTACCATCTTTTACAACCTCTTCCAGAAAATAGAGGAGGAAAATACATGTTTTAACATCTTAACCCATTTTATGAATTGATTTTTGATATCAAACCATGACAAAGACATTAAAAGGGAAGAAAATATTCTTCATTAACATAGATGCAAGAATCTGTAGCAAAATATTTTTCAGAAATATATAAAAAGAATATTATAACCAATTAAATTTTATCTCAGGAATACAAGTTTGGTTCAACATTTAAAAATTAATCAATGTAATCTGGTTAATTAATATATTAAAGTTAAAAACATATATGATCATCTTAATAGATGGAGAAAAGGCATTTAACAATATCCAGCACTCATTAATGACAGTAATTCTCAGCAAATTGGAATAGCCATCCTCTAACAAACTAGAATCCCAATTCTGATAGAGAGCATGTGCAAGAGTCTATTGTTAATTCTTGATGGGGAAGCCCTGAATGCTTTTCCCCTAAGATCAGAAAAAAAAGGCCAGAATGCTGAATCTTCTATTCAATATTGTATGAAGGCTCTAGCTTGTTCAATAATGCGAGGAAAACTAAAAGCATAAAGACTCAAAAGGAAGAATTTGTTTCTATAAACAAAAGTTTTATTTAATTAATTCAAACTCACAGATAGTATTCAATTTTATAAGAAAAGCCTGAGGAATGAACAAAGAAAACTCCTAGAACGATTTACATAAACTTAACAATATCTCAGACTATAAGATACATACGGAAAATCAGTTGTATTTCTATATATTGGCAGAAAGCAATAGAAAATAAAATTAAAATTTTATTCACAATTTTATAAAAATGTAAAATGCTTGATAAATTTAACAAAAGATATGTAAATCCTCTATATTGAAAACTACAAAATATTGCTGAGAAAAGTTAAAGAGGACATAAATAAATGAAGAGATATACTATATTTGTGGGTTGGAAAATTCAATATTGTTAGGATGTCAAACCTTCCCACAGCGATCCATAGCTCGACATGATTCAAATCAAAACTCCATAAGGCTTTTTAAAAATAGAAATAGATAAAACAATTCTAGAATTTATATGGAAATGCATATGACCTAGAATAGCCTAAACAATCTTGAAAAAGAAAGCTGAAGAACTCAAACTACTTGACTTCAAGACATATGAATATAAAGCTACAGTAATTAAGACAGTTAGATATTGGCATAAAGATAGACACATCAATCACTGCAGCAGACCAGAGAATACATAAATAGATACACATGTTTATGGTGAATTAATTTTTGACAAAAACAGCAAGTCACTCAAAGGAAAAAGGAAAGTATTTTCAACAAATTGTGCTGAAACAACAGGATATCTGTGCAAAAAAAAAGTGAGCCCAATCTCTGACCTCACACCACACACACCACATTTAATTAGAGATGACTGTTCTAAATATAGAAGCTAAAATTATAAGGCTTATTGAAAAAAACAGGGAAATATGTTTACAGGATAACGAAAAATGTTAAGACAAAACTCTGAAAACTCTGAAATAAAATAAAAAATAAATGATAAATTAGACTTCATAAAAATTGAAACAAGCCAGGCATGGTGGCTCATGCCTGTAATTCCAGCACTTTGGGAGGCTGAAGCAAGAGGATTGTTTGAGCACAGGAATTTGAGACCAGCCTGGGCAACATAATGAGACCCCATCTCTGCAAATATAAAAATAAATAAAAAATTGGCCAGGCATTGTGGCACATGCCTGTGGTCCCAGCTACTTGGGAGGCTGAGGTGGGAGCGTGGCTCAAGCCTGGGAGATTGAGGCTACGTTGAGGCATGATAGTGCCACGGCATTTCAACCTGGGTGACTAAATGAGACTGTCCCCCCTCCCACTCCCCTGCAAAAAATCAAAAGAAACAAAAACTCTGATCAACAAAATATATCATTGTTATAGAAAATAAATAGACTTAAGAAAATATTTTCAAAGCATATTTCTGACAGAAGACTGCTATTCAGAATGTGTAAAGAACTCTTTCAACTCAACAATAAAATGACAATTTAATAAAAGTAAGCAAAAGTCTTGAACAATGAAATATCAGCTCACAACAATGGTTGGGGAGTATGTAGAGCAAATGAAATGCCTGTCCATTACTGGAGAAAATGTAAAATAGCACAACCACTTTGGTAATTTCTTAAACCGTTAAGAGGAACACTCCTTAATCCAAGAGAAATGCAAACAAATACCTACAAAAAGTACCGTATGAAAATGTTTATAGCAACTTTATTCACAATTACCAAGAACTGGAAACAGCCCCAATACTCATGAATGGGAAAATGAATACAAAATTGTGCTATATTCCTGCAGTGTGATACTACTTAGCAGTAGAAAGTAAGCATCTATTGATACATGGAATAACATGGGTAAATCTCAGAGACAGTGCTGAACCCCCTCTCCCAAAAGGAACACAAAAGGCTATATGCCATATGATTCTATTTATATGAGGTTATAGAATGGGAAAATGTAATCTGAGGTGAGAAGGCCAAAATGATGGTTTTCTGGGGTGTGAGGTGGCAGGAGGGGAAGAGGAGTTTCAGCAAAGGAGGAAATTTTCTGTAGATATGAGTGTTCTGTATCTTGATATGGCTAGAGATACATGATGCATCCACTTTTTATTTTTATCTTTATATTTTATTTTATTTTTATTTATTTATTTATTTTTTAGACGGAGTCTCACTCTGTCACCTAGGCTGGAGTGCAGTGGGGCGATCTCAGCTCACTGCAACCTCTGCCTCCTGGGATCAGGCGATTCTAGTGCCTCAGCCTCCCGAGTAGCTGGGGTTGCAGGCACCCACCACCACACCCGGTTAATTTTTGTATATTTAGTAGAGACAGGGTTTCACCATGTTGGCCAGGCTAGTCTCAAAGTTGGCCAGGCTAGTCTCGAACTCCTGACCTCAGTGATCCACCTGCCTCAGCCTCCCATATTGTTGGGATTACAGGCATGAACCACCACACCTGGCTGTATCTACTTTTTTTTTAAGCATACAGTTATTGTTTATGCATTTAGGTGTTTATAAAATGTAAAAGTAGAACTGTAAGCTATAATTATTGATTGATGGGAGGTAGGGTATGGTGATGGCATAGGTAAATCAAGAATGGCTGAATGTCGACAATTGTTGGAGCCAGGTGATACATAGGAGTTGATTAGACTATTCTGTTTACTTGCAGACGTTTGAATTTTTCCGTAATAAAATGCATTCCTTAGAAAAAGCAAGCGACAGGATATATACAATGTGGTATCATCTATATAAAGTTTGAAAACACGTACGGAGACTTACATATTGTTTATAGGCATACACTTGTATAATAAATGTTAACAAAAATAATCATGGAAATCATAAACACCGGATTTGAGATTGGTGGTTCCTACTGGATGGTGCAAAAGGAGAGATTCACAGGCCTTTAAAATCTTTTAAATAAAATATATTATTAAATCATTAAATTATCCTCTGTACATTCTTAGGCTGGCATATTTCATTAAAAGCGTGGGAACCCTCAGTGACCCTGGGTACTCACTTGACGTTGAGAGTTGAGCCGTGTGTTTGTTACCTTCAGGTAAGCACTTGACGAAGTGGTAAGCAGAAAAAGTACTGTGTGAACTGGAAAGCGTAACCAAATACAGACTTTTGGGGAAAAACAGAGGGGCTTCCAGATCTCTAAAGGTCTGAGTACTGTTTTGGCAACACTACATTACTAGTGGGTGGGCCCCTTGAAGGAGGGACTGAGCCTTGTATATGTATGTGTCTCTGGTACTTAAAACAATACCGGATACATTTGGGATGCTCAACAGCCATTTACAGAGTCGAGGAATAGATCTCCATGCCCATGCTTATAAACAGCTGGGCGGGGGAACATTTAGGAAATGCTAGGATGGTTTTAATAAGTAGTAACAAGAGCTGATGTGAATTATATTTCAGGCATTTTATAAGGACTTTTGTCAGAATTAACTCATTTTATCCTAACAGAAACTCTATGAAGTAGGTTCTATTATTATCAACCCCCTTTTACAGCTGATAAAACTGAGGGACAAAGAAGTTAAATTATTTATTCAACATCACACAATGAGTGCTAGAAGGCAAGGGATTTGTCCCCATAGCCCTTATATTTCACTACAAAACTCCATGGCTTCCTATGATCAAGTAAGTTTGGATATGAGCCCAGGAAGTGGGGAGTAGCTCTGGTTCCCCAGGTGATATTGAGATACCTGGGAACAGAAGAAAGCCCAGCAGAATTCACTTAAAGGGAAGAGATTTCAAGTTGAAGGGAGACGCAGTAGGAGGAGACAACCAGGGGACAGATGGTCTTGGTTCCTGGGAGCCCTCAGCCCTCTCAGGGATGGATGGCCCTTTGGATGAGATCCATGTCTTCTGTGAGTCCTGTGTTCCCTTCTGCATTGAGGTGTCTCTTCAAAGCTCTCAGCCATCCTGGAGGGCCGGACGCTCTTCTGGGCTGAGGTTGACAAAGTCTGAAGATAATTGCTCTGGATAAATAGAGCCTGCCCTGCTCCAGTTGCCAAGCGGAATGAATACAATGTGTTTTAATAATGAATGAGTGATTAATAGCAACTGCTTTGGAGAATTATGATGTGACGAGCCTTACCGTGCCATGGAGCTGGGTATAAATGATGCTGGAATGCATAATCGGGACGTTAGCATCTGTTAACAAACTGCATTATAAACCAGGCTCCATGATGCCGCTTATCCACACCTCCCTGACATGTTATTATAACACTTCTCTTGCGAATGGATTGAGGGGGAAATATAGTGCCTATGAATCACCAATTGATTTAAAAAAAAAAAAAAAACAAGAAAGAGAGGAAGAATGTTAAATTAAGGTAATGTTACACATGGCTTCTCCCTTTCCTGATACTGTTTTCAATCCTGCTCTTTGGTGGTCTGCAGGGACAATGTGTTTGCGGTTCCTGGGGTGAGAGAATGTGGCCTGGTCAGAGGAGATCACCTTGCAAAGCAGGTAGAAAGTGTCTGGGAACTTGGATCCATTAGCAAATATCATGGGAATTCCCTTTGCTTTCCCAATAAAATCCAGACCTCTCACTAGGCATGTCCCTGTGATTTGGCCCCTGTATGACCTGCCAGTCACACATACCATGTATTCTACCTTCCAGTGTTCATTCCAAGTCACAATGAACTATTTGCAGCCTTCGGAATACTATGAGATTCTCTTTTCTTTCTTTCTTTCTTTCTTTCTTTCTTTCTTTCTTTCTTTCTTTCTTTCTTTCTTTCTTTCTTTCTTTCCTTCTTTCCTTCTTTCTTTCTTTCTTTTTTCCTTTCTTTCTTCTCTTTCTTTTCTTTCTTTCTTTCTTTCCTTCCTTCCTTCCTCTCTTTTCTTTCTTTCTTTTTCTTTTTCTTTCTTTCCTCTTTCTCTCTTTTTTCTCTTTCTTTCCTTCCTTCTTTCCTCCCTCCCTCTCTTCCTTCCTTCCCTTCTTTCTTTCCTTTCTTTCTTTCTTTTTCTTTCTCTTCTTTCCTCTTTCCTTCTTTTCCCTCCTTCCTTCCTTTCTCTCTCTTTCTTTCTTTTCTTTCTTTCTCTTTCTTTTCTTCTTTCTTTCATTCTTTCTTTCCTTCCTTCCTCTCTTTTTTCCTCTTTCTCTTTTTTCTTTCTTTCCTTCCTTCCTTCTTTCCTCCCTCCCTCTCTTCCCTCCCTTCTTTCTTTCCTTTCTTTCTTTCTCTTTCTTTCTTCCTTCCTTTCTTTTCTTTCCTCTTTCTTTCTTTTCCCTCCTTCCTTCCTTTCTCTCTTTCTTTTTTCTTTCTTTTCTTTCCTTTCTTTCTTTCTTTCTTTCTTTCTTTCTTTCTTTCTTTCTTTCTTTCTCTCTCTCTCTCTCTCTGTCTCTCTCTCTCTCTCTCTCTCTCTCTCTCTCTCTCTCTCTCTTTTCTCTCTTAATGTAGCTGCTGCTCTTTCTAGAGCATCGCCCTCTTTCCTCTAGCAGGCTAATCTATTGCTCATCCTCCAGAGTCCTCTAAATCCCTGTTGAATGTCACCTCCCCCACCAAACTTGCCTGCTTTTCCTCACCTTGTTCCTGCCATCAGAGCATGTATCACACAGTATCACGGGGCATCACACGGTATGGAAATCACTTATTAGTCATCTCCTCTGTCAACTGAGAACCCTTAGAGTTTGTCTTACCCAACCGTGCATTCCCAGAAATCACTTCTGGATGGGTATAGGGTAGAGGTTTCATAAGAGAAAAAAATGAGTGTTCAGATGATGCAAGCCAAACTTCCAGTCGCCTTTAGTGTGGTTCATATACAGTCTCACCCTAATGATGCTAATTCTTTCTATCTACACACAGTTACGGAAAGCCTCCTATGTTTTCTTTGAGGTGTTGCAGATAGAGCAGTGATCAAAGCAGTCTGAGCCTTTGCTTTTGTGGAGCTGACATTTTGTTAGGGGATTTTTCTGGGAAAAAGCATCACCAGCCTGTGAGTAACTTGTCTCCCAGGGCCCTTCCCTGAGCACATTCGCCCTCATTTTTCAGATTCAACTCAAGTGCTGTAATCTTTAGAAAACCTTCCATCCCTGTTCTGGGCAAAGCTATAGTATTTCCCTGATTCTAAGATGTGCACTTTCCCATATTTTACTGTTGCTGTTGTTTTTCAATTGGGAATTTAAAATTTTGATGTCTGAACTGTGGTGTGTTCACTTGATGTCATCAAGTTTCCTTTTTCTGCAAGCTGTTAAGTCAGTAGGTGCCTTATTGTCAAGATGTCTCTTGGTTAGGAAAATAAGTGAGTACCTAGGGGCTGTGCTTCCATGCGCTTTGTCTGCACAGTGACAGGCTGCTCACCTCATTGTGTCTGGTCACATATCTTTCTCCCTCGCTGGACTGTGAATTCCTCAGGGGCAACCATGTCTAATTCAACCATGATTTTTCTTCAGCTCCAAACCCGCCCCTGACACCCAGTAAACACTTGCTTCTCTTGGGGACAAAAGCAATGCATGACAAAATGGAGTAAAGCTCTCCTGCTCTCCACATGATCAGATCTGGTAACTTCTATTTCCTATGTATCCTTTGAAATTTACCTCCAGAACTACTCCCATAGTGGGCAGCCGAGCAAAGGTCCACCACATATTGGTGGAGTGGTCTGCCATGTTAATTCTGGGGCCTCAGATTCCTGACCTGTAAAATGGAACTGAAAATGCCCACCTCATGCAGTTTGGGGGAGGGTAAAGTGAGATACACAGTATTAATTTCTTAGGGCTGCCATAATAAAGCATAGTTGGGCCTCTGTATCCATGAGTTCCACATCATGGATTCCATATCTGTGGATTCAACCAACTATGATAAAAAATATCTTTAAAAAACCACAAAAAAACTAGTGATATAACAATTAGAAGTACAAATTTAAAAATAACTCCAATCTCTGCCTTGTCTTCACATGACCATTTTTTCTCTCTCACAAGAACATCAGCCCTATTGAAATGGAGCCCATCCTACTCCAGTGTGACCTCACTTTAGCTTGACTGCAATGACTGATCTGCAATGACCTTATTTCCAAATAGGATCATTCTGAGGTTTGTGATTTCAACCTGTCTGTTTTGGGGGACTCTATTCAACCCACAACATGTAGAGAATGTGCTAGTAAATAATCCATCTTCTTCTCTCCCACCCCCTCCACTCCTATTTATGCCAACCCAAACTACTCTTCCTGCATCCTACTTCTTGTCTGTGCCTCTCTGATGTATATTGCTAGGTGTCTTTTTAAGAACGTATGCCCTCCTTTTCTAACTAGTTGGAAGCTTTGTGAAGGTAAAGAGGTAAAAGCATCCTTATAGCGTCTAAAAGACTGCTTGGCATATCCTGAGGCCTCAATATGTGCTAATGGATTGGGTAATAACAAAGGAGCAGAAAATATTGATCACATTTTCTTCCATGCTGTCCTTCTCTCTAAAGTCCTTCCTCTGTGTGCTTAGAGAGTATTATTATTCTTATTTAAACTAGCCTCATCTTGTATGAGCTTCTAAGTAAAAATGAGTTTAGAGAGTTTGCATAAGGTCTGTAGTCATTTCTTTCCACCTTGAGGACCACTACCCTGTTGGAGGCCACCATGATCTCTCACTTGGGCAGCTGCCATAGTCCTATCTACTTTTTTTTTTTTTTTTTTTTTTTTTTTTTGAGATGGAGTCTCACCCTGTCACCCAGGCTGGAGTGCAGTGGCATGATCTCGGCTCACTGCAAGCTCCGCCTCCCAGGTTCACACCATTCTCCTGCCTCAGCCTCCCAAGTAGCTGGGACTACAGGCGCCTGCCACCCTGCCCGGCTAACTTCTTTGTATTTTTTTAGTAGAGACGGGGTTTCACCGTGTTAGCCAGGATGGTCATGATCTCCTGACCTCGTGATCCGCCTGCCTGGGCCTCCCAAAGTGCTGGCATTACAGCCACCATGCCCGGCCAATCCTGCCTCCTTTTAAATCCATTCTCTGCACTATGATCAATGGGATTTTTCCATAACACTAAAATCATGGCATCATCTCTGTGGCTTTGCCATTGCTCTCTGGTTAAAATCCAGGCACCTTTGATGTCATAATTATCTGCATGATCTGGCCCCTCCCACCTTATGCCTTACCCCTCCTGACTTCTAACTCAAGACTTAACAGCCATATGAGCTTCTTGTGGTTACTTTAATGGATCCTGAACTCTCACCTTATAACCTTTAACTCATGCTATACCTGATGTCCTTTCTCCTCCAGTCTTCTCCTCCTTTCCAGGGCTAACTCCTCCATATCCTTCAAGTTACGGCTTAGAAATCACTTCCTCTGAGAGGCCTTCAAGATCTACCAAGATTGATTCAAATACCCTTCTGTGTGTTTGTTAGGGCTGGAGGGTGTACAGTGCCTGGTACTATGCCCGAGGCACAATCATTACTGGATAAATATTTGTCAAAGGTTGAATGGATGTTGTTGAAAGAGGTTGAGACATGAAGTCAGAAAGCTACGGTTAGAATTCTGTATTTTCAATTTATTTGATTTTGATCTTGGGAAAGTTATCTACTTTTTCTGAGCTTTAGTTTGCTCATCTGTAAAATGAGTATAGTAATACAAATTGGTTTCAGGGTTGATTGAAATAATATAGGCAAGGAACCTAGTACAGTGCCACATAGTAGGTGTTTATAAAATATCAGTTTCCTTTCTCTCCTCCAACCCTTCACTTTCTGTCTATGAACCCTCCCCATCTCTAACTGCCTTCCCCTACATTATCTGTGCTGCTTTTAAAACTATATATATATATATAAAATTATATATATATCTCTCTATATATAAAATTATATATCTCTATATAAAATTATATATATCTCTCTCTCTATATATATATAAAATTATATATATATATATATATATAAAATTATATATATATATATATATATAAAATTTGCCTGCTTCTCCCCAACTCTTCCCTTGGCTGGTTCCTACCAATCTCATTTTTTCATGATTAAAATAAAGCATCATGGAAAATTAATTAATATTTGGAGATGAAAGATGCAGCATTGCCAGTCCTGGCTCTCCACTGAGTGCAAACCACTTACAATAAAACCCACCAGCTTGTCTATTAAGGAGAAAAAGAATTTATTTATCAACCCTTTCATATTGTAGCCACCAGCCTGTCTTTGATGGCACTGCCAGCTTTATACCTCAGGTGCCTGGAAAAAGGCCAAGAGTAGTCTTGTTCTGAAGAGACTGACAGCATGAGCTCCCTTAGTCCGAGCCAGGCTGATCCACTGTGCCCACCTGGGGCTCCAGAGCTCTGTTCACCTGGCCACATTTTATCCCCTACCCTCTGATGGTCTCCCAGGGTTTGATTGCTACTGATATATAAAAGCCCTGAAATGGGAGCCAGAGAACAATAGGACTAGAAGAACTCAAGAGATCATCCTGTTTAATGTTTCCATTTTATATATGGAGAAACTGAAGACCCAGGGGTGGGACATGAGTTATGAGTTGCTCAAGGCCATATCCCATGGGCTGCACCTAGGACACTGAACAATCAGATATGCTTTCCTCCAGAAAATTTCCTCGTTGTTCCTAATGCACAATCTTGCTAAATTTCTTGGCATTATATTGAGCTATGGACCTTTGCACATTCCAGCATGAGAATCTCAAAAGGAGGGACTTTATGGTTTTTCATTCCCTGTATTTGTGGAGCCAAGAACAGTGCTTTGCATGCAGTAGGGGTTTAATATTTATGAAATAAATTTACTAATGCATGAATTCATTGACACCATAATTTCCTTGAATGTGCTCTTAGATAAAGGGGATTCAGTGGAGAAATTCCTGTGAGATGGGCTTGGACTCATGGACTTTGGAGATAATTTGCAAGGTTGAGCTAGATAACCTTTTCTTGAGCAATTGCTTCATGATCTCCAAAGTGACTTGTGCTGTGGAACCCAACTGAACACCCTGGGTTTGAATTGCAGCATCCTCACTAACTGTGTAACTGTGTGCCTTGGTTTCCCATGTATCATCCTCATCTGTCCATCATGGATGTTGTAAGAACCACACTGGATCACAATCCATTGAGGAGTCAGCGTCCTGCAGCAGTTAGATGTGCCTGCTTGAGATGCAGCCTGTCTGGCTGTGAGGTCTGAGTTTGAGCACCCTGAGTTGATGTTCTGATTCAGTTAGAAATTGCCATATGAGGCATGTAGTCATGGGCTGTAGTGGACACATAGTAGTTTTCTGTTATCACGTAAGGCTAAATGACCTAGCCAAGGTCTCAGATTAGTAAGGGCCAGTGGAAGGATTGATTGCAACTCCTCTTTATCCATCTCTGTGGTTTTTGTCCTACTGTGACTTGCTATTTGCCCAGAGTGACCCTGGTTTCCCTTGTCTGCATCTCAGTCCCACCCACCTCTCCGCAATCACCAGAATGTTTCTTTATTACTTGTTTGTTCAAGAGCCCTTTATAGTTCGTTCTTCTTCCTCCTGTCAATATCCACTTTCAGGTATGGCTCTACCATCAGGTGCCTCCGTTGTAGCATGTGCGCTGCATTAAAAAGCAACCTGAGCAGACAAAGGGGACTGCTGCCTTCTACAGGGTAAGGGCTCCAGGGGTTCGCCATTAGGAGTACCTCAGGCCAACTAATGGAAAGTAGTTCCCCTCCTGTGCCCCCAAATGACTAGGGGCCCTAGGGTTCATCCTATGTGGGAGAGACTGGATGTCTTTGCCTATCTGAGAAGACCTCACCAAGTGACGGGTGGTCTTAGTTCACACAAAAGGCCCAGAGTCCAGATAAGATTAACTAGAATGGCCAAGGACCCATGGTGGGGGACTGAAGACATCCAGGTAGAGATAATTGCAAGTTAAGTGCATCTGTAATCCTGATCATCTGACATCCCTTCTCCATAGAGCATTAATTCATGCAGTCATCCAGCCAACAAATATTCAAAGTGTATCAGGTCCTATGCCTGAACTGGAGCTACAGCATGAAATAAGTCAGTCCCGATTCTTGCCTTTTGGAGTTTACAGTCTGGTCAGGTGGGAGCCAGGAAGGAGTTGGCACAACCGAGGCAAGTCACATAGGACTTTGTGGGGCTTGACGTGGGTCACTAACCCACCGCTTTTTGTCTGAGGCTGGAGGACAGAAATATGAATCCCTGGGAAAGTTCCCAAAGGCAAAGTCAAGTTGGCAATTCCCAAACCAGTTCAGGGAAACAAGAGACTGCTTAGACCACAGGAGTCTAAGCATGGAGCCCAAACAGAGTGGCTTGGGTGCAGGATGTGGGAAAGGTGTGAGCTAGAAAAGGTGAAGGAGTTAGGAATGGGGCAAAAGGCATTATCTCCTCATATGTGTGTGGACTCAGGCTCGAGAATGTTCCCAGCAGCATTTTGTAAGAGAAAAACTTTGGGAAAATAAAGCTTCTATTACCTATTAACAAGAATGAATAAGTAAATTGTGGTGTTCTGAAATAATAAACGTTTCAGCAGGGAAAAGTAATAAACCAGAGCTGCATATGTCAACACAGATAAATCACACAAACCTAATGTTGAGGGGAAAAAATCAAGCTTCAGACAAATATGCATATTTTATGATACCATTGATATAAAGTTTGAAAACATGCAAAACAATTCGATATGTTGTCCAGGGATAAATAAATACATAATAAAAGTATAAAGTCATTTATGGGAACAGTAAAGCCTAAATTCCAGATCATGATGATTTCTGAAGGATGGGGAGAGTATTGTCATGTAGAGAGCCATGGAGGGCTTCAGCTATATTTCCTAATCTGGGTGGTAGGTGGATGGCTGCCAGTTGTATTGTGATTTATATTTCTCAAATATTGCATAATAAAAGTTATTTTAAAAACTAAAATGAGGCAAATTGTGTGGACTGGGAAAGGAAGAGTCTACTTTCTAGCCTCCCTTTACTGCCTCTAGAAGTCAGGCATCACACGTGAGTCTCTTTCCAAAGCCTTGATCAAAGATGCAAAACAAGGTGGCTCCCATAGGGTGCCTACAGGGCCAGACCAGCTCCCTCTCCCTCCCACTCAGCCCTCCCTTGGCACAACACAATGACATTGGACATGAGGGACAAGGGTGGGACTTAATCACTTCTAATGACTCAGAAGCTATTCTGAACTCTACCAACTTTCTTTCTACAGAGAAAAGTGGCCTTGTGGTTAAAGGAGCTGGAGCCCATCACTACCCCAGCAGTCTGTCCTCTCACTGGTTTAACCAGTACATCTGGCCAATACCACTTTGCCTTCCAGTTGTCCACTGATGAGGCTGTTCCTCCCAGCCCTTTGCCTGAAACCTCTACTGTATTGCCTCTTGATCCTGACACTGGCCCCGGAGCCAAAAGGTTTAACACTTCTGCTCACTGCACATGACCTCATTTTGGGGGTGTACTGGTGTAGACCTGGTGTCCGGGATCCACTACCACCCCTAGAATTTTCTGCCCACAGTTCTTTCCTGGCATCTCTTTTCTTCCCCACTGTTGCCACAGCCACAGTATATCGCTGAGCTGCTTCTAAGCTCCTACCCCCATGGAAGTAGGGAAAGGAAAACCTTAATGTCTTCCCTTTTCATCCATATAAGACATGCACTACTGTAGTCTCTACAGATGAGGAAATTGAGGCCAAAATAAATACCTTGCTCAAGGTCATGTAGCTAATAAAATACAGAACTGGGATTCCAATCTGTATATGAATCTGATTCCAAAGCCTGTACATACTCTTTACACTGTATTAACTGCCTCTTGGAAGTCAACTGACAAGCTCTCAATGACAGCTTCAACTCATTTTCACTTTGATTCAATAGTGCCATGGACTGGTTCGGTGAATGTTCTTAAACCTGTTCTGTTATGTTCTTTCTCTCATTCACTTCTTTTCAAGTGCTTTCCACTTGAGAAAGAAAAGTGGTGGTGGGATCTCACCATCCATCATCTCCCTTCCCTGCAATGACCTGTCACGGAGCACTTTGGGAAAAGTTGTCATGGGCCAGAGCTGCCAGGGATTCTCCCACTCCCCAGTTCCTGGCTGCATAATGGGGAGATGCCGGGTAACCCCTAACTACTGCCACTCAAGTTTGTGGGCACCAGCCCCAAACCTGGGGAACTGCCTCCTACAGGCCCCCTGCCTCAATCATCACTTGCCAGGGACATGGCAGAAATGCCCGAGGCTATTTAGATTTGACTCACTCATCCCCTCTTGTTTTTACATAAACTGCTCCCTCCTGGATGTGGTTATCACATCTTCATAAGGCCTCTAAGAAGTTCCAGACAATTGGATTATGTGAAAAGACAAACTGGAGCACAAAGAGGTTGAGACTTTATCTCAGGTCTGTTTTGAGATTGGCAATGTGGACAAGGGCTGGATGATTAGTTACCAAGGGGGTCTTGATCTTCAGGGACTGGAGTTGGTATCTCATTGAAGAATATTCTTGAATAGAACATTTTAGGATTGAAGGAACTGCAGTCATCTTCAGGTCTACCCTTGGTGGGAAGAACTGAGGCCCAGGTTGGAAGGTACCAGGTAGGCTGATGGAGCAACTCAAGCTTCTGGCCCTAGTCCAGTATTTACATGTCACCCAAATGCCAAGGGAGATGGAAAGACTGCTAGCTCCTCCCAGGTGAGCCTGAAGTTTTCTCCTGGAGCCTTCCAAATCCCACAGGCAGAAGTGGGCATGGATAAGGAATAAAAGCGGAAGAGGTGGGGACTGGGTAGCCAAGACCCCTCCTATTTGGAGAGCCCATAGTCTCTCTGGCTGAGTACTTTTGGGGTCCCAGCCCAGAATGGGGAGTGTGGATGTGGGGAGTGGCCCATTACTGAGGGTCTATAGGAAGTTGCCAGAGTTTAGCAGATGGATGGTGTCTTAGTCCACCTTAAGTACTCTTTTTCCTTCTTGGGTTGAGTTACCTTATGAAGAAACCAAATGCTAATTCCTCCAAGGTATGTGCTAGACAGACCTGTGAAGGTAGCTTTTCCAGATGGAGGGAAGGCTGAATAATTGGTTCCAACTCTACACTTTTGAGTTCCTCAAACTGCCCCACCCCCAACCCCAGCCCCCTGTACCACAACCGGCATGGTTGTCAGAAGGTCTGATTCTTACTCCAGTGCACTTCCCATTAAACCCTGTAGCCTATCACCCATCAGAACACCAGGTCTGCAGCTGACTTACTCAGTAACCTTGGAAAAGTTCCTTCATTTATAAATACAATAGGCACTGTGCTTCTCAACTTGTTCTCTCCTACAGGCATTTGGGAATGTGTGGGCACATGTTTGGCTGTCCCTGGGATTTATTTTCAGGGAAGAAGGACAAGGATGCTTAAGTCTCCTTGCCATACAAGGGAGCTCCACACAAAGAGAAACCACATCCCCCTAGCCCTCCACCTAAAATGTCAGTAGAGCTCTCATTGAATAGCACTGGTGGACTCTGTGAAGACCCTTCCAGCTGTGACTCATCTGTCAGGCCTAGTGCTGTGAAGCTTCCATCAGACTGTGGTGTGATCTGTATGCCAGTGATGTGATGAGGCTCCGGTCAGAGGCCCAAGGTGTGAGGTTAGTAAGTTCAGAACATTGTCCTGCAGGAACCAAGACAGCTGGGAATGAGCTGACTGAGGAGCTGTTTGGTATTAAGGGATGAATAAATTAACACTGCTGCCACGACTGCTGGGCTGTCTGAAACAGTGGCACAGAGAGTGATCTGGACCATCGCCCTGGAGCTGTTAGAAAAAGGCAGGTGGAGGTCACAAGGAATCTGAGAAAGGGGAGAGCAGATTTCAAGAGGTGTAAGATCAGAGTGAGTCTGAGGGGATGAAATGAGTCTTTGAAGAGAGTGATCTTCTCTGCAGCAAATGGGGGCTTGGGGGCTAGGTGACCTGGGGACCTGGGGCCAAGCAGAGAGGTGAGGGAAGTATATTTTAAGGTACAGAATCAATCCTGCATTTGTCCCTTTTAAATTCAGTTCCTTTTTCTAACAAAGCAAGTGGAGTTGGAGTTCACAGGATTGCCAGTCTGAAAAGAGCCTTTGGCTCATCAATTTCCATAGCAGAGGCAGGCAGTATATGAGAACCAGGTAATTACTGAGCCCAGAGAGGCCCAGGGCATGTTTTAACATCTGTACCCACCTGGCTATCACCTTGGTATTTTAAAAGCCCTTGGAATAGAGCAAGGAGTTACTAACAAGGCATTGCATTTTTGATCACCATTTGGCATGTGCATATGTGTCATAGTGTACCCTCTATGAAGGCAAAACTTCTATCTACCCTTGTTAACACTGTATTTCAGCACCTAGGACAGCCTCTGCCTGAGCATTGATGCTTCATAAATATTGGTTGAATTAACAAATAAATGGAGGAGGAGGATGGCGGAATAGGAACAGCTCCAGTCTACAGCTCCCAGCATGAACGACGCAGAAGACAGGTGATTTCTGCATTTCCATCTGAGGTACCGGGTTCATCTCACTAGGGAGTGCCAGACAGTGGGCGCAGGTCAGTGGGTGCAGCGCACTGTGTGCGAGCCGAAGCAGGGCTAGGCATTGCCTCATTTGGGAAGCGCAAGGGGTCAGGAGGTTCCCTTTCCTAGTCAAAGAAAGGGGTGACAGACGGCACCTGGAAAATCGTGTCACTCCCACCCAAATACCGCGCTTTTCCGACGGGCTTAAAAAACAGCACACCAGGAGATTATATCCCGCACGTGGCTCGGAGGGTCCTACGCCCACGGAGTCTCGCTGATTGCTAGCACAGCAGTCTGAGATCAAACTGCAAGGCTGCAGCGAGGCTGGGGAGGGGCGCCCGCCATTGCCCAGGCTTGCTTAGGTAAACAAAGCAGCCGGGAAGCTTGAACTGGGTGGAGCCCACCACAGCTCAAGGAGGCCTGCCTGCCTCTGTAGGCTCCACTTCTGGGGACAGGGCACAGACAAACAAAAAGACAGCAGTAACCTCTGCAGACTTAAATGTCCCTGTCTGACAGCTTTGAAGAGAGCAGTGGTTCTCCTAGCACACAGCTGGAGATCTGAGAACGGGCAGACTGCCTCCTCAAGTGGGTCCCTGACCCCTGAGCAGCCTAACTGGGAGGCACTCCCCAGTAGGGGCAGACTGACACTTCACACGGCCGGGTACTCCTCTGAGACAAAACTTCCAGAGGAACAATCAGACAGCAGCATTCGCCGTTCACGAAAAACCGCTGTTCTGCAAACACCGCTGCTGATACCCAGGCAAACAGGGTCTGGAGTGGACCTCTAGCAAACTCCAACAGACCTGCAGCTGAGGGTCCTGTCTGTTAGAAGGAAAACTAACAAACAGAAAGGACATCCACACCAAAAACCCATCTGTACATCACCATCATCAAAGACCAAAAGTAGATAAAACCACAAAGATGGGGAAAAATACAGAGCAGAAAAACTGGAAACTCTAAAAATCAGAGCGCCTCTCCTCCTCCAAAGGAACGCAGTTCCTCACCAGCAATGGAACAAAGCTGGATGGAGAATGACTTTGACGAGTTGAGAGAAGAAGGCTTCAGATGATCAAACTACTCCAAGCTACAGGAGGAAATTCAAACCAAAGGCAAAGAAGTTAAAAACTTTGAAAAAAATTTAGAAGAATGTATAACTAGAATAACCAATACAGAGAAGTGATTAAAGGAGCTGATGGAGCTGAAAGCCAAGGCTCGAGAACTATGTGAAGAATGCAGAAGCCTCAGTAGCCAATGCGATCAACTGGAAGAAAGGGTATCAGTGATGGAAGATGAAATGAATGAAATGAAGTGAGAAGGGAAGTTTAGAGAAACAAGAATAAAAAGAAATGAACAAAGCCTCCAAGAAATATGGGACTATGTGAAAAGACCAAATCTACGTCTGATTGGTGTACCTGAAAGTGACGGGGAGAATGGAACCAAGTTGGAAAACACTCTGCAGGATATTATCCAGGAGAACTTCCCCAATCTAGCAAGGCAGGCCAACATTCAGATTCAGGAAATAGAGAGAACGCCACAAAGATACTCCTCGAGAAGAGCAACTCCAAGACACATAATTGTCAGATGAACCAAAGTTGGAATGAAGGAAAAAATGTTAAGGGCAGCCAGAGAGAAAGGTCGGGTTACCCACAAAGGGAAGCCCATCAGACTAACAGCTGATCTCTCGGCAGAAACTCTACAAGCCAGAAGAGAGTGGGGGCCAATATTCAACATTCTTAAAGAAAAGAATTTTCAACCCAGAATTTCATGTCCAGCCAAACTAAGCTTCATAAGTGAAGGAGAAATAAAATACTTTACAGACAAGCAAATGCTGAGAGATTTTGTCACCACCAGGACTGCCCTAAAAGAACTCCTGAAGGAAGCACTAAACATGGAAAGGAACAACCGGTACCAGCCACTGCAAAATCGTGCCAAAATGTAAAGACCATCGAGACGAGGAAGAAACTGCATCAACTAACAAGCAAAATAACCAGCTAACATCATAATGACAGGATCAAATTCACACAGAACGATATTAACTTTAAATGTAAATGGACTAAATGCTCCAATTAAAAGACACAGACTGGCAAATTGGATAAAGAGTCAAGACCCATCAGTGTGCTGTATTCAGGAAACCCATCTCCCATGCAGAGACACACATAGGCTCAAAATAAAAGGATGGAGGAAGATCTACCAAGCAAATGGAAAACAAAAAAAGGCAGGTGTTGCAGTCCTAGTCTCTGATAAAACAGACTTTAAACCAACAAAGATCAAAAGAGACAAAGAAGGCCATTACATAATGGGAAAGGGATCAATTCAACAAGAAGAGCTAACTATCCTAAATATATACGCACCCAATACAGGAGCACCCAGATTCATAAAGCAAGTCCTGAGTGACCTACAAAGAGACTTAGAGTCCCACACATTAATAATGGGAGACTTTAACACCCCACTGTCAACATTAGACAGATCAGTGAGACACAAAGTTAACAAGGATACCCAGGAATTGAACTCAGCTCTGCACCAAGCGGACCTAATAGACATCTACAGAACTCTCCACCCCAAATCAACAGAATATACATTTTTTTCAGCACCACACCACACCTATTCCAAAATTGACCACATAGTTGGAAGTAAAGCTCTCCTCAGAAAATGTAAAAGAACAGAAATTATAACAAACTATCTCTCAGACCACAGTGCAATCAAATTAGAACTCAGGATTAAGAAACTCACTCAAAACCGCTCAACTACATGGAAACTGAACAACCTGCTCCTGAATGACTACTTGGTACATAATGAAATGAAGGCAGAAATAAAGATGTTCTTTGAAACCAACGAGAACAAAGACACAACATACCAGAATCTCTGGGACACATTCAAAGCAGTGTGTAGAGGGAAATTTATAGCACTAAATGCCCACAAGAGAAAGCAGGAAAGATCCAAAATTGACACCCTAACATCACAATTAAAAGAACTAGAAAAGCAAGAGCAAACACATTCAAAAGCTAGCAGAAGGCAAGAAATAACTAAAATCAGAGCAGAACTGAAGGAAACAGAGACACAAAAAACCCTTCAAAAAATTAATGAATCCAGGAGCTGGTTTTTTGAAAGGATCAACAAAATTGATAGACCACTAGCAAGACTAATAAAGAAAAAACGAGAGAAGAATCAAATAGACACAATAAAAAATGATAAAGGGGATGTCACCACCGATCCCACAGAAATACAAACTACCATCAGAGAATACTACAAACACCTCTACACAAATAAACTAGAAAATCTAGAAGAAATGGATAAATTCCTCGACACGTACACTCTCCCAAGACTAAACCAGGAAGAAGTTGAATCTCTGAATAGACCAATAACAGGAGCTGAAATTGTGGCAATAATCAATAGCTTACCAACCAAAAAGAGTCCAGGACCAGATGGATTCACAGCCAAATTCTACCAGAGGTACAAGGAGGAACTGGTACCATTCCTTCTGAAACTATTCCAATCAATAGAAAAAGAGGGAATTCTCCCCAACTCATTTTATGAGGCCAGCATCATCCTGATACCAAAGCCTGGCAGAGACACAACCAAAAAAGAGAATTTTAGACCAATATCCTTGATGAACATCGATGCAAAAATCGTCAATAAAATACTGGCAAACCGAATCCAGCAGCACATCAGAAAGCTTATCCACCATGATCAAGTGGGCTTCATCCCTGGGATGCAAGTCTGGTTCAATATACACAAATCAGTAAATGTAATCCAGCATATAAACAGAACCAAAGACAAAAACCACATGATTATCTCAATAGATGCAGAAAAGGCCTTTGACAAAATTCAACAACCTTCATGCTAAAAACTCTCAATAAATTAGGTATTGATGGGACATATCTCAAAATAATAAGAGCTATCTATGACACACCCACAGCCAATATCATACTAAATGGGCAAAAACTGGAAGCATTCCCTTTGAAAATTGGCACAAGACGGGGATGCCCTCTCTCACCACTCCTATCCAACATAGTGTTGGAAGTTCTGGCCACGGCAATTAGGCAGGAGAAGGAAATAAAGGGTATTCAATTAGGAAAAGAGGAAGTCAAATTGTCCCTATTTGCAGACAACATGATTGTATATCTAGAAAACCCCATCGTCTCAGCCCCAAATCTCCTTAAGCTGATAGGCAACTTCAGCAAAGTCTCAGGATACAAAATCAATGTGCAAAAATCACAAGCATTCTTATACACCAATAACAGACAAACAGCCAAATCATGAGTGAACTCCCATTCACAATTGCTTCAAAGAGAATAAAATACCTAGGAATCCACCTTACAAGGGACGTAAAGGACCTCTTCAAGGAGAACTACAAACCACTGCTCAATGAAATAAAAGAGGATACAAACAAATGGAAGAACATTCCATGCTCATGGGTAGGAAGAATCAATATCGTGAAAATGGCCATACTGCCCAAGGTAATTTATAGATTCAATGCCATCCTCATCAAGCAACCAATGACTTTCTTCACAGAATTGGAAAAAACTACTTTAAAGTTCATATGGAACCAAAAAAGAGCCCACACCACCAAGTCAATCCTAAGCCAAAAGAAAGCTGGAGGCATCACGCTACCTGACTTCAAACTATACTACAAGGCTACAGTAACCAAAACAGCATGGTACTGGTACCAAAACAGAGATATAGATCAATGGAACAGAACAGAGCCCTCAGAAATAACGCTGCATATCTACAACTATCTCATCTTTGACAAACCTGACAGAAACAAGCAATGGGGAAAGGATTCCCTATTTAATAAATGGTGCTGGGAAAACTGGCTAGCCATATGTGGAAAACTGGCTAGCCACATGTAGAAAGCTGAAACTGGATTCCTTCCTTACACCTTATACAAAAATCAATTCAAGATGGATTAAAGACTTAAACGTTAGACCTAAAACCATAAAAACCCTAGAAGAAAACCTCAGCATTACTATTCAGGACATAGGCATGGGCAAGGACTTCATGTCTAAAACACCAAAAGCAATGGCAACAAAAGCCAAAATTGACAAATGGGATCTAATTAAACTAAAGAGCTTCTGCACATCAAAAGAAACTACCATCGGAGTGAACAGGCAACCTACAGAATGGGAGAAAATTTTCACAACCTACTCATCTGACAAAGGGCTAATATCCAGAATCCACAATGAACTCAAACAAATTTACAAGAAAAAAACAAACAACCCCGTCAAAAAGTGGGCGAAGGACCTGAACAGACACTTCTCGAAAGAAGACATTTATGCAGCCAAAACACACATGAAAAAATGCTCACCATCACTGGCCATCAGAGAAATGCAAATCAAAACCACAATGGGATATCATCTTACACCAGTTAGAATGGCAATCATTAAAAAGTCAGGAAACAACAGGTGCTGGAGAGGATGTGGAGAAATAGGAACACTTTTACACTGTTGGTGGGACTGTAAACTAGTTAACCATTGTGGAAGTCAGTGTGGCGATTCCTCAGGGATCTAGAACTAGAAATACCATTTGACCCAGCCATCCCATTACTGGGTATATACCCAAAGGACTATAAATCATGCTGCTATAAAGACACATGCACACGTATGTTTATTGTGGCACTATTCACAATAGCAAAGACTTGGAACCAACCCAAATGTCCAACAATGATAGACTGGATTAAGAAAATGTGGCACATATACACCATGGACTACTATGCAGCCATAAAAAATGATGAGTTCATGTCCTTTGTAGGGACATGGATGAAATTGGAAATCATCATTCTTAGTAAACTATCGCAAGAACAAAAAACCAAACACCGCATATTCTCACTCATAGGTGGGAATTGAACAGTGAGAACATATGGACACAGGAAGGGCAACATCACACTCTGGGGACTGTTGTGGGGTGGGGGGAGGGGGGAGGGATAGCACTGGGAGATATACCTAATGCTAGATGACGAGTTAGTGGGTGCAGTGCAGCAGCATGGCACATGTATACATATGTAACTAACCTGCACATTGTGCACATGTACCCTAAAACTTAAAGTATAATGATAAAAAAAAAATAGCATGCAAAGGAAAAAAAAACAAGAACAAATAAATGCATGCTGTGAGTATGGACTATACAAAGAAAGAGAAGCATATCTCCTTATGCTCCTGCATTCAAAAACTTCTTCCCATTGTAGGAGACAAGAAATGAAGCAGAAGAAGGAGCACAGATTTTGGGGTCAAACTGTCTTTTACTGTAAGCATAACTCAACTACTTTACCATCACGGTGACCTGGACTGGTTACTTAAATTTTCTAAGCCTCAACTTAAAAGTGGTAGCAGTAATGATCTATTTTTCAGAGGTTGTGCAAAAGGATTTAGTAAGGTAATGCATGAAGTACCTAGCACAGGGTCTAGCACATAGCAAGTGTTCAGTAAGTGGAAACTGTTGTGGAGGTTGTCATTATGTTGCCAGGGGGCGGGGACAGGTGATTGAGTGGACTGGGGACTCCCCCGCATTTTTGCAGAAGCTGGCCTTTGGTAGTATTTTTATCAGTCCAAGGCAAAAGGAGCAAAAAACAGGCAATGCAGTGAGCATTTTAGGAAGTGGAGTTTATTCCGTTTAAAGGACAATGCTTTTGTATGAGATTTTTTTCCCTTTGTAACTTTTATTTTACTAAAATGTCACAGTTTTGTGATACGATGGTAATACTAGAATACAAGATTTAATAGTATATTCTCACCTGGCAAAATAAAAGGTGGTGGCCTGGTGCTGGTCCTCAAAAAAATAAAAAATTCTGTACATAAAATTCCAATACCTAGAGATCACTGACTTCCATGACTCTAGTGTTCTCATCTCCAGGAGGTAGAGTGGAGCATTCAGAGAGAGTGCCTGAAGGAGCAGAGGGGACAGAAGAGTCTGTTGGCCTGGACTTTGAGAAGGCTTCCTGAAGCAGCAGGAAGAACTTGAGAAAGACCTTTAAGCATGCTGGGATTTGTATTCGTGGATGAAAGTATGAGGGCATCCTAGGTAGAAGATACAGCATGAGCAAAGGACCAGGAGCAGACATGAATGAGGTGTGATGAGAACTTAAATCGGAGAGTTTGGGTCATGGAGAAGCAAATGAGACCAGAAAGCCACTGGGGTTTCTTAAACAGGGGCTTGTCGTTCTGAAAATGGGGTTAAGTACAGAAGAGACTAAACATTTATTGAGCTACAATTATCTCTAATACTTACTACTACTCTGAAACTATTATCTCCAATTTATATATAAAAATACTGAGGCTTATAGAGATAAAACAAATTGTCAGAGTTCATATAACCAGTAAGTGGGAGAGCCAAGAATGTAGCAGGAGTGTTAAGACAGAAGAAGTTTTGAGAAGAGAGGGTAAAATTTAGGTGGGAAAAGATAGAGCAAATTATAATTTGTGAAATTCTGTGCAGAGCCTTAAGGGCTGAGAGTACGAACTTGAGTGAAAGTTCAAGGATGCATTCCCTCCCTTTGAGAAGGATTTTGAGGTGGTGGGTTCTAGATGCTGTTCTCAGCGCTATCCAATGACCCAAGGGCCCAATAATATTGTCTTAATTTCCTGTGCTGGGGAAAGCTCTTTCCAGCACCATCTGGTGGCATCTACCTGAATTGCTGGTGTAGAACCAAGGAGGAGATGCGTACCCTCTGGTGCAAAGCTTCCCTAAGTGTGGCAAAGAAATAATGTCTTGTTTCTGCCTTTTCTATCACTTCTAAGGATATCTATCTATCTAGTGCCTAGCAAAGTAGATATCTGATACCCATTAGGTTCCTTCTTACCACTATAATGTCTGGGTGTTGGTTCTCAAACTTTATTGTGTGCCAAAATCCCATGTGGAGTTTGTTAATGGTATCCTCCCACCCCTAGGCTCTAATTTAGTAGATCTGGGGTGCATCTATGAAAGCCAGATTTTAATAAGCCCCAGGGGGTTTCAGTGCAATTGGCCCCTGGAGCTCACTTAGGGAAGCTTGACTCCAGAAAGTATGCATCTCTTCATGGGCTATAAGCCAGCGATTCAGATAGATGCCAATAGAGGCTGCTTGGCAAAGCCTTACTAGGTACTTTATTCCTTGTCTCTTGGCCCATTTTTAGAAGAAGGGAGTCTTCACTCTGGGAATGGGAGGATCTTCAATGAGCAGGGACTAATTTTTCCAGCTGACTCTGAATAAAGATCTACAAAAGCTGTCAGCCAGACCCACTCCATCACTAAAATAAAGCAACTATGTGTCTGAATAAGCCCTGGCCTGGCAATATTGGACCTTTCCTTGCTGCTAATTCATTCAATGATATTGGGCAGGACTGTCTTGATTGCTCCGTTCAGTTCCTATGTCTGAAAACTGAAGGGATCAAAGTAAATGAACCTAAGGTGCCCGGGTTCTCTGACACATTTGTTAACCCTCATAATCTCCTTCTGCCTCCCATGAGGCAAGACTCTCCCTTCACCTAGCCTACTTTAGAGGGGCTGCCCATCCTTCCCTCTGCAGGTACCTCTCAGGCTAATGTTCTTTTGTGAGCCCAACATGGGGCCTCACATTCACAGAGCAGATTAAAGAGATTTGGTTTAAGGTCATCCAGTTGGAAAGTGAGAGAAGCTGACCATTTGTGGAGTCTGGATCCAGCTCACCAGCTCTAAGTTTGTTCCCCTTTCTCATTCACTGTGGATGGTGGTAAGGATGTTTTTGAGTGTTTTGAATTTAGTGCCAGGGAAGCTGGGCTGAGTTCATGTATAGCTGAGAGATCATGGGGAAATGGCCACCACATTGCACAAATCCAGGGGCACAATTGACATTGCAACCTATATGAAGGTGCTCCCTGGAGTTGTGTTATGAGGAATCTGAGTGGTTTTATGTGATGTCCCTGGCAGTGCATCATAGTTTTGGTGGTATTTTCTTTTCCTTTCAAGAGGCTATTAATGGTCCCTTTTAGAAACTATCTTTGCATATTACAGAAAGCTAGGTGGATAGCTCTTGAATATAGCAATCCATGGTAGACACAGACAGTATTCATAGAGTCCACTTTAGCTAAGTGTAGAAGCCATCAGCTCAGGAGTTCATGATACTGCATTTAAGTGGGGATCATCTTCCCTATCTTACCCTACATGCAAGAAGTTGGAGATTTCCATAGAAATTCCGGTAAAGTGGAAGATGCTTTTTAGTGTTGCATGGAGCTAGAAGGTCAAGGTCTTCCAGAAAAGTGCAGCCTCCTCTATCCATCTCCCAAATCGTTGATGCCCTTTCACCTACCCAGGACTTGCTGTGACCTGACAAGCAAAACAGCAAGGGTGAAAATCCCCTTATGACAATTCATGCCAGCCTGTCTTGCACAAATTTGAGAGCATTTCCTTAAATTCTGCACCCTGGGTGGCTCACTCACCTCATTCTAGTGCCAACCCTATGACATTTAAATCACCTATTTGGGTGTCAGTCCTGTGTTAGGTATTAGGGTACAGAAATCAAGAAAATATGGCCCTGCCTACAAGGACTTGACATACAGTTGGAGAGGCCATCAGGAAATCCAGTGATTCTGACTTGCCTTGAGATTCACTAGGTGGGAACACAGAAGTTCCAATGGAGCAACAAGTGAGGTACCTGGTCTACCTGGGAGGTTGAGAAGCCTTCCCTGAAAGGATATAGTCCTAGAGCAGAGACTTAAAAGGTGAGGAGGAGTCTGAAGGGGAGGGAGTGAGAACAGCATGGACAAAGTCCCCAAGGCAAGAGAGAGATGAGTTTGGAAAACCACACATTGATTAGTATGACTGAGATGAAAATTGCATGGGCTTCATACTGGGGGGAGGGAGTGGGCAGTGGCCAGAGAGGCAAAGCGTGATGGAGCCTGCATTCCATGCAAAATTATAAGAATTTCTATCCTGAAAACTGTGGGGAGCTGCTGAAGAATTTTGAGCAGGAAAATAACATGATCAGAATTGCATTTTAGAAGTATCACTCTGGTGGAAATGTGGAGATTCAACTGAACAGAGGTGAGAACAGAGACAGAATGAGCAGTTAGACCATGATTGCAAGAGTCCAGGTGAGGGGCACCAAGATGGAAAGGATCCAATCCACTGTCATAACTCCCTTGCGTCACTACTAGGAAGGAAAATTGCCTCCAGCCTTCTCCAGCTCTGGCAGGGAAGTTTCAGTTATCTGGGTGAGGATAAGCTTCTCCAGGAGTCCAAGGTAGGAGAACTTGGGGGACTTTTTCTGCTCCATGATGTAGAATCTCTTGCAGACCCAGGGTCTGCTGTGGTGGGACCAGATAGTGCCTTTCAAGCCTGGGCTGAGTGGAGGAGGGGTGCCTTTGGCCACAGAAAGAAGAGCCCAGAGACCGCCCCTGGGAAATCTTCCTTTCAGGACTGAGCTCCTGCACTTACGGGTGAGAAACACAGAAAGTGCTGGGGGCTGCTTCTGTTTCCCCCAAGTGCCCCCAGCCCCATCCCCATGTTTCTATGGCAATCCCTTTATGTTGCTTTCCTCATTGCTGCTTCTAGATTGTCTCCCAGCACTTCCGGGGGTGCTAGGGAAGGGAGCTAATTACCTTGCTATAAATACCAGCCAGAATGAGCTCCTAGGGCCCCAGACCTGGCTTTTCTTTTTCAGTGCCTCTGCGGTGGGTTGGGCAGTAGAGAGTGGGTAGAGTCTACACAGCAATCCATCGTTATATTCGCTATGTTCTTTCGCCCCCTCATGGGCTCAGCTGTGTTTACTTTCCTTCTATTAACAGGTGGAGTAGGAGCAAGGAAGCAGTGGCATTATGGGGCATCTGTGAAGTGCCAGGTACAGTGCTAGGCTCTGGGAATTGAAGGATGAATCAGAGCCTACCTCTGCTCTGAAGAAACTCACTGTTTAGAGAGAAAGGCAGGTTTGCAGCAAATAGTTGTGATGAGACATGTGACCTGGGGAACAGGGAGGAGCCATAGGTATACCTGGACCTATGCTTCTCTAGGGATGGAGGGTTTTACTGAGAAGATGGCCAGTGTAGCTGAACACTGAGAGCTGGTGAAACGGAGAGGCCAGGAGGAGGGCATTCTGGACAGAAGCTGTAGGGGCCTAAGAGGCACAGAGATGTGAAGATGTCATCAGAGAGTAGAGCTGGCCCTCTATAACTTTAACCCAGGATGTCCTGGAGGAAGGAGGAAGCCTGCAAAGTGCAACTGCAACCTGGTTTTGAGAGTCTTTGAGTGCCATGTTCTGGGGTCGCTGGGAGCCACACAATGCTTTTCGGCTGTGATGTGGCCTGATAAGATGCATGCTTCTTCAGAGAGGCTGGGACGCACTCTCTCTGGGCACTTAGCTTCATTATCTCAAAAAGGCCAGCTTCAGGGGCTGGAGCTCAAAAGGAGGTGATGGCAGTGGGCAAGGAATTTCAATGAGGACGCAATTAACATCTCACAAGCAGGGCAGACATGCAAACACCTCACTGAAGAGTAGAATTATGTGCAAGAGGGAGGGAGGAAAAAAATCCTTCCCCTAATAGCTTTCTGACTTTCATTAATTCTGACAGTGAAGGCTGCATCGTGGCTGTGTTCCATGGTAACCGTTTCCAGGAAGAGCAGCACCGGAGGAGTGCAGGTTCTGAAGACTTTCAATCAGCCCCAAAGCTTAGCCAGACAAAACGTCGTGTTGCTGGCTTCACAGCCTCCGCGGACACCAAAGGGAGAGGGTATGACGTGGGCAAACATTCTCCTAGGTTATTGCAGGAACTGTGATCACAAGGACCATGAGCGCAGCTGCCTCCCGGGGCTCGATCACAGGAGAGGAGCCCAGGGCCAGAGGTCCCTGAACTGCAGACCAGAGCATGTGGCTGCAGGAGAGGAATGAGGCAGAGAAAGCACAGCTACACACAGTGGATTCCTGGCCTCTTTCCCATCTCCCTGAGAAAGACTCATCACGTCTCCACTGTGGCTCTGTGGGTAATACCGGTAGAGAGGAAAGAGGAGGCTCTGGAGCCAGATGGCCTGGATCCGAATCCCAGGTACTCCCTTACTCACAGGACCATCTTGGGCAAATTACATCACTTCTCTGGGGTTCACCTCCTTAGTTATCACCTGCAATATATGGTGTTTTCAGGAGGCTAGATGAGACAGCCCGTGAGAAATGGCCAGCTGCAGAACTGGCCCATGGCAGGTGCTGATCTTGTGTTGCGCTAAGCCACCCACAATAGTACTGCCTGCCCTCTCCTCCCTCCTCCTTCCTTCTTGCTTTTCCAGCCCTGCTTCTGTGCCCTTCCCACTCTTCCTGTCTCACTCTCTGACTATAATACAAGGTTGTTGAAGGTGTGAAGCAAGCAAGTGGCTTTGCTCTGAGCCTCATGGAGTCAGAAAGACCAGCTGGGTTTTGGTGCCCTTAGGGCTCTAGCTCTGCACCAGACAAAATGAATGAGTTTCAGGACAGTGGAAGCACATATTAGGTTGGGCGACCACATGGGAAGACAAATTATGAACAATGAGAGCCCTCAAAGCTCCATTCTTCATAACAACAATTATGTATGGAAGGCCTATTACATTCTGAGGCACTTCTTTAAGCACCTGGGATATACTTTTTTCAGGATGTTGCCTACCAGCAGAGAGAGGCTGGCCATAAACTATATATACAATAAAAGGTAGATATGAAGGTAGAAAGTGATATGAGCTTGGAGAAAGGAAAAACAGTAGAGTGAAGGGAGAGGGGATTGGAAGTGCTAGTGAGTGAAGAGGGCTGTGATTTTAATGGGGTGGGCACACTAGGCCTCATGGAGCCAGCAGTATGTGAGCAAAAGACTTGAAAGAGGGCCAGGCGTGGTGGCTCACAGCTGTAATCCCAGCACTTTGGGAGGCCAAGGCGGGTGGATCACCTGAGGTCAGGTGTTTGAGACCAGCCTGGCCAACATGGTGAAACCCCGTGTCTATTAAAAATACGAAAAAATTAGCCAGGCATGGTGGCAGGCACCTGTAGTCCCAGCTACTCGCAAGGCTGAGGCAGGAGAATGACATGAACCCGGGAGGCGGAGCTTGCAGTGAGCCGAGATCATGCCACTGCACTCCAGCCTGGGCAACAAAGTGAGACTCTGTCTCAAAAAAAAAATAAAAATAAAAAATAATAGCCAGGTGTGGTTGCACACACCTGTAATCCCAGCTACTTGGGAGGCTGAGGCAAGACAATCACTTGAACCTGGGAGGCAGAGGTTGCAGTGAGCTAT
The DNA here is from genome assembly GCF_000001405.40 of Homo sapiens. Classification (NCBI taxonomy): domain Eukaryota; kingdom Metazoa; phylum Chordata; class Mammalia; order Primates; family Hominidae; genus Homo; species Homo sapiens. Next base: position 34,075,895 of record NC_000017.11, on the reverse strand, counting down.
GATGGCGCCATTGCACTCCAGCCGGAGCGACAGCAAGACTCTGTCTCAAAAAAAAAAAAAAAAAAAAAAAAAGGAAAAAGAAAAAGACTTGAAAGAGGTGAGGATGTCTGGAGGAAGAGCATTCTGAACCAAGATAACAGCCGGTGCAAAGGCTCTAAGGAGGCTGTGTGACTGGGACGGCTGAGGAATAGAAAGAAGGCTGGAGAGGAGGAAGGCAGAGAGTAACAGGGGATATCACATGGTGATGGGGGCTAGATTGGGTGGGCTGTTGTAGCTTCTTCTTCATGTGGTGCCATATGTACTGCAGGGAGTCAGGAAAGGCTAATGGTTTTCAGCTCCTCACTTCCTCCCTTCCCTTCCTCCAATTAACTAGAGCAACTACCTTTATTATCTATTTAATGTGTTGGAATCTGGTGTCAGATATTATTTAGATAAAGCTTTCTGCAACTTAAAAAGTGTTTGAAACCCACTGATTGAGTCTAGTACCAATGGGGAAACTGTGTCTCGGAAAGGGCCAGTGACTTATCCATGGCCACACAGCTAATTTTGTGGAAGAAACTGATCTCAAACCTGGGACATTGGGAAAGGGCTTTTTCTATGATCTGCGTCAGAGCCATGGGAGGTCTTGGGAGTCTGCATCAGAGCTTGTGACACACAGGCCACCTGAGTTTCAATCAGCTGGATGCCCAGACCTTCCACATTTAGGCTCACCGAGCCTATGAAGCTCTGCTCAGGGTGCTGACTTCTCCTCTCTCACAAGCACATGGTCCATTCCCAGAGCAGCTTCTTCCTCACTTTAAAGCCACACTCTGGCCGGGCGCGGTGGCTCACGCCTGTAATCCCAGCACTTTGGGAGACCGAGGTGGGCAGATCACCTGAGGTCAGGAGTTCAAGACCAGCTTGGCCAACATGGTGAAACCCTGTCTCTACTAAAATACAAAAATTAGCCAGGCGTGATGGCAGGTGCCTGTAATCCCAACTACTCAGGGGGCTGAGACAGGAGAATCACTTGAACCCTGGAGATGGTGTTTGTGGTGAGCCGAGATCGCGTCACTGCATTGCAGCCTGGGTGGCTGAGGGAGACTCTGTCTCAAAAAAAAAAAAAAAAAAAAAGAAAGAAAGAAAGAAAAAAGCCACACTCTGATTACTTGGGCCAGCAAGGCACCCACATTTGAAACTTTATAATGCTCAGAGCTACAGTGGCCCTGAAACACGTAATGCTGCCTTCCTAAGCGTGTTTTCTGCTCTGTAGGGGCTAAAGCAAATTACCTACTCGCAGGGTTTGGACTAGAATGGAGCTTAACAATAAACGCTATACTTTGGGATAGGGCCTGGCATGGGAGAGGTGGTCAGTGAATGTTATTAAGAAAATAAATCATGACAGTCTTTGGAAAAGTACACTTGTAAAGACAGACCTCCTAGCCCTATGCATAGAGAGAGGGTGCTAGAGCAGAATGGTCAATAATGTGGGGTTTGGAATAAAAATGACCCAGGTTCAGATCAAATTTCTTAACATGTCAGAGCCTCGGTGCCTGTATTTGTTAAAGGGCAATAATAACTAGATTTGGGGATCGTTAGAATTACATTGCATGCAATGTTCATTAGTTCAGTGCCTAGCCCCTTGGGATAGAGCTCTAATGGCAGCACAGAGATCCTAGCCAGTGGTTCTCAAAATACAGTGTGTATCACCATCCTCTGGAGGTCTTGTTAAAATATAGGTTGCTGGTTCTTACACTCCTGAGTTTCTGATCAGTAGGTCTGGGTTGGGGCTTGAGATTTTGGCATTTCTAACAAGTTCCCAAGTGATGCAAATGCTACTTGTTGGGAGATGAAACTTCATCTTGGTCTAAGAGCCAGTGTCTTAGACCAGGATGAGGTTTCTGGGGAGAGAAGGAACTGAAGGCCGTATATTGGCTGCATGTGCAGACAGTCCAGTTGGAGAGAGACATTTAGAGCCTTACGCAGAAGGAGGCCTGTTCTTCAGCCCAGGGAGCTGGCTGACTTCACACACCTGGGTGGCCAGCTGCTCTCACTTTACTCCATCACAGGCACTGAGATTCACAGTCCGATGAGAGGCAGCCAGCAAACAGCTCCTTCCCCTCCCACTGTTGCCCCAACCCCGTTTCTTCTGACTGGATAAGTTTTGACCTCTAGATAGACAAGCTGAGTGAATTATAAGATGCTAATGAAGAAAAGCAAGAAAATAAAGTAGGTAAGTCAAAATCAGTCTTTCTAGGTTTCTAGGATTCCTTCCCATAATTTCTCAGAGATGCTAATCATTCTGGGAACATTATGGGTCCCCGATACTTGAAAATGTTTCCATAGAAATTAATGGATCCTGTGTCTGCTACAGAAAGTTCATAGACTTTTGGCATCCCACAACCTGGCTCTCAGACCCCATATGGTTTGGCCACAACCTATACCAGCCAACCATAAAATATCTAACTTTCCCTACAGTCCTTCTCCCTCTGATAAGGTCGTAACAAAACCTATCTCTACTTTGGGTGTGCAAATCAGGGATCAGCAAACTATAGCTTGTGGGCTATATCTAGCCCATTGCCTGTTTTTGAAAATAAAGTTTTATTGGAACATAGACATACTTGTACATTTCTTTCTGTATTGTCTATGGCTGCTTTTCGGGGTGATTTCAATAGGGTGGGCACACTAGGCCCCATATGACAATGACAGACTTGAATACTTGCAACAGAGACTATAGAGTGTGCAGAATCTCAAATATTTGCAATATGACTCTTTATAGAAAAAGTTTCCTGACCCCTATTTTAAATCAAATGTCATTTACTCCATGGAACTTTGCGGAATCCCACCGAGTTGCATTCATCTCATTTTCTCCTATCACCTCCTGGTTCTTTGATCTGTGAATACGTTACCTGGCATAATGGTTTTCCATGTATATTTTTTCTCATTGACTCTATGTGTCTACGCTGACCTCTCTTTGAAATTACAAAATTTAGTACCAGGGCACGCACAGTTAAAAAAACATTTCTTAAATTATCCACTAAGCCCCCAAAGTGGGAAGAAACCTAAACGTCCAAGAGTAGAAAAAAGACCAAATAAATTATGGTGTAGCCCTATGATGTATTGCTATGTAACAAATAAAATGAGTTTCTCAGGAATATAAAAATGCCTGAGAGAAATCGTCCATCACATGAAGCGAAGATTTTTGCAATGGTTTTTATAATATAATTGCACTTTTATAAATAAGTAAAAATAATATGCAGAGGAATTAATTAAAAAGACTAGAAGGAAATATACACAACTTTTATTCATCTCTAGGTAGAGGGTTATGGGTGACTTTCATTTTGTTATTTTATTAGTTTGTATATTTTTCATTATAAGGATATATTGCTTTTAGAACCTGGGGTAAAAATTCAAGTTTTTAAAGCACTAGCAGCTGGCTCTATGCTGGCTTTGCCACGTTCTAACTGTACCGCCTTAAAAATTTATCTAGCCTCAGTTTCCTTATCTATAAAATATGGGGAAATACAGCCTTCTTCACAGGGTTTTTTAAAAACAACACAGCAAGCCCCAAAATGCCCTTCTTCTTAACAGGCTGCTGCAACAGCTGGGCTCAGCATTGAAATGGGGACCATCTGGGAGCCACACGACGGAGACTGAGTTGGCACCTTGAGAGGGAGGCAGAGCTGCGATGCACAGAGCGGTGCTGAGGCAGACTCACAGCTATGCAGCAATCGCGTCCCCAGCCCAGCACCAGCACTACTGACTGGGAAAGGACTTCTCGCCCCGATGCCTGCCCTGCTGCAAAAACCCCCTAGCTTCCTTTCAGCACAAAGCACAGCTGCTCTTTGTCTTTCATTTTCACCCTGAATCAGCTGTCCCCAGCCTACGTGGCCAGTGCCTGCCCTTCTGCACTTCCCACCCTGTGCTGTTTCTCGCCACCTGTTGTCAGCCTGCGCCTGCCATGTGACTTTTAAGAAAAAAGACAACCTTCATCCTTCCACTTAGACATTCTTTTTTTCTTAGCCAGAATCTTTCTTTCTCTCCCTAGAAAATGTCTTTGAGACTATACTTAATGATTTTTTTTTTTTTGATGGAGTCTCGCTCTGTTGTCCAGGCTGGAGTGCAGTGGCACCATCTCAGCTCACTGCAACCTCCATCTACCTGGTTCAAGCGATTCTTGTGCCTCAGCCTCCCCAGTAGCTAGGATTACAGGTGCACACCACCATGCCTGGTTAAGTTTTATATTTTTAGTAGAAACAGAGTTTCACCATGTTGGCCAGGCTGGTCTCGAACTCCTGACCTCAAGTGATCCACCTGCCTTGGCCTCCCAAAATGCTGGGATTACAGGCGTGAGCCACCGAGCCCGGCTAAGTAATGATTTTCTATTCGTTTCTTCCTTCTATCTCCCCGCCCCCTCTTCTTTTATAAGTGTCCTTATTGGATTTTTTTCTCTGATCATCGGTAGGGAAGGTGAGTGGATGAGGGAGACCAGTTAGAGGGCTGGAAAAATGGTCTCAGAAGAGAACAGTGCAGATGGTGAGAAGTGGATGTGTTGGACTAGAAATGGATAAAATCCACAGAAGTTACATATGGGAAGGATGAGGCCCACCAAGAGCCAGTGACATGCCTCAAGGTTATGTAATTGACCAAGGGACAGATCAGGGAATCTAGGCCTACATCCCTGCGGCCCCTAGACTATCTCAATACCTGGATATATCACTTATCTACTCTATTCTACATATTGTCCAGGGGTATGGAGATATCTGGCCTAATCACAATTCATCACTCAGAGTGCTGCATGTAACAAGGGTGTGTGCACACTTGAGAAGCCAAAAGGGGACCTACTGACTTCTGGACTTCTGAGAAGTACGTCATATCTTCCCACAGCTTCAGAACTTGGAGTTTCAGGGAATCTGTTGACGACTGGGCCATGGAATTAGAGGGGCATGTTTTGGACTACGAGCAGTGGAGATAAGAATCCCCAACTCATCCATCATCAGCTTTGTAAGAGTGGGAGGGCAGACTCTGCCTCTGTGGCGCTGTCCCTAAACCTCTCTTGGAGTCAGAGTACCCAGCTTAAGAAAGCACCTATGGAACAAGGTGGGTATCATGGAGTATGCAGGGAGTTAGCACACAAGGAGACATGGCACAGACTCTCTTGGCTTGTGGCCTGTTTGTGGGTCCATTATGACCAGGGTTATTGGTGTCCTTGCTGTTCTTTTCTCCCATGTGGTGGGGGTGGGAGAGAGTGGTCAGCAATTCCTCGTAGGAGCAGGTGTCCCAGTCCTGATGAGGCCATCTTGTATCTCTATGCTACATGGGACTCAGGGAGCCTATGGAGTTCTCCTCCAGCTCTTGCTTTTTTTCGGTAGAGACTTGGAAACTTTTCCCCAATGTAGCAACAGAGACGTTAAGTCCCAGCTCTGACTTCTGTCTTTACCTTTTGTTCCCAGACCATGGGGTTTAACCTCCTCTGAGTTTCTAGAAGGTACCATGAGCTACCTGTGGCTCAAGAAGGAAGGGGAATCATGTACCCAAATGGATAGAAGTTTTGAAGGTCTCAAGCAGAACCTCACATCTTCCCCAAACCTGATACTCAGTATCCCAGCTTCTGCTTGCTTGAGTACCCATTAGGCCTGAATGAAGACTGCTGGGGGCTGTAAGACCACATCACCAGGGGGTACTGCTTTATTGGTATGGTCACTTTGAAGGCAAAACTTGTTCGTGCACCAGCTTAACTTAGAGATTGTGAAGAGTCACTGAGGAATTTATGTCCATCAAAAGTGGAGATTGCTTTGCGAACTTCATAGTCAGGCTGAAAAACTGTCTCTAAAGTATACAGGTGTCAGGTATCAGATATCTTTTTTTATAGTTCAGTTACTACATTCTACTCAGCCAGTATACCTACTATGGGCCAAGCATGTACAAATTCTATTAATTAAATTTTGATTATCACCATGGAATAAATTTGGGCACTGAGTCACGGAGATTAAATAATTTTACCTGAGGTCAAGCAGACGGTTTATGGTCAGGTTGGGCTTCAAGCCTAAACCACTCTTACTCAAACGTTCATGCTTTTTCTACTTTCAAAGCCTCCCTCTGTCTTCATATCATTCTGCAAAATGGTTGCCTGAACACCTGCTATGTTGGACTTGAACTCACTACCACCCCAGATGACCAATGAATGGCTAAGAGAGGTTTGAATGTTTTGATTAGGCCTGTTAACATGTGCTTAGTCTTCCCTCTTTCTCCTCCCTCTCCTCCTCTCACCTTCTATCACTTGACTTCTGACACTTGCCTAGCCCTGGATGGAGGGACTCCCTTGTCTTCACTCAAGAAAGGGCAAGCTCAGTAGCTCAGCTTGAGGCTGTTCCTGCATCTTCAAGAAGGAGCCCAAGGCCGGGAGGAGCTTCCTCTTTCCCTGAACTAACTCAGTCAGTGATAGGCCCTGGTAATTTCTCTCTCTCTGAAAGAAAAAGAAAGAAATGAAGAAAAGAGAGGAAGAAAGAAAGAGAAAGAAGGAAAAAAAGAAAGAGAAAAAAAGGAAAGAAAGAAAGAAAAAGAAAGAAAAAAATGAAAGAAAAAGAAAGAGAGGAAAGGAAGAAAGGAAGGAAGGAAGAAGGAAAGAAAGGAAGAAGGAAAGGAAGAAAGGAAAAGGAAAGGAATAAGGGAGGGAAGGAGGGAAGAAAGGAGGGAAAGGAAGAGAGGGAGGGAGGGAGGGAAGGGAAGGGAGGGAGGGGAGAAATAAATCCTAAATTTTTAGCGTTTGCCAGCTTCTGCAGTGTAAATACTCCCATCACGGCTCATTTCGAGCCACCAAGGTGACCACTGAAAGTGGAGTTCAGAGGGGTAGGAGTAGCCCACTCTCCTGTGTCAGTGGGAGCCAGCTTCAGCACATCGTGGTCTTCCTTTCATTTGGCTTTGAGTGGCGTGGCTAATGGGTTTGTCACTCATTGCTTTTGTTTCCTCCCAGTTAAAATGCTTCACTTGCTTACTAAAAGCCTTTGACATTAATCAAGTTCTTCCTGCCAAGCTGGGCCCTACTTGGACTGTCCAGGAGTGAGTTAGGGAAGACAGCCACCACCTGCTCCCCTGAGGGCCCACTGGACAGCCAACTCATGAAAGTCCAATACCATGCCAGGCCTGGGGTGGGGCATCTATCAACAGAAAGGCATTGTCTTTAATTTTGAAACGCTAAAGGTCTGCTGTCAGGAAACAATGAACATTCTCATAAGAAACACTATTGGAAGAATGCCAGAGTCTAGACAGAGGCCTCAGTGCTGAGTGACAGAGCTTCATGGGACTTTCAAACCATTTGGTTCCACTCCATTGTTTTACAGGAAAAAGCTAAGACCCTGGGAGGGTGAGTGGCTTGCTAAAGGTCACAAAGTTATTTAGTGGCAGAGGTGGGATTGGAATCCATCTTTCTTGACATCTAGAAGCCAATTCTTTTGCTGCAGAATGGGCTGTTGGAAGGTATAATAGCTTATCGAACCAGGGAAAGATAGGCATCTCCCTTCCTCCTGCTAAGGTGATCAACTCATCCCCATTTTCCTATGAGTTTTCTATTAGCACTGAAAGTCCTTCCCTGTAACCCAGAAAAACCCTAAGTCGAGGCAGACCCCGAAAGCTGATTCCTGGTCCCCTTCTCTCATTCCCTTCCTTCCCTGTCCTTTTCTTCCTTCCATCATACATTAATGGTGCCTGCCCATAAAGACCTTAGTGTCGAAGAAAGAAATGTTGAGAAGAGGATTGTGGAGGCTGTCCTCCACACCTACCCGATTTGGGCTAGAGTTCACTCAGAACACTGTAACCTCTTTTACTAATGCCTCCACTTCTTGGTCTGCCTTTTGAAACAGAAATAGATTTATTGGATTGTAAAAGCAAGCAACCAATGTAGATTGTTAAAGAAATTAAATAATAGAGATGTATGTGTGGTAGTAAATGGATGTCTTCAGATAAACCCAGCAGCTGGACTAACAGGATAATGTTTATCCTTGAAGATAATTTCATTTATCCATCTGTCTATCATCTGTGTATCTATATATTGCTATACCATATTGTATATTACAGATTCCCATTCTGGTAAAAATTTGACCATATTAATCATGTTACTTTGTAATCTGGGATTTTCATTTAAAAACATATCATGGATGTCTTTCCACGTTAGCCATTTAAAGATTTCCTCATCCTTCACAACAGTAGCATATTCTATTGTGTGGGTATACCCCAATTTATTTACTCAATCCTATTTTTAAAGACAGTTAAGTTATTTCCATTTGAAAAATCATAAACAGCATTTTGTACAGGTATCCAGTAATCTTCTTGGGATAGTTTTTTTAGAAATAAATTATTGGGCCAAAGTATTCATACTTATAATTGTCATGCAGTAAGCCCTTTAAAAAAGCTATTCCAATTCATGTTCTCACTAACAGTCTCTTTTCCACACTCCTGTTAGCCTTCAGTATTACTGGATCAGTATTACTGATCCAAATCATTTGTCAGTTTGATAGGTCAAAAAAATTCCATTTTTAAAAAAATTTGCTTTCCTTTAAATTTCAGCAAGGATGTGAATCTTTTCACAAATCTATCAGCTATTTGTATTCTTTTTTCAATTTCTTTCATCTGAAGTCCATACTTGTACATGCCCAGGCCTCTGTGTAAACACTTACCACTACAAAGGACTTCAGAGAGCAAGCAATGTCAGCCCTAGTATTTATTCTACCAAAGAAGCCTTTATTAGTTTTCCACTGTGTAATAGGTGTGTGGTTGTGTGGCATTAAATACAAAGAAATGTGACACAATGTGCTTATTCTTGAAGGTTCCTAAAGTCTAGTATGAGAGACGGACACGTGCTCACATAACCCAGGAGAAGAGGACATGGCAGCTGCCTGAGGGCAGCAGTGTTCCGTCTTGCAGTTCTAAATTGGTAGTGCCGTCACTTTAGTTCTCTCAGATTTGAGGTTAGACACAGGGGCTTTTCTCAGAGCTGGAGCTTGATAATAAAGAATCCCACCTGTCCGAGGAGCTGAAGACATTGTGTGTTGTTTCCTGGGTGGTCTTGCTGACCTTCTCTGATTTCGAGTTCCCTGGAAACTTCACCAAACCAGTGACTCACATCTCCATGCCCAACCACCCAAAGCAGTCCACTTTGGCCCTTCTGTAAGTTCCTGGAATTCAAAAACACTGGATACAATGAGCGGAGAGGTCCCAGCCAGCTTCTGACTCCATGACTCAGCTGTCATCATGATAGATGTCATGGACAATACCCAAATAATTGTATGGGACATAATGCCTGTCCTTGAGGTGTTTGCAGGCTGAAGAGGCTTTGTGAGAATGTCTTTGCAGGCCATGTGAAAGGCTTTCAGCTGCTGGGCAGAGTTGGCACTCCACTCAGTGATGACCTCGTCCACAGTTACCTGCATCAGTGGTTCACAGCCCAGGTGGCACATTAGAAATCACCTGGAGAACATTAAAAAAACATAGATGCTGAGGACCCACCCCAAGAGGTTCCAATTCAATCAGTCTGGCATGAGGCCCAGGCAGCAGCATTTTGTAAGAACTCCCCAGGTGGTTCTAATGTGTACCTAAGGCCAGGAACCAGTGGCTTAGAGAGATCACAAAGAGATGAACGACTTAATTAACCAGTGGTTCCAGACCATTGCCTGTGTTGGTCACAATGTTATCTCCATGGTTTGTGAACTTCTTCAGTCCTTTAAGGGTAGGGATCTTGGACCTCAAATTAGAGATTTTCATCTCCTTAAGTCAGGCCTTCCCCACTCATAGTTATTCTAAAGGCACCATGTCCGGTAGTTAAGAGTGTGAACTGAGACTCAGGCCCCTGGTCTCAAATTCCTGTTCTCGAATCTAGTTCCTGTAAGACCATGGGAAAAATAGTACTTAACCTCTGTGTGCCCTCAGTTTTGTCACCTATTGTTGTGGACAGTTCTAATACTATCTCGAGAGTGTTGGTGGATTAAATAAGTTTCTAGGATGCAAAGGTGTTAGAAGAGGGGCTGGCCATCATGAACACTCTGTAAGCATTATTTTTACCACTTGGGAGAAAGGCCTTTCAGAGTCAAACCAAGCAATTCTTTTTATAATTCTCCCTTTTGATTACTCTTCTCTTGTCCTTAAGCTTGACTTTTTAACTTGTTGCATGCCCCTGTTTTCCTCTTATTCATCTACGTCCCTCTTCCTCAGAATGCAATGATCAAGACTGTAGGCAAAACCTTCCTTCCTTTCAGCATTCTAGTTGTGAAAGTTTGCCCTGGGCAGAAAGCAGCCTGTAATAACAACCCCTCAGCGGTCTTTTTTACTTTTGGAAGCCACATAAAGAAAGGTGTATAGGCTTTGGAAACAGATAAAATTGCTTTTTTAAAAAAATATGTTTTATTTTTTTAAAATTTTTCCACAAGTTATTGGGGTACAGGTGGTATTTGGTTACATGAGTAAGTTCTTTAGTGATAATTTGTGAGATTTTGGTGCACATATCACCCGAGCAGTATACACTGCACCATATTTGTAGTCTTTTATCCCTAGCTCCCCTTCCACTCTTCCCCCTAAGTCCCCAACATCCGTTGCATCCTCATAGCTTAGCTCCTACATATCAGTGAGAACATACGATGTGTGGTTTTCCATTCCTGAGTTACTTCGCCTAGAATAATAGTCTCCAATCTCATCCAACTTACTACAAGTGCTGTTAATTCATTCCTTTTCATGGCTGAGTACTATTCCATCACATATATATGCCACAATTTCTTTATCCAGTCTTTGTTTGATGGGCATTTGGGTTGGTTCTATGATTTTGCAGTTGTGAATTGTGCTGCTATAAACATGCATATGCAAGTATGTTCTTCAAATAATGACTTCTTCTCTGGATAGATACCCAGTAGGGGGATTGCTGGATCCAATGGTAGTTCTACTTTTAGTTCTTTAAAGAATCTCCACATTGTTTCCTATAGTGGCTGTACTAGTTTACATTCCCACTAGCCATGTGGAAGTGTTCCCTGTTCACTGCATCCACGCTAACATCTACTGTTTTTTTATTTTTTGATTATGGTCATTCTTGTAGGAGTAAGGTGGTATCACATTGTGGTTTTGATTTGCATTTCCCTGATCATTAGTGATGTTGAGCATTTTTTCATATGTTTGTTGGGCATTTGTGTATCTTCTTTTGAGAATTGTCTATTCATGCCCTTAGCCCACTTTTTGATGGGATTGTTTGTTTTTTTCTTATTGATTTGTTTGAGTTTGTTGTAGATTCTGGATATTAGTTATTTGTCAGATGTATAGATTGTGAAGATTCTCTCCCACTCTGTGGGTTGCCTGTTTACTCTCCAGACTGTTCCTTTTGCTGTAAAAAAAAAGCTCTTTAGTTTGATTAGGTCCCAGCTATTTATCTCTTTTTATTGTGTTTGCTTTTGAGTTTTTGGTCATGAAATCCTTGACTAAGCCAATGTCTAGAAGGGTTGTTCCAATATTACCTTCTAGAATTCTTACAGTTTCAGGTCTTAGGTTTAAGTCCTTAATCCAACTTGAGTTGATTTTTGTATAAGGTGAGAGATGAGGATCCAGTTTCATTCTCCTACAGGTGGCTAGCCAATTATCCCAGCACCATTTGTTGAAAAGGGTGTCCTTTCCCCACTTTATATTTTTGTTTGCTTTGTTAAAGGTCAGTTGGCTGGAAGTATTTGGGTTTATTTCTGGGTTCTCTATTCTGTTCCATTGGTCTATGTGCCTATTTTTATACCAGTACCATGCTATTTTGGTGACTATGGCCTTATAGTATAGTTTGAAATCAGGTAGTGTGATGCTTCCAGATTTGATCTTTTTGCTTAGTCTTGCTTTGGCTAGGTGAGCTCTTTTTTGGTTCTATATGAATTTTAGAATTACTTTCTTCTAATTCTGTGAAGAATGATGGTGGTATTCTGAGGGGGATTGCACTGAATTTTTAGATTGCTTTTGGCAGTATGGTCATTTTCACAATATTGATTCTACCCATCCATGAGCATGGAATGTGTTTCCATTTGTTTGTGTTGTCTGTGATTTATTTCAGCAGTGTTTTGTAGTTTTCCTTCTAGAGGTCTTTCGACTCCTTTGTTAGGTATGTTCCTAAGTCTTTTATTTATTTATTTTTTGCAGCTATTTTAAAAGGGGTTGAGTTCTTGATTTGGTTCTCTGCTTGGTTGCTGTTGGTGTATAGAAGAGCTACTAATTTGTGTACATTAATCTTGTATCTGGAAACTTGGCTGAGTTCTTTTATCAGTTCTAGGAGCTTTCTGGAGGAGTCCTTAGGGTTTTCAAGGTAAACGATCATATCATCAGCAAATAGTGACAGTTTGACTTCCTCTTTACTGATTTGGATGCCCTTTATTTCTTTCTCTTGTCTGATTGCTCTGGCTAGGACTTCCAGTACTGTGTTGAAGAGGAGTGGTGAAAGTGGGCATCCTTGGCTTGTTCCAGTTCTCAGAGGGAATGCTTTCAACTTTTCCTCATTCAGTATTATGTTGACTGTGGGTTTGTCATAGATGGCTTTTATTATATTAAGGTATGTCCCTTGTATGCTGATTTTGCTGAGGGTTTTAATCATAAAGGATGCTGGATTTTGTTGAATGCTTTTTCTGCATCTATTGAGATGATCATGTGATTTTTGTTTTTAATTCTGTTTATGTGGTGTATCACATTTATAGACTTGTGTATGTTAAAAAATCCCTGCATTCCTGGTATGAAACCCACTTGATAATGGTGGATTCTCTTTTTGGTATGTTGTTGGAGTCAGTTAGCTAGTATTTTGTTAAGGATTTCAGCATCTATGTTCATCAAGGATATCGGTCTGTAATTTTCTTTTTTGATTTTGTCCTTTCCTGGTTTTGGTATTAGGGTGATGCTGGTTTCACAGAATGAATTAAGGAGGGTTCCTTCTTTCTCTGTCTGGTGGAATAGTGTCAAAAGGATTGGTACCAATTCTTCTTTGAATGTCTTGTAGAATTCTGTTGTGAATTCGTCTGGTACTGAATTATTTTTTGTTGCTAATTTTTTAATTACCACTTCAATCTCACTGCTGGTTTTGATCTGTTCAGGGTATCTAAGTCTTCCTGATTTAAGCTAGGAGGGTTGTATTTTTCCAGGAATTTATCTGTCTCTTCTAGGTTTTCTAGTTTATGTGCGTAAAGGTGTTCACAGTAGCCTTGGATGATCTTTTGTATTTCAGTGGTGTCAGTTGTAATATATACTTTTTCATTTCTTAGTGAGATTATTTGGATTTACTCTATTCTTTTCTTGGTTAATCTTGCTAATGGTCTATCAATTTTCTTAGCTTTTCAAAGAACCAGCTTTTTGTTTCATTTATCTTTTGTAATCTTTTTTTGTTTCAATTTCATTTAGTTCTGCTCTGATCTTGGTTATTTACTTTCTTCTACTGGATTTGGGTTTGGTTTGTTCTTCTTTCTCTAGTTCCTTAACGTGAGACCTTAGATTGTTTGTGATCTTTCAGAATTTTTGATGTAGGCATTTAGGGCTATGAACTTTGCTCTTAACGCCACTTTTGCTGCATCCCAAAGGTTTTGATAGGCTGTGTCATTTATTGTCATTCAGTTTGAAGAATTTTTTAATTTCCATCTTGATTTTGTTTTTGATCCAGTGCTCATTCAGGAGAAGGTTATTTAATTTCCATGTATTTGCATGGTTTTGAAGGTTCCTTTTGGAGTTGATTTCCAGTTTTATTCCACTGTGGTTTGAAAGAGTGCTTGATATAATTTCAATTTTCTTAAATTTATTGAGGCTCGTTTTATGTCCTATTATATGGTCTATCTTGGAGAAAGTTCCATGCACTGTCGAATAGAATGTGTATTCTATGGTTGTTGGATGAAATGTTCGGTACATATCTAAGTCCATTTGTTCCAAGGTATAGTTTAAATCCATTGTTTCCTTGCTGACTTTCTGTCTTGATGACCTGTCTAGTGCTATCAGTGGAGGATGGAAGCTCCCCACTATTACTGTGTTGCTGTCTATCTCATTTCTTAGGTCTAGTTGTAATTGTTTTATAAATTTGGGAGCTTCAGTGTTAGATGCGTGTATGTTTAGGATTGTAATATTTTCTTGTTGTACAAGGCCTTTTACCATTATATAATGTCCTTCTTTGTCTCTTTCAACTGCTGTTGCTTCAAAGATTGTTTTGTCTGATATAAGAATAGCTACCCGTGTTCACTTTTGGTATCCATTTGCATGAAATGCCTTTTTCCACCCCTTTACTTTAAGTTTATGTGAGTCCTTTTGTGTTATGTGAGTCTCCTAAAGGCAGCAGATAGTTGATTGGTGAGTTCTTATCCATTCTGTGGTTCTGTATCTTTTAAGTGGAGCATTTAGGCCATTTACATTCAATGTTAGTGTTGAAATGTGAGGTACCGTTGCTTTCATCATGCTCTTTGTTGCCTGTGTACTTTGGTTGTATTTTGTCTTTTGTTTTTGCTTTTTAACTTGTATTTCTGTTTTATAGGTCCCGTGTGATTTATGCTTTGAAGAGATTCTGTTTTGATGTGTTTCCAGGATTTGTTTCAAGATTTAGAGCTCCTTTTAGCAGTTATTGTAGTGGTGGCTTGGTAATGGCAAATTCTCTCCACATTTCTTTGTCTGAAAATTACTGTATCTTTCCTTCATATATGATGCTTAGTTTCACTGGGTACACAATTCTTGGCTGATAATGGTTTTGTTTGAGGAGGCTAAAGATAGGTCCCAAATCCCTTCTAGTTTGTTGGGTTTCTGCTGAGAAATCCGCTGTTAATCTGATAGGTTTTCCTTCATAGATTACCTGGTGATTATGTCTCACAGTTCTTAAGATTCTTTCCTTCATCTTAACTTTGGATAACCTAATGACAATGTGCCTAGGCGAAGATCTTTTTGTGATGAATTTCCCAGGTGTTCTTTGTTATTCTTGTATTTGGGTGTCTAGGTCTTTCGCAAGGCCAGGGAAGTTGTCCTCAATTATTCCCCAAAATATATTTCCAGTCTTTTAGATTTCTCTTCTTCCTCAGGAACACTGATTATTCTTAGGTTTGGTCATTTAACATAATCCCAGAATTTTTGGAAGCTTTGTTCATATTTTCTTATTCTTTTCTCTTTGTCTTTGTTGAAATGGGTTAATTTGAAGACCTTGTCTTTGAGCTCTGAATTTCTTTCTTCTACTTGTTAAATTCTATTGTTGAGGCTTTCCAGAGCATTTTGCATTTCTAAAAGTGTGTCCAAAGTTTCCTGAATTTTTGCTTGTTTTTTCTTTATGCTATCTATTCCCTTGAATATTTCTCCCTTCACTTCTTGTATCATTTTTTTTATTTCCTTGGATTGGGCTTCACCTTTCTCTGGTCCCTTCCTGATTAGCTTAATAACTAACCTCCTGAATTCTTTTTCACGTAAATCAAGGATTTCTTATTGGTTTGGATCCATTGCTGGTGAACTAGTGTGATTTTTTGGGAGGTGTTGAAGAGCCTTGTTTTGTCATATTACCAGAGTTGATTTTCTGATTCCCTCTCATTTGGATAGGCTCTGTCAGGGGGAAGATCTAGGGCTGAAGGCTGTTGTTCAGATTCTTTTTTCTCACAGGATATTCCCTTGATATAGTACGCTTCCCCTTTTCCTATGGATGTGGCTTCCTCTGAGCAGAACTGAAGTGATGGTTGTCTCTCTTCTGGGTCTAGCCACCCAGTGAGCCTACCTGGCTCCAGGCTGGTACTGCAGGTTGTCTGCACAGGGTCCTGTGATGTGAACCATCTATGGGTCTCTCAACTGTGGATACCAGCACCTGTTCTGGTGGAGGTGGCAGATGGTGCAATGGACTCTGTGAGACTCCTTAGCTTTGGTGGTTTAATGCTCTATTTTTGTGCTGGTTGGCCCCCTGCCAGGAGGTGGCACTTTCCAGAAAGTATCAGCTGTAGTAGTGTAGAGAGGGGTCTGGTGGTGGGCAGGGCCCTAGAACTCCCAAGATTATATGTCCTTTGTCTTTTGCTACCAGGGTGGGTAGGGAACAACCTTCAGGTGGGGGCGTGGCTAGGCCTGTCTGATCTCAAACTCTCCTTGGGCGGGTTTTGCTGCAGCTGCTGTGGGGGATGCGGGTGAGATTCCCAGGTCACTGGAGTTGTGTACCGGGGAGGATTATGGCTGCCTCTGCTGAGTCACGCAGGTTGTCAGGGAAGTAGGGGAAAGCCGGCAGTCACAGGCCTCACCCAGCTCCTATGCCAACCAAAGGGCTGGTCGCATTCTCACCGTGCCCCTCCCACAGCAGCACCAAGTCTGTTTGCAGGAGGAGGGTGAGATGGGCTTGAAAACTTGCCCAAAGCTATCTGCCTCCCAGCTGCAAAAGAAAAGGGCTTTACTTCTTTCCTTGCCTATGAAGTCTGCACGCCCAATTTGCGCCCTGCCCTGAGTTCTGGCCAGGAGGCTTCTCACCCCACTGAAGTTGTTAAAAAGCTCAGCTAGAGAATTTCTTCTCCCTGTGGAGTTTTACCCTCTGCTCCTCTCGCCACCCTCCTGATGGTTCCCTGTAATGCCAGGCAAGAATGGGCTGCTTAGAGACCCAGGGTCTTTCTGTTGCTTCCTCTACCCCTGTATTTTGCTCAGCTCTCTAACTTTACTCAGCTTCAGGTAAAGTCAGAAGCTTCTCCCACAAACAGACCTTCAACCTCTCCAGTGGGGGTGTGTGTTTGGGAGAGAAGGGTCTCCCTTTTTCATTTCCGCAGTTAGAGCACTCACAGTATTTGGGGTGTCTCCCAGGTCCTGCAGGAGCAGTCCACTTCCTTCAGAGGGTCTGTGGGTCCTCTTGGGATTGCTAGTTTGTTCTTGCAGTTGATCCAGAGCTCAAATCTACAGTGCAAGCCTCCACATGCTGCTCTGTCCGGAGCTGCAATCTAGTCCTGCCTCCTGTCTGCCATGATCCCTAAACAATTGTTAAATCTTGGTTCTGCCATTTGCTGGTGGTATGAACTTGAACAAGTTCCTTCATATCACTTAGCATCACTTTCCTCTTCTATGAAATATAGGTCATAATACCTACCTAGCAGATTATCTGAAGAGAACCAAAATGACATGCTTAGTGCGGTATTTGGCACATGGAAAATGCTCAGTGAGCATGATGTCACCTCATGGAGTCCCTGGAAGACCAGCTAGCTCTGCTCTCCTCCCCTCCCCTCCTATCTTAAGTATCTGCATTCCCACAAAGAAAACGGGGATCCACATTTCTGTTCCCTAAATATGTAGGAGGAAATGCTAATACATTTCCCTGAGATCCATACAGTCAGTTGATCTAGGAGGAGAAAGAAGAGAAGGAGGTTTCAAGGACAGCGTTTCAAGGCCTGCTACCTGTCTTTGAATTGAGCAGCTAGTGCTACAGGAATGAAAGTCTGAGCTAAGCATTTGTTTTAATAATATGCTTTACCCATGAAGCCCTGGTATCCAGTTCACAGTGGGTAATCCTGGGAATGAGGACCACCAGAGATAAGAGAACAAATGAGAAAATCTGGATTCAAGGGCTGTTCCTCCAGGCTGTTTCTTCATCTATAAGGTGGTTATAATCTACTGTTGATAAGCTTGGTTCGGAAGGTGAGATGACCCAGTGAGGTGGCACATGCAGCAAGGGCTTATGTCATTCAGTATCATTGAACCCTCAAAGAAAACTCGGAGGTGCATCTTACATAGGCAGCCTCAGCAAGCTCACTGTCTAGCCAGAAGATGACATGTACAGAACCGACTCAGATATAAGGTAAAATGTAAAAAGAGATGAGAGTAAATATAGAGGTTAGCACTTAGAAATATGTAATTTTCAGGTAAGGAGCTGTGACAAGTCTTCTTGGACAAGGAGAAAGTTGAGTTAGGCTTTAGAGAAAAATAAGTAGGATTAGACCGTGTTTAGGTAGGTAGAGTTGTGCACGCACACAAGTACATGGGTGTAGGTGTCAAAATGTCTGGGACTATGGGCTCTTGGAGGTTTGTTACTACTGCAGGAGGAGGTGGGAACAAGAATAAAGCTACCTGGGAGTGTGAAAATGTGGAAAGTATTGGCTTTGGAGTTAGACAGACTTTGGTTCTATCACAGGCATTTCCAAAGTACCCTGCACAGGTACATTATGAGGTTTCTATTTTCAGCTACATGCACTCTCTCATAGTCTGAACTTCTACCTTCTTCTCTGTTTAGTTTCTATTGCCAAGCACTAGCACTAATCCTAACCCGCAGTCCTAATCCTTGACCCTCTTGCCTCTGTGCCTCGCCCTCTTTTTCCTTACTTCCTCACTTCCTGTTGCTTCCTGCCTGCAATTTTCTTTCTGTTGTATTTCCTCCCCTCCTGCAGTCACCACATTACTACAAAATCTTTCTAAAATACATATCTGATTATATCCGTCCTCCTACTAAAGCTCCAGTAATGACTCCCATTGCAGCCATAATTGCACCAAGTCCCATCATCAGACAGGCACTCACACCTCTACTGCGACAGCCCATTTCCTCAATCACACCCTCCTTGGGCTTTAACACCCACCAGTTGCTCCATCCCATGTTCAGACCTGTTCATGCTGGCTTCTCTGTTTAGAATATCCTTTCCCAATACTTCCTTCAGAGAAACTTTTAATTTAATAGTTTTTCAAGACTGAGTTTAGCTTTTCTACCTCCTGAAGAGTTTCTCTCACTTGTCTTTGGAATATTTAACAGAGGAATGTGGTATCTAACTCTCCTTGGGATCATTTACATGTCTCTATGTGTAAATAGACTTATTTGTCTCTCTACTCAGGTCCAAGTATGGGGCCTGGCATAAATTTAGTGCCCAACAAAAGGTTGATGATTAAATGAATGAATGAATAAATGAATGAATAGATAGTTTTATTAATAATGAGAACAACTCACCTATGGCTTCAGTTGGGAATGAAAAGACGAGGCAACTATTATACATTGATTATCTGTCTAATCCACTCTTTGACATTTCCCCCAGGGTATTTAAATGATTCATCATTGTATTTAAAAGTTTGAAATCCTTTGAACTGTGTTTTCACACGAATGGGTTGTTTAACCTCAAGATATGAGAGGATCCCAGCCAACGATGAGGAACTCAGCATATTTTGGGATTTTTGCAATTTGGAGATCAGGTGAAAAGTCAGAAGCATTTACTGAGGACCTGAAGGATACTGAATCAGTAGGTTATTTGGTAGAGGAGTTGAAATTGAGAAGTAAATAATATAGATTGACCTATATGGGTCAATCTGTATATTTGCACAGTTTGGACTTCTGTCTGTATTATTAATTAGTTAGTTATTCCACAGCAAATTCTTCACTTTTTAGGTTGATTTGGTTGTGGACTTCTATTTTCTCAGGCATAGAAAATATCTGAGTTGTTTCCATTGTACTGCTACTCCATGCTCCAGAAGGACATGCTTTACCACTCACAGCACTCCTTACCTACCAGCCCAGAATGTGGTCTCAGAATCTTTCTTTGCACAGTGTCACAGGTAGCTATTACCAATTACCAGAATTGGTTCATAAAACAAAACCCATTTTCCATCCCTCCACAAGATGTTGAGGTATTTTAGGGAGAAGGCAGGACCTGAGCAGTGCAGAAGCTGTGTGCCAGGTGATGGTGGGTCAGCCTCTTTCCCAAGCTGCAGGCTCCATGTGTCTGCTTAATGTCTACTCTGCCATGCCTCAGCCATTGCAAATGGAAATCCTTGGATGTTGCCTAAATTATTGTTCTTCCTCCACTTTCTTAATTGCAGTAAAAGATCCTAATAGGCACCCAGTTTTTCAAGCTAGAGACCATTCTTCCATTTCTCTCACCCCTCACATTTAATTCACTGGCAAATATTCTTGACCGTATTTATCAATATATATTTCAAATCTGTCCCCTGACAGTCTTACTACAATTACTGCCCAGTGTAAGTCATCCTAGTCTCTTTTCTCAACTACTGTAATAGCCTCTTAACTGCTTTTCTTGCCACCATCCCTGCCCCCTCTACTCTATTCCCAATGCTTAAAAACGTGTAAATTAATTCTACTCCTAGGTATTTAGCCAAGAATAACAAAAACATATGTCTACAGCAATAATTGTACAACATTCATAGCAGGTTTATTTACATTAGCCAAAAATTGGGAACAATCCAAATGTCCATCAGCAAGTTAATTGACAAACATATTGTATATTTATACAACGGAATACTAATCAGTTTTTAAAAAGCAAACTACTGACACACACAACATAAATGAATTTTAAAAACATGCTGAGTAAAAGACACAAGAAAATACCGTGTGATTTCATGAATATGAGCTTTTAGAATAAGCAAAACTAAGATAAAAAGGCAAGCACAATCATTGTTTCTTGGGGGTTAATTGGTAGGGATTGATTAAGAGGAAACAAGAAGGAACTTTCTGGGAAGATGAATATGTTCTGAGATAACAATCGGAGTTTCATTTGTCAAAATTAGGATTTGTACATTTTATTGTAAGTAAATTTTACCTCAAAAAGAGGAAAATAAAACTGTAAAAAAGACAGTAAACAAGTGGGAGGGCAGGGAGTAAATGATCTGTAAATGATGCAGGAATGGGAAATTTTTGATAATTTGTTGAATCTGGGTGATGGACACATGAAGGTTCGTTATATTATTTGGATTACTTTGTAAATGTTGGAAATTTTCCATAATAAGATGTTATTTTAACATATAAATCGAATCGTGTCTCTTCGTGGCTTAAACCAATTTAATGGCTTTCTACTGCAGACAGAGTGAAGCCTGTGCTATATGTTATGATTTAAATGGTCCTGCACCATCTAACTGCTGGCCACTTTATATCCTCTTCCTCTCTCCTCCTGTCTTCCTGTCCTTTAGTCCCACTGGACTCTCTGAGAGGTAGCTAAGTATGCCAAGATTTTTCCAAATGCAGGGCCTTTGGATGAGTCATTTCTTTGGATGGACCTCTCTTCTTCCATTCTTCACATGATTGTTTTCTTCTTGTGCTTTAAGTCTTCAAGAAGCCCTCCCAATAGATACATTTTGGTTACTTGCTCATCTATCTCCTCACTAGAAGACAGACTATGAAGGCATGCATAATGTCTCTCTCAGTTGCCATTTTATGCTAAATTCCTAGAACAGCACCTTGTTTTCTGTTTTCTGAGTCTCTATGCATCAGTGAGTGCTATCCTTCACCTATGTCATCTCCTTCAGCCCTGAGGTTAAGCATGTCCTTTTATGTTGCTCTGACTAGCACCATGGTCAGCAGTAAATTTAAAGATCATGAGACTGAGGATGCAGTTGGAGCAAATATCGGGTAGGACATGATAACTATTTTGGCATGTTTTGAAGACCATCTGGCAAATGTGTATGTGTGAATTGGAACTATGGGAGACTATTCAGAAAGGCTGGTACTGGGTAGGATGCTACCAGTATGAGTTTAGCAGCTGGTCCTTGTGATGGAAGTAATCTGGGAAAGGAGGGTACCCATACATCTCCACTCATTGCTTGAAAAAAGCACTATACTGTGAGCCAGGAAGTAGAAATTCAAGCTCTGCATTAACATGTTTCATGGCTCTGGACAAATAACAGCCTCTTGGAGCTTTGTACTTCAAAAACGTACTTCATTGACATCAATGTCTCCCAGGTAAAATGATATTGTAGCTCATAGATGTCTTGAGTGAGGAAAATGAAGAGCAATGAGGGAAAGGGACGCATGTAATGAAAACACTGATTATGACAGAGAAGCAATGGGAATAATTTGGCTAATCAATCCATGTACCTGTTGTTAGGAAACTGGACTAGAGCACATGCAAGATTATTTACAGAGTTAGTATTCCATGAAAAGAACATACGGTTGACTGCTCTTTCATCTCTTGTGCAGGTTTGCGGTACTTATGACTCCCACTCTACAAGGTCTGCTCTGGTCTGAGTCCTTTGCTCTCGTTTTCCATTGTCTCTTATGCTGGGGAAAACAAAGACAAACCCTGTACAGAATGGAGGTCTTATAGGTACCTGAGTCTTGTCAGGGACTGAGAAAGGAAGACTCTGGGCATGGCTTTCATAGACAGAGGAGCACACCAACAATATCTGCCAATTAGTCCCACCTATATTTGGTTTCCTCCACCTTAAAGATGGACTTCTTCCAAATGCCAGTACCTGCATATGATTAAGCAGGTGGGCTTTGAAGCCAGACATCCTGAGTTTGAATAATCCCAGTTTTTCCACCTCTATGCTCTTTGATCTTGAACTCAGTACCTAATTTCTCTGTCTCTCAATTTCCTTTTATTACCAAATGTTTATTTGAAATTAAATCTTACCTGTCACACAGGTTAATTGGGCAGATTATGTGGGCTAATGCATGTAAAAATGTTTAGTGCACAGTGTGGCATATAGTATATACTCAATAAAGGTCACCTATTATTAATATCTTTAATACTGTGGGATGTTGCCCATATGGAAGTAATCACTTCAGCTCTGCTTATAACCTGGGAAATGATTTGATCTTTTTCAAAATGCTGTATTTATCATCAAGAGTTACAAAGACAACAATAAACAGCCACCACCCACCCAGCTTTGCACAGAGGCCATAATGGCACTAAGGCCTGGGAGAGCATTTCCAGTGTCTTCAGCACAGGGAGCTCTTAGAGGGCCTGACTTTTATGAGTGTGTAAAATGCCTGTGGACGCATTAAACTTAATATACGATCATAATAACAATGGAGCCGCCAGCCTGAGAGAGAGGCAGCAACCCAGGGAGAACAAAATTTGGAGGCATAAAGCATAAGAAGGAAATGTTTTGTTTTTTTTCTTAGGGGTTGATCAGTGGTTGGAACATGAAGGGAGTGGAATAAAGGGCAGAGGATGTGGTGAGCAGCTTGGAACAGCAAGCACTGCAGAAGAGATTTTATCCCTCCAAGCCTAGGTCTGGTGCATGAGAACTAAGTATAAAATTGGAATAGTCAGAGGAAAGGAGGGTGGAAGGAAGGAGAAGGGAGAAAAGATGAGGGATGGAAAAGTGAGATTTGGCTGGGCATGGTGGCTCACACTTGTAACCCCAGCACTTTGGGAGGGCGAGGCGGGTGGATCACCTGAGGTCAGGAGTTTGAGACCAGCCTGGCCAACATAGTGAAATCCCATCTCTACTAAAAATACAAAAAAAATAGCTGGGCATGATGGCAAGCATCTGTAATCCCAGCTACTTGGGAGACTAAGGCAGCAGAATCGCTTGAACCCGGGAGGCAGAGGTTGCAGTGAGCCTTGATCACGCCATTGCACTCCAGCCTGGGCAACAAGAGCTAAACTCCATCTCAAAAAAAAAAAAAAAGTGAGATTCATAGGCAGGGTTATTTACTAGGGATGAGGAAGACAGAGCAGTTGTGTTGGGTACAGCCACAGAAAGAGGGTGGAAGGATGGTGGGGAGGCAATAAGTGCAGCATGTATACAGTCCAGTCACATGTTCTACAGTCCAAAGTAATCGTCGCCATTCTCCGTGTAGACTCCCACTTGCCATGAACAGTCTTTTCGGAGATGGGATTTTTGGAGGATTCCGGTGGCAATATATCCCAGTCACAGGAATGTTATCTAAAGGGAGAAAGTCTCAGCATTTTGGTCCCTGAAACTATCAAACTGAAGATAAGAGGTGGCACTAAATGCCGTATGTGGGGGCAGTAGTACGATTTCAAATGTTTCTTGGCTCAGGGGCAATAAGGTCTGGAAGGATCAGTGGTGGTTTGTCAGCCAAAATGCTGCTCCAACATTTTTCATCTTGTAATGAGGCTGAGCTTTCACACAGTCAGTGCTTTGGAACAAATTGTTGCCAGTGAGTGAATGAATGAATGAGTGGATGGATGGAGGGATGGATGGATGGATGAAAGAGTGGATGAATCAATCAAGAATGAGAACCAAGTATCTGACCTACTAATCCATCTCTATTCCCTTAGTGCTAAGCAAAATATATTCACATAACCAGGAGCCAAACCATTTTAGGGCAAGATGTTCTTCAAATTTAATGTAGACTTCCAGCTACCAGAAGGAAAAAACTCACTCTCTCGCTCTCTCGCTCTCTCGCTCTCTCTCTCTCTCTGTGTGTGTGTATGTGTGTGTGTGTGTGTGTGTGTGTGTGTTCAGAAAATTCTAATTATTTTAGAATTCATGCTGATGATTCCAAACATTTTGTAAATTAATTTTTCTCTCTTTACCTTTCAGCTTGGAAGGAAGACAGAAGCCTTAACCTCCAGGGTAACATGTTGCAATTTGTTCACTTATTAATCTAACAAGAATGCACTGAGGTGCTCATTAAATGTCAGACCTTGTGTGAGGTTGAGGAAATCCAAAAGCAAAGGAGGCATGAACCTCCATGCCCATTCAGAAGGGCACCAGGCCTTTTAAGAAGGGTGGATATGCACAATTTGAAAATAACTGATAGTCCTGACTTATCTTTGCAATTAATAAGGCAATTTCATACACATTTTCTACTCTGATCCCCAGATCACCAATCCAATTTTACAGGTGAGGGAATTGAGGCAGGCTGAGGGAGGTTGCGGCTAACCCAAAGGTGCACAGCTGAAAGTGGTAGAGCTAAGGACCCACCCAAGTGTTCCGAGAACAGATCCTGTGCATTTTCCACCACAGCCCTGCTCCAGGATGCTAGTCCCTGGCACTGGTAACATTTGGATTCACTAGAGGGAGATGAGCTAAGAGGATTAAAGAGGAGTCACACGTCACCAGTTTGCTTGCTGCCATGAGCTTGTTTGAGAAAGGGATTAGTTGTGATGTTGCTAGTATCAAGCAAAATCACTCTTTTTTCTCTGCTGTTCTCTGGAATTTGGCATTTCTGGACAAACCAACCTACACCCAAGAGTTGCAGGAAAGCAATTGCACAATAAAGAATCTTAAGTCTGGAAGTGTTTCTTTCTCCAGATCAGCAGCAGAGAGAGCAGGTTTGATTCATGGAAATAAACACCTATCTGCAAGCCTCAATCACAACCCATTTCATCTGAAGTGGTCATGCAGGCATTCAGGCATCTGCAGGCTGTCCTTTCCTGGAAATAGTGAGGAGCTGGGTACTAGAGCTGAAACCCTGGCCATCCACATCTTGGCCTCATCCTTCCAAAGTGCTCCTTTTGTCTTCCTCTGAGTGCTCACAACATTTTGAATTTCTCATTTATCATCTTTTGCTCTGCATTAAAGTGGTTGTGTGATTGTGAACACAACTTACACATGCTCCTATGTGGTCTATAAGCTGCTTGAGGTTCGGGTGATGTATTCAGAGTTGCTTCTTCCTTTCATCAAGCACAGAGTAGATGTTCAATGAAGGTCTTTTGTATTTAATGAGATGGAAACTAAAAATAGATATCAGTTTTTAGAGGATTAAAATCCATAAACGGACAGAAATTCTCCAATACAGAACATGTTCACAGGACCCTGATCTTTGAGTTCTGTGATTCTGATATTCTGATTAAGTGGGAAGAGATTTTTCAAGAATCTTGTGCAGCCAGGCAGCTTTATGAGTAACCGTGCCAGCCTTCACATCCCCTCCCCACCCCCCAGAGAAGCAGGTCTTTTTGCCACCTCAATGTATCTGCATATAACAGACCTGGCATTTCCACTGCAGTAGCCCCAACCTGTGCATGCTTTTGAAGTTGTAAAAAATAGCTCCGTTTTCTGCCCTTTCACGAAGTGGTGACAAATAATCTCTGCTGCAATTTACACATTTCCTGGCAATCATAAACTCTTGTCTCATGAGAGAAGATGGACTGTGTTATATTTTCTCTGTTTTCTTCTTGGGCTATTCTTTGCCTCCCAAGGTTCAGGCATGTGGAAAGATAATGGTGCTCAGTTTTGGGATGGGGATCAGAGTATAATATTGTTATGCAAAATCATTCCAGTATCTTTGCTTATTTGATATACTCATACCTTCTTCTAATCTGTTTCAAACATTTTCCATGTGCCAAACCATGCTTGTTGCTGGAGACTCAGAAATAGTTGGGGACTCAACTCTGCTCTCACAGTTGAGGAGTCAGGCAGGTAAACAGAGAATTTCAATATGTGAGAAACAGGGTTTATTGAAGGTCCAACATGAACACAGAGGAGAGAGTAATTACCACCGTGGAGCAGGTTTGCTGGAGATTATCAGCTTGGGATTCCTGTCGGAGGAAGATTCTCTGAAGGGTTTTGAAGTTTCAAAGGGTAAGTAGAATTGATCAGATGAATAGAGGCAGAGAGAGGGACTTTGAGTTGAAAGGAACTGCATGTTTTATATCATGCAGATGTGAAATATTACAGTGGGTTTTGATAAAGGATGGAGTTTAGAAGTGCATGACCATTGGATCTGACTGGGAGGTGGGAAGCCAGAGTGACCAAGGTGTTCATGAGCCCCACTGGGGAGGATGGGCTTGATCATGGAGGAGTTTGGAGCCAAGGAGAGGTGGAAGCAGAGAAGGACAATGTGAGAGCAGTGTGGTGGGTGGGCAGGAGAAGGGTGAGATGTGCAGCAGGGAATGCAGCCTGTTCCTGGAACGGGACAAGACAGAACCTTGGGCCATTTGGACCTTAGTTCAACTCAGGAGGGCTCTTCTACCATCCTGGAGTTTCCCCTTCCAGGACTATTGCCTACAACATATTTCTTGTTTGTTTGTTTGTTTGTTTTGAGACAGGGTCTTGCTCTGTTGCCCAAGGGAGGAGTGCAGTGACACAATCCATGGTTCACTGTGGCCTCGATCTCCTGGGCTCAAGTGATCCTCCCACATTAGCCTCCTCAGCACCTGGGACCACAGGCATGCACCGCCACACTTGGCTAATTTTTAATTTTTTTGTAGGGACAGTCTATGTTGCCCTGGCTAGTCTTGAACTCCTGGGCTCAAGTGATCCTCTTCTCTCATCCTCCCAAAGTACTGGGATTACAGATGTGAGCTACTGCTCCTGGGCACCACAACATATTCCTAAATGTCATTCTTACCTCAGAACATCACAAAACATGATATACCCATCAGGAGGGACGATTATTACCGCACAGTCTGTTCTCTGGAATTATTAAAATCATATTTAATTTTCACAGAGAAGCAGAGCCCCCAAGTCAATCAATAAATATATTTCATAAATAGAATGGTGTTCACTATGTTGCTGGTCTATAGTTCCCACGACAGCACCAACATACCATCTCTTATCTGCACAACATCCGATGGAAGACTGTGTTCACACATAGCACGCCATGCCCTCTCTTGTAACCTACACAATTCTTGTGAGCTGGAAAGAAAGGAGTGATGGTCTAGATTTATGGATAAAGAAATTGAGATAGAGCAGTTATGTAATATGTCCAAGGTCGTTTAGCTGTAAAGTGCCAGAACTGGGATTCAGAACCAGTTCTTCTGATTTCAAGTCTCTTTACTGCACAATAGGACTTTACAGGTAAAGATGGTTTGGGAGATGATAGGCAGATAGGCAGCTTCAGCAGCAGTGCTGAAAATAAAGCAGAGCAGAGAGAGGCTGTTGAGCATCTAGGATTCATTCCATTGCAATCTACTATCTTTCCTTGCAAGCTACCGAGTTCAACTTCTTTAATTTAAAATGAAGGAATCTGAAGCACCAAGAGGAATGTAGTACAAGAAGTTGGTAAGTTTTGAGTTTATTTCTCCGAACCAAATTTTAGAAGAATGTAGAAAAATAAGGTAGCATGTTCAGGAGAGAGAATGGCAAGGGGTCTCAAAGTCATGACATTTAGAAATAGCTAAGAGAATGAAGAAGATGTATCCTAGAAGTGAGAGAACTCAGAACACACAGGCAGTTAGACATGCTGTGTGTGGCCCTGAGAAATATCCATAAATCAAAGTGTGGACACTCCCAATGGATGGGCTTCCGTTCACTAGAAGAAAAATCTCTCCAAGAGTGTTCCATCAAAAACTGGAACTGTTGTGTTAGCTCATAATGAGCTCCCTGTTTTTGAAAGGGTCCAAAGCCCTATTGAGGATATGGTGTGGAGTTTAAGCATTATTTGAGGTTGTATAATGTTTCCTTCTGACCTGGCAAATCCAGGATTCTCATTTATGATTTATTGATTTACTAGGGTGTAAACTTTGTCCGAGTGGGGACCATGCTTGTTTCTTTTACAAGTTTATCTTCAGTTCCTAGAATATTGACTGACTTATGAGGGCTGCAGTCTCACAGTGGAGGCAGAGGTACCAGAGAGTGAGCCCATGCATTCAAAGCTCTTGAGACACAGGCTCAGAACTGGCACATTGTCACTTCTGCAGCATTCCATTGGTCACAGCAAGTCAGCAGAACAGCCCAGATTCAGGGAATGGAAAGATTCCAACACTTTGTGGAAAGAACCACAAAGTCATGCCGCAAAGGGCATGGATATAATCAGGGGTGGGAAATTTGGCCCATTGGTGTAATCAATATACTCCAGTCTTTTTTTTTTTTTTTTTTTTTTTTTCTGGAGAAAGGTGTACATCATGTTAAGAATAGCAAAGATCAAAGTCAGAGCCATGTTATAGAATATTAGAATCATGGCTAGAAGTAGGGATGAAGGGCTGGGAGGTTAAAATATGAAAGGGGGTTTTGGGACATTGTGAAATGAGGGTTTATGGTGAATGTCACGGTAGGAATCTGTAGGCTTCATGAAGGTTGAGATGATATCTGTCTTGTTCATTAATGTATGATTTGTTACTTCACAAAGTAGGTGCTCATTATATATATGTTGAATAAATGAATATGTTGAATACATACACGTATGTATGTGTGAATGGGTAGCCCTGGTAATGGGAGCTGTATTCTGTTTGGAGAAATGGTTAAGTGCATGGTCTTTGGGGCCTTGCAGACCTCACTTTAAATATCAGCTGTACCATTTATTAGGTATAAGACATTAATGAATACCTCTGACCTTTAGTTTTCTAATCTATAAAGATGGGAATAGTATGTCCTCAAAGGTTCATTTTAAGGACTAAATGAGATAGCATAAATAAGTTCTGTAGCCCAATGGCTGGCATGGAGAGTTCTCAAAAATTGGTAGCTCTTGTGATTAGTATTGGGAGGGAGAGGATTGAAGGTATATGTGGTTCAGCTGGGAGTAAATCTAACAGACAGGGAGTTCTATAAGGGAAGCCTACCCCCCAGGCCTGAAAGAACAAACTGGAGCTTGTATTACTCTTCTTTTACAATCAAAGACAACAAAATCACCCATAAAAATGTTATTAACAACATAACAGCTTTTGCTTTTCTAAGTCCCAGCTGCTATGTTTCCCATTCAGTACTATACAAAGCCATTCGTTTCCATGGTTTTTCATCTCTAGTCCTTTGAGTGAGAGTTGGGGTAGGTACTGGTGTGGGAGGAGGGCAGCATGGAAATAAGTTGGGAATTTATGGATAAAAATCTTACCTCCTCCATGTTTGGAACCAAGCTGGCTTCCAGTCCTTGGCAGAAGGTCATCTGCATGGGCTTGGCCAGCCAGCATTGATTAATTCCTGTGACAACATATCCCATGAAAATGAAATGTCTTTTTAACAAATAAATTTTCAATGATCAATTTCTCTCAAGTACTATTGCACAACCCAAAGCTCCTAACCCTAATCCAAACCTCTAACTATAGTCACCAGCCTTTGTAAGGTTGTCACTTATAACATTTACCTCTGGCACCTGTTTTGGTTATCTGTTGCTTCGTAATAAACCAGTCCAAACACTTAGTGGCTCAACATAACAACTATTTATTTGCTCGCAAATTGGTAAATTGGTTAGGGCTCAGCTGGAAAGTTCTTCTGCTCATCTTACCTGGTCATGTGACTGTAAACATCTGGAGCTCAACTAGGGCTGAAAATTCAATATGGTTTCATTCACATGCTTGATGCCCCAGCAGAGAGATGGCTGAAACAGTGGGAAACTAAAAAGGCATCTCTGGCACCCCATTTGGTCTCTCTAGCAGGGTGGTCAGGCCTCTTGACATTGTGGTGCAGGACTCCAAGAGGGCAAAAGTGGGAGTTTTCTGGTCCCCAAAACCCTATACTCTAAACTGGCATGGTGATACTACCTCCATATTCCATTGAGCAAAGCAATTTGCAAGGCAGCCTAGTTTTGAGGGAAAGAGACTCATTTAATCTTTTAATGCGAGGAATGGTGTCTGTATACAGGGTTATAAGAAATTGTCAGTGACCTTGTTTGTGTAGGAACTACCCCAGTTTTCTTCTTCCTGCCCTTCTCTCCTGCAGGACCAATTTTGCTTTCAGCCAGAGGTAAACTAGTCTTTGTCGATGTGTTACTTTATGACCCTTAAGGCCTCACCTCTTCTGAACATAAAACAACTCTTTAATCCCTTCATTCTGCAGAAGACTAAACAGAAGTCCATGCAGGGAAAGTAACTTGCCGAAAGTCATATAGACAGACAGTAGCAGTGGGGATGCAGCCTACACTTCCTGAGGCCTTGGTCAGTGGTCTTGAAGTTTTTCCATTAATCTTCTTGGGAAAGACTGAAAATCATTGAACCCAAAGGTGGAATTCCTGGTATAGTCTCAGCAGGTAGAAGAGAGATTAGGGGCTCCCAGTTTCAAAGAAGACTACAGCTTTAATTATCTTCTTTTAAGAGTGTTAATTCGTGTAGAAGTAGCTACTGTGGAACTTGTCTTGTTCCCTGGCATAACTCTGGCTCACATTGCCCATGGGTAGTATTTTAGTTTGCCTTACATGGGGATGGGGAGGATGTGCTTTGGGAATATTACTACCTGTGTTGGTAAAGAAGAGGGGATGGAGGGGAAGAGTGGTGGAGTCTTTTTGGATGCTAGGCAGGATTGTTTGCTGTGATGGTGCCAGGCACAGGCCTGCACAGGTTCTCAGGATCTGGAAGGAAAGGGTAGATGGTGCCACGTCCACATTCCTCCCAACCCCTGGTCTCATTAAGCACGTCCCTCTATGGAAGGACTCACCACACCTAGGAATCATTTTCCTCATCCAACTTCCTGTGTTCGACTGTGAGCTCACTGAGGACAGAGGCAGAAAACAGTTTTGTTCATCTTTGGACACTTAGTATGTGTCTCAGAGAAGACGCTGAATAAATAAATCAGAGTAACTCCAAGTAATAGTCTTCCAGAGGCATTTGAACCATGGGATGCCAAGATGATGAGGGGCAGCCCAAGAGGAATGTGAAGTCTTCATCAGCAGGACACTGCAGATGAGAGGATGTGCCTGCTGGAAAGTCTCCAACCAGGGCTCCTGGACTCATCCCCAGGCACCGTTCCTTCAACTCCAGACAAACACGTCCACTAAAGGCCACATCCTCTGAGGACTTCTCAAGTGGAAGAGAGATGGAGAAACAGACGAATTTGGTATTTACTTTTCTGATCCTCCTCTAGGTGCCTCCTCATTGAAAAGTTCTGTCCTCCTCCAAGGGGATGTGGGTCAAGCTGCAGAAATTGAGATTAAAGTTCACCCTTGTCATGGACCATTTTAGGAACGCCTGGCCGCTTTCAAAATGGGCTTCTTCCCCCACCTCTCCGTTCTCTGCTTCTGAACCACAGCCGCATCCTATTTGCAGCCCTCGAGATTAAGGATGAAAATTTGACTTTTTAATTTTATTATTCTTGTTCTTCCTTCCTACTTCATTAGAATCATGTTATTGGCCTAAAATACTGTATGTAAAGGATGCTCTGGGGCCCATCTGGAAGCCTGCATTCTCTGGGGATATAATTACGCTAAGCAATTTTTCACCAGGGACAGCATGACTTAGCTTCTACCTGGGCATCCTCTGGCAACACAGCCCTCAGTTCTTCCAAAGGGATTGGCTGCTGTCCCTTCAGGCCTTCTTCTTGGTGTGTGTGTGTGTGTGTGCGTGCGTGTGTGTGTGTGTGTGTGTGTGTGATTCAAGGGTATGGCCCACTTTTATTTTGTATGAGCTGTTTTATCCATAAAAACAAAGATAATTTGTTGCATCTTTGTGTGTCCTCAACAGGGAGGGTATGCATGCCTTTGGAATAGTAAAGGTCACCAATTTTGTATTGTGTGCCTCTCCATCAGGGAATTAGAACTTGACCCATTTTTGCTTTCATGACTGGGCCAGGGAGGGAGACTGCAGCTGAAGGCAGGGAATTGCACTCTTGGTTCCAGCCCTGTCCAAGGTCACAGAGCTCAAAGGCCACCAGCCAGGATTCAAAACACACCCAGTCCATTGCCCCCATCTGCAGGAGGCCTCAGCTCCTAGGGGCTTTGGTTTTCCCCTCTATGAAAAGAAACTAATAACCCTCACCCTGCTCATCTACAGAACACTTGTGAGAAATCATTAAATTAGTGAAGGTAAAAGTGTTTTAAATTCACTCAAGTAAACATTTGCTGAATGTCTACTTTCTGCATGGATTAACAGAGTTCTTATCCTTGCAGAATTGTGACCATGCAAACTATAAATTCTAAAGCACTAAACAAATGGAAGGTTTTAAAATTTATATATTTGAAATCATTTTGCATTGTAGGAATAGAAAAATGTCTGTCAAACCAAAAGTGCCTAGGCATCTACTCCTGGCTACACAGCCTTAGACCTCTTTTGCTCTTCCTCCTAATAATGTTACTGCTTCCCATCCCCCCTCCATTTAAGGCATTTGTTTAGCCACAATCAATGCTGCCTTTTATCACATACCATGTAATAACCTTTAAAAAATAAACCTATTTACTAAAGCACAGCATACATATAGAAAAATAGAAAATTCACAAGTTTACAGTTTAGTGCATTATGATAAGAGGATACCACCATAAATGAATCACCAGAACCAGGGAATACCGCATCACCAGCATCCCTGGAGCTCCCATCCTACCCTGCCACCATGCCCTTCCTTCTTCCCTAAAAGTCAATGCTCTCTTAATTTCTAACACCATGGGTTTATTTCATGTATATTTTCATCCTTCTGCATGTAAAATCATGCACTATGTATTCTTTTGTGTCTAACTTATTTTGCTCAGCTTTATGTTTGTGACAATCATCCATGTTGCTGTATGTAACTGCAGTTTGTTTATTGTCATTGCTATATAGTATTCTGCAAATATATAAATCAACATTTATTTATTTTACTGTTGAAGAACATTTATACTGTTTCTAGTTCGAGGCTATTATGAATAAAGCTGTTGTAAACATTCCAATGCATGTCCTTAAAATAGCTTTATTGTATTATAATTGGCATAAATTGCTAATAAACTAAATCTCAACTAAATTATAAGTTCCTAAAAAGCAATAAAAAGTACTAAAACTCTTTCTCCGCAACAGCTCAAACCAAGTGCTATCCCAAATTATACAATTTGATAAGTTCGGATATATATGGATGAAACCATCACAGCAATCAAGATAGAGAACAAATTCATAGTCCCCATCAATGTTTTCTTCTGTCCTTTTGTCATTCCTCCCTCCTGTCCTTCCCACACCTTACCACTGTCTCCAGCCTTCCACTGATTGGATTTCCCTTACTAGATACTAATTTGCATTTTCTAGAATATTATGTGGATGGAATCATACAACGTGTGCTGTTTTTAGACTGGATTCTTTTACTCGGGATAATTACTTTTGAAATTTATTCCTGTTTATGTATGTAATTATTTGTTCTTTTTTATTGTTGAGTAGTATTCTATTGTTTATCATTCACATGTTGATGGATGTTTGGGTTGTTACCAGTTGTGGGTTATTACACATAAAGCTGTTTTAAATATTCATATATAAGTTTTGGGGGGACATATGCTTCCATTTTTATTAGGTAAATATGTGAGGTGAAAGGGCTGTGTCATATAATAAGTGGTTGTTTACATTTTTAAGAAACTGCTAAATTGGATTCCAAAGTGGTTGTACCATTTTATATTCCCACCAGCAGCATATGAGGATTATAGTGCTCTACATACTTATCAAAAGCTTGTCCTCTGGATTTAAAACATTCTAGTAAGTGTGCAGTGGAATCTTCGTGTGAGTTTGTCCTACAATTCTCTAATGAGAATGATGTTGAGCAAATTTTCCTGTCTTTTGATGAACATATGGACATATTTCTGTTGGGGATATGCCTAGCAGAATAATTCCTTGGTCATAAGGGACATGATCAGGTTTGTGTTACTAAAGGGTACTCCACAGGATGGATCAGAGGGAGGAATATTAAAGGTGAAAGACTACTTAGGAGATTGCAGTATGTGTTTTCTTCTGCTAGTCCCTGTCTCCTGAATCCCAACTAAATTCTAAGCTTCTAGAAAGCGATAACAAGCATTAAAAGTCTTTGTTTCTTTGCCAGCACCTCACACCAAGTGTTAGCCCCACTGAGAGGGGGGAAGAACTAACTTGGTTTGAGGGTTAGTGTGTGCTATGTATTTCTACATTTGTTATAGTATTTACTTCTCTGACACCATATGAGGAGTTAATATCCACAAGTGACAGCTAGGGAAGTGAGCCTCAGGGAAATATGCAATTTCCCAAGGTCTCGGAGCTTATAATAAGGGGAGGTGGAGTTTATAACAAGTTTGATGTCAAAGTTATCATTCTTTCTATTTCACGACCTTGTCTCCCTTTGATCATATTGCCTCTTAGATGCTCAAAGAAGAAAAATCTGAGTGATTGAATAGAAGTGCATTTGAGGACTCTGTGGAGAGGCTCTTGTCATGATTCAAGACTGTTGGCTTAATGTTCAGAGGCTCTCCTGGGCTCTCCAACCAGTCTCTTCTTCTGCCTCCGACCCAGGATAGTTGGGAAAGAATTTCCAGTAGTCACATCGGTAATGTGGAACCCTACTGTCTTTTGCCCAAGTTCAACTCTTGTGTTGTGAGAGCCTTCTCTTTCTCAGCAGAGAACCATATGCTCCTTTACTCATTTTTGCATCCCCCTCCAGAGCATAGCACTGTGCTTTGCATATGGTAGACCCATTTGGTATTTCTCCTTGTTGAGATATATGCTTTCCCACTTCCCCATTAAGCTGAGCTGCCTCTTGAAAAGAGCAACATTTGGATCTCCATCTTTTCTTGGAGTGGTTGTGTGTCCCTGTGCAAATTACTTAATCTCCCTGATACTCTGTTCCATCATTTGTAAAATGATCAAAACGGTAATAGCTTCCTCCTAGGATAGTTGTGGCAATTGCATGATGACTAGTTAATGATGTTAACTCTTATTATATTTTGTTACTGTAGTTATATTTGGTGTTTTTCCCTCAAACTTAACTATTGCTTCAGTAATAATAGGAACTGGCTAATTCTGGAAATGTGAGAGGTGAGGCTGGGGAAGGGGAGAGGTGAGGACACTGGAAACTACCCTTGAAGCAGTTCCAGGCCCATGGCTGTCACCTGCAGCACCATGCAATGAAGAGGACTCAGGCTGTGAAGCCCAACAATGATGACTCTCTCACCTGGCAGCACTGTTAGCTTGTGCAAGTCACCCTACCCTGTCTAACCCTTACTTTCTGCCTCTGTAATAGGTAGATGGTTCCCATATAAAATTGGCAGGATGATTAAGTGAATAAACAAATTCAGGGGGCAGCGGGGACCCCCCCCACCTTCCTCGTCCCCTCCCCCTCCTCCCCCACTGTCGGCGCTTCCCCCACCCCCCAGGACCCCCCCTGCCTCCCAGCCGTGCAAATCTCGCGAGGAAACACGCGGTTTCACTAGTGTGTTTACACCGATCACTACTAATCCGGACCGAACCGATCCGGATTAAGGGGCCGGAGGCAGGTCCTGGGCACCAGCGGTTCCGACACCCCCGCCCTCCGCGCCGCACCCGAGTGGCCCCCAGCCGAGCGGGCCCCCACCTCCTGACCTGGCCTGGGCCCTCCTGCGCCTCCCTTGGCCTTTGTCCGGCGCCAGGAGGCCGGTCCCGTGGCCGCCCGGGCCCGGGGCCGCGTCGGGCGCCTGGCTCTGTACGCGAGCCCGGG
This sequence comes from Homo sapiens, assembly GCF_000001405.40. Classification (NCBI taxonomy): domain Eukaryota; kingdom Metazoa; phylum Chordata; class Mammalia; order Primates; family Hominidae; genus Homo; species Homo sapiens. The sequence continues at coordinate 34,040,087 of NC_000017.11, read as the reverse complement.
GATCTGCGGCCTTCGTGCCCCCCCTCCCCCGCCCGCCCTCTCGTGGAGCCCGGCGCCGGCGGTGGCTGCCCGGGCGGGGGGTTGCGGCGCTCAGGAGAGGCCCCGGCTCCGCCCCGGGCCTGCCCAGGGGGAGAGCGGAGCGGTCCGCAGCCGGGTCGGGTCGGGGTCCCTCCAGGGAGGAGCGTGGAGCGGCAGCGGCGGCGGCGGCAGTAGAAATGATGGAAGAATTGCATAGCCTGGACCCACGACGGCAGAAATTATTGGAGGCCAGGTTTACTGGAGTAGGTGTTAGTAAGGGACCACTTAATAGTGAGTCTTCCAACCAGAGCTTGTGCAGCGTCGGATCCTTGAGTGATAAAGAAGTAGAGACTCCCAAGAAAAAGCAGAATGACCAGCGAAATCGGAAAAGAAAAGCTGAACCATATGAAAGTAGCCAAGGGAAAGGCACTCCTAGGGGACATAAAATTAGTGATTACTTTGAGTTTGCTGGGGGAAGCGGGCCGGGAACCAGCCCTGGCAGAAGTGTTCCACCAGTTGCACGATCCTCACTGCAACATTCCTTATCCAATCCCTTACCGCGACGAGTAGAACAGCCCCTCTATGGTTTAGATGGCAGTGCTGCAAAGGAGGCAACGGAGGAGCAGTCTGCTCTGCCAACCCTCATGTCAGTGATGCTAGCAAAACCTCGGCTTGACACAGAGCAGCTGGCGCAAAGGGGAGCTGGCCTCTGCTTCACTTTTGTTTCAGCTCAGCAAAACAGTCCCTCATCTACGGGATCTGGCAACACAGAGCATTCCTGCAGCTCCCAAAAACAGATCTCCATCCAGCACAGACAGACCCAGTCCGACCTCACAATAGAAAAAATATCTGCACTAGAAAACAGTAAGAATTCTGACTTAGAGAAGAAGGAGGGAAGAATAGATGATTTATTAAGAGCCATCTGTGATTTGAGACGGCAGATTGATGAACAGCAAAAGATGCTAGAGAAATACAAGGAACGATTAAATAGATGTGTGACAATGAGCAAGAAACTCCTTATAGAAAAGTCAAAACAAGAGAAGATGGCGTGTAGAGATAAGAGCATGCAAGACCGCTTGAGACTGGGCTACTTTACTACGTCCGACACGGAGCCAAATTTACTGAGCAGTGGACAGATGGTTATGCTTTTCAGAATCTTATCAAGCAACAGGAAAGGATAAATTCACAGAGGGAAGAGATAGAAAGACAACGGAAAATGTTAGCAAAGCGGAAACCTCCTGCCATGGGTCAGGCCCCTCCTGCAACCAATGAGCAGAAACAGTGGAAAAGCAAGACCAATGGAGCTGAAAATGAAACGTTAACGTTAAAAGAATACCATGAACAAGAAGAAATCTTCAAACTCAGATTAGGTCATCTTAAAAAGGAGGAAGCAGAGATCCAGGCAGAGCTGGAGAGGCTAGAAAGGGTTAGAAAACTACATATCAGGGAAGTAAAAAGGATACATAATGAAGATAATTCACAATTTAAATATCATCCAACGCTAAATGACAGATATTTGTTGTTACATCTTTTGGGTAGAGGAGGTTTCAGTGAAGTTTACAAGGCATTTGATCTAACAGAGCAAAGATACGTAGCTGTGAAAATTCACCAGTTAAATAAAAACTGGAGAGATGAGAAAAAGGAGAATTACCACAAGCATGCATGTAGGGAATACCGGATTCATAAAGAGCTGGACCATCCCAGAATAGTTAAGCTGTATGATTACTTTTCACTGGATACTGACTCGTTTTGTACAGTATTAGAATACTGTGAGGGAAATGATCTGGACTTCTACCTGAAACAGCACAAATTAATGTCAGAGAAAGAGGCCCGGTCCATTATCATGCAGATTGTGAATGCTTTAAAGTACTTAAATGAAATAAAACCTCCCATCATACACTATGACCTCAAACCAGGTAATATTCTTTTAGAAAATGGTACAGGGTGTGGAGAGATAAAAATTACAGATTTTGGTCTTTCGAAGATCATGGATGATGATAGCTACAATTCAGTGGATGGCATGGAGCTAACATCACAAGGTGCTGGTACTTATTGGTATTTACCACCAGAGTGTTTTGTGGTTGGGAAAGAACCACCAAAGATCTCAAATAAAGTTGATGTGTGGTCGGTGGGTGTGATCTTCTATCAGTGTCTTTATGGAAGGAAGCCTTTTGGCCATAACCAGTCTCAGCAAGACATCCTACAAGAGAATACGATTCTTAAAGCTACTGAAGTGCAGTTCCCGCCAAAGCCGGTAGTAACACCTGAAGCAAAGGCGTTGATTCGACGATGCTTGGCCTACCGAAAGGAGGACCGCATTGATGTCCAGCAGCTGGCCTGTGATCCCTACTTGTTGCCTCACATCCAAAAGTCAGTCTCTACGAGTAGCCCTGCTGGAGCTGCTATTGCATCAACCTCTGGGGCGTCCAATAACAGTTCTTCTAATTGAGACTGACTCCAAGGCCACAAACTGTTCAACACACACAAAGTGGACAAATGGCGTTCAGCAGCGGGTTTGGAACATAGCGAATCCGAATGGATCTGATGAAACCTGTACCAGGTGCTTCTATTTTCTTGCTTTTTTCCCATCCATAGAGCATGACAGCATCGATTCTCATTGAGGAGAAACCTTGGGCAGCTCCGGCCAGGCCTTGTAGGAAAAGGCCCCGCCCGAGGTTCCAGCGTCAACGGCCACTGTGTGTGGCTGCTCTGAGTGAGGAAAAAATTAAAAGGAAAAACTGGTTCCATGTACTGTGAACTTGAAAACATGCAGACTCAGGGGGGTCCCTGATTCAGATGAAGAATGTGGACTTGAAAATACAGACTGGGCTAGTCCAGTGTCTGTATTTAAACTTGTTCTTTTCTTTTAATAAAGTTTAGGTAACATCTCCTGAAAAGCTTGTAGCACAAAGGCTCAGCTGGGGATGGTGTTTGACTTCGGAGGAAAAAAGTTGCTATTGCCCGTTAAAGGCACTAGAGTTAGTGTTTTTTCCCTAAATAATTTCAATTTTTAAAAACATGCAGCTTCCCTCTCCTCTTTTTTATTTTTGAAAGAATACATTTGGTCATAAAGTGAAACCCGTATTAGCAAGTACGTGGCAATGTTCATTCCAATCAGATGCAGCTTTCTCCTTCGTCTGGTCTCCTGTTTGCAATTGCTTCCCTCATCTCAGTAGGGAAAAAATTGAGTGGGAATACTGAGATGTGTGGGTTTTTGCCATTGGACAAAGAATGAGGTTAGAAGACTGCAGCTTGGAGTCCCTCTAGGTTTTCAACTATTTCTTCACAATTTGAACACTTGACGGTTGTCCCTTTTAATTTATTTGAAGTGCTATTTTTTTAAATAAAGGTTCATCTGTCCATGCAAAAAAAAAAAAAAAAAAAAAAAACAAATTCAAAGTATCAATATAGTATACAGTCCACAAGTAGCCCTTGATAAAATGCTAGTAGGACCATTTCTTTTCATTAATCTCTGTGATGGAATAAAATTTGCATGGATGGTGCTTTTTTTATATTTTTATTTTTTATTTTATTTTATTTTATTATTATTATACTTTAAGTTTTAGGGTACGTGTGCACAACGTGCAGGTTTGTTACATATGTATACATGTGCCATGTTGGTGTGCTGCACCCATTAACTCGTCATTTAACATTAGGTATATCTCCTAATGCTATCCCTCCCCCCTCCCCCCACCCCACAACAGTCCCCAGAGTGTGATGTTCTCCTTCCTGTGTCCATGTGTTCTCATTGTTCAATTCCCATCTATGAGTGAGAACATGCGATGTTTGGTTTTTTGTCCTTGCGATAGCTTGCTGAGAATGATGGTTTCCAGTTTCATTGATGTCCCTACAAAGGACATGAACTCATCATTTTTTATGGCTGCATAGTATTCCATGGTGTGTATGTTCCACATTTTCTTAATCCAGTCTATCGTTGTTGGACATTTAGGTTGGTTCCAAGTCTTTGCTATTGTGAATATTGACGATATAAACATATGTGTGCATGTGTCTTTATGGCAGCATGATTTATAATCCTTTGGATTATGGGATGGCTGGGTCAAATGGTATTTCTAGTTCAAGATCTCTGAGGAATCGTGACACTGACTTCCACAATGGTTGAACTAGTTTACAGTCCCACCAACAGTGTAAAAGTGTTCCTATTTCTCCACATCCTCTCCAGCACCTGTTGTTTCCTGACTTTTTAATGATTGCCATTCTAACTGGTGTGAGATGGTATCTCATTGTGGTTTTGATTTGCATTTCTCTGATGGCCAGTGATGGTGAGCATTTTTTCACGTGTGTTTTGGCTGCATAAATGTCTTCTTTTGAGAAGTGTCTGTTCATATCCTTTGCCCACTTTTTGATGGGGTTGTTTGTTTTTTTCTTGTAAATTTGTTTGAGTTCATTGTAGATTCTAGATATTAGCCCTTTGTCAGATGAGTAGGTTGCAAAAATTTTTTCCTGTTCTGTAGGTTGCCTGTTCACTCCGATGGTAGTTTCTTTTGATGTGCAGAAGCTCTTTAGTTTAATTAGATCCCATTTGTCAATTTTGGCTTTTGTTGCCATTGCTTTTGGTGTTTTAGACATGAAGTCCTTGCCCATGCCTATGTCCTGAATAGTAATGCTGAGGTTTTCTTCTAGGGTTTTTATGGTTTTAGGTCTAACGTTTAAGTCTTTAATCCATCTTGAATTGATTTTTGTATAAGGTGTAAGGAAGGAATCCAGTTTCAGCTTTCTACATGTGGCTAGCCAGTTTTCCACATATGGCTAGCCAGTTTTCCCAGCACCATTTATTAAATAGGGAATCCTTTCCCCATTGCTTGTTTCTGTCAGGTTTGTCAAAGATGAGATAGTTGTAGATATGCAGCATTATTTCTGAGGGCTCTGTTCTGTTCCATTGATCTATATCTCTGTTTTGGTACCAGTACCATGCTGTTTTGGTTACTGTAGACTTGTAGTATAGTTTGAAGTCAGGTAGCGTGATGCCTCCAGCTTTCTTTTGGCTTAGGATTGACTTGGCGATGCAGGCTCTTTTTTGGTTCCATATGAACTTTAAAGTAGTTTTTTCCAATTCTGTGAAGAAAGTCATTGGTAGCTTGATGGGGATGGCATTGAATCTATAAATTACCTTGGGCAGTATGGCCATTTTCATGATATTGATTCTTCCTATCCATAAGCATGGAATGTTCTTCCATTTGTTTGTGTCCTCTTTTATTTCATTGAGCAGTGGTTTGTAGTTCTCCTTGAAGAGGTCCTTCACATCCCTTATAAGTTGGATTCCTAGGTATTTTATTCTCTTTGAAGCAATTGTGAATGGGAGTTCACTCATGATTTGGCTCTCTGTTTGTCTGTTATTGGTGTATAAGAATGCTTGTGACTTTTGTACATTGATTTTGTATCCTGAGACTTTGCTGAAGTTGCTTATCAGCCTGAGGAGATTTTGGGCTGAGACGATGGGGTTTTCTAGATATACAATCATGTCATCTGCAAACAGGGACAATTTGACTTCCTCTTTTCCTAATTGAATACCCTTTATTTCCTTCTCCTGCCTGATTGCCCTGGCCAGAATTTCCAAGACTATGTTGAATAGGAATGGTGAGAGAGGGCATCCCTGTCTTGTGCCTGTTTTCAAAGGGAATGCTTCGAGTTTTTGCCCATTCAGTATGATATTGGTTGTGGGTTTGTCATAGATAGCTCTTATTATTTTGAGATACGTCCTATCAATACCTAATTTATTGAGAGTTTTTAGCATGAAGGGTTGTTGAATTTTGTCAAAGGCTTTTTCTGCATCTATTGAGATAATCATGTGGTTTTTGTCTTTGGTTCTGTTTATATGCTGGATTACATTTATTGATTTGCATATGTTGAACCAGCCTTGCATTCCAGGGATGAAGCCCACTTGATCATGGTGGATAAGCTTTTTGATGTGCTGCTGGATTCGGTTTGCCAGTATTTTATTGAGAATTTTTGTATTGATGTTTATCAAGGATATTGGTCTAAAATTCTCTTTTTTGGTTGTGTCTCTGCCAGGCTTTGGTATCAGGATGATGCTGGCCTCATAAAATGAGTTAGGGAGGATTCCCTCTTTTACTATTGATTGGAATAATTTCAGAAGGAGTGATATCAGCTCCTCTTTGTACCTCTGGTAGAATTCGGCTGTGAATCCATCTGGTCCTGGACTTTTTTTGGTTGGTAAGCTATTGATTATTGCCTCAATTTGAGAGCCTGTGATTGGTCTATTCAGAGATTCAACTTCCTGGTTTAGTCTTGGGAGGATGTATGTGTCAAGAAATTTATCCATTTCTTCTAGATTTTCTAGTTTATTTGTGTAGAGGTGTTTGTAGTATTCTCTGATGGTAGTTTGTATTTCTGTGGGATCGGTGATGATAGCCCCTTCATCATTTTTTATTGCGTCTATTTGATTCTTCTCTCTTTTCTTCTTTATTAGTCTTGCTAACGGTCTATCAATTTCGTTGATCTTTTCAAAAAGCAACTCCCGGATTCATTAATTTTTTGAAGGGTTTTTTGTGTCTCTATTTCCTTCAGTTCTGCTCTGATCTTAGTTATTTTTTGCCTTCTGCTAGCTTTTGAATGTGTTTGCTCTTGCTTTTCTAATTCTTTTAATTGTGGTGTTAGGATGTCAATTTTATATCTTTCCTGCTTTCTCTTGTGGGCATTTAGTGCTATAAATTTCCCTCTACACACTGCTTTGAATGTGTCCCAGAGATTCTGGTATGTTGTGTTTTTGTTCTCGTTGGTTTCAAAGAACATCTTTATTTCTGCCTTCATTTTGATGTGCACCAAGTAGTCATTCAGGAGAAGGTTGTTCAGTTTCCATGTAGTTGAGTGGTTTTGAGTGAGTTTCTTAATCCTGAGTTCTAGTTTGCTTGCACTGTGGTCTGAGAGACAGTTTGTTATAATTTCTGTTCTTTTACATTTGCTGAGGAGTGCTTTACTTCCATCTATGTGGTCAATTTTGGAATAGGTGTGGTGTGGTACTGAAAAGAATGTATATTCTGTTGATTTGGGGTGGAGAGTTCTGTAGATGTCTACAAGGTCCGCTTGGTGCAGAGCTGAGTTCAATTCCTGGATATCCTTGTTAACTTTCTGTCTTGTTTATCTGTCTAATGTTGACAGTGGGGTGTTAAAGTCTCCCATTATTATTGTGTGGGAGTCTTAAGTCTTTTTGTAGGTCATTAAGGACTTACTTTATGAATCTGGGTACTCCTGTACTGGGCGCATATATATTTAGGATAGTTAGCTCTTCTTGTTGCATTGATCCCTTTCCCTTTATGTAATGGCCTTCTTTGTCTCTTTTGATCTTTGTTGGTTTAAAGTCTGTTTTATCAGTGACTAGGATTGCAATCCCTGCCTTTTTTTGTTTTCCATTTGCTTGGTAGATCTTCCTCCATCCCTTTATTTTGAGCCTATGTGTGTCTCTGCATGTGAGATGGGTTTCCTGAATACAGCACACTGATGGGTCTTGACTCTTTATCCAATTTGCCAGTCTGTGTCTTTTAATTGGAGAATTTAGCCCATTTACATTTAAAGTTAATATTGTTATGTGTGAATTTGATCTTGTCATAATGATGTTAGCTGGTTATTTTGCTCATTAGTTGATGCAGTTTCTTCCTAGCCTTGATGGTTTTTACAATTTGGCATGTTTTTGCAGCAGCTGGTACTGGTTGTTCCTTTCCATGTTTAGTGCTTCCTTCAGGAGCTCTTGTAGGGCAGGCCTGGTGGTGACAAAATCTCTCAGCATTTGCTTGTCTGTAAAGTATTTTATTTCTCCTTCACTTATGAAGCTTAGTTTGGCTGGATATGAAATTCTGGGTTGAAAATTCTTTTCTTTAAGAATGTTGAATATTGGCCCCCACTCTCTTCTGGCTTGTAGAGTTTCTGCCAAGAGATCAGCTGTTAGTCTGATGGGTTTCCCTTTGTGGGTAACCTGACCTTTCTCTCTGGCTACCCTGATCATTTTTTCCTTCATTCCAACTTTGGTTCATCTGACAATTATGTGTCTTGGAGTTGCTCTTCTCGAGGAGTATCTTTGTGGCATTCTCTGTATTTCCTGAATTTGAATGTTGGTCTGCCTTGCTAGATTGGGGAAGTTCTCCTGGATAATATCCTGCAGAGTGTTTTCCAACTTGGTTCCATTCTCCCCGTCACTTTCAGGTAAATCAATCAGACGTAGATTTGGTCTTTCCACATACTGCCATAAGTCTTGGAGGCTTTGTTTGTTTCTTTTTATTCTTTTTTCTCTAAACTTCTCTTCTCGCTTCATTTCATTCATTTCATCTTCCATCACTGATACCCTTTCTTCCAGTTGATCGCATTGGCTACTGAGGCTTCTGCATTCGTCACGTAGCTCTCGTGCCTTGGTTTTCAGCTCCATTAGGTCCCTTAAGGACTTTTCTCCATTGGTTATTCTAGTTATCCATTTGTCTAATTTTTTTTCAAAGCTTTTAACTTCTTTGCCATTGGTTCGAATTTCCTCCTGTAGCTTGGAGTAGTTTGATCATCTGAAGCCTTCTTCTCTCAACTCGTCAAAGTCATTGTCCATGCAGCTTTGTTCCATTGCTGGTGAGGAGCTGCATTCCTTTGGAGGAGGAGAGGCGCTCTGATTTTTACAGTTTCCAGTTTTTCTCCTCCGTTTTTTTCCCATCTTTGTGGTTTTATCTACCTTTGGTCTTTGATGATGGTGAGGTACAGATGGGTTTTTGGTGTGGATGTCCTTCCTGTTTGTTAGTTTTCCTTCTAACAGATAGGACCCTCAGCTGCAGGTCTGTTGGAGTTTGCTAGAGGTCCACTCCAGACCCTGTTTGCCTGGGTATCCACAGCGGTGGCTGAAGAACAGCAGATATTGGTGAACCGCAAATGCTGCTGCCTGATCGTTCCTCTGGAAGTTTTGTCTCAGAGGAGTACCCGGCCATGTGAATTGTCAGTCTGCCCCTACTGGGGGGTGCCTCCCAGTTAGGCTGCTCAGGGGTCAGGGACCCACTTGAGGAGGCAGTCTGCCCGATCTCAGATCTCCAGCTGTGTGCTGGGAGAACCACTACTCTCTTCAAAGCTGTCAGAGAGGGACATTTAATTCTGCAGAGGTTATTGCTGTCTTTTTGTTTGTCTGTGCCCTGCACCCAGAGGTGGAGCCTACAGAGGCAGGCAGGCCTCCTTGAGCTGTGGTGGGCTCCACCCAGTTCGAGCTTCCTGGCCTCTTTGTTTACCTAATCAAACAACTAACTGGGCAATTGCGGGTGCCCCTCCCCCAGCCTCTCTGCTGCCTTGCAGTTTGATCTCGGACTGCTGTGCTAGCAATGAGCAAGACTCCGTGGGCATAGGACCCTCCAAGCCAGGTGCTTGATATAATCTCCTGGTGTGCCGTTGTTTAAGCCCATTGGAAAAGCGCAGTATTAGGGTGGGAGTGACCCGATTTTCCAGGTGCTGTCTATCACCCCTTTCTTTGAGTAGGAAAGGAAATTCCCTGACCCCTTGAGCTTCCCAGGTGAGGCGATGCCTCGCCCTACTTCAGCTCGCGCACGGTGCACTGCACCTACTGTCCTGCACCTACTCTCTGGCACTCCCCAGTGAGATGAACCTGGTACCTCAGTTGGAAATGCAGAAATCACCCATCTTCTGCGTTGCTCAAGCTGGGAGCTGTAGACCGGAGCTGTTCCTATTCAGCCATCTTGGCTTCTCCTCAAACATTCGGATGGTGTTAATTCAGATAGTAGGCCCTCAAAAATTTCGAATGGATGGATTATGGATCAATGAAAGTATGGGTGGATTTCTAGAAAACTGAAAGTGGTGCTGGAAGGGTATAGACTGTGAGGAGCAGGGCAGAAGTGCATGAAATCTTTGCTCTTCAATTAAAGTGTGCACTCTTTCTTGGGCTTATATGCAACACATTCACTAGAAACCCTCATAACTTTCACTCCTTGAAGGATGTGTTTGAAAAATGCTGTATTTTCTTGTAGGCCCTTTGCAAATGGACACTAGTAGTAGGGGGTAGTTGTGAAGGGAAGAGCCAATTGTGTGGGATTCAGGCTTTGGAGGTTGACCATGCTCTGTGTTAGCCTGGTTCAGTGGAATCAGGGCAGACTTATTACTACTTATGTGAATTCAATTCCTCTGGGCCTTTGCTGTTGTGTCTTGAAAATGGGGTGATCAAATCTGCCAGGCAGGGTCTATTTTGTGGGGTGTCTCAGTCTGCTCAGGCTGCCATCACAAAATACCATAGACAGGTGGCTTAAACAACAAAAACTTATTTCTCACAGTTCTAGAGGCTGTAAGTCCAAAATCAAGGTGCCAGCAGATTCAATTTTCTGGTGAAGGCTCTCTTCCTGACTTGCAGATAGCTGCTTTCTCACTGTGTCCTCACAGTGCAGACAGAGAGAAAAATACATCTTTCTTTTTCTCTTCTTAAAAGGCTACAGTCTTATCAGATTGGAGCCTTACTGGTATGACCTCATTTAACCTCAATTGTCTTCCAAAGATCCTATCTCCAAATACTACAGTCATATTGGGGGTTAGGGCTTCAACATATGAATTTTGGGAGAGTAGAATTCAGTCCAATACAAGGAGATTAAGTGAGATTATTCATGCAAATATGTTTCAGAAACTATGAAGGGCTGTACCCACTTAGAAGGTAGTGAGAGTCTTTTTTTAAATTTTACTATTTTTTTTTTTTTTTTTTTGGTTTTAGCACTGTGAGACATTCCTCAGGGCATTCATTCATTCATTTATTGAATGTCTACTTTGTGCCAGGCACATTTCTTGACACTGGATGACAGTAATAGAGAAAACAGACAAAAATCCTTATCTTCACAGAGCCTATCTACTTCCTAGAATGTAGACAAGAAAGATAGACAAGTAGAATATATAATTTATAAGATGGGGAAGAGTTGTATGAAAACAAATAAAGTAAAGGAATGGATTGAGAATGCCACATAGCGAGGAATAGTTTAAATTGTAACTAATTGGTGTTGTGGGGGAGGTAGGAGGGGGATGATCAAGGAAGACTTCGTTTGAACGAAGTCAAAGACTTCAAGTCTTTGAGAAGTTGATGGAGCTACAAGGCTATCTAAAGAAGAGTATTCCAGGCAATGAGAAAAGCCTATGCAAAGTCCCTGGGGTAAGAGAGACCCAGATATGTTCAAGGAACAGCCATGAGAGCTGGGCAGCCAGAGCTGAATGAGAGATGGGGGGACTGGTAGGAGATGGAACCAGAAAGATTCAATCCAAGAAGAGGACTTGCTGTCTGCATTTGATGAGGCCAGGGCAGCAACAGTGAGAGGAGCAGGAAATCGCTTCTCTGTGAGGAGAGGATTTCATGTATTCTCTGAGGATCTGTGCTCATCTCCAGGAACACCTGTGGGAGTCAGTTCTTATCTGCTCCGAAATTTCTTCCAATATTTTATGACTCCAGATATGTCCTCTTGTGAAACTGTGGTGAATGGCTGCTGGTGAAATAATGATCCTAGCGGAGTATGTAAATGAGATAGCATCCATGCATTATTAAAAGAGTAAATTCATAGCTGGAAGTGAATGTGTATGAAGCAAGGTTGACTCGAGCATAATGCCTTCCTACACCAACCAGACTACACACTCATTTGAGTGTGGAGCTCAGGTTTGTGTCAACCATAGCAACTAATATAGTTCCTAGGACAATATAGGTTCTCAAAGTGTTTGTCTAAAAGCACAGCCTCTCCAAGAAGCACATGTTAGGAATTGCAAAGAAAGGAGATTCTCTTTAATTTGCAGCAAGAACTCTTTGTTCCTCCTAATGAGCAGGACTGGGGTCCAGCACCGACCTCCATGGAGGTGAAGTGGGTTATGCATTTCCATACCTAATGGAGCTCTCACAAACTAAAATATCTCTGCTTCTAAGGCTGGGGGGCAATGGATTGTATCATGGGGGCTTTCTTCCATTTTGAAAGATAACATCTACAGGTACACCAAATTTGGTATTGATTACCTACGTACTATATTCTGCTCCATTCTTTTCAAGCTGTGAAAACTCACCTCTGAACCTCATTTTCCTCATATATGTGGAATATGATAACAATACCTGCTGCCCTGGGCTGTCTGTAAGATTGAATGGTCTTGTGGATATAAAATAATGCATATCGTTATTCCCACTTCATAGGTAAAGATCTGACACAATGTCATGGCCCAAATCTGTACCTCCTTTCAAAAATCCAATCAATAAAAACCTACTGTGAGCCTGCTAGGAATAAAGCACCGTTCTAGGTCCTAGAGATATAGCAGTGAGTGAGAGGAAGATGATTCTTGCCTTGCAGTGTAGGAGAGGGATGATAAAGACACAGACACATCAGTGACAATGGAGGGTGTGCTAACGACAGAGCTAGGGCTCAAACTCATGACTTCTATCTCTAGATCCTACACTTTTTCTGTCATCCCCTTTAAGCAGAAATCAGGCTCGGCCTCAGTCCTAAGGGAACTAGCAGTGTACAAAAGAAGTTGTATCTGAACTGAAATAGTATGCAACTACTTCTTAGGGCCTCTAGAGAGTTTTGAATAAAGTGCTCAGGTTGGTTTGGGGAGCAAAAGATAACTTGTGACTCTAGAAATCAGGATTTTTTTTTCAAAGAGGTGGCAACTAAATGGTTATAGGGGGGCAGCATCCCTCCTTAACACAAGTCTGACCCGTGATGACATAAAAGCCCATGGCCGTGTAACCAGGAAGGATATTTAGAAAGATGTCAGCGAACTTAAATGATTGCAAAAGTAGAGAATGCTTCAAATAACTCTTTCAGGTGGAAACTTGGAGGTACTGAGATATTTTCAGGTGGGGGTAAACTCTGCTGATTCCTAGTTCTCCAAGGAATACATCTTTGCCAGTGGAAGGAACTTGGGAAACCCAGTGAGCAGATTATTAAATTGCCACTTTTTTGGGGTATTGAACTACATTTATCACCTTTCTTATTTTTACTTTATCATTGTTAGCATCAGGCATTGTTAATATTTTCAGAATTCTTACTAATATTTCATTGGAGTGTTTTTGTTTTCTCTTTAAACAGGTATTTGGTGTGGATTGCCACATTCCTGGGTAATTTTGTTAAATCTGGAGGCCAATTTTCTTTTTACAACTATCTACTGCTTTGATTTTATGAGAAAAAATCAATAGAAAGAAAGGAGTTGCTGAAAGGTTCTAACGCAGTCTGTGCAAAAACTGTCAGATGTTAGCTGCATGGCCGAGCCTTTCCCAAGTGGGTTTGAATCCCAACTTGGCCACTAATTCAGTGTATGCCTTGAATAGGTCACTATCCCTCTCTGGGCCTCAGTTTTCTCATCTGCAAAATGAGGTGAATTGGCTTAAATGGTCTGACATCCCATCCACCTTTGGCATTTGGGGAGTTGATGAATGCTGGGAAATGGCTGGAGGCTGCAAGAGCCATGGAGAGAGCAGAAAGAACGTTTTTATTAGTTCAAAAACAGCACAATGAGGAACAATGAAATTAATTAAAAGAACCACTTTTATTGAGTTAGCAGTGAGTAGAAAAACAATGAAATGATTGTTTTTGGAAACCTTTTCAGCTTAAGATGAAAACAAGCCCAGTCTCCCCAGGTTATGGTGCAGTCACTTTAGGAATGAAACTCATCGGTTTGGGAGAGCTGTTTCTCCTCCATCATTTCCAAGGCAGAGCACGGATCATCTATGCAGGCCAGGCCTGTCTCTTGCTACCTAAGCCGCCAGACATTTACAGAAGCTAAATTAACTTCATGCATGGCTAGCGGCTGCACCTTCTAGCTGCTGCAGGGCTCCTCATTCTCATTAAGACTTCAGGGCAGGCATACTGCTGTTGGGAATACACACCTTGACATAGATTCCAGGGGTGAAGGTGGCTGAGAAAGAAGGACTGCTTTCCACAGTCTCTGCAAAAAATACCAGCAAACTTATTGCAAGACTCCAAATCCAATAATTGCACAACCGTAGCATCAAGCAGTTGCAGGTTCTGTAAGTCCTTTCAGTGCACTGAGCCCTTAAAAGTTAACCTTTGCGTAGGCTATCTCCAGCCCTCTGAATTCTGTGAGATTAAACCCACCATACCCATTTCACAGATGAGAAAAAGGAGCCTGAGATGTGAAGCTTCTTAGACAAAGTTGCACAGCTGCTATGATAAAGACACAATCCTGGTAAGGACAGCATCAGCATTTTATAATCATTCTTGATTTTTATACTCTCAGAAGCCCTTTTGAATATGTAGTCTCACTAGATTCTCATGACCTTTTATTGACATGCATGATGCATGAGGGCAGTATTTTATCCCTCTTTTGTTGATAAGGAAACTGAGGCTTAGAGAGTTTAAGTGGTTGGCTCAAGGCCCCATGGCTAAAGGATTAGTAAGTCAGACCTAAAACTAAAATCCGATCCTAACCTGCTATTACATTGGCTTTGTGCTGTCTTATTTACAATTAACAGTGGGAAATAAGGAAAATTTAATGCAAAAAAACCACATTTTTCTGAAATATAAGTCATTATAACCTTTGAGAAAACCTTTGAGGTAATCTAAACCAGGAATTGGTCATCTGAGGTGCTAGGTGGGACTTAGTGGGTCCAGGATCTTCCTGAATGTTTATGCAAGGTCGGGTGCTTTTGTGTGTAAGTGCTTCACTCAGGGTAACAAGTGTGTACACTGAGCAGTCCACTCCACGAGGGGGTGCAACTTTCTAAGGTATAGGGGTATCTCTGACACCCAGCACCATTTTGGCACACAGCAAGTGCTCAGTAAATGTTGATGGAACTAATCTGATTCTTTAAAGGTTCTATGATGCCACAAAAACTGAATGTTAGCAAGGGCAGCAGTGAATCTCAGAAATCTCTCTAGCTTTCATACCTTCCAGACAAAGACTCAGGGGCTCAGAAGGAACAAGGCAATAGCCTCAGATCTGCTTGAGGCAGAGCAGGGTCTAGGAGCTGGTCTCTCAGCCTCTGCCAAGGTGATCAGGAGATTTCCCCTGAGCAGTGTTGCTTCCTTTATGTGATCACAGGGACTTCTGTAGTGACAACAAAGTGCTGTCCACTGGGGGCCTCCAAGAGGCCCCATGTTGGCCAGCTCTGCATTCAGTGAGTCATTCTCCACAGTGCAAAGGGAAAGTGCTAAAGTGCTTGAGAAAAGAGTTTCTCTTAATTAGGTTAAACACTCCCCCACTCCCCAGCCTCATTTACACCATTCATTTGCTCAGCAGACTATGGCTTCCAAGAGAGGATTCAAGTAAACCCTGTCCTATCCAGGTGTACATGATCCTAAACCACAAAAAAATGGACTCTGAAATCCAGTTCCTGCAGGATGGAGAGGGACTAAATGGGTCTGGTTGGGCCTCAGGCCTGCCCTGCACCCCTCCCCACGCTGGCCAGGTTTTGAGCATGTCTCTTGGGGTCACTGCCGGTCCAGCCTGCTAGGAAACAGGCAATGGAAACCCAGAGCAGAATTTCTGGGAAATGCAAGAGTTTCTTTCTCCACTCCAGCCATTTCTCTTCTGTCAGAGCTCTAATGAGGTTTTAGTGCCAGGAGGGAAAGTAAATGGAAAGAAAACAGCCCAAAGTTGCTAATGCTATCGACAGTGACCATGCTTCAGGAAACCCTTCCTTCCCCTGGGGCCACCGCCCAGTGCATGGTTTGCCTAAAAGGAAGAAAGAGAAGGGAAAAACAGGTTCCTTGTAACTACAGAGAGAGGGATTCTCCAAGATCCACTTGTGCATGTGTTGGGGGATCTGAAATTAACCCTTTCTGCCTCATTAGTTTCTAAGTAGTGCTGAGATTAAGAGCCATTGTTGGGAACATGAAGAGGCTGTTTCTGTAAGGGGAGTCTTGATAGCTCTTCCAGGAAGTCAGAGAGACAGCCAGTGGGTGCTGAGCAGCCCAATCTGGCTGGATGTCTATACTTGTGGCTTCCAGCTCTTCATACACTGAGTCCAGGTTCTCAAGAGCCCCTCTATAAAGCCCTTTCAGGAGCTGGCTGATTTATAGGTTAAGAGTAAGACAGGCCTGGGTTCAAATCCTGCCTCCATGACTTGATTAGTTTCCCTCTGTCAAAGTTTCTTTATCTGTGGAATGAGAGTAGTAACACCTGCCTCATAGGGTTGAATGAGATTAGATCTGTATGTTATAGGGATACAGTAAGTTATAACAAACATTGTATTTGCAGTCTTCCATCCACTGTGACCCCATCTGCCCACATTTACCCAGTAAAGAACTTGTCTTTGGAGTCTGTCTTAGACCCTTTGTGCAGCTAAAACAAAATATCTGAGACTGGGTAATTTATAAAGAACCGAAATTTATTTCTCACAGTTCTGGAGGCTGGGAGGTCCAAAGTCAAGGCTCTGGCAGACTCAGTTGCCTGGGGAGGGCTACTCTCTGCTTCCAAGATGGCACCTTGATGCTGCACCTCCGGAGGTCCTCACATGGTGAGGAAGGTGGAAGGGCAAGTGAGGCAAATGCTGTGTGAAGCCTCTTTTACGAGGGCCTTAGTTCCATCATGAGGGAGGGGCTCTCATGGACAAAGCAACTCTGAAAGGCCCCACTTCTTAATACTGTCACATTGGCAATGCCTGAATTTTGGAGGGGACACATTCAAATGATAGCAAAGTCTGCCAGATCAGTGTGTGAGCCTCTGCAGCAGTTCAGAATCAAAATCTGAAGTGTGTGTGTGTGTGTGTGTGTGTGTGTTTGTGACAGAGAGAGAGAGAGAGAAAGAGAAACAGAGAACTGCAGAAAGTATCATGGGGATTTGTATCCTAAAGAGCCAAGAATTACTTAGGAAAGAGACAAATAGAAGCAGAAGGAAAGGAAGAGGAGAAGAAAGAGAAAGGTCAGTGAGTTAGGAGATAAACTTTGGGATGAGGAGTTGATTTGGGGCATGAATAGAGGGTGTATTAGTTCATTCTCACATTGTGTAAAGAACTACATGAGACTGGGTAATTTATAAAGAAAAGAGGTTTAATTGACTCTCAGTTCCACAGGCTGTACAGGAAGCATGGTGGATGAGTCCTCAGGGAACTTACAAGCATGGCAGAAGGCAAAGGGGGAGCAGACATGTCTTACGTGGCCAGAGAAGGAATAAGAGAGAGAAAGGGGAGGTGCCACACACTTTTAAACAACCAGATATCATGAGAACTCACTCACTATCATAAGAAGAGCCCCCATGATCCAGTCACCTCCCACCAGGACCCTCCTCCAACACTGGGGATTACAATTTGACATGAGATTTGGACCTGGACGCAAATTCAAATCATATCAGAGGAGCTGCAGGAAAGCTATGAGGGCAAGAGGAATGTAAAAAGAAGAGTTAACAAGGGTTGCTATGGCTTATTAATGAACCACTTCTTCATGCCAAAAGATCAGTAAAAATCACAATTGCTTTTATATTCTATTGGCTACTGGGCTGTTTTTTTGTTTTTTTTTTTGTTTTTTTTTTTCATGGGAAATTGCATGAAGACCAGACTGTGGGAGCTCTAGATTATATTTGGGTTACACAGTTGAAGTGTCTAGCATAGTTCTTGGCACATAGCAGATACTAATTAAGTGGTAGCTATTAAGAGATATAGAGAATTTCAAGGGTGGATACTCAGTGATTGCCCATCTTACTTCCTAGTAATATTTTATGTAGGATAAGTAAAGGTTAACTCTGAGCAGGTTGTATAGGTGGGATGGGAGGAGATACCTAAGTGCAGGAAATTTGTGTCCAAAACCGTACCCTGGGAACAGCCAGAGATAGAGGGGAATTAGGAAGCAAGTCTGGTGTCATTAATGTTTTGGGTGAACTTGGACAGAATGCTGGGAACTGCAAGTGCAGACAAAGCAATCAAAATCAGTTTAGGGTTAGGCACAGCAGAAACTGACCAGAGGTAGAGAGGAGTCTTAGTAATAAAGCCCCAGGGAAGTGGTGCTTAATCCTGGCTGCACATAAAAATCACCTGGAGTACTTTTAAAAATACCAACCCCCCACTTTGGAAGGCCGAGGTGGGCGGATCACAAGGTCAGGAGATCGAGACCATCCTGGCTAACATGGTGAAACCCCGTCTCTACTAAAAATACAAAAAATTAGCCAGGCGTGGTGGCGGGCACCTATAGTCCCAGCTACTCGGGAGGCTGAGACAAGAGAATGGCGTGAGCCCAGGAGGTGGAGTTTGCAGTGAGCCGAGATTGCACCACTGCACTCCAGCCCGGGTGACAGAGCTAGACTCTGTCTCAAAAAAAAAAAAAAAAAACAAAACAAAACACAAAACCAACAACAAAAAAAAGCCCCTGGCTCCATCCCCGGTCAGTTGAGTTATAATTTCTGAGACTGGGTCTGGGCATCAGTATTTTTAAGATGTCCCTATGTGACCTAACACTGTGAATCTCTGCTCTAAGGTGTGGCAAACTCAACGCTGATCTCATCTGCTAACTCTGTAGGGATCTGATCCATGTTTAGAGGAAGGGGGAGAGAGATGACAGAAATAGCAGGAACTTCAAGGGAACAAGAGTTTCCTCCCTCAGGTGGACACTGGGTCTGTAGATTCCAAAAGACCTGACCAGTCACTGGCAAGACTAAACTCAGGCCTGGGGGCTGAGATTCCAGAGCCCTGCCCTAGGGAAAAGGAACTGATGAGAATTAGGTTGAGGGGCCAGACCTGATAACTGGTGGGCAAGAGTCCAAGGCAGGTATCGGCCAGATAATGCTAGAGGCAGATCCAGGGCAGGGGCCATATAGACTTTTCCAGAGAGATTGAAGTCTAGTACTTATGCAAGATTGCAGGGCCCTGAGTGATGGTGGTAGGGAGTGATGGCAGTAGTCTATTTTTTTTTTTTAATTTGTTTGTTATTTCAATAGGTTTCTAGAGAGCAGGTGGTGTTTGGTTACATGAGTAAGTTCTTTAGTGCTGATTTCTGAGATTTTGGTGCACCCGTCACCCAAGCAGTGTACACAGTACCCAATGTGTAGTCTTTTATCCCTTGACACCCTCCCAGCCTTTTCCCCGAGTCCCCAGAGTCCACCGTATCATTCTTATGATGGCAGTAGTCTTGATACTGGTGAGGAACATGGAGACAGGAATGGGTGGGAGTGACAGTCATGGTATTGGGTGATAATAATTTGGTGGTAGTGGTGATGGTAGTGTGATGGTGATTGTATTACTTTTCTATTGTTATATAACCAATCACCATAAACTTAGCAACTTAAAACAATACACATTTGTTATCTCAGTTTCTGTAGGTCAGAAGTCTGGATGAGCTCCACCAGCTCCTCCAGTAAGGGTTTCAGGATGCTGAAATCACGGTGCGGGCGGGGCTGCATTCCTTCCTGGAGGTCCTGGGAAAGAATGTTTCTGAGCTCCTTTAGGTTGTTGGCCAAATTCAGTTCCTTGCAGTTGTAGAACTGAGGTCCTCATTTTCTTGAGGTTGTCAGCTGGGAGCTGGGCTTTGCTCCTGGAGGCTTCTGGTTTTTTCTCATGCTTTCTATATTACTCCCTCTGACAACAGTACATTGAGTTCCTCTATCACTCAAATCTCTCTAACTTCTTCTGCTCGACAGGTCTGACTCAGAGAGAAAGTTCCCTGCTTTCAAGATCTCATGTGAAGTTAGGTTGGGAAGGAGAGCAAGCAGTGATGAGTTCTATGGAAACTACCTCCCATGATCTCCCCACCAGAGCCCAACTCAGCCATACTCTTGAACTTGGATCTGGGGCAGTGGCCCTCAAGGGCTAGCTGAACTGGAGTTGATGACATTTGAAGATCTGAGATGTCAAGGCAGTTAGAGTAAAGAGGCTGCCAGGCGGAGTGGAGCCATTTATTCATTCATTCAACACGTATTTATTGAGCCAGGTCTACTATGGCCCAGGGACCACCAGATACTGGAAAACAGGGCAAAATACACTGATAAAAATAATGACTTTGGTCATGCAAACTGCAATTATGCTGTTAATATTAGTGTGGTAGATTAAATGTAGCCACAATTTTTTTGCAAAAAATATCAAGAGATGAGGCATTTTTCCCTATCCCTGAGACCAGTCTCACTTTGGGGCTTCCTTTGGCCAAAGCGTGTGGCAGGAGTAATGCTTCCGGAGTCTAGGCCTCAAGAGTCCTTGTAGCTTCTGTTTTATTCTCTTGGAACCTGGAGATCATACCATAAAGAAGTCTGAGATGAAAGACCATGAAGACAAAGGCCCAGGTGTCCCAGCTGAGCCCAGGCCTCAGAAAACTTGGAGCTGAATGCAGCCACTTGAGCAAGCTCAGGTTAGAACTATCTGGCCAGCTCTCAGAATCATGACAAATACAGTCATACTTTGGAGATATTGTGGGTTTGATTCCAGACCACCACAATAAAGCAAATGTCACAATAAAGTGAGTCGCAGAAATTTCTTGGTTCCTCAGTGCATATAAAAGTTATTGTTACACTATACTGTAGTCTATTAAATGTGCATTTGCATTACTTCTAAATAAAACAATGTTTATACGTTAATTAGAAATACTTCATTGCTAAAAAATGTTAATGATCATCTGAACCTTCATCCAGTTATAATCTTTTTGCTGGTGGAGGGTCTTGCCTCAGTGTTGATGGCTTCTGACTGAGGAGGGTGGTAGTTGCTGAAAGTTGGAGTGGCTTTGGTGATTTCTTAAAATAAGACAACACTGAAGTTTGCTGCAGTGATTGACTCTTGTTTTCATGAAAGATTTATTTGTGGCATGCGATGCTGTTTGACTGCATTTTACCCACAGTAGTACTTCTTTCAAAATTGGAGTCAGTCCTCTCAAACCATGCTGCTACTCTATTGACTAAGTTTATGGAATATTCTCAATCCTTTGTTGTCATTTCAACAGTGTCTTTGCTAGGAGTAGATTCTGTCTCAAGAATCTACTTTGGCCAGGCGTGGTGGCTCAAGCCTGTAATCCCGCACTTTGAGAGGCCAAGGAGGGCGGATCATGAGGTCAGGAGATCAAGACCATCCTGGCTAACACAGCGAAACCCCGTCTCTACTAAAAAATACAAAAAATTAGCCAGGCGTGGTGGCGGGCGCCTGTAGTCCCAGCTACTCGGGAGGCTGAGGCAGGAGAATGGCATGAACCTGGGAGGTGGAGCTTGCAGTGAGCCAAGATCGCGCCACTGCACTCCAGCCTGGGTGACAGAGCGAGACTCCGTCTCAAAAAAAAAAACAAACAAAAAGAAGTCACTTTATTTGCTCATCTATAAAAAACAACCCCTCATCTGTTAAGATTATATCATGAGATTGCAGCAATTCAGTCAATGTGAGAACTACAGTGAAGTAACTTTATGATTCTTCTTAAACCTTAGAAAGATGTCATTTCAAGCTCCACTTCTAAATGTAGTTCTCTTGCTATTTCTACCACATCTGCAGTTACATTCCTCATTGAAGTCTTGAAACCCTCACAGTCACCCATGAGGGTTGGAATCAACTTCTTCCAAACCTCTGTTAATATTAACATTTTGACTGCTTCCTATGAATCACAGATGTTCTTAATTATATCTAGAATGGTGATTTTCAATTTACTTTGCCCAAATTCATGAGAGGAATCACTAATCACTATCTGTGGCAGCTATAGCCTCATGAAATGAATTTCTTAAATAATAATAATTGAAAGTCACAATTACTCTTTGATTCATGGGCTGCAGAATGATTGTTGTGTTAGCAGGCATGAAAACATCAATCTCCTTGTACGTCTTCATCAGAACTCTTGGGTCACCAGATGCATTGTCAATGGCAGTAATATTTTTACAGGAATATTTGTTTTTGTGCAGTAGATCTCAACAGTGTGCTTAAAATATTCAGTAAACCATGCTGTAAACAGATATACTGACATCCAGGCTTTGTTGTTCCACTTATAGAGCACAGACAGTGTAGATTTAGTATAATTATTAAGGGCCCTAGGATTTTCAGATATCAAATGAGCATTGGCTTCAACTTAAAGTCTCTGACTGCATTCAGAGCCTAACAAGAGAGTCAGCCTGTTCATTGAAGCTTTGAAGCCAGATATTGACCTCTCCTTTTGGGTTATGGAAGTCCTAGATGGTGTCTTATTCCAATATAAGGCTGTTCCATCTACATAGAAAATCTACTGTTTAGTGTGGTCACCTTTGTCAATTATTTTAGCTAGATCTTCTGAATAACTAGCCACAACTTCCACATCAGCATTTGCTGCTTCACCTTGCACTTTTATGCAAGGTGAAGATACATACAAGGAGATGGTTTCTTTTCCTAAATCTTATGAACCAACTTTTGCTAGCTTCAAACTTTACTTCTGCAGCTTTCTCACCTCTCTCAGATGTCATAGAACTGAAGAGAACTGGGTCCTTGCTCTGGATTAGGCTTTGGCTTAAGGGAATGCTGTTACTGGTTTGATTTTCTATCCAGACCACCAAAACTTTCTGAATATCAGCAACAAGGCTGTTTTGCTTTCTTATCATTTGTGTGTTCACTGGAATAGCACTTGTAATTTCCTTCAAGAGCTTCTCCTTTGCATTCACAACTTGGCTAACTTTTTGGTGCAAGAGGACTAGCTTTTGGCCTTTTTGGCTTTCAGCATGCCTTCCTCACTAAGCTTAATCATTTCTAGCTTTTCATTTAAAGTCAGAAATGTGTTGCTCTTCTTTTCACTTGAATATTTAGAAAGCATTGTAGGGTTCTTAATTAGCCTAATTTCAATATTGTTGGGTGTCAGGGAATAGTGAGGCCAGGGGAAAGGGGAAGAGATAGGAGAATGACTAGTTGGTTAAGCAGTCAGAACACATACACCATTTATTGATTAAGTTTGCCATCTTATATAAGTGAGATTCATGATGCCCCCAAACAATTACATCAGTAACATCAAAGGTCACCGATCACAGATCACCATAACAGATATAATGGTAATGAAAAAGTTTGAAATATTGTGAGAATTCCCAAAATGTGAGACAGAAACACAAAGTGAGCACATGCTATTTGACAAATGATGCTAATAGACTTGCTCCATGCATAACCTTTAACTTGTAAAAAACACAGTATCTGTGAAGTGTATTAAATCATGGTGCAATAAAGTAAGGTATGCCTGTGATGAAACTATTGCTATTTAAGCCACTGTGTTTTAAAGTAGTTGGTAACACAGCAATAGATAACCAAAATAATGAGGCACATTTCAGGTTTTCATTTTATTCTGATAAACTAAAATGTTAAGCATCCTGATGAATATCTTAGGCTTTGTAAATTTTTAAAAGCACTTACAATTGTTGTTGATCTGTGATCTATCCTTCCGATTGTTTAAAAGTAACATATAAACATGATACAAATATCCAAACACTGCAGGAGGGTAGAAAATGAAAGTCAAAGTCATCTTCCACACCTAGATCCCCAATCCATTTCTTCAAAGTTAAACACTGTTAAAAATTTCTTCTGGATCCTTCCAGTAAAGATAGGTTACACACACACATGCATATCTATAGCTATGCCAATATCTATAACCATCTCCTTTTTTATATATAGCAACTGTATTAAATATACTGTTTTGCACTTTGGTGGGGTTTTATTTTCACTATTTGTTTACCTCAAACACATTTCCATCATCTGGGGACCTATTTCATAATGTTGCGCTGTAAAGATGGATTCATGATGGGCAGTTGCATTGTTTCTTTTTTTTTTTTTTTTTTTTTTTTGAGACGGAGTCTCGCTCTTTCGTCCAGGCTGGATTGTAGTGGCGGGATCTCAGCTCACTGCAAGCTCCGCCTCCCGGGTTCACGCCGTTCTCCTGCCTCAGCCTCCCGAGTAGCTGTGACTACAGGTGCCCACCACCGCGCCTGGCCAATTTTTTGTGTTTTTAGTAAAGACGGGGTTTCACCGTGTTATCCAGGATGGTCTTGATCTCCTGACCTGGTGATCCACCTGCCTCGGCCTCCCAAAGTGCTGGGATTACAGGCATGAGCCACTGTGCCTGGCCATGGGCAGTTGCATTGTTTCTAATCCTGAATATACATATGAGCACATCTTATA
This sequence comes from Homo sapiens, assembly GCF_000001405.40. Taxonomy (NCBI): domain Eukaryota; kingdom Metazoa; phylum Chordata; class Mammalia; order Primates; family Hominidae; genus Homo; species Homo sapiens. The sequence goes on along the minus strand of NC_000017.11, from coordinate 34,016,089 downwards.
CTTTTGCTTACATATCGATGGATATTGCTTGCATGTTCTGGACGAAAGGACATGTTCATTTTATGTTTTGAGAGGTACATTTATTTTGACAGTCCAATATAAAAAGAGTTTTGTGACCATTGTAGCATCTGCTCTATATACTTAAAATGTATTATCCCATATGAGCCTCATGGTAGGCACGTGAGTTGGTCATCTCCCCATTTTATAAAAAGAGAAACTGAATCTTAAGAGGTTGGGCATTTGCCCAAGGTCACACAACTAGTAAAATGTTTTGTTTGTTTGTTTTTTATTTTGTTTAACCTAAACGTCTTACTATTTCACAAGGACCAAAGGAGTTGGCAAAGTCCAAACCTAAAACATGCTAAGAAAATCTTATTACGAAAGGAATATAGAATTAGAGTTTTCTCATTCATGTACTCTTCTGTGGCCATCATAGGGTAGCTGATTTCTCCAGAACATGAGATTTTTGAAATGATGAAGATGAGGGCTTATTGTAAAAAAATTCCACAACATCCCTGTGAGAAGGGAGGAGGCAGCAGCCTCTGAGATAGGAGAGCAGATGCTCTGTAGCAGAGCCTCGCCCCTGGGCCTCATGAAGCTGAGATGAGCCATACATGGCCTGGCCGGATGGCACTCCAACAGGATCACACTCAACATTCTTTGGCCTGGAATCCCTGGTAGGCTCTCAGCTGTGGGAGCCTTGCATTTCCTGTGGAATTCAGCTGTGAACTAAAACCTTGACAGGGCAGCCCAAGACCACTACAGGGAAACTGGACTGTGATGAGGTTTAAACTGGAGTCTCTACCCTTGCACATTGGAAGTAAGAGCCTTTCTGTCACCCCAAATTGTAGCCCCAGACTTAAAGATGAAGAGCGGGGATAGGCTAGGCATAGTTGCTCGTCCCTGTAGTCCCAGCACTTGGGGAGGCCAAGGCAGATAGATCTCTTGAGCCCAGGAGTTTGAGACCAGCCTGGGCAATGTAACAAAGCCCCGTATCTACAAAAAAAAAAAAAAAAAAAAAGGCAGAAGAAAGAAAAATTAGCGAAGTGTGGTGGTGCACACCTGTAGTCCCAGCTACTTGGAAGTCTGAAGTGGGAGGATTGTTTGAGCCTGTGAGGTCGAGGATTCAGTGAGCCGTGATTGTGCCACTGCACATCAGCCTGGGTGACAGAGCAAGACTCAGAAAAAAAAAAAATGCAGCGATATTATTTCCAAGAGGATTAAGGCGGAGGGATCTGGGATAAAAGAAACTACTAATTGTGAGTGAGTACCTAACACATGCCAAGCATTCTATATGCATCGTTCCCATTAAGCCTTGCAACATGCATGGGGAGCTATCCATGTCCCCATTTCAGAGATAAGGAAGCAGAGGTTCAAGGGCTCAGTTTTCAGAAGTGGGCCTCAAGGTCTGGACCAGATTGGCAGCTAGGGTGTTCTAGGCTTCTGTTCTGAAGCTGCTTGGTTTCTGCCTGCCTGTGGCCACGTTTGGTGTTTGAGAGCAGAGCAGGGCTGGGCCTTGCACCTAGGTGTCTGTGGACGGGGCCTGGAAGCTACCCAAAGCCTGAGAAAAGGAGTTCATATTTAGGGCACCCTTTCTTACTTTACCCACTCCCTGCATTCTGCTCAGGGAGGTTACATAGCATAGCCAATGTCTCGAGCTCCTGATGGTGGCACCCCAAACTGAATGCAAAGCCCAGAAACTTACTGCCAGATGAGGGAGGAAGAGTGGCATAATGGTTAGAGCACAGGCTCCGGCCAAACCACCTGGTTTCACATCTGGAGCCTTGCCACATGGTAGCTATGGGTGACCATCAAGTTAACCTCTCTGTGCCTTGATTTCCTCTCCTGTAGAAGCAGATTAAAAGCATTACTTACCTCATTTAGTTTATTGAAATCATGAAGTAAGTTAATTCACATAAAGAGCTGAGAATAGTGCCTGGCACATAGTAAGTACCCAATAAATGGGAATTTCCTTTATTACTCCCCCAAACTATCACCATGTCCAGTAATGAACCAAGAGCAGCTCTAGGAGAGGAGAAAAGGAAGGGGAGACTCCCTTTACCAAGTTGACTCTCCCCTCTGGGGTGCTGGCTATCCTAAGGTCTCTTAGCCGGATAGACTGGCAGACTCCCTGCTTTGAACCTGCCTGGTGTCCATCTGTCCACGATGTATCCCATACCCCTTATCTATCAGGGCCAGGCACACTGAGGGCTGCGGGGTAAAGAAAGCAGAGGCCATCTGATCTATTATTCAGGTGCCCCCTGCCTGGAGAGTGCATGCACATGTCTGAGGGTAAAGGTAGGACAAGGAAACCAGGTAAAGAGAAGTCCTGGGCCCTCCAGTCAGAAGCCTCTTCATATGCTGACTCTACCCTTTAGCAATGTGGCCTGGAGAAGCGACTTACCCTCTCAGAGCCCCAGTTTCCTCATCTTCCATAACAGCACCCATGTGGTGTGACTGGCAAGGAATAGGCCTTCAGTGGCTTCTCTTCCTGGCCACCTAGCCCTGAAGCCCCTCATCTTGTCTCAGCACAGCCTTTCATTTGTTCATAAACTCCTTATTCTGCATCTTCTATGCTAGGCACTGGGAATGCAGGGATGGTTAAAACAGACACAACCTCTCTCCTCAAGGGTCTTATTGACTCCATTGCATGTATGGCAAATTGCAAAGGGGACCGTTAGGAACTGTAGGAGCTGCCCCAGGAAGAGACCTTTGCAGAGGACCTGGAAGGGGGTGGGCCTGGGAGGCGGAGCATTCTAGTTCTACAGTCTGTGTTCCAGTTGGATCTCTCAGGCCCACACTTTCCCACCCTTCCTATGCTGTGCTCCACCCAACCCCAGGGACAACATCTCGTCTCAGCTCCCTGTTGACATGGAGACTCCTCTGACAAACTCTCCCTCTGGTTACCCCAGGATTCCACTGCCAGTTGGCCCCCGTCTATCCTTCCTTTCTTTGCCTGGAGCTCCCAGGCACATCTGATTCCATCAAATCCAATTTTCTCCCTTTCCATCAGGTTCCCCTCTCCAGGGGGGTTGAGCCAGGGCACATGATCAACTATTTCAGTGAGGCTGTCCCCCTCACTGCTTCCTGACTCAAAGCAGGGGGGCTGCCTCCTCCAGAGCCAGGTGGGGAAGTGGGGGACATTGCCCTGAGAAAATGGTGCTTTCTGTTGTCATGGCAACTGTTGCTAGGTGTCACCAGGAACCCACACTAGCGCTTGACCTTCCCAGGAAAAAAGCAGGGCTCTGAGTGAGACCTGAACTCTTTCCCTGGGCTGAGTTAGTTTGCCTCATTCATTCATTCATTTATTCAATAAACATTTTCTATGTACTGTGACTGTGGTAGTCTCCGGGAATTTAGAAAAAAAAAAATCATTCTCTGTCCATAAGGAGTTCAATATAGTAGGAGAGAAAAAAATGCAAATCTAAGGTGATATTGGGCCGCATGAGGGTTATACTGAAAATCTAAACAGGGCACTCTGAGACCAGAAAGAGGCATTTAACCCTTTCTAAAGGCTGAGAGGGCTCATCAGGAAAAGCTCCCTAAAGGGGGCAACAGTGGTGTTGAATATTTAATTATTTAAAGCAGACCAAGAATCACAGGGAGGCCATGCAGCCTGTAGCAGTACCCAGGCCAGTTGTGGGATGTGCAACCGCATGAAAATGTTCGAGTAAAAATAGTCTGGAAAATCCGTGGTATTGCATATGTTTCAAGGGAGTGGCACCAGAGAAGGCTGAGACGTTTAGTGGAGATAGGCTATAAAGATGCTGGGACTGCATCCTTCAGACAGGTAGCTACTGTCTAAATGTGGCTTGGGATGGCATGTTACAATTGGAGGCATCGAGATATTTCTGTGGGTTGGGTCATGGTGGTTCGGGGGCCTGGAGTTTCTCATCAATGAGGTGTTCAGGTTTCCGTGACCGCTTGAATGCAATGGATTACAAGGAATGGGAAGGAAATCTGGATTGACTTCTAGACTCCCCCTGGCTTGGTGTCAGGCAGGGATGGTGTTGCAAATAACCAAAATAAGGGGAGGGAGGAAGGAGGGAGGTGGTGGCAGAACAGAGAAAAGTTGGTAAGTTCAGTCTGGCCTCCTGGAGGTGCCTGCAGGAACCATGAGTGAAAATGCCCAACTGACTGCTATTGACCTGAGATGTCAGGTGCAAGGCACAGGTGTCCATGAGGGCTGAGGCCAGGACCTTGGGACACAGGAGTGTCTGAAGGGTAAACTGCTGAACACTGAGAAGGAGCACTCAGAGAAGGGGCGGGGAGTGGGGTGAGTGGTGTCACAGGAGCCAGAAGGGAGCGAGCCATGGGGTCAGATGCTACTTAAAAGTCTGGTAATATGAGGACTAAAAGGAGTGCATTTGATTTGGCAATTAGCCCCTTTGTGACTTTGCTGGAGAGGTTTCCATGGAGTGGTGGAGGCAGAGGGCTGAGGAGTGCTGGGAGGAGTGGAGGCGGAGGCCATGCCTATTAACCTCTCCTTCAAGGAGCTCAGCGGCAAAGGGAAGGAGAGATGGGCTAGGGAGGAGGGCGGGGAATGGAGGATTTCTAGCATGTAGGGAATTCAAACACATTGTGGGTTGTTGAGAAGAAGCCATGGGAGGGGGAGGTTAAAGACATTGGGCTATGAATGGGAGGTGGAGAGGTAGCCAGTGTTGCCTGTGAACTGGATATGTTGCTGGGAGTTACCTGCAAAATAGAGTGTAGCCCTTGCCTTAGTGAGTGACCTGAGCCCAAAAAAATAGACCTTAAGTGGGAAGCAAGGCTGGGGGCAGGTAGGAGGAAGGCACGGGCATGAAAACAGAAAGGGCCAAGGTATGTGCGTCTATGTGTGTGGCTGCGTTTCTGTTTCAGTGTGTCTGTGGGTCTGTGTCTGTATATGTCTATGTGTGTGTGCATCTGTGCATGTTTGACTGGAGGCATCTCTATGTGTCTATGTGTGTGTGTGTGTGCCTGTGTCTGACTCAAGGCATCTGTGTGTGTCTGTGTGTGTGTGTGCATGTGTCTGCCTGGAGGCATGTGTGTGTCTGTGTGTGTGTGTGTGTGTGTGCATGTGTCTGACTTTGGCATCTGTGTGTGTGTGTGTCTGACTAGAGGTATGTGTGTGTGCGTGTGCATGTGTCTGACTGCAGGAATCTGTGTGTGTCTGTGTATGTGTGTTTGTGCATGTGTCTGACTAGAAGCATTAATTAAGACAACACTCTGAGCAGGGGTTGCAGTGGATTGAAGGAGCCTGGAGTGTTTTATTGGTAAGTTGTTTAGGTTTTTGTAGCCACTTGAATCAGTGGGTTGTGTGTGGGTGGGTGTGTCTGTGTGTGTATCTATGGGTCTGAGTGTTTGTATGGGTGTTTCTCTGTACATGTCTGTGTGTGTCTGTGTGGTTATGTCTGTGTATATCCCTGTGTGTATTTCTGTGTGTGGGTGGGTGTCTGTTTCTGTGTGCCTCTCTGTGTGTTTTTGTATGTTTGTGCGTATCTGTGTGTGTTAGAATCACATCATAGGGCATGTGTCAGAGTTGAAAAAACCCTGAGACATCATCTAGGCCAACGTCAACACAGTTGATCAAAAGAAGGCATCAGTCCCAGAGACATGGAGGGATAACTCAAGGTCCCAGAGAACAAAGGACAGAATCAGCTGCACTTTGGTCTCCAGATGGACTGTGCACAGCTTGAGCACCCAGGATACAGCCCAGTGGTGGAGTTCTTTTCAGAAGGGGAGGCCACTAGAGGCTTTAGAGCTTGCTGGCACCTCAGGGGCTGGTGCTCTTCTTTACCAGTGCTCATTTGGGTTATATCAAAATTGTTCCACAGTCTGAACTCAAAGGTCCAGCCCCAGATAGGTCAAAGTCACCTCGGAACATTTTCCCTGAGCCCTGGGTAAAGCCCAACCTAAGGAATGACCAGGTGATTCATATCCCCACTGCCCAATAGTTAAGGGCTGACTCACCCCTGCCCACCAGCCCAGGAGCAAAACCAGATACGTGGAGCCTCCCCTGATACTCTGGTGCTCAAACTCATGTGTGACAACCCTCTGTGCACTGCAAGTCAGAGTGGGTCGATGCTGCTGTTACAGCGGGAATTTCATTTCCGCCTGGATGTCTCATTTTGTCATCTCATTTGGTGACAAATCAAGGTGATTTATAGGGAGCAAGCCTGCATTTAGTGTGATGGTCTCATTCAAAATGTTAGCTCCTCATGCACCCCTCCCGTTACTGCCCTGACCTCACTCAATGGATATCTGTACATTCAGAAATAGAGAAATAAGGCTGGGGTTCTGAAAGCTCTAGCTCATTCCAATCCCCAAATTCAGGTCATTGCCAATGAGATGGGCAAGAGCTGATCTAAACTCCTCAAGGCCTGTTTTTAAACATTTAGCAGAAATGCCCCCTGCTGCAATATAAACCAGCATGTGCTTGGGATAAATGGTACTTACTTCCCTCAGAGCAGAGCTGTCTAATAGAAATATAATGTGAGCCTCATATGTGATTCAAATTTTTCTAATAGTCACATTTTAAAAAGTTAAAAGCAAGGGGTGGAATTAGTTCTTATAATGTCTTTTATTTAACCCAATATATCCAAAATAATATCATTTCAACATGTAATATGTATAAAAAATTATTAAAGAGATATTTTATATTCTTTTTTTGAGCTAAGTCTTCAGGACTCTGATAAGTATTTTACATTGACAGCCATTCTCATTTCAGACCTGCCACACTGCAGGCGCTCAATAACCTAGTGTGGCTGGTGGCTTTCACATTGGATGATGCAGCCTTGGGGCATCTCTAGGCTGCTGCTAGACACAAGGAATATGGTTGTTCTTTTAGATGATGCTGAGCTGAGGGCTCTGGATCTCAGTTTCTCCATCTGCGGAGTGAGGGCGATAGTCTCTGTTCATTTGACTTCCCAGAGGTGGTCTCTCCAAGTCGAATAGGACTCCCATTTTCCGGGCTGTTATTCTGAGAAATGATAAAACAGGATTACAAAATGGTGGGCTGGGAAAAAAAAAAAGGTGGACTGTGCTAAATATTTGCATTTAACAAATCTCTGTCTCAAATATCCCAAAATGGCCACATCTGTTTCTATAACCTCATTTAGGAATCAAAAGTCTAAATTTGAGGCTAAATCCAAATGTGAAGCCCCAGGCAAATGTCTTTCATGCCCAAATGTCCTTGTTGTCAGTTCTCTCCACTTCCATAATCTCCACTCTGATAGACTTTTCATTTTTGAAAAACAAATGCACATGTTCTCTGCAAACTCTGTACATGCTTGGGATGGCTAGGGGAGCTGCAGCCTTCGCTTTGGGCAAGGAAGAACCAGGGTGCTGGAGAAGGGTTTCTGGAACTCTCAAAGAGTGGAGGAATGGGAGGGAAGGGCCTCCATACAGGGGCCAAGTGTGTGAGTACAGGGAGGGAAGGCCCTTCCCTTGTCACAATAACAAATTCCTAGATATGTATGACTCCTCAGGCCCATTCCTGCAGCATTGGTCTCTCTCTCCCTCTCTCTTTCTCTCTCAGACAGACAAACCCAGGTTCAGCTTGCTGATTTTCTCTCCTTTCTGCCTAATCATGGCATGGTTTGTAGGGAGCTACTACATACCAGTCATTTGCAAGAAGAGATGATTTTCTTGCCCTAGAATCACTCTAAGATTCAGAAAGGACAAAGAAGATGAATGAGTCCCTCCCCTGGGTGTCATCTTGTCCCAGCCTCAATCTTAACAAGCTGTAACTCAGTGCCAAGCATAGAGTATGAGATTTAAAAAAGAGACTGATTCATGGCTTGGCTTACTGTAGAACAAGTTTGGGCGGGTCATTTCAACTTTCTGGTCTTTAGTTTCTCCATTCTGACATAGTGCCATCTCCCTGAGAATAGGAACTCTGCTTAGCACAGTGTCTGGAATAGTATAGTGACATAATTACTGCATTTGGAGAATGGTTAAATGTATGCATCAGTAAAATGGGATGAATAAAAATACCTGATTTTTTGTTGATTGTTTTGAGCCAAATGAGGAACTATACTGTACATACGCACATGAGCCACCTTCCCAGCCCCATCCATGCTAAAGGAAGAACTAATGATTTACCTATTTAGAAACTCAAAGAAACTGAGTGATTGAAAAATGAACCAAGGAGTATGTTTGTGTGTTGGAGGGGGTGGGGGAGCCTTCCTATGTAAGACATACTAAATACATTTTCATTGGGGGTATTTAGTGCATCTTACCTAGGAATTACCATTAGGCAACTGTAAAGCGTTTCTGCTTCTAAAATCAGCAAGCTCTTTTGGGGATGCTTTTGGGAACACCCTGCAAAGGGATTGGGAGAAACGAGGTTTGATGCCAGCTCTTGGACATGCATGCTCTAGAAGGAGGCAGGATGCAGTTTCAAAGCAGTGTTGAAGAGGAGAGGTGGCACAGAATGCTGAAAAGAGCACTGGACCAGGAGTTAGGAGACCTGGGACCTCATTCTGGCTCTGCCATGCATTCCATGTGATATCAGGCAAGTCATTTGCCCTCTGGGCTTGGGTACCTCCTCTGTTAAGGTTGATGTTGAATGCCAGATAATGTCTTCTGGCCCTTTGAGCACTACTCTGAGTTAAGTGTAAGCAGCTTATCCCAGCACTCCCAGTCTAGAACACAGCTACCTCCTTATTCTGCCAAAGCAAGAAGTTCTGTGTGCTGGGTTGGCAGTCAGGAAGAGTGAATTTCCATTCACTTCACAAGCACATTCACCTCCCCAGGGTGAGTAGTTTAGCAACAGTGAAGTTGCTGAAACCTGACTTTGGCAGAAGATGAGTTCAAAGGCTCCCTGACGGGGCACATCCTCCAATATGGGAGTTGCCCTTTTTGACAAGTAAGTGTAGGGGAATGAACTCCAGACTTAGGTTAGGAGACTTGAGCTCTAAAATCGATTTTGATGCTAACTCTCCTGTCACTTCAGAATCTTCCTTCCCCCCTCTGGGCTGCTGTTACCTTCCAGGAAAAGATGCCATTTGCTTTGATTATTTCAGAGTCCTTCATATTGTGGTCTTCCATGTCATGTCCCTTCCATGAGGCATGGTCAAACCAGGATGGGGATATCTGGCTGGTTTCCCACTCCTCTAGGCAGCTTGTTCATCTCTGTAAAATATCACCACTGGATGATCAGGCGTTTTAGCTGCCAGAAGTAGAGATCAGTTCTGACAGAGTAGACCTTGACCAAATCTCAAGCTACTCAGACTTCAGTTTGCAAAACAAACAACTAAAGAAAAAAAACCCACCAACAACAATAACAACAACGAAGACCAACTTATCTAGTTCCTATGCCCAGGAGTGTAAATCTGCCCTCTCCATGGGTCAGCCCCTTTTGATATTTCGGGTTTTGTCTTAGAGGTCTACTCTGATGTGATCGTTACAAAATTTACACATGTATCAAATCATCACATTGTTCCCCATGAATATATATAATGATTCTGTATCAATCAAAACTAAAAAATAAATATTTTTAAAAATAAGTGAAAATACCTTAAGAAAAATAAGATAACAATGGCTCTCACCTAAGAAAAACCTAAAAAGTAGGTGATATGAGTCTGATTTTCAGGTGAGGAACCTGAAGGTCAGAGTAATCATTTAAAACTCAAATTCAGTCATGTCACTTCCCAGCTTAAAACAAGTCAACACCTTCCTATTGCACCTGGAAATGAATCCACACTCTGCCCATCTCCTCCATCCCATTTCATCCTGCACTGGGCCACACTCTGGGCTGCAGCCACCCTGGCCTCTGCCAGAGCCTCGTTCATGCATGCCAGACTCTCTCCACTCCGTGAACTTTTGCACATGCTGATTCTTCCTCCTGGAAAGCTCTCCCAGCTCTTCAGCTGGAGGGCTCCTTCAAATCCTAAACACTTCAGCTTTAAATGCCATCGCCTCAGAGAAGCCTCTTAGGAGAATCCTAAGTAATCCCCTTCTAGCAATTAGTCTTTATCAGGGCACCAACTGCATCCTTCACGTGTTTCACAATTTAAATTTCTTATTGAGTTGCTGGCTTATTTATTTTTGGTCTGTCTTTCCCATTTGGCTATAAGCCCCAGGAGGACAGAAGCCATGATTGTTTATTCACCCCAATGGATCCGGTGCCTAACACAGTGCATGGCATACGCATATGTGGAAAGCAGACATGTTTGAAGGGCTCCAGCAATGCAAACATGACTCAGATGAAGGTCTTTGCTTTCAAAGATCTCATGATCAAATCAGGAAGGGGCACAAAGAGATGGCCACAGTTGAGTATGATCTTTTCTCCAGTAGATGTAAGTAAGTGACACTACAGCATCAGGGTACACAACTGTTAACTCTGCAGGCAAGGGCCACCGTGGGTAGTCAGGGAAGACTTTGCAGCAGAGATAATGTTTTGGTTTACATGTTGAAGACTAAGTAGAGATTTATTTGTGAGAGCTCCAGGTAAAATCATCCCAGAAAGGTGGATCTATATGAATGGTGGCCCAGAGGTGTGGAGAATAAGTGAGAATGAGGCATTTGGAGGAAAGTAAGTGTCTTTATGTGATGTGTATAGAGGAGCTTTTGAGGGCGGGGGGAACTAGAAGTGGCCAACTGTACCAAGCTCAGGAGACTCAACACTATCCTAAAGATAACAGGGGGAGAGAAAAAGGTGTTCAGTAGAGGAATAATCATATTTAAGTTTAGCTTTTAAAAACTTTTTTAAATTATAAAAATAATCCATACTCACTGTAGAAAAGTTTGAAGATAATAGAAACGTATCGAGAAACCAATGATCTGTGGCCAGCATGTAGGTGAGCCCCACTGGCAGTGTGTCCAGCACCAGGATGAGAAAGGGGTTGGAGCAGGCTGGGACTGGAGGCAGAAGAGCCCTTTATGAGCCTTACAGGAGTAAAAAGGGAGAGTTGATGAGGGCCTGAGCCTAGATGGAGGTTAGGTAAAGGATGTTGGAAACTTTTATGAAGATGAATCTTTTAGGCAAGGGCAAGCAGTGGGCTATGGGAGATGTGAAAGGGGGCTGTGCTCACCCCTCATCCCCTGAAAGAGAGCTGAGCACCTAATGCATAGCATTAGGTCTAGTCTAGCATCAGGCATAAGCATGAATGTTTGATGGCTTCCTCCAGAAACCTCCTGTGGTCCCCTAGCACATCACAAGAACATCATTCATGGCAGGAAGGTGAAATGCAGTGAACTTGGGAACTCTACCTCCCTACCCCCACCCACCCCTCATGCTGCCATGCTTAGAGTTAGCTATAAAGTAAGGGGTCTTTCTTGTGTGCAGAAATGCACTGTTTGCCACATGGGACATCAGAAAAGCAGGCCTACAAGGGACCTCAAAAATCATCTAGTCCAATCCCTTATCATTGAATGGGCAAGAAGCTCATATTTACTCTGCAATGGTTTAGTCTTTGTCCTAACTATATGTGGTAGGTATTGTTCTTATTCTCACTAAACAGAAGCAGAAACTGAGCCAAGAGAGATTAAGTGTCTCACGTAAGGTCACAGAAAAGGCCATGACTGCATTCAAAGTCAGGTCTCTCTGAATATAGCTCATGTCTATTCTACAGCAGCACACTATTCCTCCTTTGGAGGAGGGAACTATAGTCCAGGGAGATGAACAGTGGCTTGCCTGAAGCAAATCGTTGGCAGAACAAGAACGACAAGACAGATCGCTTAATTCCTACTGCATACCACTACTTCTTGGGCTGTTGCTAGTCTGTGTCTATTATGGGTTTGGCTCTTCACTGAGTGATGTGGTGGGAGGGGATGGTGGATGCAGAACCAAAAAAGCCTGGTTTCGCATTCCTAGATGGTTTATGATCTTCCTAAGGAGGTGGCTCCAAAGCTGGTGACCAAAATGACTAAAACAGACTTACAGCCTTCCTTTTCCTTTTCCTTTTCCTTTTCCTTCTCCCATCTCCCATACTTTACTCCTTCTCCTTTTATCAACTGGTCATCACGGCTGAGGATAAGAGATAAAGTACTCAACAAACTCTCATCCAAAGGGTCCCACCATAACTGGTAACCAGAGTAGGAAGGAATGCATGAAGGAGGTCTTTCAGGAAGGCACTCAAATCATAGATGCCAGCATTCTGTAGTCGACCTCAAGTTCAGGCATCAGATGGCCAATTGCATGCTGGCTGTTTTAAGATGCTTGTTGCATGGACATGGGCAGAAAAAAGGAAGCCAGGGAGGATTGCAAGTCAGGCCAAGTGCCAATGATACGGAAACACACAGTCTTTAGAGCCAATATCTGCTTCATGGGAGGACACAGGATAGATCTGACTGACTTTTGCTCGCTGTGGTCAGAGGCAGTGAGAGAGAAGAGCAGGGGTCTTGGGCCCAGACAGACATGGGTTCAATTTATAGCACTGATAATGTATAGCTGTGGGACCTCGTGCAGTGATTTAACCTCTGAAAGTTTTCTCACCTTTAAATGGTGAGGAAAATACTGATGTGAAAAATATACAAAAGAAAACACGCAAAGCACCTAGCCTTGCTGGAAACATCAGTTAATCATGATGATGATCATGATGATGACAATGATAATGATGATAATGGTGTTAATGATGGTGATGAAGACTGATCACAGTCTGCCCTTCTTTTTGAGAAATTTGGAAAATGAAATCTCTTTGATTCCCACTAATGCTTTAAGCTGTGTCAAGCAACAGATGGGTTGGGGAGGTGAAGGGGGATGACTCAAATATTTAGCTCCTGCTCTGTACCATCTACTACAAAAGGCTCACCTGCATACTTTTTTCTTCATCTCATTTCTCATGAGAATCCTGTGAAATCTGTCTTATCATCCATATCTTATGAATGAGAAAACTGAGGTCAAAGAGGTTAAGTCATTTTCTCAAAGTCTCATAGTAATTAAGTTACAGAGCCAGGATTTGATATCAAGACCACAGGGCCCTCTCTTTTATTGACTCGACTTCTCGTGAACTACTTGAGATAGGATTCCATGGCTTCTCAACTGTGAGGTTTTTTTGTCGTATTGGAACATTTCTGGATAAACTCTGACCCACAACCATCCCAGCAAGGAGACCAGAGCAGAAGTCCCAACAATTATACCTTGAACTGTGTTGTCTCTGATAGGCATCATTCATTCCTTTTTATTCTGCTATTATTCAAAAATTCAGCGGTGTTTATTGAGTCAGACACTACTTTTGGCCCTAGGAATAGAAAGAAGAAAGACAGGAGTGAGATTAATGATAGATAACAGCAATGTATTTGTTTGATACATTTGATAGATGTAAATCATAAATTGTATGTGGAGGTATCAGTCAGTATCCAGTCAGGAGAAAAAAACCATACCAGCTTTTTTTAAACAAAGAGAATTCAATCAAAAGAATTATTCACTAGGAATAATGAATTGTTAACTAGGTAACTCAAAGGGCAAAGAGAAAACAATAAGTTATTCCGGATACAGCACAGTTTCCCTTGGACTGAGGAAACAAAATGAAGATGTTGGAATTTTTAAAATATAGAATCTTGGAGATCAGACCCTGCAGAGCTGAAATTAAGCTCTTTGAGGAGAGCACCTTTCCTGCTGGTGCTAGTGGTTCTGAATATGTTGGAGGCAACCTGTTTAATTCGGACTTCTGAGAAGGGACCACCAACCAGTTGCTGTTGATGTTGCTGAGGAAATACAATAAAATGTGTTCTTAAATGTTGGGAAAAATCTGAAGCCTGGATCCAACTGATGCTACAGGACCAGAATACTACTTCTGGGATGGAATGCAAGACTGGCATGATGCTGCTAAGAAAAGGAAGCAGACAGAATGTTTACAGGAAGTAAATTGAAAGACAGGAATTTCTTCTTTTTTCTCCTACCTTGCAGCCTCCTTATAGTTCCCTCTGTTGGCAACATTCAACAGGAATCTGGCTGGAAAAGCAGAAATGTGGTTTGTAGAGTCCTATCACAAAACAGTGTATAGAAGGATGGGTTTGAAGTTGATAGACAATCGTGGACAAGAATAGAGACTCAAAATACTGATTGAGTTAGAGAAGGCTGCCTGGAAGGCATGGCATCACTTTCAGAGGAGAGTTTGAATCTTGAGGGATGTGAGTAGAACAGAGTAAGAGGATAAAATGTTAATGGTGACATGAGTTGTTTTAATAAATAAAAGTAAAACCCATAAAAAGACACACATAGAAGTAATGTCAACAAAATGAAGGGATAGGAGTTTTCAGAACTCATATCCTTGCAGAAACATCAATTTGAACAACTATCCATGTGCAAAAATATCTTCACAAGAGCTGAAGGAATCCAGGAGAGAGAGTACAGCACCCAAGTGGAACACAGAAATAAGAAAAGATGCACTAAACAGGGTAGAAAGGACAGTTTCACATTACCTGTGTCATCCTTCTCCTAAGCCCAGGCAATACATCATGGAGATACCCTCTATGTGGGGGAAGAAGAGTGAAGCGATCATCCATCTTTGCCATGGACCATGGCATTAGGCCTAACCCAGGCTCCAGGCCAGATCAGACAGCCCCAGCCCGGCTACAAGCCGACTCCCAGGGACTCAGGCTTCAGACCCACCCCAGTTCTCTTGAAGATCCAGACTCCAGGTGCATCTCCATGGACCCAGTTGCTAGGACCACCTCAGTGGATGCTGATGCCAGACCAGCACCAGCCCCACTGGACCCAGGGTCCAGGCCTACACCTATAGATTCAGTTTTCAGGCCTGCCCCCATGGACCCACACACCAGGCCTGTCCACACAGACCCAAACTCCAGGCCCACACCAGTGGACCAGTCTCTAGGACCTCCCACATGAGGACTCCAGCAGCAAGCCCACCCATGGACCTCATCAGATGGCCCACCCAGAACTTCTGAGAAAGTAAGCTGGTGAAGAGATTAACTTGCTGAAGCTAGTCTGTAAAGACTGAAGGAGGTACCTACATCATCAAATACAGACACCAACACAAGGCAACAAGGATTATGTATATTCATAGAAACATGATCCCACCAAATGAACAAAATAAAGCACCAGTAACCAACACTAAAGAAATGGAACTATATGAATTGCCTGACAAATAATTTAAAATAATCCTCTTAAAGAAGCTTAGTGAAGTATAAGAGAATACAGATAGAAAAGTAAACAAAATCAGAAAAACAATACATGGAAAAAAATGAGAAGTTCAACAAAGAGACAGAAAAAACACAAAAGAACCAAAGATAAATTCTGGAGCTGAGAAACACAGTAACTAAACTAAAAATGTTCATAAAGAGTTTCAACAGCAGACTCAATCAAGCAGATTTAGTGAGTTCAAAGACAGGTAATTTGAAATTATTCAAAGGAATAAAAAGAAAAAAGAATGAAATAGAGTGAAGAAAGCCTACAGGACGTGGGGGATACCATCAAGCAAATCAATATTTGCATTATAGGAGTCCCTGAAGGAGCAAAGAAAGAGTAATGGGCAGAAAGCTTATTTAATAAATGGTGACATAAAACTTCCCAAACCTGGAGAGAGTAATGAACACTCATACCTATGAAGCCCAAAGAACTCCAGATAGATTAAATATAAAGTGATCTTTGGCTGGGTGTGGTGGCTCACACCTGTAATGCCAGCACTTTGGGAGGCTGAGGTGGGTGGTTCACCTGAGGTCAG
The DNA here is from genome assembly GCF_000001405.40 of Homo sapiens. Taxonomy (NCBI): domain Eukaryota; kingdom Metazoa; phylum Chordata; class Mammalia; order Primates; family Hominidae; genus Homo; species Homo sapiens. Next base: position 34,000,478 of record NC_000017.11, on the reverse strand, counting down.
AAGTTCGAGATCAGCCTGACCAACATGGAGAAACCCCATCTCTACTAAAAATACAAAATTAGCTGGGCTTGGGGTGGCACACGCCTGTAATCCCAGCTACTTGAGAGGCTGAGGCAAGAGAATTGCTTGAACCCAGGAGGTGGAGGTTGCGGTGAGCCGAGATCGCACCATTGCACTCCAGCCTGGTCAAAAAGAGTGAAACTCTGTCTCAAAAAAAAAAAAAAAAAATAGATCTCCACTGACATATGTTATAATCAAATTCTCAAATTCAAAGGCAAAGAGAATTTTAAGAGCATCAAGAGAAAAGCAACTTGTCACATGCAAGGGAACCTCCAGAAGTGTATCAATTGATTTCTTAGCAGAAAACTTGAAGGCCAGAAGAGAGTGGGATGATATATTCAAAGGACTGAAAGAAAAAAAAAAAACAACAATAACACTTTCAACCAAAAATACTATACTTAAGAAAGCTGTCCTTGAGAAATGAAGGGGAGATAAAGACTTCCACAGACAAACAAAATCTGTGGGAGATCATCACCACTAGAGCACTTTACAAGAAATGCTGAAGAAAGTTTTTCTATTAGAAATAAAAGGACATTAACAGCATAAAAACATGAAAGTTTAAAACTCACTGTAAAGGTAAAAATATAGCTAAATCCTGAATGTTTTAATACTGTAATGGTGGTGTATAAACCACTTTTAACACTAATATAAAAGTTAAAGGAAAAGATATTAAAATAACTATAGCTACAACAATTTATTAATGGATATACAATATATAAAAGATAGAAATTGTGACATCAATAACATAAAATGTGAGAAAAGGGAAAGCCAAAGTGAAGAATTTTTGTATGTGATTGAAGTTAAGTTGTTATCAGCTTAAAATACACTGTTATACTCTAAGCTATTTTGCGTAAGACTTATGGTAACCACAAAAGTAAACTACCTGTAGTACATACAGATAAGACACAGAGAAAGAAATCCTAGCATGCAACTATGAAAAATTATCAAATCATGAAAGACGACAACCAGAGAGGAAGAAAGGAACAAAGAAACTACAAAACAATCAGAAATCAATTAACAAAATGGCAATAGTAATGCCTTACCTATTGATAATTACTTTGTGTAAATGGATTAAATGCCCCAATCAAAAGACATACAGTGACTAAATGGATTTTTTTTAAAGACCCAACTATATGCTGCCTACAAGAGATTTATTTCAGCTTTAAGATCACACATAGGCTGAAATTCAAGGGACAGAAAAAGGTATTCCATGACAATGGTAACCAAAGAAAAGCAGGAGTAGCTCTGCTTATATCGGACAAAATAGATTTTAAGTGCAAAATGGTTGCAAGAGATGAAGAAGGTCATTACATACTGATAAGGGGGTCAATTAATCAAGAGTATATAGCAATTATAAATATATATACATCCAACATTGGAACACCTAAATATATGAAGGAAATATTAACAGAACTAAAGGGTAAAACAGACAACAACATTAGTAGGAGGCTTCAATATCCCACTTTCAAAAATGGATAGATCATGAAGACAGAAAATCAATGTGGAAACAACAGACTTGAACAACACTATAGACCAAATGGACCTAACAAACATACAGAACATTCCATCTGACAGTAGCAGAATACATATTCTTTTCAAGTGCACATGGAACATTCTCTAGGATAAATCAAATTACACTATAAAACAAGTATTAACAAATTTAAGAAGATTAAAATCATATTCAGTATCTTTTTCAACCATAGTGCTATGAAATAAAAAATCAAAACCAGCAGGAAAAGTGAAAAATTCACAAATATTTGGAAATTAAACAACACATTCTTAATAACCAATGGATTAAAGAAGAAATAAAATGGGAAACCAAAACATATCTTGAGAAAAATGAAAATGAAAACACAACATACCAAAACTTATGGGATACAGAAAAACACTGCTCTAAGAGGGAGGTTTATAGCAATAAATGCCTACATTAAGACAAAAGAAAGATTTTAAATAAACAAGCTAACTGTATACCTCAAGGAACTAGAAAGGAAGAACAAAGTCCAAAGTTAGCAGAAAGAAGAAAATAATAAAAATCAGAGCAGAAATCAATAAAGCAAATGAGCAAAACAATGAAAAATATCAATGAAACTGAGTTGTTTTTTAAAAAGATAAATAAAATTGGCAAACCTTTAGCTGGACTAAGAAAAAGAGAAAACTCAAATAAAATTATAAATAAATAAGATGTTACAACTAATACTGCAGAAATACAAAGGATCATAAGGGAGTACTATGAGCAATTACATGCCAATGAATTAGATAACCTAGGAAAAATGAATAACCTTCTAGGGAACATACCATCTACCAAAACTGAACCATGAGGCAACAGATAATCTGAACAGGCCAATAACAAGAAAGGAGATTGAATCAGTAAACAAAAATCTCAGAACAAAGAAGAGCCTGGGACCTGATGGCTTCACTGATGAATTCTAGCAAACATTTAAAAAATAATTCAATTATTTAAAAAATAATGCCAATTCTTCTCAAACTTTTTCAAAAAATTGAAGAGAGAAAAACACTTCCAAACATATTTAATGAGGTCAGCATTACCCAGATACCAAAGCCAAACAAGAACACTACAGAAAGGAAAATCACAGACCAATATCCCTAATGAATGTAAAGCAAAAATCCTCAAAAAAAAAAATTAGCAAGCCAAATTCAACAGCACCTCAGAAGGATCATATACTGTGATCCAGTGGGATTTATCCCTAGGATGCAAGGATGATTCAGCATACACAAATCAGCAAATGTGATACACCGCATTCACAGAATGAAGGATAAAAATTATATGATCATCTCAATAGATGCGGAAAAAGCATTTGATAAAATTCAACATCCTTTCATGATAAAAACTCTCAACAAATTAGGTATAAAACTATAACTCAATACAATAAACACCATATATGAGAAGCCCACAGGTAGCATTGTATTCAATGATGAAAAAAATATCTAAAAGAAATAAATGTAGAGCCAGGCATGGTGGCTCACACCTGTAATCCTAGCACTTCAGGAGCCCAAGGCTGGCCGATCGCTTGAGCTCAGCAGTTTGAGACCACCCTGGGCAACATGGCGAAACCTTGTCTTTACAAAAAAAAAAAAAAAAAAAAAAAAAAATTAACCGTGCATGGTGGAAAGTGCCTGTAGTCCCAGCTATTTGGGGGTTGAGGTGGGAGGATAGCTTGAGCCCAGGAGGTCAAGACTGCAGTGAACCGAGGCTGCACCACTTCACTCCAGCCTAGGTGACAAAGTGAGAAACTGTCTCAAAAAGAATAAAAATAAAAATAAATAAATAAATTTAGGAAACAATACCATTTACAATAGCATAACAAATACTTAGGACTAAATTTAACAAGGAGATGAAAGATTTTTGCACATAAAACTAGAAAACATTGATAAAGGAACTGAAGACACAAATAAATGAAAAGATCTCATGTTCATAGGTAAGAAGAATTACTATTGTAAAAATGCCCATGCTATCCAAAGTGATCTATAGATTCAGTGAAATCCCTATCCAAATTCCAATGGTATTTTTCACAGAATTAGAACAAACAACCCTAAAATTTACATGGAGCCACAGAAGACCCTGAATGGCCAAAACAACCTTGAGCAAGAAATACAAAGCCAGAGGCCTTGGACATCTTGATTTCAAAATATGCTACAAAGCTATAGTAACCAAAACAGCACAGTATTGAAATTAAAACAAACATCTAAACCAATGTAACAGAATAGAAAGCACAAAATAAACCTCTGCATTTTTTATCAATTAATTTTTGTCAGAGGCACCAAGAACACACAATGGGAGAAGGACAGTCTTTGTTCTTTCCCAGACTGTGTTGGGAAAACTTGATATCTACATTCAGAAGAATGAAATTGGACCCTTATCTCATACTATGTAAAAAATTAACTTGAAATGCATTAAAGACTTAAACAATGATACTAGAAACTGTAAAAGTGCTAGAAGAAAACATAGGAAAAAAGCTTGTTGGTGTTGGCCTAGGCAATGACTTTTTTGGCTATGACCCCAAAAGCAAAGGTAACAAAAGCAAAACTAGACAAACGAGATTGCATCAAACTAAAAAACTTCTGCACACAAAGGAAATAATTGAAAGAATGAAGAGGCAACCTACAGAATGGGATAAAATATTTGCAAACCATACATCTGATAAGGGGTTAATATCCAAACTGTGTAAAGAACTCACACAACTCAATAGCAAGAAAACAAATAACCTGATTAAAAATGGTCATAGAAACTAAATATGGCATTTTTCAAAGGAATACATACAAATGGCCTAAAGGTATATGAAAAAAAATGTTCAACATCACTAATCATCCAGGAAATGCAAATAAAAACCACAATAAAATATTACCTCATACCTGTTAAAATGGATATTATAAAAAAGATGAGAGACAATAGGTATCGTCAAAGATATGGAGAAAAGGAAACCCTTGTACGCTGTTGGTGGGAATGTAAATTGCTACAGCCATTGTGGAAAACAGTATGGTAGTTCCTTAAAAGATTAACTCTTTTGATCCAGCAATCCTACTTCTGGATATATATCCAAAAATAGGTAAATAAAATCTGTATGTTGAAGAGATATCTGTACTCCTGTATTCATTGTGCATTATTCACAATAGCTAAGATATGAAACCAACCTAAGTGTCCATCAATGGGTGAATGAATAAAGAAAATGTGGTATTTTATTTATACACAATGTGGTATATATACGTGCATTTGTGTGTGTGTATATACACACACACATATATACACGCACAGATTGTGGTTTATATGCGTGTGTATGTATATACAAACATATACATACACACATATGTATATCACATGGTATGCCGGGAATATATACAATTTTTCTTCATCAGTTGTTCTTCCATAAAGCTGGAATAGAATAAAATAAGAACAATTTTTTAAAAAAGACACATACACATACATACACAGAGAAAAGAGAGTGTAGTTCATTATGGAAGGAGCCAGGGTACATGCCAGAGAGTGAGGAGGAGATGAGGTAGAAGAGGTGGGTAAAGGATGGACAGGGGAGACTCTCCTTCTGCCAGGTTCCAGGTCTCAAGCCTTGAAGGTTAAGAGGTCAGGATTGGACTTTGTGTTGAGGACAGGAAAAGGGCCTAATTCACCCACTTGCCCAATTTTATCCACCCAATTGTCCTGTGAATAAGACATTGTTGTCTCTACAAATGAAGAAATTTATCAGAGAGATAAAATCTCCCTGCCATGCTTCACAGCTCCAGTGGGAGCTGTTGGTGTTACTGTCTACAGGGATGACACAGCCTGGTGTTGTGTGGGATTTGAGCTTCATGGCCATAGGTACAGTCCTGGATGGAGGTCATGCAGCTAGTAGGCAAGCTAGTTATGAGAAATGTGGAGTCCTCTAACACATCTCAGGATTTCTTTGATGTCCCCAATGCTAGGAAGGGTCTATATGTGAAAAGTTGAAATCATACATATAGATCACCTCCTTGAGAGAGCAATATTTGAAATCTCATCTCAAGAAGCACCGTTTTTTTTCTGCATTGTCCCCAATCCTTCAGAATACTTGGGTCAAATAGGCCAATCTGGGATCAGTAAAACTTCCTAGTAGGTGTAGAATCATCAGTTTCCCCACTCCAAAGTCTATGAGTGTCTGGTACCAAGGGCTTCCCTAATCCTTTCTAGTGGGTTCACAGTCAAGAAGACCACTAGATACCACTGGACCTTGAGGGTCAGCTACTGATTTCTCAGCTTGTTTGGGAGTTTGCAAAATTCAGTCCTCGGTGCCTGCTACAGCTAACTTCGCACGTTGCTGTCACTTGTTATTAGGCGAGAAAAAATACAGGCCTGCTAGCAAATTCTCATTTAAGGAGAAATAAAAAACACATTGGGTCTGGCTCACTTAGGGAAAGAGGCAATTACTGAGTAGATATTGCCTAGTGTACCTCATGACTTAGGGACCCACAGAGGAGTGGTCAGGAAATTCATCTGGCCCTACAGCGTGCTGTGACTTCTGACGGTCTACTTTGGTCATGTCCAAGTGACACCGTGCCGTGTTCCTCATGGCACCATGCATCATTCCAGGTGGGTGACATTTGAAAGAACATTCTTTGCATCCTGTGCCTAATCCATTGGTGATTTACCACATGGCTCTTCTTATAATTTGGGAAACTTACCCATAGTCCTTTGCTGGCAGCTGACACATATTGAGCAATATACAAGTAGTTATAGCAGCTTTAGATCCTCTGGGGCACGGGACCCTGATACACCAGCCTCAGACAGCTCTGTAATAGGCTTGAGCTGGCCCCTTCATTTGATGAAATATTTGCAAAGCAGGGGAGAACTAAGGTGATAGGAGCTTAATCTAATACATGTCTAAGTTTGGAGCGCTGTTCTGGGCTCTGGAGATACACAGGCAAAAAAGACACATTCACTACTCTTTGGGGTTCCCTAATCTGGTTGGAAAGACAGGTTGTATATAGAAAAAGATCAGTCACTGTGGAAGGCAGACACATGCCAAGCAAGAGGCAGAGACAGTAAGTTCATTTTTAACTGAAAAAGCCCGTCCACAGCATCTAACCAGACTCCATCATTTTCTGAGGAAGAAAGTGAGGATCAGAGAGGAATGTGACTTGACCAAAATGAATGTCTACTGAGGGGGCAGAACAGACACTAGACTAAACTATCACAGTTCAGTTCTCTCCCACTTCCAGTACATGATACCAAACACATCCAGATGTATCCATTTATGTGCTACCCACTTCATTTTCTATAGGCAGAACATGTGGCTCAGAGAAGCTAAGTGGCTTGCCAAATTTTCACAGCTATGAATTCTAGAGCTGGAGCTTCAACTCAGAGTCTGTTTCTCCTTGATCTCTCCAGCCATCAGCCAGACACACTGGCAAAAGCCTCAAAGAACTTCAAAGAAGAGGCAGTATTTGTGCTGGTCCTTTAAAGAGAGAAAAATAACAGCCATGTGGCTGTGCAGGGAGGCGCATGGCAGTAGAGGAGAGTGGGGTCATGGGCATGTACCAGTGACTTGTAGGCTGAGGCTGCTGTTCTCTTTTGGACAAGTCAAGATGCTGTCTCTTAAATGGCTACCTAACTAAATCATCATTCTGGACATGTGCCAAAAAAACTGAAACCATACCAACTGGGGAGGAGTACCTCCTTGTAACCTTACTGCTTAATTACAGGGAAGCTACCAATCTACCAATGAAATTATATTTCTGCTTGACTTTCAGGCTCCCTGAATTAAAGTGGTAGGCAGTCATGGGCACTGGAGCACTGAGGCTGGGTGTTATGGTGGCCATGATTAGTCCAGGAACTTTTCTAGATCAGTGATTCTCAAACATGAAATCATGTGGGCATAGAAAATACTGATATCCAATACCCACTCCAGGACTTCAGGATTGAGCTGTGGACTGGGCACCAGGTAATTTTAACATACAGCCAGGGTTTCAAGCCACTGCTCTAGTTGTATACCTCTCATGCAAGCTACTCGGGACACTTTCTAACTCATGTATACATAGCATTCAGCCTGCTTGAAACCCGTCAGTACCCAGGTTTGCTGACTCTGGTCATTCATTTATTCATCAAATCTCAACTACGTTCTTATTACATCCTAAATGCTTGGCAGTGGGGATATAGTCAGTGATGTGTTGGTGAATATTTAACAACCAGCGCTGTGGGAAGAAACAAATCCTGATTTGTAGTGTTTGCCGATTTCTCTGTTATAAATATCCCCACCATGACTGATCTCAAGCTGCCAACATAGAGTCCACTGAACTCAGGGTTTGGAAGAAATGCAGGTAATTGGCTTTTGCGAGCCAATGTGAGTTAGCTCCAACACACTTGTGGATAGAGTGAATTCACCCCGCACCCTTAAGGTAAGCAGAGACTCTTTGGGAAAAGACACATGTGTGCACAGTTAACTGAAATCCCAAATGAAGGCTGTTGGAAGGAAAGAAGTAAATTCAGCCTGGCAGGGTCAAGGAAGCTGAGTTTCGATGAATGAATTGCTCACGAGAGACAGACCTTAGAAATCAATTTTCTCAGGTGTCCCCTTTTGTTTTTCTCTAATGGCTTCCAAATACCCATGATGTCATCGACAGCCAGTCAGCATCTGACTAGGCTGAGCTAGCTGGTATTATGCACTGAGAAGATATAATTCTGCCCAAAAGGAGAGATATCAGAATTTTACTTAGTCTATGCAGCGTTAGATCAGCAATACAGATGATTCCATCAGTTATCTTAAAGTATGGTGGATAGCTTGTGGGTCTCTAGTTCAAACCACCAAACCGGTCCAGTTCTATCACAGTAGGTAATGAGAAACTGAGGCTCAGAGACACCAAGTGGCTTGGGCTGGCTGCTTGAAGCTGGCATGAGAAGCCTGGCACCCTGCCTCCCAGGGCAGTGTTACTACTCTGCTACTGGGCCAATCTTAAAGATCAAACACCTCCTGGACAACCTTTATTAATATACTAATATGAGGAACACCAGTTCATTTGCTTTGAACAAAAGGTTATGGGCAGAAAGGAAATCCAATCTTGTGTCTAAATTGCTCCTAATAAGCCCACAATTGTCAGCCTCAGTGATGATCCTCTCAGGCTGTAATTGTGTGAAAAATGGATACATTCCTATAACCAAGGAAAAACCAAATCTGCCCCCACTGGGTAGTGGTTAATAATCTCATTAAGTTATTAATGAAATTAGCAGAGCCTCCTGCCTTAGTTGGTGGGGAATATCAGGTGCAGTTATTTTGTGGAACGTTGAGAAAGCCAACAGTGCATTGCCTTGGGGAATTCTTCCTGCTGGTTGATGGTCCCCTGGAGGCCAGACCATGTGGTTAGCTCTAAGCCTCCTGCCTACGTGATATGATCAAGGATGCAGCAGACCCTTACTCCATGCAGAGGAGGTGCTGGGCCAGTTGGGGCCAATTTAGGAGTATTTGTATGTGCACATGTAGCCGGTGGCAGGATAGATTGGGGGAATCTGGATTTAAGGGTTCATTTAAAAGACACAGTGGTAGTGTAGAAAGAGAACTTGACTGGGAGTCAGGATCCCTGGCACTTCATCCTGGCTCTCCCCAGCAGGGTGACTTTGCATGAGTCACTTCCCCTCTCTGATGTCTTCTCTTTATCAGTAAAGCAAAAGAGGGGTTTGACTTAGTTGAATCTATGAATATTTTCTCTGACTCCATCATCCTCATCTTTTCAGTGGCTACTCAAGACTCAGTTAATAAGGAAAAGATATTTTTCTTCTCACATGTCAACACCAAGCTTCACACCCATAAACTCATAAAAATCCAGATTGATGTTTTTATTATAGCAGTCAGCCCTAGTTAACTACTTCATCTACAACCCATGTGGTTTAGAAGCTGTTTGAGTTAGAAGCTAGAGAATTTGATGCTTCCAGATCTGCAATTCTTTATCCCCTACTCTCTTTACTGCAATAACCTAAACATTTGGAGTTACAAGTTTTGTTAGAGTTTCTTGTCTTTGAATGATCATCTTTGAACTAATAATTAAGTGTATGTGATTATTCATAGTTCATTTATTTGAAATTTTTTTATTTGTGTTTAATGCTGTGGGAGAGATGTTAGTGTTTCAGTTATTTCCTCTCCAAATCCTCTAGGCAAAATTCATCACTCCCTCCTTGGTGCACCCTTTATGCCTCTTGCATAATTCTTCTCACATTGCGCTTTGCTTGGTTTTTCTATATGTCCATCCCTCCAAGAAACTGTGAGCCTTTCAGGGAAAGAACTACATCTTCTTCATCTCAGGGTCCCCATTTCCACTGTGTCTGGCTCGTAAATGTTTGTACAACTAAATTGAGTTGTGCTCCTTGTGGGAAAACAGAAGAAGCCAACTAACTTAACATTTATCTTCAGTGCTTGTTGGTCTTTGACAGGACATTTTCCTCCAAAAGGTAATTGATCTCAACTGTGCTTATGTTTCAGCCATTTCCTCTAGTCCTTTGCTTTCCAAATGTACAATATTAGCTCTGAGGCCAACTCCAAGACTCGATCCCAATTGCCTGATGAATATTAAAATTTTTTTTTAAAGTTAGCATTTGTTGAGCATCTATCTGTTGCCAGACAATTTTCTATGCCTCAATCTTTAAAGCAACCCTGTATCTGTTTTCCCTTTTAGCAGGTGAGGAAATGGAGGCACACAGAGGTCCTGAAATTTATCCAGTCACACAGCTAGTAAGAGGCAGAGCTGTGACCAGGCCTGTCTGGCTCTTTGGACTTATATACTGCTGCTTCTCTGGATGGCCAGATGTAAAGTCAAGCTCAACATACATCAGATCAAATTCCCCACCTTCACCCTTAAGCTAGCCCTTCTTCTCTCATTCTTTTGCATTCAGGCACTAGGTCAAAACCTCAAAGACAGCTTGGGCTTCTGCCTCTCTTTCACTCCTGCATGCTAATTATGCACGAAGGGCTGACCAGCTGTCCTTGTCAATATCACCGGAAGTGCCTCTTTCCCCTTCTTCCCACTGCTGCAACCCTAGACTGGGCTCAGTTCCTTCATGCTTAGTTTCCTGCAAAAACTCATTGGTCTCCAGGTCTCCTGTGTGCCTCTTTAAGTTGTCCTTTTCTCTCCTGTTAATACGAGTTTTCTATATTTGAATGTTTCATTTTCTTGATCAAAGTCTCTGCAGTGACACCTTGTACAAAATTAAGCCCAAACTTCAAGAATGAGAAAAAAAACAACAGTGTCATTTGAGTCTCTGGTAATGGGCTAGGGATTTTAATTGTGCTATTCTTATCTAATCCTCAAAAGTAGGTCTTTTGATTTCACTGCTGAGTCAACTGAATTACCTGTTAAAGGTCTTAGCCGGGAAGTGGTGGGTGTGGCACTGGGACCAAGGCGTGCCTACCACAAAAGAGTATATTCTCTCCACTCCTGTTTGCCTCCTTAGCCTGATACCAAAGAAACCCTTGGCAGTCTGGCCCCGATCTCCTTTCGTGCACTCTTTTCCAATTTCCTGGAAATTAGTCCATTTCCAGATGGGCCAAGTCCCTCTGTTGTGTAAGCACCTCGGTCACCTTTGCCGTGTCCTTCTGTTTGATATCACACCTCCCAATCCTGGAGGCCTGCTTTCTCCACTGAGCTTAAAACCTGCCAGTCTTTGGATGCTTAATTGAGATTTCTTGTCCCCAAGGGCTTTCTTCTTCATCTCTAAACTCAAAAAACCTTCCCCAGCTCTTGACCTTACCATCATTCCTACTCCTTTACCCTTCACTGGTGTGACTCTGTTTAACATCATGTCTCACTAACAAGAAAAAGGGCTTCAAGTTCAGACAGATGTGGGTTCTGTTTTAGGTTGGGTTCCCCAGAGTCAGTTTCTGAATAGTGAGAATTCTTGTCTGAGTGATTTATTAAGGAGAAATTGCAGGAAAAATAAATAAGGAAGTTGTGGAAGGTGGGAGGAGGGGCATAGAAGTGGAAGAAGCCAGGCAAGGGAACAATTTGGGGCAAAGTTTTGGCTCAGCCTGACTCAGAGCTCTAGAGTATAAATTACATGTCTGCTTTTGCCCCTGCTCTGGGCAAGGTTGCTGGGCTTTCCTGCTCCCAACCAGTCACTGTCTAAGAGTCACCAGGGATAGGGGGATAACTTAGCTCCCAGGTCTTGATAGCTCTCTGGGAGCAATGGCAAAGTGGATCTAGGAGCTTCAGGGCAGGCCTGTGAGGAGAACACTAGGAAGAGGTCATTAGATTAGAGGCAAAAACTAACCAAAACAACAACAACAAAAATACAGCCCCTGGAGGAAAGGCAAGCAGAAATGGTAAAGAGGAATGGGAGCAACTTAGGGGAAAATCAGCAGCATCTGCTAAGGGTCGATGTATTAGTCAATTTGCACACTGCTGATAAAGACTGGGCAATTTACAAAAGAAAGAGGTTTAATGGGACTTACAGTTCCACATGGCCGAGGAGACCTCACAATCATGGCGGAAGGCAAGGAGGAGCAAGTCACATCTTACATGGATGGCAGCAGGCAAAAAGAGAGAGCTTGTGCAGGGGAACTCCTCTTTTAAAACCATCAGATCTTGTAAGACTTATTCACTATCATGAGAACAGCATGGGAAAGACTTGCTCCCGTGATTCAATTACCTTCCACTGAGCAAGGAGGTAATAAAGGGACTGGCATGTAGCAATCATTCAGTAAATGTTAGTTGCTTTCCCTGGAAAGTGCCTTGTATTTTATATGTGTTTGCATGTATACCACACCATACTATATTATACGATTCACAATTACACTATTATATTTCTAAATGTGTTACATTCATTCTGTCTCAGGTCTCTTATGTATGCTCTTCCTCCCAATCCCTTCTAGCCTAATGCACTCTTACTCTCCTTTAAATCTCACTCCAGATGCCACTTCTTCCAGGAAGTTTTCTTTGATTTCCAGGCTAGGTCACATTCCTTCCTGTCTCCCTCACAAATTACATGCTGTCAAAAGACCTTAAACATTTTTTATTTCTTTAAGCTCTTATTACTGTTTATTATTCTGAATATACCTCTGTTATTTTTATTAAAATATGTCTCATCTGCATTAGAAGAGATTGTCTTTTTTATCATGTTATTTCTTGAGCCTAATGATTTATTGAATAAGGAAATGAATGAGTGAAAGCATGGGTGAACACAAATGATAAGTCAGTGGGCATTAGAGCAGAAACCCTGGTCATTCCTTGGCACTTTCACCTAACAGTGCCTCAGTAAATGCTTTCTGGTTCGTTGGTTGGTTGGTTGGTTGGTTAGTTGGTTGGTTGGCTAATGGGTTAAATGATACTGGAATGGGATTTCTAGGCCTGTGTCCTAGTCCAGGTTTATTTCTGATTGTGTGTGTTCAGCAAGTCATCATCTCCTCTGCATCTCAGGTTCCCCAGATTTCAAATGAGGTGACTGAATATGACGGTCTCCAAGTGCCTTCTTGGTGCCAGTCCCTAGCTGCCCAGCATGGATCATCTGGGGAAGCTGTGTGGGAAAGTGTTGCTAGGGATTGCAAACAGAAGTCTGTAAATTGCACTCCCATCCATAAAAGGGTTCTCATATATCAGAGTGCTGGGAGACAGATGCAAAGGCTGGGGCAAGACTGCTGTGGAGCACTGGGTGCACCTAAGAGGGAAGAAGGAGCTGGATTTGGCACTGAGCACCAGAGCATAGTGAGGTGGTCATGGGAGCAGCCGAGTTGGTTCAAAACTGCACCTTGCCTGACTTTTTTCCCCTGATTCTGGCCTAAGTACTGCTCTACAGCCATGTGACCTGGGTAAGTTAATATGCTATGTAACTTTTTAATTGCCTTAGCTTCCTCATCTGTAAAGTGAGGTCCATAGGGTTCTAGGAATTAAAAGCCTTAATGCATGTAAAATGCTTAGATTAATGATTGGTGTATAGTAAAAACTCAATAAGCAGTAGCTATTATTGCTATTCTATGGCCACTGCTAATGAGGGAGACACTCTGGACAGACACACAGCTCCCAAGTCTCTGATTCCGTACCTTGGCATTTGAAAAATGCCATTTTGTGAGCTTTGCCACATTGGTGTTGTGGAGAGTATATGAGCTTCAAGGCATGGCAGACCTTTATCCAAATCCCAGCTCTGTAAGCTACTTAATCTCCCTGAGACCCAGATTCTCATTTGTATAATGGGGGATTAAGACTCACCTCAAAGGATTACTCTGAGGGTTAAATATGAATTTATGGAGCACCATGCTTATAAGGCATGGTGTGAAACCCTATGCCTCTTCTCTGTGGTGGCATCGAGGGGCCCTTTGCAGGAGAGCAGGAAGTAAGTGTCCCTCCCATGACATTGTTCTTGCAGAATTAAAGATAAATTTATACTGTGGGTAATAAACTTATGGAATTCATCACTTTGGGATTGTCAGGGGATGAATATGAATAGGCCCAGAAGGATTTAGGAAAATGAATGAAGGCTGGATTCTCAGTGAGTTACTACAGCAGCCATTTCCTAGAAAATGTGTATTTAGGAATAGTGGTCATGCTGAGATGCTCCGTTGGAAAAGAAATAAGAAAGAAATAGGTTCTGCAGTGAAAAGCCTTTGGAGAATGATGCTTACTATATTCCACTCCTACTAAGAACTTCACTTTGGACATCTGCCCAATTGCTGATTCAGCAAATATTTAGAGTATCTAGTATAGCACAGGTACTGTTCCAGGTACTCATAATACTGCAAGGAAAAAAAACCAGATTCCTGTTCTCATGGAGCTTACAGTTTAATGGAAAAGACAAACAATAAGCAATAAACACAATAAATTATGAAATTGTATGGTGTCTTTGAAGGTGAAAATGCACTGGAAGAAAAGAAAAAAGAAAGTTCAAATAAGGGGGATTGCAAATGCCAGGGGCAAGAGGTGTGGGTTATGAAATTCCATAGGGTGGTTAGAGCAGTCTCATCTAAAAGGTGGCCTTTGAGAAAAGAAGAAGGCAATGGAGTTAGACAATTAGCTGTCAGAGAATGTTTCAGGCAGAGGAAAGACCCAGGCCAAAGGCCCTGAGGCTGAGGGATGCCTATTGTGTCTTCTCAGGGAAGGCCTGTGGACCTGGACATAGGGAGAAGGAAGGAGTGAAGTCCTGGGGGCTTTTTCAGCCAATGTAAAGACTTCTACATTACCAGCTTTAGACAGAGGAGTGGCAAGATCTGGCTCAGTGTAAAGGCACTGAGAAGTTCTGCATACTCCTTTAACTTAACCCAGGTCCTCCCAAAAGTGTTTGACCATGGAACTCCTTTTGTTTTCTGTAAAGCCTCTTAACAGCCTTAAGCATATTACACTCTGCCCTCTTTCCCTGGTGGTTCAGATACTCGTTAAACTTAATGTTGTCTGTCCCAAACATTTTGCCTCTGGAATCTTTTCTTTTCCCTTGAAGACCATTAACATCTTGCTTAGCCAGTATTCTAAAACCTCTCTATTCAAGTATGGCCTGTAGACCGGTTGCATCAGCATTTCTTGAGAGCTTGTTAGAGATGCAGAATGTCAGGCCCACCCTGGACACTCCGAGGACACATTAAAGTTTCTATGCACGCTAAAGTTACGAGGTACTGCTCTATGGGATACATGTTGAGAAATGCTGGATTCTAAAGAAGTCGTATGTGTGAGTGGGGGGAGGTTGGGGTGGGCATAATTTTCAGAGAAGTTTATTGTACTTTATATAGATCATTTCCCAAGTGCTCATCTGCCTATGGTCTATCCAAGGTGTTCCTGGAGCTGACTGACTGAGCTGAAATGTCCTACTCACATCCCTCCATGCCTTTAATAATTCATCATGGCTTGAGGCTTCAATTAAAATTCTCTTGACACCTGTTTAGAAGAAGCCTGGGCCTCTTGGAGTAATGAGCCCCATATGTTTATCACTCACATCTATATTCAGACTGCCTATAGCAGTCCCCAAATGCCACTTTCTTTCCACCTTTTAGAATGTCTTTCCTTTCAGTGTCTGAAGTTTCTGGTGTCCTCTAGAAAGACACCCAGATGTTAAAGGACAGGGATGTGCTTATGAGCTAGGAGAATGTCAGGGTTAAAGAGGTGATCCATGCCTTCTGTTTCCTCCACTCTTGTGCTCAGAAACATCCCTTTCTATTCTCTTTGCCTCTCCTTCCTCCATCTCCTTTCAGCAACAGCTATAGTGTCAAGAGCCCATGCCTTGCTTAGGATCAAATGGACTGGTGTTTCCATCTCATCTTCATTATTTCCAGCACCAGCTTAGACAGACAAGTGACAAGATCTGACTCATGCAGTGCAAAGGCACTGTTCTGTCCTTAGAACCTCTTTCCCCCAATTGTGAAGGGGATGCACAAGTGTCTGCATCGTCGGGTGGTTGTGAGGACTACATGAGAAAATCCTGGGAAATTTCCTCTTGGCCCTTTTACGTGCCATGGGCCTTTAATCCTAGGCAAGAGGCTCTAATAATAGAAACTAGGAGACCTAAAAATTGCTTGCACGATGTAGGCGTGTTTGATTGCTTGGTATGGAACAGAGTGAAATTGCTGGGCATATGTGTTGACACTTGATAAGAAACACAGATTCCCAGGTCACCTCATAGACAGGGCTGCACTGGGCCTCCTGCCTAGGCCTGTTCGATGAAGCACCAACAAGCCCCACAGCTTTGTTGCTTTTGCTATGCCCACTGGGACCAGTGAGAGAAGTGCGGTCTTATCCCTGGGAGGAGAGAAAGAGCCAGCATCTGCAGGCGCCCACAGGATGTCAAGGTGAGTGTCCACTCCCCTCCATTGGAGAGGGCTGACTAATCCTCAGTGAATATGATTGCAGCCAGAAAGGGGTTATGGGGAAGGAAGGCTGTGCATTTGTTCTGAGCATGTGTGTGCCTGTGTCCCTTGTTAGAAACCAAAATAGAAAAGAGCATGAAAAGGTCTGAAAACCAGAACTAGTGACAACAAGAACAGACAGCATGGACACATGCTGCCAGGGCCCAAGCTTGCCAGCACAAACAGAGGGCTTCTCAACCTGGGCATTACTGGCATTTTAAGCCAGATAATTCTTTGCTGTGGGTGGGAGTATCCTGTGCATTGTAGAATGTTCAGCAGCACCCCTGGCCTCTACCCATTGGATGCCAGTAGCAAAATCCCCAGGTGGTAACCACTGAAAATAACTCCAGACTTGTACAAATGACTGCTAGGAGGATAGAACTGCCCCCAGTTGAGAGCCGCTGACATACAGAGGGCTGAGTAAATGGGCCCTGTCTTCTCAGTCCAGAAACCAAGCAAAATGCACCAGGGTGGCTCACGAATTTGCACGCCTAACTTCCTCCTCTGTTGCCTCATGGTACATTGGCAGCAGGCAGAGGCCATAGGGATTCCAGGTGACCCTCAGAAGACTGAGAAGAGGCCTCAGTGACACGTTCTAGACACTGCTCTGCTCTCTGACTGTTTTTCTGGCTCCATATCTGGTACCTGAGGCCCAAACGTCATCGAAACTGGGTCCAGAACTGTTCACTGGTGCTCTCACTGATTGGAAACTGTCTGGTGCATTTTGGCTGTTGGGAGCATTTCATCTCACATTGATTTATTATTATATTTTTAAAGACACTGAGATTAAGACTCATCCAGGAGACACTGCTTGCCAAGACATAATTAGGAGAAAATGACAGAGGTAGTAAATATATAATTAACTCTTTTCTTAGTGCTTTTTCCTGGCATTCTTAGTCTATCCACACAGCCTGGGAACAAGTTCTCTGAAATCTCCAGGCAACTAGAGACCAATTACCATCATGTGCACATATTATGTTTTTGAGTAACTGGTATACTTGTTTATATGCAGCAAGTTAAGTGGACAGCCACAAAGATAAACATGGGTACACACACACTCACAGCTCCTAATTGGTTTCTTTTGATTGATGGTTGATTTACTCACTGACTCATTGATTCAACAAAGATTTGGTGCACACCTACTGTGTGTGAGGCACCATGCTGTTTCCACCTTGCTAAAATCTGTCCCTAACTAGAAGACTTTGAGTTCTTGTATATGTATACACATAATGTGTATAAGCATATGATATCAGGGAGTTCTATACACCCATGTACACATACACACATATATTGAGGTTCAGAGAGGCCAAGTAAGTTGCTCAAAGTCACATAGCTATCAAGTAATGAAGCTGGTATTTTGTCACGAGTATGTCTGATTTTCACTTTCCTATACAATCTCCTTTCAAAGCATGCTTCCCAGAGGAGATGATAGTTGAGCTGAATCTTCAAAGGTAGATAGGAATTTACCAGGTCAACATGATAGGAAACGACCTATGCAAAGGCTGGTAGAATTCAGGAACTCCAAAAATAAAATACAGAGAGACACTAGATGCCTTGGGAGGAGCTAGAGAAGACAATATGGACAAGGACCCACTAATGGACGATCTTGTCACAGAACCCATAGCAACGCTGGACTCAGATCTGACTCAGATGTTAATCTGTCTCCTTCAGGAGCTAAAGAAGCTCCCACTTGGAGCTGCAGCCTCTGGCCAGGCCCACCAGCATAAGTTACAAGGTGACCCCAGGCCCATTAAGAAACCAGGGAGCACTTGATTCCAGCCAGTAACTGTCTCCAGCCTTCTCTTGCCCAGGAAGCAGGGACCAGTTAATTGCAGGGTGATCGCCATGTTCTTGCAGAGCATTTAATGTAGCATGTAATTGCAGGGTAAATAAATACAGAGCTATTTCCAGCTCTCAGCCCAGTGCTGCAAGCCTAGTGGTAATTACGGCTGGGGATTGGCTGGGTGCAATTTCCAAGCAATGGCTCCAGGCATGAACTGGCTCAGCCCCAAAGCAGGCCCAGTCTGCTCCCAGGAGAACAAGGATGCAGATCTGTCTAAGCTTCCCATTTACTCAGGTGCTTAGCATCTTAGTTAGCTGCTCTGGATTCCCCAATACTCTAGCCCACAACTGCTTCTTGAGGCTCCTCAACCTTCCGGTTGGTGCCAATTCTCCCTGATAGTAGTGGTTAAGATGCCTGGCCTGGAATCAGACGGAAGTGAGTTTGTATCAAGCCACTTCCTCATACAAGGCTATGTGACCTTAGATAATGTTGCAATTCTCTGGGCCTCAAATTCCTCATCTATAACATAGGGATACAAATAATACATATGTCATAAAATTGTGAGGATTAAATAAGATAATGCATGTAGAATGTTAAGCATGGTGCTTAGCTCAGAATAAGTGCTAGATGTTAGCTAATCTTCCCCCCCTCCCTTCTTTCCTTCCTTCCTTCCTTCTTTCTTCTCCTCTTTCCCCCTTTCCACCCTCCCTTCCTTTCTCTCTCCCTTCCTTCTTTCTTTTCTTTAGAAACTGTGCAAGAGAGGAAAGAACATACATTTGAGAGCCCAAAAGACCAGGGTTTAAGTCCTGGTTCCACCAATTCCTTGCTGTTTTGGTCTTCGAACAGCCATTGAACTTCAAGCCTCAGTTTCCTCGTGTGTTAAGTAAGAACAGTACCACCCACTTCACCAAATCATTGTGAAGATCAAGTGAGATCGCAGTCATCAATGTTTTTGTAAACTGTGGGCCAGGCAAAATGAAAACTTCCTGCTCAGAGTTTAAGCCTGTGTCACAGACTGGGTCCCCAGGAAGGAGACTCTGAGATAGATATTTACTTGCAATGGTTTATTAGGAAGAACTCATAAAATTACACTTGAGGGCTGGGTGCGGTGGCTCACGCCCGTAATCCCAGCACTTTGGGAGGCCGAGGCAGGTGGATCACTAGGTCAGGAGATGGAGATCATCCTGGCCAACATGGTGAAACCCCGTCTCTACTAAAATACAAAAAAAATGAAAGAAAAAAAATTAGCCAGGCGAGATTGTGCACGCCTGTGGTCTCAGCTACTTGGGAGGCTGAGGCAGTGGAGTTGCTTGAACCCAGGAGGCAGAGGTTGCAGTGAGCTGAGATTGTGCCATTGCACTCCAGCCTGGTGACAGAGCAAGATTCTGTCTAAAAAAAAAAAAATTACACTTGAGGAAGGGATGGGGAGAAAGCAGGATTAGACAGAGGGAGAAGCTGAGCTGTGATGCAGTCTCAATGAGCATCTTACCTGATGCCATGGGAAATGTGAAATGGAATGAGCCTTCAGAGTTGTTCCAGACTGGGGAAAGGGGCTCAGGCCTCAATGTCTTTCCATGGATCAATCATTGGATGTGAACCACCCTGTAAAGAAGGCATGATCTGGAGCAAGGCAGCTCTCTGCAGTCAGGGTTAGGGCAAACCCCATGGGGAGCTGGCAGCTGAGAACTTTCTGCAGGCAGCATCCCCAGCAGGTAGCAGGATAAATCCTTCCTTCTTGAAGAGGGACCTGGGAAGCACATCACAGCATCCACCACAACCTGTTGCCTCAACCTACCCAAGTTCCCAGAAAACTTCTTCCCATTCCCAAGATTCTCATCCTTTCCCCTGCCATCCCATCTCCATATGTGTTGTGGCCCATTCTTTCACTTCTTTCACTTCATTCTTTCACTTCCTAGTCTCCCTTTCTTCTCGCCCACTGAGTCATTTCTAGATGTCTAAGTGTCTAAGCTCATCTGGGGAAGTTCTTTGATCCTGGTCAAGTGGTAGAGATGGAGACACAAAGGCCAGCCCTCATCCGGCTTCTCACCTCCCTCACTCAGAGACTTGCTTGAGCTCTGTCTGTCCTTGGGCTCTTGAGTCCTGAAAATATGTGGCTGTCAGTGGAGGTGTGTCCTTCCACCATGCTCCCAGCACCTATTTGTCTCTGTTTGTGGATCTAACCGCTTATGCTTGTCCCAGTGTCCTTGTGTTTGTGTCTCTATCTTTATTATTATTATTATTTTCCTATTATCTGACTTGGCTTGAAGCCCACATTCCTTGATGCTGCTGTCTGAGAATCTACAAGGCTCACCCCAGCTGGAGCCCAGCTCAGAATACCAGGAATACTAAGTGACTCGGATACTTGCTGTTGCTGTGTCCAGTAGAGAAAGAAGAGAGGAGGCCTAAGGGGCACAGAGAGAAGTCTAGTTACTTTGGACCACTTGAGACTCTTCTATGTGGAGTTCCATTCAAGAGAGACTGAGTTCCCGAGTTCTTCATTATTGAAGGTGTGTAAGCAGAAATTGAGACCTCTAAGTGTGAAGATAGAAATGTGATTTAGACCTTGTAGGTCAAGGGCTGGCCACTTATAAGTGATGTCACCTTGAGTAATGACCTCAGCATTCCTGAATTTGTACTTTCACAATGGCCAACATGGTTCACTCTAGCTCTGCAGAATGCTAAGAAGGGGAAAAAGTGAGAGTTCTTGTATGAGGGGTGGGATTTTGTAACTTTTTCCTGACACATGAGGCCTTTCTGTCCCCTCTTACCCCAAATATAACCCATCTTGGTACCTGAGGAGGTCGAGTGCAGAGAGGGCTGATGCTGGCTCACATTCAGTGTGGATTCCTGGGGGTGATGACTTTTCTGGATTTCTTAAAGTACTCTGTGCATACAGGGGACACCAGGCTCCGGGAGAGCCACTCCTGGGCTTGGTGGAGCTCGGCTGGGTGGAGGGGAGAAGTCAGGGTTTCTGACGGCCTCACTCCCTGGCAACTGCCCCAGGGAGACTCTGAATCTCTATGACCCAGTGGTAGGCATGGAGCAGCAGCTATACCAGGTCTCATGCAGGAAGGAAGGACGGATAGAGGCAGGTAGTGTGAATGGTCACTCTTGTGCCCCCAAGACAACGCCAGGCCAAGGTCACGGCTCTGATGGATTGGTGTCATGGCCTGGGTCCAGGCTTTAGAGGGTGTCTTGCCTTCATGCAACTCACTGCCCACCCTCCTCTCTCCTGGTCATGAGTCATAGACTTGGGGAAGACAGCTGCTGGGAGGGACCAAGGCCCTGGAACCAGCTGGGGGTTGACTGCCCGACACCTTACATGTAGTCTGTAAACTGACTCTGGTTGGATCTGTCACCGAGGAGACACAATAAGCCTGTCCTGTCCCCTTCTGTACTTACACTCAGCCCTTTTGTGATAATGTTTCTCCTGTAAGCCCCCCAAGTGTGTTTATTCTGTTTTGGTTTTATCTATGACCCATGTTTAGAAGCCCTCCTCGCTCTCCCTCCATAGGCACCAGGACTCACTGGTGGGGTTAGAAGCTCTTTGACACCCCAGGCCCTTCCTAACACTCCTTACTCCTCCCTCTGTCCAAGGCAGGGTTGGAGGCATCTGCAGACAGTAGGCCTAGCACAGAGGGCCAGAGTCACCCTCAGTCTGGCCTTGACTCGACTCTCCCAGCACACCGTAAGCATAGGAATTTGACACAGGTGGTGTCAGAAATGTTAAACTATGAAATAGGGCTTGCCCTGCAGACCCACCCCAGGCACACCATCCTTTAGCTGGCTGTGAGTGTGCACTATGCGGGCAGGCACAGTTCCAGACTCTGTATAGGAAAGTAACCTGGACCTTGGAGGTTATCTTGTCCTCATTTTGAAGTTGCAGAAACTAAAGTCCAGGGATAGGGCAAGACATTCTAATCACACAGTCAGTGAAAGGCAGGCTGGATCTTGACGGGGCAGTCTGGCCCCAGCAGCCACCCTGGACTGCCTTGACTCGACTGCAGTGTGAGAGGATCCCTGCCATATTTTCTACGTAGCCCTGGGCTGGCATGCAAATAGCTCCTCTCTCTGCCTTCACGGAAACATTGGGACAAAAACTTAGGCAAATGAGGCTTCTAGCAGCTAGGGCCTGAGTGTGATAATAGGGAAGACACTGAGTGGGGTTTACCATCCAGTGGAGAAGCTCACCAAGCCCTGGCCAGCACAGGCACATTCAACCTTCAAACCTGGGAAAGATCCAGGTCTGGCGTGGTCTCAGCTATGAATTCACTCATGTGCCTCACTTTCCTGCCCCACCTTCAAGGGCTGGCACCAGGACTCCACAGCCCATGAGTCATAGACAGCACTGAAACCATGGCCCGGGACCTCCATACTGCACCATGATGCCATGAGCTGGCAAGGCTGCTTGAACCCATGTGCCAGGCAGGCAGCTGCAGACACCGTGCTTTCAGGGCCAACAAGACCGCTGGCCCCAAATTCCTCTCCAGTCTGCTCACAGGGTGCAGGAGTCCTGTAACAGGGCAGGCCTTCTCTGTCCCTGGGAACAATCAGTGTCATGAGGCTTCTGTTGGGAGGGACAGAAAAGGAAACCTACGTATACTCAGGTAGAATCGACAGACATCAAAACCTTCTCTTTGGGGCCAGAGGGAAGGGGAAAGTAAACGGTATAGGATGTAGGGGATTGGGAAAGATCTCTCTTAGGAGAGGGCCTGAAAGGAAAATCCTACAGAAAAATGCCATGGTTATCGAGGATAGAAAAACTGTATCCTTCAAACAAGCACAAGGCCTGGCTAACAGTAGGTGCTCAATAAATATTTGTTGGATAAATGTGAAATCTAGACGTGCACTTTGTGTACCCAGATTTCTGTTTCCTAATTCTGGTTAACTTGAAATCATTTTTTCCTCTGAGCTTTGATGTTCACTTTTGCAAAATGGGAATGCCACAACCTCCCAGCACAGATCACTGAACCACTGCCACGATGCAGGCAGAGGTGCCCTGAAAGTGGCAAATGCTGTGCAGATATGGGGAGGTTTCATTATTCAGCACTTTCCCTCCAACTACCCCTGTGGTCAGCCCCCTGTATCCATCATCAATATCCATTGCTTTTCAGCAATTACTTTAGTTTAATTGGCTCAGGCAGAGCAGTCCATAGGAAATGCCCCCGGTGGAATTGACGAGCCCTCTTCTCGGTGTAGGGAATATCTCTCCGGATTAAGTGTGCCTAATGCTGCCATTTGCTAGATGGGGGATAAAGACAGCAGGGCCAGAATGCAGCTGCACATCATTTGTATCAGAAATACCAGGGGCCAGCTGCCTGGCTGTAATGAAATTCCAGCAAGCCTTGTTGACATTCCAGAGGCATCGCCACAACGAGGTTAAATTATAAGTTGATGATGACAAGCAGACGCACAGGAAAATGTCAAAATTAGCATGGCTGATCACAGGCACCCTCCTCCCTCCATCCTTGCTTCGGTATAGCCACTTTTCCCTCCCCTGCCCACACCCACCCCCAGGACGACCTAATCTCATGATTTGATGTTTAAGGGTATCACAGCAGGAACAAGTTTGTCCTAGTGGCTTCCTCTTTCTGTCTTACCTTTCTCCTTGGGCCACCTGATGGAGTGAGAACAAAGTAGCCTTCTGATGAGTCAGTGACCTTGGACACGTCGCTGACCCTCCATGAGCCTCTGTTTGCTCATCTGTTTATTGAGGATAATGATGCCCTCCTCCTGGAGTGGCTGCAGATTGGATGAGCTCACATGCGTACTTCACCGGGCACAGGGCTCAACAATGTCACTTTCCTCCCTGCCTTCCTTGGGCCCACGTGGGCTCTCCAGTTGGAAGAGAGCAATTGGGAGGGTGGAGCACAGGTGAGTTGGAAAACTAGGCTGGGCTCATACAAGGAGTCCATGCACGATGAAAATCCAGAGTTGGAATGTGGGGTCAGGCCTGGGCAGGTTATTGTGGAGATGGGGACACAAGTCCCTGAGTGTACAGCTGGACTCACTATATGAGACTATGGAAATAAAGGGCAGGCATTCCACAACCAGAAGTCTGAGACTGAATTAGACCAAGTAACACTCGTACCATTTCAAAGCACCTTTAGATGAATCATATTGTTAAACTCACTCAACAGTTATTTGAGAAAGGGATTAATACCCCATTTACAGATGATCTTGGATCTGTAAATGATCCAAGATCATCTGTAAATGGGGTATTAATATATAAGGAGACCAGGGAAGGCTTCATTGAAAACGTGACATTCGAGCAGATGATCCAAGAGCGTCCATCCAATTTGAGGGCAGAGAAGTTTAAAAAGGGGAGGTCTGAAGATAGGCAAAGGATAAGCCAGATTTCCAGTTGAGGAGGCCATCCAGTGATTAGAGATTTTGGGGGTACTGAGAAGAATTTGGGGAAATCTTCAACATGGTACCGTAAAAGGAGAGACTTACATTCCTGAGGATTAAATGTAGGCTGAGAAGCCCAGACAGCAAAGAACAGAGCCTTGTGGGATGACTTCATTCAATGAACAGGGAAAGAAGAGGTGAGGTGCACAGAAGGAAGAGACAGAAATGTAGGCAAACATCATTGACAGGGCAATGATGTGGGAGCCAAACCAAAGAGAGGAAGCATCTAGGAGAGGAAATTATTGATGGGACCAGAACAGAGAGATGAGATCAAGGTCTCCAGCCGAGTCAAACAGATTTTGGTAGGCTTGCCTGGAACTCTCTTTACTATTTATGACCTTGATTCCATGGGAGCATGAGTTATTAAATCCAAAAAATTGATGTGTCAAATTGATTTTCAGGTCCTGGCCCACTGAGACTTGTCAGCATTTTTTTTCTTTTCTGTTCATGTCTTTGGCTCTGACTTTCCTAGAAAACAGATCATGACTTTGGGTTTCCTTAAATGAAAGTGGTTCAGATTGCAGAGGTGGGTCTAGGACAAGGGGTTGAAAGGGGGAGAGAGGAAGATAGAGGGCGAAGATTGAGCCATCTTCCCCTGGAAGAGGACTAGACTGGGCCTCCACCTCAGGAGGCCCAACCCTTTATTTGGGCTCTGATCCCTGCTTCTGTTCAGGCTTTGCCATCCCATATCAGCAAAGGGGCTTCCATCCTGGGGAGGGAGAAAGGATCCACAGGGAAGAACAGGAGACGGTCTCAATTAGGATTAGTGGCCAAAACCAACTGAGGTCAACTTTCAAGCATGATTTCATACATTCATTCATTCAACAAATATTTAGTGAGTGCCTGCCACGTGTCAGACACTATCCTGAGCACTGGCAATATACCAATGAATAAAGCAGACACAAATGTCTGGCCTCAGGGAACTTACATTCTAGTGGGGAGAGATGGCCAACACACCACATAAATAAGTAAATTAGATGATACAATTGTTAAAACATGATAAAGTACTATGGAGAAAATTGAAGCAGGAGAGGAAGACAGGAAAAGCTGAGGGATGAGGGTGGGGCTGCAAGTTTATATAGGGAAACCAGGGAAGGCATCATTTAAAAGATGACATTCGAGTAGACTTGTAGGACTTAGACACAGATGTGAATGGATGGATACTGGGCAATCCACAAAATCAGAACTAAGGCTAAAATAGGTGTGGCCTCACAAAAGAGAGGAATCAGGAACCTCTGAGTATCTAGGATGGAGGAATTCATGGGCACTGTCTTTGTGGCAGGGCTCTATGGATGGATGGATGGATGGATGGATGGATGGATGGATGGATAGATAGGTTCCTATCACCTAACAGCACTCAATTCAGGTCAGTGTCTAGGAAAAGAGAAGCTGGCTGGACTTGCCTAAGTCTCCTGTCCACCTGCCGGGCAGCATACCTTGATGGATACCACCACTGAGACTGCATGCCGCCAGATGGAGGGTGACTGCCCAAGGAAAAATCCAGGGATAGGGCTGGGGTGCCAGGCAGGCAAAGCCAGCTGAGGTTGTACACACATACATACACACACATAAGCACAATGGCTGCTGGAGTAAGACACCAAAGAGAAGTGAGCTCAGAGATCTTTAAATCTGCTTCCTTAACGTTGTAGCTGAAGACACTGAGACTTGGGAATTGGGAGGGAATTACTCATGGTCACCTATTCAGGAAAGGGGAAGTTTGGTAATAGACTGCAGGGCTCCTGACTTGCAAGCCAGACTGCTTTCCACTTCCCAGAGCTTCCAGAGAGCACAGGAGGTTTGAGGAGAAAAAAAAAACCTAAGAAAGCATCTCACAGAATCGTCCCATTTCCCAGCTGAAGAAACTGAAGCCGGGAAGAAGACTGAGTGAATGGGGATTAGTGGACGGAAAAAGGCAGGAAATTTTGGAGGACAGAGTAGAAGGTGGAAAATCAGAACTTTCCTTCCCCTGGACCAGGTGGGAGGATGATGCATGGAGATGTCTTAAGCAAATGTTTCGAGCTCTCCTGGGGTAAGGGGAGTGGGACTGGCAAGGCATCCCTGAGGCCCAGGGCAACCAAGCAGGCCCTGTTTGGGTGTCCTGTGCTCCACAGGAAACACCCCAAGGATCACAGCAAATACGCTTACCCAGAGGAGAACCTGTTTGCAATCTAGGCCAAATCCTATTTGCTTTAATAAGCCTGTGTGTAAACGATGGGCTGTGGCTTATGTCCCATGGCAGCCTGGTGGGGTGAGTGAGCAGGAACAAGCCACTCCTCTCTGTGTCTATATGTTCAGGAGGTCGCTTGATTCAAAGTCAAATACACCCCAGAGTAGAGAGAGAGCTGCGGAGTTCCATTTGGTGTGACACTGTAATTGAAAGTTAGAGCGCTCCTGCCTACCCAATCTTCACTCTGGAATTTGCATCCCTGCCCTGCTGGGCAGTGAGAAAAGCACTCAATTGCCCAAGTCTGGGCCTATTGCTACAGGAGGAAGCATGGTTTGGCCATTCTGCCAGGGCTCTTTAAGCACAGCTTCTATCCTCTCCACCCGCCCCCAACAATGGCAGCTTGCCTCCGCCTGCACCTGAATGGGAAGCTAGGAACCACAGCCCCTCTGTTGATGTCTCCACTGGGTTGTGCTGGCTGCTCTCCCTAGATCCTAAATCCTTGGCTCCTAGCATCTGCTTCTGATCCCTTCAGCTGAATAACCCTTGGCCCTTTGGTAGCTTCTGGGATTTGGACTACAACTCAGAGCTGAGCTCTGTGTGTTCCACCTCAGTCTCTGTGGAGAAGGTTTCTGCTCCTGCTTCCAGCCCAGAAACTCTAGCAGCCAAGCCCAAGAGATGATGCAGAGATTCAGATCATCCCCTCTTTGGGTAGAGATTCCCTCACTGTGGGTGTGCCACATTCAGGGCTGGCCCTAGGCATAACTCTGGTGCTGACCACCTGACCTGGGTTAGTTCTGTCAGCACATCCCTCTTTCAGTCTCAGTCTCTGATTTGCACAGAAGGAAACTGTGACCCAGAGAGGGAGGAAGCTTGGCAAGGTTTGTCTGCATTTGCAGTCTCCTTTTCTCCAGTGCTGGCTGGCTGGGACTCTTTCATTGTCTGCGACGGGGCCCAAGTCCCCACAGTGTGTTATGAGACCTAAAGCTTGTGTTAACACGCTTATTCTTCATCAAAAGTGACCTGTTCTGTGTTCTCTTTTTGAGGATTAGCCATGTGGCAGGAGCTAGTCTTATAAACTAATCCTTAGTAAGGCGTGATGTGTGATCACAGACAACTAATTGAGCTTTTCACACCTTAGCTTGAGGGAGTGGAAGGTGCAAATTTCAAGCAATAAAGGATTTTTGGATTTTTTTGTTTTGTTTTGTTTTTCCAAACAGAGAATGCTTCTTGATGCTCCTTAAAGCATGCTGTATAGTCAGAAACCACATAGCTGGACCAGTCCTACGCAAAGAACTAGCGGACCATTAATCTAAGCCTAGAGATCACTGGAGCTCTGGGCAATACTGACCTTTGTTTGTTTTGTTTTTAAAGAAACAGAAACTACTCTTTTAGAGTTTAGAGCCCACAGAGAGACTGGATGTGAGTATTTTTCTATCGTCCTTCCTGTCATGCATTCAGTAACTAAATCAATCGTCAAATGTATATTGGTCACCTACTGTACATCAAGTTCTCTTTTGGGACCTTTGGGGGATTCATACATGGACAAGGCATGACTCTCCATCCTTAAGACATCATGTGACATGTTTGGTAAGTAAGGTGTATAATGTTGATGACATTGATAATATTAACTTAACATTTATTAGTCTATAGTTTATAGTTGTTCCCAACATTATTCAACCTTTGAAGACTTTGTTTCTTTATCTGTAAGGAGGAGGTGGTGATACCATTAATCCCCCATCCCGCATTGTTGGGAAAATCGCCTGAGGTTACAAATGGGAAAGCACTTAGTAACTGTAAGAACGCTGAGCCTGGTGGTTATTATTATTACTTCTGTTGTTTTTCTCAGTCTCGGGGAAGAATTATTACTAATGTCAACAGAATCACAGCTTCTATTTACAGGAAGACAGGCCAAGAATTTCAATCCCTTGTCCCTCTCCCAATTAAATCATGGATGCAGATTGTTCTAAATCCATCACAAGGTCTGGGTCTGAAGATCCAAGTTTGAGTCCCAGCTCTGTATAATCTTATCAAAGCCTCTTAATCTTTTTGGGTTATAATTTTTTTTTCACAAATACAGATGAAATAGGTAGATTCGTAGGTAGAAAATGTTCTAATTCTGTGTTTGTGTGTCCTTACATGTATATGGGCATGTCCTGACACAATCTTGCATTTCCAAAGAGTTCATTCCAGCAAAAGTCATCCCTTGCTTCTTCCCCACCTCTCTTCTCTTCAGAGGAATGTTCATTATGCATGAATGGGAGGGCAGGGACAGGGATTCACAAACTGTCACTTTCAGGAGCTGGTGTGTGAGCGTATGTTTGTGTATGCATTTGTGTGTGTGCATATGTGTGAAATGTTCTCCTGGTTGCCTTTAGACTTGCCGTTGCTCTTCTCCAGGTGCCAAATATTCTCTCAAGCCTTCTGAAGGTTGCAGCAGGGGCCAGGCCAGAGAACAGAGGTTTCTCTGCTTCTGCTTGGTGTTTTATCGTGTTTTGACCAGGTAGGCTACTGCACTGACAACCCAGGAAACGAAGGCAGGAGAGCTGGTGTGCCGCTAGCACAGCCGGCTTGGAGCCCCACTGTCTTTGGATTCTGTGCTCAGCCGGCTTCTGTATTTGGCTGTGAATCATTTCTGCTGGAGGACTGCGTGCCACTGTGTGCCCTTTGAGTGGTGTGCGCATTGCACACGCATCCTGGAGGGAAGCATAAAGAAATGGGAGTGGAGGAAGCAGCCCAGAGGAGAAATGCAACCCTGTTACGCCCAAGTTTGGCTTCTCAGATTTGATGGATGATAGGTATAGCAAAGGCAGGCTGGCTACCTCTTTTGCAGGACTGAAGGGCGATGAATCTGCTGTCAGCACGAGTGACTCAGACACCTGGGTTTGTTCTGAGCATCTCCCCTTGCCTGTTGGGGGAAGATTTCTCAGCCCCCACTTCACCCCCACCTTTCACCAGATGCCACCAGGGTTAATGATGAAAGCAAGTAGTTTGGAGTCAGCCTGGACACCTTTCCCTGCTGGCTCTGCGTGTGCTCACCGCATTTCTTAGGATAATTGCATAGCCTCAATGAGTGCTTACAACTCTTCACAAAAACTCCTTGTTGAGTTAGCCTTAAATCTCCCTGGGTCTGTGTTAGGGGCTGGTCTGATAAATCCTCCTCCTTGGCCTCTGGGACCCAGGTTGGAGTGGAGGCCGCTGGAGCCAAAGCTGCCTAACTTCCCTGTCTTTTGCGGTTCCCATAGTCCAACTGTGATGCCACGGCTGCTGCTTAACTTCCTCTGCCCATAGATCAGGGCTTGGCTCAGCAGGGGAGCAGTGTGTTTCACAGCTGGGTGTGGGCACTGCCTGTCTCTGGGATGTGTTCCAAGTGCAGCATCCCACTAGGCAGAGACCAAGGAGAGCGTGGCCTGGTCAAGATGCATCCACAGCTCCAGAAGTTTAAGTGGGGTGCTGCCTGGGCTTCGAGAATGAGGAAAGGTATCCAACTACCCCACTGGTTCTCACCTGGGGGCAACTTTGCCACCCAGGGGACATTTGATAATGTCTGGAAACAAGTTTTGTTGTCATAATGAAAGGTGCTACTGGCATCTAGTGGGTAGAGGCCAGGGACGCTGCTTAGCATCCTACAATCCACAGAGCAGCTCCCTACAACAAAGAATTAATGAGCCCAAAATGTCAATAGTTCAGAGACTGAGAAACACTGCTAGCCTCAGAACTGCCGAGGAAATAGGCACGTTGAGATAAACAAGACTTTGCATTGCTAGATCCTAATGGTACCGGCAGCTGTGTGGTGTAAGACAGCTTGGACCATGAGTGGGCCTTTCCTTTCCCTCTTCCCCCAGACCCCTAGCCCAGAGTGGAAAGTTACATATCGGAGGCCTAGCGAGGCAGGTGCTGTTGGTGCCTCACCTGTATCCCCTTGGCACTCACCATGGCAGTAGCTGCCGATGACATTCTACAACAAGCACCTGGGACTCTCCACTTCTCTGCCCCAGGGCTTTTTCTCAGCCCACAAGCAGGACAGAGCAGAAGTGCCCTGGAGTTCCTGCCCCCAGGAATGGCCCTCTGTCATTGATGATGGGAGCTGGAGAATAGGTACAGCTCCCGTCCCTCGGGTGAGACAACTCTGCAGCATGTTCACATTGTCGCCCAGAGACCCCAGTGGGACGGAGCCTCAATTGTCCACAATAGTAATGGGCTCATTAATGCACCCTGCATTGCTTCCTGCCTTCCCCTTTCTTGTTCCCCAGATCCTCTGCTGATGTCACTTGGGACCACCTTGCAGATAGACTACTTCATTCCTTGTGACTGAGCCTGCTTGTGAGACAGCCCAGCCCAAGAGAAGCAGCCATATCCTTGTGCCTGCAGGAACCAACATCGTCTGTGCTAGGTTATGTGTTTACTCATTTGCTTACATCCTCCATTCATTCATTCATTTTGTCAGCCCACAACATTTACTGAGCATTGGCTATGTACCAGAAATTGAGAATTTCATACTCATATAGAGAAGGGGAAACTGAGGCTCTGAGATAAACATACACTTCTTCAAAGTCCCCCAAGAAGCGAGGGACCAAAACTAGAATATAAAGTCAAATGCATCTTATGCCTAATCTTACTACTGGTTGTTTCTCAACGGGCCATGCTTGTAATTACCTGGAGAGTCTTATGCAAATACAGACGTCTGAACCCCACTCCAGAATCAATTACTGTCTTTAGCACTGGGCCCGGGCCTCTGTGTTTTTTTAAAACTCACTGCCATCCGCCCCACACACATTGTCTGACTCAGGATGCAGCAAGGGAGAGGAATGGAGGCTCTTCTGTAACTGGGGCTGAAACTAAAGGCTGACCACCCTTCACCACCTGTCACAAGCCCCCTGTCCCCTTGGGGAAGTTGGCATCCTGTGGGGCAGGCCAGCTCCCTGTTGTTGACTTGACATCTTTGCTGAGTCATCTTGCCAAATTCCACCTAGACAGGCTGTGCTGTGGTTTCACTGCTTGTTTGATGATTGGGGTTTCCTGTCCTGCCATATGGTGAGTCCCTGTAAGGCATGGCGGTAATGGGGCCGCACACTGGCAGATGGGCGCTTCCTGACCCAGAAGCCCAACGGAGCTGAAGCCCCCAACTTCACTCTCACCTCTACCTGCTCCCTGGAAGGGTCAGAGATTGAGGTATTTCAGGCTAAATATAGAGGCAGGCCATTAAGAAACAGCATCTCCTCCCCTCTCCCCAATCTCTCTGGGCTTTCCATGTGATGGTTTAATTGCTCCTGCAATCTGTTCCGTTTCTCCCTTGCAGTGCGGGAAAAGCAGCAGCCACAGCCCATGGTGAGAAGCTGCTTTCAGAGATGGGAACAGCTTTTAAGAGGAAGAAGGAAGCTTCAGGTCTCAGAACACAGTTGCAGGCGGGCTTTATTTTTAGAGGTCTCCGCAGAGATTCTGCCCCCTGTTCAGGTCTCGCCAGACACCAGGCCTGGCTTTGGAATTGGGGGTTGGGGGGCAGGCACCGTTTTATTTGGATCAGTGTAGCAGGAAGGGCACTGGGCTTGAAGTCAGGCAAACTTGTGAGAAAGTCATTTAACCTCAAGGACAGGAAATGCCACTCGCTCTGGCAACATGGGGATGTGGAGGAAGGGAGGGAGCACAGTAGATGGCACACAGTAAGCCCAGAGTGTGGGTCTGCCACCCTTGGCACAATACGGGTATTGACAAGAGTCTTGGGCTCATTAGTTGTGTGGCCTTGGTTTTCACATCTGTAAAATGGGGGTAATAATAGCAGCTGCTTCCAGGACTGGCTACATAGTTTGCAGGGCCCTGAACAGAATGACAATGTGAGGCCCCGAGTTGAAAAAGCTTTAACAATTTCCACACAGTGAGAGCAGAGCATTAAACCAGGCATGGGAGCACAGCCTTCTGAGCACAGGGCCCTGTGCAACTACACATCTTGTCACATCTTGTCTACTCACAGGGGTGTGGTGAGGAATTAATGAGACACTGCATGTCAAGTGCTTCTGACACTGGCAGCCTTTATTACTACTACTAATTGAGCATCAGATATACTGTCGAGAGCAGTGTTACCCATTTTGCTATGGCGTATATTAGAGGGAGAAATAGATTAAGATGGAATTTCATGGTGTCTCCAATGGCAAGCTATAGTTAGGACTTTATAAGGTAACAGTGGGGTGTAACTGAAGACTTTTGAGCCACCTTCAAAGTTGTGTTTAAGAATTCGAATCAGGCCAGGCGTGATGGCTTATACCTGTAATCCTGGCACTTTGGGAGGCTGAGGGGGGTGGATTGCTTGAGTTTCGGAGTTCAAGATTAGTCTGGGCTATGTGGAGAAACCACGTCTTTCAAAAAATACAAAAGTTAGCCATGCATGGTAGTGCATGCCTATAGTTCTAGCTACTTGGGAGGCTGAGGTGGAAAGATTGCTTTAGCCTGGGAGGTTCAGGCTGCAGTGAGCTGAGACTGTACCACTGTACTCCAGCCTAGACCACAGTGCAAGACCCTCTCTCTCTCTCAGAAAAAAAGAATTCTAATCAGAACATTAGGTGGGTAATAGGGAATGGTGGTTGGGGGGTGGGTGCTGAAGAGAGGGTACTGCCTGAATATGAGTATTGTGGGAAAAGTAAATAAATAAATAGAGACACCAAAGAAATCCTTCCTGGGTCACTGAAGAGAGGTGCTATGCGTAAACTCAGAGAACCAGGAAAAGGAGAGTTGGGGTGGAGCGAGTTGCTTTTGGCGACATAGAGTGTGAGGTGTCACTGGGACCACTGTGGATGGATATAAAACAGGACACTAGAAACAGGGGAGCAGGGCCCACATTTGGGCTAGGAGGAAGACTGGGGTGGGTGCGGGGGGTCATGGAGACCTGTATGGAAACGACTGATGTACCAGAATAGATAAAATTATCAGTGCAAAGCACATTTCCAGATTGCGGAAGCTAAGGATAAAACAGAGCCGGAAATCAACTCTGTATAAAATTAGCAAGTGAAGCTGAGAGCTTTGAACTGATCTGAGAACAGAAGGAGTCAAAGAAGCAGCATTCCTGCAGAAGATCTTGACCCTCTATGATCCTTAATCTCTTCATCTGTAAAATGGGTACAGTGTCATCCGACCCACAGTGTTGATGAAAGGGTAAAGTGAGAACTACTTCTCATACTATCAGGTGTGTGGTTAGTGAACAACACAGTGTAATCCTCTTCTTGCTTTAATTCCTGATTCTTGGATCTTTTTAGTGAGTTACATTCTATGATGTTACCAGTTTTTATGGCGGTTCGGATATGTTTGTTTTCAGAATGAATGTGGTATTATATAAGCTACTTTACATACATTATCTCCTTTTAATCCTCATAGGATTCTCCATGGAATAGTGATATTTCCATTTTTGGATGGGATGCTCAGAGACGTTAGGTAATTTACCCAAGGTCACACAGCTACAGAATGACATGGTGGAATTCCAACTCACGCCTGCCTCCTTCCAAAGCCCATGCTATCCTCATTATTTAGCAAAAGCAAGACAGGCAGGACAAATCACCCAAAAGAGCTCCCTTTCACAAAGCTTGGCTCCTCTCCTGTATACCTGCTAACAATACCATCCGCACAGGTACTCAGATGGAGACCAGGGAACACCTTGTTCTACAGAATTGTTCATTGTGGGTAATTTGCTATCTTCATGTTACTAAAATGCCTTGAACAATAGCCCATGTACAGGGGCTTGGGTTCTTCTTCTCTATGCAGAGCCTGCATAGTGAAGGCCTTGGCAGGCTGGCATCTTTCCAGCATTGCAGAGGAGGAGGAGAGCATAGGCAAGTGGTCTGAGCTGGGAGGAGAGGAGCTGAGCTCTATTCCTCCAAGCCACTGCTCCCCTTGGGCTAGTCCCTTCCCTGGCATGAAAGGAAGGTAGCCTAAATGCTCTCACAGGATTCCCCAGATCTCCTGCTACTTCCCCAGGTGGTGGTCAAGGTGAGAAAATACTACAAGAAGCAGCAGAGTGAGGTTCATCAAGAGTGTGCATGCTGGAGCCAATCTGCCTGGGAATTGATCCAGGCTCCGTCACTTCCAAGCCTTGTGATCTATGATATGTTACTTGGCCTCTCTGTGTCTTGCTTTCCTCCTCTTTAAAATGGAAAGAAAAAGAGTACCTATTTCACGAGCAAGGGAGCTAGTACAGATAAGTGTTCATCATTACTCTCATTGCTTATTGTTGTCATTGTTGTATGGGAGGCCGGAACAACCTGAAAAGATGCCACTTCCTCATGAAGTCTGTTCTCATCTGTGACTCTTGGATTATACCCATCCTTTCATGCTTGGCTTTATATTACAATTATTCAGGAGGCTGGCTTACCTTTTTGATAGGCTGGGAACCCTGCAAGGTGTGGCTTCATGTTTATTCTCCATGCTTCATACTATGTAATTAGAAAAAGAAAAAAAATCCACAGTGGAATATAAAGGGCAGGAGCTTTAGAATCAGCAGTATTCAATATAAATCCTAGCTCTGCCATTTACCAGCTGTTTGATCTGAGGCAAGTCGCTTAACCCCTCTGAACCTTGATTTGCTCATCTATAAAGTGGAATATCAGCACTTTTCCCATTAGCTAGTACATGGACATGTTTGACATATGATAGGCATTCAATAAGAGCCGTCTCCCTTCCTTTCCTCTTTCTCATTTTTCACGGCCCCATAGAATGTTGGCCACTAAATGGATTTTAAAAGGAGTATGGAAAGTGGGATTCAGAGGCTCTTGGAACTCCCTGTTCCCCTAACACTCACCCAGCCACCAGTGTAGGGATGAGGTCCGTGAGCACTTTGTCCTGTTAGCCAAGAATTCAACATTTCTCTCTTGGAAATCATAGGCTGGAAGCGAAACTGAGGTCAAGAGAAGAACAGCAACTTTCCCCAAGGCCACAGCAGCAGGACAAGAAGCCTATGTTCTGACTCCAGCCTCAGTTCTCTTCCCACCACCGCAGGCGGCTGCCTTCAATGGAGTGAGGTCTCACTCTAAGCTATTATCAACAAACTTCCCTTTCAAATGAAATAAGAAAGTTCTGGCAACAATCTGAGGGATATGTGGCCAGATGGGGTGTAGCAGCAGAGGGGGTGGTGGTTGGGAGATACTGTCAAGAGGAACTGGGCTTCTAATGACACAAGGATGAAAGTGAAAGAAATCAGCAAGTTCACCTACTTCCTGGTTTTGCAGCGTGGTATCACCTGTCCAGAAGGGAGGTTCTCACTCAGCCACCTTGTGGTGTGAAAGGGAGAATGAAGCTTTTGGTTATTTCCTCATTTTACCATGGTCCTTGACTCTGAGGGACTGGGAGTCCTTTGTAGCCAGGGAATATGTAAGACTACTGAGTGTTCTTGCCAGGCCAATTTAGAGAGGTCTAGTGTCTGATTCCATCACCATTCACCAACTATCTAAACTTGAGCTGGTCTGAGCTCAGATTGTTCCTCTGGGGGAGAGGGGTGAGCCCTGCTCTGCTAACCTGGTCAGGTTGCTGTATGTGTGATAGACTCGTGGAGTCAGAAAGTCGAAGCTGGAGTTGGCTGTACAGGCATCTACTGAAACTGACAAATTGGTTTCATCTAACACGTTCATGCCAGCCAATGGGTAGTGGTTTCCAGGGACAGATTCTGAAGCCTCACCTGGGCATAGCACAAAGAGTGTGGTAACCAATTAGTGATGGCTGCCATGAGCACAGCAATGGGGAGTTGGGCCCTGTATGCTCCATAATTTTCTTTTCTGAGTGCATCCCACAGTTCTATCTTACAAAGGAGACTGAAGCTCAAAGAAAACAAATGACTTTGTCAAGGTCATCCAGTGGCAGAAAGGGTCTCAGTCCCAGATTTCCTAATGCCAAATTTAGCAATCTTTCTTTTAAGAAAGTTGTCAGCTGTAAAATACTTTACAAATGTAAGAATGTC
This sequence comes from Homo sapiens, assembly GCF_000001405.40. NCBI lineage: Eukaryota > Metazoa > Chordata > Mammalia > Primates > Hominidae > Homo > Homo sapiens. The sequence goes on along the minus strand of NC_000017.11, from coordinate 33,963,840 downwards.
TTCTCATCTTTCTGTTGGCCTTTGTTTTCCTGAAAGTCAGTCACCTCAGTCCTTCTGATTTGCTCCATGAACTAAAGACTCATGTTTGTGAAAACTCTCCGAACTCCCCACTGACAAGACATACTGAGTTTAAAGGTCTCATTCAGACAACAATAAAATTATGACAATGATGGTGATATATATTATGCATATTATTATATATTATATGGAATATACATAATATATAATATAACAATAACATAATTTAAGCACCTGTTATGTGTGAAGTACAGTGGCAGGAGCCAGCCTGCTTTCTTCTCGGTTCTGTCCAATGCATATTTAAGTTACTTCCCCTCTCTGAGCTTCAGTTTTCTCATCTGAGTAATGAAAGCTCAAGAACAGATGCTTCCTTTTTGTGCTGACATTTTTCTCTCTGTGCTTCATATTATCAGCACCTACTCTGCGTCCAGAAATGGGGAAATAGCATGGGGCAGAAACGAAAATGTGAATACTTGGTTCTGTGCTCCTAAGCCACTCACCCTATTCTTCAGGAGGCAAGACAATGGGACCTGATGCACCCAGAAAACAGCGATGCAACGTAGAGAGCAGTGGACTAGAAATGAGATGGGGAGGCTGCGAGATGGGAAGAGGGTTGGTAGAAGTGTAGTTGGGAGCAGAGTCTGGGCACCAGTCCAGGTTGGAAGCCTGACTCCTGCAGTTATGAGCTGTGCAACCCTGGGGCAAGTGGGTGCTGTACACCTCTCTAGATCTCAATGTTCTTATCCTTAAAACTGAGCTCCTCTTACATATGTTTCCGGGAACCTGGGAGGTGGAGAGACCACAAGATGTGCACACATTCAGTGAACAACAAAATAGCTGACACCCCAAGTAGAGATGTGGCAAGGAGTGAAGTGAAAAGAACTTAGGAAGGAAGGGGGATGCAGAATCTGTAGTTGTTGAGGAAGGCTTCCTGTAGGAGGTAGCTTAAGGTCAGCCTCAAGAAATATATTAGTTTGGGCTGGGAGACATGACACTAGTCATTTTTTACTAAAAATGGTTTTTTCCTCTTTGGCCCCCATCTGTGCCTCTTTGGAATGGAGCATGAATATTAAGCACATTTTTCATAGGCACTTCGAAGAAAACTAGACAGTGCAGGCAGTGGCCCGGTGAATCTCTCACATACTTAAAGAGCATCCTGTTGATTTGAGGTGGAGTCAGCTGAGCCTTGGTTATTCTGACTCAGTAGCCCCCAGTACAAGCGAACATGAGCACTTCATTCCTGACCCGAAATGATAACAGAAGAGACATCCCACATTCTACACACCATGGAAAATGTTGTGCAGTTTACAAGGCATTAGAATAGCTTCAGAATTCACTGTGGCTCTGGGATGAAGAACGGACTGAGCCAGCTTTTTCTTTTCCTGGAACATCTGCCTCCCCATCCATCCTGCCATTGGGTCATTCATCCTTGGGTATTAGAGCATCTACTATGTACCAGGCACTATACTCTTTCAAGACTCTATTCCGATGTCACCTCCCCCAGGAGGGCTTTGTTGATACACACCCCTGCCTCAGCTGGCCTCAAAGCTCCTCCTCCATGTTCCAAAGAACCCTATGTTTACTACTACTTATTTTCCCATGTTTTATTTCTGTGCCTCCATCCTCATTTGACTGTGGGGCCCTTGGTCTCTTTCACTAGCAAATGGTAGAATCTCAGTTGGTGTTTGGCAGGCCCACAGAACTGGACTTGTTCATGGGCTTGCATTCTGGGGTGGGAGAAGGCATTGAACACATGGCGGCAAGTGTGCGGAGTGTTAGAAGAAGGAACTGCCGTGAGGTCCTCAGAATGAAAGGCCGGCCTCATCTGGAACCGAGGAATTCCTCCTTGGTGATGTGAGTTTTACGCTGATATTGAAGGATTTGTAGGTGTTAGGTAGCTTCCTGAGTTGGCTTCTCCCCAGCTTGTTCTTACTTCTTCCCAGGGCTACAGTTTGGAAAGTGGAGATGGAGGTTGGAAAGCAACTGTGGAGAGCAATGTTGGGTTCTGAGCTTCCTTGACACCTTCCTGCCTGAAGGGGCAGCCAGGGCTACCTGACTCCCTTTGGTTGACTTTTTTTTCCCTCCCAAATATGTCCCTTATGCTACCCAGCAAGGCAAGCAGGTGGGCTTTTTGAAATTCTTCCTTGGTCTGAGCAATCATCACCTGAGAAGGCAATTATGCAAATCACTCCGTGATCTTCCCAGAACAGCAAGTCTGCTCTGGAGAGAAAATCCAAACAGTAAACACCTCTTTGGCTGCCCCTGTGAGGACGATGCAGGCACCTTGTTTGAGGAGCACCCATTACTATGCAGCTCAGCTTCAGCCAGGTGGAGTTGGAGGGCAGAATTTCCCATGATACTCTCTCAATTCCCAGGGACATAAGCTCGGGCTAAGCTCTCTGCTCTATTCTAGCCTCCAACCACCAACTGTGATGGACCTGTTCAGGATCCACCTGTTAAGGGCCTATCTTCTGCCCCTGTTATCCCTGCTGGGTCCTGCAAAATGCTGAGGCTTTGTCCTACATAAGCAGCATAACTGTGTCCTGAAGCAGTGACCCTGCCCCTGCCAATAGCTGCACATTCCTCTTATGCACTTGGTTCATGGGCTTGGGTGTCTCTTTAAAGATTCTTTTTCTAGCTTTGGTCAAAGCCGGTCAAATTATTTTGGTTCTTCTGTTCTCAGTTTCCACATAGATTTTCCTTCCTTTCCCTTCCCTGTGCCTTTCTCTTACTAAAGTTACCACCTTGGCCTGGGCGTTGATCATCTCATGCCTAGCTGGCTGACCCACAGATCTCAGCCCTAATTTAGATCTCCTCCACTTCCACGTACTTAGGGTTGCCTGCATTATTTATCTCATTCAGGTATTCAACAAATATTTATTTGTTGGGTCTCTATTCATGTCCTAGTGATAGCGTGGAGATTAGAGCAGCACGGATCTGACTCTCGCGGGGCCTTATATTCTGGGATAGGGGCAGGCATTGAACGCCTGGCTGCAAGTGTGCTGAGTGTTAGAAGGTGGAACTGCTGTGGAGCCCTGGCAGTGATGGGGTGAGTTTTAAGCTGATATTGAAGGAATCGTAGGACTTAGGTAGGTGAAGCATGCTCAAGGAAGAGGACAAATTCCAGAAGCAGGAGACAATGGTACATTCTAGAAACTGAAAATCCAGTGTGGCCAGAATATAAATTGGGAGGAAAAGTGCTTCAGGATGAGGCCAGAGATCAGCAAGGTCCTGATCATTGAAGGCTCTAAAACCATGGTTAAGGAGTTGAGGTTATATCCTGACAGCAACAGGAAACTTTTGAAGAGTTTTAACAGAGCTCACAGTTCTCCATGAGTGTAATGGTCCAGGATCAATCTCCAGTCAAGCATTTAGGCATGGAACTCATTCACCTCTGTATGTACATTAGTCAGGATTCTTTCCATCTCTGGCAATGAAAACACAACTCAAAGTGGTTTGAGAGAAAGGAAATGTATTGGTGCAAAGATTGAAGCATCCAGGCAGATCTAGATTTAGGGGCTCAAATGTCCCTCTCCATCTCTTGGGTCTGGTATCCTCTGTGTTGGCTTCATTCTCAGGCTCTGCTCATGAGAAGACAGAGGTTGCTGCTGGCAGCTGCGGGCTAGCACTTCACTGCAGCAGTTTCCACACGAGAAAGACAGTGACACTTCCCTAATAATTACATTAAGAGCCTTGTCATTGATTGAATTTATCCCACTGGTGTCAGATGCTCATTCCTAAACCAACAACTGGAGCTAGGTTGAACTATGCTGATGGGTCAGGCTGGATCACACACTCATCACTGGACCTAGGCAGTGTGATTAGCATAGACAAAGTCCATGGACTAAGAGTAGAAGAGCAGTGGGCCACAAAAAGGAGACATTGGGCTCTATCACTAGAAAATTGAGGAATGAGTGCTGGAACACCATATGCAAGAACAGCAGGCATGATGGTTAATATTGAGTGTCAACTTGATCGGATTGAAGGATGCAAAGTATTGTTCCTGGGTATGTGTGTCAAGGTGTTGCCAAAGGAGATTAACATTTGAGTCAGTGGACTGGGAGAGGCAGACCAACCTTCAATCTGAGTGGGCGCCATCTAGTCAGCTGCCAGCATGGCTAGAATAAGGCAGGAAGAAGCTGGAAGGACTTGCCTTGCTGAGTCTTCCAGCCTTTATCTTTCTCCCATGCTGGATGCTTCCTGCCCTTGAACATCAGACTCAAAGTTCTTCAGCTTTTGGACTCTTGGACTTACACCAGTGGTCAGCCAGGGGCTCTCAGGCCTTTGGCAACAGACTGAAGGCTGTACTGTTAGCTTCCCTACTTTTGAGATTTTGGAACTCAGACTGGCTTCCTTGATCCTCAGCTTGCAGATAGCCTATTGTGGGACTTCACCTTGTGATTGTCTGAGTCAATGCTCCTTAATAAACTCTCCTTCATATATACATCTATCCTATTAGTTCTGTTCCTCTAGAGAACCCTGATTAATACTGTAAATTGGTACCAGGAGTAGGGTGCTACTGTAAAGATACCCACAGATGTGGAGGCAACTTTGGAACTGAGTAACAGGCAGAGGTTGAAACAGTTTGGAGGGCTCTGAAGAAGATAGGAAAATGTGGGAAAGTTTGGAGCTTCCTAGAGACTTGGAGGGCTCAGAAGACATGAAAATGTGGGAAAGTTTGGAACTTCCTAGAGTCTTGTTGAATGGCTTTGACCAAAATACTGATAGCGTTATGGACAATAAAGTCCAGGCTGAGGTGGTCTCAGATGGAGATGAGGAACTTAGGAACTGGAGCCAAGGTCACTCTTGTTATGCTTTTTGCAAAGAGACTGGTGGCATTTTGTCCCTGCCCTAGAGATCTGTGGAATTTTAAACTTGAGAGAGATGATTTAGGGTACCTGGTGGAAGAAATTTCTAAGCAGCAAAGCACTGGAGAGGTGACAGAGTATAAAAGTTTGGAAAATTTGCAGCCTGACCATGCAGTAGAAAAGAAAAACCCATCTTCTGGGGAGAAATTCAAGCCAGCTGCAGAAATTTGCATAAGTAATGAGGAGCCAAATGTTAATCACCAAGACAACAGGGAAAATGTCTCCAGGGTGTATCAGAGACGTTTGTGGCAGCCACTCCCATCACAGGCTGGGAGGTCTAGGAGGAAAAATGCTTTCATGGGCTGGGTCCAAGACCCCCCCTTCAGTGTGCAGCCTCTGGACATGGTGCCCTGCATACCAGCTGCTTCAGCTCCAGCCATGGTTAAAAGGAGCCAAGGTACAGCTCAGGCCATTGCTTCAGAGGGTACAAGCCCCAAGCCTTGACAGCTTCCATGTGGTGTTGGTCCTGTGGGTGCACAGAAGACAAGAATTGAGATTTGGGAACCTCCTCCTAGATGTATGGAAATGCCTAGATGTCCAGGCAGAGGTGTGCTGCAGGGACAGAGCCCTCATGGAGAACCTCTGCTCAGGCAGTGCAGAAGGGAAGTGTGAGGTTAGACCCCCCACACAAAGTTTCCAATGGGGCACTGCCTAGTGGAGCTGTGAGAAGAGGACCACGATCCTCCAGACCCCAGACCCCTCCAGAATGGTCGATCCACTTACAGCTTGCATCGTGCACCTGGAAAAGCCACAGACACTCAATGCCAGCCATTAAAGCAGCCAGGAGGATAGCTGTACCTGCAAAGCCACAGTGATGGAGCTGCCCAAGGCTGTGGGAGCTCACTTCTTGCAACAGCATAACCTGGATGTGAGACATGGAGTCAAAGTAGATCATTTTGGAACTTTAAGGTTTAATGACTACCCTATTAGATTTTGGACTTGCATGGGGCCTGTAGCCCCTTTTGTTTAGGCCAATTTCTCCCTTTCGGAATGAGTGTATTTACCCAATGCCTTTACCCCTATTGTATCTAGGAAGTAACTAACTTGCTTTTGATTTTATAGGCTCATAGGCAGAAGGGACTTGCCTTGTCTTAGATGAGACTTTGGACTGTGGACTTCTGAGTTAATGCTGAAATAAGTTAAGACTTTGGGGGACTGTTGGGAAGGCATGATTGGTTTTGAAATGTGAGGACGTGAGATTTGGGAGGGGCCAGGAGTGGAATAATATGTTTGGGTGTGTCCCCACCCAAATCTCATCTTGAATTGTAGCTCCCATAATCCCCACGTGTCATGGGAGAGAACTGGTGGGAGGTAATTGAATCATGGTGGTGGATTTTCCCATGCTATTCTCATGATAGAGAATAAGTCTCATTAGATCTGATGGTTTTATAAGGGGCAGTTCCCCTGCACACACTCTCTTGCCTGCTGCCATGTATGATATGCCTTTGTTACTCCTTTGCCTTCTATCATGATTGTGAGGCCTCCCCAGCCATGTGGAACTGTGAGTGCATTAAACCTCTTATCTTTATAAATTACCCAGTTTCAGATATGTCCTTATAACAGTGTGAGAACAGACTAATACAGCAAGTACCTACTACATAAATCCTCAAGAGACCTTCAACTCCAGTCAGGCTAGTTTCCATATTCTGTGGACTCCAAGGGCATGTTGCTTCTCTTCTCTTCTACGCCTTTGTGCTTGAGGTTGCCTGGACAGAAATGCACCTGGATTAAAGAAGATAGTTGTAGCATCTGGGTCAGAGTCGAATTCAGAGCTTTGGATATGTAGGGACAGGTAGGTGTATGAGTGGGGGCATGGTAGAAGTTGTGTGAGAATTCCCTCCTGGAGGTCATTACCAACCCCAAACGAGCTTTTCCAGATGCTCATCCCTCATCTCTAGGATTAGCAGAGAGAAGGGACAATAAATCCCCATTATTCTGATTGTCAGAGCCAGGTGAGCAGTCAGGGCAGCAGCTGCCAGGCCCATGGCCAGGTGGCCACAGAGCAGCTATCCCCTGCCTCTCTACAGAAGCCTCGCTACTTGCAGAGGTAGGCAACTGTCCCAGCTCTCAGGAGCTGTAGGATGAGTGAGGCATATGCCATCAGAACCAAAAGGAGCAGGCTCATCTAGCTGGGGACCAGGTCAAGATCTGCCATGATGTCAGTACTTGAGAATCTCAGACGGTATTTGGCAGACCCACAGAACTGGACTTGTTCATGGGCTTGCATTCTGGGGTAGGGGCAGGCATTGAACACATGGCTGCAAGTGTGCTGACTGTTAGGAGGAGAAACTGCTATGGGGTTCTGACAGTGGGGGACCAGCCTCCTCTGGGGCTGAGAAATGTCTCCCTGGTGACGTGAGTTTTAAGCTGATATTGAAGGATTAGTAAGAGGTAGGTAGGCTCCTGAGTTGGCTTTTCCCCAGCTGGTTCTTACTCCTTCTCAGGGGTGCAGCTTGGAAAGCAGAGATGGAGGTTGGAAAGTAGATGTGGAGAGAGACATTGGGTTCAGAGCTTCCGTGACACCTTCCTGACTGAAGGGGCAGCCAGGGCTACCCGACTCCCTTTGGTTGAGTTTTTCACTCCCTCACAAATATGAAAGAACTTAGACTTGTGCCACAACCCTAGCCTCGCCTTGCTACAGCCTCTCTCAGGTCAATTCTTGAGATACAACCCACTTCAGACTTTGAACCCTCATTCTCTGAATGGTGGAAACTCTTCTTCAAGAGCGCTTTCCCAGCGCTCCCGCTCCTATTGACTCTCCTGCTTGGATCACTGCCCAAGCATTCCTTCAACACTAAGACTTTCCTTTATTCAGTGATTCATTTTTTTCAATTCATTAGCTATTTCTTGAGCCCTACTATGTGTCAGGCACTCTACCTCTGACTTGTCTCTACCTTGTTTCATGAGTCCATCACTCATTATATTATATTAATTATAATAGTCTAATGATGGGCCCTCAGCTTGTCTATCAGTCAATGGCCACTCAAGAGATAGGAACTATCCCAGGCATTTGAATGGAGAGAACATAATACAAAAATTTTAACTAGGTGTAAATTCATTAACCAGGTATCTGAAAAAGTAAAAGAGGACACTAAGGTTTTACAGAAGTAGTAGCTACTACAGAAAGCATCCACTGTCCCTTGGGCTGGAGGAAAAAACATAAGCAGTTGGGATTATTAAAATGCAGGACGTTGGAGGAGGGGCCCTGTTGGGCTGGAGCTCAGACCTCTGAGAGGGAGATGCTGATTGGCTAGTGCTGGTGTCTCTGAGCTCAACATAGGAGGGGTCCCGTGGGGCTGGCTTCAGACCACTGAGAAGAAGGTGCCTGCCAGCTGGTGCTGGTATTTTGGTGGTGGGTGGTGGAATGCATACCACTGGTTCTGCAAGTGTTGAAAAAAACATACTGAGTTCAGCTGCTGCTTTAGGAAGGAACTACCCCTGCCAAGATGAAGCAGCACCACTGGGGTGAAGCTTCCAGGAACAGAAGCAGGCAGGAAGCCACCAGGAAGCAAGCTGGAAGTCCTTTTTTTCTCCATCCTTGCAACCTTCCTCTAGTGCCCCCTATTAGCACAACCTAATGTTAACCCAGATGGCAAGAAAATAGGATTGGCAGCACCAGTAAGACAAAGCTGCACAGAGAAGGGTGGATTTAAAATGGAAAGACAGTAACTTAATGATGAACACATATGGGACAGGTGACCCTTCATTGGCCATACTTCCATGGTGCCCAGAACAGTGATGGCTAGAGTGTGGTATTAGAAAGACCTTGGATTTGGAGTAAATGGACCCATTTCTACTGCTTAATTTCAGTGTGACTTATTGGTCAAGTCATCAATATCTCTAAGCTTTCATTTCCTTATCTGTAAAATGGCAAAAATAACCCCTGACCTACATCCTACCTACCTACCTTTGATGCAAGCAAGAAATCAGTGTAATAAAGCAAGTATAAGAACTTTACACCTTGTATCCTGCCTCTCAAATGCAGCACAATGAATTAGTACTCAGTGTAATACTCTTCCCCACAGAAGAACATTTCAGTCTATTTAGGGTTTTGAACATCTTCTTAAGGAACATATCCCCTTGGAGACTTCAAGGTTCTTCTTATAAGCAAGAAAGGCGCAAACCGGGCTGCATGTCAGGGAAACTTTCCTGACAATGTGAATGTTGTGTGAAAGAAAGCAAACCATTTCCTCTCAGAAATGAGGTTCTGTTGCATAAGACATCTCAAATAGACTCAGACAAAACACTCACAGCTTCGTGGCAGAGCTGGGGGTGAAGTCAGAGGGAATCAGGCTACCCTTGTCCTTGGGGATGAACAGTCAGCACTGGTGAAGCTCTTTCCCATGTCTAATTTTGAGGCACATTTTACAGCCCCAGTGGCACTGTGTGGGTGTTGAAGACACTGCCTCTTCTCATCTTAATGATGTTTTGCTTTAACAGAGACGTTTTGCTCCTTGGAGCTCTGCTTGCTGCTTCAATGTAATAAGCCTCCCGGGATGCCCCAGGTGGGATTGGGAGCTTGCTCCCAGCTTTAGGCATATTGGCTGCCATGGAGCAGTGAGCAAAAACAGGGAGGGTCCTAAATCTACAGGATCATGTGTGGCCCAGTTTGACTGCTCCCACACATGCTGATGGGTGATTGGGTCACAGATACCACACTCCTGAGAACTTTCCACATTCTGCTGCACACAACACACTCCTCCCCATCTCAGGGCTGGGGCACGGTTTTGCCTGGCCTTGCATTGACCGCTGCTGCATCCCACCTCCACAGATGCTGGGTAGGCAACAGTGTCAGATAGCCTGGGGTTCCAACCTGTCTCATTCTTGGTTGTTAACTCTGGACAGTTTTTAAAACTTCTGTCCCTTTGTTTCCCCAAAAGAAGAAATGGATGTTGGCAGGCTTAGCCCAGGTTCCTTTCTCTAATTCACTCCTGTGGTCCTGCCTAAATACTCATCAAAGCAATGTGCTCCAAAACCCATCCCCACCCTCTGTGGCCCAAAGAATGTACCATGGAACCCCATTGCCCAGCAAATGAAATTTAAATTCCAAAGCCTCACATTCAGAGCTCTCTATCATCTTAATCTATAGTTTCTATTCTTGATCCTTCCTCTTAATATACTTATTTACCCCAACCAACATGGTCTAGTTTGCAATCCCCAGCATTGAATGACACATTCTCCCGTCCAAGCCACCACCCACAACACTCCCCTCATTCAGGAAGCTGGCCTCTTCCTTGTTCAACCCTGCTTGAAGGTTCTGCACATTGCCACCTTGTTGTTGAAATTTCCCTGGATCTTACCAGGCTGAAAGCACTTCATCCTTCTTTGAGATTTTTTATTTTTTGACAGGGTTTATACACTGCATTGATTTATATGATTTTTTTTTTAACTACAGCTGGAGGAGAGCAAGCAACCAAGTAGATACAATAGACCAGGATTTGAATCTGGTCTATTGTGATATGTATATTCAATACTTTACTGAAAATATTACAGATAATATATACAAAATTACGATCACAGTGTCTAATAAAGGGTACTGATTATTATCACACAGTATTAGGTACATATTACACACTCAATGAAAATCTATTGGATTGATTTAAGTACCAGACATAGGGTTTGAAGCAATGATATTGGATGTAAAAGTTATAAATTGGTATTTTTAAGAATTGGATTTGTTTCAGATTTTAAAGCAGCATGTGCTCATTGTAGAAAATGTGTAATATGTGTGCACGTGTATATAAAAAGGTAGGAGAAATGTCATTCAAAATCTCACATCTCAGTGGTAATTACTCTTAACACATTATTTTTTTCAATTTTAAATGCATTGTATGTAGATGATCTCATACAAATATATAGTTTTGTTTCTAATATTTGTGTATGTCATAAATAAAGGTTAGAAACCTACTGTTTAACCCATTATAAAATAATATATGATAGTCATTTTAAATACAAAAAATATTAAGGCATTTAATTAAAATACTCAAATCTAGCCTACTATACATATTTGGGGTTATTTTCTTCCAACCTTTTATAATTACATTTTTGCATATTTCAGGAATCACCATTAGAGTGAAAGCATTTTCCTATGCTATGAAACAATTTTCTGACATCACTTTTTGATGGTTACATAATATTTTACCCTACATAGTTTGTTTAATCCTACCTTTATTTCTACATAATTAGGATGTTTTTTACTTTTTTCCCATTATCAATACATCTTCATCTGAATTTTAAATGTTTTCCTTAGGCTAGGGAGTGCAATTTGATCAGCAATTTTTTAAAAGCCCAAATTGTAATGACTCAGAGTAAGTATGTTATCTCACATGACTAAAAGTGCAAATGAGGCTGTATTTGGACGAGTTCAGTGACTTGATGATATCATCAAGGACCCAGGCATCTTCCATCATTTTGCTCCTGTTTTCTTTAATGCATGATGTGAATAGACATCATAATAAATAATTTACATATATTAGCTTCTTTCCTCTTCACAGCAGCCCTAAGAAGTGGGGTCCTATTTTTATTCTCATGATAAGAATGAGGAAACAAGCTCAGCGAAGTACCTTGCCTAGGATCACATAGCACCGCATATAAGAGATGGGCCTACTGAGGTTCCAGACATCATATCCTCACTCCATTATCCAGATGGAGGGAAGGATCTAACTCTTCCTTCTATCTCTTCCCCACCTTTTTGATTTGATAAATTTCTAAGCTACACAAAATTTGGAAGCATATTAGAATGAGCACCAGTATTCACTTCTCTTCACTCATTGTTCAACATTTGCCATGTTTGCTTCCTCTCCTCTCTCTCATTCTCTCTCATTCTCTTTCTCTCTCCCAGTTGAAAGCAATTTGAAGATATCATGGGGTCTATTTCTCTTTTTCAAAACTTTTAACATTGAAATATGATATACTTGCACAAAATGCATTTACTATATGTATGCAATTTAATAGAATTCCACAAATTGATCACACGTGTGTAACCAGTGCTCCCCTCCTCTGAAATGTATCAAGGGTGATATTGAAAAGAAAAGGGTTCTTTCAGTAAGAAAGGAGGAAGAGACCAGGCAGGGTGGCTCACACCTGTAATCCCAACACTTTAGGAGGCCAAGACGGGTGGATAACTTAAGGTCAGGAGTTCAAGACCAGCCTGGCCAACATGATGAAACCCTGTCTCCACTAAAAAAAAAAAAAAAATACAAAAATTAGCCAGGCGTGGTGGCACACGCCTGTAGTCCCAGCTACTCTGGAGGCTGAGGCAGGAGAATCCCTTGAACCCAGAAGGTGGAGGTTGCAGTGAGCCGAGATGGCGCCACTGTACTCCAGCCTGGGTGACAGAGTGAGACTCCATCGAAAAAAAAAGAAAAAAAGAAAAGAAAAAAGAAAAGAAAAAAGAGGGAAGAATAGGTATAGCGTATAGGCACCCACAGTGTCTGCTGCTCCATCATCTCAGTGGCCCTGCTTTCTTTCTTAAGCTGAAAATGGAAATTGGCCACAGAGCATAAAGGAACGGGGACCATGGTAATACAGCACAGGAAGGCACAGCTTCCAGGTCACCATAGACTTTGGAGTCGGAGAGTCCTGGATTGAAATCTCAGTTCTACCTTTTATGTGCTTTATGATCTTAAGCAAGATATTTATCCTCACAGAGCCTCATTTTCTTCATCTGTACAATGGAAATCATAACAGGGCCTACCACCGAGGGCCACTGTGAAGGTGGAAGGAGTTAGTATTTGTAAATCATTTACTATGTTACCTAATTTATAGTGAGCACTCAAGAAATGATACCTGTTGTTATTATTATTACTAATCATAATAATCTTGCCAAATATATGTTATTACTATTCTTGTTTACAATGGAGAAAATGGATGGCCTGAGAGATAAAGAGATTAATTGACTAATAAGCAACAGAGCCAGGATTCACAATCAGGTTTTTCTGGCTCTAAACTTGTTACCTCCCAATGAATAGATCAGGCCTGGACAAATGAGGGACTAAATCATACCTCTGAAGATCAATTTGTTAACTGACAGTTAATATAATAAGAGATGTAAGTGCTAAGCCACCACTGAGCTGGTGCCAGCAGGCCAGCACTTGCTTTTTCCCAAAAAGAAAGTGCAAAAGGCAACAGGGATGGTGCTTAAAAGGCTGGAGCTGCCTTCAGGACCACCCAGCACCCCAGCCCTTGCAGATTCCCCAGAAAGCACTGGACCCAGATGAGGGGACCCAGGGTCTCATCAGGACTTTTCTTCTGACCTTTCAGGTGGCTGTCATTGGTCCCTTCCCCTCTCTGAACTTCAGCCTCCACATGGCCAAGGCAGTGGGCATGGGGAGTTCTGGTGGAGGTGATGTCTGTGGACCTGGCTTGCTTCAGCAAGCTGGGACTCCAGGTCCCCACTCATTGCTGCCCCATCTCCCAACCCCACCTTCCCTTCAGTATTCAGAAGGGGGATCCGTCGTTTGGGTTTTTTATAACTCACTTCTCTATTGCTTTATTACTTTTCCAGTGACAGGCAGCAGAATAGACTTTGTCTCGATATTGGCTGAGGGAACGTGGTCTGCATTTATTACGGAATCTGATTTCATTTTGGTTTTACTTCTTTTTGTGTGTGGAGGAAGAGGCCTGGTCCTCCTGTAGGTCAGCTCCAGCTGGAGGAGTAGGCCCAATTACCCGGCAGCCTCTGGGTCTGCACTGAGAGTGGGCAGGCCCTCCCTGGTAATCAACTCTAGAGGTGCTTGGGCTGAGAGGGAAATTGAAGTTCCCAGGAAGGCCACGCAGCAAAAGCGCCTGATTAGAGACAATGACCCTGAAGGATTTCTTAACACACCCTCTGAGGTAGCTGCTTCTGACTATGGTTCAACCTCTTAGAGCCCTCTGCCTCTGGCAGCCTCAGGACTGTTCTCCAAGACCCAGGTCTTGCAGGAGGCACAGTCAGACTTGGCTTGAGTCTTGATTCAGCCACCTACCAAGGATCAGGATCTGGGGTTGGCCACACCAGGATTCGAAAGTGGACACTCTGATTTGGAGGTACATCTCTAGGCTCTCTGAGTTTTCATTTCTCATTGGGAATTGTAGACAGTAACTTCTGTCTTGGAGAATAATAAAATAATAATTAATCCTCACTAAGCCTTTGCTAGGTGCCAGGCAGTGTGCTAAGTGCTTTCTATGACTATCTCTTCCATTTTGTACAACCGTTTGATAAGATTGGTACCAAACACGATCCCACATTTATAGATGAGGAAACTGAGGTTCATATATGCCAGTAACTTTGCTTATCTGTCCAATTAGTCTGGCAAGCAGGCCTATGGAATTTGAGGGAGGACATGACGCATGGTTTGTAAAAATGGACCTAATGTGTATTTTTAAATAATCCTCATCAATTCTTTTGATTCCTTGGAATAAAATAAGAAATCATAGACATCCAAAGCAGCATAGAAAAGGTATGCGGTACCTTTAATTTTTCTAAAAATAAAACTTATAAATTTACAAAAGCACAGTCATTTATTGTGGAAGAATCTATTGAGTATCTTCTGTGTCCAGTGTGGTGCCAGGCTATGCAGATTTGAGTTGGAAAAGCCATGGTCTGGCCTGGATAAGCTGCTAGTCTATGGCCAGCGAACAGCTAGGGGGCAGTGTGACATCTGCACTGAGCAGGGTCCTCAGAGAAGTGACCAGTTCTCGCTCGTGCCCTGCCATGGGAGAGATTTTCCCAAAAGACATGGCACAATCACTTTGTGTCCACAAAGGATTCCTATTACGCTGAAGAAAACTCACCCACAAGTCAAGTTAGTGAAACTTTGACCCACCACTTGTTTTTGCATGGCCCACTGGTCTTTACATTTTTAAATAGTTGAAAAAAAAAATCAAAAGAAGAAGGTTTTGTGCCACGTGAACATTATATGAAACTCAAATGTAGATGTCCATTTATAAAGACATGCCAGAACACAGTCCCACTCATTTCTTTACAAATCATCTGTGGCTGCTTTCATGGTCCAGTGAAAAAATTGAGTAGTTGCAACGAAGACCCTTTGGCCTGCATACCTAAAAGATCTACTCTCTGGCCCTTCACAAAAGAAGTGTGACAACTTCTGCTATAAGTCATTGCCTTCTTCTTCATCCTCCTTTATCTTGGTGCTTTTATCTTCATGCAGTGTCCACTGTCTCCCTTCTCTTGCTTTGTCTAATCCTCCCAATCACAGTGTAAGGTAGGCATTGACAATCTTCCTTACAGATGCTCAAACTGAGGATCCAAGAGGAAAAGTCATTTGCCGAAGTCCACAGCTACTAAGCGGGGAAGCCAGGGCAGCTCTTGGATTCCAGGTTTTCTAAAGCCAGGGCCAGTCCTCACGCCTTCTCTGTGTAGTGCAGACTTAGTGTTTGAGGCCATGGCACCATGCAGTCAGAGGCCAGGTGGCGTTTGAGGTGTAAGCCTGTGATCCTGGCGGGAGTGGGCATCCCAGGGCAGAAGCCTTCCATCTGGAGGATTAGGTGACCTTAAGGTCCCTTTCAACTCTCTGAGCCCGTGATTGTGTGATCTCTGGCCAGTTCTGCAAAGGGCCAGGCCACATGCCATCTCTAAAGGCTTCACTGACAAAATGAGGCTCCTGCGGGAGCCTGGATCCCCACACTCCAGCCAGTCTCTCTGGAGCTCTGTGGTGCCGAGTGAGGCTCAGAGCATTGAATCTGTTTCTCCAGATGATTTGTCTTTGCAGAATGAGGTAAAGCAGGCTGGAGACAGCAGAGGTCAAATTCAGCTTATAGATTATCAGCCACCTCTGTTCTTCCTCCCACGCAGGAGTGTTCCCTTCTGCCCCATCAGAGTCCAGCCCTTAGCACCCACCTAGCACAGTACAGTGGAAATTGGATGGACCTAGATTCAAATCCTGATTCTGCCACTTACAGGCTTCAAGATTCAGTCAAGGGGCTGCCAATATCTTTCACCCTTCACATCCTATTCTGCAAAATAGAAATAATATAGTGCTTAGTTAGCACTTAAGATCAAGGAGAGATAAATCATCTAAAATACCTAGAATATCCAGTAAATATTAGTTATAATCTTAATTCATGTTTAAAGCAATAAGAAACTGAAAATATTTAACACTGGTAAAAATACATAATATGTAACTTAGAACAACCCCATCCAAACAAAGAAAGAAAAATAGCTGCAATTTGATGGTCCTCTTTGACCAGAAAATAAAATTGAACACAACTTATCTTTGTGCTTTAGGCCCTCCAGACATTTTCAGAATTCATCTCTTTGAAGGATGGATGGAAATTCATTCATCTTCATCCTCAATGGATCCTGAGTTATTGGACTGCTATCCAGTCCCCAGTCGAACATGCCTTCTTTGTGGCTTTTGCATGCGAATGTCCCTTTGCCTGAGCTTTCCTTCTCCATTTCTCTGTTTTGTGAACTCCTACTTATCCTTCAAAACCCAGCTCAAATATGACTACTTCTATGGTGCCTTCCTTGTATCCTCAATTCCTCTTCTATGTTCCCACAGCACCTTGTACATGAGTCTTATTAGAGCATTTAATCTATTATAATTGAGTTCACTGTTGATGTTGGAATCTTTAAGGCCTAAGTAGAGGTCCCACTAAGAGCAGTAATTAGAGCGAAACGCCAATGGAGCTGTACTCCTTTTCCTGGAGAATCTGCCTGTGTCTCCACAGACAGGCAACACTCTTACTACTCATGCCTAGAGGGAGGGGAGACACAGTCTGGAGTGGCAAAGATAGATCTCCCCATGAGATGGTGCTAATAGTTTTCCTTTGATTTTACTTTTCCATCTTGATTAAAAATATGTGATGTTTACACTGCTACAGGGCAGACGGAACTGTGAATTGCTTTACAATCTACACATCAGATTTCATGTCCTCTCTTATTTCATGTTCCATCAGATTTGCAAAACTTTGGTTCTCCTCTATTACTCAGTGGAACTCAGAACTTTATAACAATAATCTCAGTGGGTGCAGGTGCAGGGAAGGGCAGATCAGAGATGTGGATGGAGAGGACATATATGCCCCATCTCCTCCCCTTCACCCCAAACTGCCAGACTAACATCCTCCTGCATCCTTCTGGGAGCTCCCCAATCTTAGTTCAAATCTGGTTTCCTGGCCCTGTCTCTGCTACTCTTTCCTATATGTAAGCCAATCTATGCCAGCTTTATCCATGACCCTTGTCCCCTGGCCCCACCTTCCCAATGGACCCACATGGAACTGCCTGTTTCTAGTGTTGCTTCCCTTCATTTTGACTCTGGGTTTAGACTCTGAATAGGACAGCCTTCTCCATCTCTCTTTGCTCCCTCTCTTGCCAGCTGCAGTGAGCCCCACTAGCCTATGAGTCCTAGAAGGCAGTGAACATGTCTCGTTCATTTCTATATGAAGTCACAGCATTGAGCACTGTGCCTGCACACAGAGGATATTCACTGATTGTTAAATGAATCAGTGAATGCACAAATGAACCAATGACTAAGTCTTGATGACCATGCATTTAATAGGTCTTTATTTGCTCAGAAGAGGTCTGATTCAAGGCCAGGCTAAACAGTTTCCACCTTTTTTTAGCATTCAAAGAAATGTTGGCACTTTTGCTACAGCAGAGGGCACTGTGATTTCCCTCCAGCCTCGGGCCCCCCAGACCCAACAACCTGTCCCAGTCGTCTTTCACCCATGGTAAGATGACAAGAGAAGGATTCTCAAAAGATGGACAGATGGCAACATCATCAGCCTTCTGAGTATCTCCAAATAAGAGTTTTCATATACTTATGCAGGTCTATGTGCAGGATCTTGAGCTGCAGTGGCCGCCTTGACTGTGACATGGAGATCAAAGTGACCAGTAATAGGATCTGGTCCCCTCCTCCAATTCACCACCTAGGAGGTGCATAGTGCCTTAATCACAGTTAA
Source organism: Homo sapiens (assembly GCF_000001405.40). Lineage (NCBI taxonomy): Eukaryota > Metazoa > Chordata > Mammalia > Primates > Hominidae > Homo > Homo sapiens. The sequence continues at coordinate 33,946,051 of NC_000017.11, read as the reverse complement.
TGATCCACCTGCCCAGTGGCATGTCGTATGCTAAGGTCTGATGGTCTCTGACTTTCATCTTGCATGCTGGAGGATGCCTCCTAAGCACCACAAATGGGATTTCCCTGTCAGAATCTGATTATGGATCTTTATGCTTTAATCTCCTTGTCTTGTCCACTTTGAGACTTGTGGTCAGTGGGGCATGAATTCCACTTATCAGGGCCTGGTTTATTGTTTCTGAGACTGCCTGCTGCTCTGACCAGAAGCTGGCTCTGGATGCAAGCAAATCGTTGGAAAGTGGATTGATGTATTTTTGTGGGGAGCTGAGTCAGATCACGGAGCTTCTTGTTGCCAAACTTTCAGGGAGACCTAAACAGACCTGGTGAAGATTTGTGGGATTCATTTAGGTCACCATGGTGTCCCCTGACACAGAAGCCATATGCAGCCTAAATCAGGAAGCTCTAGGCTCAGAAGGCATTCTTGATCTTAGCTCTGAACTGCCCGCTTAATCTGCTTGCCATGTCTAAGCCTGCTGATTTGGGCATTCTCGGTTAGCAACATTGCTGCCCATTCTCCCATTTTTATTTCTCTTATCCTTTGTATTTGTCGTCTAGTACCATTTTCCTGGCTCCAAACTTATTTTCTGCTAAACCAATTATGCCTCCTTGTTCCATCTGAGTTAACAGCCCTCCTGGTCATGACCCTAGTGCTGCTCTGTATCAGTGAGCCCACAAGTCCTGAGACCACCAAAAAAAAAAAAATGGGCAAGCCCTTATGCCTGTGCTGAGCTTTGAGGTTGTGAATGTGTTACCCATGTCACTCCTCTGGCAGACAATTCTGTGAAATCGACATTGTAACTCCCTTTCTAAGATGGAAAAACAGGTTCGGGATGTTAAGTGACTGGAGATCAAGACTTCACATTGGAAAAGCAGCACCTTGAGCTTTCAAGCCAAGCTGCTGCCCCTGGCATCAGCCTCTGTCTTCTACAGAGTTGCCCTACAGCAGGCAGCAGCAATCACATGAGATCATACTTAAATTAGGCATCTGCTCAGCCCTTAAGAGCTGATACACAGTTTCCAGTGGATGCTCAGCAACCCTTGGCAGGACAAGGCTCTTTTTCTATTGGGGAACCAATGTTCAGCTTCAGGAGAGACTCAGGGGTGAGGGAAGCAGAAAGGATGGTGTCCCAGCCAGTCCATTTTACGCATTGGTGGAGATTACCATCAGATCTACCTCCATCACACTCTTCTGGAGGCACGGATCATGGCCAAGAGGGACAGAGGCCACAACCCCTGCAGCCTTGAGTCTGGTAGCACTTTGCAGTGTGCAATGGACTTTCAGCACGATTAGCTCATCTCATTCTCAGTACATCTCTCTGGCAGGGCAACCCTGAGGAGCAGGCAGGGCAGAAGTGTTTCACTTTGGCACAGAAAGAAAGCACAGCTCAGAGACTAGCCCACATCACACGCTCCTGAAACCCTGTTTTCTTGGCGCTCCCCTGACTCACCTTCCTCTCCTCACAGGTTCTCCTCTCCATCCAGCCCTACTCGACTGCCTTGGCCTCACCTCCTTTCCCCACTTCTTCTTACTTTTATCTGTCTGCCTCTCCCTGTGAGCACCAGTCTCCTCTCTGAACCACCATGGATGCTTTGGTGCATTCCTAATGATCAAGGCTCCTTCCTGAGGCTAATGAGATAGGGATATGAAAGTTCATGCTAAACTGGCGCTGTTTCTCCTGCTGTTGCTGCCCAGGGCTGGGTAGTCTCATAGGAGTTCTTCTCCACAGAAAGCTCAGACCCTATGGGTCACACCCTCAGGATACAAATGAATCAGATATTATCTCTCCATGGGAAGTGCAAGGAAAATAAACAATCTTAAATGTAGGCATTGAGTGGAAGTGGTCAATAAATTGCAGCTGAAAATTCAGAAACATCAGCAAGTCCTTATACAGGTTTTCAGACAGAACTTGTGATACCACCTGAGTGATCTGAAAACCTCAAGACAAGAATTTCTTTTAGAGTAACTCAGGTTGTCAAAAGCTGACACAAATCCTATCTAGGATCCGCCTTCATCCTCAGACGCAAGTGGTTTCCACAAATAAACCTCTAAGAATTTTTATAGTTAAAAATAACTGAATTACAAGGAAACAAAACACTCCGAGGGTGAATCAGAAGAAGAAACTGCAAGCACAGAACTCCCTGAATCTCAGCTTCTTCACCAATAAAACGGGGATAACAATACTCACCCTACCAAGGTGGTGTGTGGATTAAGAGATCAGGTGCATGTGATGTATTTAGCACAAGGCCTGGTGTGTACAGCAGATGCACAATGAGAGCTAGCAGCTGTGGTTATTTTCTCCATTTTTTTTTTTTTTTTTTTTACTATTATCATTCAATGAATGTTGGCTTCTTTCTCCTATATTTTCACTCGTGCACAGGCAAAAGAAAGTCAATGTAAATGGAAAAACTGCAGGATTTGGTGTCAGGAGGTTTAAATTTGAATCCAAGTCTGTTAACCTTCTAGGGTCTGCAGCCTCAACTGTAAATTGGGACAGAGGTACTTGCACCTGCTCTTACTGGGCAAGGTTGTTTTGAGGATGAAATGGAGGGAGGGCTGTGGAAGCACTCTGCAAACTATAAAGTGCCATGCAAATGTCACCTGATCATATTCTCTCTTCATTTCTTCCGTTGTCTCCCATTTTGTGTCTCTCTTGAAACATGCGGTATAGGGAGTTTTCAAAGATGAAGTGCGGACATGAGGGCAGATGGGGAAGTGGGTTCTCATTCTGCGGTTTCTCCATTACAATATCAACCTTCTTCCCTGCGCTTCTCCTCTTTCCCCCTTGCAGGGGCAAAGACAGATAGACTAATACCTTATATTTTTACTGTACTGGATAATAAAAGAATAAAAGGCTCGTCCAGAATTCAGAAGTTCCATTCTATCATTTCCTCATTGTGTGATCTTAGATCATTCCTTTTTCTGGGCCTTAGCTTTCACATATACAGAATAGGTACAATAGTACCTACCTCATAGTTGCATGAGATTAAATGAGATTTTGTTTGGAAGATAAAAGGTCGGAACTTACACCTTCTAAGATCTTTTGCAAAGTTAACATCCTGAGACTTTGGGAAGGACGAATGCTTCTGGAATGGTGATACCCAACTATTACTGTGGAGAGCATAGGTCTGAAAGCCCTAAAGGCAAGTTCCTCTTTGGGACTTTGGGGTCAGTCCTGTGACACAGAGCACATTTTCTAAAACTGGGATGGTAGCTGGCCTTCATTGCTCGGCTGATGAAGCTAAGTACAGCCCTTGCTGTTCAACTTAAACCATGTCTTAGCAACACACACCATCTTCCTCTAGCAAAATGTGAAGTCAGGAATGAAAAAACTAGACCCCTGACTTCAGGGCCCCAATTTGTCTCTGCCACTCGTTTCCATAGTGATTATCACTGAGAGATGACTCACCACTCATTAATCAGTGACTTCGTGTGCCCTGTCCAATTCCTGCCTCCCGCACACTCTCATGTCACCCAACCAGAAAAAGGGCAGCTTCTGTAAAGGAGAAAAGGAGGTGGAAGGCAGAGGGTCTGAGTTCTGGCCTTGGCTCTTCCATTGGCTGTTGTGTGAACTTGAGTTAGACCCTGCACTTCTCTGGGTCTCAATTTCTTCATCTGTGAAATAAGGCCTCCATCATTAGGTGACTTCCACAGGTTCTAAGACATTCTAGGATAGAGGGCACATCCCTACTTGGGCCTAGGAGGGGTTGAGTTCCCCTCTTCAGCATGAGAAGGAGGTGAATAGTGATGCTGCTGCTGCAGGAACCCACCTATCAAGCTGTGACTGTGACACTTGGATTCCCCAGCTCTCCAGGGGCTTTCAGGCATTGCTTAAGTTACTCCTCGCAACTTTGGTACCTTTTCTGCCTTCTCCCTTCTTCCCCAACTGGCGACCTCTCATCTGTCCTTGGAAACTTGGTCCAGCTGTTGTCTCTTCCTGCAGCCTACTCAAAGCACCTAGCTTCCTGCCAGTCTTGTCCAGATACCTCGTTTATTTGTTCCCGGTACACGTATATTCTAGCCCTGAAAACGCTCTGTGGGAATGTTGTGTTATATATCTCCCCAACAACACCTGCCTTCCTAGCCTGAGTTGCCCCGGGGTGGTAGTAACAGCAGCCAAACAGCCTTTCTCTGGCTTAAAGTGGAAGCTGCAGGCTCACAGCAGCATCCTGCCCTGTCCTGGTGCAAGTGCTTTCTGATTTCAGACTCCAGCCATGAGCAAACCTCTCTCTTATGTCCCAGGCAGAAGCACAGGGGATCCCCTCCCAAACTCCCTTTGACCTCCTTTTCATTCCTTTATTCTTTCATTGCTCCACTCTGAGCCAACATAGATAGAAATAGCCACTGCTCTGTGGGCTGGCCTCTCTCTGGACCACTGCTGCTGTCCCAGTTTCTTTGCCCCCAGTGGAGAAGATGCTGAGCCAGAGACCCCCAGCTCCCTCTATCTACTTCCATTGGATATAGCTGCATCTCTAAGTCTGGGACTGAGAGCAGATGATGTCTCTATTGGCCTTTCTCTTGGGGTCCCACTTGGGATGAGCCACCTGGGCTCCAGGATGCTGCTATGGATAAGGTGGGGTTCCTTTTCAGCCCTGGGGAAGCCCCTGGTAGTGCAGTACGGCTGCCTCCCTTGCAGTGCCTGCACCCTTTTTGCCACCACTCTGGGTTCATCCTGCAGGATCCCACTGGGATGGGGCAGATCTGAAGCTTTTCTTCTGAGGGCGTCTGGGAGAGGGATGATCTGAAAGACTCTCCTGTCTGTGTGGGCTGCAAGTGTCCTTCCTGCTCATCCCTGAACCACTCACTAGGACTCCCTGGCAGGGCTGGAGGCTCGTCTGGCCCCTCATGAGTTTCCACCACAGTTGAGCTCACCTAGGCTCCTGCACTTAGACTCCTAACTGGTCATGCTGCATCAGCTCTTGGCCCCTCATTCTCCACTCTGCACAACATCCAGGAAGATCTTTTCCTGCTGCTCATCTGACACTGCCAGTCGCTGCCTGAGCACTTAGATAGTTCTTCACCGCACTTAGAATGGAATCTAAACACCTCAGCCTGGCCCTGGAGGCTGTGCTTGGCCTCAGGCCCACTCCGTCTGGGCTACAGCTGCCCTGGCTTTCTTTCTGTTTTCTAGGGAGCAGGCCACGGGGCGGTCATATGCCCTACAGTGCATCACCACCATCCTTTGAGTCTCAGGTCAAACACCAAGCTTCTCTTGACACCCCAAGACTAGATCAGATCCCCCATTGTGTTCTTTAAAATACTCTGTGTTTTGCTTAACAGTCTTGTCTCAATTTGCAAAGATTTGTGTATTGTGATTATGTGAGAGATAACTATGTCCCCTGCTAGGATCCAAGCTCTGGGAAGCCAGGAACTATATTTTTGTCAACTGTTTTATCTCCAGCACTGTACCTACTACAGTGCATTGTTGTGTTCAATTTAATGTGTAAGGAAGGAAGGAAGGAAGGAAAGAAGGAAGGAAGGAAGGGATGGATGTGGAGTGAAGGAGGGAGGGAGGGGGTTATGTATCACTCATATCTGAAACCACAGTGCAATTTATCCATGCTCTGCCTTTAGGCCCACTGTGGGGTCCTCAATCCTGAGATTAGGCCTTGCTCAGTGAAGAGCAGCACTAGATGATAGAGATGCTTCAGGGTGATCCCTCTGGAAACTGCTGTTGCAGCTGGATGGCACAGTCTGGCCAACCAGCTTCTACAGGGAACCCAGAATATGTTAAAGATTACCATAGAAATCATGGAGTGAACCAGTCTGAAGTCCTCACTCATGATAAGCCCAAGGGCCAACTTACTGGTTAGGTGGGGACAGGAAGTGGAATAGAAACCTTATGATCCTCGGAGTTGGGCACGCTGCCTAGTTAGGGTTGTTTGCTGACCACATGACCTTGGACAATGGCTTACCTAGAGTAGCGTATTGCTCTCCTAGGTCAAGGTGAGAAATTAAAGGAGAGGATGCATGAGTACGCAGGGTAGGCCCTTTTCTCCTCCTTTTCTTTCTTTTATCCCTGCCATTATTCACATCCAAATTCTCAGGAGTCACCTTGATGAGATGACCGATACCCTGGCCTTCCTCTGGGCAAATAAGAACCCTGGTCTCCTCAACAGTAACCAGCAGCACCACCTTTCCCAAATGCCCTATTTACAACTTGTGTCTAAAGGGAGCTACTGCAGCAGGGACAGAAATCATGTGTCCCATGAGCCAGATTCAGAGGAAAGCATTGCTGGCCACACCCCTGCTCTGCCGTGGGCAACAGTGAATGGACACCTTGTTGCCACAGCGGTCTGGTTCCAGCTGCCTGCTCACCATCCTGTGGTACTTCATCCCAGCCCTGGAGTCCACAGTGGGTCACACCAGCTCTGTGGAATTGACTCCACTGTAGAAATCCAGTACAGCCAGTTTGTCTCCAGGATTTGGAAGAGCCTGCACTCTGTAGTGTGCATTTTCTTGATTCATTCACGCTCTGTTTGCTTTTTATGCAGGGGATCCAGGGAATTAGAGGAGTCTAGTTCCAGGCTTTCTCAGCTGACATGCTTTGTGACCTTAGATAGCCTCTTCCCTTCTCTGAACTTCAGCTCTCTTCTAAAAAACAAGAGATTGAATAAAAGAAAAATCACCAGGCCTAGAGCCAAGAGATATTGTTTCTAGTTCTGATTCAATTTCCAATGGGCAGTACTGCCTTGAGAATGTTACTTGACCTCTCTGATTCGTTTTCTCTACTGCACAGGGCAATTGGGGGGATTAATGAGATAATCATGGCATGACTCTATATTGAATATGAGGCAAACGGGAGATGTCCTTGTGATATTTAAGGAAGCTTATAGTTTTACTATCTTGTGACAACAGCTATGGAGAACAACAGAAATTTCTGTCCCATCCCATGTCTGGGCAGTAAGAAGGGGTGAGGCCCCAACAATGGGCTGGCAGGGACCATGAAAAGTAAGCCTTCAAAGGAGGACCTAGGCCAGCAGGAACTGCCTGGGTGGGAGGGCTGGCCCCGGGCAGTGCCCACAGAAGTTATAATAAGCACAGTCTGTACTGCATGGTTATTGACCCCGGTCAATGGGGAGAGAGCAGAGGCCAGAGTCTGAGCACAGAGGCACTTTCCAGCAGGGATGGTCCAATGATCAGGTTGCCACCTGGCATAGTGGGTAAAGACCCCAGCCTCCCAGAGTCACTGAGGCAGGGAGACAGCCATGCAGGAGGCCTCTAGCTGTCCCCTCTCAGGCTTGGTGGAGGTGGGTAGAGGGTGAGAATTAATTGAGCACCTACTGATGGCCAGCTCCTAGGCTGGGCACTTCCCAGGCACTGCATACACAGTAGCCCTCCTGGATCAAATCCCACTTCCACCCTATGCTAATTGTTTGCCTTGGGCAAATAACTCTCCATCTCTAAGTCTTCCATTTCTCCCTTGACAAATAGAGCTCATCTGGAGGAAGTTGTGAGGATGACTGGAGATGATACAAGGGAAGTTTATCAGAGTATTAAGGACAAGTGCTTTATAAATCTCAGATATTATTACTGGGAATATAGGGAACATGACACCTTTTCCAGAAGAAGGGAGCTAGTAGGAGCTGGTAAGGGTTCAGAGCCCTCACCAGCTAAATGGACTGTCACCAGAGTCTAGCCATGGTGGAAACAGCCTCTAGCGTTGGTGGGAGGGAATATCAGGGACATTGGGTGTGGTAGGGGGCAGTGAACTTGAAGGTGGATAAGGAGGGAGCCCCCAGCTGAAGAAATCAGGGGCTCTGGTGCTGGCCCAGCTTCCTACTCCCTGATCCCCAGTAACCCCTTTTTGTCCCGTTTAGGGCATCCCTCCAAACTCCCAGACCTTGGCATAACACAGGGAGGAAAATATAAGATTCAGTAAAGGAAGCCCCAGGCAGGTATTTAAAGTTCAGGTAGCTCAGAAAAACCCTCCTGCCCTGGGGCTCTATTCAAACCAGGCCAGAAAAGGAGGAAATAAACTTAAAGGCTCTCACTGATTCTTCCCAGGAGATTTAGGCTTGTTCCCTAGGAAACTCCTTTCTTCTTTATCCAGGACTCTGGAAACCCCAAGTCATCAGTAAGTTAATGGCAATGTTGCCCACAAAGGACAGAAATTGCCAGCCCTAAAAGTCATCATCTGCTTTGTACCAGAAGCCTACTTCTGGCAGTTTGTGCTAAGAGAAAAAAAAATTTTCTAAAAGCAGTGGGGGAAAACAAACAAACAAACAAAACTCTCAATGAATTAAATATCCGTGGCTCTTTGCTTTTAGAAGACTGGACATTTGGAAACTTCATGAATACCTGGCAATGTGGATAGGGCTGGCTAGGGAAATCTCAGGACAGCCATTAAAAATATGTTTATACCAACATAGGAAAGTTTGTGATAGCCTTAAGTAGAAGAAACCAGGAAATGACATTGAATATTGAAAATGACCTTACCCACTTAAGGAGTACTCTGCATAGAAAAAGGAAGGCATGCTATGAAATGTTAGTAGAGTCACAAGTGATTTATTTTTCTTCTTTTCTCCAATATGCTCCAGTTTCTCTGTTAATGAGTATACATTACATTCTGATGGGGAAAAAAAAAAAAGAGCTCTGATTCAAAAGAGGCATTTTCAGCCGGGCATGCTGGCTCACACCTGTAATCCCAGCACTTTGGGAGGCCGAGGTGGGCAGATCACGTGAGGTCAGTTTGGGACCAGCCTGACCAACATGGCGAAACCCCATCTCTATCAAAAATACAAAAATTAGCTGGGTGTGGTGGCACGTGAGTGTAATCCCAGCTAATTGGGAGGCTGAGGCAGGAGAATCACTTGAACACAGGAGGCGGAGTTTGCAGTGAGCCAAGATTGCACCACTACACTCCAGCCTGGGTGACAGAGTGAGACTTCATCTCCAAAAAGAGGCATTTCCCAGCAGGGATGGCCCAGTTGCCAGTTGCTAGGCTGGCATAGTGGGTGAAAACCCCAGCCTCCCAGAGTCACTGAGGAAGGGAGAGAGACAGACAGGAGGACTCTAACTCTCTCCGCTTGGGCTTGGTGGAGGTGGAGGGTGGGAATTAATTGAGTACCTACTGTGTGCTACCTCCCAGGCACTGTACGCACAGCAGCCTTAACAGACAGCCATTTCTAGTCTTGCTGTACACATGAGGAAACTGAGGCTTAGAGCGATGTGTTCATGCTTGTCTCTTCAGGTCACATGGAATGATGGTGATCGATATAGACGTGATCTCAGAGTTCACTCCCTCATCATACAGTGGAGGAAACGAGGCCCAGGGAGGGGCGGAACATTTTTCCAAGTCATACAGCAAGAACTCAGAGGCCTCTTGGTTCCTGCTCTTGCCTTGAGGTGGTTCTGCGGGGCGCTCCAGAGCCCCCAAGAAATTCTTCTGAAATTCAGTTCTCCACAGGACACCTGGGCTCCTCCTCTGTCCTCCCAGCCCCTCACAGAGGAGTAGTTTCCCTTCTGGCCTGCCTAAGTCTGTCTTGTCTTCTGGACTTCAGTGGCCACCATGGACCTCCCAAGCTTTCTCTTGGGCTCTTCCAGTGCCGACCTCAGCTTGGCTGCCTCACACTCTGTCTGGTGGGCACTTACAGGAGCCATGTCCACAGACCACCTCGCCTGGGCTGTGGAGGCCCCGTTCTGAGACCACGTGCAGTCCAAAAAAGGAAGCTAAAAGGGGTCAGAGGAAAACATCCCCGTGTAGGGTGAGGGTGAATCTCAGTCTCCCTGTCAACTCTCTTTATCCTGACATCCAGAATTCCAGACCTTTGTGGGCACTGATCCCTGAGACTGGGCTCTTTAAGCTCTTTCACTGATCCCTGGGGTCCGAAACTTTCAGCTTGCACTTTGGTTTGGTAAACCACTGACTGTCCTACCAAACGCCCCCGCACCCCACAAACTCAACCTGTGCTCTTCATGTGCTATCTCCTGTTCGATCCCCACACTGACCTTCTGGGTTAGGGACTTGCATGTCCCCATTTTATAGATGAGGAGCCTGAGGCCCAGAGAGGTAAGTCACCTGCCCAGTATCACACAGCCTGAGATTGGCAGAGCCAGATCTCATGGAATGAGAGCCCTGTCTCACCTCCCTAGAGACAGAGCTTAATTGATAACTTTGAGTTGATACTGAAAGGTCACAGGAATTGCAGCAGATAAGGTGTTCTGAGGAACTGGCTCTCTAGCACCTGTGGTAATTAATTCAGTATCCCTTTTTGTGTCCCAGAGAAGCACAGTGGCTAAAGCGCACAGCACAAGCTTGGAGATCAGATGGACATGGCTTCAAATCTCGTCTCTGCTGTTTACAAAAAGTATGACCCCAGGAGAGGGATTTATACCCTCTGAGCTGTAGTTTCCTCATCCACAATGTGGGAGCAGGATTTTAGAGGATACCGAGAGATTAAATGAGATCTTTCTTATAGAGTCCTTAGCAAGGGGCTTGGCACCATGGATGGTAATATCATCATGATGATGCCAGGTATTTTCATTGCTATTCCTTATTATTCATCAGTATTTTTATTCATTGCTATTGCTGGTTGTATTCATCATTAATAAATAATAGCATTGTTTATTAATGTTATTACTAAGTTCTCTGCTATGTTCTGGGGCTCACAGATGAATTACACACTGTCTTTGCTCTCTGAGAGTCCCAGCCTGGAGGTGGGGAGAAGCCCCTTGGCTAGTGGGCTGATGATAATGGCTATGATGGCACAGCATTCTTTTCTCAGTAAGAGCAACTGACTGTCCGAGGGAGGTTATACAGAAAAGGTGACATTTGAGTGGGTTTAAAGGATGACTAGGAGGTTTGGGGGCTGAAAAGAAAGGGCAGGGTGTTCCAGATGTAGGGGGCAGTGTGTGTAAAGGAGCACAGAGGTGGGAACGAGTGTGACATGATTGTTTGGGGCAGGGCAAGCATGCCAGCATGGCTGGCGCTTGAGGCTTGCAGGCAGGGCTCACAGGGATGGTGCTGGACAGGCTGCCCAGGGCCCTAGACAGCCAGCTTCTGGGGAGTCTTGCCTGCTGGAAATAGGGATCCATGGTCATTTGCATGTCAGTATGTATGAGGACCTTTCCAGCACAGTGGAGAATGGGGTGGCAGAGGGATGGAGCAGTGGGGAGTATGGCACTACAGGTCTGTGAGAATTGATAGGAGCTGGAAAGCTTGAGGGGGAGGGACAGGTTTGAGAAAGATTAGGCAAGGAGATAGAAGTGACTCTGTTTGCATGTATGGGCACCCATGTGGGTGTATGCAAGTGTGTTGGAGATAGGCTAAGGTGGAAAGAAAGCATGAGATGATGATTTTGAACTTTCTTGATTAAGATGACAAATGGGTTTCACTAGAAGCATCTGTGGGACTTACAGACTGAACTCCCCGGTAGGCAATGGGAAATTGGCAGCATTGGCCTTGCCTCCTCCAGGGTGTCCTCCTTGCATCCCACGGGGTGTGTCAGGTCCTCCTCGGTGCCCACGGCCTGTGCCCTTGAGAGTTGCCTTCATTCCAGCCTGGATCCTGCTGGGTTTTAATACCTTGTGGACTTGTCAGCCTTTCCACAAAGACTATGAACTCCCCGAGACCAGGGGCTATATCTTCTTCATTATTCTATCCTCAAGGTGTGGCATCATACCTGGCACACACAAGTGCTTGAATCAATGTTGCTAAAGTAACAAGAAAATGCAAGTTTGAGTTTGGAAGTCAGAAGAGAAGTCGGGCTGGCCGTTTCGAACTGGCATTACTCTGGGTGAGCAAGGAGAAGGCTGTGGCCTCAGAGAATCAGCCCCCGAATTGCTAAGCCATAATACTTGATTTCCAAATTGTCCCCTTGCAGGTGAGATCACAGGGCAGGCCTGCCGAGAATGTGCTTCCTGGGAAGTTCAGCTTCTCAGCCACCGTGACCTTCTGTCTCAGAAGGGCTGATCTAGGGAGCAGGAATTAGTCTGTTCAATGTGCCCCCAGAAGTCCAAAACTAGAACAAGTGTCTGAAAAACATCAACTACAAGAAAGTCGCTGCTGACCCGAAAGAATCAAATACGTTCTGTTGATTAAAGTGAACAGAAAAACTAACAGCTCGGCTGCCTTGGAAGGAGTGAGCTCCTGATCTTGGGATGTGCCCAAGGGGCAGGCATGAAAATCTCCTGCAGCTCTGAGGCTCTAAGGCCTGTTTCGTGCATCTGGAAGGACCTTGATTATTGATAGCCTGTCTAGGTTGGCCCCACGTGCCTCCTCAAAGGATTCTGTGATGCCGGAGTATGAACGAGTGAGACCTCACACCTGCTCTTTCCTTTTAATCCTGACATCTGTTTCCCACAGGAAATGTCCAGAGCAAGTCAGAGTGGCCTTTTTCTCTTGGTTTTATTTTCTTCCCTGCTAAGTTGGTCCTCATCCCCTGGATTAGGGCACATTCCCAGTGCATGAGGTCCTAGAAGAGGTGACTTCCCAGGTCACCCAGCCACTGTCCCTCACAGCTCGGTGCAGTCGCTGAAATCAATTCCTGCTCTGTCCCGTACTCACCTCTTTCCAAGCCTGAGCTTATTCATTTGAAAAATGGCTGAATCTCATTGGCCTTGCAGCATTGATGTTTGTGTTCATTGAACAAGCATTCTCTGAGTATCCAGTATGTGCCAGGCACTGCGGTGAATAAAAGAGACAGAGGCTCCCTGTCTGGAGGAAACAGAAAGTAAACATGCAATTCAATGTCAGGGAGTAATAAGAATTTTAAAGAAAAACAAAGCAGGGTGAAGGGATAGTGATTGGTTCTGACTGGGATTGAGGAAGTGAATCAGGGATGGCTTCTTTGAGGAGGTGACTTTCTAAGCATGCAACTGTCCAGGGGAGAGTGTTTTAGGCAGAAGTAACAGCATGTGCAAAGGCCCTGTGATGGGCATGGCTGGCTATGCTGAAAAGCAAGGTCAGGTTGACTGGAGCTCCAGGAGACATACGAGGGTGGGAGGACATGGACCAGCCTGTGCAAGGCCTCCAGGGCCTTAGAGACCTCAGAGGTCTTGAGGAAGGAATCAGAAGGAATCAAAATTTAGAAAGTTTTGAGCAGAGAAGTGGCAGAATCTTTGCCTTCTTGATCTTTCTCATTCCTGCTCTTCACCCAGAGTCTCAGCTGTAAATCTCTAAACCTCTGCAGTCTAAAATGCTTCTAGGACAGCATTGCCCAATAGAAATTTAATGCAAGCCACAAAGGCACTTTTAAAGTTTCCAGTGACCATATTTTAAAAATAAAACAGGGGAAATTAATTTATCATACTATATATATATATATATATATTTTTTTTTTTTTTTTTTTTTTTTTTTTTGAAACAAAGTTTCGCTTTTGTTGCCCAGGCTGGAGTGCAATGGTATGATCTTGGCTCACTGCAACCTCCGCCTCCTGGATTCAAGCAATTCTCCTGCCTCAGCTTCCCAAATAGGTGAGATTACAGGCATGTGCCACCATGCTCGGCTAATTTTGTATTTTTAGCACAGACAGGGTTTCTCCATGTTGGTCAGGGTGGTCTCGAACTCCCAACTTCAGGTGACCTCAAGTGACCCGCCAGCCTCAGCCTCCCCAAGTGCTGGGATTACAGGCATGAGCCACCATGCCTGGCTTTTATACTATATTTTATTTAGCCTCATATATCCAAAGTATTATCATTTCCACATGCAATCAATATAAACAATATTCATGACATATTTCACCTTTTGTCATACTGTCTTCAAAATCTGATGTGTACTGTACACTTATAGCATATCTCAGTTTAGACCAGCCATGTTTCAGGAGCTCAAAGCCACATGTGGCCAGTGGATACTGCATTGAACAGAGAGCTCCTGCAGCCTGGGGTGGGGAAGACACCAGGTTCCTCTGCAGGAGCACCTGGTGAAGGGAGAGAGAGGGAGAAAGAACCCATTCCAGATCACCCTGGGAAGGTGGCGTTGGAATTGACCCTGCCTATTCTGGGGAACCTACCTGGCCTGGCTCAGCTCCCTCTTGGGAAGCAGAGAGGATATAAATTGAGCCCAGAAGTAGAGAGGATATAAATTGAGCCCGACAGACCCAGCATGGCTCTCATCTAATCAGTTCTAAGACTTGAATAAAGAGCCTTTTTAAAGGTCTACTGGAATCAGCGCCAACATTACTTTCTTAAAGGAAATGTTGAGAACGGCCGAACAGCGCTCATTCCCCATGCAGTTTTGAGTAGATACACTCCACCACCTCCCGCTCTGAAACTGATGGAGCCTGGCCCATGTTCAGAAGGCCCTTCTAGCTCATAAAGAGGGATTCAGCAAAGCAGTCCTTTTCCCAGACTGCACCTTCAGGCTAGCTGGTGGCTTAGAGGAACCTGAGAACACTCCCAGTTGACAACACACAGAACAAGTGTTTGATAAGCTGCTGTCAGCTGCCTAAGAGAGCTTAAGGGGTGGAGAAGCGCTGTGCTTTGCTAAAGCAGGGATACCAGCCCTCCTTTGCATCAAGCTAGAGGTAAGGGAGGAGACCACCCCTCATATTGTCTTATGACCAATTTCTGCCTCAAAGAAAAAGTAGGAGTTAAAGAAAAGACAGAAGTGAAATCAGTAGTCAGACAGCCCGGCGCTGCATTTCAGGCCTGGTAGTTAAAAATCAACCCCTGACTTAACTGCTTGTGTTATCTATAGATTCCAGACATTGTATGGAAAAGCATCGTGAAAATCCCTGGCCTGTTCTGCTCTGTTCTGATTACCGGTGCGTGCAGCCCGCAGTCACGTACCCGCTGGTTGCTCAATCGATCACGACCCTCTCACACGGACCCCCTTAGAGCTGTAAGCCCTTAAAAGGGACAGGAATTGCTCGCTCGGGGAGCTCGGTTTTTGGAGACGTGAGTCCGCCGGTGCTCCCAGCTGAATAAAGCCCTTTCCTTCCACAACTCGGTTTCTGAGGGGTTCTTTTCTGCGGCTCATCCTGCTACATAGGAAGAGATGCAAAGTAAAACTGCATCAGTCCCAGCTGCTAGAGAGGCTGAGGCAGGAGAATGGCATGAACCTGGGAGGCGGAGCTTGCAGTGAGCCGAGATCGTGCCACTGCACTCCAGCCTGGGCGGCAGAGAGAGACTCCGTCTAAAATAAATAAATAAACAAACAAACAAACAAACAAATAAATAAATCTGCACTAGGCAGCCAAAGAAACAAGGGAGTTGTAAAATCTGGGCCCCGGCTCTCCCCTGGCATCCCCTCCACCACCTGTGGGTCTGCTCCATTTTCCTGCTGGCACCAGCTGACTCCCTGGACTCACACATGGCTCCTGTACCCCCAGAACTCTGGCCCACTGGGGCCACTGCCAAGCTCACTTCGACACACCCCTGCAGTGCAGGAGCTTCATCCCTCAGGGTAGAGAGAGAAGGAACTGTTATAGTGGTACTTCTCAGCACTTTTACCTGGCTTCCTACAGGGAAATGATACTTTTGTTTGAAGCAAACTTTATTGTGTTGCTCACAGCATGAGGCATATTCACAGACAGCGATGGTGGGATGGTGGGCCCAGGCTCTGGTCTCCAGCCCTTATTCTACTACCTGAAGCACGATGGGGACTAACATCTCAGCCACTGAGATCCTGGATAGAAAATCTTAAAACAAACTGAACCAGGGTTGTGAAAGGGTGGCACAGTATGGAATAAGAACAAGCTACAGGTGAATTTCTAGAATTCTGTCCAGAAAGCTTGACATAGACAGTGACATTCTTCTTACAAATATACGGCCTTTGAGGCCCAAATGAAACACAAAAGGAGCCAGGTCAGACAATTTCTTTCCAGTAATTCCTGAAATACAACAAAGGCAGGGGAAACCCGTAAGTGATAGAGTCCCGTTTTCCCTGCTTTGCGGATAAAGACGAATTACTGATGTTTGCAGCCTCGGTTACCTAACAGACTTTCAGACTTCTATTACTATTACTTGCTGCAAACTTCTATTATCACAAGTTTTCTTTTACTAACCTGAACAATTGTAGAAGACTAAAGCAAAAAGTTTGTCCTGTACAGCACCCATCGACAGTGAGGCCTGCTGTGCTGGTTTGAGAGTCTTATAGCCATGACGCCCACCACCAGTTAGCAAAGTGGAGACCAAGAAGTAGCTTGTTATGAGCCAAGGGCTCTCTGTGACTGTGTTCACAAGCAACCACACCTTTTCAATTCTGATATTGTGAAGCCTTTTATCGTATATTTTCTACTTCCCAAGCTTTGTAATAATACAGGCACTAGATGGCACCCCCTGAAGCTTAGGCTATTTTGGCTAAGGTGAAGGAAATGCTTTGCACGGCAGGCAGTAAACCTAGAGATGGATTCACAATGAATTAATAGGAGACAGGAAGGCCAGAGTCAGGGCACCTCCTCCTTGGACAAGACTGGCAGGACAAAGGGCACTTCCTGTCCTCCTGAGGCTGCTGTCAGAAGAGAATACTGGGCTGACCCTGCAGCGGGATCTTCTGCTCAGAGCCCACGAGATTTGTTGTTGCGTTTGCGTAAGTGGGGATCTCAGCAGGGAAGCCTGTATACTCTGAAATGCTTCAGAGCCCCAGAAGGTGATGAATGCAAATGCAATCCAGGGCTACTTGGTGAACGTTGAATTAACTGTAGAAAATTACCTAAATGAGGTTGGTGAGTGAAATGTAAATGAGCCCAGGCTCCGCAGGAGCTAAGGAAAGGATCACAGTGGGAGACACAGTCAAGTAGGAGGTTGGGAACTTGGGAGTGAGCACTAACCTAATGTAGAAAGCCATGTAAACAGCTCGGTCGGGGGCAGTGGCTGGGAGGGCAGGGCAAGGCAAAGGGGCTGGCGAGCTAACTGGGGAACAGAGCTAATGAGGGAACAAAACAGTGGAATGGTGAGCTGAGCCAGTCTCCTGCAGATTCTGACCATCCAATGGGGGGTCTGAGGGGAGGCAGAGATTCACTTACTGAGGCAGTTTAGGCCCCAGCAACTCAAATAGCGTTCTTGTGCACCCTGGTTAAGGCAGTGCTATCTGGTTTGAGTAAAAGCATGCGAGTGGGTGGGTCATGATAAAGATGCCAAGAAAGAAGAAGGAAAATTTCATGAGAATCCAAGAACGAGCGCCTCCCTACATGCAGACCTCCCAGAAACGGGCCAGGAGCAGGAAAGGCTGATGTTTGCAGCCTCGGTTACCTAACAGACTTTCAGGCTTCTACTACTATTACTTGCTGCAAACTTCTATTTTGCCTGGTTAGTCCCTCAGAGTCTCATCTCTCCCCTGACATCCCCTCCTCCATCTGTGGATCTGCTCCATTTTCCTGCTGGCACCCGCTGACTCCCTGGACTCCCACATGGCTCCTGCACCTCGAGAACTCTGGTTCATTGTGGCCATTGCCCAGCTCACCCCCATGTACCCCTGAAGTGCAGAAGCTCCACCCCTCCGGAGCCCTGACACTACATTTCCAAGAGAGGGGTCTGACAGGCACAGTTCATCTTTTGAGGTGAAGCTCAGAGCCCTTGCTTCCTGCCCAGTCTATGGTTTGGCTGCACTTGGGCCAGCTGTTGACCCTAGTCCAACCAAAGAGTGGGTCATATCATAAAGAGCATAGGTGTAGAGGATATGGGAGGAGGCATGGGTCACCTTAGAGCAGTGATTCTCCACAAAGGGTGGGAACCACAACAGAGCTGCACAGTTCTGGTCAGCTTTTACCACCCACCCCTGAAGTGCCCCTGCCCCCCACGCTGCAGAGTCCCTGCCGTACCAGGACACTATGCTGGTGGGAAGAGGCACAACTGTCCAGCACATTGAGTTAGAACACCAGGAGAGCACCTTCGAAAGGTCGCCAATGGGCAGCAGGGTGGCATCTCTGAAATAACATGGGTTTCCATGAACCAGAGCAGGTAGTTCTGTCTCAGAAATGCAATAATTGTGGTTTTTTTCCAGTTGGCAGGGGGAAAAAAACCAAAAAGCTAAGACAGAAAAGCCTCCCAGTTAAGCTTTTCTCCCATATGTTTTTCTTAAACCTTTGGTGCCTCCTACTGTTTGCCTGCTGTCACTCACTAGAGGATGACAAATGAGCACACAATTAGCAAAATTAGCGGACAAATATTATCAAACAGCTGATACCTCTTGCCTAGATTTGAGCTGTTGTTTGTGTGTGAGTCAACCCATGTGTTAACGGCTGTAATTTGATATGGCTTATGCATAACATAGTCATATCTAACTGATGACATTGCTTCTGATTCTCAGGGGTAGGCAGGGGAGGGCAGGAACTGTGGAATAAAAGCAGCGAAACTGATTTGACTTTCTGGGTTTGATTCACTGCTTCCCAACTTGCTGAATGACACTGGGCAAGTGATCTAACCTCCCTGAGCCTCAATTTGCTCATTTATGAAATGGCAACAAATAATAGTGTCTTAATTCTTTTGGGCTGCTCTAACAAATACCATAGATTGGGTAATTTATTAACAGTAGAAATGTATTGCTCACAGTCCCGAAGGCTGGGAAGCCCAGGATCAAGGCAGCAGCAGATCAGGTGTCTGGAAAGGCTCCCTCTGTGCTGCATTGATAGTGCCTATTGCTGTGTCTTCACATGGCAGAAAGGGTGAAGCAGTTCCCTTCAACTTCTTTTATAAGAGCACTATTTCTGTTCATGAGAATGTAACCCTCATGGCTTATTCACTTTCCCAAAGCTCACACCCAGCTCTTACTACCCTCACATTGGAGAGTCAATTCTTCCAACATAAGAATTTTGGGAGGACACCAGCATTCAGACCTTAGTGAGTGATCACACAGGTTGAGCATCCCTAATCTGAAAATCCAATATTCAAAATGTTCCAAAATTGAGGCTAGGCACAGTGGGTCATGCCTGTAATCACAGCAGTTTGGGAGGCCAAGGTGGGAGGATCGCTTGAAGCCAGGAGTTTGAGACCAGCCTGGCCAACATGGTGAAACCCTGTCTCTACTAAAAATACAAAAATTAGCCAGGCATGTTGGCACATGACTGTAATCCCAGCTACTCAGGAGGCTGAGACATGAGAATCTCTTGAACCCAGGAGACTGAGTTTGCAGTGAGCAGAGAGATTGTGCCACTGCACTCCAGTCTGGGCAACAGAGCGAGACTCTGTCTCAAAAAAAAAAAATCCAAAACTTTTTGAGCACCAAGATGACAGTGCAAGTGGAAAATTCTGTGCCTGACCTCATGTGACGAGTCACAGTCAAAATGCAGGCACACAACAAAATGCAGGCACACAGTGGCAGGTAATCAGCCTGCCATTGTTTGCTATTGCTCTTGCTTAATAGCAGATACAGGTATTCTGGTGATGCTACTGTGCTGCTCGGTTACCCCGAATACATGATTTTTCCCACCGTATTAATGGTCTGTCCTATTTTTTACTCTTAAGTACTTATGCATGAATCAGTATAAGAAAATGGTTGCTTTAGGTAGCATCAAAATTCAGAGTCAGGAATAATGGTGGCACAAAGCAACCACAGGTTGTCCACATGGGTGGCTGAGATGGTGACACCCTTGCTTTCTGATGGCTCAGTGTACACAAACTTTGTTTTATGCACAAAACTATTAAAAATACTGTATAAAATTATCTTCAGGCTATGTGTATAAGGTATATTAAAACACATATAAATTTTGTGCTTAGACTTGTGGCTTATCCCCAAGATATCTCATTATCTATATGCAAATATGTATTCAAAAATCCCAAAAAAAAAGTTCAAAATTCAAAATACGTCTGGTCCCAAGCATTTTGGATAAGGGAGACTTAACCTGTAATACTTCCGCAAGGTTTTTGTGAGGATTAAGTGAACTACTCCATATAAAGCACTTAGTACAGTGCTCAAAACATAAAAATAGGGTGACCTACATTTGTATTTTTAGACCTCTCAATTGAATTAAATAACAGTATTTTTGCTTCTGTAAAGAGGACACAAACTTTCAGGTACTCAACCACCTAACCGAGTTCAAGAACCCCCTGACTTCGATGATAGTCTATGGGGCTCCCAAAACATCACTGCAAGAGATCTACTAATGTTAACAGTGATTATTTCCTGTATTTGGATAATAATTTATTAGAGTTAGAGCCTTCTGCATCTAAAAAAAGTCTTGTCATTGCGGGGCACATACACATTTTGTGACTTCTTAAGATCTTTTAAATATTGCTATAGCTCAGATCTTCCACTGGCCAAAGAAGTATTGTGAAATCCAGTGGCCACCCACGCAGCCTTGGGTAGAGCAGGGTGGAAAAGGGGAGTGACAGTGCTGTCAATGGATTGCAGCCTCCATACCATGGGCACAAGAATGGCCAGGGCAAGTCAAAACTGAACCCCAGTCTGGGAGGATTTGGAAAGTAGACACCCAGAATTGGATTTAGAAGAACCTGGGCCATGGAAGCAGAGCTGCCCCAGCCATGAGGGGAACGTGGTGCCCAATCCCAGAATGTGGAGTGGGGGATCCTCAACCCAACCTTTCTAAGGTAGGAGTGGGGCTTTGAGGCTGAGGTCACACTGGGCAGCAGACGAGGCCACATGGCCACAGTTATCGGGAGAAGAGAGCTATTGTGACTTGCACCACACTCCCCTGAGAGGTCTAATCCCCATTCTGCAGTCTTGGAAGAAAGAAGCTCTATGTGGCCTTCTCCTTTGTTCTGTACACCAGAAGCAGGGACTCAATGGTCATTTGAATGCTATGGTCCAGTGATTTCTGGGTTACCATTGGCCTTCCCTGGAGGGGAGGACGAGAAGTGTCATGCATGGGGTGCCTTCAGTGCATTTTGCGCTTATATTCTTCTCCTCATTCAACCCTTGTGCAAGTTGGTATGGAGATATGACCACCTCCCTCTTACAGATGAGAAATGAGCATTGGAAGGGTTAAGGAACCAGGCAAAGGTCACATAGCTGGACTTGAATCCAGATCTGCTGCCTTCAACCCTTTCTCTGCCCATGCACTGGAAAGGCCTGAGGCATCAACCCTGCAGCATGGTGGCCAGAGAAGCAGGGAAGGCAGGAAGCCCAGCCCTGGGTACACTGGCCCTGAGTTCTTCTGCTCAGCTGAGTATAGAGACAGTAAGCTGGGAGGTGGGCATGATGGATCTCTGACCTCTGACTGCCTGAAGTGTAGGGGTCAGGAGGCACTAAACAAGAAGTGACTGTCATGGCATGTGTCTGCATGGTCATCACGAAGCTTGCTCTTCTTCCTTCACTGCCCACCACACCTCTGCAGAGTCTGGGTTCCAGTTGAGGGTAACTTAGAATGACAGGGTGCTCACTGGCCCAAGGCCACAGCAGCAGTGAATTGAACAGCCCGAGACAGCAGGCAGCTTTGTCCAAGCACATATGGCCAACCAGCACTTGCATCCTCTCTCTGCTGTCCACAATGCCCGGATTAAATCAAAAATTCCCATAGGAAAGGGAGAAAATGGGATGAAGGGAAAGATGACAGCGTCTCCACAGTTATCCACTTCACACTAGGCAAGTTCCTAGATATCTACGGGGAAATAGAATTTTGGGAGGTGGAAATTTGACTTTAAGTTCTCTAGAGAGGCTCCCAGTTAAAGGAAGTGTATGGCGAATGCTTTCCTAGCATGAATGCATTTTCTCTGCCCTCTAATTTATCCACTTTGTAGTGCTGAGAGTTTTGTCAATGTAGTTACTGCCACACCTGGCGGACTCCATGTGTTCTGTTTCAGACACCATCCTGAGCCCCTGGAGAGCAGACTCTGGCTCCTGCTTAAGCCAGCAGAGCAAATGGGTGTGGCTGCTTTGCAAGCCCGCTCTGCAAGCCTCACTCCAGGGTTGGGGAGAACCCCAGGAGGAGCACGCTGGGCTGTTCCTCACAGCGCAGTGCAGGAGAGTCAGGTATTGTGAGGTTCCCACCAACAGTGGTGACAAATGCCATTTATTAGGGGCTTTCTTGGCCAGGCCATGTGATAAGCATTTTGTAGACTTGCTCTCTGACCTGCCCCATAAACCTGAAACTTAGATGTTTCAGCAGATGAGGAAACAGAAATAAAGAGAGGGATGGGAGCAGGGGCCAGGGATTCAGACCTGCTGAAGATCACACAGCTGGTGGCAGTGAAGCTGAGATCTGAACCTGGCCCATTCTGCCTGTGAGTCCGGGGCTCTCTTCCCTGTATCTTCTGCCATGTAGTTGCTGGGTGGGCATGAGGTAGGGAATGGAGTCAATGGTGAAGCAGGAGTCTAAGACTCAAACTCCCTGTAGTCTAGCATGGGCTGAGAACTCAGGACGCCCCTCCTCCCCTCTCATACTCTACTATCTTCTTTCTGCCCTAACTCACACCTCATTGGTGGCTTAAGAGCATTTTTACACCTGTTTGACATATCAAACACTTTCCAGAGTTCCCTTTCCAACTGACATTATTAGCCAGTGATCCCTGAACCCTGAGCCCCACTCCCCGGCCCCACAGCCTCCTTCTATAAACATGGAAAGTGTATAAGAGAGAAATCATTTTCCCTATAAATAATTGTAAGGTCCAGCCACAAGGAGAAGCAGTGCATTTTGCAGAACTGCTGTGCATTCTGAGTTCAGCAATTTGTGGCCCAGACTTGGTAACCTGTTTCTTCCTTGTGGTCTCTTCCTTGGTAACCTGTATGACCCTGAGAAGTCATTTTATTTCCATCTGTAAAATGAGACCCTTGGACTGGGTGATGAATAAAGTTTCTTCCAACAATATTAGTTCATAAGTTTCATATAAATGTGGTTGGGTAGATGGACAGAACAGTCAGCCTTGAGAACGGCAAATATTTCTCAAGCTCAGGCAGTACTTGTTCATCAGCCTGTCATCTGCCAGGAGCCCTGAAGGTCTGAGAGGAATGGCCTCATTTTCTCTTTTGGCACAGAACTCTGGCCAGCACTAGGGCATCACCCATTTTCCATCTTCTGCTGGTAGACGTTCTTGGCAGAAAGCCACTCAAAGCCAAAGAACTCCCGAGCTCCAGGAATCCCGCAGGTTCCATGTGCTCTTGCTTTCCTGTTTGCTGGGTAAGCTGCTGTGGTCATCAGGCTTCCCCACTAAACCTCTCTAGGATAGAAGTGACATTGCAAAGAAGGGCTCCAGCATCTGCACTGGTGCTTGGAGCTGGAGCAAATGCGCTCTAGAGGACCCTTCACAGCATCTGCCACGCAGCCTAGTGGGTAGGACAAGAGATCCCCAGCCAGCTGAGATAGGAAAAATCAACATGATCCTCACCCTGTCTAATTCTTACACTTGCCATTCGTGAGATGGTGGCATATCAAGGTTGAGAACATGTGTGTTGGAACTCTGGGGTTTAGATGCTTTGCCTTTGACCAGCAGTAGGAAAGTTTGTTAATAGAACAAATCCTCAGTTTTCACAGTGGAAAATGGGGTGGGGTTAGTATTGCTATCTATCTCCTAGAATTGTTTATAAATATAATGATATTATATGTGTAAAACATATAGTATAGAGCCTGATACATAGTTCACATTTGTAGAATGTTCATTATTTTACTGATTCATCAACATATCCATGTCTCTCTCCACCTTATAGAATTAGAACGTTCGCTCCTTGAGAACAGGGATCTTCTCTGTCTGAGTGACTGCTGTATCTGTAGCACCTAGAACAAAGTGAGGCGGTATTTTTGAACAAATAGGATTTGCCAGGGGGCAAGGGTTTTTCTGAAATGCTGGACTTTCAGTCTGAAACCAGTGAGAGGTCTGGGTTTGTAGAAATAAGTTGGTTATCCTACAAAGAAAAGAAAAGGAAGGAAGGAAGGAAGGAGGGAGGGAGGGAAGGAAGGAGGGAGGGAGTCCTCACCTTACAAATGAGAAAATGATGGGACAGAGAATGTATTGAACTTGTCTCTGACTCCACCACTAACAAGCAGCCGAGCAAGGATTCAATACTGGTCTTAATCACCAAGTCATAATGGGAACTGGAGAAGTCAGCAAAGTGTTAACACTTTGCTCTGTCACATTGCCAAATTCCTGCCCGACTTGGTCTCAGTTTCCTCACCTGTGAGATGAGAGACTTTGACAGTGCAAAGTGGCCCTGGACCAATGAGGGGTGCATGCCTGAGAATGTTCCCAGGCCCGTCAGCTGCTATGGGCAAACCCCAAGCACCAATTCCATTGTTAATCATTTTCAGCATTGCTCTTGGTTGGTTGGAGGTAGGGAGGGGCTGCTTCAAGAGAGAGGGAGGCAAAGCCCATTTGATAATATTCACTCCTCCTTCTCCTGGGAAAATTCCCCATAATGAGCTTAGTTTGAGCCATTTATCTTGCAGACTTCCCACCTTGTCAGAGATGTATGCCAGGTCATCAGGACTGAATGCACTGTGGTCGTAACTCCCCATCTAAATTCCAGAGTCCATTTTGCACAAGGATCTTTAAGACAATTATCTTCATCTTTTTCCCTCCTTAAATACTGGAGTGTTTTCCAAAATTAACCAGCACAGAACCTCTCTATGGAATTCTCCACGTGCACCCCACCTACCTCTCTACTCCTCTGCCCCAGTCCTGCCCCACCATCCCTCCAGGACGCCTCACTTGCCTTCTGTCCCATGTCCCAGCTCCCCTTGCCTTGAAGCTCCTTGGAAATATATGGTCTGTTACACTGTTTTGGCATTCCTCATGCATGATCCCATCCCCTAACCAAATTGCATATCCTGCAGAAATACTACTAAAAACAATGATTACAAGTTATATGTTTTCCATACTGTTTAATCATTCAGTAAATAACAGGTATCATGGTAGGACCTCTGCTTGCATTATTTTATTTACTCTTCACATCAACACATCAAAGTAGACATCATTACACTGGTTTTATAGGTGAGGCTAAGAGAAGTTAAGAAACATGCCCCAAGTCATACAGCTAGTAAGTGAAGAGTCTAGACTCAAACTCAGGTCTCTCTGACTTCATGCTATCAACCATTATACTCCTCAACCCTCTGTGGGGAGGGTCATTTAATTTCATGACACAGCGAACGTGAGACACAACAAAAAATAATAAGTGCACAGTGACATTAGCTAACATTTATTAAGGGCTCACATTAAATAAGGCACTACTATAACAGCTTTCTATGTATTGGTTCCCTGAATCCTCCCATAAACTTTATGAGTTATGGACACAGTCCTCTGTTGAAGACTGGACTTCTAGGGCTAGGACAAAAGCTGATGATGAGGGTCCCTCAGGGTCCCTGGAAACATGCAAGGTGAAACAAGTGTCTGGGGATGATGTTGTGTGGTGGGGGCTCCTGGAGGCCCTGGACAGCCCTGAGTGGCTTAATGGTTTGCATCAGGGCGACCACAACGCCTCTAATAAGACCACTTTGGCCCAGAACAAAGGTTTTTAAAAAAATATATAATTTCAACTTTGATTTTAGATTCAGGGGGTACATGTGCAGGTTTGTTAGATGAGCATATTGCATGACGCTGAAGTCTGGGGTACAAATGATCTCATCACCCAGGTAGTGAGCATAGTACCCGATAGGTCATTTTTCACCCTTTGTCCCCCTCCCTGTCTCCCTTCTCTGGTAGTCCCCACTGTCTATTGTTCCCACCTTTGTATCCATATGTACCCAATGTTTACCTCCCCATATAAGTGAGAACCTGTGGTATTTGGTTTTCTGTTCCTACATTAATTCACTTCGGATAATGGCCTCCACCTGCATCCATGTTGCTGCAAAGGACATGACTCCATTCTTTTCTATGGCTATGTAGTATTCCATGGTGTATATATACCACATTTTCTTTATCTAGTCCATCTTTGATTGGCACCTAGGTTGATTCCATGACTTTGCTATTATGAATAGTGCTGCAGTGAACATACAAGTGCATGTGTCTTTTTGGTAGGACAATTTATTTTTTTTAATTTTTCCCTCCACAAGATTCTGATATAATAACTGTTTATTTTCATTTGGATATATACCCAGTAACGAAATTGCTGGATCGAATGGTAGTTCTTTGAGACATCTCCAAACTGCTTGCCACAGTGGCTGAACGAATTTATATTCCCACCAGCAGTGTATAAGTGTTCCCTTTTCTCTGCAGCTTCACCAGCATCTGTTGTTTTTTGACTTTTTAATTATAGCCTTTCTGACTCGTGTGAGATGGTATCTCATTGTGGTTTTGATTTGCATCTCTCTGATGGTTAGTGATGTGGAGCGTTTTTTCATGTTTGTTGGCCACTTGTTTGTCTTCTTTTGAGAAGTGCCTGTGCATTTCCTTTGCCCGCTTTTTAATGGGGTTATTTGTTATTTTCTTGTTGAATTATTTAAGTTTCTTACAGATTCTGGATATTAGGCCTTTGCTGGATGCATAATTTGTGAGCATTTTCTCTCATTCTGTAAGTTGTCTATTTACTCGGTTTATAGTTTATTTTGCTGTGCAGAGCGATTTAGTTTAATTAGGTCCCACTTGTCAATTTTTGCTTTTGTTGCAATTGCTTTTGAAGACTTTGTCATAAATTATTTGCCAAAGGCAATTTCCAGAATGGTATTTCCTAGGTTTTCTTCTAGGATTTTTTTTATATAGCTTGAGGTCTTACATTTACATCTTTAATCCATCTTGAGTTAATTTTTGTATATGGTAAAGGGTATGAATCCAGTTTCATTCTTCTGCATATAGCTAGACAGTTATCCCAGCACTATTTATTGAATAAAAGGTCCTTTCCCCGTTGCTTCTTTGTGTTGACTTTGTCAAAGATCAGATGATTGTAGATGCATGGCTTTATTTCTGGGTTCCCTTTTCTGCAGAATAAAGGTTTTCATGTGTGGTGAACAGCAATAGGGTTTTTGGGCTCATCAGCGACTGGACTCAGACAGGAATCCTGATCTTGGAAAAATCATAGGCCAGGCAGACACCTTTCCAGGACCACCCAGATCCAAATCTGCACCTTGTTTGTAACCCTGGAAGGAACCCAGGGTCCTGGCAGAAGGTCTGAAATGGCCTGTTCTTTCTTTCTCTTCCATCGCCTGCACTAGCATTGCCCAGGGAGCTAGATAGCCAGTCTCCAGCCCAGCCCTGCTCAGGAACTCTGGTGGGGCAGGTGGGGATCATGGCACACCCCCCAATCCTTCACCCCAGGTCATCACAAAGCAGGAGAGATAGACTGCCCATCACGACCCTGAGACCCACTCTTGTTGGCAGCCAGGACTCCTAGGCTAACTCAGCACCAGTGTCCTGAGACCCTTTGGGAAATCCATGAAGACCAAAGTTTCTTCCGCATGCATGACTCATGTACAGTAGCATTGAGAGTTTACATGCCTGTGATGCCAGCTTCTCCAGATCAAGCCCTTACTTCTAATACAGGTTTTGTAAAGTAAATGCTATGTCTTAATCTCATTTCTAAAAACTAGAATCCTGTTTCCTTAACAGCTTCCATGATCAGTGAAGGTCTACCCTCTTTTCCTTTCTAGAAAATTATTAATGGGCAGTAGTTTCTTATAATTCTACTTTTTTGTTATTTCTTTAATTTCTCCCAACCCACAGATCTTTTCCAGGGTGGTGGTTGATAATTCATAACCAAGTTAAAATGAACCTGAAGAATGTGTTTAAAAGAAACTGCTGGAAATATTTTTTTAACTTTTCAGGCAAAGAATCCTTTTTAGTACAAAAAGCTAGCCCTGAGTGATGCATTGCTTCATACAGGTAAATGCATACTTAGCTGTAATCAATAATCACTGTCTTAGTTGTTGGGGATGCAAGGATAAATAAAACAATAAGAGACTTTACAATTTTATTGGGCAGACAAGTTACAAAGCTAACTTTTTTTAAAAGTGGAAAGTGCCAGGTGGAGATTCATATAAGGTGCTTTGGGAGATCAGAGGAGAAAAAGATTACATTAACAAGATAATCAGCAAAAGATTTATGGGAGGGTTTCATTTGAAAAAGACAACAAAGGATAAACAAGATTTGGCCAAGCAGAGTTGGAGAGAAGGATTTTCCTGGAAAAGGAAACATCATAAGTAAAGTCAAGGAGGTAGGAAATCATGGAAAAGGATGTCGTCCATCCTTACTTAAGCACAAGGCACAGGAAAGCAAAAATAATATTGGGAAGGCAGATTGGGAATGAATGAGAGTTCACGTTATTCAGTACCTGTGTGTGTGTGTGTGTGTGTGTGCACATGCACGTGTGTGTGGAATGAATGAGAGTTCACGTTATTCAGTACCTGTGTGTGTGTGTGTGTGTGTGTGCACATGCACGTGTGTGTGTGTGTGTGTGTGTGTGTACCGGGCTTTATGGTCTGGTAAGCTAAACTACTGGATCATAAGGCCCTAGAAATATAATATTCATTTTAATTTTGTCTTCCTCACAATGCCTAACACAGTGTCTGACACAGAGGAGGTGCTATAATTAATGTTTGTTGAATTATATTTATTTTATTCAAAAGTCAAGGTAATCATGAAAGTTTCTGGGGAAATGAGGTTTATTATAAGATTTTCATTAAAAAGACTCATTCATGAGAATAGATTAAAGAAGAAGAAACCGGAGTGTGGAAGACCATTCAGGAACTATTCAGTAGGTTATTGCAAGGAAAGCAGGAACAAGAGTGGTAGCAAGGGGAAGAGAATGGGTATGGTGTTGAGAAATATAAAGAGAGAGAATAGAAGATGATGGACCTGGAAACTGATCTGGGTGCAAAGAATGTGAAGGGGTTGCAATGACTTCCAGGTTTCAAGCCTCAGGGACTGAGAAAAGAGAAACCTCTAGCAGAGTGAAAGTCAAGAGGAGAAGCAAGTTTGGGATTGAGGGTTCTGGGGAAGATGGCGCTGGGGAGATTTAAGGCACGTGAGGCCTGAGGCCCTGTTGGGACACCCAAGAAGAGCATGATGTCTGGCACATTGTAGGGAAAGCAAAATTGAAATCTCCAGAGGAGGGAGACTCAAAATAGGATACAGCAGAGTGCAGGCCAGAACTTTGGAAAATACCAACATTTGTGGGGAGGAAGAAGAACTGGAGAATATGTGATTAGAAAGGCAGGAGGAGCGATGCAAACAGCCCAAGTCAAGGGGAATCAGGTGAGGGGACATGGAAGGGAGCAAGTGTGGGTCAGTAGTGGGCTTGTTCAATATGGTAGAGAGATGATGTCTTCAGGACCACCCACACCACCACTCACCAGTGTCTGCCAATAGCATCCAAAGAACTACTGCCATTTCCTCAAAGCCTGCCACATACACTTCCCACAGCAGCCCCATTTACAGATGAGGAAACTGAGGCCTAGAGCAATGTGTAAGGGCATAAAAGTAACAAGTATGGGAACTGGGTTGTAAACCTGTGGTTTGGGTTTTGATCCTTCCCCTCTTGACTTTCACTCCTCTGCTAGTGGCATCTCTTTGCTGTCAGTCCTTGAATCCTGAAACCTTGAAGTCATTGCAACCTCTTTGCATCCTTTACCCCCAGATCAGTTTCCAAGTTTAGGCACTGGGTCATACTCAGAAAGGAGACTAAGAAGAGAGTCTTGATTTTGGTATTTCAGAGGTCACTGATGATTGTATTAGATTTCTGCATCAGCTAGAATTCTTTCTTCTGGAAATAACATAAATCCCAGTGAGCTGGCTTCAGCTAAAAGACTGAGTTAAATTGAAAAGACTAGCAAATAGGGATGTCATCAGGTGTGGCATGATTCAGGGATTCAGATGATGTCACCAGGATCCTACTTTGGTTCTCTCCAGTTCTCAGCTCCACCTCTCTGGGTGGGCTTCATGCCCAGCCCAGCTCTCTCTCCTTGTGGTATTAAGTACCTACCGGTACTTAGTAGCCCAAGGCCTTTCTTCTCTCAGGTTTAAATCCAACAGCAAAGAGAAATGGTCTTTGTCTCAGCAGCCTCAGAAAAAGTCTCATGTGCCCATCCCTGCACAGATCACTAACTGGCTCAGGTCAAGATCATATTATCCACCCTGGAGTTGCATGCCTAGCCAAACCAAATCTCATATGTTGGGAGTGAAAAAGGAACTGGTTATCTGGGAGGAGAATTGGAATATGGAAAAGGGAAAGGAAGTAGCATAAGCAAAGTCAAGGAGGTAGGAAAGTAGGCATAGTCTGCATTCTCCCTTCTTCTCCCTGGAAGAAGGAAGAAACACCCTGTGGTATCCTCTTTTGAGTCTCCCTCCTCTGGGGATTTCAGCTTTGCTTTCCTCACAGTGTGCTGGACATCATGCTCTTGAGTGTCCCCACGGGGCCTCAGGCCTGGTGTGCCTTCAATCTCACCTATGCCATCTTCCCCACAACCCTCAATCCCAAACTTGATTCTCCTCTTGACTTTCACTCAGCTAGTCAATAGTGAAACCTAGAAGTCAATGAAACCCCTTTGCATCCTTTACCCTCAAGTCAGTTTTCCAGTTTCTTCGCTGTAGAAAAAGGGAAAATGCATGCTATGAGGAGTGGCAGAAACATTAGATGTTTATTGCAGCGGCCTCTGCAGAAAGCACTTCGGGAGACTGGTGAGAGGGAAACTAGTGTTGAAACAGTTAAGTATCGAGTGTGTGATTAAGAGCCAATAGATGCTCATTTGAGAAAATTGAGAAGCAGAAAAACGGGCTGTAGCTTGAGGAGAAATGGGCAAAAGTCATCTTAAATGGGATAAATCTGAACATGTCTGAAAGCTGAGAAGAGGACCCCAAGGCAAGTAGGAAGACATTGAAGGTGAGAGAGATGCCAGGGCAGTAATTGAAGGAGTACTCACTTTCCAAGAGAACCAAGAAAGGCTGGGGTAGAGAGCAGGAACAGCCCTGGAGGGAGGTGGGGCCCATTCATGCTTCTGAGATGGGGGAAGGACAAATACAAAAGAACTGAGAAGCCCCTGGCAAATGATGGGCTTTCTTAAAGCCAGGCACACCTGTAAAGGTGTATTGTCTTCTTGCTCCCAGGTCTCAGATTTGCACAGCTATTGAGCCTCACTTCTTGGATTATTGGTCTTGTCACCAATAATCCAAGTTCCTCCTAACCCTTCAAGGAAATGGAGCCATTTAATTTCATTGCTGATGCCCTTGACATCTATCTGGCAGGCCGAGGTGAGGGCAGAGCACTGTCCAGTCATATGTTGCCTGCGTACGCCAGCTG
This sequence comes from Homo sapiens, assembly GCF_000001405.40. Lineage (NCBI taxonomy): Eukaryota > Metazoa > Chordata > Mammalia > Primates > Hominidae > Homo > Homo sapiens. The sequence goes on along the minus strand of NC_000017.11, from coordinate 33,915,024 downwards.
TGTTTGGTGCTAACCCTTCAGGTTGAGTTAAGACAGCCACAGCAGACCATATGAAGAGTTCTAAACATGATGGATCATGCCTTCCGAAAGTATCTATTCTTAAGATATAGAAAAGAACAACACAGGCCTATGGGCATTCTTGTCACCTGATCGATCAACTGTGACTACTTCGTAAGCATTTATCTACTCATGGCCCTGAGCCAGACAGCTCAGAAAACCATGGCTCCCTTTCCCAGCTTACTTAAAATCTCAGCAATGGAAGGCATCTTGAGGTCATTGAAAAATAAAAGTGTTTTAGAGTCAGACTGGCCTGGGTTTGAATGCCAACTCTGCTATATACAGTCTGTGTAACCTTGAGCAGGTCCCTACAACACTGCGTGTCCTCAACTTCTTTATGTGCCACCCCACATCCAGGTGGCCCCATATGGCCTTCATTCTTGGTCGCTTGTTTGGCTTCCCCATCAGAAGACACCACCTACCCCTTAGCCTGTTCCTGCAGTTGTAAAACTCTGGCCACCATCTCTGTCTCCTGATTCCCAAACTCTGCAGATTCATCGAGGCTCCCCTGAGACTGAACTGGGTTTTGTCAGGGCCTCTATTGCACACGAATTGAAGGGAACCACAGACCATCAGCATCCAGGTCCACCCCAACTGACTCACAGAGGCTCTGGCTTCCCCACTGGCTGCCCTGAGAGGCTGGATAACATAAATGAGAACTGCAGAGTCACCACCCTACAGGGCCAACTTTCGTAATGAAAGACAGGAGCCTGGAAGAAACCAGCCAGTAAATTCTCACCTGCCCAGCCCACAATGGACCGTTTGCAATGTAGATGTCCTATATGGCCTCTCCAGCATCATCTTGTGAGATGGAGCAACCAGTTGTGTTTTCTTGCAATGTTGTGGCCAGCTCAGTTGTGCATCACCTTGAAACTGCTTCTCTTCCTACTCTACTCTACGCCCCCTTTCCCTTATTTATGATTCCCTGGGATTATGGTCTCGCCCTGCGATAAAGTTTAGTAAGTAAGCTTGGCTCTGAGCTCTATTTTCTGGACAACCCAGACATAGTCTCCGAGTTTTAGTTTCCTGATTTATAAAATAGAATTAATGGCATCTATCTCACAGCACTGTTGGGAAAATTAAAATGAGATTGTGTGTATTAAACACTTAGTCGAGTGGCACATTGTAGGTGCTCAATAAATACGAAAAGTATCGTCAACAATTACAACATGACAGTGATGGTTACCATTTATTGGGTATCTGACATACACTTATCATTTTATTTATATTATTGGCAGCAAGAATATCTTATATATGCAGAATAAGACTAAGTGTACTCTTTATGATAAATATGAAGAGGAATCTCCAGGTACCTTATTTGTGAATTATATCGAATAATTAAGGAAGAAGGAGCTGATGTTTCAGATTCATTTTAGAGATATAATTCAGTAGATCAAGCTAATGGTAGTGAAGTCCTGGAATTCAGTTTATCATAGAAAATGATTCAGAAGAATTGGCATGGGCTAAAGGGGAGGTCTTTGCAACTTTTGATGCCATAATAAACAGAATAACAGGAGATAAGAATCAAGAAAAGTCCCTTGGTGAAGAATTTAACTAAAAAATAAATTGTATTTTATTAGTCGTAACTTAGGGATTGCCATGGGATAGACACAACAATTTCACTATTAGGCCATTTTGCTTAAAAAAAAAATGTTTACAGTTGCATTTTACCTAAGCAGAACAAATTCTGAGAAAATAATAATAGCTAACATTTATTGAAAATGTATTACACATCAAGTGCTGTGCTAAGCTCTTTACACACTTTATGTCATTTCATTCCTCTAAACCCTTAAGGTACCAAATAGTCCCGGCTCCTTGTAAGCCCAAATAAAGAAGCTCAGAGATCTGTGAGAACTGGCAGAAATTGGCGGGGGGGAGGGGGATTTATTACAAAAATGATAAGCTGGAAGTGCTGCTCAAAAAGGTAGAGCAATTAGAATTTAATTTTTATTTATTTATTTATTTAATTTATTATTATTATCATTTTTTGAGACAGAGTTTCGCTCTTGTTGCCCAGGCTGGAGTGCAATGGCAAATCTTGGCTCACTGCAACCTCTGCCTCCTGGGTTCAAGCGATTCTCCTGCCTCAGCCTCCAGTGTAGCTGGGATTATAGGCATGCACCACCACGCCCCGCTAATTTTGCATTTTTAGTAGAGACGGGGTTTCTCCATGTTGGTCAGGCTGGTCTCGAACTCCCAACCTCAGGTGATCCGCCCACCTCCGCCTCCCAAAGTGCTGGGATTACAGGCGTGAGACACCTCACCCGGCCCTAGTCTATAATTTTTAAAATGCTATTGACAGTCTCTAGTTTTTCTGGGCAGAAATACTTGACAATTCCCTTAAGTCAGAGGTTTCACACAGGACTCCCCAGGGATGCTGGGGAAGAACTGCTGTCAAGGGGAAAAGATGGTAGGGGGTGCTCAGAATTGCCTATAAAGATTTACTATTTTTATTTTTTTATTTTTGTTTGTTTGTTTGTTTGTTTTGAGATGGAGGGTCCTCTGTCACCCAGGCTGGAGTGCAGTGGCGCCATCTCAGCTCACTGCAATCTCTGCCTCCTGGGTTCAAGCAGTTCTCCTGCCTGTAGCTGGGACTACAGGTGTGCGCCACCATGCCCAGCTAACTTTTGTATTTTTTAACAGAGACGGGTTTTTGGATGTTGGCCAGGCTGGTCTCGAACTCCTGACCTCAGGTGATCCACATGCCTCAGCCTACAATGCGCCGGGATTACAGGCGTGAGCCACCACATCCTGCCAGAATCACCTATAAAGTTTATTAGTTTATTAGGACATAGTGATTCACAGCTTTTTTTTTTTTTTTTTTTTTTTTGACGGAGTCTCACTCTGTTACCCAGGCTGGAGTGCAATGGCGTGATTTCAGCTCACTGCAACCTCTGCCTCCTGGGTTCAAGCAGTTCTCCTGCTTCAGCCTCCCAAGTAGCTGAGATTACAGGCATACACCACCACGCCCCACTAATTTTGTATTTTTAGTAGACACGGGGTTTCTTCACATTGGTCAGGCTGGTCTCGAACTCCCGACCTCAGGTGATCTGCCCACCTCGGCCTCCCAAACTGCTGGGATTACAGGTGTGAGCTACCACACCCGGCCTGTGAACCACCGTGCCCAGCCGATCCACTGCTTTTAAAATGCGAAATGATTGACATGGCGTAGTATTCAATCCATAAGTATGAATGTTAGCTAGCTTGAGAATACATTAAGCTCTGGTCCAGGTAATGATTTCATTGCACACACCAAGGGCAAACAGAAATTTGCAAACTCCTGGGTCTGCTGTGGTCTATCCCAATATATGTTCCAAGTTCTTTTAAGGTCTATGGGTGTTAGCTGGGTACACAGTCTCCTATATGAAGATCACATTCCTCAGCCTCTTTTTGTAGACAGGTATGGTCGTATACCTAGGTCTGGCCAATGAAGTATAAGCAGAGGGCTCCAAAAGCTGTTTCTTCCCCTGCCTACTTCAGTCTGATTCTTGGAACACTGGGGTAACAGTCAGAGTTCATTCTGGACGATGAGAATACCTCAGCATGGGGCAGCAGAAAGCTGGAAGCTGCCTGGTCCCCAAAGACTTGATGGGACTGAGCTACCATGGCCCAGGACTGCCCATCCTGAGCTTGGACATGATGGAGCCAGGTGTCCATCCTGTTTCAACTCCCATGAGTGTGGGGTTTTCTACTTCTTTCAACCAACTGAATTCTAACTGATACGCTCATTTGTAGATTACACAGAGGTCCCTAGTCAAACTGTTATCTTCTTTCTCTGTGGATGATAAAGAAAAAACATCATTCTTTCAGTCTCCCTCAAAGGGATCTTCAAAGGGCTTTTTGCAGTGTGAAGACTCAGCCCCATGTGGGAATAACCTTATTCCCAATAGGCGCTCGCTCTGGGCCCAGCCTAAATGGGGGCCTCTGTGGTTTTACTGGAGCTGTAACCGAGGAAGCCAAGACATTTCTGACACTTGCCCTTCGCTAGGCTGGGCTTCCTCTGTTTTCTCAACTCCCTTTGGCTTTTCCTGGGGACATGTTTCTGCACACGGTTGAAATAGCCTCCACTCCCTCTCCACTGGACAAGCTCCCCCATCCTTCTAGATCTACTTCAAACATCACCTCCTCAGAACTGCCTTCCCCAACACCCTGAGGTAACCCCATGTGTTTCCTTCATGTTATTTTAGCATTTCAGAGGACACTGTAACTTCCTACTTCCCTCCAGAGAGGCAGTCCATGATAGGTGGTCATTCCAGTAGTGTTTATTGAGTGCCTGCTCTGTGTCAGGCCATGTGCTAGTCACTAGACAGGCAGTGATGAATGCACCAGATCTGCCCCCTGCCCTCATGAAGTTTATAGTCTGGGGGAAAAGATGACCCATAAAAATGCAATTAAAATTGTGACAAATTCTATGAAGGAAAACAGAATGGGATGAGGAAGAAGAGCCAACCTGGGGATGAGATGTTTCCATCATCTCGATGGAAGAATAATGCAAATCCTCTCTGAGGAAGTAGTATCCATGCTAAAAATCAGCAATTGAGACATCAGATGGTGGTATCAGGCAGGCTTGGGTTTGCTCCCTGGCTATGCTGCTGCTTAGCTGTGTGACATTAGGCCAGTTGTTTAACCTCTCTGAGCCTGAGATAAGTAATAGCATCTCTCTCATTAAGCTCCAGACACACTGTCTGCCACACAGTGAGTGCTCAATAAATTTGATATATTGTTATTTTCTAATGTCTGTCATCCAACCGGAATATGGATGCTCTGAGGACAGATATCCCCTTATTCATCTTTGCATCTTAGGCACAGAATATGTAGCGATATCCCCAAAAGCTGTTTGAATATTAATAGCCAACATTTCCTGGGCTCTTGCTACATGCCAAGCACCACTCTTAGCACTGCACGGGTATTCACTCATTTAACACTCATAACAATTCAACGAGGGTGGTGCTATTATTACTCCTATTTTAGTGGTGAAGAGACTGAGGTCTGCAGAAATTGAATAACTTGCTCAGGGTCACACCATTAGCAAACAGAGGAACTGGTGTTCAATCCCAAGCAGCCAGGCCCCAGAGCCACTACCTCACATTTTCTCTTCAGGGGATGAGAGAAACATATCCATCATTTCAAAGAAACGCAGCCTCTTTTGGTTCATGTCCTTATTAGGGTATAGGCTCTCAAAAGATGTAATTGAGGAAATATCTTCTCACCCCCAAATTATATAATGATCATTTCAACATTCTCTTATTTGCTGTGGATAAATGAAGAAGCAAAATAAATAGAATTAAATTCTTCACCTCTGAGTTGTGGTTAATGGGGCTCTCCCAGGAGCTTCGGACTCCAGGGCACATGTACCTAGGCAGAACAAGGCATCTCCCACCACGTGCATCCCCCTCAAGCCCTCTCCTGTCTCCCCTCTCTTGCCTCCCCCCAGCCTATGGGCTCCATAGCCCATGCTCCGTGGTTCCACTCTGCCTCTGGAGAGTTCTGCTATCTTCTTCCCGCTTTCTCTCTTATTAAAACACCTTCACCCGAAGGCATCCCTGAGATGAGAAGTGTGCCTGCCAACTCACCCCAGGAAGCCAAAATGCTTAAATTGCTTCTTTTATTTTCAAAAAAGTATATGTTGTTTGGAATGGAGAATGGCCTCACCTTGTCCTTGTAGGCCTGCTGTTCTGGGCTATTTTGTTAGAAACAACGGGAGAGGATAATGCCTTACATCCCCACAGCTCCTCTTGTTACAGGAATTGTAATAAACTGCCAAGAGCGCAGGCACCACTGCTGTTCTCTTGATTAAGGTTTTCTGAGGTATGGAGATGCCTCTGCCTTCAACTGCCCCTCCCAATTATCATGGAAGATAGTTGATGATACAAGACCACAGGCAGCCCCAAATGGCAGTGTCAAAATGGTGACATAATCTTCAGGGCCACCATTCAACAGCTGATGGCTGTGCTCTTTTCTTGGCTGAAGGCTGATCCTGAGCCAAGGAAATGACTAAGAAAACAGTCAGGGGACATCAGGTAAGCAGTAGGGAGAAGAAAGGAAGGAATAGGGGATTAAGGCTAGAATGACCTGGACCAGTTCACCAGGGATTAATAAGTATTAATTGAAGACCTACTAGAGGTTTAGCTCTGGGTTAGGTTTTAAGCATAGGGCAGTATATTAGAATCCAAAGGTCTGCTTTCAATTTCTAGTTCCAATCTTTGACTAAAAGATAGTGGAACTCACCAAGGATCAGTTATTTAATCTGTGAAATGGAAAGGTAATGTTTCTCACAGTGTGTCATAACCAGGTGTATGTGGTGGGTGGTAATAGTAACTCAGGTAAGCTGACTTCATTAAGCCAGAAACTGTTGGAAAGATGTAGTGATATGTGTTTCAAGGGCAGGAAGTACTGCCAGCTCTCACAAGGGCTGGAATCAGGAACTGAGACGCTGTTATCAATGGAGTTAGTTATGCTTTCTTGATCTCCCCATCTTTTTATCTTTCTCACCATCTGTCTCTCCTTCTCCGTTTCCCTCTGCTTTTCTCCATGTTTGCTGATTCATCATCTCCCTCCCCTGTCTGCTTCTCTATGTACACAGCAGAAAATAGATAGTCCAATATGGTGTCCTTGACCCCTGGCTCAATATTGTCATCCAACAGACATTGGAATTTTTTAGTCCAAATTACAAATACTGAAGAAAAAGAAACTGGTTGTTCCAGCTTTGGTCAGCATCAGAGTAGGGGGCCACAACTAATGGACCATACCATGTGGCCTACTGCCCACTCAACGTGACCATGGGGTCCGTGTCTCTAAGAATACAGCGGGCACAGAATTTCTCAAAGGGGGTTCCAGGGCAGAGAATGATGGAAAGCTGCTGTGCACACTGGGACACTGTAAGGAGGAAATAAGATAATGGGAAATTTCTCCGTACAGTCTGTGAGAACCAAGTGCTCAGTGAATGCTAGTGTTATGTACTGTGAAAGAAGCTTGAAATTCAGTGTGAGGGAAAAAAACTGCCCTGCACTGAGTAGGTGCTATTTTTATGTTTGCAAGAACTGTCTCCAACTTAATGTGCTGTCCCACTGTGGCCCATTATCAATATTCATAAATGCTTGTTGAATTGAGCAGAATGAGAAGGATGACATTAAATAAGAGCCTACAATTAAAGACAGTACAGAATTAAACTCTCAATTTTAGAGCATATTGTGAAAGCGCTACAAGCATTCAGGGTTACAATGAAGTGGTCAGTCAACGGCAGGAGTTGGCAGAGGATTTAAGGAAAAGACAGATCTCCACGTTGCCTTCAAGATGTACAACTTGGGGAGGCATCCGGAAGAAAGAAAAGAATTCCAGAAAAACAAACAATAGGAATTACAACTAAGAGCAGAGCTGAGATGAGCCTGGTGGGCTCATGGTAGAGAGGAGGGACAAGTGAGACCAAAGGGAGAATGAGTAATGGGTCACATGGGAAGCAAAACTAGATGACAAAGAGAGATCATTTTCAGAGACCATTGAGAAGCAAGCAGAGATAGTCAAATGGGAGGTGCATGGAAATGGAGCACCATTGATGGCAATTGCAAGGTGAGACTGCCAGCATTTGCCTTCTCCAATGCTTCTTAGCTGCAGGGTCCAATCTTTCAGGATGTCTGTGTTGAAGAAAACCAGAGCTTAAGACATCCCACTCCCATCAGGGGAAGGATGCTGGAGTTGTCTTATCGCCTGACCCCCAGGATCCCAGTGCATACTGAGCAGTAGTCCTCACCTCACCTGTCTTTATGGGACAAGGGCATAAAACAGGACCTCCGCTTCAAGGGTTCTTGGTTTCTCTTCCATTCCCACTGCCCTGATGCCTGGCCTATTGGGTTGAGATCCTGACTCCCTGCTTCTACTTAGCCAGCCCCCTCTCCCAAGGATTTACCTGAGCTCTCTATACCCAACCCTTGTTAAGAGCTGATTACATCCTAGATAGAACCTAAAACCCAAAAGAGCATCTTTCAGCTGATTGAAAGGAGACCCTGCCCAAGAAATCAAACAGCCATGAGCATCAGTAAAGCCAGTGATGTCCCAGCTTAGGCATGTCCCATGGACCAGAGTAATTAGAATTCAAGACTTGTAGCCAGAGAAGTCAGTCTATCCATGACTTTGCTCAGTGCCAACAGCTCAGCCTCCTCGTTAAGATCCCAGTAGGTCTTGATGCCAAAGCCACAGAACTGATGTCAGATCCTTTTTCACCAAAATGATGCAAAGACCTAGAGAAATGTAGAGAGTCCTATAAGATACTTGCATTCCAACAGCCTTATAGGAGAGGGTGAATGAAACCAGTAGTCTCAAGAGAGATTGGTGATGTATCGTTTTGTTAACAGCATGAATATACTCGCAGGTGTTTGTACAATAAGCAGTGAAGGGAGGGCTCTTGTGATTCCACCTTGAACCTCTTAATGTACCACCTGGTTTCTCATAAGTGAAGGACACATGTTGAGCCTCAGAACTGGTGCATTTCCATCATGCATCTTCTCTCAGCTGCCCAAAATGTTAGGAGTGGAATACTTACTCAGCATTGAAGATAGGCCCAAGGTTTGCTGGGGGAACTTTTTAGGAGATTTTCTACATAACCCAAGATTTTCCACCCAGCTGAGGATGTCAAGATGACTTTGACCTACTCCTAGGGGAAGGACATTCTGTAATTAAGGCTGTTAGCCTTCTGGTTGGCATACAAGCCTGCTTGCAAGAAGGGTGTCATTCTGACAACATACTGAGACCCGGAGAAGACCATAGGTCTCCTGGTTACAAAAGCCAACCAGACACGTAATAAGGGAGCAGATGCCTGTCAAGCAACAGCCTCTTTTAAGAACATCAAGGCCAGGTGCGATGGCTCACGCTTGTAATCCCAGCACTTTTGGAGGCCCAGGAGTTCAAAACCAGCCTGGACAATGTAATGAGAACTTGTCTCTACAAAAAAAAAAAAAAAAAATTTAATTAAAATTAAAATATTAGCTGGGCAGCCAGGCATAGTGGCTTGTGCCTATAGTCCCAACTACTCAGAAGGCTGAGGTAGGAGGATCACTTGAGCCCAGGAAGCAGAGGTTGCAGTGAGGCGAGATTATGCCACCGCACTCCAGCCTGGGCAACAGAGCAAGAACCAAGAACCTGATGCAAAAAAACAAACAAAAAAAGAACTTCAGCCTGCCTGCGACCACCCTCACAGACCTGTCCCTGGTCATTCTCTCATTTGTCTGATGTCAGACTATCACATTTCCCTGCCCCAGCAGGGTGAGGAACGGCTTCAGGACATACCAGTGACAACTACCTCTCTCCTGTTTACAACTGCAGATAATAGGTGGTTGACTGAATTCTCTATCTACAGGTTCAAACCCCATATTAGCATTTTACTCTCCCTAGCATCCCTACTTTGCATATTATCTGTCCTCGCACATCACTCTTTTAGAGCACAGGCACTGAGCACTCCTTATCTATGTCAGCACATGCCTCTGAAGCCAGCAGCAGAGGACAAGCTATGATGCAAGGGAAGACATTACATGGCTTGATGGGTAGCTCTATCCTCTGATGAATGAGAATTTTCCAGTTGTCTGAAATCATAATTTCCAGTGAGATGTGGGATCAGTCATGTCTGTCCTGGGTCTGAACTAGAGCCGGTCTGTGTGTCTCAATGCTCTGGTCAGTAGTGCAGTCAGAAAAGCAGGAGCTTTAGAGCCATGCTGGTATGAATTCTAATTCCAGTTCTGCCACTTAATAGTCAGGAAAATAATTACTTTCCAGGAGGCTTGGTTTACTTTCCTAAGGCAAGAACGCTAAGTGGAAAAAAAAAAAAAAAAAAAAAAAAGCCTTAAACTAGGTAGCTCAAGCAAATTGTCTACTGCAGGAACTACTTAATACATTTAGGTATTTTTATTCCATAAGAAACATTTGTGACCAATGATGGAATACCAAGCCTGTGCACATTTGAGGCGATTCCCCTCTCTGAGATTTTCTACATAACCCAAGATTCTCCACCCAACTGAGGATGTCAAGATGACTTTGACCAACTCCTAGGGAAAGGACATTCTGTAATTAAGGCTGTTAGCCTTCTGGTTGGCATACAAGCCTGCTCGCAAGAAGAGTGTGGTTCTGACAACATACTGAGACCCGGAGAAGATAGAATGGTACAACTCCTAAATCAACTTTAAGGAAGAAGTTACAGAAGTAACTGAGCCTAAAAGGGTGGTGTAGCTTTTGCATCTGATAACATCTATGAGGGGTCCTTCTAAAAGGCCATGGATGCTCTTCAGGTGGTTCTAACTTATCATAGTGAACCAGGTTCCAAAGGCAGCACTTATCTGTGGAAAGGCTCAAAGTGGTGGTTCTTATCATGTCTCCTGAGACTCCTAAATCCTCATTATCCATGGCATTCGTCTGGGTTAGACCAGTGGTTCTCGACCTTAGTTGCATGACAGGGAGTTTTTAAAAGTACAAACTCTATAGCTCTGCCTCAGAACATTTGAATTGCAATCCCTGGGGACAGATCTCAGATACCTATATTTTTAAAGTTCCCCAGGTAATTCTAAGTTATAGGCAGTATGGAGAACCACAGCTTAACACCGGTGCTACTCAAATGTTAATGTGTACACAAACCATGTAGGGATCTTGTTACATTGTAGCTCCTGATTCCATGGGTCTGGGATGAGGCCTCAGACTCTGCATTCCTAATAAGCTCCCAAAAGATGCTGATGCTGCTTGCCTGGGATCACACTTGAGTAGCAAGGCTCTCCATCTTTTCTCATCATCATAGCTATAATTCTTTTTTTTTTTTTTTTTTTTTTTTGAGACGGAGTTTCACTCTTGTTGCCCAGGCTGGAGTACAATGGCGCGATCTCGGTTCACTGCAACCTCCGCCTCCAGGGTTCAAGCAATTCTCCTGCCTCAGCCTCCCGAGTAGCTGGAATTACAGCCATGCACCACCACACCCAGCTAATTTTGTATTTTTAGTAGAGACGGGGTTTCTCCATGTTGGTCAGGCTGGTCTCAAACTCCCAACCTCAGGTGATCCACAAGCCTTGGCCTCCCAAAGTGCTCGGATTACAGGCATGAGCCACCGTGCCTGGCCCAGCTATAATTCTTTAAGCCCCATCTGCTGATTTAGTCCTATACTCCTTTTCAGAAATAACCTTGGGCAAGAGGAAGCTACTCAGCCTGACTCTGTATTAAGCCCCTTGGCTATGAGTCTCACCCATCAGCAGCAGTTGTTATAGAAATTGGAATCTCATCTCATGTCCAAACCCCTGGTTGTTTAATTCAACTTTCTATTTTCAAATGTCATCATCTACTCAAACTTGCACCCACAGAACACTGTTGCACAGAATTTTAATAGCTAGGAAGCAAACAAAAAACCCTCCATGTTTAAATAAACTGGGAGATTCTGGGCTAAATAAATTTGAAATTTGAATACATTTCTTTAGGATTTGTCAGAGCCTTTAATATGCAAATATGTATTCTGAACTCTAAAGAAAGCATGCAGTGTTTTCCAAACTTACTTGACTACAAAATACTTTATTTGTGGGACACCTAATAACATTTCATAGGCCTGGTGAGCTATAAAACACATTTTGGAAAATGTTACTTTGGATTTATTTCTACAGGCTTGAGATAAGCAGAGGGACAGATTAGTATGGAGATTGCTGGCTGGAATTTTCTATCAGCATTCAAGAAAGGAGAACCCTCCATGGAACATCATAAATTGTTCATGTGTCTGCACCATGAGAGAGAAAGACAGGGCCTGAGAAAAAGAAGGTCAAAGGTGCTAATTTGCCATGGTTTTGAGAAATAAGGGAGATGATTTTTATGGCTGCTGGAAAGGAATAAATTGTCACTGCAGTGTTTATGGTGCTGAGGAGAAAGGTTGAAACTAAAATATTCTTGCAAAGTCAAAGGTCTCGGGAGACAGGCCAATGGAATGGATACTGCTTTGTTGAGGATTTCCTCTCTTCACATTTATTATTTTTGAAATAGAAAAGATTCCTGGACTAAGGGGGAATGCAAGCAGGGACAAACATTCCATGCAGAAAGTGACAGAATGCTTGCTGTGATGTTTGTTTCTTCAGATGGGTTTGACATTGATTTCCTAGAAATTGATGGTTTTGGGGAAATGGCAGGACCTTAACAGTTCTGGCTGAATTTCTAATCTTACTCTTCTTGAAGAATTGGGTCTTCGAGAATTAGGGGTTCCACCCTAAAAAATCATGGGTTCCTAGTGGACTCTGGATCAGTGGTTGGAAATCTGATACCCATAGATAGAAAACCCAGATGTTGACTGTCTTGCATTGACTGTTGGAGTCCCCGTTAACTCCCTAGACTGAGGCTGGGCAATCCTGGAACCTGCCCCAGCCCGGCCGGCATGGAATGCTCATGTCTGGGCCCAGCCATACCGGCTGGCTGCAGAGCCACAAGGACAAAGATGTGTCATCGCTGTCCACCACAGTGCTGAAGTGGACATACTTCTTGGGAATTTTGATATCTACTTTAAAACAGAGGTGACCTCAAAATTAAGAGCCTCTTGCATTAGCTAAATGGGAAGATGTGTACTTTTAAATGTACTCTATTTTAGTGTAAACTGGGATTTTGTGCTGTTATGCTGAATTTATTTTCCTTCTAGGTGCTCTGTTGGTTAAGGCTTAGTTGCACTTAATAGAAACAACTCTGGGTAGTTCAAGGGAAAGGGATTTATTACTAGGTTTTAGGTAGCTTACAAAATAATTGGTAGGGCTGAAGGAATAAGATAAGCTTTCAGTAACAATTCTCAATCCTGAGTCACATCTCCTGCTGCAGGAGATCCTCCTTACCTCTCCCAGGATCTCACCTCTCCTGCCTTTTCCCCTGAGAACTCAGATTCTAATTTAGGTCTCATACAAGCGCATTGATAGAGAGAACCTTGCTCACAGCCAGATGTCTAGGTACAAGAGAGTCTGGGACATGTCATTTCTAGCTTTTCTAGTGTCTGCTGTGTTAGAAGACGTAATAAAAAGGAAATCTGAATGGTTGCCAAGTGAGAAAATCTACCATACCTGTCAATGGAGTGATCGAGCATAGTCGCAATATCATTGTCATTAAATGATTGATGAAACATAGAACCATAAGGCAAACATTATACTACTGATTGGAATTGCAGTGGCACTGATCAGAACAAAGCTTCCAAGACAATTTTGGAAAGTCCTGGAAACCAGATCAATATCACTACACCTCTATTTACCAAGATCACAAGATTTTCTATGCCATCAGAATTCTACACCTTTAGAATTCTGGAACTTAAGGAGATTCTGGGGATGAACTTGTTCAGACCCCTCATTTCATAAAGCTTATCATATGGTTTGCTAACTCTTCATTTTAAAACCTGCTTTCCCAGCTGAAATGTGGCTTTGCAGGAACTGTGTCTTATCGATCTTTTTACCCCCTAGTACTGAGCTGGCTTCCAGGCATATGGTAGGTGCTCCAGAATGAAAAAGAGGAATAAGGGAGGAATAAGGGAGGAATGGAAGAAGAAAATCAGTCCCATATGGGAGAATTCACCTAACCTGAGCCCCGCTCACCTTAGACTTTGGGGAAGAACCAGGTGACAGTCTAGATGCTCTATCTCTGTAGGACCCAGGATAAACTGGAAAAACTGGCCACTGATGATAAGGCTGCTGAAGGGAGTATTTCTCTTCCAGAACCTGCTGTGGCCACTGCTGCTACTACAATCCCAGAAGTTAGGAGGGAGTGATAATATGCAAGAGGCATGGATGAGCCAGAGGCAGGAGTGAATGGTGAGAAAGAGACGCCCAAAGACATGCACAGGATAGAATGCAAGGAATCTGAGAGCCAAGGAGAGGAGGAAAAGGGCAGACAGGTCAGAAGCACAAAAGGGAGGACTTTGTCATAGTAGGACACCTGCAAAGGATATTACACGTGGCTAGATTTGTTCTGAGTTTGTTTGAGCCTAATGCACAAAAGAAGCACCTAAATCAAAAGAGCCATAGCCAAGGACCAGGAGCCTGGAAGCTGTGAACCTGTCTCCCCATCTCTCCAACTTGCTTTTTAATACACCCTGCTGTCTTTAGCCAAGGCTGGTTAAAGGCATATTCATCATGCATCCTGTTTGCAGGTGGAAATTTGCATCCTCCTGCATGGAAGTCCACTGTGGCTCACAGCACAGCTCATATGACAGTTGAATGGGCAGCCCCCACCCTCTTCCCTAGATACCCTCCCACCTCCAACTTCTTCAACATCTTATGGTCTGTTTACACCTCAATGAGTATGTATAAAACTGTCTATTAGTGAGTCTTTATTGCACTTTGGTAAGAAAATTGTATTAAAATAGACTAAGCATTGAGTTGTGAGGTTAAGTACTTATCACTAGGCTGATGAATAATCTAATAGAGATTAAAAAATTTTTTTTTACTTCTCATGAGTCAAAATAATACAACTAGTAATTAGATTTTTACTCCCACCCTGGCAGTAATAAATAATCCACAGTAGGGCATTTATTTTAATGAGTATGTACAGATTCTCAGTGTTGGGAGGGCATGCAGATGGGGTGTTTGCTAGATCTAGAGTCTTACAATTACGTGCTCCACTGGGGCCTGGGTGTCTCAGCAGAGACCCTATGGAATAATATCCAGAACAAGAAGGCAAAACCACTAATAACTTTCCCTCACTGGTATATCCCAGGAGACTCCATCTAGGGGATGAAGATGGTGAACTCTGCCCTTCTCTCCAGATTAAACTGGCTGGTGAACACACATCAGCTACATGCCTCTCCCATGCTTAAAGAATGCATATGATACTTATTAATATGTGACGGAATTGATGAGGAAAAGGAAGGAACTAATTTTGCTTAGTGTCTACTATGTGCGGTTACCATGTGTCACTTAGGTTAACTTTTTGAAATGTGTGATCACCATGGAGAAAGGGATAGCATTGCTCATGTTACAAGGAAGTAATTAGGGTCCCAGAAGTAAGCACAGGATACTCACTTCCCATAAGATATTGTACCATTTACTCATTCAATCACCTATCAGGGCTGCTTTGTACAATTGCAGAGGTTGTGCACTTCACAGCTCCACAGATCTCTATTCATGTAGACTATTCTGGAACTTTAAATCTTATAACCTGCACTCTTATATGAAATAAGTTAAGTGCTGGTGGTAAGGAAGAAGGAAGATACAACCTTATCTACAAAACATGAAGACATCTATCTAGCATGTTATGGAATATTGCTATGATTAAATTTTGAACACAAGTTTCAGTATTTGAAATTTAAGTAAAATGGTCCCTTTGTGTATCTCATACCGGGTCTCCAAGGCCCTCTTATAGAGAAGGGACTTAGACCTCTTTATCAGAGGTAGTCCACATAATCACACGTCCAATCTCTCTCTCCAGCCTTGTCCTGTCTACCTCCTCTGGCTTCCTCCTGTAGGCTTTGACCCTCATTCATCCGTTGCTCAGGTATAGTGCCTCTCTTCTGCTTTGCCTGTTTCAGACCCTGGCCACCCTCTGGCGGTATTGCCCCAATTGACCAATACTCATCAAAATTGTCAAGATCGTGAAAGACAAGAAATAGAGAGAAGTGGCCACAGATTGGAAGAAACTAAGTTAGCATGGTACTCACATCCTCCTGAGGCTTACTCCAGGGGTCCACCCCACGGTTCAGCTTCACTACCCCCATCTCGGTGCTGACAGCTGGCCCTGGCAGCAGCATCGCCCTGTCATGTGGCTAAGCTAGGGTGTGGAGAGGTGAAATACTTCCTTAAATGGAGCTGCCTCTGCTGAAAACTTTTTTACAACTTCTCTTGGGGAGTTCCTTTAGAGCTTTTTTTTTTTTTTCCTGAGATGGAGTCTCGCTCTGTCGCCCAGGCTGGAGTGCAGTGGCGCGATCTCAGCTCACTGCAAGCTCTCTTTAGAGCTTTAACTCAGATTTTTGTTTCTTCAAACTTGAGGATCTTTACCTCGGAGGAATTAATATGAATTTGGCAAGCGGGCAACAGCCATTGGAGGAAGGGGTAAGTTGAGTTAATCAGAGTAACATGTGACTTACTTTGGAAGTAAGTATGGAAAAATGGAAAGTTAATATTCTTGTGCACCCTGTAACCTGCCAAGCCTATGTATTTTCTTCATTTAGAATTGGGGCAAAATCAAGAGACAGTCTATAAAATAATTGACCAATACTCATCAAAATTGCCAAGATCATGAAAGACAACGAAAGAATGCAAAGTGGTCACATATTGGAAGACAATAAAAAGATATGCTGACAAAATGCCACGTGGCATCTTGGATTGGATTTTGAAGCAGGAAAAGGACACTAGTGGAAAAATAAATAAAATTCTAATGAGATCAATAGTTTAGTTAATAATGTTATACCACTGTTAATTTCCCGGTTTTGATTATTGTACTACGGGAAGCTAGGTAAGAGTATACATGAGGTCAGGGGTGGTGGCTCATGCCTGTAATCCCAGCACTTTGGGAGGCTGAGGCAGGCAGATCACAAGATCAGGAGATCAAGACCATCCTGGCTAACATGGTGAAACCCCGTCTCTACTAAAAATACAGAAAAATTAGCTGGGTGCAGTGGCATCCGCCTGTAGTCCCAGCTACCCAGGAAGTTGAGGCAGGAGAATAGCTTGAATCTGGGAGGCGGAGGTTGCAGTGAGCCAAGATCCCGCCACTGCACTCCAGCCTGGGTGACAGAGCGAGACTCAGTCTCAAAAAAAAAAAAAAAAAAAAAAAAAAAAAAAAAGATTATACATGAACTCTGGGCAGTTTTTGTAGTTTCTCTGTAAGTCTAAAATTATTCCAAATAAAAAGTAAAAATAAGAAAGAAAGAAATATGGGCAGAGCACCTCCCCTGGGGATAAAATGAGATTAAATATTGTCTTGCTTGGAATCCTGTTGCATGTCCAATTGCAACTTTTATAGTTGCAAGGGAAATATATTTTCATCTCATTCACCCAGGACATATTGCTGGCACTGACTCCTTCAGTTTGAGGATAACTAGTTCCCATTACCATAACTGTCCCAATAACCTATATTCATCATCCATCTTCGATTTCTGCCATGGCATCTCTGGTGTAAATCCACTTCCAACTTTTTATCCTCACTCTTAGACTTGTTTTCACAGTTGCAATAATCATTCACACAACAGGCCCCTTTCCCAGAGTTTCCAGCCACTGGTGGGCTCCCCTCTCCCATAGGCTCCACCTGATCCCTGCAGCTATGAAGACAACAGCTAGGAAACTAGAATTTCAGATACATCCGAGCAAAGGTAATATTGTTGGGAATAGTATGTAGCCTTCCAGGGATATTAACTATTTTGAAATGAAGCACATGGGTACATTTGCTGCAAGTGCAGTTTTACCACTGTGCCGCCATGGCTTTTGCATATTGTAAGTTGCTTCAAACTTGATTTCTAGCTAAAGTCAATATGAACCAATTACAGAAATCTGGATAAAGATATATTTCATTTCATTCTAAACCATTTGTTGTATACCACCATATAGCAGATGCTGTGCTATGTTATGGGTGCACAAAGATGATTAAGAGATGGTCTTTGTCCTTGAACAGTGCAAAGTGCAATGGGGTGGGATGCCATAATACAAAGTTTAATGTGAAATGCAGAGGGAAGGAGAGAGAGGCTTTGGGGCAAAACCATTATTTCTTTAGGAGCAACAAGAGGACATTTGATAGATGCTGTGCAGAATATCATTGAAGTTGGAAGAAGGAAGTGGTCTCTGAGTGAGTCTCATTTTGACACACAATACTTGGAATAGAAGCTCATATTTCTCCAAAATCCCTCCTTTTCAAAGTCTTCCTACTGACCACACACACATATAGCCCATTTGGTGATAATATCCCTTTATCATGGTATAACCCCTATTTCCCAATGTGCCTACCCATGGACATCTTTTGGGGAGCTTTAGTAAAACTTTATAATCTTGAAGCCCCCACCCATCTCAAGACTGTAAATCAATAGGACCAACTAGCTTCTCCTTTATCCTGTCTGGTTCATTTTTCGGCCAGGATGTCTGGCTTTTGTAGAAAGCAGAGTGATGAGCAATGGATGGGGCCAGGGCCACCATGTTGTGCAACCCTGGGGGGAACCATACACACAAAATACAATGTAAATTTTGCCTTCTAAGCTGGGGACATGGGACCCTGGGACACAGGAGACAGTGTGAATTGTAATCTATGGGGTAAACTGTTTCGCCTATCATAAATGCTACACACAGGTTCTGAGAGGATTCAGATTAGTGAGATGCCCAAAGGGCCAAGACTCTGTCATGGTGAGGTTGGAGTCACTGTTGAAGTCAAGGGGTGACTGCCAGAACTTACAAAGCTACAGACAGCCCCCGATAGGAGCCAGGCCATTGGGCTAATGCATCCTTGAGGAGCTCTGAGCCCCTGCAGGCCAAGCGAACAGACCCTGCCCATCCTCCTCCATCAGCATTTCTTTGTCCATTGCACAGCTGAGGACTGACAATGAATATTCATACCCTGGCTGTTGCGGAGTCGCTAGACTCTCTGCATATGCAAAATCAGAACTTACTTGGGCTGCCAGGAAGGGAAGATTCCCCCCAAAAAAACATCTGATGGAGCAGGTTGAACCAGTGGGAAACATAAAGCCGGCGATGAGAAAGGAATATTCTAGAAGTTATTGCATTTCTGCACTGTCTTGCAAGATGCCATCCTTGGGGAAGGAACATTCTAACCAAGAAGAAAAGACACATCCTTGGCCTGAAGTCAGGCTAAGCAGAGCTCTTGCTCATGCATTCATTTGTCCTCTACCAGGCTCTGAGGCAAAAAGAAAAGAAATATAAATAAATTATTAACATATCTTTGCCTAGAGGTAATTAAAGGTTGATTGGATAACAATATAAACAGAGTAACAATTCACATTGGAAAACATTGTTTCTACTGAGTGCCTACTGAAAAAGTGCTTTACATTTTTTTTTAATCTCATTTAATCGTCATAATTACCCTGACAGGGCAGCTGCTGTTGTCTCCATTTTACAGATGAAGGAACTGAGACTCAAATAAGTTAAGTGTATTTGCTGCAAAGTTATGCACCCCGTAAGTGGTGAATTCAGGATTTGAATTCTGGTTTTATGGGACCTAGAGTCCATGTTCTTGCCTTACAACTGTTCTGCCTCGTAAGACATGATTTAAAGAGAATCTCAATGTTTCAGGACTTGTGGGACAGATACCAAATCACAGCATGGTAGAGGATAATCAGAGAAGATTCCCTACCAGGATCAACTCAGCCTGGGAAGACATCCAGGTATCAACCACGCTTGAATTATGAAGGATTTTAAAAAGCTATTTGTCTGTTGGCTCCAAGTAAACTAGGCAACCCCTTAAGAGGCAAAATTGGCTTTATTGTTTCTTAAGAGAAGGACAGTCTAGCATGCATGGAGGTCTCAGTCCGGGCACTACAAGCCCAGAATGGCAGGCCATGCTGCTTCACTATTTATAACCAGCCAGGCAAGGTGCTAAACACATGACATGGAAGAAAATATTCAGGCCGGGTGTGGTGGCCTTGGGAGGCTGAGGTGGGCAGATCATTTGAGGTCAGGAGTTCGAGACCAACCTGACCAATATGGTGAAACCCCGTCTCTACTAAAAACACAAAAATTAGCTGGGTGTGGTGGTGCATGTCTGTAATCCCAGCTACTCAGGAGGCTGAGACACGAGGATTGCTTGAACCCAGGAGGCAGAGGTTGCAGTAAGCCAAGATTGTGCCTCTGCACCCCAGCCTGGGCAACAGAGTTAGACTCCATCTAAAAAAAAAAAAAAATAGCAAAAAAAACTTCAATGCTTGCCACTAACCCCCATTTATTCAAAAAGACTGGATCCAAAGGAGGACTGGACAGCATAGGTGACTTGTTCATAGCCACATATTTAAGTAAAGGCAGAACTTGAATGTACAACCCAGCAGCGCAACGTCAAAGTCTGAAATTTCCCAATATGGGCTCTAATTGCAGGGTGGGCAGCAGAAAGTATTCATCAGAGTAGTTCATGCATTCAGGATGCATGGGGTGCATCCTCCCTGTACTCCAGGAGTGCAGACAATGTTTATCATTTATGCCAATGGTCAAAACTAGAAGGGCCTGGGATTTCATCCTGTCTCATTCCTTTGTAGACTGCTGGGGAGACCAAGGCACAGCAAGAGTCAATGTCCTGTCTCTTTCATGCAGTAACTTAAGGCTAAGCTGAAAACACATCAATAAGGTGTCTTGAACATAGCACTTCTCTCACACGTTCACTTGCAAAACACCAATGGATTATCCACCCCACTATTTATTAATCTCATTTTGCAGGTGAGGATACTGAGGCCCATCAAAGATTGCTCAAGTGCACATAGCTAGTGTGAGTATTGAGGCTGAAATTCAAACCCAGGTCTGAATAACGGCAAAATGTGGGCTCTCAACCACTCAGGGACAACGATATGACTCTCATAGTGGTGGCATCAGGGAAGAGGTGAGGGCACCCAGGAGAGAACAACTCGCTCTGCTGATATCTGTTCTCTGCTTGGAAATATGTAATACTGGAACATCATGAGGCCCAGAGAGCACATGAACACACACACACACACACACACACACACACACACGCACGCACGCACGCACGCACGCAGAGCTTCTCTCATTCTGTCCTTCCCCTCTTCTCTTCTTCCTCCCCATAAGCCCAGCAGGCTTTCCCATCCATTATCCAAATGTACTCTGGGTTTGCACCCAGAAGCTTAATTTCACATCTGGCAGGAAGCAATTGTGCAAAGTTGCTGAATCCTCTTCTCCACCCCCTAAGGGGGTTCATCAAGCCCTATCATCCTAGAAGTGACAAAATATTTTCCATTCCCCAGCAAAAATAAAAGTAGCACAGAGTTGGGAAGTCCATAACAATAAAATATAGAGCCAATCAGCTTTAAAAACAAAATTCTTCTTTTGGAATCTGTGGGGCTTCAGATGATGCTCAAGGGGCAAGTAGCTGAAAAAGCCCATGTATCTGACTTTGACTGAGGTGAGGCTTTGGAAGAGGAAGTTCTCCAAAACCCTCAACAAATGGAGAGGGTCACCAATTAGCATGGTTTTATGAGGGTAGGATGGAAATGCTGAAGAATAGGAATATTTGTTGAGTGTCTTCTGTTGCAAAGCACATGCCATATGTAGCATCATTGAATCTGTACAACACCATGTGACTTATGATCCACTACATCTATTTTATAAATAAGGATTATGGACTAAGTTTCCAGGATCCCAAGAACACAGCCTTAAATTAAACCACAAATCCAGAATGGACCTTTGAGACCATCAAGTCCTGGGATAGTGAATACCCAGACCATGACCTCCATCCTCCTAATTTGTGTCCCCAGCTGATACTGCTAATTGATCATATTGCTCTTTCCCAGGAATCCTGGACGAAACTTCAGAAACCTTCTCAAAATAGCCTTGTAGGTGACTACCTCCTATAAATTGGAATTTGCATAAGATATTAAATCTATTTGCCATACCTGACCTACGTTAAGTCTTTATTTTTAAGATGAGAAAATCAAGACACAGAGAGGGGAAGTAACTCATCTGAGATCACACAGCAAGCCAGAGACAGGTCTAGAACTCCAGGCTCAGGGCCCAAAGTGTGTTACTCATTACAGCTCCTCATAAAGGAAGTGGTCCTGCAAGCACCATGTGGCAGCACAGTTAATTTACTTTGTTTTTGACCAAATGGATTTAAATCCTGGAAACAGCTCCCTCAGGCTCTCCCTTCCAAAATGCCCCTTCCTCTGCACCAGCTGAGCAGCCAACAGGAACTTGGTCTCCTGGGTACCCAGCCAGTTAATGTGTGCCTGGCATTAGCACAAAACTAACATTTTATTTCCCTTCCATAGTATGTAATTTCTTTGGAAGTTGAAGTGTAATGAAATTGGTGTTTATTATAATTAATAAAAGCCCCATAACTTTAAATTGGGTCATAAATCTTGCAGGGAAATCCAATACTGCCTTAAGAGTCATTCCTTTCCCAAAAGGGGCTCTTTGGAGCAAGGAGGGAGCCAGCTCCCTCCTCCCAAACGGGAGCTGGCTATGCTCCCTTGGTTCGCTGCTGCTAATCTATTCAGGTCACCAGCGGAGCACAGGCAGCTCGGGGCTCTGCAAATGGAAAAACTGTACCTTAGCCCAAAACATGTAGGTAGTACTCCAGTGTGAGCACTGCCTGCATTGTAACTTTAGCTATGGCTTATTTTGAGAAATAAAACTATGTGATTTCTGTGTGCCAGGAACTGTGTTGGAGAGAAGGAAAATGCTATTCTTATTCTCAAGGATGCCCCATGTGCCTACAGTCCAGTGAGGAAGGCATGCTGGTCAGTTGCCAGGTACAATTCAGTGTGGATTATACAGATATGGAAGGCACGAAGTGGTTGCCCTTCTATTTGAGTAATGTAGAGTGATGGGATTATTTCAAGGAGAAAGTAGATAGAGGTGAGAAGGGTTTGAAAGCTGATGAGGAGGTTGCCAGGTGGGCGTAAATATTCTTCCAACACAGCATGCTGTCTCTGCATCAGGGCCTTTGCACTTGCTATCTACTCTGTCTGGGATCCTTATTCCCCAGACCTCTAAGTGTCTGTCTCCTTCTCACTCAGATCTCAGTTCAAACTCCCTCTCCCAGAGAGGCCTTTCTTCCCGCCTTACCTAATATTTCTCCTTCCCCATCCCTTGCTATCATATTTTCTGTTTCCTTTACAGATCTCACCATTCTGTGAAATTACATTATTTATTTATTCTCTTTCTTGTTCATTGTCTATTTCTCAAATGAGTACAAACATAACTCTGTTACAACAAGAACCTTGCCGAGTTTATTCACTGTTGTAGTCCTGGCACCTAGAACAATTCCAGACACCTACTGGACAATTAATAACTATTCTAGGCAAAGATTCATAAACTGCATGGCTCATTAAAATAAACAAAGCAGATTACAAAATTGCACACAATGTCAGAAGGGAAAATGGTAGACAAAGATGCCAAGTAAAGAAAAAATAGAGCAGAAAAATGAAACCACCACCCAAATAGCTCCAGGGAGGGATGTGGGTGTAGAGAAGTGCCTAAGAAAGAAGTTGTAATTTGTTTGCTGTGGGATGTGTACTGCAAGCCCCCTACTCTCACCCCTCCCCTTTAAATGTTTAGTTGTCTTCATAGCTCACTAAAATAAATAAATAAACTTTAAAAACACGAAGCCAGCAGTAGGATTAGTGTTTGCACATCATATGCCTTAACATCTTGTTAGAGGTGGGTAGTAAATTTGGCTCTGGGCTTCCTAACAGCCAAAACAAGAGGGAAAAATGAAATGTGTTAACTCTCAAACCTCAGTGTCTATGGGATTAACCTAAAGTGACTGCTCAAAGAAAAGTTAGTTTTTTTCTGGGCCTGAAACCTGAGTGTTGATCCTGCCAAGGAGAAAATGTTATGATGTAGTATCCTCCACAGCATCCCTTCAGTATATTCAGAAGACAGGTTCATTATAGCATCTTTTCTTATAGTAGGCCGATGACCTCATGCCCAAGTATAATTTAGTAAAAGCCTTTCTACAAGCAGACAGACCATGCTATCTAAGCTTGCTTCTTTTGAATGATCTGGCCTGAAAGAGATGGAGAATCTCTCACAAAATTGGAAGGACTATGTGTTCTTCAGATAGTCTTCTGTTTCTTTCAAGTGAGTTCACACTAAGACTTGGGTGGTAAGGAACACAGGGTAGCCTCCACTTCTGGAATGCCGGGTGATATATCATGTTCCCCACTGGGACTAATTCCCTGTTCAGATGTGCACAGGGTGGAGTGGGCACCTGCCTTTGAAAATTGAGATCCTGGAGGAATCTGAAGAGAGAACCAGCCACCCACTCCTCTACATCAGGCACCAAAGCCGGAAACTTATAATCAGCATTCTTCAAAGAAGGGCTCAAGGATTCCTGTCTCAGACCACCCGAGGCACTTGCTATACCTGAAGATGCCTGGCTCTGGACTCACACAGTCTGCTTGGGGTGGATCAGAGTGTCTGCTGCTTACCAAGCTCTCCAGGTGATTCTCCAGCCTGCAGAGTGCTGATCTGAAGGACAGTATTTGCAGTATTTTTGTTTTTCATAATGGCCCCTAACACTCAGGGCTTTAAAATTCAAAAAGCACTCTCCCTGTCCCTGAGCCTCACAAAGCCCCTGCAGAGAGTGAAAGCAGCTTCTCCCATTGGAGAAGAGGGCTTAGTGAGAATTGAAGTGTTTGTGTCTTTCCTAAAGGCAACATCCAGCAAAGGGTAGGGCCAGGACTAGGCCCAACTCTACATAGAATGGACGGTGGTTCAGACCTGGACTCTGAAGCAGCATGCCCAGATCCAACTCCTGGGTCCCTATCCATGGCTGGTGAAGGTGGACAAGTCCTTCACTGGGCCTCTGCCACCTCCTCTTTGTGTGCACAGGGTTTCTTGAGGATCAAAAGGAGGATTGTGTTGAAAGCACTTAGAATCATGGTGGCATAAGGCAAACACGTGATGAATGTTGGTTTCCACTATTATTGGGTAGAATGCAGCTGCAATAGAAGACATGCAAAGGCTTTTGAGGAAATGCAAATGACCCATGCAGGATGGGTGTTTACCCCAGTCTCACTTGGAGAAAATACAGTCAACATGGGAGCCAGTTGGTGTTATAATGCATGACAGACCAAATTCTGGGGTCAGCAAATAGAGAGCTGTCCAATAGAATTGTCTAAGTGGCAGCAAGGATTAACCCTGCACTGTCCAGTAAGGTAGCCACTAGCCACAGGTGGCCATTGAGCCCCTGAAATTAGCTAACATAACTAAGGAATGGAATTTTTACTTTTTTAAATTAATGAAAGTAAATTTAAATAACGACTTGTGGCTAGTGGCTACCATATTGAACAGTGCACCTTTAGAGAGAGAAATGGAGCTCCATGCTGGGGTCATGGAACATGGCCTCACCCTGGACTAAGCCTAGATCTATACAAATGCTAGAAGGAGGACATGCTTATCTTGGAACATAACGCTTCTTCATCTGCCTTTTCTGATTCTCACTAAGCTAGCCCAGTCCTCATGAGGTGGTGAGCTCCAGAAGAATTGTTCCTAATGGTTCTGACTTTTGCATCCTCAGGGTCTAGCCCAGCACCTGGCACTTGATGTTCATTAACTCAGGTTCAGCCTAGCTAACTCTCCCGCCTCTTTGCATCTGCACTGGAGTGAGGGCTGATTATCTGTCCCAAGGTGCCCAACCTAACAATGGACGCTAACGAAGATTTTAAGGACAGGTGTGAACATCTGATTGAAAAGGCAGATGTAGGCAAGGAATTGCAACTTACGTTAGTATTATCTTGGTGAGAAGCTAAGCTCCTTCTCTTTGTGGAAGTAAGTTTTTTTTTATAACTGAGAGAATTGTTTTCCATGGGCTAAATTAAACCTACGTTCTGATATAAAATACAACATAATTCAAGTCAATGTTAATAATGATGGCAAATCTTAAGAATTATCTTTCACAGTAAATTACCTCTGAGATTGCAGGTACTCCTTATCAAAAGTAAATTTAATATAAAGAACACTAAACATGCAGAAGTGATAAATTATGGAGAGAATTCACTTCCCTCACTCAATGCCTCTTAGTTTTGAGTTTCAAGTAGCAACCGTGACTTTAGGGAAGTCATTTCCTATCTCTGGGCTGCAGGTTCTTCATCTGAAAAACGAGGGGGGGTTGAACCAGATGCTCTCCAAGGAGCCTTCCAGCTCTGAAAATTTATCAGTCTCCAATTCCATGAAACTGATCTATTTGGCATTTCATTCTCCAGTGCCCTCACCACAAGAGAGAAACCTGCTAATTTAATAAACTGAACAGGCTCCTAGGAGGCAGCTATCAAGAGTAGGTTCCCCTCTCATCCCCTCCCATCCCAAGAAACATTTTTACTCAGCAACATGATTTGCAGTTGCTGAGTCTCTTCTTAAGGCCAGGCCTGGGGAGGGAGGATTGAAGAGAGGAAGAAATTCTTTTGGGTCCCTCTGCTTCCCCCATGCAATGGTTCCTACGTTATTATACTGTGGACCGATTGTGGGAGAGAACCACAAAAGTAGCCAATGACCTCAAAGAAAGGTTTTTCTCCTGCCACCCTTATCCTATAGCCCCTCCACTCACAGCCCCATATTTAATGATCTCCAAATCTCTTTCTGATGTGCACTCAGAACTGCAGTTCAGGGAGGTTAATTGTATTTTAATTGCCTTCTCATCCAGGGGCACCTACATTATCACTTGTGACTAAGAGGCTGGTGGGCAGATGACTCACTCCTTTGGCCCCTGGGTTCTTCTAAAGCAGTCTCACCACACCCCGGTCCCTGCCAGCATCACATTTTCAACAGCGCTCTCCCCTTCTGGTCTTCACCTTCCTGATGCTCCACGTGGTCAGTAATGTTCTTTTTGTCCTTGCTGCTGGGAGTCCCCAGCCTTGGAGCCAAATTGGGGTACAGAGTGGGAAGGTTAGGGTTAGGAGGTGGAGAACAGCTTCCACCACTTAAGCAGAAGAAGTCCTGGAATCTTATGATGCTCAGGAACCACTCGCTCCTACCTCTGACTTCATATTCCAGCCATGTGAGCTTGCAGCACCCCCACACTTGCTATGCTGGGCCTTTGTTCCCACTGCACCCTACCTGTCTTTTACAATTCATCTCAGTCATCACATCTTCCTGCAAGCCTTCCCTGACCTCCCCAATAAGCTGGGTTAGGTGGTCTGTCTCTGTACTCTCACACTACCATCTGTTTAACCATTACATGTATGTATAGATAGGTGCTTCTCCATTTATGATGGGGTTATATCCCTGGTAAACCCATCATAAGTCAAAAATATTGTAAGTAAAAAATGCATTTAATGTGGTCAGCACAGCAGATGGGCCCCGATTTAGGATGATTTGACTTACAATTTTTTCACTTTACAATGGTGACAAAGCAACATGCAAAATCGGCAGAAACCATAACCCCATCCTAAGTTGTAAGGAGTTCCCTGAGGAACTCAATGAGGCTATGTCCATATAAACCCATCCTAAAGTCAAAATATTAAGTAGAACCATGGCAATTCAAGGACTGTCTGTGTATATATTTGCTCTAGATTAAAACAATGTTCTTTTAAAGGCTACACTAAAAAATCTAAAACTGCTCCCTGCAGTGTTCCAGATTAGCTCAGAAACAAGGTAGGGTCTGAGCCTACAGGTGATCAAAACTGAGACACCTAGAGAGGTGCTGACCCGGTGATTTTTCCTAACAAGAACTCCTCATCCCATAAGGCACCAACACTTAAATCTTCTAGAAATGTACACCCAGAACCACAAAAGGTCTCACCTCTCCGCACACCAACCCAAAGCACCAGTCATACCCAGTATTGCTTTTCTGCCTCAGTGGCCTCTGACCTGCTGGGTGCTGCCTTAAAGCTACAAGTCCCTTCCCAGCCCCTGCACAGTAAGCTCCTGTTCACATCTTGAAGACCTCCTCCTGCATGTATATCCTCCAGGAAGCCTTCCCTGATACCTCAATACAGTGCCTTCTTCTTCTAGGACCCCAAAGAGCATTGTTGACTCTTTGATGAACCCTGATCATAGTGTATCCATTTTTATACTGTCTCGCTCTTCTAGACAGTAAGCCACTCTAGGACAGAGACCCTCATCATGTCCAGTGCTTGGCACTGTTCTGGTACGTAGCAGTACACAATACAATGCATGTTTGAGGTCTTAATTAATGTAGAGTGAATGATGAGATTCAGGGAATTAGGCAAAGTGTTGGAAGATACAATTAAGGTCATGGGCTTTTGGCAGCATCTGTTAATGCTTCTCCCACATGGGTACTAGGAACAGGTTTTATGTCGTTTTCTCCTGTTTCAACAAAATTAACTTGATGAGGTTTTCAAACAGTAGGTAGCACCACAGTCGGCTCTCTCCTGCTCCCTGATTCCAAGTCAAGATGGGAAAAAAATGCATTTTTTGTTTTTTTTGTTAGTTTGTTTGTTTGTTTTCTGCCTTTGGTATCTACCTCAGTGCTTCTCAATTTGGAATATGCCTTCAAATCACTTGAGGGTGTTGTTCAAATGCAGATTTTGATCCAGTGGGTCTGGGGTGAAGTCTGAACCTGCATGTCTAGCCCATGATGCCAATACTGCTGTTTCAAGGGAAACACGTCAAGTACTAAGGATTTACTCCATTTTTTTTTTGGTAGAAAGACTGATGTATTCTAATTAGGAGCCTCAAAACCCTAAGAGGACAGTGTAATTTAGGAGAAAGTGAGTTTGGAGTGACTTAGACCCAAGTCAGATCTGGGTCCTATTATTTTTCTATGTTATCTTACTATATTTGTTTAACTTCCTTAAGCCTTTGCTTCTTTGCCTGTACAACTGAAACTAATCTGTAATCTCATGGGCATGTGTGTGTGTATATGTGTGTGTGTTTGAATGAGGATTGCATGTCAGACTGTGTAAGATACTTCTGATTCATCACAGCCTTCTCAGTAACTAGCTGTTGGTTTCCTTGTAAATGGAGCCAGTTTCCAGATTCACTGTTGCTCTTTCTGATCCGATTTCTGTTCCTTTACGATCGGAATCCCTCTCTGGAAGAATGTTACCTTCCCTGCCCCCTGACATCAAAAAGGGTCGTGTGTCTTACCTTGGCCAATGAGATGTGATGTGGATAGAAGCATGTATATTATTTCCAAGCAGAAGCCCTAAGGGCTACTGTGCCTTCTACCATCTTCCCTTTGTCCATCTCTTCAGCCAGGGTCCCAAAACAAAGATGATGGAACTTGCAAGGTAAAGATAGAATAAGTGAGAAATAGGTCTTCTTTTTTTGGAAAGCCACTAAAATTTTGGGATTGTTTGTTACTGCAACATAACTGTTTATGTTTTTATTGATCCTGACTGATAAATTCTGCTGCACATTTATTGCCTTGCTGTCTACTTTATGCAAGGTACTGAGATGGTCATTGAGATTGCACCTATGAATGTGACAGAAGTTATGTCCTCAAAGCAATCATAGTTGAGTGAAGAAGCCAGAAATGAAAATTCCCAAGGATAATACACTACTGAGTTCAGTTCATCTGAATACTGACTTCAGTTCATCTGAACAGGTCTATAATTGAGATGCTTCCAGAGTGCAGAAGAAAAACTGATAAATCCCTCCTAAGGAATTAAGGAAGATGTCATGGAGGAAGGAGCATTTGAATTAGGCCTTGAAAAGTGAGCTGACTTTTAATTGGACATAATAATACATAAATAGCACATAGGACACAGAAGAATAGCATATTTTTGAGTCAGAAGTCCCATATTCCAGGCTTGACTCCAGCAGTTATGATGGTGTGACCTCAAGCAAGACACATAACTTACTGTATGTCATTTTTTTCTTCTGCAAAGTAGAGCTAATGATATATCTCAGTATTCTGGGAAGGTTTAAATTTAAAAGTCTATGTATAAGTACTGCTAAAAACAAATAGCTTATACAATAGACATAGTAATGTGTAATATAATAATCCTGCCCTATAATAGGGTAGATGGTAACACCTGATCACGTTTTTGAGAGCTTGCTTTGTTCTTAACACTGTGCTTAGTAATCTATTAGTATCACACATTTAGTCCCCTCGAAAATCCTATGAGGTAAGTACTATTTTTGTCCTTATTTTACAGAGAAAAGTATAGACTTTGAGTGTAGCAGAGTGGCACAGCGGAAAAGTATAGACTTTGAGAGGTCCAGTAATTTATTTACATACACAGGACAGCAGGACCTGGATGTGGGCAGTTTGACACCAGCCTGTGCTACCAGCCATGCACAACCTTGCCTCCCTGTTAGGAAGGAGAGAGGCCTGAAACTCTACTGTGTGCGCAGGCAGTGGAGCTGGTAAGTAGGGGGCAAGGGCAAAAATAGATGAGGCTTTGAAGGGTTTTTGAAGCTGCTCATTTGGGGACTGCAACACTGGTTGTGATTATAAAATCTTTGAGGATGTTCTCACTGCAGTCCTGTTTCCCTGTGCTTTACACTTTGTCGGAACTCCCCAAGTAATGATAATGCTTTCTTCATTCAACACAACATTTACTGAATGCAGGCAAAGGCCCTGGGAGAAATACAAAAATGAATAAAAGCTACTGTGGGCTTCAGAGTTTGATTATATTCTTTGGGCTTCAGGGAACCATTGAAGGGTTTTGAAGAGGCAAGTCAAAGAGTGAATCTAGCTTAGGGGGTGTGGGGATGGGGTGGGGGGTATCTGAATGTTGTGGCCAATATATTGAAGATATAAGAGCCTGCATGGAGGGAGGCCAAGTGGGAAGCTAAGGGGGTAGTGTAAGGCAGAGCAGGAGGGATAGAGAGGGAGAACAAAATGCTGAAGCTGCTCCAAGGACAGAATTAGGGTTTTCATAATGCTGGGATGTGGGGCATGTTGTGAGGAAGACATCTTAGCTGCCACTAAAGTTCAGAGTCTGAATCCATCAGGATCCAGCAGATAAAAAGAAGGAAAGGGCTACTTACAGAGGTATAAGCAGGGATCAGGGAACTGATAACTATGGAGAAGCATCCAGGAACAAGCAACAGTGGGAACTATCACTATCCCTAGGCCTGAAGGAGTAATATAGGGAAATGGCGTTCCCAGAGCCATGGAGGAGTTGTCACCATAGAATTCAGCTCCTGCTAGTGTGAGAGTGAGGCAGAGAGGGAGCAGGTTGGGGTTGGGGAAATAAATATCCTGACCTGTCTGCCTTCCAACCTTCTAATCTCCCACTGGCCACAACCAATCTTCAGCCAAAGAGCAAGAGAGCCCAGATGGAATGGTGCAGAGGTCAGCCTCCTGACACCCAGCGCCGGACACAGAGAGGCAGGGAAATGGCCATGACCATAGGTGTGCGGTTGCAAACAAGGAATATCCACCATGGTGCCTGAGGTTCTATATAGTCTCGTGGCTACACATTGGGCTCTGGAGCCAGACTCCCTGAATTTGAATCTCAACTCTTACTTCCTAATGATGTGACCTGGGGCAAGTTACTTCACCTATCTGAGCTTTGATTTGCTCATCCGTGCAAAAAAAAATCTAATTGTTGCAAGATAGTGCACAGTGCATTGACTACAATAAGTGTTAAATATGTGTGAATGTTGGTTTTTGTTGTTGTTATTGTTCTTCTTCTTTGTTTTACAGAAATAGAGGTCCATTCATGAATTCAGGGGATGCAGGAAATGCTGGTTGAGGGGGCAGGGAGAAGGGAATGTGATCTTAAGCCTTGAGTCTTGTTCTTACAGGGTCCGTGGTACTTGTGGGCCGTTCATGAGGAGATGGCCAGCAGGCAACTGACATGTGCATCTGGGGCTGAGAAGAGAAGTTATGGGGCTAGAACAGATTTGGAGTTCATCTGTGTGGGAGTGTGGCTCAAGACAGGGCACTAGATGAGGCTGCTTAGGGGCAGCCTGTGGAAAGGGGGAAGTATGGAGTCTTTCTGTATCTGATGAGTCTACAGATCCATTTGCTTTGACTCAATCTTCTAACTGCCATTAAACAACTACATGATTCCCCACCTGCTTCTTCCTGGATACAAGTTCAGTTTTAAGCTAATTGGTTGGATGGTGCTAGAAGCAAAATCTGCAATCTTGTGTGGAGCTAGGCCAATTGACCCACTTGGGGCTGTTTTGTATTCATTCATTCATTCATTCATCAGACTTTTTTTATTAATATTATTATTATACTTTAAGTTTTAGGGTACATGTGCACAACGTGCAGGTTTGTTACATATGTATACATGTGCCATCTTGGTGTGCTGCACCCATTAACTCGTCATTCAGCATTAGGTATATCTCCTAATGCTATCCCTCCCCTCTCCTCCCACCCCACAACATGTTCCCCTTCCTGTGTCCATGTGTTCTCATTGTTCAGTTCCCACCTATGAGTGAGAACATGTGGTGTTTCATTTTTTGTCCTTGCAATAGTTTGCTGAGAATGATGGTTTCCAGCTTCATCCATGTCCCTACAAAGGACATGAACTCATCATTTTTCATGGCTGCATAGTATTCCATGGTGTATATGTGCCACATTTTCTTAATCTAGTCTATCATTGTTGGACATTTGGCTTGGTTCCAAGTCTTTGCTATTGTGAATAGTACCGCAATAAACATACGTGTGCATGTGTCTTTATAGCAGCATGATTTATAATCCTTTGGGTATATACCCAGTAACGGGATGGCTGGGTCAAATGGTATTTCTAGTTCTAGATCCCTGAGGAATCACCACACTGTCTTCCACAATGGTTGAACTAGTTTACAGTCCCACCAACAGTGTAAAAGTTCCTATTTCTCCACATCCTCTCCAGCACCTGTTGTTTCCTGACTTTTTAATGATCGCCATTCTAACTGGTGTGAGATGGTATCTCATTGGGGTTTTGATTTGCATTTCTCTGATGGCCAGTGGTGATGAGCATTTTTTCATGTGTCTGTTGGCTGCATAAATGTCTTCTTTTGAGAAGTGTCTGTTCATATCCTTCGCCCACTTTTTGATGGGGTTGTTTGTTTTTTTCTTGTAAATTTGTTTGAGTTCTTTGTAGATTCTGGATATTAGCCCTTTGTCAGATGAGTAGATTGCAAAAATTTTCCCCCATTCTGTAGGCTGCCTGCTCACTCTGATGATAGTTTCTTTTGCTGTGCAGAAGCTCTTTAGTTTAATTAGATCCCATTTGTCAATTTTGGCTTTTATTGCCATTGCTTTTGGTGTTTTAGACATGAAGTCCTTGCCCATGCCTATGTCCCGAATGGTAATGCCTAGGTTTTCTTCTAGGGTTTTTATGGTTTTAGGTCTAACATTTAAGTCTTTAATCCATCTTGAATTAATTTTTGCATAAGGTGTAAGGAAGGGATCCAGTTTCAGCTTTCTACATATGGCTAGCCAGTTTTCCCAGCACCATTTATTAAATACGGAATCCTTTCCCCATTTCTTGTTTTTGTCAGGTTTGTCAAAGATCAGATGGTTGTAGATGTGGGGTATTATTTCTGAGGGCTCTGTTCTGTTCCATTGGTCTATATCTCTGTTTTGGTACCAGTACCTTGCTGTGTTGGTTACTGTAGCCTTGCAGTATAGTTTGAAGTCAGGTAGCGTGATGCCTCCAGCTTTGTTCTTTTGGCCTAGGATTGACTTGGCAATGAGGGCTTTTTTTTGGTTCCATATGAACTTTAAAGTAGTTTTTTCCAATTCTGTGAAGAAAGTCATTGAGCTTGATGGGGATGGCATTGAATCTATAAATTACCTTGGGCAGTATGGCCATTTTCACGATATTGATTCTTCCTACCCATGAGCATGGAATGTTCTTCCATTTGTTTGTATCCTCTTTTATTTCATTGAGCAGTGGTTTGTAGTTCTCCTTGAAGAGGTCCTTCACATCCCTTGTAAGTTGGATTCCTAGTTATTTTGTTCTCTTTGAAGCAATTGTGAGTGGGAGTTCACTCATGATTTGGCTCTCTGTTTGTCTGTTATTGGTGTATAAGAATGCTTGTGATTTTTGCACATTGATTTTGTATCCTGAGACTTTGCTGAAGTTGCCTATCAGTTTAAGGAGATTTTGGGCTGAGACGATGGGGTTTTCTAGATATACAATCATGTCATCTGCAAACAGGGACAATTTGACTACCTCTTTTCCTAATTGAATACCCTTTATTTCCTTCTCCTGCCTGATTGCCCTGGCCAGGACTTCCAACCCTATGTTGAATAGGAGTGGTGAGAGAGGGCATTCCTGTCTTCTGCCAGTTTTCAAAGGGAATGCTTCCAGTTTTTGCCCATTCAGTATGATATTGGTTGTGGGTTTATCATAGATAGCTCTTATTATTTAGAGATACGTCCTATCAATACTTAATTTATTGAGAGTTTTTAGCATGAAGGGCTGTTGAATTTTGTCAAAGGCCTTTTCTGCATCTATTGAGA
Source organism: Homo sapiens (assembly GCF_000001405.40). Lineage (NCBI taxonomy): Eukaryota > Metazoa > Chordata > Mammalia > Primates > Hominidae > Homo > Homo sapiens. The sequence goes on along the minus strand of NC_000017.11, from coordinate 33,881,019 downwards.
TAATCATGTGGTTTTTGTCGTTGGTTCTGTTTATATGCTGGATTACGTTTATTGATTTGCATATGTTGAACCAGCCTTGCATCCCAGGGATGAAGCCCACTTGATCATGGTGGATAAGCTTTTTGATGTGCTGCTGGATTCGGTTTGCCAGTATTTTATTGAGGATTTTTGCATCGATGTTCATCAGGGATATTGGTCTAAAATTCTCTTTTTTTGTTGTATCTCTGCCAGGCTTTGGTATCAGGATGATGCTGGCCTCATAAAATGAGTTAGGGAGGATTCCCTCTTTTTCTATTGATCAGAATAGTAGTTTCAGAAGGAATGGTACCAGCTCCTCCTTGTACCTCTGGTAGAATTCGGCTGTGAATCCATATGGTCCTGGACTTTTTTTGGTTGGTAAGCTATTAATTATTCCCTCAATTTCAGAGCCTGTTATTGGTCTATTCAGAGATTCAACTTCTTCCTGGTTTAGTCTTGGGAGGGTGTATGTGTTGAGGAATTTATCCATTTCTTCTAGATTTTCTAGTTTATTTGCATAGAGGTGTTTATAGTATTCTCTGATGGTAGTTTATATTTCTGCGGGATCAGTGGTGATATCCCCTTTATTATTTTTTATTGTACCTATTTGATTCTTCTCTCTTTTCTTCTTTATTAGTCTTGCTAGTGTTCTATCAATTTTGTTGATCTTTTCAAAAAAACCAGCTCCTGGATTCATTGATTTTTTGAAGGGTTTTTTGTGTCTCTATTTCCTTCAGTTCTGCTCTGATCTTAGTTATTTCTTGCCTTCTGCTAGTTTTTTAATGTGTTTGCTCTTGCTTCTCTAGTTCTTTTAATTGTGATGTTAGGATGTCAATTTTTGATCTTTCCTGCTTTCTCTTGTGGGCATTTAGTTCTATAAATTTCCCTCTACACACTGCTTTAAATGTGTCCCAGAGATTCTGGTATGTTGTGTCTTTGTTCTCATTGGTTTCAAAGAACATCTTTATTTCTGCCTTCATTTCGTTATGTACCCAGTAGTCATTCAGGAGCAGGTTGTTCAGTTTCCATGTAGTTGAGCAGTTTTGAGTGAGTTTCTTAATCCTGAGTTCTAGTTTGATTGCACTGTGGTCTGAGAGACAGTTTGTTACAATTTCTGTTGTTTTACATTTTCTGAGGAGAGCTTTACTTCCAACTATGTGGTCAGTTTTGGAATAGGTGTGGTGTGGTGCTGAAAACAATGTATATTCTGTTGATTTTGGGTGGAGAGTTCTGTAGATGTCTACAAGGTCCGCTTGGTGCGGAGCTGAATTCAATTCCTGGATATCCTTGTTAACTTTCTGTCTCGTTGATGTGTCTAATGTTGACATTGGGGTGTTAAAGTCTCCCATTATTATTGTGTGGGAGTCTAAGTCTCTTTGTAGGTCTCTAAGGACTTGCTTCATGAATCTGGGTGCTCCTGTATTGGGTGCATATATATTTAGGATAGTTAGCTCTTCTTGTTGCATTGATCCCTTTACCATTATGTAATGGCCTTCTTTGTCTCTTTTGATCTTTGTTGATTTAAAGTCTGTTTTATCAGTGACTAGGATTGCAACACCTGCCTTTTGTTTTCCATTTGTTTGGAAGATCTTCCTCCATCCCTTTATTTTGAGCCTATGTGTGTCTCTGCACGTGAAATGGGTCTTCTGAATAGAGCACACTGATGGGTCTTGACTTTTTATCCAATTTGCCAGTCTGTGTCTTTTAATTGGAGCATTTAGCCCATTTACATTTAAGGTTAATATTGTTATGTGTGAATTTGATCCTGTCATCATGATGTTAGCTGGTTATTTTGCTCGTTAGTTGATGCAGTTTCTTCCTAGCCTCAGTAGTCTTTACAGTTTGGCATGTTTTTGCAGTGGCTGGTACCGGTTGTTCCTTTCCATGTTTAGTGCTTCCTTCAGGAGCTCTTTTAGGGCAGGCCTGGTGGTGACAAAATCTCTCAGCATTTGCTTGTCTGTAAAGTATTTTATTTCTCCTTCACTTATGAAGCTTAGCTTGGCTGGATATGAAATTCTGGGTTGAAAATTCTTTTCTTTAAGAATGTTGAATATTGGCCCCCACTCTCTTCTGGCTTGTAGAGTTTCTGCCAAGAGATCAGCTGTTAGTCTGATGGGCTTCCCCTTGTGGGTAACCCGACCTTTCTCTCTGGCTGCCCTTAACATTTTTTCCTTCATTTCAACTTTGGTGAATCTGACAATTATGTGTCTTGGAGTTGCTCTTCTCGAGGAGTATCTTTGTGGCATTCTCTGTATTTCCTGAATGTGAATGTAGGCCTGCCTTGCTAGATTGGGGAAGTGCTCCTGGATAATATCCTGCAGAGTGTTTTCCAACTTGGTTCCATTCTCCCCATCACTTTCAGGTACACCAGTCAGACATAGATTTGGTCTTTTCACATAGTGCCATATTTCTTGGAGGCTTCGTTCATTTCTTTTTATTCTTTTTTCTCTAAACTTCTCTTCTTGCTTCATTTCATTCATTTGATCTTCCATCACTGATCTCCTTTCTTCCAGTTGATCGAATCGGCTATTGAGGCTTGTGCATTTGTCACATAGTTCTCGTGCCATGGTTTTCAGCTCCATCAGGTCTTTTAAGGACTTATCTGCATTAGTTATTCCAGTTAGCCATTTGTCTAATTTTTTTCAAGGTTTTTAACTTGTTTGCTATGGGTTCGAACTTCCTCCTTTAGCTCAGAGTAGTTTGATCATCTGAAGCCTTCTTCTCTCAACTTGTCAAAGTCATTCTCCATCCAGCTTTGTTCTGTTGCTGGTGAGGAGGTGTGTTCCTTTGGAGGAGGAGAGGCGCTCTGATTTTTATAATTTTCAGTTTTTCTGCTCTGTTTTTTCCCCATCTTTGTGGTTTTATCTACCTTTGGTCTTTGATGATGGTGACGTACAGATGGGGTTTTGGTGTGGCTGTCCTTTCTGTTTGTTAGTTTTCCTTCTAACAGTCAGGAACCTCAGCTGCAGGTCTGTTGGAGTTCGCTGGAGGTCCACTCCAGACCCTGTTTGCCTGGGTATCAGCAGCGGAGGCTGCAGAACAGCGGATATTGTTGAACAGCAAATGTTGCTGCTTGATCGTTCCTCTGGAAGTTTTGTCTCAGAGGAGTACCCAGCTGTGTGAGGTGTCAGTCTGCCCCTACTGGGGGGTGCCTCCCAGTTAGGCTACTCGGGGGTCAGGAACCCACTTGAGGAGGCAGTCTGTCTGTTCTCAGATCTCCAGCTGTGTGCTGGGAGAACCACTACTCTCTTCAAAGCTGTCATACAGGGACATTTAAGTCTGCAGAGGTTTCTGCTGCCTTTTGTTTGGCTGTGCCCTGCCCCCAGAGGTGGAGTCTACAGAGGCAGGCAGGCCTCCTTGAGCTGCAGTGGGCTCCACCCAGTTCGAGCTTCCCGGCTGTTTTGTTTACCTACTCAAGCCTGGGCAATGGCGGGTGCCCCTCCCCCAGCCTCACCAGTTTGATCTCAGACTGCTGTGCTAGCAATGAGCGAGGCTGCATGGGCGTAGGACCCTCCGAGCCAGGAATGGGTTATAATCTCCTGGTGTGCCATTTGCTAAGACCGTTGGAAAAGCACAGTACTAGGGTGGGAGTGACCCAATTTTCCAGTTGCCGTCTGTCACCCTGTTCTTTGACTAGGAAAGGGAATTCCCTGACCCCTTGAGCTTCCCGGGCGAGGCGATGCCTTGCCCTGCTTTGGCTCATGCTCGGTGTGCTGCACCCACTGTCCTGCACCCACTGTCCGACACTCCCCAGTGAGATGAACCCGGTACCTCAGTTGGAAATGCAGAAATCACCCATCTTCTGCGTTGCTCACGCTGGGAGCTGTAGACTGGAGCTCCTATTCGGCCATCTTGGCTCCACCACCTCATCAGACTTTTATTCAGCACATGCAGCATATCATACTGTGGAGAAAAAAAGAAAATAATTAAGAAATGTGAGGCCTTGGCCTCACTAGTAGCTTTCTATTACCTATTGTAATTGTTTAGACACTTTGGTGTTTGCTGTGGCAAAGCACACATTCCTGGACTTTTGTGAGCTTAGAAATAACAGAGAGCTCTGCTCCCAGGCTCAGGAAAGCAAAAGTAACCTGAACGCGTGCCAAACTCAGATTCCATCCGTAATGCACGGGTTCCTGGGTGACAGGAACATTTCGAGGGAAGCTGAAGTTCTCAGCTGGATGCATGGAGAATCAGTAGAATCAGTTCTGCAGAAGCCCATGGATATCATCTGTCCTTTAGATACCACAGTCCACTTGTGAGGCTGGACTGGACTTGCTCTACTTCCTTTCCATCCAACTGAGCATGAGAAGCAGACTTGGTTCAAATTCTAGATGACTGCTGGACTCTGAGCTCTGTGTGGGTGAGGGAGGCTTCTTAACTTTTATGTGATTTATTTTCCTTATTTATAAAATGAGGACAGTAATTATACTCCTCACAGAGTTGTTGGACAGATTAAATGGAGATAGTACAATCAAGTGGTGGTCCCTGGTAAATGGTTAGTAGAAAAGGAGCTCAAAAATATAAATTACTCAAGTTTGTTTTGTTAGAGTTATTTTTAAAACATTTGCTCAATCGTAGATATTGTGGTTTCAAAGGGATCTTCGAAGTCTTGTTTTGTAACCACATCATGCACCAAGTGACCAGGTATCCTAGGCACCCACAGTAACAAGGTCTGGAGAGTCTTCCAAGGTGGGCAATTCCATGTGGGTGACACTAAGACTCCTCTTCTCTTCGCATAACTTCTCAAGGAGTGAAATGAGTTAACCTTTCCTGTTTCATTTCATTCTCACTGTGTCCCTATGGTGTTACAGAAGGCCATAACCGTAGTCCCGTTTTACAGATGAAAATGCAGAGGTACAAAGAAACAAAGATAACAGAGCCAGTAAGTGCCAGCACAGGAACTTGAACCAAAGTCCTTTGAATCTCGATCCCAAGTACTTTGAATAATATGCTCCTCTACTCGTTTAGACCCATTTTTATTTTTTTATTTTAAATATGTTTGATATGAAGTTATTTTCTTTTAAAGTAGCACAATTGAGAATCTTTTTCTAATTGAAACATTTTTCTCCTTTTTTGTGATAATAAAATTTCACTGCTCTTTACTGGAATTCAGAGACCTCCATTGAGTGGTATTACAAAAGCTGGGATTATAGCACTCACTCTTAGGTCCTTTACCCTTTCAAGGAGATTGTTCTTTAAAAAAAAAAAATCCATCCAGTTAAGCATTTTCCTGTGGGTCAAGCACTTTGGCTTGAGTGAAATGAGACAGCCAAGAGTTTTTATTCTGCCATATTCATTAAGCATCTTCTTAGTGCACAGATAGAAGTTGGGGAGGGCAGGTCAGGAAAAAGATTTAAGGAGAGGAGCAAGAAAATGACTAGCCCAGAAGTTCAGAGGTGAACTTGGCTCCCCAAAGTCTCTGAAATGGGGCTTTGGGGACTGAGTGGCTGTTAAGTAAAGGAGACACAAAATCCCATATATGACCGAGGATTCTGCTGGGAGGGGCAGTGGCCTAAAAACCTTCTGTTTTCATTTTCAGCTGTCTCTGTCTTTTGAGAGTTCTCTCACTTTGAGCCACTTTTGCCAAAGCAACTACATAGTTTATAATGTGTTGTTATAAAAAGCATTTGCAGCAAGAGGATGCTGGGATGGCGATCTGGGTGAAATTGGCCAGCAGTATTCTGGAAAACTCTGCTCATCCATCAGGGGGACTTCTATTTTTAACAATAATGAGTCCAATTATGTGTTAGCCTCAGTTTCCTATTCTATTTCCATTTATTCAGCAAATATTAACTGAGCATATACTATGGACTGGTACTGTTAAGTGATTGAGCCCACTTTTTTCCACTCCATGGGAAATCATCAACTCCCCACAGCACTGACATTCCAATCCCTGCATTATTCCCGCATTCCTGGACTCCCTTTGGCTCTCCAGGTGAATAGCTCCAGTAGATATTGGCTCAAATGCATGATCCCTGCCCTCTTGGAGCTTAAAAACTAGCTGCCTTGGAGCTTTGTCACTGGAGCTTGTCATGGGACAAGATGGGGGAGGGCAGTTAATTTTATCAGGACAGGAATACTGCTGGGAAGGAGGGGCAAGACTGGTCATAGGTGTGGTCCCCGGTAATCAGCCAGCCACATGGTTAGAAAAAGATACTCAAAAAGCATGTGGTGATCAGCAACAGGAGACTCCCACCAGAGGTAACTTCAGGCAGTGGAACAAAGTGATGGAGAACTGTGGAACAGGAACTATTGAGAAGCACTGGCCAGCAGAGATTGGCATGAGGCCAGCAAAGGAGGGTGGGGATGCCAGTAGGACGGTGATAGAAAGAGGAAGTCAGGATGTTTGGGGTATGAAGAAAGGGGTTACCATCTAGCAGCTCAGTGGCAGGGGAACAAAGTTGCATCTTTCTGATCTGGGGGCAAGGCCCAGTTCCAGACGAGGTTAAGCCATTATCAGAACTGGGGCTCGAGGTCAAGAGGACACGGCAGGAAGAATGGTTGGCTTCAGACTAAGGTTGCTTGGTTTAGCAAATGAAAATACAGAACACCCAGTTAAATTTGAATTTCAGATAAATAACAAATAATTGTTAATATAAGTATACCCCATTCAATATTTGGGACATACTTATACTAAAAATATTTATTGCTTATCTAGAATTAAAATTTAGTTGATGTCCTGTATTTTATCCGGCAGCCCTAGTTGAAGCAGAGGTCTAAAGTCCTTTCATCCCTTCTGCTCGTATGGTCAGCTCCAAGAAGGGTAAAATAGACATTCTAAGGAGTTCTTGGAGCCAAGGGGGCCCAGCCAGCTGTGACAGAGGCAACATTCTCTCTTTTCACCAGGGCATCGCTAGATGGTCACTTCTACCGAATCCTAGGAGAAAGGGTGAAGTTGAGTAGTGCAATTTGATTAATATTAGAACCTAGGAGAGGCCAAGCCCGAAGACGTGGGGCTAAAACCCAGGCTCCAGGCCATTAGCTCAAAGTCTTCTGAGATGAGAAAGACTAAAAGCAGAATTCAGCCTGAAAGAACTGGTTCCAGGCAGGAAGCCCCAGCTGCCTGGCTATGACATAGGTTTCAGCCCCTTCCTCCTAAGTGCCAGAGGTAAGACCAGTGGAAGGGAGTTGGGGCCATAGACTATTCTCTCACAAAGAGGGGAGCTTGAGGCATCTGCTTCTAGGCACCAAAACGGTCGGGCATGATTCTCATTCTCTCTGGAGGTATCACTAGTACCTGGGGGTGGGATGAACTATGCACAAGGTTAGACAGGCATGGGCTTGAATCCTACTTCTGCCTGAGTTTTGAAAGTTTGCATTGGGTGCTTTTGTACATGGTATTACCCCGTTTTAATCTTTACAACAATTCTTTATAAGACTGAAATCTATATTATTACCCAATTTTTACAGATAAGGATTTTGAGGCTCAGAGAGGTAAAGAAACCTATACAAGGTCACACAGTAGTAAGTGATGGCCTCAAGAATGATCCCAAATCCTTCTGACTTTTTCTCTACACCACAATGCCTGTCAAGGACATAGAGAGAGGAATCCCCACCACAAAGCAGAAGGTCTTGGCCTTTGTCCTGACTCACTACTCAGCATGAGCCAGACCACTGTAGCTTAAGTAGGCTTTCCTCCAGTCAATCACCCATTCTAGTTCCTGCTAAGCACTTATCACTCTCTGAAGTCAGTTTGTGTGTTCATGGCTTACGTGTAATTTGTCTGTCTCCTCATCATACTGTTCTGTTACTGGGAAGGGGGATAATCCTTATCTTTGTCGTCTTGGGAGAAAGATTTTGACCAAGAGACAGTTTAGCCAAAAAAAGAATGTATTGAAGGAAAATGGAGAGCAAAGAGTTTATTTAGAGAGATAGTACACTCTGAAAGATGAGGCAGAGTGGGCTGATGAAGGAGAATGGGCCGGCAACAGCCCAGGAGTTCTGCGTTGGGTTTTTATGATGTCAGATTTTTTCTTGAAGTTCTTGTCTCTGTCTTAAGTCTCTGCCTTTTTCTTGGTCTAGTTTTCCTGCTTCTGCCTTCAGTCCCCACCTTTCCCCTTGCCTAGTTCCCACCCCAGGCTTGTGGAACCCTCCTTTACTATTTGCTGGTGCCCATGCGTGGGCCAGGTATTGGTTACCAGTGCTGCCTTATGGCTGCATTGCTCATTACCGCCACCCAGGAAGGTTGTATAGTGGTCAGATCCATACTTAATGTGCCTCTGTATCTCTAAGGAATTTCTCCTTTGCCCTCGTCTCCTCCTTATCAGCATGTAGCTAGCGACAAACTGACAGGTGAACTGCTGGGTGAGCGATTACTGGGGGTCTTAAGGGGTGTTCCTTCCAGCATAGGTATTTCCCCTCCTCTGCTCATACCTAGCTTGCAGGTTTCAGGTGATCTCTGGGGTGTGAGATTCTCCAGACCTCCCTTTTCTCAAGGGCTGCCCCTGCTGCTCAGGTCTAGCTAATAATATCTGCTGACTCTAACAGTTCCATGAGAATAGGTGTCTGAGCTCTCTTGTCGAGCTCTGTATCACTAGAATCTGAAGGAATACCTGGCTCATAACAGTCCTCAGAAACCACATACGGGTTGAATGACTGAATGATTGAGCCAATCCATCTATCCATCTTGGTGTCTCCATCTCTTTGCTCATCTTCCTGCCTGACCCCTCAGACTGACACTTGGTTCAGGCTGTGTGTAGGGTCTTGGCTTCCCTCTATCTTGGGCTTCTGTGGCCCGATGTTCTGTGGCGTAAGGTCTGTCATCCCCACTCCTTGCTTCAGGCTCAGCTCCAAGATTCTCAGGCTGGGCTTAAAGGGGGACCTCAAACACAGGAAGCAACAGAAGACTATTTACACCCCCTCTCTGCTGAGGGGAGGGAAGTCCTAATGCCCTCCTGGCTGATATCTGGCTGGTCCAGGCGAGTCACTTGCAAGGGAGATGGGATGGTGACTCTAGGGTAGGGTGGCGGAGGGGCCTGAGCCTGCAAGTGGGAGGAGAGAGGGATCTCAAGAACAGCATGGCTCATCAAGAACATGAGCCCCCTCCTTGTTTTTCTGAGGTCCAAGCTCTCTCTCTCTCCCTCTGCAGAGTGTGACTCAGCCCAAAACCTCACCCCACCCAGAGGTGTGTACAGCTGACAGACTAATTACCCCCTTTGCCATGACTCAGCGCCCAGTGCTGCCTGTCTGCCGCCAGCTCATCATCCAGAGACTGTTTACTATCACCTCCAGCCATACATAATTCATCAGCCTCCCTCTTTCCGGTAGCTGTCATCCCTCCTCCTCCCGTAATTCAGGTGGCAAAGTCCCCTTCTGAGGACTCTGAGGACACAAAGGTCCCCACCTTACTAAGGAGGCTGCCCTGAGAGAAGACACCTTTAGACTAGAATGGAGAGGGTGGGAGGGTCCTCTCTCCAGATCCTGAGCAAGACAAGGGTATATGCTTGGAGAAAAGCATCACACACACCCCTCCTTCCTTCCTAGCCGCTCCCTGCCCGCCAGGACCTTCTCCACTCATTGTCCATCCTGGAAACTGGGAAAGTCAGAAAGTGAAGATGAGCAGGGAGAAGGAGGTGGGGTTGACACTGTGGAGAGAAGCTGGAGGGTGTGGCAGTGCCTCTGCTGCCTTGCCGCAGGTAGTTAGCTTTATGTGTGTTATTTCTTCAAGTGCTGCCCAAAATACTTTCCATTTGTAGAGGGCTTTTAATGACTTCAAGGTGTTAACTTGCTGCAGTCTGATTCTCCCTCCGCCCTGTGATGTCCACCCTCTCTGAGTGCCCCAGCCTCATTCAGCTTCTGAACTCCTCCATCCTCCTAGGGCACAGGAACTAGAAGGAATCTGGCATCTATCCGGGAGAGCCTATAGCTGGATGCTCAGTGCCCATGCAGGAGGAAGGGAGAGGAGGAGGGGACAGTCACTCTGTGCTTGATCATGGCATCTCACATCTTGCACAAAAGGAAAACCCACTCTGATTTGGCTGAAGCCAAGATGCCCAGCTTCATGCCAGCATCTCAGGGGGTGGGGTGGGCACAAGCAAAGCGCATTCAGGACAGTTTGCAAGGCAAAGGTCTTATCTCTCTAGCTCCTGCCTTCCTACTGAAGCAGCCATCAGAGTTTATTATGTTTAGCACTTATATTAAGCCTACATATGTCAGGCATTGTTCTAAAAGTTTTCCCAATATTAATTAATTTAACCCTTGTAATCATCTAACAAGGTAAGTTTATTATTGCAATTGCACAGATGGAGAAGATCTGTTCTAAGAGTTGTCAACACTTAGACCTTTCAGGTGAACCTCAAATATATGAGAATTGATTAGTGAATAGCTCCCTTTCCCTATTTCTAAGAGGCTCTGGCCTGAGACTTTTCTCCCCACACCCACCCACTCATCCCAACAAGTAGATTCCGAAAATTGTACTTTCCTCTGCTCACCTGCTTAAGCTAGAAAACTGGGGTGGCACCCTGAATTCTTCCTCCCGTACCCTCACCAAATTCAACCCACCACCATGACCTTTTGTCCTACCCTCTAAATGCCTGTCAGCTGAGAGAGGAATGGACCAAGTCAAGCAAAGTGTTGTGGGCTGTGATGAGGAATTCTAGTTTTTAAATTTATTATTATTATTTTTGTCTAAGCACTTTATCAAGGGATCTCTGGCTGCTTCTTGCTGGTCTTTCTGTGTTCGTTCTTTCTCTCTCCCAAACCCATTCTCCAAACAGCAACCACAGAGAGCCTTTGATGAAGTGCTTAGACAAAAAAAAAAAAAAAAAAAAAAAAAAAACAGAATTTCTCATCACAGCCCACAAGGCTTTGCTTGACTTGGTCCATTCCTCTCTCGGCTGAATTTTTTATCTGAAGCATCTATTACGGTTTCTAATGTGGTATCAATTAGATATGATTCTGTGTTTGGCAACTGTCTTTATCACTAGACTATGCTCCATCAGAGCAAGAGATGCATTTCATTTTTTCTGCTATGCTCCCTGTGTCTAGTACTATACCTGACATCCTGTAAATCAGGGGCTGGCAAACTACAGCCATTGGGCCAAATACAGCCTGCCATCTGGTGTTTTGTTTGTTTTTCAGTGTAACACTTTTATTGAGATATAATTCACATTACACATAATTCACTCATTTAAAGTGCACAGTGCAATGGCTTTTAGTATAAACACAGAGTTGTGCAACTATTATCACAATCAATTTTAGGATATTTTTATTATCCCAAAAAAGGAATTTATTAGCAGTCACTGCCCAGTTTTCTCTCACTTCTCACTCTTAGCCATAGGCAACCATTAATTTCCATTGGCCTCTACAGATTTGCCTAATCCCAATATTTTATATAAATGGAATCATAACATATGTGGTCTTTTCTAACTTTGTTCTTTTACTTAGCTGATGTTTTAGAAGTGCATCCATATTGCAGCATGTATCTATACTTCATTCTTTTTTATGAATGAATAATATTCCACCATGTAGGTATACCACATTTAATTTATTCATTCATCAGCTGATGGACATTTAGATTGTTTCTACTTTTTGACTATTATAAATAATGGTACTATGAACATTCAGGTACAAGTTTTATGTAGGCATGTGTTTTTATTTCTCTTGAGTATATACCTAAAAGCGGACTTGCTGGGTCAGTTTTGAGGAACTGCCAGGTTGATTTTCTAAACACTTGTGCCATTTTACGTTCCCACCAGCAGTGTATGAGGGTTCCAATTTCCCCACATCTTTGCCAACAATTAATATTCTTTGTTTTTTTTTAATTATAGCTATTCTAGAGGTTGTGAAATGGCATTTTCATTGTGGGTTTCAATGTGCATTTTACTGATAGCTAATGATAGTGAGCGTCACTTCGTGTGCTTATTTGCCATTCGTATATCTTCCTTGGAGGATTATCTATTCATATCCTTTGTTTTGCTTTGTTTTGTTTTCTCTTTTGAGACAGAGTCTCACTCTGTTGCCCAGGGTGGAATGCAGTGCTGAGATAACAGCTCACTGCAGCTTTGAACTCCTGGGCTCAAGTGATCCTCCAACCTCAGCCTCCCAGTTAGCTGGGACTACAGGCATGCACCATCATGCCAGGCTAAGTTTTTTAATTTTTAGTAGAGACAAGGTCTTACTATGTTTCCCTGGCTGGTCTTAAACTCCTGGCTTCAAGTGATCCTCCCATCTTGGCCTCCCAAAGTGGTGGGATTACAGGTATGAGCCACAATGCCTGGCCCCTTTGTACATTTTTATTTATTTATTTTTATTGTTGATCTGTAAGAGTTCCTTATATATTTGGGATACAAGTACTTGATTAGGTACGTGATTTACAAAAGTTTTCTCCCATTCTGTGGGTTTTCTTTTCTCTTTCTTGATGGTGCCCTTTGGGCACAAAAGTTTTAATTTTAATGAAGTCCAATCTATTTTTTCTTTTGTTCCTTGTACTTGTAGTGCCATATCTAAGAAAACATTCTCTAACCCAAGGGCTCAGAGATTTATGCCTATATTTTTTTCTAATAGTTTTATATTTTTAGCTGTTACATTTTAAATCTATGATCCATTTTGCATTAAAACTTTTGCAAATGGTGTGAGGTAGGGGTCTGACTTCATTCTTGTGCTTATGGCTATCTAGTTGTTTCATGTCATTTATTTTTGTAAATAAAGTTTCATTGGAACACAGGCATACCCATTGTTTTACATACTATCTATAGCTGTTTTCATCCCACAGTGGCAGAGTTGAATAGTTACTACAGAGATTGTATAACTTGTAAGTCTGAAATATTTATTATCTCTTCCTTCACACACACACACACACACACACATACACACACACACATACATTTGTTGACCCTGCCATAAATAGTTTTTGGGCACATAAATAAATTATAGCTGAGATTTGATTAGTATATACATTTATGATTTCTAATGCTCAGAGAGAAAAAAAAATGTTCCTAGCTCTTGCTAAGATCAAATGGCTTCAATGACTTACTGCAGAAAAACCTTCTCACACAGAAATTATGAACCAGGAGATGTGAATTCAAGTCTGAATTTTGCCACTTGCATGCATCATCTTGGGAAGAAGCCACTGACATCGTGGTCCCTAAACCCCATGTCCCTGCTTAGCTTTCAGAGGGTGACAGCAGTGCTGTATCTCTGGTGTGACTGGGGCATTCACATTTCTTTTTGCACTTTCCTGTCTGCCTTGATAAGGTAAAGATATAGACATGATCCCAGAAAAAGAACCCCTGTGTCTTCTACCTGTGACAGCAGAAGCCCTCAAGCAGTTGCCAGAGCAGCTGAAACCAGGCCTCTTCGTGGGGCTCCAAAACACTGCTGCATTTACCCAAGGAGAGAAATCTCCCCAGTAGAACCTCAGCCCCCTGAAGGAGACAGGCAGTCTTTCCCTTGTGTCCCCTTGCCTGCATCTGTGATAACCCTCATAGCCTCCTTAATTGAACTTTTGCTTTGCCTTTTGTTAAAATGTCTTGTGGTTGGCAAAAGGGCCCAGTCTTTGGAATTGGATGGAGATGATTGTTAATCTTACTCTTCCTGGACTAGCTGTGCAACCTTGGTAAGTTCATTTTATTCTCTTTGAGCCTTACATTCTTCATCTGAGAAACAGGGAAGAATAATAAATATATCTAGTTATTGTGAAAATTCTAGAGATAAATAAATCATTACCGTGAAGATCCTGGTGCATTACAGGGGATCAGGAAAGAGGAGTTGTTGATAATATTCATATCCTACTTTTAAACTGGGGAAACTTCAGCCAGCCTGAAAATCTAAAAATATTTTTTAGATATAGCAGATATAGCAGAAAATCTAAAAAATTTTCTATGAAGCTCTTTCTGATACTTTTGAAAGTGTTTGTTCCCTCCTCTACACATATATACCATGCCATATCTCCATTGCAGAACTTCTGCCTTAAGTCTCTGTTTCCCAGATTCCAACTGTGGTTGGATAATCAACGTCTGCAGCAGTAGCTGGCACATGGCCCTCAATTAGTGTCTGAACATCTGCATTCACATTACATATTCTTTTTTTCCTGCATGACTGATGTGTCCAAGGGACCACAATTCAGAAATCATTGGGATCCAAATGAATGAATGAGCTTCTTTAAGTCTAGGGTCTTCTGCTTTAGGCTAGTGAGATGTTCAGACAAAATCCAAGAAGCACATTTCAGAGACTGGCTTCTTCTTAGGCCCTGGAGGAGATTTTGTGAACTGTGATCTCCATCTGTAGGTCTATGGCATCTCTGGACCCCACTTCCTCACTCAATCCATTCAAGGTTGCCTGACATATAGAGATCAGTCAGGGATCCTACATTTTATGGGACGATTGGTACCTGGAGTGTGTTCAAGGCAGCAACCAGAAAGATGAGAGTCAAACACAGATGAAAGAATCAGAGAGTTGAATAAAATTAACTTAAGAAACCTGGAAGTATGAACATTTTAAATACATATACTCTTTGACTCTCAGAATTTCACTCCTAGGAATTCATCCTAAGGAATAATCACATAAGTGCTCAGAGATAAATGTACAAGGATATTTATGGAAGCATTGTTTTTTCAAAAAAAAATATGTGGGGGGTTGAAAACAATCAAAATTTTCATCAATAGAAAACTATGAAGATATCCATACAATGGAATATAATTCAGCACACGATGAATTTGACATAATACAGACATTAAAAAGGACAAATTTGAGAACTTTCAAAAACTGATGTTGGGGTGTAAATTGGTACAGAAAAGTGGCAATTTCACTCCTAGGTATATAACTAAGAAGTGTGTCTTGTAAGTGTACCAAAATGAATGCATAAAAATCTATTTGTAATGGCTCAAAACTGTAGACAACCTAAAAGTTCATCAACATTGGAATGGATAAATCAATTATTATGTAACCATACAATGCAAAACTATAAAAATAAAAATGAACTATGACTACATAAAAATGCACAATTGGATTTCACAAAATGTTGAGCAAAGAAATCAGACAAAACAAAATACAGTGTATGATTCATTATATGTGAAGTTCAAAGTTAGGCAAAATTAATTTATTTGACATCAAGAGAATAGTTACCTTTGAAGAGAAGGAAGAAAATAGTGATTAGGAAGAAGTAATAGAAAGTATGTCTTGGTGGTAGGGAGCTGGTAAAAGTCTATATATTATTCTCCATGTTGGTTCCATTATCTGTGCACTTTTCCATATGTTTGACATAGTTCAATAAAAAAACGTTTTTTTTTTTGTTTTTTTTTTTTATTTTTTTTTTATTATACTCTAAGTTTTAGGGTACATGTGCACATTGTGCAGGTTAGTTACATATGTATACATGTGCCATGCTGGTGCACTGCACCCACTAATGTGTCATCTAGCATTAGGTATATCTCCCAATGCTATCAAAAAACAAACGTTTTTTAGAAAGAGCATCCACCATAGATTAGAGGAAAGAAAGCAGATTATGAAATAATATGTACAGTAATATCTCATTTAGGTTAGAACAAGGGAGATTAGCTTATGACTGGAAAATTCTGGAAATATATGCTCCAAGATGTTAATAGTGGCTGTACCTGGCAGGTACATTTTCACTTGCTGCCTTATGCATGTCTGTACTGTTGAATTTTTAACAACATCTATTACTTTATACAGAAAGAAAAGATGCTTCTCTTGTGAAAAAGGAAGGAAACAGGGTCGTAATTCTGCCAGGTTACTGGGTTGATCCGCCCAATGGAAATGGAACAAAATGTGGCTTACAATTCACATAATTGGAACCATCTCATGGCTCCTGGGGACGAACCATATCAACACACTGACCATCGCCTGGTGTTGATGTGTGTCCTGCAACCTGGGGCATCAACATCCTAATGGATCACCCCAGGTCCCCTGACTCCATTCCTGTTCATCTCTTCAGTTGCTAGGCAATATGTAATTAAATGTTGGAAAGGCTCCTCCACCCTGGATACATTATCCTGAAAATTGGACTTTGCATCTGGCAGTCTTAGAAAGCAAAATTCCACTCCCCTCAACCCCCCACCCTCTGGTTTACAATTGACTCACAATTTAATTAAAATGATTCCACGGACATCTGGTCTCCTTTACTAGGAGTGCATTTGCAGTTGGTTTTCCTGGCATGTTTTTGTTTGCAAGCCATGGATTTATTTACAGAGACAGAAAGGCTCATTTTCCTCTCTTAGGTGTATCTTTGTGATCTTTATTAATGCTCTGTTTTGTAGGCCATGACTATGCCTCTGCATTGTAAGCTTCCAATGATCTGTTTCTCCCTGAGCTCTGCTTAGCCAATGAGTAGCCAGTGACACCACCAAGGCACCTGCCACCCTGCTGACTCCACACAGTGCATAGGGTACCTGTTCGCTGCTGGGAAATTCAGAACAGTCTCCCCTCCACCTTCATCCCCAGCCCCTGTCCCCTTTACCATTAAAAGAACTCTTTGGTTAGCTATTTTCTTTAATACCTGACATCACAAAATAAATGTAGAAAGAGTTCTTAAAGGGCCATGTGTGGCTGAAGAGAGTGAGAGGAACTGGTTGGGTGGTCTCTGGCTAACTACCTGCCCTATCGGGGCCCCTGTTTCACCTGCCAAATAGGTGGCTGGGCTTAACTAGCATTTCCCACATGTTAGGTAATTTCCACACTTTCATGATTTGTTCTATATCTGCATGCTTCCTACGCTATTATTTATACGACATTTTTCTTTAAATTGACTTTTTTTCCCCATAAATATGTGTATAGTGGAAACTTTAAATCACCACATAAATGGTAAAATATTATCATTCACCATAAAAAGAAGGTAACTGGCCAGGCGGGGTGGCTCACGCCTATAATCCCAGCACTTTGGGTGGGGGGCCGAAGGGAGCAGATCACCTGAGGTCAGGAATTCGAGACCACCCTGACCAACATGGAAAAACTCAGTCTCTACTAAAAATACAAAATTAGCAGGGCATAATAGTGCTTGCCTGTAATCCCAGCTACTCAGTAGGCTAAGGTAGGAGAATCGCTTGAACCTGGGAGGTGGAGGTTGCAGTGAGCCAAGACCACACCATTGCACTCTAGCCTGCACAATAAGAGCGAAACTCCATCTCAAAAACAAAAAAAAAAAAAACAAAAAAAGAGGTAACTGTAAATGTAAAAGTGAGCATAATAAAAAATATGATTAACTTATAGCTAGATTTTTGTTGTCTGCCAAGGCTCTGTGCCCAAGATTTGTTCTTTCTTTATTAAAAAGAAAAATCAGCTAATGTTTAGAGATTGTCGGAAGCATATTAATACCACTTTGAGAATTTCTCCTTAGACAATACCAGATGGACTGACAGAGAACTGAGCAGGAAATAAGTTCCTGACTATAGGATAATTTAAAAAGATGGTGGCCCGGATTATCTTGCAAGTCCTTTGTGGTTTTAGCAATCATGAGAGAATGGACCCTAGCAGACAGTTGTTGCAGGCTCCAAAGTTGATGCTGAGTCCATTTCCACTGAGGTGGGAGACAAGTTCTGCTTAATGCTTCCAGAGTCTGCTGACAGTTGTTTGGCCATGTCATTCCCAACCTTAGCTTTTCTGTCCAGTGCTCCCCAGTGTTTTAGTTCAGGGATTTCTCCATTGCAAGAAACATAAACCTAGTAAGACACCCACAAGCAACCCATTCTAGGGCTAAAAGCATCATATGGATTCAAAAGCAGGAATCATACCAGAGTTCTATGTGAACTGCGGCTGAGCTACTCATTCCATCCCTTTTAGGAGCCACCTGATAAAGTCTTCTCTCCATCAGGGCTTCTCAGCCACGTGGCCCAGAATGGCCAGGCTACTGCTGCAAGCTATGTGGCCTTTCTTCTTCCAACTGCTCTATTTCTCTAAGCACAGATATTCAAGACAGATCATCTGATTGACTTAGCTATAAGCTGGCTCCCTTGAGGTCAGAGGACCAGTCCTGGGCTGTTCAGGTGCCACTTGCGCTCCTGAACACTCTAGGGCTCTTTGCTCAGGGAGAAAGATGCAGGAAGTTTGGGTTAAGCTGGAAGGGGAAGAGCTGCAGTGATGTCATGTGAGTCATCTGAGATAGCCTCCCTCCCCTGCTCTGAGAGCTGGGGGCAGTCTTCATGCTGCTTGGTGAACCACTGGTCTTCACCAAGTCTTCAACCGCTGGTCAAGAAACTGACCATCTGCCCTCTCTATTTAGTAAATTGCATTCCCTGACTGTCCAGTGAACTAGAAGGCTGGCCATTATGGCATCTTCTCTGAGTTGTGACAACCTTTGTCAAAAGAAGAGGTGTGTATGGGTGCATGGGGAGGGAAACTCAAGGAACATCTTTGACTCATTCACCACTTCACTCATTAGCCCAGTCATGGAAGACCTGGTTGGATATTATGGGAAGAGCTGCAGACACATAAGTAGATGTGAGTTCAAATATGGATACTGCTGCCATTGACTAGCTATTTTACCTGGAATACCTACTTGCACCCATTTTCTCATCTATAAGATTAGGATTTTAAAAATCTGTATCTTGCTGATTACCCTGATTTGATCATTGCATGTGGTATACATGTATCACATCTATACCCTATAAATATATATAATTATTATGTGTCAATTAAAATAAAATTTCAAAAAGAAAAACAGGGACATAAATTCCAAGCAAATATGAAAAATGAAGTAAATAAATACTCTATATCTACGATGATTTTGTGAGGACTAAATGCAACTGTCTATTCTCTGGTCCTGAACATTCAGTCTTGAAACGTAACTAAATCTGATTACAGTGTGTTACAAATATTAAAAGAAGGTTTTGCAAAATGTTTGGAAAACTCAGAGGATGGCGAGTCTGACTCAGCTACCGAAGAGGCTGCATGTTAGCTGGACATTGAAGGATGGGGCCTCTTGCTCTTGCAAGGCAGAGAATACAGGAACAGTATACTGGGTGAAGGAAAACCTTGAACACTGGTAAAAGGTGTGACCTGTGAAGTTTGTTCAGAGAGCAGACAGTATCGTGGTGCAGCTCAAGCATCAAGCTTAAGGGGCTGCTTGATGCAGGAGGGACCAGAAAGGTGGAGGCATGCTGGTATGCACAGGGAGTTAAATACCACTTTGTATTTGCCACGGTCTCCCACCTGCTCCCAGTTGCTTTTGCCATTGCTTGAAACTGAGTAAGCGGGAATTGTCAGTGAAGTTTTCTGTGCAGGGATATTGCATCTATTGTAGCAAGACATCATGTCTGACCATAGAGGTACTTGGATAAAGGCACACAGAACTTTCCTATACACTTAAGCAGTAGTGGAAAGCAAACCAAAACAATTGTGGAAAATTATTACTTTAATTCAATCAGTGATAGCCTTTTCACCTTCCTCTCAGAGGCAGAAAGGATGGGAAGAAAAGAGGTAGGCTGTTCAAAGTTCCTGAGCTGGTGTCAGACATAAAGAAAATTTAATGCATTACATAAAGCTCTGATACAATTCTCTCATACTCTCTATACTTCTAACACAAATGAAATTCTTAGTTATTAGATGCGTAAACCTCAGCAAGCCTCAGTCTTCTCATGTTTAGAATGGGAATAATAGCCTTTGGTCTGCTTCTATTAAAGGGTTGCCATGAATTTCAAAATTAAGGAATGTATTTGAAACTGCTCTGAAAGCTGAAAAGTACTGTATAAATGTGAAAAAAAGCATTATTCCATAGCTGTGATATTACTGTATAAACAATTTTGAACTCTGCGTTTTTCATTTAATATTGTACCTTAAATATTTTCTACGTTATTCGAAATTCCTTATACTGGCTTTTAATAACTACCTGCTTTCCCATAAAGCATATGCTCCTTTATTATTGAACATTGAGATTGTTTTTAATATTCTGCTAATAAGACTAATGTAAGAAATACCCACCTGTTACACACGGGGTTTTTTCCTTCTATTTAATATCTCAGGTGACTTTCTTTTCAAGAATTATTGTTGTTAAAAAAGAATAGTTTTCAGACTCTGGATACATATTGACAGATATGTACTGAATTCTTTCCAAAAGGACAGTGCAAATTTTTACTCCCACTTTAGTACACAGTGTGGGTGCTAGATCCTCAGTGACCAAGGCTGCTAAAGACAGAGATCATGCCTTAATTGCTCAACATTGTACCTCCAGCGTCTAGCACAGTGTGTGGGATGTCTTTGGTACACAATCATTTCTGCTCACAGAATGAATGGTCAACTGGTGTCTACCTCAGCAGGTATGTATCTGCATACATGACTGATAGACTATTTAACTTTGAGCTTCATAATGGCAGCAAAAATATATCTGTGAAAGAATCAATTCATGCTATGGAAACAAAACTAAATAAAAACCTAGGCATAGTGAGAAGTCCTGGAAGGCTCAGCTACATAATTATGCCATATGATTCTGGTCCTAGCTGCCAATCTTTTTTACTTGAGGAATTACTCAGCCTATAGTCTGACTTCTTAGGGAGAAGCAAGCAACTCCCATGTTGTGTAAAGCATGGAAAAGTCAACCATTGGAAAGAAATGACCAGAAAAGTTATTGTTCCACTCAGGCTTCTTAATAATTCCAGCACTTCATTCCCATTTCTGGGTAGGCTCTCTGGCCCCCAGGAGGAAAGGACAGTAGTCCCTTGAATCTGACTGCATAGATGGTCACTGACTCCACCACTAGAGAGAGGATCAGACCCAGAAAGGAAGGTAATGCTTATTTTGCTTGACTTTATACCCCCATCTTAAGAATTCTAGGCAGCCTGCCCTTCTCTTCCCCTTCCTTTCTACCTGGAGGGAAGAAGGTGAAGGCCTCCCATTTATTGAGCAAGAATTATGCCTGGTATTATGCCTGCCTTATCTCATTTTATTCTTACAAAAATCTAGAATGTAGGCACCATAATCTCCATGTTAAAAATGAGGAAATCATGGCTTAGCCTTCCTCAGAGCCACCCATCTGGTGGGTGACAGAGCCAAGATTCAGATGACACTACCCCAAGCTGCTGTCCCCAAGTTCTTCTGATGCTATGTGAGAAATATATGGCATATAAAAAAGGCTGCTCGGTGTGGTGTCTCATGCCTGTAATCCCAGCACTTTGAGATTCAAGGCAGAAGGACTGCTTGAACACAGAAGTTCAAGACCAGCCTGGGCAACAGTGAGGCCCCGTTTCTACAATTTTGTTTTAAATTAGCTAGGTGTGGTAGCACATGCACCTGTATTCCCAGCTACTTGGGAGGCTGAGATGGGAGGATAGCTTGAGCCCAGGAGTTCAAGACTGCATGCAGTGAGCCATGATCACACCACTGCACTCTAGCTTGGGTGGCAGACCCTGTCTCAAAACAATAACCAAATAAAATAAGTAAACCCATCCCCTGCCCATGTCACCATGGCCTCTTTCACTGCCAGCTCCAGCGCTTTTGTTGAATTCCAGTCAATACCTTCTCCACTCACTCTGCCTTCAGGAGATCTTCCCTGCAGCCCCAGCCAACAGGGATCTCACTCTACACATAAGTTCTGTCAGTTGCTCCCAGTGTGATACTGGACAAGCTGCTTAATCTCTGATTGAGCTTGGGTTTCTTTCTTGTAACAGATGGACGGTAATATTGCCTGCCTCTCTTTAATGAACTTTCTTCCTTTGTTCCTCCCCCCTTTTCCTCATTTCCTCCTTTCTTTTCCTGGTTCTTTCAACAAATCTTTGTTGAATGCCTACTAAGCAGTTGATATTGGAATCAATTTTATTGTGCTATAGAACTAGGAATTGAGGCTATAGCTTCTAGCCTGGAGAATCCCTTCATATCTTTTTGAACTTGGACATGTTATTCACTATCATTATTTATGGTATTGAGGTAGAAGTCACATAACCCAACACTATTATTTTTATAGCTAGTTTGCTTCTTATTTCATGCTGCTTTAAATTATTGAGATTTATGTGTGTGGACACAGTTGGTCTTAAACAGCCCTAGCACTTGACATAATGAATGGCATGTAGTACATACTCAGCAGATATTGACTACATGAATGAATATGGTTTATCTTTTCAATGGCAGTTTCTGTTCCTGGACAGTCTGGGCCATGTCAATATCAAATCTTGAAGGGACCTTGAGGAATTTCTGAGTCAATCCACTCATGTGGCTGAGTAGGGACTCAAGGGCCACACACACAGTTAGTGACAAAACTAGGTCTCCCTACAACCACAGTACACATCTGCCTCCTTGTGTCTGGCATGGTTCAATGGTTGCACTACCTTCAACAACCTGTCTAGAAGGGAGAACCTGGGTGAGATCGATGCATATGGGTTGTCCCTGGAGATTCCCAGAGGACACCCAAAGGTCTCAGGTGCAGAGCTCTGCTCTCCCATGATCCAGTCCTCTGGGAAAGGCACCTGAGGCCTCTCGCTTTGGCTGCAGGCTATCAGTAGTACCTGGGAGGTGAGACAGAGCAGCAGAGATGTCCCGCTGGCGGCTCCTGACTGCTCACAGGGACTCAGGCTGTCTTTGATTCCTGAAGATGAATCAGCTGTGAAGCTGCTCCCGCTAACCCCAGCGTTAATGAGGTCTTTGAACTAAACAAAATTCATTTCTGTAGTTGAGAGCACAGAGGGAATCGCTCCCGGACTGGCAGCACAGAGCCCTTCATTAGCCATTTCTCTGCAGCCACCAGGCTGGACCCTGCAGGGCAGCCACACTGGGGAGTATAGAGAGAGGGCTTTGGTATCATGGGAGTTGGAAATTCAGGCATTACTCGCTGTGCTTCTCTGGCTATAGAGTGAGGTTTGTTTTACCTCCCTCACAGGTTGGCTGCATAAATTAACATATGCAAAGGCTGTGGCCCAGTGCCTACCTCTGGGTAGGTGACCTAAGGACGAGGCAGAAACAGGGTAGAGGCTGGGGTGAACAACTGGCCCAGAGTGGAAGATGGCCCTAGGGAGAGACAGAGGAGAGTCTCCACCTGCCTGTGAGAATTCTGTGGATGACTAGAGCTCAGAGTTCTCCCAGAAGAACTCACTGCAAGGTGTTACCTGAGGTCCTCTTGACCTCCCACTTAGAACCCAGGCTGCAAGCCTGAGGAGCTGGACAGAGGTTTGCTGTGGAAGATGCTGACTGTGAACAGGCGTCTGCTCATTATAGGTCTTGGTCCATGTCCTGTTCAGGAATCAGAATCCCAGATATTTGTAGCTTTTCCCCTGATTTACTCTGTAATTGTGAATTAGTTACTTTTCTTCCATGAAGGGAAGTTTCTGGATCTACAAAATAGAAGGTCTGAAGGAGATATGTTGGATATCACAGAGGATAGATTATTGTCAGTTTGAATCCCAGCTCTGTCCTGGATTCACCAACTGACCTAATCCTGTTGACTCCTCTCTTAAGATGATACCTCAGCGCCTCGAACAGTTCATGCCCCTCTCTGAGCTTTGACGTTTGCATCTGCAAAATAAGAGTTCGGATTTAATGACATTAAAGGTCCATCTGAGTCTCACCAGTGGCCCCAGAGGCCTCTGAGCCTAGACTTCTCACTTCCTTTTGTTTTTTCTTCTTCTCTTCCCTTCATCCTGAGCGGAAAGGGGTCTAGGTGTTGAGGTTGACTGGCTGAATTGGGGATGGAACCTGTGACAGAGGAAAAGGCAGGGCAGAATGTTCTCCTCTCTGGTCCTGGAGTCCCATCATCTCTCACCTTGCCTTTCACCTGCTCTTCTCCTTCTCAGTTTCCCCTTCTGTAAATTATATTCTGTGACATTGAGAGCTATTCCTACACCCTGACTTTTAATTCTACTCTTAGGGAATTTTGACCTTTGGGGTTTAGAGTTCTAGTCAAGATACGTCATGTCTGGGACAGCACTGGTTGACCAGCAGCAGAAAGGGGCCGAGGGCATGGGGAACTAGAGTTGGTTTGGCTGGAGTGAGCGTGGGGTTAGGGTAAGACCCTTCAATTTTAGGGCTGCCAAGGAGCAACTGAGAACAGCAGAGAGCAATGCACACCCTCCTTAATCCCCCAGTATGCCTGAGCTCTTGGCCGCTGAAAGCAAGCTCCATCTATCCTCCTTAGGTGGGGTCCCCTTGGGTGCCACACTCCAAATAAAGCCCAGGATGGCTCCTCCGTGACTACAAGACAAGCCCACACTCCTCAGTAGGTCACCCACAGCCTTTCAGACCCGGCCCCTGGCCACCGTTTCAGCCTCACCTTCTAGCTACCCCTGTCCCATACACCCCCATCTGTAAGCATCATGACTGCTTACAGGTCCCTGAACTACCTGTCGCGGTCTCTCAGGCCTCTAGGACTTTGTTAGTGCTATGACCTCTGCTAGGAATGAATGCTCTAGCCTCCTTGTTCAACACACCAACTCACACTCACCATTCCTCTGGCACAACTCAAAGAGCACACCCTCTGTGTCTAGCTTATCCTAACCCTCGGTGTAGAAACAATTCCTGCTTCCTCTGAGCTGCTTCCTGTTAGGATACTACAGCCAACAGCACCACCACTTCTACTGATGCTGCTACTGCCACTACTACCACTACTACTACCACCACCACCACTACTACTGACAACACTATTACTACTGCCACCACCACCACTACTACTGATAAGACTATTACTACTACTACCACCCTCATTACTAGTACTACTGTTACTACTGATACTGCTGCTACAGCCACCACCACTAGCACTGCTACTGCTACCATACAACTTTTACTGTAACAACAAACACTGTAAGTTATTTGTATGTCAGTCACTGTTCTAAATGCTTTCTACATTTTTAAAGTCTCACAATGACCTCATGAAATTGATATTGATGCTTTTTCCTATTGTACAGATGATAAAACTAAGAGACAGAAAGATTAATTAACTTGCTCCAAGCCACCCAGCTGGTAAGAGGTAGGCCAGTCAGATGTCAGAGTCCCTGTTCCTGACCTCTCTGTGTACAGTGCCTTGTGTACACTCTTCTATTGTGGTATCATAATGTAATGCATATAGTTCATTGCTTACTTTTTTCTCTCTTCCTCCTTCTCCCTCCCTTTCTCTCTCCCCCTTCTTCCTTGCTCCTTTTCTTTTCTCCTTTTAAATTGTGAGCTTCTCAGGAGTAAGGACCTTATCATTTTTTAATCTCTTAATATCCAGGCATAGCACCAGCATCAACAACTATTGGGTTGGATTGTGCAAAATGAATCAGCTATTATCTGAGCCACAGTTTGGCTACTCCTGTCTCATGAGAAGTTGGTAGAGTTGGCCATTCTGAGTTATGTCCAAGAGATGTGGGGATCATCCCAATCTTTCATCTCTTCCCTTAGGTCAGGCAACAGAAAAGGGAGCACAATCCTCAGAATGCATCAGGAAACACATAGCACCACCCTCAACCTGCCCCCATCATCATTATCATCCCCATCGTCATCACCATCATCATCCCCATCATCAGCATCATCATCTCAGTCCAGTCAAGCCCCTAGGTGGATACACATGAGATTTTTCACTCCATCTATCTATAGTTTGCCAGTGAATAATGCATCTAGGGACTTCTCCACCAAAGAATTATCCTCTTAACTGTGTAAAATTATAGTCATTTTGCAGAATGAATTAATTTCATCCTAAAAACAACCATATGGGGTTTATAATATTACTATACCTGAATTTATGTGGGACTTGGGGAAAGCAAAGTCACCTGTCTGTAATCACACAGCTATTCAGTGGCAGAACCAAGAATTGCGTCCAACTCTGTGTGACCAAAGCCCACTTTCCCCACCACAAGGCACTGCTTCAACTCACAGACCCAGTTGAGGGGGCAGAGCAGGGTCTCCAGTCTGGAGTTGGCTAGTTCCAGCTCTTTCCTGCTGCAGCACAGATCCAGTTATGGTCACTTTTGCAGGAGCAGCTCACAGCTTCCCATCATCTCCCTCGTGTGTCAGCTCATTCACCTTCCCCCAGCAACTTGGCCTGCACAATTGGTAACCTCTAAAGACCTCTCCTTTGGCCACACTTTCTGCTGCCGGCATGCCCTTCCATCCCCTGCCCCCATCTCAGAAGGAAAGCATTCTCTGCCTGTCTAATTTTCTAACTCAGTTGGCCCCTAGCAGGAGCCTGGGTCAGAGGTTCCTCCTACTTTTGCTCATGCCTGGCAACCAGAGGAAACTGGAGAGAGAGTCCCCCTGAGCTCTGGAGACAGCACGTGTTTTTTTAAACACTAATAACCACAAGCTAACACACACCACCCACAGGGAAGGACAATCCCACAAGGAAAGTTCATCCCAGGGCAGATGACAAATGGGAGCTGGCAACTTGTGTGACAGAGGTCCCCAGGTCTCAGCCCCAGCTGACTCAGCTGTGCACACACATCATTAAGGCAATCCACAGGGGCCACTCACCCAAATGTGCAGGTTGGCACAGCTTAGACACATGTGAAACAACCCTGCTCTTTCTGCAGATCTTGCTCCTGTAAAGAAGCCGCTTCCCCCACCCACAGTTCCCTACTTTGAGGGAATCCTGGGGCAGTATCCTCAGACCCCATTATAGCCAGAGCAGAGACATGCAAATATGCACATGTTCCAAGCAAGTATATTCATCACATATGTCCACATGTACTAAATATATATGTTCACTGCACAGAAACATTGCTGCACAGTATGCCCATGTGCATAAACATGCACATGGATATACACATATGTGGGTACAGAAAGAAATCACACGCACATCCAACAAATGCCACACATGTTTACCTTGAGGGTCTGCACACATGACCAATACCCATGCATACTGCCTG
This sequence comes from Homo sapiens, assembly GCF_000001405.40. Classification (NCBI taxonomy): domain Eukaryota; kingdom Metazoa; phylum Chordata; class Mammalia; order Primates; family Hominidae; genus Homo; species Homo sapiens. The sequence goes on along the minus strand of NC_000017.11, from coordinate 33,854,293 downwards.
CACATCAGCTTATAAGTAGACATGCCACCCACTAAACTGACATGCATGCATGCCTACAGTGCAGAAGCACACAGACTCACTCTTCTACCTCCAAAATTCAGCTGGAGTTGATGCTAGGCCATTAACTAGCAAAGAAATGTGCCTCCTCCTTACCCCATTTCCCAAACAATAGACGTTTACTGGGGCGGACAATCTGCAATTAGAAGATGTATTGCACCAGAATAGACTTTTGTTGAGTTCATTCCCTTCTAGCCAGAATAGCTGTCAAATCATAGATCTTAGACTTTTAACTTCGATGGGCAAATGTATCAACTTTTTTAGAGATAAACTCATGGAATCATAAAGTAGAGACCTGCAAGGGAAGTTTAGAGACGAGGAACTGAGGTCTAGAGAACTTAAGGTGTCAAGGTTAAGCGTCTACCTGTTGGTACATCCAGAATCAGAATCTGGGTCTCTTGGCTACTCATATGCTTATCTCCACATGTGCCCTCTTACTTATCAAATCAGCGTTTAATGAACATCCACTCTAGACCAAGCTCGGTGCTAGACCCTCAGGATACAAATGTGGGTGAGTTCTGCCCTTGGAGAACTTAGCCAGAGATTTCTTCTTATCCTCCCACGTTGGTCTTTCCTGCTGCGATTAAATCCATTTGAACCTTCAGCTTGCCTCAGAGGGAACTGCAGAAGACCACTGGCATCATTAATGGGCCACCCATGACTCTTACAGGATCTTGATGACACTTAGAGATCGTCCTTACGGAACTGGAGTTGTCGCTTAGAGACGGTCCAGGTCACATTGTCCCTTTACAGATGGGGATATAGATTTCTTGCACAGTTTCTTTGTGAACCCTTTGGCCCTGTTGTCTCCAAGCCAAACCGAAATGAATCAATGCATGTGTGCCCAGCACTGTGCCTGGCACAGTTGATGTTCCCTCCAAAGTCAGTCCCCTGCCAGGCCGGGTGAGCCCTTTCTCCCAGGAGTTTCTTCCCCATGGCTGAGACTCTTTGCTAAAAGGAATCTCTACACAGAGGTCCTCTACTACCATCCCCACCTCCCCTCTCCCTCCTTAGGATGTAAATACACTCCAGGGTGTCTAACAAAGTCCTAGTACTGCTCTGGGTTGTAAAAGAATCTCTGCTCAATCATCACCTGGTAACTGAAGTGTTAACTTTGTGTGTGGGAGAAGTGTTTTAAGTTGGGGTCACAGAATGTCTCCAAAATTGTGCACAACTCACTTGTGTGGGTGAGACTGTACATGACTGTGAGGAAAGGCTGATAGCTTTTTAACTGTCTATGACGGGGGGGAAAGGCTTTAGGGTGAACTCCTCTATCAGGGATGACAATAGGGTGGGGAGTTCTCAGGCAGTGCTTGTGTTGGTACTGCATTCTGGAGTAAAAAGTAGCCCCACAGAATGGCATCATGGAGGTGGTGGCCCATTTATTTAACCATCTTGCTCACCGGCCCTCTCCAAGTTCTCAGAATCTCTCCTGAGCCAATGGGAAAGACAATTTGTAATGTGAGCCCCTTTGAGTATCCATCGAAGATCTGTGTGAACTTGGGGAAATTGTTTCTCTTCTTTGGAGAAACAGTGTCCTTATCAAGAGGTAGCAAGGTGTAGGGAAAGAAAGATGGCTTTGCAATCAGACAGCCCTCAGCTCAAATGCTGACTCCTCACTTAACTCGTCACAAAAGTCACTTAACTTTGTCATATTTCGGTTTCTAGGCTGTAAGTTCAAAATTATTAAGTGTAGATGGGACTTACATGTGGATTAAGATCATGTAAAATCTTTTACACATGTAAAATCCATCATAGTGCCTTCACATAATTGGTGCTCAGAGGCACCAGCTTTTCTCCTGCCATCTCACCCCACAGAGAGGACCTGAAGTAGGTGGTCAGCAACCTCTGATCTCCACCAGAAAGGGGACGTAAGGTGATCCTGAAGCCAATGGTGAAGGTTTAGCTCATGCATGCCTGCCACAAAGAAAACATCCTGTGCCTTTGATTTTCACAGCTTCACATATCTAAAAGATTCAAGAAGGAGTGAACTGCTTTGGTAAAAGGCCTCATTGCTCTCATGGAAGGAAAATGAGCTCTCCTTGTTCTCCTTAATAAAAAACAGCCTTACTTGATGATGGATAGATGCTGGGCCCCACTCTGTGCTTGCACAGCCTGCTGGCTGTCTAGCATCTTCTCTGTCTGACATGCAGAAGACAAGCTAAGATTATTCAGTCCAAGTGAAGCAGCGCAGGCCTGAGTCACTGAGTACAGCCTGAACGGAATGGTCCCTTTCATCCGATCCCTTGTTTGCCTTTCTTCTGAGCCTTGGGGGTTGCAGGCACTCTTGCCCTGGTCACGGAAACAGCAACAAGATTCTCATTTGTTTGGTTCTTTTCAATTACTCTATGAACTGAGCAGAACAGGGGTTATTCCATTTGGGAGATAAACAAGCTGAGGTTCCTAAAAGACTGATTGTCCATTGACAGCAGTGGTTCCCAACTATGGGTGATTATGCTCCTCTACACACTGACATATGGCAACATCTTGGAAACATTTTTGGCTGTCACAACTGGGGATACTACTGGCGTCTAGAGGGTAGAGGCCAGGGATGAGCTAAATATCCTACGAGGCATAAGACATCCCCCAACAACAAAGTATCAAGAGTGCTGAGATTGAGAACCCTAATTCAGACCTTTAAACAAATCCTTTCCTGCATCTTCTAGAATAAGCGGAAGCAAGAATTAATGAGAAAGACCTTTCCCCTTTTGCTGTTGTGGATTGTTTTTTTGTTTGTTTGATTGTTTTTGAAACCAGGCACTGAGTTTGACAAGAGAACTTCCTTTCTTTTCACTCTGGAACACTCCCCAACACATCCCCTGCCATTTCTGCACTTACGTCAGTCAGTAAGTCTGACTACCCCTCGGCTACTCCCCCATCATTGCCCCCAGCCTCATGGTCTTTAATACATCAACCCTGTCCTCTTGGGTGGTCTCAGGAGGGTACAGGAGAGAGTTCTACTAGGGACCCTCTGCCTAGGGCCCTCCCCTGGTGGGATGGCTGCTCCTAAGAAAGCTTCTCCTTGAGAATTGGGGACCACAGTGCTGTTAGTTCCTTCCGACAGGAGGCAGTTCCTCCAAAAACCTACAGTCTTTAAACTGGAAGAGAACTTTGAAATCATTTTGTTCCCCCTACCTGACCCCTTTGGGGATCTCTGCCTTTTAGAAATGAGGAAAATTAGATTCAAAGTAGCAACAAAACTAGCACCAAGTCTCTTAACTCTTCCATGAGGGATCTTTCCAAGGTCCACTTGCACATGGCTGTCCAAGCCTCTGGCTCTGATTGGTGTTGGGTGTAGTTTTCCAACCTTGCCCCAGGTTAATGGGCTGGGACGGCCAAGTCCAAGTCATTTTGCTGGGATTGCATTTCTGGACTCAGGTAATGGCACCGAGATACTGCAAGCCCCAAATGCCAGGAAATTAAGTGACCGAATGACCTAAACAGGGAACTCAAATTCATCTGGCCAGGGCAGATCTGGATGCCTGGGGCTCAATGCATAGCACCTGAAACAGCAGATAGATTCCATTCTGTCATCAGAAGTAGCAAGCAACGATTTTACCTGCAGAAAATATGACTCTATTATATGTGTGCTCTCAGATCATAGCCCAGAGGAAACATACCATGAACAATCCCCTCCCCCAGCAAAACTCAACAACAGGCTGTCAAACCAAGCAGATCAACTGTTTTCATGTTCTCCCCTTAATATCTATTTGCTATTGTTGGCTCCCTTTGTCATCAGCTGGTATGCTCTAGCAGACAAGTGGTAATTGCAGCCAGAGGCTTAAGGAAATTTATGCGAGAAGAACTAAACATGGAGAAAAATGGTACCCATTAACTGTCTTTCTGAATGTTGGGGAAATGATAGCAAATAGGATATGTGGCGACGAGATACTTTGGTCCAGGACATAGCATTTCAATCTTTATTTTACTTTATTTTATTTTTGACTGTTGCACAGAAGTTTTCATGAACATGCAGTTTAAGGAGAGGAAATGGATACAGCACAGGTTCATTTGTCGGCCTGCATCACTCCCATGGTCCCTTCCAATTCTTCTTGGCCTCAAAACTGATCCCCAAACCTCAGTGGGCCATAAGCCCTGATTTTGTGAGCACCTGAAGAGAACAGTAATGGAAGAATGATAAGCACAGTTAGACTCTAATCTTCGATAAGGCAAGAACCATGTCTTTCGGGATGTGTTTCCCCCTCTTAAGAAACAACATACCTTTAACATAGCAGAATTCAAAAAATACTTTGTATATCTACTGTTGTTACTTTTTGTAATTAATTGCCTAGGACTATAACAGCATCCACTGATTTCTCTGCTTCCAGCTTTGCCTCAATCCAATCCACACTGCAGCAAAAGTGAGCTTCCTAAAATGCAAATCTGATCAGCTTCCTCCTTTGAAAAAAGCCCTTATTGACTCCCTGTTGCCTTCAGGAGTCCAAACTCCTTTTCATGGCATGAAAGGTTTTTCCATGCCTGAGTCCTGCTTGCTTCTTCAGGCTTTGACAGTGCTATTCCCTTTTGCCCAGTCTCTGATGCAGTCTTCCAGAATATTTGCAGTTCCCCTTTCTTCACTTGGTTAACTCTTAATCACCCTTCCATACTCAAGGGGAAGGCTTCCTCCCTGGCAAGTCTCACCCCCTGGGTAAGGCTTCCATGATCACCTCCCTGGTGACCCCCAGCCATCCCTGACTCTGGGAGGGAAATAGCATGGTTTTTAAGAGAACAGACTTGGGTGTCAGAGAAACGTAGGCTTGGATCCTGGTTTAGTCACTTACTAACCATGGGACCTTGAGTAGGTTACACAGCACCCCTCATTCCTCAGTCTCCACAGTTGCAACATGGAAATGATAATGATCTGTACCTCTTAGGGCCCTGGTGAGGCTCAGTTAAGACTGCAGTAGAGCACTAGTCCCCAGCCAGTGTCTGCTAATAGCGGACAGCAAGTCCTTCATGCTTGCTCTTCCCCTGGGTTCTCATGGCCCTCTGTGCTTCCAGGATCCCAGTTCTTACCAAGAAGCTCCTAGCAGGCGGGGACTCAGCACAGGATCTCACCTAGAGTGAGCACTAGATATGTTTGCACATGAGTGCACTAATTAATGAGCACATTTATTCACTGGTATAGAAGGGTGAAGGATTCAAGTTCTACTTTGGACTTTAGCACAAACTAGTTGTAAAAATTAGGCCAATTTTCTGAAACATAAATGCAGAAATAGTACAGAAATCAGCCAGTAGGCAGGATCTGCCTCTTCCTAGGTATGTTACTTTAACAAAGGAATTAGCACCTCTCAGAGCTTCCTTTTTCTTAGCTGTAGAATCAGAACAATGTTTATCTGTTGTAAGGATAAAATAGATATGTGCATATAATGTGTTTAACAAATACTACTTTTATCCCTGCCTCCCCTTCCCATATTTTCCTATTTTGCCTGGCAGAACCCCAGAGTGTTGAGGGCCTTGTCCAGTAACACCGTCAGCCCCTGGAGTGAAGCCTGCCTGCCTTCCAGGTACCTCTCCATTCCTTCATCTGTACCATCCAGCTACTGCCTAGAATGCCTTGGGGAGCAGGGAATTAGGAATTACTGTGCACCTGAAGTGCTGACGTTGTTATTTTTGCTCTTTTGTAAAATCACGAGACAAGTCAACTCTGCAGAATGTTGTATAAATAACTAGATAAAAAGATTAGTATGAGTCCCTAAGGGCATGAGAGCCTCTAAAGCTTGGCCCTTTTGAAGCAGGGAGGGCACCAGCAGCTCAGTGCCTGTCCTCTGTTGCTTTTGGGCTACAACACCCCTCATTCACAAGGGAGCAGGAGCAATGCCATTATCCCTCCCAAGCAGTAGCTCACTTTCAAGAGAGCAGAGGAAGAGGAGGTATAAGACCTAAGAGGTTGAGCATGTAAGGAGAAAAAAAGGATGCCCCACTGGGTAACCTAGGTTGCCTGCCCCTTAGTTGGCACGTTCATTATTGGCAAGGATGAAATGTAAACGTGGCTGCTTCGGGGGCCCATGTTAGCTCCAGTAGAATGGGATTTCTGGCAAAGGCTGCAGTGCCTTCTGCTTTGATCTAGGGCTGCCCTTCTGGTTGCCTTGACCACCCTCTACTTGGAAAGGCAGAGCGTGTAATGCAAAGAGCTCAGGCTCTGAAGTAAGCAGATGTAGATTTTAACCTTCTCTGTGCAGTCTACTGGCTGTGAGGCCCCAGGCAAATCTCTTTGCCTCTTCCAGCTCTTGGCTATCTTCTGTCAAGTAGAGACAATGCATTCACTTCCCAAAGTGCCTGGAGTGAGTTCTCCTCTTCCTCCCCATATATTTGCATTTGCATCTCCTGCCCAGATGCTTCCTGTACTCTCCACTCCCATTGCTGCCCCTTGCCTGCCTAACACTTGATCTTCTTTTTTCCTCCTTGAAGGCTTCCCAGGCTCCCCTCCACTGGGCTCCCATTGGCCTGTACTTTCCTCTGTGCTACTGTGCATCACCGGGCCTTGTCATTTGCTCATCTGCCTCTTCCTCTAGACTATCTTTGATAACAGGCATGCTCTCATTCAATTATTTGCACCCTGGCATGCAGAAGACTCTCAAGGAATGTTGGCTGATGAATTAGCAGGGAGAGTAAGCTGTGTCCCATATACTATTGCAAGCTGAGAGCACAGTAGTATCCTGTCTGGAGTGTGGGAAAAGAGTGACTGTACCCAGCGAGCAGGGTCAGCCTTATTCCAAAGGTTTATGTGTGCCTAGCCATGAGCAGGAAGAGAGCCTGGAGATTAGTTGCTGAGAATTGCAGAAACAGGGCAGGAAATAGAGTGTCAGGTCATATAAGGAGAAAGTGTTGATGATGGGGGCTGTCTGCAAGGCCTGTTCCCCAGGATTGACTCTTACTGGATGGTAACCTCATGGCAGAGAGTTGGATGAAGGGCTGGGTGAGGTGGATAAAGCAGGGTGTTACTCTCCCCACTTGACAGAAGAGAAAACTAAGGCTCAAGGAAAACAGGTGGGTTTTTCCCAAAACGCACAGCAATGGTAGAGCCTGAAGCTACTAGAAACTTTCTCCTGTAAGGCTCCTCTTTCTGCCCTACTAGATGCCTCCCAGAAGTCTCTGTTTTCCAGAGAAGATGCAAAGAGGTCGTTGGAGCTATTTCCAAATCCTTTAGGTGCCTGGGTTTAGATGTTCCTGGCTGGAACTGGAGACTCCTCCTGCTGCTGCTAGGAAAGTTCTCCTGGTGGGAATAAGAACTTGCTGAGAGCCTGAGGAGCTGAGACGGAATTGTACAGGATAAGAGGAGATGACACAGTGGGTTTGAAAATTGTGGTTTTCTGGTCCTCTGGGCTCTGCCTTGGAGAATCATGTCCCAGGGAAGAGACCGTAGACTTAAAACGTTATCACTGTCGGGAGGCTGAGGCAGGAGAAAGGCGTGAACCCGGGAGGCAGAGCTTGCAGTGAGCCGAGATCGTGCCACTGCACTCCAGCCTGGGCGACAGAGCAAGACTCCGTCTCAAAAAAAAAAAAAAAAGTTATCACTGAGAATCTTAGCTGCTCACAGGTATAAGCTGTGAAAGAAGTAGACGGTGTTATTGTGTGTGGGTGGGTGTGCATGTGTGTTTAACGGCAAACATCCAGTTTTGAAAGGAGTCAGATTGGAAATGCCAGTTAAGCTAACTGAAAAATAGTCATTTTGGTGGGGTGGCATCATACACATCTTTAATTTACCTGCTTAATTTAGAGCTAGCTCATGCATCCTCCCCCATCCCACTCTGCAGATCAGATTCAACAGAACAAGGCCAATTATGAAGGGCTTGGCAATCAGAGCTATTAGTGAGGCCAACTTGAGAAGGGAAAATAACTCAGCATGTCAAACCCAGCAGAACTGGGCAGGTGAAGCAAGTGGCTATTGGCCTTTGATAGAGACTGGGGCATGCATTACAGCCAAGATCAAGCACTGGACCCTTGGCTGTTGTTTACTGTCAGCTGAATTTCCTCTCACAGGTACAATCTGGGAGGAGCTGACTCCCAGAACCTGCTCCCTATCTGGCCCGGGAGAAGAGCCCCCAAGCCATAGCATGTCCAGAAAGCCTGTGCACACTGGGCCTGGACATGGAAGCATTTAAATGCTCTTTCTACTTTCCCCTTGTTCATTTTGTTTATATCCAGTGTCTCCTCCCTTTGGACATTTCTGGCCTTTATAATCTTAGACAAAATTCTGCAGTTCAGAAAACGACTATGTGGTAGGTCTTTGCATGAATTTTCCAAAGTCCCCTCGCCAATACGAAAGTCATAAGAGGAAGTCCACAATGAAGAAAAGGCCCATTTTAGCTAAACAGCTAAATGCTAATAGCAGTTTTGGCAAGGTTGGAGGCAATAGGGACTCTGAAATAATGTGGCCTCATCCTTACAAGCTTTTTTTTCAGGTATTTATAAACACCTCTTTAGAATTTTCAATCCCTTGTCACAATATACGATAAGATATTCACTTGCTTTTATTTTATATGCTGGATGTATGAGGTCATTCTAATCATGTATATACATTGCATGAGAAAGATGAAGGTGGGGAGAAAGAGTTCTAACAGGTAAGGTGCCTCTATCTGGCAGGTATTCAAAATACGATTATTCCATCATCTCAGCAGGACTATGAGACTCCATTATCGCCATTTCTCAACTTGGAAAATTGAGACTTAGAGAGATTCAATGAACAGCCTAAAGTCATACAATTATGTAGTTGCAGAGCCACTCTGTTCCTCCTAAATGTATGTTCTTCCCACTATACCATATTATCTCTTTCATTCAAGGCTGCTCTCTTACCACCCACTGCATACCTCCAAGTTCAATGCTGCGTTTACAGGTGCACCCTTCACTCAATGAAATACAAGCATTCTGGTAATATTACTCGTAAAACAAAATGGTGGAGAGTTGATCAGTTTTCCCTTGGCATACATGATAAATTTGGAGGTACGTTTCCATGAGATGGAAAAAGGTCTTACTATAGGCTAAGATAAAAATTAAGAACCAATCAATATAACTGGATATCAATCAAATGATAGAATTAGGTATCAATAGTATAGCACTAACTTGACTTGCAGAACCTTATCCAATTTTAGATAATTCTGTAACTCCGGAATTTTTTTCTAAAACCCTAGGTACTTTATGACTGGACAATTCAGCTCCTGAACCTAGCTTCCCCCATAATCTGTTCATATTTTCAATGTGGTTAAAAATGTAGGCTTTGGAGTCAAAGTATGTGGTTCTGAATCATGGCCTCACTGTACATTGGCTACATGGCGTTAGCCAAGTTACTTAACATCTGTGTTACTTAACATCTGTTATTTCCCATCTGTAAAATGGGGATACTCAAAAATGGAAATCCCAGGATTGCTAGAAAAATAAAAAAATTTATATAAATATATTATGAGACTATCTAGCACATAGTAAGTATTCAATAAATATTGGTAGCTAATATAATCTGATATTTGCAATCACTAATAGAGCTAAATAACAGGTTGACAGTTTATATCTGTCAGCTGGATTATTCTTTAAATTGGTTGAGGAAATTTATTTCTTCCTTTGCTGGCTTACAGAAATGCAAGTCACCACCATCTCTGTGAAATAAAGTTTTGAAGACCGGTTACTCTCCATTCCCAGATGACTATCATCTCTGTTTTCATATGCTCACCTGACCTATCCAATATGGCAGAAGCACTTTGTCACAACAGCAATGTTGGGGCAGAGAGTCTGGGTGTCATGGTCCTTGTTTACTTGGATGCCGGCAACAGTCGATTTTATGATAAAGCCCATAATTAGGGCCATCTTACTCTGCCCTCCTTGCCGTGATCTAAATGGTCCTGCCCACATGTCTTGAAGGTTATGACTCCATCCCATCCAGTGTTGGAGAATCTCAGGTTCACAAGGAACCCTTAATTTGGGCTTTTTCTAGTAACATTTAAGTACAAATGCCACGGTCATCCTACAAGAATTTTTAATTATAATTTCATTTTAATATATTTTAATTAGTAAAATTCATTTAAAAGAATAACATGCAACTTAAATATGCCATGTACCAAATTTTAGCACCAATACATTAACCTGTATTACCAGCACACTTTTGTGTAGTTCTCAGGACTCTTCTCCCAATAAAGTTATACATATACACCAGAGCTTATTGAAAATGAGTTATTGGCTATGAAGATTGCATCTTTGTGCTGATTTTTTAAAAGATAAATTTATGCCTGAACACCTCTATATCTGGAGAATTAGACAGTTCCACAGCACAGAGACACAGCCTCGTGTTCAGTTAAGAGTTAGGCAAGGAGAAGGTGCTTGACTCCCAAGGCTTAATGGTTGGTTGTACAATTATAACCAAATGTGTAACTCATCAGAGTCATGATAATGTCACACATCAAAATAGCATTGGCATTCATTGTAAGCTTTGCCTCTTCTTGCCTGACTTTTGAATGCATGATAAGAGGCACAACCTGCTGTTACAAACTGTGAGAGATTTGGCTTCCAAGCTCAATTTTCCAACTACTCTCTTTTCAAGCTTCTCCATCAGTTTAATTGAAGAATTACCCTGAGATTGCCAGATGAGCTATTGCAGACTGATATCATTTGCAACTACTTCTCTGCATGAATCAGGGTTTTCCCAGTGCTCTGTAAGCAGAAGAAAATAGAGGAATACATTACATTCTAAGTCTTCTAGTAGCCTTGATTTCAAAAGTTTTATCATGTTTATCAAAACAATCTCATCATTCTCAGTGACTCTTCTTACTATATGTAAAATAAACGGTTAACAGTGAGACTTATGACATAAATGTGCACTATTAAAATGCCACATTAATTGATTTTGAATATTGGGGTCCCATGAGAAATTTTATTCAAGAAAGATATTTTTTTCTTGTCTCAGAAGCTATTTCTAAACCTACCTTTCAAACGGTGATGGAGTCCCTTCCTTAGCCTTCCGTTTCTCACCCAATGTTCATTGACCACCTACCATATGCCAGGCACCATAGTAGGTTCTTGGACCACAGCAGCAAATAAGCCTGATAAGGTCCTTGTTCTCATGGGATTTACATTCCAGCGGAAGAAAGACAATCAATAAGGAAACAGAAACAAACAATTGCAAATGGCACGTGCAATGATGAAAATAAAGCAGGGTGAGATAATAATCACATTCGTATGTGCACGGGCATAACACTGAGGGCCCGTTTGTTTTTCTCTGTTGAATACTTTTTGGAGGCACTGCCTTCAAGGCAGCCAAATCCATAGCTGGGGAGCTCAGTTCTAACTGCCACAGACATCTCCCTTTCATCAAATCAAAATCTGTCTCCCTGGAATTCCACTCATCCATCCTGGCTCTCCCCGCTGGGCCCTCTCCAAACCCATCTAATTCCTCTTTCACAAGACAGCCCATCACGTGTCAGTACATAGTGAGTGGGTTCTCGTGGGCCATCCTTCTTCTCCTCTGAATGTTCCCAGTGCTTGCCTCTCTCACTGTCCAATCTTCATCCTCAGCTAGTGCTCCAGTTTGTCAATATCCCTCTAAATATATCATGGCAAGGCCTGAAGTCACTGTTTGTATGACCAGGACAGGACAAGACAATCACCTCCTCCTTCCTAATTCTCTGTTTCTCCACTTTCATGTATGTATCAACTTTGTTGCCAGGTCCCATAATACCATGACCACCTCTGTGACTTCCAGTCCACTGAATCGTCCCAGCCCTGTCTCAGGTTCAATACTGACACAGCTCTCCATCTCCTGGATATTTGCAGTTTTATATTTAAACCTCAGTGCAGCACATTCCAAGTGTTGGATAAACACACCTAACAGGAATACCTTAAGCATACCCTTAGAATGACCCTGTATGGTAGATGCATCTTAATGTGTGTCCCGAGCTGGGGAATCTAGGCAACCTGGAGACCCATGTCTTGTCTATGAGAAACATCTGAGTACCACCATCCCCATGGCCCCATCCCATCCCATGGAACATGGGCTGTACAGGGCACTGAGGCCCTGAGTTTTGCGTTAAATGAAGGTTGCCAGGTGCAAGTCATTAAGGGGAGGGTGTTAAGTGAAAATGCTGTATAAACTGCATGTTGTTTGTGTGGTTGCAGTTTTCTTGCCCAGCCTGCTGTCTCTGGGCCATGCGGTTATGTCGTCCAGCCCACCACCACTGGACTGTATATAAGGCAGATATGTTGTCCAGCCTGCCACCACTGGACCATACATAAGGCGGATATGTTGTCTAGCCCTCCGCCACTGGACCGTACATAAGGTGGATATATTGTACAGCCTGCCACCACTGGACATTCTCCGTATATAAGGCGGCTCTTCTGTCCAGCTCACCACCACTGGACTCTCTCCTGTGTATGTAGGCCCCTAGTAAAACCCTGTGTCTCGTTTGCTAGCTCTGGGTCTCTTCTCCGGCCTCTTGAACCTGGTGCCTTCCCTATTGAGGTTGATAGGGATTTGACACAAGAGCAAGATCTTCCCAATTATTTCTTGTGATGATGACCAAAATACCCATAACGACCACTCAGACTGACTGATGCCTCCCTCTCTTGGGGGCTTCTGTCCCTGAAGATAACCCCTGGAGCTTGGTCAATGTTGCTTATACCACGGGGACTCTTCCAAAGGGACAGTATGTTCCTAATGCCTGTTTCTCACTGTGTAAAGTGGCATTTTCTTTTATTGGTTTCAAAATGGGTCATTTTAGCATCAAACAGAGCCCAGTGGTTCAAATATTCTGAACCTGGGATGTGCACTCATTGTAATTTGGCAGCCTGGCACACCTGTGCCTAACTGCCTTGCCTCAGGTGGCTAATAGCCTCCAGCACTTTAGGCTTAAAGCCTGGCTTTTAGACTTTTATTGAAAAAAAAAATTAAACAGTGCATTTAAGTAATCTCAACCTCCCACTAGCCTTTTCAGTCTCTCATAGCACTTCCCCAAAACAACCAGCAATTCTGATGGCAGAGACCTCTGGAGTCCATGTCTACACCTTCCCCGACTTGCCAGAGAATTTTGTGTCACATTGTCTTTGTATTTCTAGTTATCTTCAACAACTTGCCCACAAGTGTAGTTAGCACTGAAAGGGCCCTGTCCCAGGAAACTTCTTAGTCTCAGGTAAACCAGAACAGCTAATTATTCTAGCTAGCTTGAGAAAAGGATTGTGTCTCACAGTTGAGTCTTTTTTTTTCAGGTAACTTTCTTGTTCAGGTGGTCTCCAGGTTCCTGAAAATTAAGGGATCCTCCACTTGCTATAAAGTCTGGTTTATACTCTCTGGAACCTTTAAATATATATACCTGTCCATCAGAATAGCCACTCCTTTCTTCATGACAGACTAAGATGCTCCAATTTTGTTAATGTGCCCTCAAAAGAAGCCATTCTATTATTTTATGTTATTTCAACAAGATAATCTAGGCTCTGTGTGTGTGTGTGTGTGTGTGTGTGGTGTGTCCAGGTACCTAAAGGAATAACCTACCTTGATTTGAATTAATATTCCATGTCTTTATTTAAAGCAATCACCTATTTCTTACAACACAGGACCATGAATTCCTAGCCTATAGGATTGAACAAAAGCTTACTTAAAACCCAACTAGTAGATGTCAACTCCCCTTCTCAATTTTCCACTTGGAGTGGTAGCCCCTTCTAAAACCTTTGATTAACAGCTTAAAGATTTCAGGATAAATTCCAAACATCTTAGCTCAGCACTGAAGGTCCATGGAGAGCGGGAACATCTCCTACTTCTCCACTCACAATTCTCATTCTGGACATGCAGAGTTATTCCCAGAGTATACGGTGCTGTACATACACTCCTTCATGCCTTAGCATAAGCTGTTTCCCATGCCTGAAGCGTCTTTGCTCCTTTCTTCAGTTTTGCTGAAGCCTCAGTTGAAATTCATCTCAAAAACCCCTCCCCAGAAACGTTTCAATGACTCTCTATTCTGGGAACTCCCCACACTGGGCTCCCCTAACACTTGGTGTGTGGTCTGCCCAGCATGTCCCCACCACACTGTAATAAGGACACTTATCTCTCCTCCCACTAGAGGACTGCAGCTGTGTCATATTTATTTTAATATTTCTAGTGTCCAACTGAGTAGTTTGCACTGAACAAATATATAAGCCAGAAACTAGTCAGGAAAACCACACCAAATAAATCATCAGAAGGAATTTAATAGAAGAAACAGTTTATGCAGGTGTTGAAGGACTAAAAGAGCATATCAGCATGCTCACTGATATAACCCAGATATGATAAATGCAGGAAATAGCAACCTATCCCTAAGGCTGGAGAACAAGGGCAGAGGTGAATCACCAGAACCTAGAAGCTCAGAAGAGGAGGTCCACGGAGCTGCCCAGATGCTGTGGCATCCCTGAGACAAAGCAACAAGGCTGGCTCTGGTGTGCTGAAAGGAGCTGGAGGCTGGAACCAACCATTGCTGCTGCTGCTGCTGCTGGGTGGTACCTGCCACTAACTCAGGTAGCAATGACAGGAATGGTAAACAAAACAGGAATAAGACAGACCCTTATCCCTCCTTTAAATCTCCCCCTAATGTCACCTATTTGCAGAACCTAACAGCAAGCCAGCTAGAATAATTAACTGAGAATAAGGGGTTTCCTGGGCACAAGGCTTTCAGTGCTAAAATGGGAAACAGACTTAGGAAAATGGGGACAATTGGTCACCCTAGAGCGAGCAATCAAAGGATAAATGTGGTTTGCAGAGTCCCAGCCCCAGAATTACATATCAGAGTGTAGAAGGGTGAGTTTGGGGCTGGGAGACAATAAATAAATGACTGCCACAATGGGTGATCAATTAGTTTTGCTTGAATTAATTAATGCATTGTCTAGATGTCTTGGAGAATGCTAGGAACTGTGGGACTCTGGGTGTTAGAAATGTGATGGCCAGTTTATCATTAAAGCCTTGTGCTAGCCTTCACCCAATGTTCCTGGGTACCCACCTGTTGTGCTAGTCTCTGAAGCATCTGCTTCTGTCAGTAACTCTATTTAGATCTATTGTCTTGATTGCTTCTGGAGCATTTCATAGGTTCTGAAGTTGGACACTCTTAGATGCTCCCCAGAATCTGAAGAAAGACAAGCACCTAAATCCTGGAGGCACCTATTAGGGCATGTAGTTAGTCAGATGGCTCCTTCTAAGAGCAGCTCTTTCAAGGAACTTATACAGAATCAATTGCATCTTATTCTTTAAAGTGTGGTGCATGCACTAGCAGCATTGGCATCACCTGGGAGTTTGTTAGAAATGCAGATTCTTGGGCCCCTCCTTACACCTACAAAATTAGACTGGAAATATCCTCAGGTGGTTTGCATGCACATTAAAATCTGAGAAGCCTTGGTCTATAGTAGAAGTTTTCAACTCTGGCTACTCTTGGGAATGACTTGTGGAGCTTTAAAGACATTCTGATGCTTGGTAGACCTCAGAGACTATAACATTTGGTTGGGTTGGGGCAGACATTGGTATTTTTAAAGCTCCCCAGGTGATTTTAATGGGCATTCAGAATGGCAGACCACTGATCCAGAGCATGTGTGAGATCATAAAGCGACATGCTGCTAGCACTCCAGTTATCTAACTATTGTTGTGTACAGAGGCACACAAATAAAATAACTCAGGCTCAGTTCCCCAGTTCTACGGCAATTAAATGATATTTCAAAGGCTACAACTGAGATAGCCTGACTCCTGATTCAAGTACTATCACACAACCACCATTGCATCATCATTGACAGTTGTAGTTATTTATTTATGAGAAGATGCTTTAAGAATGTGTCATCTGATAGTTGATCAAGTCTTAAGGATTGTACTGAATGACTAGGAAAACTATTCAGGGGTAAAGAACATGATCTGGGTGAAGCCTCTGAATGAAGAAATTCAGCTGGTCATTCACTCAAGCAGGACCAATACTCTCGAACACTGGGGATACTTAATGGCTGCCCACTCTGTTTGCCTTCTTAAAGAGCTCAATAGTTAGTGTGTTCCCTTCTACTTCCTATCATTTCAACCTAACTCAGTTTAATTCAAAAGTCATTTATGAAGCATCTGTGTGCAAATCCCTGTGAAGATGCAGAGATAAAGTTGCCCTAGTGAAGAAGTTTCTACTCTGGTTGGGAGAAGAAGACAAATACATAATTACATAAACACAAAACTACTGCTTCAAATTCTTTATTAGACTCAAGCAGCAGTAGGAGCAAAGGACATATATGCTAAATTCCATTAGGAAAGAACAGGTAAATCAGCATGAAGTTGAAAGGGAAGTATGCCATATCCAAGCAGATTGGTTACCAAATGGTTTTCTTGGAGGCTTTGGAAGAGGTGGGGTTTTCAGGTGAACAGATGGAGGTAGAGTAGTTCAGAAAGAGAGAACAGCACAGAGACCTGGATGTAGAAGAGTTTGGATGATGTTAGTGAAAAATAGAAGATGAGACAGGAAGGGTGGGTGAGAGGCCATAATATGGAGGAGGCCAGAAGTTAGAGTGTAGTTAAACAGGGTGAGTCACTAAAGGGGTTTTGTTTTTTGTTTTTCGTTGTTAACAGATTTAAGCCCTGTAGAGAATGAATTAAGGCACATAGGGCAAAATTGGAGGCAGACAATAGACTACTATGCCCACACTCCAGATAAGCATAAAGTGATCCTGAAGTAGAGAGGCATTTAGGAGAAAGGAAAGAGAGTGTAATATGAGAAGCACTGGATCTAGGTCTTAATTAGCACATTTAGGAGAACATTTATGGGATAAGTAGACATTGTGCTTACATTGGTTAATTGAAAGCACATTTCCCTGGGGCTAAATTACAGTGAGCACTATTAAATCACAGTTAAGGTCTATCTGGGTATCTATACCATTATGGATTTTGTGAGTGTTAGGACTGGCTCAATTTAGGGGACAGCAATATTTTTCAAATTTCTCATTATTTGCAAAACAACTGTAATCAGAATCTCAGGGCCAATGCAAGGCCATTGATTGAGCAAGACCTTAGGCCTTCGGGACTGTCCCAGGCACCCATAAGCCGTGGTAGGAGTTTGGGATCTGGGCAGCAGCCCTTGATACCACCTTGGGATTTGAAAGACCTAAGGAGAGACGAAAACTTATCAGAAGACTTGACATCACACCAGGGAAGAGTTCAGGAAGCCCAGAAAATCCACACTAAGCCAAAGCCCATTGATCTTTCAGCCCACGTAATCAGTACAGAGAATGCTCAAGAAAAGGCTGTAGGAACTCAGATATAATTTAATGATCAGTTAGCACTTATTTTGGCATAACTGTTGGACAACCAGTGTACTAAGTACAGTAAAACACAAATAATGAAAAGGATACAAATTCACAGATTCAGATTCAAATTTCATCTTTTTTGTTTTGTGACCTTGGGAAATCTGCTTAACTTTTTTATTTTTGAGACGGAGTCTTGCTCTGTCACCCAGGCTGGAGTTCAGTGGTGTGATCTTGGCTTACTGTAAACTCCGCCTCCCAGATTCAAGCGACTCTCCTGCCTCAGCCTCCTGAGTAGCTGGGATTACAGGCGCATGCCACCACACCTAGCTAATTTTTGTATTTTTAGTAGAGACAGCGTTTCACCATGTTGGTCAAGTTGGTCTCGAACTCCTGATCTTGTGATCCACCTGCCTTAGCCTCCCAGAGTGCTGGGATTACAGATCTGAGCCACTGCACCCGGCCAAAACCTGCTTAACTTCAGCAAGCCTTAGTTTCCTTATCTATAAAATGGGGATAATAATAGTATTTGCCTCTTAAAGCTTTATGAAGAGTAGGCTGGGCCCAGAGGCTCATGCCTGTAATTCCAGCACTTTGGGAGGCTGAGGCAGGTGGATCACTTGTGCTCAAGATTTCAAGACCAGCCTGAGAAACATGGTGAAATCCCATCTCTAAAAAGGCAGGTCAATTTGAGGCCAGGAGTTCAAGACCAGCCTGGCCACCATGGTGAAATTCTGTCTCTACTAAAAATACAAAAAACTAGCTAAGTGTGGTGGCACATGCCTGTAATCCCAGCTACCTGGGAGGCATGAGAATTGCTTGAACCCAGGAGGTAGAGGTTGCAGTGAACCAATATCAGGCCACTGCACTCCAGCCTGGGTAACAGAGTGAGACTGTCTCCAAAAAAAAAAAAAAAAAAAAGCTGTATGAGGGGTAAATGAGATAATTATATATGTGTGTGTGTGTGTATATATATAATATATGATATACATAATTATTCATGTGTGTAGGATACATATTATATACGATAGACATAATTATTAGCCTCTAAAATGTTAATAATTATATAATATATAATTAGTATTTCATATACTGGGCACAGTGACTTGCACCTGTAATCCCAGCAATTTGGGAGCCTGAGGCAGGTGGATCACTTGAGCTCAAGATTTCAAGACCAGCCTGGGAAACATGGTGAAATCCCATCTCTAAAAAATACAATAAAATATGATAATTAATATGTATAGCAATTATGTATATTTTATACAGGACCTGGAAAATAGTGAAGACTCAATAAAATGTCAGTGATTGAAATAGTATATTTTATTAGACTCCTCTATGATGTGATAGAAGTCAGGAGAGCATAGCAAAAGTCACAGAATTTGAAATCAGATAGACTAGAATTTGGATTCCAGCTCTAACATTAGAAATTATCTGTGTGATCTTCCGCTAGTCACTTGTCTTCTCTGAACCCAGAGATGACAACAGAAGTGAGAACAAGTCAGAGTGGTATTGTGGAAATCTAAGGTTATTGGAACAGAAATGCAGGTGAGAGGAGGAGGGAGTAAATAATAATTAAGATGACCTGGGGTTTATCAGTGAAGACTTCTTAGGGTTCACAAGATTTGAGCTCTTTGAGCAACTTATAGACAAATCAACGGACAAGAAGTAGGGGAAAATACGTACAAAGTACTGACGGCTGGAATGAGCAATTCATGTGTAAGAGATGAAAAACAGATTTGACTAAAAGTTGGAAGAGGTTTGCATTGCAATTAACTGCCTTTAACCAATACAGTAACCTGTCCAAATTCAGGCAAACCAACAGTAGTAGGTCCAGCCAGAACTAGAACCCAAAGAGTCTGGCCCCAGAGCCAACCCCCTTGACCACTAGGCTAGAATGCCTCTGAGGCCAGGTCAAAAAGTTGGGGATCCCTTGAATTACAATCTCACAATGTGAAAGTTCCATGAGAATGCAGATCACACCTGTCTTATTCATTACTACACCCACAGTGCTAGGCATATGGCAAAGACTCAATAAATATTTATTGAAAATATGAATGAGCACGCCAAACACAGTTATTTATTTTACCCCCTTTTCCTTTTACTATTTTTTTGTCTTTTTTGGAATACTGTCCTAGGTGTAGTCCTCCAAATCCCCATTGCCTGGCCAACATGGTGAACAGGACACTGCCTGGGCATAGGAGGGCTCTCAGAAACTTCTTACACCTCTGGGAAGATCATAGTTTAGTTCCACGGAGAGACAGAGGCAGCACTCTCTTGGGGCAAAGATAAATTTGTTGCAGTGAGAAAGACTAAAAATTGTGTTATTTAATGTCTTTCTAAAAATAGCATACAAATGTCTCATTGGTTACCTTATACCTTGGAACAACAGTAGGTTAAGGGCTTTTGGAAGTACACTCCCTTTTTCCCTTCTTCCATGTTAAACCTGGCTGTATTTGTTATGTCCCCACAGGAAAAAGAAACTTTCCTTCCCCCAGTGAATGGCCCTTTACAACTCTGCCACTGATGAGGAGACTGTGGTTAACTGGTATCTGTCGTGATTCACATGAGACAAAAACTATCTATTACAGAAACCATCAAATACCAACAGCTGGGCCTGGACGTTATTTGATGAGCTTCTAGAGATCTCCAATGGAAGAAGACTCATCTAAAAAAGGACCTTGCCTGGAATGTGTTTAGAGTGGGAAATACAGTGCTCTCATGGGTACAGTGCACTCTTCATGGATAGCTACTAAAACTCCCTGCCCTGGCTCTGCTATGAAGTTCCCCCTACCTAGATGAGTGGCTTTGAAAGCAAAAGATAATGATTGACATCTGAGCAGTACAGAAGTTGATACTGACAGCAGGCTGTACTACTTTGGCAAGATGATAATGACTTATATAGATGTGGCAAACCAGTTAAACTGTCTAAACATGCCCATATGCAATAGTTTATTTTACTTTTATTTAGTTGTTTATTGAGATAGGGTCTTACTCCCATCCAGGATGAAGTGCAGTGGCATGATCACGATTCACTGCAGCCTCCAGTTTCTGGCCTCAAGTGATCCTCTCACCTCAGCCTCCTGAGTAGCTGGAATTACAGGTGTGTGCCACCAAGCCCAGCTAATTGTTTTTTATTATCATTTGTTGTCAAGACAGGGTTTCACTATGTGGCCCAGGCTGGTCTCGAGCTCCTTGGCTCAAGCGATCCTCCCACTTTGGCCACCTAAAGTGCTCAGATTACAGGCATAGACAGTGTGCCCAGCTGCAATAGATTATTTTAAACCAGCAATAAGTCTGTGATGCAGTACTAATGCCTTCATACATATCAAACACAAATCTCAGAAAGAAGAGGCCAAGACTAACTTCTGGTCTAGGTCTCTTCCACTTTTCATCATGCTGCTTCTATCTGAGACCATTACCGTGACATTTGATGGGGGATACACAATTCCTTCTGCTCCAACACCCAGGTCTTCTACACATGCACACACACAAACACAAACACATAGGTACACACACACACACACGCACATACACACACACACAGACAAAGAGAACGGAAGGTCTCATTAAAACAGCGTATACTATCTGCTCCCCGATTACAAAGGAATGCAGATAGCCTATTTGGATATTTCAGTACTCCAGTAACCCCCTTTTCCTCTTCTTCTTTGGTTCTCTGGGGTTTTTTTAAATTAGTAAGGTAATTAATTCAACAATTATTTTAGAATATTTCTATAAAACCAATACTGCACTTGATGCTAGAGATACAATGGTAAACGAAACAGACATAACATTGGCCCTTGGGATGCTTATCATCTTATGGAGGTAATTTGCCTATTGCCCCTCCATAAAAACCACCTCCATCAAAGAAAATTAAATTTTCTTTACTTTTCTTCTTATTTCGTATTTCCAATGCAGCCTCCCGTTTTAACATATTTGATCTTTATGCATGTGTGTCTACTTAAGATTCAACTATAACTCTCATTGTTTCAAACTTTGTTTCACTCAACAGTGTTTTAAAAATCTATCTATGTTGTTACACATATATCTTGTTAATTTTATCTAACTACTACATAATATTCCGTAATATGTACTTGCCATATTTTACTTGTCCATATTCTAACAGTAGGTGCCCGTGTTGGTTCTAAGTCTCCACTATAAAAATCAAACAGCACAAAGGAAACATTGTGCCTGCCTTCCGAAGGGCCTGCATAGAAACCTGCATTATCTGGCATGTATTTCAGAATCTACTCCTTGGAATATATTTATATACATTGATCTGGAGTAAATATATTCTAGAAATGGAGTTGCTGGATCCTGTGGCAAAAACATACTTAACTTTAACTTTAGATATTTTCTAATCTTTAAATGCCAACATGACACTTTTAACAGGTGACAGCGGTAAAGTCTGGCTATTGCTAAAGATTTGGAGCTTTGCAGCAGTCTACTGGTTGGCTTCAGATTCCAGGGCTGGGTGTAAATAAAGGGCAACTTGATAGCCTTCAACCTTTGATTTGTAGTCTCTATCTCACTGCCAGTGTATCTCTCCAACGTCCTGAACTGCCTTTGTCTAGAAGGCTGCCTGCCTGTCATTAGGCCTTCTGGTCAGCCAGAGGCTCAAGCTTGTGTTTAACATTGATATACTGAGATCCCCTGTCTGCTGTTAATGATTTAGTGCCCTGTTACTATGAATGCCTGGCCTTCCTAGGTCTCCAGTGATTTCTGGATTTTCCTTGGTGATGTGAGAAGTCAGGAATTGTGGAGAATTCATCTTTCCTCTCACACAAAACCAGCTATATTTTGATACCACTTTGCTAGTCTATCTAGGCCAACACTTAACTACGTTATTTCTACATTGAGGGAGAATAAAAGGCAAAATCCTTAACCAATGATGTAGGTCCTCCCTCCTCTTTTAAGGCTAGAGATGAGTATTGGTAGAGCAGTTGAGGTGATGATAAGAAATAACTCCAGTTATTCCCTTTCTGTTGATAGTGATGAACTACGATGGTTTTTGTCCTCTCTTTTCCTCATATCTCACAACAATACTTTGGAGACAAGAGAAGAGAGGGTAAAAATGAAAAAGGACAACAACAAAACAGAGGCTAGGAAGAGACATGGGGGCTGATCTGCTGCTGCTCCAAAGCGAAGAGTTTCCAAGTCAACAGAACAGGGAGTCTTGTTCTCCATCCCTTCCCTCCTCTCTCCTCTTCAAGATTGTTTCTGGGCCTTTTTGCTCTTCTAGAACAAACTCCTGACAGTGTGCCATGCACTTGCAAGGAATAATGATATCTGTGTCCCTGGGAGAGACGGGCCTGCTGTCAGTAGGGAGGAGGCTGATGTGGATGCGTGCAGAGCTCAGTGCCCCATATGCACAAACACTGACAGTTCCCAAATCAAATCAGGAGTAGACATTTCTTTGACCAAAACTTTGCAGGACTCTATTTTTTTTTTTTTTTTACTTCAGATCAGAGAAAGATTTTAAGAAAGTAATAATAACTTTATCAATCTGCCTAATGATAGTCTCATCCAAAGGAAAAGAAATGATTGAAAATCCTTTAAGGGAAGACAGTGTGGTCTTGGTCTTCGGGGTAGCCCAGAATGTAGGATCTGGCCTGAACCAAGGCAGGAACTCAGTGATACTGTGGAACTTTCCCAGCACTTGAGGGACACTTAATCCACAAGAGATCCGGGAGGGATCATTAGGCAGTGTTTTCACAACCTATTTCAATCTCATGTCTGGGGAAATAAAATCCTCCATGACTTAATGGGATATGTATGAGCAGGCCCCCAAAAATCTCGACTAGGGAGGAGAAGAGGTACAACATAATTTATATGCAAATATAAATTATAGATTTTCAGCATTTTCTTAAAAGGGCAGCCAAATTTGTAAGGACTTGCTTTTTTTTTTTTTTTTTTTTTTTTTTTTTTTTTTTTGACAGAGCCTTACTCTGTCACCCAGGCTGGAGTGCAGTGGTGCAATCTCTGCTCATTGCAACCTCCACCTCCCGGTCTAAGTGATTCTCCTGCCTCAGCCTCCCGAGTAGCTGGGATTACAGGTGCATGCCATCATGCCTTGCTAATTTTGTATTTTTAGTAGAGATGGGGTTTTACCATGTTGGCCAGGCTGGTCTCAAACTCCTGACCTCAGATGATCCACCCACTTTGGCCTCCTAAAATGCTGGGATTATAGGCCTGAGCCACCGCGCCCTGCAGGACTTGCTTTTGAAATGTAAATATAACTCCCATAAGTGGAATTTGAACAGTGAGAACACATAGACACAGGGAGGGGACCATCACACACCGGGACCTGTCGGAGGGTAGGGGGCAAGGGGAGGGAGAGCATTAGGATGAATACCTAATGCGTGTGTGGCTTAAAATCTAGATGACAGGTTGATAGGTGCAGGAAACCACCGTGGCCCATGTATACCTATGTAACAAACTTGCACTTTCTGCATATATATTCCAGAACTTAAAGTAAAAAAAAAATTTTTTTAATGTAAATATGTTTAAAAACACCTAGAGGGAGACGCCATAAGAAAATATAATAGTACTAGATGCTTAGCTGTTAGAGATGGGAGGTCCACATGACCACAAGTTGTTTTCAGGCCCAACTGGGACTGATCTCCCCATCCCGCTAACATCATGCTCATGCCAAGAACAGGTGAAGGGCCCACTTTTATTTTGACAAAAAGGAGGGAGAAAGGTAGGACAGGAAGTTGATGCCTAGAAAAAGAGGACCACCCTACCTTCTCTTCTCTCAGAATAAGACTGAAGAGAAGCAATTAGAAGTTACAAGTTACTGATGAGGTGACAAGATGGAAGATCTATAAGTCTGGACAAACCATTGTGCTGTAGTAGACCTTAGTTACAAGCCAAGAAAAAAAAATCTGAGGAAGCCAGATTTCAGCTTAATTATAAGGAAGAGCTTTCTAATAAGTGGAATATAATTTATTTTTAAAACTCAGTTATAGGAAAAGTTGCCTATGAATAGGGTGAAATCCTCTTTGTTGAACACATGCAAGCATAATCACCCTCCTTTTCAGTGATTCTGGAGAAAATATTTCTGCTTTGGGTTGAACAGTAGATGCTATATTATTATATATCTTAATTTTAAAATGATTATGTTTATATAGACAAGAGAATTAATTTACAACTTCTGAGTAAAAATGTTTAACATAGGGTGGGCGCGGTGGCTCACGCCTGTAATCCCAGCACTTTAGGAGGCCCAGGCGGGTGGGTTATGAGGTCAGAGTTTCGAGACAAGTCTGACCAACATAGTGAAACCTCATCACTACTAAAACTACAAAAATTAGCCAGGCACAGTGGCCTGTAATCCCTCAGGAGGCTGAGTCAGGAGAATCGCTTGAAGCTGGGAGGCAGAGTTTGCAGTGAGCTGAGATCGCACCACTGCACTCCAGCCTGGATGACAGAGTGAGACTCCATCTCAAAAAAAAAAAAAAAGAAAAGTTTAACATAATGTCCTGCCTTGGAGCAATTGTACAACACTCTGCTCCTATCTTCCCAAAAACCCCAGGGAGTCTAACTGCTTTCTGTCATCTGCACAGCTGTCACTTTCTGCTCTCCCCCAGGTGACTATCCACAACAATATCAGCTGTATCCCCATCCATAGTATTTCTGAAAACAAGCAAAAGAGACCTTCTTATTGCAGCACTTTTTAGTTAATGATACAAACACAGACATCAAGAACCAAAGCTAACAAGGAAAAGAGACAAAGCTCCCAGAATCCTACAATGCACTCTGTTTCTATGTCTCTAACTCCATTTCTTAGTGGCTGTCAGTGAATGGTCTGCTTTTCTGTTCCACGACTAAGGGTGGATCTCATCAACTCTCTCCTTACCCTCAAACCCCACCCTTTTGTTGACCAGGTGGGGTCTCTTTCTCAGGGAAGACCTTTCTCTCCAGTGCATAGGCTGGAAGTCAGAGACAGGGTCAACCTATCAACGGAAACTAGTGGTTGTTGTAGTTCATTTTGGCTTTAAGTAAACCACACACATCTCAGGGAACTGCAGTCTAGGAAATAAATATCCATTTATTATATATTTACTGTATTCCAGGCTCTATGACAGACACTTTATACTCCTATTTCACTTATCCATCACACGACCCTAAGAACTAGGTGTTTCTTCTGCTAGAAGCCTTCCTTTCTTTTAGCAGCCAATGGCTTTTGGAAGCCATGAGTTAATGAGAAGATGAGTAAGACTGGTCTGGTTGTCAGAATTTTCAGAATTGTTTTTATCTACATTGTGTTCACCTACATTATGGGCGTGGGCAATGAAACACCAAAGTGGAACTAAATAGAATATATTTTATCAATGCATATACGAATAACACTGTAACGTTTCACCCTCTTTTTTCCAGTTTACGTGCTCTCACATCATCTTCACATTTCACTCCAAGTTCATCTCCGCATTCACATCCCATTCCAAGAGCCATCAGGAGACGAGGAAGCGCCGAGTCCACCAAGCAATTTCACCAGCTCTTCATATATTCTTCTTGGAGGTTTCATGCCATAATCTTACCTCTTTCTTGTGTATTTAGGTCATACAAGTTACTGATGAGGTGACAAGATGGAAGATCACTTCTCACAAAGATGATACCTTCTCACAAGGACTAAAAGGTTTCCAGATAGATTTGAGCTCTTTCCATATTGTGCACCAATGATGTCACATGGCCCTCTCATCCCAACCCCTAGAGGACCCTCAGTGAATCAAAGGCATATCAAGATTACAGAGCACTATATGTAAATGAAGGGATAGGTGAAGACTAAATACCCTCAGATTTAAAAAGCCTGTAGAATGATTTATAATCCTTTGGGTATAAAGACACATGCACATGTATGTTTATTGCAGAACTATTGTCAATAGCAAAACTTGGAACCAACCCAAATGCCCATCAATGATAGACCGGATAAAGAAAATGTGGCACATATACACCATGGAATACCATGCAGCCATAAAAAAGAATGAGTTCATGTCCTTTATAGGGACATGGATGAAGCTGGAAACCATCATCCTCAGCAAACTAACACAGGAACAGAAAACCAAATACTGCATGATCTCACTCGTAAGTGGGAGTTGGACAATGAGAACACATGGACACAGGGAGGGGAACATCACACACTGGGGCCTGTCGGGAGTGGAGGGAAAGAGGAGGGAGAGCATCAGGACAAATACCTAATGTACACAAGGCTTAAAACCCAGATGACGGGTTGATAGGTGCAGCAAACCATCATGGTACATGTATATCTGTGTAACAAACCTGCATGTTCTGCACATGTATCCCAGAACTTAAAGTAAAAGAAAAAAGAAAAGGAAAAAAAAATACTGTAGTAAGTTGTTGTTTGGTGGTCCTTCCTTCATAAATAAGAGTGAGCTGCAGCTGGGCTCTGTGGCTTACACCTGTAATCCCAGCACTTTGGGAGGCCGAGGCAGGTGGATCACTTGGTCAGGAAATCAAGACCATCCTGGCTAACATGGTGAAACCCCATCTTTACTAAAAATACAAAAAAAAAAAGACAAAAAATAGCCAGGCATGGTGGCGGGCGCCTGTAGTCCCAGCTACTTGGGAGGCTGAGGCAGGAGAACGGCGTGAACCTGGGAGGCAGAGCTTGCAGTGAGTCAAGATCAAGCCACTGCACTCCAGCCTTGGTGACAGAGCAAGACTCTGTCTCAAAAAAAAAAAAGAGTGAGCTGCAACAGGACCTAGTCCTATGGGTCTAAAGTAAAGAAAATACTAGGGAAACATGTTGTCTTTGTCTCCCTGTCCAATGTTCCTTGTGTGAGAAGCTCAGTTTAACTCCTCTGACTGCAACTGAATATTTCTGTTTAGACAAACCTTCTCTCAATGATTGTATTTTATTCCCATTTAATAGATAAGGAAGCTAAGGCTTGAAGTATTTCTGTAAGCTTCTCAAGGCTGTATGACTCCAGAGCCACATCAAAATCTCAGACTATTTCTAACATACAGAAGAAACCCTCATCTGTTCAACAAACTATATGCTTTCAAGATTCAAAGCAACTTTATGTGCCCAACCCCTTCATAAAGACTTCTAGGCTCTTAAAATACATAAAGGTTTCTCCATTCTCTATGCCATGTAATTTAGTACCTAATTATATATTATCTTATAATGTTCTCCTAATTGCTTGGAGTATATCTGTACTGCTTCTCTATTAAGGTTATAAAAAAGATCCTCGAGGGTAGACAGACACTATGTCTGACTCTACCTTTCCTTTTAACGACTTCCCTCCTTTTCCACCCTATATCTCTCCTACTCCACCCCTAGAACATGAAAATCAAATCATAAGGTCTGGTCCAGTCTGCACTACCTTTGGTCCTTAGGAGCACAGAGGTAATAAGGCATGGTAGAAAAAGCATGTGATGGAGCACCTGTATTCCAGTCCTTCCCTAGCTCTGAAACACTGGGAAAACCATCTGCCCTCTCTGGGCCTGTTTCCTCATTGGTGAAATAAAGGCAATGGGCTACGTGATCGCCAACGTTCCTCCAGCCCTGTGAATCTATCTGTTAAAGGGAAAGGTGACCTTCATGAAAAAATTCAGTCTGAGATCACGGGACCTCGCATATGGTTGGTGGACAGATGGTTGGAGTTGCTATAGCCCTGATTTTAGAAACAGACTGGAAGCAGCTCCCAATCGTGCCTCACTCCCCCAAAAAGGGATGTCTCTGCGCCCTCCATCATATGCCATGAAGGTGGCAAAACACAAATGCACAGGGCAGTTCTAAGAGGAACTATGCTTACGTAAGCTCTATGGGACCACTGAATTTCAAGGGAAGGCTGGAGCAAATGTTCTTCCTCTGAGGAGTGAACTATAAAAGGTAACCTTGAAACTGTATTGTATCCATCTAATCAACTGATTCAATCATTAAAAGCTAAAAGCATGAATTCCCAAAAGGGAATTGGTAGACTGCATAGGTATCTCAACAGAGAATCATCATAATTCAACATTAGTTCAGTGTACCATTAAAGTATCCACATAGCTAATGGAATTTCATCAGGGTTTGAGGTTTTTCCCGAGTTGTTTAAATTGCCTCAATCATGAATGACTTCCTGAATTAAAAATTAAATGAACTTTCAAGTATTTAATTAGATATATCTATTACTAAAGTAGAAAAAATAACTAAAATTTATCTTATATATCTTTTATTTAAGAACTATACTACATCTTCAAGATTATAAACATTTTGTTGATAAATTTGGATACAGCTTCTTTTAGGGATTAAACAGTAGCCAAGAATTTTTCTTTGTGATTCTGTTCTTAGATTCGATGGTGTCCAAAGGAACCTTAGGTTTTTATAGTTTTGAGGTCTTTAAGTGCTTGTGAATTTTAGAAAAACCCATTATGAGATTATAAAACTGATGTTGAGTGAGGGTAATGGTGGTGAACTGCCAGACATAGCAAGATGGAGATCCTCAGAGGAGGTAGTTCTTTCCCCTGCTCTAATTAGCTAGAATTAGGTGCAGGCTAGAAATGCTGTGGAATGCGCATGAAGCTTTAGAGGAAACATTAGGACCTTCCTGCTCAGGGTGTAAAGGGGCCTCAGTTAGGGATCCTGTTAGGAATGGAATGATGATTGTGTCACAGGACTCTGTCTCTGGCTCAGAGGGGATCCCAGATGTCTCCCCTCTTCCATCCAGTGCTCCCAGAGGATCACTGCCTTTTTAGGTAGCACCCCACCGCCAAATTCACCCTATTGCTTTGGTCTTCTTTGACCCCATCCTCCTGCCTCAGTGGGACACATTGATTGTTCCACCTTGCTGCCTCTAGAGACAAGGCTAGGACCCTTCTTATGATATGGTATTTACTGCTACACTTTAGAGGGAAGGAGGCAAGGTATGCAGTTGGGAAGTGACAAAAAATAGAAGACATGGTAAATTTAGTGAAGTTCCAGAATCACATAATGGCAATAGCAAGCATTTGTTCAGGACTTACTATGGGCTGGGTATTGTGTACATACAGAGATAGAAGTAGAGAGCGAGACGGGGAGAGAGACGTGCACATGTATATCACCTTGTTCAATGCTATCCACAACCCTGTGAGGTGGGTGTCATTAATATTGTCATCTACTGTATTAGTCTGTTCTCACACTGCTAATAAAGACATACCCGAGACTGGCTAATTTATAAAGGAAAGAGGTGTAATGGACTCACAGCTCCACATGGCTGGGGAGACCTCACAATCATGGCAAAAGACGAAGGAAGAGCAGAGGGACATCTTGCATGGGGCTTGCAAGACAGCTTGTGCAGGGGAACTCCCCTTTATAAAACCATCAGATCTTGTGAGACTTAATTCACTATCACAAGAATAGCACAGGAAAGACCCCACAACACATGGGGACGTGGGAGCTACAGTTCAAGATGAGATTTGGGTGGGGCCACAGCCAAACCATGTCATCTACCAATGGGGAACTACAGACACAAAGAGATTATGTGATTTGCCCAAGGTTAACCAGCAAATAAGTTGCAGGAGTGATATTTCAATAGAATCTGATTCAATAGCTCATCAGCTCATACTTATAACTGCTATACAGCCTTTTTTCTTTAAAAAATTATATATATGTATATAATTTTAAAATTATAAAAGTATAAATGTTAAAAGTATAAAATTATATACATACATATATACACAGACACCTGCTAATATCTGTCTGAGATGGTCATCAGGAGATTTCTTTTAATTTCCTTCTTCACAATGTATCTTTCAGATGTCCTTCATAGTCCTTGGCCCCAAACTGAAGGACACGGAGTTACCTATCTTAATAAGTGCTTCCAATCTTAGTATATAGGCCCGCCTGGGCATTCGGAGTAAAAATAATACCCTTTATCTCAGGTAGTCTGTTTGGAGTTCTGAGACCTCCAGTTTGGAAAAGCCCATCCCCATTGCTCCTCTCCCTTATAAGAATGGTTCCTGTGGGTCATTTCCTTATAATCTCCATGTTTTCTCTGTTTTTTAAGTCACCCTTCTGGGCCATGTCTTCACTTTTGACAAACTGCCTGAATTTGAAACAATCCACTCTCCTCAGTTTTAGCCCCCTGCAGCTGGTTATGGGGGCAAAGAGAGAAGCCAGACGTGGAGAAGAATGGCACATCCATAGAATATAACTATCAGAGCAGCCTCAACAGATCAGACACCAAATAAACCAACAGAAAGAACCCAAAACACCAAAACATGGGCATGGGATAGAGTTAGAGGTAGTGATAAAAGCCAGCAGCTGGAAAAACTTCCAATGCTGAAGCCTGGAAAGAACAGTGTATGGAGTACCCAGATCTGCCTTCTATCTAACCCAGAAGAGGTCTGGGATTACTGGTGGTCCAGGTCTGTAGTCCAGTGCCTGCAACATAGAGACCAAAGGTTTGGCGAATGAAGGAACAGAAAGGACATACATAATGAAAGAAGTGTGGCCGATACTAATCAGAGAAGAGACACTATCAGTGTAAGGCTCATCAGCCTGCTGCCCTTGCTGCTACTCACAGACACGGCTGGAAGCTGAAACCCACTAATGGCCTATGGGAACATGAAGAGTGAGAAACAGCCATGGACACAGCTCTCTGGGGCATGGGCTTCTGAGGCAGTTTTCTGACTCTCGACTCGAGATACACATCTACTTCCAAACTTATCTTGACTTTATGCGTTTAAACCTTCCCCAACCCCACAAATTTCCATGATTATTTTTCTAAGTCCTTCCAGACTTTGTCTTCTGCAAATGAAATATGACACAGTGGGATGGAAATGGGCTTCAGGAACCAGAAGGCTTGGGTTCAAATCTCATCCTGCCTGTCACTATTTACCAGCCTTGTGTCATCGAGCTAGTTAGTTAGCTTTACAGCTGTGATAAGAAGCAAGACTGCATAAAGCCCCCACTACTGAACAGGGTGCAGAATAAAGGATAAATGTCTATAGGATACACAGCCACTATTTCTCCAAGGTCACAGAGAAAGTCACTAGTAGAGTCCAGAATTGAACTCGGGTCTCCTGTCTACACTGCATATCTTCTGCATGCAGGCACTTCTCAACTGAGGTGATCATTAAAAATAAAAACAACCTCAAACTTTCTCAGCAAGTGGCCATTACTTCATGCTTAAAAATCTAAAACTAAATTTATGATCAAGCTTTCCATTTTCAACCATGCTGCTTTCAACAGAGCGAGCCCTAAAATTGTAGATAACGACATCTTTCCTGCCATGATCCAAGGTATTAGGTATAGAATTTCCCTAATTTTGAGTAAACCTATGAAGAACTCACAACCACATCCCAGGCCATTTACTTGGTTGGCTTAATAGTGTCCCACCCAAACATTACCTCTGTTGTGTCTGCTTCTTCCTGTCAAAAGTTGATATGGACAAGAATCAGAGCAAGAATAAACATAGTTATTGATCAATTCAGGACTTGAAGTTTATCTCATCTCCTCTCTTCCCAAAAACCTGAGGAATAACATTGAAGCTGGGGTTCCACTGCCATCACTGACTAAGAATATTAGAAAAGAGTGAAAAATCTGAAGGATTTGCTTCAATGATCTATTAAAATAAAGTAAAAGATGATGAGAAATATGGGGAATTCATAGGTTTCTAATTTCTCAGGAGCTCACATATCCAAACCCCATCAATACCCACCAGCCACACCTTCCCACAAGGTCCTCACGGAAAATACATACACAGAGGCAAGGAAACAAGCCAGAAAAAGTGCATGCTTTATTCATCTAAAGTGTTACCTCTAAAGCCCAATGCAGGACTCCCGGGAGAACTGTTTGTACCTACATGAGAGGCAGCCTAGCCCATAAGCCAACCACTAACAGACATGTTGGGTATTACGGTAGCTCAGAGGATTGAGCTGCCAGTGATTGAGCACTTACTTTATGTCAGGTTCTGTGTTCTTGCAAACAAACCCAGGAAGTAGGTTATGTCATTCCAGTTACAGATGATGAAGCTGACGTTTAGAGAGTGAAGGGGGTCTTGGTCAGAAACACATAGGTAGTAAGTGGTCAAACCAAGATTCCAACCAGTTCGTATCTCTTTCTAAATCACATGCTGCATCCCCACAATTTCCCACCTTCCCAGCTAGAACAGAAGACTGTTACCACAGTATTTCACAACCTCCAAGCTGAAAGGGGCTCACTGTTATACCTCCAGGTATTGGGTTCCCCCACGGAGAAACACAGCGATTGGATTAGTGACCTCTAAGGATCTTTCTCTTTAGATAAAGAATATGTGTGAACTTAATCAGGGCTGTCATTCCCTTTCAATAAACAAGTGAAACAGTTACCGAAAATCCTGAGAAGGAAATGAGTTTGCTGATGAATCTGTTTCAGGACTGACTTGGGGATAAATAGGAGAAATATTATTCTCTTCCCACATTTGGTTAAATAT
This sequence comes from Homo sapiens, assembly GCF_000001405.40. Taxonomy (NCBI): domain Eukaryota; kingdom Metazoa; phylum Chordata; class Mammalia; order Primates; family Hominidae; genus Homo; species Homo sapiens. Next base: position 33,821,639 of record NC_000017.11, on the reverse strand, counting down.
CACGAAGCCATGTGCAAATTAGACTTGGGAAACAAGGCTGGCTCATCTGTTCCTTGTTTGACTTGTGGCAGCACCTGTTGCCTTTCCTCCTCATTCACTGCACAGGTTTTACTAGGAGTCGGCATGTGCTAGGGCCTCAACAGGGCTTTCAGGGCCTTTCTGGACACTGCAGCCCAGAAAGTCTGAGATCAAAATGCGCCAAGCCTCAAGTGTATTAAAGGGCCAAGAGGTGTGCATAGACTCAACAAAGATTAGCTCTCCACATCTGGAAGTGTTTGGACGAGAAGGCTTTCCCTAGAGCTCGAAGGAAATATGTTTTGAACCAGTAAGATGGAGAACTCCTCGTCTCTGCAGTCAGTAAACTAACCAAGCTAGGTATTTGAGGGGTGGGACAACGGAAGAATAGAAACACATTCAGTAAAGGGAAAGCAACTTGCTTTAAAGGGCCAATGTTAAGATGGGATTTGACTAAGAAAGAGATTCAGGGCTATCCAAACCCCATCAATACCCACCATCCACATCTTCCCACAAGGTCCTCACGGAAAATACATACACAGAGGCAAGGAAACAAATCAGAAAAAGTGCGTGCTTTATTCATCTCAAGCATTAGCTCTAAAGCCCAATGCAGAACTCCCGGCAGAACTGTTTGTACCTAGATGAGAGGCAGTCTAGGGTCTAGATCTAAAGCTGGCTGGGTGGTCTACATCAGCAGTAGCTGATAGAACTATAACGCAAGCCTTATACGTAATTTTAGGTTTTCTAACAGCCGCATTTAAGTGAAGTAAAAGGAAATAAGTGAGCCGGGCATGATGACACGCACCAGTAGTCCCAGCTACTTGGAAGGCTGAGGTAAGAGGAATGCTTGAACCCAGGAGTTCAAGAGCAACCTGAGTAACATGTCAACATCCTGTATCTTTAAAAAATCTTAATCAAGTAAAAAATAATTTTTTAAAAAGTGAAATTATTTTTTCCATTATTAAAGTTTTATTTAATTTCAGAATGCAAATGTTTTTTAATACTCTTTAGCTTTGTAAACTTAGAATCTACACTTTTACCCTTAGAACAAACCTTATTGACTGACTTGTATACACGTATATTGGCATCAAAGGGGAAAAAAGCCAACATGCCCATCATGATATTTCTTTTCACATATGAAATTGCTGGCTAATAATGTATTTTATTTAACCCAATATATCCAAAATATTTCAACATGTCATCAGTTCAACATGTAACCAATGTAATCCACATAAAAGAAATTATTAACAAGATAGTTTACCTTCTTTTTTTGTAGTAAGTCTGCCAAATCTGCCATGCGTATTATACTTACAGCTCATCTCAGTTTTCAATGAAAATAACTGGTCTGTATTTTGATTTCATAAACATCATAGTTGAAAAGGGAGGTTCACATATCAACTTGTTCCAGACATACTTAAAGGTCTTCCAATAACTGAACCTAGTAAGACTTTTTAAATTTAAATATAATTAAAAAGAGATGAAATTTGAAATCCAGATATTCAGTTACATCAGCCACATTTTGAGCTCCCAACAGCTACATGTGGACAGTAGTTGCCATATTGGGCAGCTGGGGCCTCTATCATTGTCTCGTTTCTGACTGCAAACTCCATAAGAGTCTCAGATTTTCAGCTCCTTGAGGTAGGCAGCAAAGGGAATTCAGAGGCAGGAGACCGAAGCCTGAGGTGACATACAGCTTTCCAAATTCAAATCCTAGGGACTCCAGCAATTTCTCTTTCCAGATTAGATTTTCAGCTTCTGCAGAACCGAATTAAGAATAATGATAGCAATGTCCATACATTGAGTTTCTGTTCTGTGTCATTGTGTTTAATGTTTTTTGTGACTCAGAGAAGCCAAGTAACTAGCACAAGATCACACAGCAGGTAAGTGGCAGGTCCCAGATTCAAAGCCAAGTTTGCTTGGCACGAGCACTGATGCACTGTTGCAACTCTGCCGGAGATCCTCTGGCATGGCCAAGGTCACAGTCTCAGCATTAGAATTTCCCAAACTGCAATGATCCCTGATGTTGCACTTAGCTCCACCTGTCATTGTTATGGCCACGTTAAAAGAAGACTTAATTCTAGAGTATGCCCTTCACATCCCAGGCCTTGACCACATCCAGATTCATGAAGTCCTCAGTACAGAGCATTAATGCAATTATTGTCTTGGCATAAATGTATCTCCCTTCCTTTGTCACAGTTTCCTAGCTCTTCCTAAAAGCCTTCAGAGGCTAACTTCATGCTGCACCAAGTATCTGTACAGCTTCAATTGGAACTGAGCTATGTTCATTAGGCAGCTTGCCCATGAGCAATAGAGAGAGGAGCGGAGGGTGACAGAAACTTACTTTTAAGCTAAAGGTTAATTTCTAGTGCTTTTAAAACATCTGACCTCTGACTAAATTGTACGGACATCAGTGCAGATGTGAAAGAATCCCATTGCACTGTTCCAGCCTCCATCCTTCCTGGAGCTGAGAGGCATACTTACCAGCTCTGTGAAGAGCCTTTCTTAGGAAAGGCATATAGCTAGGCCACCAGCTTCAAACGGCATTATCCCTGGGTTTTTCCTAAATAGCACATGGGTCATAACCCAAAAGACTCCCCACCCCACAAGCATGATGCTTTTTCTCTGAGCAAAGCTAAGCTTAGCCCAGTAGACCCCAAGCAAGCAGCCTGAGACTGCTCATCTCCTAGACCTGGATTCAACTCCCTTGAGCAAGATGGGGCCTTGGAAGGCATGCCCAATTTTAATTGTTGTGATTCATTCCAAACCCAGTAGAACAAACACCAGCCAAGGGCTGCTCTAGGAAAGAAGCTGGAATGGCAAGTGAAATTGGGGGAAGGAAAAGCAGGAATCAACATTAAGAAATGCCTACAAAAAAGTAGTGGTTTAAAACATCATCTAGGGTTTCTCAATCTCAGCACTATTGACATTTTAGGCTGGATAATTCTTTGTTGTGGGGGCAGTCCTGTGCCTTGAGGAGACGCTCAGCAGCATCCCTACCCATTAGATGCCTGTGTCACTTGCCCCACCCACAGTAGTTGTGACAGCCAAAAAGTGTCTCTGGAAATTGCTAAATGTCTCCTGGGGGACAAAATTACCTTCCCCCATCTGAGGTTGAGAACCACCGCTTCAGAGCCACATAGAGCTTCAAATCCAGACCTGTAACTCACTATTGTATGACCTGAGCTGGCTTCTGAACCATGGATCTTGCTTCTGTAAAAGGAGGAAGTAGTACCTACTTCGCAGAGTTGCTATGAGGTTTCAGTGAGGTAATATATGCAAAAGGTTTATTCATAATAAAAGCTAATTGGTTTAGGTTAAGAGTTTAGGATGCATTTCTTTAATCACCAAAATAAATCTGTTTTACAATAGAGTATTCTTATTCCCATTGTAGCAGATTGTAGTTTCCCAAAGTGGCTGCAACAATGTTTTTCCCTTCCCACATGCTCTTCATAAACCTTGTTACACCCTCATCAAGAGGTGGAGTCTATTTCCTTATCCCTCAACTCCAGGAGGATCTTTATGGCTGCGCTGATGAAGAGAATGAAGTGGAAAGGATGCTTCATGACCTCCAAGGCTGGTCAATAAAAGATGCAGCTTCTATCAGGCTCTGTCTTAGACACATACCTTGGGAGCTTTGAGCCAACGTACAAGAAATGTGGTACCCCGAAACCATGTGCTGTATAGACCATGTTGAGGCAGAAAGAGGGAAAGATGCCCAAGCAGTAGCAGCGCTCTGGCCTTGGCTGCCAGATATGTGGATGAACAAGGCATTGGAGAACTCTAGCCCCAGGCTTCAAGCTGCCCCCGTTGATGCTGACTAGAGCAAAAATGAGCTGTCCCTGCTGAGCCCTGCCCAAATCGTGGGTTCTTTAGGAAAATAAATATTTTAATAAGATCATATAAATATTTAATAAAATAAATATGGTTGTATTAAGCCACTAAGTTTTGGGTGGGTTTATTGTACAGTAATAAACAGCCGTAGCAACCATTTGACAGAGGACAAAACTGCTCTCAGGGAGGTTATACAAACCAGTGAATGTCCAGGCTAGAATTTGCACCAAAGATTCTCTGCCTCTGAAATGGCACTGTTTTTCTTTCATGAGACTTGCTCCCAAGACAGTGTGACAGTGTCTTTATAGGAAGCAATCCAAGACTAAGCAGAAGGCAGCACCAGTTAGGTCTGTGAGCAGGTTAGAGACACAGAACTCAGGCCATCTGTAGGCAGAGGGAGTAGCATGACAAAGGCAAGGCAGAACTCAGGCTCAGAGAGTCTGAGGCAGTAGGGGGATCCCCCAAAAGAGAACAAAACAAAAGATTCATCTTCAAAAGAGAAGCACAGTTCAGGGAAACCTAGCATCAAAAGCACGTCTCAGAGCATGAGGTTGTTTAAATCCCAAGTGCCTCAGGTAAGGATGCATCCTGGGCTAGGAATTCTCAACCCCAGCTGCCCACACCACCTAGAGAACGTCGAAGAATCCGGATGCCCAGAGTCCAATGACATCAGACCCTCTGGCATGGGGGCCAGGCTTCGGTGCTCCTAAAACTCCCCAGGTGGTTCCAGTGTGCAGCCCCGCTGGGGCACTGCTGCTCTGGGAGAGCAGTGAGATGTGCCTGCCAGGCGGTGTGAGCTCAGCAGAGTCAGCCGTGAGGGCAGGCAGGCGGCAGACCCTGGAAAGAGACAGAGTTTGAGCATTAACTGCAATCACTGGTTTGCTTTATGACTCTGCAAGGTGAATTAAAAATCAAACTTCATTTGGCTTCAAGTGAAGATGAAGATTCAGCAGATTTGGGGACTGGGAAAGGCCCCATTAATATGCTTACTGGCAGAGACTCCATTTGATTCACTGATGTGAATTTAGGCAGATGGGAAAGGTTCGCCTCTTCTGCAGGAGGGAGGGCTGGAGGGATTCTTCCCCTCTCTGTGGCTGGTGAGTAGGGGACAAGGACTACCCTCCCTTACAATACTAAGAGGGAAGAGTCAAGTGAAATACCACCCTCAGACTTTTTTCATGTGATGTCTGAAGTAGGTTGGCAACAGTTGGCATCAGGGTAGGGTAGAAAAGTTAGTTGCAGTGCCCAGCAGGCCTGGATTTGAATTCTGCTTCCCTCTATCTGCATGACCTGAGAGTTATTCAGTCTCTCTAAGCTTCATTTGCCTCATCTGTCAAATGAGAATAATTGCAATGTTGCCAGAATTACATGAGCTAACATATATGATATATCAGCTCATGATGGACATTAACAGTGTGGGTTTTATTCATTCACTCATTCATGCATTCATTCATGCTTTTAGACTTTTATTATCCATCCCCTTTTTCCCTCCATTCATCTTCACCTCCGCATTTTGGAACATTAAGAATGAGAAGCAGGTGCCCTGGAAAGAAGCCCATAGCAATGCATTAAATTAGAAGCTTCTCCACCTGCTGAAACTTTCTCTACCCCACCCGCCCCCCCTTCAGTTGGTGAGCTCCTACTCAGGAAACAACTCATGTGTCACCTGCTCTGGAAGTCTCCCCTCATCTCTTCCATCTGTGTAAGAGCCTCTCCTCTCTGTTCCCACAGCCCTATGTAATAACCCCCTTCCTTATATAACAAAGTGTCCCTATGTAATGTGCACTTCCCTATGTAATAACATCCATCAGCTTGGATTTTACTATAATAGCCCACATGTCTATCCTCCCCCGTAGACTGTGATACTAGCCCTGGATTTGGCATATCATAAGTACCCAATACACTTCCTGTGAAATAAATAATTCAAAAATAACCGGTATCACTTCCCTTTCTGGGCCTCAGTTTCCCCATCTGTAAAATGAGAGGATTGGAGTAGATGCATTCTAGGAACACTTCCAGCTCTAGTATTTCTAATATTCTCTCTATGGAAATGGCAAGGACAGTAAAGCGAGTAAACAAAGACAAATCAATTCATTTAGGGAGTGGTAATAAGCTGGTATCCAGTCATTAGCTAACAGAATGCAAGTTAACATGACATTGATATCCTCAGGTGAGCAGAACAGTACCACCAGCCCTGGGCAATATCCCTAGCCACCAATAGTCAAGATTATCCAAGGGGTGTCAGTTTGGTAAGAGGAATTCAGATCCTCCAAAGAGGGGTGAGTTAAGTCAAGACCTTTTCAGGAACCAAAACAAAAAGAGGGCTAAGAAATATGGGTGAGTGTGGACACAATGGGTTTGGGCTAATGAGGCACAGCCCAGGGTTTTCATGAGCAGTGCTGGAGGATTGGAACTCAGGGGACAACATGATATTCAGCAACAGCCTGTGGGGGCCATGCCCCAAGTTAAACCAACCAGAGCGTGTGAACTACCCAGTGGGTAGACTCCACAAGTGCCCTTTCCTTGGCCAGTTTCCTAGGAAGATTCAGGAGCTGGGCAGATACGGAGCCTATGTGAGGTGGCAGGGCCTCTGTAGACCCCACTATGGGAAACTGAGAAATTTAAAGATGGGAACTGAGGCCTGAGATGGCTAGTGTCTCAGGAAGGGCACACATATTTAACCCACACTCACAGCCTTGCAAAAGCCTTCCTGAGAACACACTCGCCCACACCACACCTACACTGTCATACCTCAATGCCCATGCTTGGTCCCCATACCCACACACAGTCCAACAAATACCAACAAGGCTCACCTCAGAGACTCACAGACACATATGCACTTTTTTCCCATTTCAACTGACATTTATAAAACATCTATATACTAGACATTGGGAGCCACAGATAAAGAGACTACAGACCCCACTATCCAGGAACTCAGTACACAAAAGACACTACTAGCACAGACTCCCGTTGCATAATGTGTGTGCACACATGTCTGTTTATGGACCTGCATAGATCCTTATACAGGCAAACAGACAGAAAAATTATGAATAATTATGCGGTCGCACACCTGCACATATGTGCCACTCACACGCAAATCCCAACAGACAGGCTAATAAAGCCCATAGGTTCCCATCCATCTTGGCTTAGTAAGTTCTAGGATTTGCTAAAGTGACACCCCTCTGCCACTTGTACACCCAATGTAGAAGCACAGTGCTGCCCTTATTTCCATAAGAGAAATCTTCCAGGTCTTTTACGGGCACATTATTTTATGGCAACATTGTTAGCTGGCATTTATGAAGAGTCAATCAATAAATTAGAGGCTGCTTGTAATGGTGCATTGCTGTCTCACATTTGCTTAAGAGCCCTGAGGACTCAAACCCCAAATCGGAAGTGTCAGACCTCTGCCTCTCTTCCCACATCACAGACACATACACACGCACACATGGTCACACACGGATACTTTTTTTGCATCCGATGTCACTTCAGTCATGCCGGGAAGTAGCCTGTGACTTATGCTTTGCTTTTTCTTTGCTTCCCATGGAGGAAGCTTGATATGTGATAGGGCTGCAGGAATTTAGGCTTACACTTCCAGCTGAATGTCCTTGGGGCTTTAAAAGGCGGAATCTCCTGGGAGGAAAGAGTGGCACAAAGACTGAGGTGAAGCTACCATCCCACTACTCTCCTACCCCTGGGCATGGAGAAACTCATTTCTCCATGCAAGTCCCCACTCTTGCCAGCCACAGTCCCCCTGCAGTATGCTCTGTGAACCTACCCACCTGAATCATAGGTGTGGATAGAATTGAGGGCCCAAAGGGAAGGAGACCAAGAGAATGTCCCCACAGAGACCTTCCTCATTCTCCCTCCACTGTGCTCTACCAACCATTCAACCTCAGGAAACCAACAGATTTGCGGAAACGTGTGGGTATGAAGTGCCTGTTCCCAGGCAGCAACTATTCTTGAAAACAAAAAAATGTAAAGCATGCCAAATTATCTTTCACCCCTATTACCTTATCACCAGCAAGGAGGATACCCTCATTGTTTAAAACTTGGCTTTAGGCCGGGCGCAGTGGCTCACGCCTGTAATCCCAGGACTTTGGGAGGCCCAGGCGGGCGGATCATGAGGTCAGGAAATCGAGACCATCCTGGCTAACACGGTGAAACCCCGTCTCTACTAAAAATACAAAAAATTAGCCGGGCTTGGTGGCGGGCGCCTGTAGTCCCAGCTACTCAGGAGGCTGAGGCAGGAGAATGGCGTGAACCCAGGAGGTGGAGCTTGCAGTGAGCCAAGATTGTGCCACTGCACTCCAGCCTGGGCGACAGAGTGAGACTCCGTCACAAAAAAAACAAAAATCAAAAACAAAAAAACTTGGCTTTAATGCTGGCACTCTGGGGCTGGGTTTGTTTGTTTGTTTGTTTGTTTTTTGTTTTTTGTTTTTTCAACCTTGAGTGCGGTTGAGGACCATCTGATGTCACCCTGTCCTTTTCTAAGACTGAGTTTGCGGCTGAGTGGCTTAGGCAGACTTGTTCCTTCCAGCCTGGTGGATGTCACTAATATCCCTAGTCTGGGCTCTTTGCTCTCTACCTCTGGGTCCTCCGTGCTCCTCCCCAACTTGTTTACCAATCTAATTTCTACAGGCCTTTAAAGGACCATTCTGCGGTCACTATCCTATAAAGGCTTTCCATGGTAGAACCTCATGGATGATGCTCTCTGTCCCACATCAAGCTGCCAGGTCCCCTGAGATTGCCCATTAAGGATGGAACTGGCCCTGGCACCAGATGAGGATATCAGCAGCTCACCCTGAGCCAAAAAATGGACAGGGAACATAAGAAGCCCCCTCCCACCTTCTGAGTTCTGGAGGCCAGAGCCCTGGGGTAAGACAAGTGCTGGGAAGTCCCACCAGTCCTGCCAAGAAGACCCACACCCAGTGAGAGGTTCAGTCTGAAGGAGGAGCACAGTGGCTTTGGGAGGGTCCAGGTAGGATCCTGTTTGTCCTAAGGAAATGGAATCTGTCCTAGGTCTAATGTGGGTAGATCTGATTCAATTTCACCATCTACATTATAATCTCATATGAGCTCTTTCTCAGTCATTTCCACATCCCTCTTGGGTTCACATAAAATTTCTGATGCTCGCCTCAGCCTCTCTAGAGCCCCAGAAGTCTTAAAGGAGCTGGGTCAGGTCCTCTCTGCCCAGGATCCATCATTCCTACATTCTACTCCTGCCCTGGGCTGGAGCAATATGGGCGAGCCAGAGCATCTTACTCTCATTCTTGAGTAATCCTCCCCACCCTGGAAGCAAGCACAATTTCCCTCTGGCCTCCCCTGAGTGCTCACCAGCATCTTATTGTCTTGCTCTCCTCTCCAATCTCTCCTCCCCCAACTCATGGACAGGCAGGGGAAAAATGACAATGATAAAGCTTCTTAATCTGTTTAGACCTAGACTTGTGCTCTTGACATGCTAAGAGCCTTTTCCTTCAAAGCCGTTGTCTTGTTGATTTGAACAGTGTGATGAAATTTAAAAGCTGACCATTGACTCAATTAAATGGCATTGCTGACATAGCAGCCCTTCCTCAAGAGCAATTGGCAAAGGATGCCGTCACCCTGCTGATCCCTCTGTGGGTAGGGGAGAGGCAGAAGAAGCACTAGATACTTGGAGAAAACCCATCTGTTAATATTTCACAATATCCACAATTAGCATGGATAAGAAACTAAACTTTACAATAAAGGGGTTTTTATCTGATAATGAAAGTGTGCCCACGGTGGTGCAGGAACAGGGAGAGAAAAAGGGACATCTAATATTCAGAGGGCCAGGGAGAGGTAGTAATAGCAGCTTCACAAATATAGCAAGTGACCCTTAAACTAGGTCTTGAAGAATGAATATGAATTAGCCAAGCTGGGAGAAGTTCTGCATGTGCAGGAGCATGGAGGTCAGAGCAAACATGACCGATAGGAATGCCAGTACTGTGATTAACTTTGGAGTTGTGGTCTGGGTTTGAGTTCCAGCTGTACCACTTCCCAGCAGGGAAACCTTAGGCAAGTTGCTGCCCCTCTGCCAGCCTCAGCTACTTCATTAACAAAATGGAAAAACCCCTGAGAGTGAGTTCAGTAGACTATGTCTCAGGTTCTAAAGCCAATGTAAGAGCAGACCCTCCCTGGTTGGTTGAGAATTCCAAGACCTAATTCAGGCTCAGCAGGAATGTGTGCTGTGATCTCTTAGGGATGACTGCAAATGTGCAGACTGGGAAGAAACATCACGAGTAGCAAGTCCTCGGCATTCATGGGCTGGTGACTAATAGGGGCTTAATATTAGCTAAGGGAGATTAAATGAAACAATGCCTGCAAAAAAACCCAAAATGTTTCACATGGTGTCCAGCACATGGAGGGATATGAGCGTGAATCCTTTCCTCTCTAAGACGAGTTGTTTGTTCAAACGATCACTGAGCAAGAAGGGAATTTTTGTCTGATCTTCTCCCGTGGGAGCCTTTGCAGTCTGCCTGGATCAAGTCCCCTGTTTCTCCTCTCTGGCTCCAAATGTGAAATGAAGAGCAGGGCCAGAAGTGATAGACACAGAGAAGGAGGGCTGGAGCAGGCAGGGCTGAAGAGCTGGGCAATGTGCTTTAATGATCTGTAATTGCTTTTCCAATTGACCTGCAGGTTGAAATAATCTCATTATGTGAGCTACTGAACCTTGTGATTCAGCCTGAAAAATAGTGTCCTGTGAATCTCTCCCCTTTCATAAAGGCCCATGCCGTTTACATACCTTCTGCCATGGAAGCCACCCTGCAAAGGGATTTCTGCTTCCCCGGCTGTTCTGAGGCCAGGATAGGAGAGTCACTGATTTTTGTTTCCCTTTTTTCTATCATTAGTTGTTATACTGGAGTGTGTGTGTGAATGCACGTGTGTGTGTGTGTGTGTGTGTATGTGTGTGTGCATAGTTCGTTTTGGAAAATATCCTTCCAGAATGGGACCTATTAAGGGTGCCACATGCTAATCCTTTAGTGCATACCCTGATAATCTTTTTTACATAAAAACATTCATCTTTCCTTTTTTCTATAAATAACAATGTAGCGGCATCTCCTGACATGAAAAGATCCCAGGACTCACCACTAACTCACATAATTTGAACTTAGACAAACCATTTCACTTCTCTGTGGCTGAGTTCCCCTATTTGTCCCATGGGGCAGTGACACCTGCTCAGATGGCCTCATGGAGCTATTGTGAGAATCAAATGAATTCTGAAGACACCTTTGGAGAGAAGGGAGATGGGCAGATATAAAGCAGCATTGCATCCAGACCAGTGTTCCTGCACTTGGCTCTGTATGGGAATCATTACCTGGGTTCTTTAAGAACAAGAATTACTGATGCCTCCTGATGCCCACCCCCACACATTCTGACATAATTAGTGTTGGGTATGACCTGAGCATCAGAGTTTTAAAAGATCCCCAAATGATTCTAATGTGCAGCAAAGTTTGGAAACCAATAGAATAGACTGATACAATTGCTCTTGCCCTTCCCACAACAGCCTCTTCCTAATTCCCTAAAACGTTAAGACATTTCCCTGCCAGAAATACCCTAATACTGTTTGACCCATGGCCAAGAGCTTTCTCAACTCTTTGCCCCATAAACTGCCTCCTACTAACCTATGAATGAGTTTAAACAATATTTCACAACCTGGATTGTACAAGTGATTTTTTTTCAAATGCATATATTTAGTTTACCTGTAAGAATTAAAAAGCAGCAGATTAATGTCTAGGTTCAAGGAAGTTAAATCTAAAGTTTCTTCTTACTCAGGGCCCTGAAAGTATGAGATCAGCAGGTGGGAATTCAAAATGGTGGGAATTCAAGCAGGTGGAGATAGCTCAGTTTCCAGGTGGATATGAGAATAGTCCTTGCTTTATTGAAAAGAATTCCAAGACCTAGTTCAGGTTCAGCAGGAATATGTGCTGTGATCTATTAGTGATGCCTTCAACTTTGCAGGATGGAGAGAGACAGCACATATAGCAACTTGTTAGCATTCATGCACTAAATAAAATTCTAAGACCACATTCCTGGCTGTGTTGTGGCAGCTGCCATTTCTTCCTCAAGATAAACACACCATTTATAAGTTTTCGGGCTGGGTTCCCAACATAGACCTCTGAGGGATGTCAGTCCTCAGTATTTGGGTACACCATGCACTCTCATCAACTCACGAGTTCCATGTGCACTAAGGATACGTGTATCAGTTTACACACAAGAAAAGGAAGAAGAGAAACCTTGTGCTCATTCCATTTTCATATCCATGTCTTCTTACCCTTCTTTCCCTTTATCAAAAGCTGATTCTAAGAAAGGCACAATCAATCATCCAATCTCAGGGCAAGTTTCAGGTATTGGCACTCAGAGGTGTGTGCATGAAATGCCTATGAATCCACACTGTGGGAGATTTCCCAGTCCAGGCAGGTCCTGAAGCAACCACTACCTCTTTCGTCTCTCAGTTAACCCAGCTCTAAACACACACACTCCACTGGGGTTCAGACATGAAGTAGGGCTGGAACGCCAGTTGAGATGAAGGCCCCAGTGACCTTCAATAGTCAACACTGGGCCTAGAGGCAGATCAATGAGTCAGACAAAGCCAGTGCACAGAGGACAGTGCCACTGAGGCTGCGATGTGGATCCAGAGGTCACTCTGAGAGGCTCTCAGTCCCAAGTCTAATTAAAAGAGAAGTTCAAGACCTTGGCTGCCATGAACCCACTGATCCCAGAGTAGCAGAGAACGTAACTTTTCACCTCACTGGACAGAGTGGAAGAGGATGACTGAGGTGCCAGGCAAGAATGACTCAGAAAGTCATGAATGAATAATTCTGAAAAATTAAAATTATTTTTTAAAATACTGATTCACAATCTGAGCAGTCCTGGATTTCCAGATGGGGACATCATAAAGCAGGGAAAACAGGAGAAGATAGAATAGGGGTCAGGGAAAGTGGCCCTAATACTGACTATTTGTCATGTACCAAGCAAGCTTGTGTAAACCTCCATCTGTATGTCATCTCTTTAATGCTCCTCACTTTGAGGGAGATGCCTTAGTAGAGGGTATCAAGTATTATCATCTACATTCTACAGATGAGAAAACAGAGACTCAGAGAGGTTAATGATGTGATCATCACCACACAGAAAGTAGGAATTGATGAAGAGATGGGCATCTCCCAACTTGATCCATAGATTCAGTGCAATTCCAATCAAAATCCCATTAAGTTATTCTGTGGATATTGGCAAACTGACTCTAAAGTCTATCTGGAGATGCAACAGACCCAGAACAGCCAACACAATATTGAGGGAGAAGAACAATGTTGGAAGACTGACACTACCCAACTTCAAGGCTTACTATGAAGCTACAGTGATTAAGACACATGTGGTATTGGCAAAAGAATAGACAAATGGATCAATGGAAAGAATAGAGAGTCCAGGAAGGGACTCACGTAAATATACTTAACTGATCTTGGACAAAGGAGCAACAGTAATATAATGGAGAAAAGACCATCTTTTCAAAAAATGGTGCTGGGACAGCATTCGCATGCAAAAAAAGAATGTAGACACAGACCTCACACTGTTCACAAACTCAGATCCATTTAACTCAAAATGGATCACGCGCCTAAAAGTAAAGCACAGAATTATAAACTCCTAGAAGGAAAATATAGATGGCCTAGGACTTGGCAATGACTTTTTATATGTAACACCAAAGGCACAATCAATGAAAGAAAAAGTTGATAACTGAACTTCATTTGAATTAAAAATTTCTGCTCTGTGAAAGACACCATCAACAGAATAAAATGAGAAGCCACATACTGGGAGAAAAATATTTGCAAAAGATGTGTCTGATAAAGGACTGTTATCCAAAATATACAAATAACTCTTAAAGTCAATAATAAAACAACATATTTTTAAAAGGGCCAAAGACTTTAACAAATATCTCACCAGAGAAAATGTACAGATGGAAAATAAGCATATAAAAATATGCTCCACATCATATGTCATCAGACAAATGCAAATTAATTCCACCCATGGAAGGAGTTTGAGTGAGGGAGTTACATGATTGGATTTGCAGGTTTAAAAGTATAGGGTTGTTTCAGTGATTGGATATGTGTGAAGAGGATGAGGAGGGGCCCAAGATTAGAAGTGGGGAACCTAGTTAGAAGTAATTTTTGGTAGTTTAGGAAAAGGGGAGAGACAAGAGAAGAAAGAGAGTAAAGAGGGAAAGAAAGAGAGAGAGAGAGACTGAACCCTGAATTACTCCCTCTGGTAGGCCTGCACTTTCTCCAGGTGTTTTGTGTTGTAATTGATTGATTATGTCTTTGCCTTTCTTGCTGAGCTCCAAGAGAGTGGCAATTGTGGTGTTTACCCACCTCTGCATTAGCAGCACCCAGCATGGGGCCTGCCATAAGACAGGTACCCAACAAATATTGTCAAATAGCAGAGTGAATTATTAATGAGAGATTCAGTGACCAGAAGCCACTACCTATAGCCATACAGAATACACTTCTAAATCCTATCACCTGCTCAGTACCCAGAACCTCCTTGAAGAGCACACCAAACCAGTGTTTGCTCCTTACCCAAACGACCACTGATTTAGTCACATCAGTGGGAAGTACCTCTCAAGTGGGGTGCCTGGTGTCCTGTAGGGGAGATGACTGGCTGATTGAGCATTTCTGCATTTTCCTGGAGTGTAGGGGAAGATGCTGTCTGTGACTGCCTTGGCTGGCTGTGGTTCCCTTCTGCCTCCGAGCTAATGACAAAGCAGATGTGTGGGCAAGGCAGCCAGCTTTGTCTTTCAGGTGGAGAGGGCTGCCTTGTCAGTAAATCAAATCAGTTCTTGGATTTGGGATGCAATGTTTATCATGGTGGTGACAGCATGCAAACATGACACTGACATCTTGGTTGTTCTGCAGATGCTATCACTGTTGTTAAAACACACAACTTCTTGCACAGAACTGTGGACTGAAAGCTTCCAACTGAGACCAGGTCAGGTGCCAAGTCCCTGACAGCCAGACAGCTTGGTGGGGGCTAGTGTTGGCAAAAGAGGAAGCTCTTTTGGTGTGAGACCCCATTCAGGACCCAGGGAAACCAGAAAACCCTGCCTTCAGTGCAAAAGTGCTCTAAAGATGGCAGAGGAGAGCAATAAATATTCAGAAGGCCCGTGCTTGACACCTGGTTTAGGAATTAAGAGATTTGCATTGCTAAATAATTCGTTGCAATATCCTTTAAAGAAGCAGGCTCCTTAACATGTTACAATAGGATTCTACGGACAGAAGCTCATGCTGTTTTCAGGAACCTACTGATGGCAAAAAGCACAAGTAAGCAAACTATGGCCCACAGGCCAAGCCAGCCTGCTGCTTATCTTTGCATGGCTTGTTAGTTAATAATGTCCTTTACATTCTTAAATGGTTGAAAACCAATCAAAAGAAGAATGATATTTTGTGGCAATGTGAAAATTATACAAAATTCAAATTTAAGTATTCATAAACTTTTCTTGGAACAGAGCCACATTTATTGGTTTGGGTACTGTCTGTGTCTGTTTTTGTTCCACAAAGGCAGAGTTGAGTATTTGCAACATAGACTGCATGGTGGCAGAGCCTGAAATCATTGCCGCTTAATTATTTACAGAAAAAATTCACTTATCCCTGGTTTGTGTGATAAATTCTTGAGTATGAATGTGGGTGCTTTCCGGTGTTTCGCTGGGACATGGGAGCCCCTGCGGGTGGCCCCCATGGGAATGAGTGAGTGAGAAGGGCTGTGCATTTGTGGGAGGACTGCGGCTCTGTGAAGAAGAGTGTTTAAATAGAGAATAATGCCTGTTCTCTTGAACTATAATATGTGTGCAAGTGTGTGTATATGGATGTGCAAGATGGAGCAGGGGCTTTAAGCAAGATCAATATTTTTGCAAAGCGTGTTCCATGTAATATTAGCTCCAAGGGATGTTGTGTGTGTAACATTCTGAAAAATGGCTTTGGTGGGCAAATAAGCATGGAAGCCCTGGGTGAGGAAAGTAAGGCAGGTTTCATCACTACAGACCTTATGAGGATTTTTATATGCTAATGTCCATCGTGACCTTCTGAAAGGGAAACGTCAGAAACAGGATTCTCCAACATATTTGGTGGCAGAGTATATTTAATATTCCATGATTCAGTGATGCTAAGTCTTTTACTCACCATATAAGAGCTGGGAGACCACTGGAAGAGGAATACCAGTCAGTCAGTCCATCTATCAGTCAGCAACTTTGACACTCATTGGATTCTAAGACTCCTCACATTTTCTGGGATCTCAAAGAAAGATTTCCCTATGAGGAAGAAGTGAGGCTCTTGGAGACTGGCTGGTGTCAGGAGTGGCAGGTGAGATCCTTTGCTAAGAAAATTAGGCTGTCCTATTACTCTCAAAAGGGTGAAACATGAAACCATTGACCAAACTCCCCCTTCTTTGGGTTTCACCTGGGATATTTTCCAAGAGTAAGATTCTGAGAACCTGGGTCAATCAACAGACATGGCAGAACTCACCTACCATCTGCAGAGGTTCCTGGGCAAAGTCAAAATCACAGTCCAGAAACACAGGCCAACTGTAACATCAATCTGAAAGAGTTAGACGAAGAGGAAGAATTCAAAAATAAGATGACCCTTGGAAGAATTCAGAAGCATCAGACCACAGCAAGAGGGATCAGAAAGAAAGAAAAGGTCGAGGGGTGTTGCTTCTAGATCATTCCAGAAGTTCTGGAACATAATGGCAACTGCTTTTTATGGGGCGTCTGGAACCTTAGCTAGGGATGAGCAGGGAGTTTTAAGGATACCAGGCTGGCTTGGACCAAGTGAATCAACTCATAGTTGGATCCCAGGATACAGAGCCTAATCAGATGCATTTATGACCTGAGTTAATTAAAAAAAAAAAGAGAGATCAAAAACAAATGCAAAATTATTTCTGAGAGGAAGTATGGAGAGCTAAGTGAATGTTATTTAATCTGTTGTCAGGTCTAAAGGATTAATATACACCTAAAAACAGAAGATCCCAAATCCAGGAGACTGATAAAGGAGGAACAGATCGAAGAATGAGGAACAAAGCTGAGAATGTACTCAGAGATTCAAGAATGCTTCTGTGATGCCCAGAGCTCTCCCTCTTTAGGGTATCTGCTGCTATGAAAGGCATCGTTCAAAGGTGCAGAGTCATTGTGGCCATAGAATGATGGGCACACTAAAAGCTTGGGCTCCACCCAGCACCCAGCACCAGCAAAGCTCTTGGTAATGGGCGGAGACTTTTGCTTTAACCTCTGGTTCTTTTTTCCTGCACTCATTCACTCATTCCTTCATCATCGATATACTGGGTACTTTCTGAAAAGCAGCATGCCCAGTGGGTGGAGGCTTCTTGGTGAGTCCCCACCACATAAAAACAACTCACACCAATCCCAGTCCCAAAGACTGACTCTGAGAGAAGGCTCAGCTACAGGAGCAGAGTTTTAAATATCTGTCTCATCTCAGCAACTGAGCTTCCTTCCCCCAAAGGTTTCCCTGTGTGTTTACAATGGTGCAATTAAATGTCTGGATAAATAACAGTTATTAAATGGGTAAATATATTCCTAATGTGAAGCAGAGCTGGAGCTCCCCGACACATTTGCTGGACTCATTTGTTTATTTAGATCTTAGGGGAAACCAGGACATAAGGGTAATAACAGGTGACTTCTGACACATATTTCTGGGTGTTCAAATAGGGAAAGGTCTCAAGCTGACTTCAAAGGGAGAGAACATGGAGACAGGCTGCTGTGGGTATTTTTAGATCTTTCCTAACAAAAATCACTTGCACACAAATACTTGGATCTCTTTCAATGCTTCTCTTTGGGCTATTAAAGCTGAGGAAATCACACAATTGAGCTACCTTTCCACCCCACACTGGCAATCTTCACATAAAAGGCTCCTGGGCTGTAGTTTAATCTGAATAGATGGTTTGCCACATAAAAAAAAATGCCAGTTACAATAATTAGGAGAATGTACTTCTGGAGTTTCCAAGCCTTTATCTTCCTTACCGCTGGTGAATTGGAGAACACATTTATCTTGTGGGGCTTGTCTGAATAGAAGGCAGGCGGGAAAATATGGGTTTTGTGGGTGAAATGAATTTTCTTTCAGAGGAAACAGATTCCCGTTCTTGTGATAAACATGAAGCCAAAGCCTTGTTGTTAAAAAAAAAAAAAAAAAAAAAAAGAAAAGGGAAATGTGTTGGTCTTAACCAGGGCTTTCATTTCCTTATTCCAATTATTTCTTCTTCTAGGAGTAAACATTAGGTATCCACCGCATCAACCATAGTGAACTGCCATGCCCTGGGGTACACTCTTAGGGTTCTCTTGCCATTTATTATACTGAAAGTGCACTTAAGAAAATCTGGGATGTGGAAATCCACATGTATGCAAATCTCTCCCCCAACCAAACCCCCCACCCACCCACACATATACACATACACAGTGGAAAACTGCCTGGCCTTCCTTATGCATTTAAAGTTAGAAATTTATAGAAGTGAAGAACCATGTTTATGTGTAATTTTTAGTCACACAGATTTCCTCTCTTTACCCCTGATGTTTTCACCTAACAATAGTGGTCAGAGATGTAGAGTGCTTGGAAATTCCCTCATGCAATTACCAACCCACTTCTTCAGAGTTCCACACTTAACCCCAAGTTGAAGCACTCTAGACCTTCAGACATGGATCCTTTCCTTCAGCATTTCCTCATTACTCAGAACAAAAGACTGACTTTGGAGCTGAGAAAAGAGAGAGGTTTACCAGCTATCCAAAGGCAATGCTTACACTCAAGATCTCTTACTTTGGCTATGCGCACTTAAGAACAACATCAAGGAAGAAACACGAGGCTATTAATGTGGCTCTAGTTCATTGCTGGAGTTTCTTCAAAGGGCTAGAGAGTCATTGTGGAATTGCCCTTCACTCCTCAACCCCACGAAAGAGCACACAAGAGGGAAGGTTGGCAGGAGCAATGAGCAGAGAAGCTGAAGAGTCAGTAACAGCATGTCCCTGGCCTCTAGGCCAACGGCAGACAAAAACAAAGTTTTCATTTAACTGTTCTTTTTGTTCCTCCTTCTGTTTCTAGAGGATTCTCCTGACTGAAGCAGTTACTGTTTAAAACCAGGAAGAAAGCAAATATTGAGAAACAATTCAGGGCAGACTGGGAGTTGCTATGTTATGTATTTCTGTTGTTGGAGCAGGTTCAGGACTATTTTCAAAGCAGGTTCCACACACTGCCTGGAGATGACTCTCGGTCCACCTTCCACGTGGGCAGGGAGTGGCAGGCAATTCGGAAGGTCAACCTTTTCTGTGTTCTCAAATTTCACTATCCTTTTACTTTGTGTTTTTAAAATACAGCCACACATCGCTTAACAACAGAAATACGTTCTGAGAAATGTATCATTGGGCGATTTCATCACTGTGTAATTATCATAGAGTCTACTGACACAAACTTAGGTGGTACAGCTCACTACGCACCTAGGCTATATGGGACAGCCTATGTTTCTAGGCTACAAACCTATACAGCATGTTACTGTACTGAATACACTAGGCAACTGTAGCACAATGGTAAGTATTTGTGTATCAAAACATATCTAAACATAGAAAAGGTACAATAAAAATATGGCATTGCAGCCTTGTGGGACCACTGTCGTATATGCAGTCTGTCATTGACCAAAACATTGTTATACAGTGCATGACTATATACGTCTGACTTATCTAGAAAATCAAAACACCTTCTCTCCATGTCTTTCCCAGGGAACTAACAGCTGTCCAATTTTTACCAATTAGCCTGAGAGAAACAATATTTTAGAGAATAGTTTGAATAATATGTGGTCCATACCTCCCTCTCGTCCAGTTCTAGCCAACTACACTCTGCGATGATGGAAAGTTAAACAAGTTGCTTTCTGTCTGTGCTGTCCGGTACAGTAGGCACTAGGCACCTGTGGGTATTGAGCCCTGTAAATGAGGAACTAGATTTTAGATTTTACTTACTTTTAATCAATCTAAGTTTAAGTTCAAACAGTCATATTTAACCAGGTGCTATCATATTGGACATTGAAGGTTCTGGCTAATAACAACAGAAGAGCAACTGTTCACTGGGTGATTAACGTGTTGAGACACTATGCTAAGCGTCTCGAATGTATTATTTCCTTTCATCCTTACATCAGCATTTTGATGTATACTATATGTTTCTTACCCCTGTTTTATTGAAGAGGATTGAAGCTTAAAGATGGTAACTCACCCAGGGTCCCTCAGATATCAAGTGGCAGACTTTGAATCCATACCTCCCTGACTCCACCCAAACCATAAATGTCATAAAAAGTGTCAAAACAGGGATTGGGAGGAAGGACAGGTCATGTCAGATCAGACAATCAAGCAGGGTATTTAGAAGCTGGAGCAGCAGAGAGCAAAGGTGTGTGGGTAGAGTTTGTGAGGTGAAAAACGAAAGCCTGGTGATCCATTTTAGTCCCAGCGGGCTCTCCTGCAAAATGTCTGATGTTTTCTCACTTGATGGCGACTTCTTCCTCCTACCATCACACGATGAACCCTCATTTTCCTTCCTCTCCTTTCTCCCAAGAAAATCTATCACTAATTCCTTTCTTCACCAGAGGTGTGAGTGAATGATACCAGCTTCAAGTCTAGTTCTCCAGGCCACATTTTGATGGACACCAAAGCTTTCTGACGAAGTGGACTTCAAAGCCACTTCTAGTGTATTGCAAATCTCCTTTCCTAGAGGGTTTTTAATCTCAGCACTCAACTGACTGCTTGTTCTTCCTGTGCATGAAGTTGACAGAATAAACCCTTTTCTTTGAGAGGTAGCACAGCATGGTAGTTAAAAGACTGATTCTAGAGTCAGACTAGATTAGCTGTGTGACATTAAGAAAGTTTCTTAATGTCTCTGTGCATCCCTTCTCCATCCATACAGTGGTAATGATAATAATACCCACCTTGAAAAGTTGATAGCAGGATAAAAAATTGACTGCATGGAAAACACTTGGAATGGCTGTTAGCATGAGGTCATCTATTGCTATCACTATAATACTGTGTCCAAAGTTTCCTACATTTTTATAATAATAGGAATCTCCTGCAATGTGTTTTAAAGACACCATTGACACCATTTCCCAGGATCATCCCCCTAGAAATTCTGATACTGTGGGTGTGAGTGGTCCCTGGAATTTACATGTTTAACAACTACCCCTTGATTATTATGATTGTCAGGGAAGTGGGAGAAATGACTTTCTAATGGATCTGCTCCTCCGTAAGTGGATAAAGCAGTTAGAAAGGGTTATTTCTCATCTCTTCTGTAGGGTATCAGTGTCTGTTCTTTGTGCAACTTTTTTGGGAATTCGTACACACCAAAG
Source organism: Homo sapiens (assembly GCF_000001405.40). Lineage (NCBI taxonomy): Eukaryota > Metazoa > Chordata > Mammalia > Primates > Hominidae > Homo > Homo sapiens. Next base: position 33,800,414 of record NC_000017.11, on the reverse strand, counting down.
GCAGGTGTGTATGCAAGGTAAAAGCACAGAAACTCTGGAGTCATATAGGTCTTGGTCCCAAACCTAACTCTGCCCTCCTGAAGGTGTGACTGATATTGTATGAGCAAGATCTGATGCCCACAATTCCTGTGCAAAAGGGGGTGTGCATTCCAAGTTGAACTTCTTTAGGAAATCGGAAGCAGACTGGCAAAGCTGACAGATTGTCCTGGTCTAAGAGCTTGGATGGGTCTGACCAGGAATTATAACCACAAACATACAGGTCAAGGCCTGAGATGCAGATGCAGCTGAAGAGGCAATGGGGTATGTCCAGGTCAAGCAGGTAATAGAGCATGGAGGACCAGCTAAGGTCATAAAGTGCAGGAGGTCTCAAAGGTCTCTATATACAGGATCCAGAGTCCAGGACATTTGCATGGTGATAATAAGGAAGCACCTAGTGAGAGCCAATTTTAGAACAGAAACTGTTTATTCAATGCCCTGTTTTGTACTTAGTACAACCAAAGCATGGCCGCAGTATTTGTGGGGACCCAGATAGTCTGCAGTGGTTGGCCGTGCAGGTTGTATACTGCCCAACCTTAGGGAGCACCATTCACATTATCATCTATGTAAAGAGTACCCTCTTGGGTTGTTCGTTACACAACCTATACAACAATATATGGTAGCTATAGTCACCCTGAGACTGGCAGATGTGGCTTGTGTTTTCTTCATGACAGAGCAGAGGTGTCAGCCTACCTCTTGGACTAGGATTTAGTCCAAGAAGCAACTACATTATCTCATATGCCCTGATCCCAGAAACCTTACCCAGGTGCACACTGGGATCACTGCACTAGGTTGGCATTTTGGAGAAAAATAAAAGCAGGAAATAAAATGTTTTGAAAGCTTGTGGAAGAAAGAAGAAAGAAGGAAAGAAAGAAAGAAAGTAAGAAAGAAAGAAAGAAGGAAAGAAAGAAAGAAAGAAAGAAAGAAAGAAAGAAAGAAAGAAAGAAAGAAGAAAGAAAGAAAGAAAGAAAGAAAAGAAAGAAAGAAAGAAAGAAAGAAAGGAAGAAAGAAAGAAAGAAAGAAAGAGAAAGAGAGGAAACAGAGAGGGAGGGAAAATGGAAGGCAGGGAGGGAGGGAAAGAGGAAGAAAGGGAAGGGGCAGGGAGGAAAAACGGATTGATGGAAGGAAGGGAAGGAAGGAAAGAGAAGAAGGAAGGAAGGAAGGAAGGAACTGATTACACAAATATATCTCTGAGTTAGACAAGGGCTCTGACCTAGCCCTAGGCGTAAAGGTAACAAGTCCACTTACAAAGAAGAAAGAGCAGAAAGAACTAAGTTGGAGGTCAAGGCATTTGTCAATTCTATTTAGGACAGAACTCCTACCCCACTGGGGCCTCTGGACAGAAATCCAGAAGTGAGGCCTGGAAGAAAGGATGCAGCTCCAGGGACACAGAGATGGCTGGGTCCCACACAGACTTCGCAGTCCCAGCTCCCAATTGCTGTGGTTTGTATGCTCAGGAACCCACCTAATGTAGTCTCCAGGGCCCACAGCTGTGCCAGGCTCAATCTCCCCAGCCCAGGGCTGGCATTTTCCCCTGACCATTGCAAACAGCAGAAATTGCTGGTGGCCCTGATCCCTTCCAAAGAGTCATCATTGATTTGCATTAGATAGTGGAAATGCTGCCTAAATTGAGCTGGGGAATGAGCTCATTTCACATTAAATGCCTCATGATTATTGAAAAACCAGGGATGTGATGACCTTTATTTAAGCACAGCCTGCAGCACATTCCTGAAGATGATTTCCTCCATCGGCACAGAACACACAAACAGACAAGTGAATAAGCAAAGCCAACCCTACTCCCCATCAAGATGCCAGCCTGAGAGCTGCTGCGCTCCACAGAGCCAGGTGCTGGATTTGTGCTAATTGGATGAACAGTCTCATTCGCTTGATGGCTTTGATCTGTGCTTTGGGCTGTTCCATCAAGATTTCTTAAACACAAATTGATCTCTGCTAATTCATGCGTCACCACTGAATATTTTGACACCTGACACCTCCTCACTTTGGGGAATCAGTGGAGGCTGGCAAGCTAGTGGTCTTAGACATTCTCTACCCTTCCACGCAGCAAAGCTTCCTGAGCCCAGAATCTCTGCATAAACACCTGCTCTAAGGAATCTTTCTATACAATTATCTCATCCCATTTGTCTCCCTTTCCTACTTCCTCCTCCTGCCCCAACTTTCTTGCCCTTTTCAATTTTTGTTCCAATACCTACTTCTCTCCCTTTACCTCCTCATCTCGCTAGTCCTTTAGTTTCTCTCATCCTTTTCCCACTTCATTTTCTTCCCTCCGGCACTGATGAAAGCTGCATCTCCTTTTCCCATCCTGTTTCCCATCTGCTCCTTAGAGCCCTCTCTCCTCAGCTGCCACCTCTGCCATCACCTCTCCCCACTTCCTCCTTTGCACACTGCGATGATCCCTCTCTCGCCAGGCTCTGTACAGCTGAGCCAGCCTATGTGTGGGGGCTAGTCCTGTGAGTGATGAGAAGGAGGAAGCCATAGGATGCTGAAGTTGTAGGAAGAAGCACTCAGGTGTGATTGAGAAACCCCACCTCCTTCCCTGCTGCAAGCACTGAGCAGTGTCCCCAAAGGCCAAGAGTACAAACGCGGAACATGCCCACATTTCAGTCCTCCAAACAGCCTTCTGTCTGCAGACAAATAGAACCAGGGAAGCGCAAACTCACGCTTCAGCAAATTACCTTGGTCAGGCACTCTGAGCAGCAATTAACATTTATCAGAATAAAATATCTGTTGGACCAGTGAATGAACCCATCAATAATGCTGTACACAGAGCCAAGCTTCACATCAACATGCATATTTATTTACTAATGATCAATCATGGACCAACAAAATTAGACTGAAATCTAAAGTAATGACAACAACAATTATAAGATAAATATATAACATTTATACATCAAGGTAGCAGGATGCAATAATACCGCCTAACCTATTTCCCCCAGCCATTCTGCATTACTAACTCATTTCATTCTCACAGTGCCGCCAAGGGATTTCATTCTTCCCTGTGCACACTCCTCGCTAGTCATGCCAGACGTTTCCCTGACATCTCAGAGGTTTGTCTCAGCTCCAGGACTTTGCACAGCTCTACTTCTGCCTGGAGGGTCCACTCCTACTGTCTCTTTCTAACCTCTTCTTGCTCATCATGTAAGACCCAGCTCAAGTGTTACCTTCACTCTAAAACTTTCCCTGATCTATGCAGCAGAATTTCATCTTCATTTGTTTGTTGAACATATTGATGTACTGGGCACTGCGTCAGGGGTGAAACTATGGCACTGAGTGAGAGAGAAAAGGCTCCACTCTCATGGCTCTCACCTGGATCTGCATGCCCCATAACATGCACTGAACATGTCAGCATTTCCACTTTGCTTACTTCCAGCTCACCTACTGCATGGTTCTTGCATAAGGGAGACACCATACTTGAGTCTCTATGTATAATAAATGTTGGTTGAATGAATAAATAAATGAAGGAGGAAACTGAGACTCAATAGATTAAATGATTTGCACAAGATCACACCTTTAGTACATGAGTGAGCCAAGCCTGGAGCTCAGGGTTCCCATCCCTTAATCTCCTACCAGCCCCAAGTTTCTCTGTATGGCAGAAATACCTTTTTCCCTCACTTCATACTTGTCATTCAAGGCAAGCATAGGCCAGGCTATGAGTGAAGGCCAATGACTAAAGGGAAAGAGCGTTTCTGGCAGCATCATTTTCAAGTATCAGATGGATCTTGGAAATGTATGTGTGAGTGTCTGTTGTTACATAATATTTAAAGTTGACCATGATATAGAGTCAGTGTTCACTACAGTTTTAGCCTTTACATTATACAGGCTAGCTAATGTTCATTTCCTTTGTAATATCAGTATTATCTAGGTATTATTATTACTACTAATAATAACTAGCTTTGAGATCCAACCTGCTATTAAGCATGTAATATTATTTCTAATTCCAACAAAATCCTTGGAAGTTAAGAATTAGCCTTATTTTTATCAATAAGCAAACAAGAATCCTGAGGAGCAAAATGACTTGTTCAAGGACACAAACTGGCAGATACTAGATTTGGGATCTGACCCAGATGTGCTTAGCATTATGTGTTTTCCATTCTGTGGCACTCTGGTGTGTATTCCATGTTTCCCAGGGAGCACAGAGCCTTGAACTCAACTGAGAATTTTCTCAAAGTATGTACTAAACACATTGGTGGTCTACAAGGAAGGTGGGGGAGTCTGTCCTCCGACACAATTATGGTTTTCTAAACCAAGGGCAAGAAGAAGCCACTGTGATTGTGGCACTTGGCCTATTAAGTGGAAAATGCCCTCACAGTCATGGAGATTTACAGTAAAGGCATATGCAGTCAACCTCTCACAAAGCCTCATCTTAACAGTGTTGATAATCTACTGGAATTCTCCCAGATTCAACAAGTATTCATGAATTTCTGCCATGTGCTCAACTCAGACCTCTTTTTTTGTTGTTGTTTAACTTCAAGGGGAAGAGTTGGTCTTCCAGCTACCTGGATAAGTTCTGGCCCCAGGGAGTTTGCTCCCATTGAAGTGCTACTGATTGCAGGTCTTTGATATCAAGAAAGCAAGAACTTAGGCTTTCTTAGTTTCCCTTTCAAAACTAAAGATTAACAGGGCCCCTGGGCCATATTTATGAGAGATATCTATCAATGCATGGATCATCACATTACTCCCCTGAAACCACAGAAGGTATTTCTGTGTCTGTATCCCAGGAACTGGGATGGGCAACAGGTATGCTCAGAACCACTCTGAGTGGATATGGGCTCAGTGGACAGAAGGGATGGGAGTAGGGGAAGGTTGACACTGGAGGGACCCCTTTTTTCCAAAGGCCATGAGATTTCATGTCAATGTTTGAGTTCCTCCAGGAAATAGACTCTGAGAGACTTGCACATGGCAAGGTTGGAGGGGCATGCTCTCAGGAACAAGGGCTTCTGTGAAGGAGTAAGGCAAAAAGGATGGGGCAAAGAGAGAAGTTAAACTGCAATGCAGTTAGACCTCAACTTTCCCATGCAGGACTCTGGAGTTGAAGGAGATTTTCAAAGATGTTCCTAATCCAAGGGAAGGGCTGGGCCTTTGGACCCTAGCATCAACCAGTCATGGTGTAGGATGAGTAGTGTTGGTGAGAACACTTCCTTAACTGAGGGAATAGGTGCCTCAGACCTAAAGGAACATCTGAGCATTGCACAAACCATTCAGTACAGACAGTCTTCATGGTTTCTCTGTAATGTAGAGAAGTTCATTGTGGTATCACAGAATCAAGCTCCTACAATCTCCAGCTTTGCTCTGATTACCATGATACAGTGCTGGACACAAGTGGATGCCTAATAAATGCAGACTTGAATTGAATTCCATTGTATTTATAGGTCATTCAGATAATGTGGCTCATTTTCTTATCTTACAGATAAGGGGTCTCAGAGGGCCCAAGTGTCTTATTCAAAGATATACTGCTTGTTAGAGACAGAGCTAAGGACTAGAACCAGGCCCCAGTCCTGGTGTTTTCTCTACTAAACTGTGCTACCTGCTGCTGGTCATTTTGATCTCGATCATAAAAGGCTGTAAGGCAATGAGCTGATTTTATGTTTTAATAAATATGCTATATCAACAGGTCTGGTGGTGACTGTGATAGAAGGCTTGTTTGTCTCTGTGGACAAGGCTGGAATTTAATGGCCTCGGAGGGCTCACCCAATATTACCTGGAAGATGTCATTTTTCACCATGAACTTTCTACTGAGTCATCTAAATTTTTGAATTTTGGACATAGCATCAAATTTCCAAAACAAAAGAACAGGTCTAACAGGTAGTCACATACCTCCTTCTCTACAACCCCCACACTACAGTGTTTGAAATGAGATGTGCATCACCCCTGACCCACAATTCATCCATACTACATGCTCACCCATTCACCAATGGTTCCCAGGCCCTCTCTGCAGCATCACCACCTCCATCTTCCCAGGCAATGACTGATGAAGAATGTGAGGTCAGGAAGGGCATTTTACACCCTGAGGGGCCTTTGTAACACACAACACACCCGATCAGCTGCAGCCCAGCATTTAGGAAGTAGCCCCTTGACCTGTTCAGCCTGTCCTTGTGGGAAAGCCTGAGGCCCCACTACCATGTGAATCTAGGTACAAATTTAGGGCCCAAGAAACCATGCCCTCTGTCATGGAGGAGACTATAAAGTCACTCAGGACACTGCACTTTTGTCCTGCAAATTGGGGCTCCTAGGAGGCAGCTCAGTGGAATGGGTGAGCTAGAGCTTTGCAAGTTAATTTTGAATAGACCATTCACTGTCTCTCTCTTAGCCTAATTTTCCTCAGCCAGAAAGTCAGGATAAATAACACCTCCAAGAAAAGGCAGTTAGAGTGTGTGCTCTTAAGTTTTACTGTCTCTGTTTTCAAAAACCACATGTAAAATGATGAAGAAAATCATCGTCACCATCATCGTCTGAAATCCTACCATACCACCTGGAGATAATAGCCATTAACATTCCGGAGACTGAACCCTCAAGCATCTTTCTGTGAACATGTATATCATTGTGTTTGGGTAGATCAAATGACGAAGTATATTATTAGCTGTTTGGCACGGACTTGGTAGATAGAAGCATTCAATGAAAGCAGACTGACCACGTCCTTCTTTTCACCATCACCAGGTTGAGAAACAGGCACATGGTAGAAGCTTACAATCTGAAGCAAGAATACATGGATTTGGCTCCAGATCCTACCTCCTACAAGATAGGACATTTGAAGCAAGTCTTGCAACTCCTTTTAGTGTGTTTCCTCATCTACATAATGAGACAATAACCCTTGCTTTGCAACAATGGCTATGGTCTCAGATTGGCTTGAGTTTGATTCTTGGCTCTGAAAAATGCTGTTGATAGCCTGCGCTGAGGAATTCACCGTAAATGAAGTACACACAGCACTTAGTAAGTACAGAGGTTGGCCCACAGCAGATCCCCAGTTAGTGCAAATGTTTAGCAGAAGTAGCAGCAGCAGCAGTGCTAGTATCTGCAGCTCATTGCATTATTGTGAGGATAAGATAAAATAACACAGATTAAGTTTTGGAAAGTGCTCTGCAAGTATTTGTCATTTTTACACCTATAAACAAATGTTATATGTGCATGGCTATTTATTAGAAAACCTATGAATTACTATAGATATTTCTTACCCAGCAAAAAGTGTAAAACAGGCTAGACTAGACAGATTTTAGGGTCAATGTTAGGGAAGCAGCCTCAACATTTCAGTTAAAGGCTCCCCTTATTTTTCATTCATTCTTTCCACACAGGGTTATCTAACAGGTACTGTTTGAAAAGCATTTTGTTAATTACTTCAAATGCTACAGGTAGGACTAAAACATTAGTCAAAGTCCTGTTCTGGGCAGTGGATGAATGAATCTCACTTAATCCCCTTGGCCATTTGGAGAGGGTGTTGATCTGGATCCCATTTTACAGGTGAAGAAAACAAGTGCATGGAGATGAATTTGCCAAAGGTCTCAGGGCTGGAAAGGAGAGGACCTCAAGTCAAGCTCTTGAGCCTATGTTCTCTGCACCATATTTTAAGAAGTTCCTCATGGAGCATCTCTGCCTGAATGTGTTACATGCCAGCCACTCGGCCCACGGCACCTAGAGAGCTCAAAACTGAAACTCAGTCTGACCACTTCATAAGCCACTGTGATTTTCAAAGACAGGTATTTTCTTTTTTCTAAATGAAAAATAGAAGGCATTACAAGGCACCCAAGATATCTACGAATTCAGAACACCAGTTGTGACAGTTTTCAAATTTTGGCTTCAAAATATTTTCTTCTGACTGACAGCCCATAAATACCCACTTCTTGGGTTGAGTGTAATTAATCTCTGTATTTTGACCGCCACTGGTGCAAACTCATCATCATCTCTCAGCCTGGAAGTCAGCCGGTTCTCCAGCTGCTCCTCACCTCCCCCCTCCACCACCCCCAATGAGAAATAGCTACATATTCTATTGTTCACAAAGAAAAAGAGAAGCCGGGAGTGGAGGGAATGGGGGACTATCACCCTTGCCTGGTCATTGTCCAGAGACATGTTCCCAGCCCTTGGAAGTAGCAGGTGGCACTGAACAGTGGAGAATGGAGTTAAGTGGGACCTGAAGGCCAAGACCAGCTCCACCACTACCCACTGGGTTACCTAGGACCAATTGCTTAGTGGACCTCAATACTCTCATTTGTGTAATGGGAATAATAGTAGTGACAGACAACATCCTATTAAACATGTAAATAGGCCAGGCGTGGTGGCTCATGCCTGTAATGACAGCACTTTGGGAGGCCAAGCAGGTGGATCACTTGAACCCAGAAATTCGAGACAAACCTGGGCAACGTGACGAGACCCCGTCTCTACAGAAAATACAAAAAAATGAGCCAGGCATGGTGGTGCACAACTACAGTCCCAGCTACTCGGGAGGCTAAGGTGGGAGGATCGCCTGAGCCCAGGAGTTGGAGGCTGCAGTGAGCTGAGATTGTGCCACTGCATTCCAGCCTGGGTGAGGGAGTGAGATCTTGTCTTAAAATAAAATAAAATAAATAAAAACATGAAAATATGTAAAAAGCCATTTATGAACTATTATAGCACTTTAAAGAAATAAATGATTATTAGTACTATTATTATTTCCATTCTCAATATTACCATTATTTGCATGAAAGCCACCATGCTTTCTTTGCCATTGGCATAATCAACAACACATCTGGAGCCAAAGGCCACCTCCTCAGCCTTGCAGTAACTATGTTGTTATATACAGGTTTGGGGACTCACTACTTCCTGCCTGTGAAATGTCAAATATTAATGTGTCAAATTTGTCTCTCCCTCAAATTTCATACTAACCCTTGGCTACTGTACTGAATTTTTTGGAGGGCAGACCTTGTTGGAATCCAGTTCCCCTGCCCAATGGGGTCCAGGGTCATGGCGAGACTTCTACAGCAAAAGGAATCTATACCATGTGGCATTACCAACCTGATAGCCTATTTACACCCTGATGCTTCTCCATATCTCTGCAGGGCTTCAATTTGCTCATATTTCCCATGGCAGATGAACTAGCCGATCTCAGAGTGCCTTCCTTCTCTGACATGCTATGTTCTCTGTTCTGTTTATGAGGATTCTTGCCTGCCTACCTCACCCACAAGAAGGCTTCCACACAGAGTGACTATGACTTTGACATAAATCCTCATGGCTTCTTCCATCTCATTGTTCGTGACTCCTGACTTTGAGCAGCCAAAGGGTGGAATCTGCTTGTGTTTCCCTCACGTAGCATGAGGGGTCCCATCCAGTGCTGTCACTCATGCTACACCCTGGGCTAGTCCAGGGCACAGGCCAGGGAGACATGGGTTGCAATTCTGGCTGAGGCTGACTGGCTATATGATCACTTGCTCAGCCTCTCTGTGCCTCTGTTTTTTTCACCCATAGAAAGGGATAATATAGCATCTGCCTAATGGAGTTGAGCAGAGTAAGTAAGACTAATGCCTGAAAAGTGTTAAGCATCATGTCTGGTACATGATAAATTCTCAATCAGTATGAGATTCTAATATTGTTATTGTTGTTAGATCGTCATCATCATCTTTATCAGTCAGAGCTCAATCAGAGAAGCAGAACCCAATAAGAGATGATAGAGATGATAGATGTAATGTATATCTGAGATGTGTGTGTGTGTATGTGTGTGATTTATTATAATAAATCAGCTTATGCAACTATGGGGGCTGCCTAAGGAAAGCTAAAGTCTGTAGGGCTGGAGTCAGGAAGCAAAGATCATGAACAGACTGGAATTGGCTCATAAAATATACAAAATTAAGTGTAAATGAAAGTGAGAATGAGAAAATATCACAAGAGGCTGCAAATTTTAAAATAGCTAACCAATACTGCAAACACAATATCTAGAAAAATAAGAATATTTTTATTAATTAGCTGCTTGACCCACCTCTATAATACATTTTTTCTATGTTTTTGGGTGGCATATTCTGAGATTGCTTCTTCATAGGAAAACAATTTTGTGATAACAATTTTCTAGAGAGTGAATAGAAATATGACTCAGTCTTTTGTCTAGCATAGTTGGTCAAAAAAATATATTATTGAGAGTTGGGATGCATCAAGCACAGATGTAACCATTTTTTATTATACTGCTATGTGTCCAGGTCTTACAAATTCAAGAATTTTCATGAATTCTATCTTGCAAAATGCCATTTGAAAAGTAAAATAAATGTATAGTACAAACATATTAATGCCCACATTAGTATTATACGTTGCTGAAAAAAGGAAACTTCTATTTTGATTAGGCATCAATGAAAAATGTCTTCATTATACAACTTTCCATGTCTCATCATTGGAAGAATTTTCCATACAGAGCTTCTGGCTCAGTACATTTCCCACTTTGTTTCTCCTCTATGACCCACGTCATTCTGCACTAGATGCTATAGGACTTATTCATATAACTCCATGACCTGGGCCCTGGACTTGACATCACCACACCCAGTGAACTGCAGTGCTAGGTGGTGGGAGTATTCCTGGAAGCCACTCCTACACCAGAATAGTCAGCAATCATTTAACTACGCACAGAAGTGACCAAAATCCATATAAACATATCCTATTCAACCCAAAACAAATGTATCTAAAACACAACCTTAGCCAGATGCCAAGACTTCTCAAATCACTCAATACACACACACACAAAGGAAATTATGACAGAAGAGAAGTCATGGTGGAAAAAGACAATACTGATTGCCAGTAAAATAGCTTGCAAATGTTATCAAAATATACAACATCAGTGCTAGGGTTTTCCAAGGGCTTCAGAGGGGGAGCCCATACAAGTTAGGGATCCCCATAGCAGCTGAAATGCTGCACGTGTGTGTGTGTGTGTGTGTGTGTGTGTGTGTGTGTGTGACCATGATTCTCTGCTAAATCTCACAAATAAAGCCTGTTTCCTTGTCTATAAAATGGGGATTGTAGTTTGTTGTTGGGAGAATTGAGGAAAACAATGTTTATAAAAGTGCTTATCAGGATGTCTGGACCACAGTGAGGAATCAGCAAATGTCAATCATTATTAAATGTTCCTTCTCCTGTGAGATATCTTGTATTAATCCATTCTCACAATGCTATAAAGAAATACCTGAGATTGGGTAATTTATAAAGAAAATAGGTTTAATTGGCTCACCATTCCACAGGCTGTACAGGAAGCATGATGCTGGCATCAGTTTGACTTCTGGGAAGGCCTCAGAAAGGTTATAATCATGGCAGAAGCTGAACGGGGCAGGCATGTCTTACACTGCAAGAGCAGCCAGAGATGGGAAGGTGTTACACACTTTTTTTCTTTATTTCTTCAAAAAAATAAATGGGATACATGTGCAGAATGTGCAAGTTTGTTACATAGGTATACGTGTGTCATGGTGGTTTGCTGCACCTATTGATCCATCATCTAAGTTCTCTCCCCTCAATTCCCAACCCCCCCAACAGGCCCTGGTGTGTGTTGTTCCCCTCTCTACATCTATGCGTTCTCAATGTTCACTTCCCACTTATGAGTGAGAACATGCAATGTTTGGTTTTCTGTTCCTGTGTTAGTTTGCTGAGGATGATGGCTTCCGGTTTCATCCATGTCCCTGCAAAGGACATGATCTCATTCCTTTTTATGGCTGCATAGTAATCCATGGTGTATATGTACCACATTGTCTTTATCCAATCTATCGTCGATGGGTATTTGGGTTGGTTCCAAGTCTTTGCTATTGTAAAGTGTTGCAATGAACATATGCGTCCATGAGTCTTTATAGTAGAACGATTTATATTCCTTAAGGTATATAACCAGTAATGAGATTGCTGGGTCAAATGGTATTTCTGGTTCTAGATCCTTGAGGAATCGCCATACTGTCTTCCACTCTGGTTGAACTAATTTACATTCCCACCAACAGTGTAAAAGCATTCCTATTTCTCCACCATCTCTCCAGCATCTATTTTTTCCTGACTTTTTAATAATCACCATTCTGTCGGCATGAGATGGTATCTCATTGTGGTTTTGATTTGCATTTCTCTGATGATGAGTGATGTTGAGCTTTTTTTCATGTTTGTTGGCCATGTAAATGTCTTCTTTTGAGAAGTGTCTGTTCATATTCTTTGCCCACTTTTAATGGGGTTTTTTTTTCTTGTAAATATGTTTATGTTCCTTTTAAATTCTGGATAATTAGACCTTTGTCAGATGGGTAGATTGCAAAATTTTGTCCCATTCTGTAGGTTGCCTGTTCACTCTGATGATAGTTTCTTTTGCTGTGCAGAAGCTCTTTAGTTTAATTAGATCCCATTTGTCAATTTTGGCTTTTGTTGCAATTGCTTTTGGTGTTTTTGTCATGAAGTCTTTGCCCATGCCTATGTCCTGAATAGTATTGCCTACGTTTTCTTCTAGGGTTTTTATGGTTTGGAGTTTTACTTTTAAACAACCAGATCTTGTGAGAACTCACTATCAGGAGAATAGCATCAAGGGTTTGGTCCTAAACCACTAATGAAAAATCCACCCCCATAATCCAATCACCTCCTACCAGGCCCCACCTCCAACACTGAGGATTACAATTGAACATGCGATTTGGATGGGCACACAGACCCAAACCATATCACACACCTACCTCCCAGGTGCTCAGTGGAGCTCCTCTTGTATTGTCACAAACACTGTGCAGAAACTACTGATACAACAGTGAACCTTGCCACTGTTTTACTTGTCACCCTCCCCTACATGCTGCTGGGACATATTTTGAGGGCTACACCTTTGCTCAATTTTTCTTTCATTCCTTGGCACCTGTTAGAGAACATGATACCTTCTAGAGGCTCAAAAATATGTATTTTCTTCTCCTTTTCCTGAGACCCAATAAGTGTATTGGATCCTTTGGTAACATATGGCTTCACGCTCTAATTTATCCTTTTATTACATCTGAATATTCTCCTATCAGCTCTGCTCTGAAGGGAACACTAGATATTCCATCTTCCCTCCTGGGGAATGTGTGAATACAGGTCTGGTCCCAGGTTACACACCTTCTTCAGCAGGTGGAGCCTCTACAGCCACAGATACCACTTTATCCAGTAACAAAGACTGCCTCCAAAAAGGTAGTAATAGCTCTGGGACCTCTGGGGCCTTGCAGAATGCAGTTCACCTTTCATTCAGGCAACTTTGGAAATAATTGTTGCAATGGGAGATAGCAAGTGTTTAAAAGGAGAAACTGCCTTTTGTGAGCACGCTGTGAGAGCCGTACTGTGCTCCTGTACCATAGGCCCCTTCTCTCCTGGACTCCCCACAAGTACTTTGGAAGTACCCATTAGCAGGTATGCAATGAGAAGAGTATCTGTAAATCAGTCTCATCCATCCAAGAAGCTTGATTTCCCAAAGACATCTAATTAGCAATTCTTTGCTAAATTAGTTTGTATCACAGTATGAAAGTATGTGCTTGAGAGGAATAAAATTAGCCCACCTTTGATGATGTACTGCAGCTCACCCTTCTCACTGACTCAGACTCTTCATGCAAAATGCCCTTTGTCTATTTTTCTTCGATTTTCAGCTGAACCTGAGGGGTGACTTGTAGTACCCAAGAGAGATAAGCCATCAACACTGCCTGCTTCCCAACCCTGACTTTCACTGCCTCTACAGCAAAATGACCCAGGGCTTAGGACACATGATGGGGTGGCCAGGGGCCAGGAGTCTCATGAATTGCTGACAGTGAGTAATGAAGATTTCCTTTGACTGCAGTAAAAAGGGAAAAATAAGGAAAGAGTAGTGAATTTTCATAAAATGAAATTTATTAAATTTAAAAAGCCATTCTTTACTCTAAGATTAAAATATTTTTAATTAGGTGGGTATTAAAAATGTCCTTTATATGTAAAATAATGGTGATAGCAGATAGTAAGTTTTTAAGGGCAAAATAAAAAGTTGGTCCCCAATGCCACCTTCAGTTTTTCTTTTTTTTAATTCATCATTTACTACTTCTTGACATCAAGAAGTCTGGGAATCTCGACTTGTACTTGGAGCTCAAGGTCACCCTTCCCACTCCTCTACCTGCTCTATCTTGGAATCCCAGAGGGAAGAGGTCTGAGATATCACCTAGTGTGCTGGGTCCCTGTCCATTACCAGAAAGGGTAACTCAGGGCTCACCTTCTATTTCAGGGTCACATTTATGGCCCTTGAACCTGCCAGTTAGTCAAACAAGTTTGCCCACAGCCTGTTACTCTGCCTGGTTTATGCCAACATGATCAAGGGGGGGGCACAGATGAGAAAGCTGAAAGGCTTGTGTCCAAACCCCAGCCTCTTCTCTTACTTCCAGCTGCGTGAGCTTGCCAAGCTCCTTAAACTCTCCCTGAGACTCAGTTTCCACACTGGGAGAATGGAACATAGTAATGACATTGCAGCAGCACTTAGCAGATAGCAGTAAACCTGTGCTGGTCTCTGAAGCAGCCGACGCAGATTCCAGTTCAAGGGATCCTATGTGGTAGTTTGAATGCACTTGCTTTAGTAGCAAAATCTTCTGCCTCCCCTGGTCTTGCCATCTTCCTGAAGGTCTGTGCTATGTTGGAGTCATCATTCTCTCTGGCCCCTGCAATTTGGAATTTCTCATAGAACAGTAATTTGAAAGGACTTTCAGCAACCGTTTGACCATTGGACCATTTGACCATTTCATTTCATAAGTGAGAATATTGATGACTCAAGTACCACTTTCAAAATCACATGTGACTAGAACCCACATCTGTGATTCACAAAAAGATTACTATTAAAAAATTGTTGGGAAGGAAAGTGGATGAAAAATATAGGCATTAGTGGTTAGGAGTAAGGGCATTGGCTCAACAGCAAGGTGAAGGTAGACCTGAATTTGAATCCTGGTTCAGCCACATTCCAGCCATGACTTGGGAAGATTATGTAACCTCTCTAAGCCTCAGTGTCTTCATCTATAAAATGGAGTTGTTGTAACTGCATTGCAGAGATGATGCAAACAGAATGCAAATGAGATTGCTAGGGCTGCCATAACCAAGTAATACAGACTGAGTGGCTTAAACTACAGAAATTGATTTCCTCACAGTTCCAGAGGCTGGAAATCTGAATTCAAGGTGTCGGCAGGGTTGGTTTCTCCTGGGGCCTCTCTTCTTGGCTTGTAGATGGCCATCTTCTTTCTTCATCTTCACATCATTTTCCTTCCTTGTGTGTCTGTACCCTAATCTCCTCTTCCTATAAGGACACCAGTCATATTGGATTAGGTCCACCCTAATGCCCTCATTTTTTTTTTAACCTTGATTACTTCTTAAAGACCCTATCTCCAAATATAGTAATATTCTGAAGCCCTGGGAGTTAGGACTTCAACATAGGAATTTTTGGGGGAATGTGATTCAGCTCATAACAACATGCAAAGCACTAATCAGACACAATATATGTAGAATCTGCTGTTAGTGAGCTTGTTTCAAGGGGACAAAGGCAAGGAAAAAAAATGATAAAGTACGGGTAAAATTGTTCCCCAAAAGGCATGTCATAAGGTCCTGCACACTTCACTACTGTCTGGGCTGCATGTCTGACCCCAGCTTTCTGGGGCAGTCTCTAGACCTGCACTGCACAAAACAGCTCTCAGCTACATGTGGCTCTTGAGCACTGGACATGTGGTTCATGGGAATCAAGAAGTGCTATAGGTATAAAATACAAACCAGATTTTGGACTAAGTATGAAAAAAATGTAAAATATCTTCATTAGTAATTTTTTGATACAGATTACATGACAAAATTATAATTTTGTTGCAATGATGTATTGCATTAAATTAAATATATTACTAAAATTCATTTCATCTTTTTACATCTCTTTCCTTTTTAATTTGGGCTTCTGGAAAATTTAAATTACATATGTAGCTCAGAGAATATTTCTATTGAACAGCATTGCCTAGGAGGTAGCAATGGTCATGAAATAGATTAGTGTTTCTGAAGCTTGGTTCACCATCACATTCACTTGAGGGAGGAGGGGTAGGGAGATTGTTCAAAATGCAAATTCCTAGGCTTCTCCTCTAAAGACTCTATTTCAGTAAGTTTAAGAGTTTGTATTTCCGCGTACATGCCAGGCATTGCCAGAACTACCCATGTATTATCTCCCTGAATGCCCTCATCAAACCCATATATACATATTAATTTTTCAGATGAAAAAACAGGACTGGGTATGATGAGATACCTGGCCCAAGGCCTTTAACCTAATGAGTGGTGGAGCCAGGGCTGATTCCAGGGCTCCCTAACTTCACAGCACTTAGAGTGCTCAATGACCCCCCAACCTCACAAAACTTCAGTCTCCTAATGCCAGACTCCAGGCCCCCCTGAGCTTGGTTGCACCATATTCCACCCACAGGCAGAGCTGTACCTTTGGTGCTCTGGGCTCTCAGGTAAAGAGTCGCTGCCAAGTTCCTGCCAAGGGCATCTCTGGAGACGGTATGGCGTAGAAAGTCGGTTCCTCACTTAGAATAATGGAACATGATAAATGGAGCATCCTAAATGGAAGAGACCTTGCTGACTATCCAGCTAAATTTCATCAGGTGGATAACTGAGGTCTAAAGTGGGCACATGATTTGCCAAAAATTACAACTGGAGTTGGGACTAAGAATCCAGGGGTTTCCATGGGAAAGTCCATTCCCCTTCATTCATGTTTTTTCAAACTTATATTAGCAGCAATATCCTATTCTGAAAACAAACATGGAAATCCAAAATATAGACAGATGACAGGAGAGCCAGTCTGATTAAGGTAGGGATGGGTGGCCCAGACACCACCTAAGTGTTCATCTACCATGTGGCAGGCAACCCTGGAGCTCTGCTCTGCAGTGCAGTTTAAAGGCCACTGCCAATGCTCATTTATTCACCAACAACAGTAGTCCTAATATCGCAAATGCTTTGAGCATCTAACATATGCCAGACACTCTACTGAATTTACATGCATGAATTCCTTTAGTCCCTGTTAGGACCAATGATGTAAGTGCAATCACTATCTCCATTTTACAGAGGATGCCACTGAGGCATGGAGAGGTTATGTTACATGGCCAAGATCTCACCAGGATTAGTAAGTGTCAAAGGGATGATTTGAACCTAGGCTGTCTGATTCCAGAGCATGAGCTATTAACCACAACGGTGAAGGAGATGGTTAGTGCCTTGCCTCTGCATAGCTTAGATTCAGGTGAAGGTGAACAATCAACTGGTAAGCAGGTAAGTGAGATCATTTCTGCTAGCCATGGGTGCCAAGAAGGAAACTGCACAGTGTGGTGATGGAAAGTGATGGGGTGAAAAGGAGTAATGTAAGCAGGGTGCTTAGGAATCTGCTGAGGGGACATTTGCTCTTGGGTCTGATGGATAAGAAGGGACCAGCCATGGGAGAAGCCCAGGAGCCTTCCAGGCAGAGAGAACAGCAGGTGCAAAAATTCTGAGGCGAGGAAGTTTTGGGTGTTCTAAGGAGAGCAAGGAGACCTCTGTAGCTAGAACAAGTGGGACGGAGAGGAGGAGATAAGGTCAGGGGGGCTGGCCGGAGCCTGAGAATAGGCTTGTTTGGATGTTCTTCTCAGCATGTAGGAAGGCACTGAAGGGTTTTAAGCAAAGGAGGTCCATGATCAGCTCATATTTTTATTTCTTTTGGTGGGGGAGTAGTGGGAGTGGCAGGGCCTTGCTTTGTCACCCAGGCTGAGTGCAGTGGTATGATCTCAGCTCAGTGCAGCCTCGACTTCCCAGGCTCAGGCAACCCTCTCACCTAAGCCTCCCAAGTAGCTGGGACCACAGGCATATGCCGCCAAGCCCAGCTAATTTTTTGTGTTTTTTAGTAGAGACAAGGTTTCGCTATGTTGGCCAGGCTGGTCTCCAACTCCTGAGCTCAAAGAGTCTGCCTCGGCCTCCCAAAGTGCTGGAATTACAGGTGTGAGCCACCATGCCTGGCCAGCTTATATTTTTAAAAGATCACTCTACAATGCAGAAAGGATAATCTTTTTAACAAATGGAAATTGAGCAATGGGCAAAAAAAAAAAAAAGGAACTTCAATCTAAACCTTATACTTTACAAAAACTAATTCAAAGAGGACCACAGATGTAAATGTAAAAATGTTAAACTTTGAAGCTTATAGGGGAAAAAAATAAGATAAAGGCCCCAGGACTGAGGGCTAGGCAGAGTTTTTGGACATACACAAAAGTATTATCTGTAAAAGAAAAAATGTATAAATTGGACTTCATTAAAATTAAAAATGTTTGCTCTACAAAAGACCCTGGTTGAAAAGATAAGCTTCAGACTGGGAGAAAATATCTGCAAACCACCGATCAGACAAAGAACTTCTATCTGGAATATATAAAAGCCAGTCTGCCTGCTGTGGGAGAATGCATTGCAAGAGGCCAGATTGGAGGCAGGGAGACCATGCAGGGGAGGTTCCTACAGAAATCTATAAGAGAGCCACCGGTGGCTTGAGCTGGGCCAGAGAAGAAGAAATGGGAGGCACTCAAGTTATATCTACAAGTGGAGTCAAAAGGAATTTCTGACGAACAGGGTGTTATAGGAAGGTAAAGGAAGAATCAAGGATGCCTTATTATGTCTTTAAGGCTGGGTCCATGGAAAGCCCCTTGCTCCTATGTGGGAGACTGGGAAATCAGGAAGGGGAGGTGGGGACAGCAAAGACTGTCAGCGGTGGGGGAAAGGAGCAGTATTCAAGGGCCACCTTCTCCATTTGTCTCACAGCTGACTTCAGATGCTTTAATTCTATGTGGAGCAGGGCTGACTCCTGTGTTCGCTCTGTGTCCTTGAAAGCCTTTCCATCATGGTTTTCATGACTATCATGTCCAAATGCATTACTGTTACTACAACACTGGTGGCAAGGATCCACTTTTGGTGAATGGGCTCGATGGAAGTGACTGTTCACCCTACCTCACCCCTCTATGTCTGCCTCCCAATCCCACCCACTCCATCATCCTGCGCTGTCCCCAGCATCTCTCAAGACCAATGTTAGAGACAATATTGATCTTAGTGTTCCAGAAAGCAATTCCAAGAAATGCACACACAGACACCTGAGCAAAACAAAAAGACACGTAGCCAGCCACTCAGAAATGCTGTGGAGAGGCGTCTCGGGCTCTTTAGCATGGTCCAGTGGCCACAGGGGCAAAGCTTTGGTCATTTCTAACAGGAAAGCAGCAGGCAGTGAAGATTAAGCTGCGTGGCTGTTAGCAAACATTAAACGCGGGCACTTTGGGAAGCAGGGCTGGGAGAAAGGTTTAGGATAAGGGAACCACCCCCATCCCCCTCCACACCAACCCAGTGATGGCGACCCTCTGTATGCCTTGAGTTTCCTTTCAGGATACGATTCATCATCATGCCTCTGCATGCTCATTACCCCCGATCCTCACATGGCCTGAGCCCGGCCCTGTGCCAAGCTGTTCACACACATTAACTTATCACATCCATTTTATGGATGAGAGAACTGAGGCTCAGAGCAGCTAAACAACTTGGCCTGGGTCATATGGCTGATAAAGAGAAGAGCCCAAGAGTCATATCTAGGCTGAGTGACACAAAAGCACTTCACTGTTAAGTCAATGACCACCCTGGCAGACCAGGTCTTGCTCCCTGAAGGGCCCTCCCGCCTTCCCTGCTCAGAG
The DNA here is from genome assembly GCF_000001405.40 of Homo sapiens. NCBI lineage: Eukaryota > Metazoa > Chordata > Mammalia > Primates > Hominidae > Homo > Homo sapiens. The sequence goes on along the minus strand of NC_000017.11, from coordinate 33,780,753 downwards.
TCCTCCACTGCCTGGGAGCAGAACCTGAGCTGACTCCTGGTACCTGGGTTCTGGGGACAGTGCCCGCCACATAACTGCTGATTCCTGAGAGTTTGCAACTGCCGGATTTTCCCACCTTTGGACTGCACCTACTATTTGAGATTCTAGGGTGTTAAGTAACTCATCCAAGAAATTGACTGGATAGGGATTCAAACTCAGGTCCCTTTGGCTGTAAAACTTGGGTGTTCTTCCAACAACCTATATTATTACACCTGGAGTAGGTGTAGTGTGTGCTTTGCACTGTTTCCCCAAGACAGGGATGGGTTTGCACTGGGCTTTTCTACTTCTTGCTCTTGCTTGTGGGCTAGGGAACACTGTGGCTACAATGGGGTGGGCATTGGTGGTTCAAGATGTTCAGAAGTATGGAGTATATATCCTCAGCCCACTTGTGGTCTGCCACCCAGGGGAGGCAGCATAGCCTGGCAGTTAAGACCATAGCTTCCAGGCCAGGTGTGGTGGCTGACCCCTGTAATCCCAGCACTTTGGGAAGCCAAGGCAGGAGGATCACTTGAGGTCAGGAGTTCAAGACCAGCCTGGGCAACATAGCAAAACCCCGTCTCTACCAAAAATACAAAAATTAGGCAGGCATGGTGGCGGGCACCTGTGTTCCCAGCTACTCAGAAGGCTGAGGAAGGAGAATTGCTTGAGCCTGGGAGGTGGAAGTTGGAGTGAGCTAAGATCATGCCACTGCACTCAAGCCTGGGCAACACAGTGAGACTCTGTCTCAAAAAAAAAAAAAAAAAAAAAGGCTTCTGTAGCCAGACCTGGGTCTAAATGCTACTTCTGTCACCCACTAGGTATGGGACAATGTCCAATTCACTCACTCTCTAGATTTCAATTTCATCATCCATAAAACTATGATAGCAAGAGTCCCTGCCACATAGGGTTGTGCGAAGATTAAATGAGTTGGAATAGTCAGGCATTTGAGTGGTGCTTGGCATGCGGTAAACATCCAGTGAACCTTAGTTGCTGCTGCTGTTGTTTTGCTGTTGTTATTATTATCCCACTAAAACCCCTTTGCGGGATAATCCATCATCCCTCCCCCTCACTTCAGGATATAGAACTTTCTGCATATATTATTTCTCCCACACTTTCCCCACAACCCCCAGCCCAAGGATCCCGGAGAGAAACTAAGTTTCTTAGGTTTGTCTGCCAGGAAAGCTGAAACTTCTGAGAGCACTAGGTTATTCATTCTGAACACGGGACAAAAGCCCTAGCTGGCTTTGTATCTAACTGAACTGATTAAGCTGCACGTTAGCTAGGGATAAAGCTTCTTACAGAATAACTAGACTTTTGCTGAGCCGGGATGATAAATTCATTCTTAATGCATTGATAATAAAACAGAGATTTTTTTTTTCTTGTGTTGAGTTCCCAGGGGCTTGAGCGGTTGAGATAAATCTGTGTTGAACACCGCCATCTGGAGGGCAGCTGAAGAACTGCACCCCAGGCAGAGTTAATCTTTTTTTTAAGGAACAACAGAACTTAACAGAATTCTAAGAGGTTCAAAGCAGACACCCTGGGAAGCCAAATGTGTTTACAAAATGACTGCCAATAGTTACTTATTACCCTGGAATGGCATCCTTCTGATTGCATGGCCGTCCTGCATGGCTTATTCTTCTATTAAAAGTGGTCTGGGCCCCTATGACATATTTGACTCAATGAAACAGATTTTTTGAGCACCTACTATGTGCCAAGCACCACACTAGCACTGTAAGGGATACAGACATGAGTAAGGCCCTGCACTTAAGATGCCAGGAGGGGGATGAGCAAAATAAGGACAAGATGACTTAAACATAGCATAAGTTAGAATACCCTAGGCGCCCTGCCCCTATTGCTACCCAGTAGGGGCCAGCTTGGTGAGATTCAGAGGAAGGGAAGAAGAGAGAGACTAATACTTCATGAGTATCCACTATGCAGTCTAGACATTATCTCACTTAACGTGCATCAATACCCTGTGCGTTTAGTTACTCTTTCCCATCTTATCTTGGAGAGGACGTCGAGGCTCAGAGAGGTTGAGTCACTTGCCCAATGCTACCCAGTAGAGAAGTGAAGAAGTCAGAATTCTGGTCTGATTCTAAAACTCCTTCTATGATATCAGGCCGCCTGTTGAGGGAGGAGAATAAATTTATGGGGAGATAAGCTCTTGAATTATCTCAGTGGTGACAAGTGTTTATCCCCAGGAGGTGAATTTGATTTTCAGAAACAGTCTTTCTGGGCCAAATCATCCAATGGATAATGGGATTTGAGGGTTTTTTTAAAGGTATGAATCCAAGGCACAAAATTGTTTTTTTGCCTATCTGCTGATAAACTAGCTAAAAGGTGTTTCTCAAAGCCTGGTAAGCAAGCAAGGGCAGGGGATGAGGTGTGGCTGGTACAGGCACGACTTTGACAAGGACTGTGTTCTTTTGGATGTATTGGTTCCAGTGTGTTCAGCATCCATATTTTTCTTTTTTACACTCATGCTTCTAGTTTTGAAGCAAGAGCTTTTTTTATAAGTATTCACAGAGGATCTCCAAACTCTTTTCAATTCCCCCTGAGATCTCAGACAGGAGCAACTCACCTCCATTTTAGAAAAGAGGAGATGGGCTTGAGATGAGTGCATCCCCTCACAAGGTAGCTCAGTGAATCAGCAGTGATACCAAGGGGACATTGAGGACACACAGCCTCCTCCTATTTCCCAGCGGAAGGCCCACGAGTAAGGTCATTGATAGTGCTATCCTGAGAAGGGCCACATTGACACACAGCCCATCGTGGAAATAAGGAAATGAGAGTCAGCAGGGCTGAGCTGAGTCAGTGCAGGGCAATGGGAAGTCAAGAGGTAATCACTGAAGGCTTCCTGCAAGAGGTGTCATCAAGGTCCACTTTGAGGAAGGAGAGAAGCACTTGGTGCCACCCCATTGTCTTGTTACGATAATAACCGCACACCTGCTACCTGGGAGGACTTTTAATAACATCACAAAGGACATTATGCATCAGGTAATCTTTTTTCCAGCTTATAATTAACCTGGACATTCATTTTCTAGTCAAAGATAGGAAGCCAGGAAGCATCCCTTCAGTTACCGCACAGCAGGCTGAATTCAGGTGTCCAAATGGCAATTTGTCAAACCTCTCTGTGCACTAGAACCAGGTTCCCACATGACTTTTGCTTGAGCTCAGTCTGCAGCCCAGTTGTTCAAACAGATGTGTCATGGTGGGTTGGTGGGCTGGGAGGGAGGTGGGGACTTTCCTTGGCAGCCTCATTTCCAGGGCTTGTATCACATCAATCATATTAAGCCCCAAAAGAAGTCCCTGCAACTTCACACCAGAATCCCAAGATACTCCTGGCTGCCTTCATCATGACCCATCATGAGGAACCAATTAAATTATTCTGTGATGAAGGCTGGTGATAATAGTTTTGGAAGCCATTATGGCTTATACACATGCTCTTTTTCCCCATTCATTCATTCATTTAACGATTCAGGCAGATAGGATGCAGGCAAAAGCCCAGAGGGGCAGAAGTGCCATTCATTCTGAGAAGCTCAGGGAATTCAGGAATTACAGGATAGAAAATGAATAGGTGGTGAAGATGGTGACCCTAAGGGGATCAGCGGGCGCCAGCTTACATGGGCTGTGGATGCCATGCCCAAGAGGCAGACATTGGCTTGGTGCCAGCTTACATGGGCTGTGGATGCCATGCCCAAGAGGCAGACATCGGCTTGGTGGTAATGGGAAGCCATCGCAGGGCTCGGAAGGGGAGACACAGGGTCACACGGTGCTCAGGATGGAGGGAGCGAGGCTGGAGATGGGAGGTCACCCAGCGAAAGATGTAAGGGCCACACTAAGCCAGTGGCAATGGCCATTGTTATTATTATTATTTATAAAAATGGCATTCCTGTGCTAACGAATAAAGTAGAGAGTATCCGAAAACTCAAATTCTATCACGAAGCCCGAAGCCCAGCTAGGTGCTCTGCCTAAAGTCACAGAGCGAGGGTGTGAAAAAGCCACGGTAGAGCTCAGGCCTCCGAGTCCAGACCAGGAACTCACTCAGCACCACACTGGACCCCCCGGCCTTTGTGTGTTTGCTTGCCCCTGCTTCCCTCCTTTGGCCTCGATTCACAGAGGGCCAGGTGTGGGTGACAGCGAGGAGTTCCAGGCCCAAGGCCAGCAGCCCTGTAGCAGTTGTCTATCTGAATTTCAAATGTAACTCTGCATCCTGTATTTTATCTGGCAACCTTACCATCTAGTCTGTTCGGACTCCTGAAACAGAATACCACAGACTGGTGGCTTATAAACAACCAATCATTCTAGAGGCTGGAAACCAAGACCAAGATGCCAGCAGAGTTGGTGTCTGGTGAAAGCCTGCTTCCTGGCTCATAGGCTGCCATTTTTTTGCTGTAACCTTACATGGCAGACAGGATGAAGAAGTTCCCTGAGGTCTCTTTTATAAGGGGCTATCCCAATTATGAGGGTTTCACCCTCAGGACCTACTCACCTCCCAAAGGCCCCACCTCCTAATACCAATAACCTTGAGGGTTAGGATTTCAACATATGAATTTAGGCAGGGACACAGACATTCAGTCTATTTTTTTTTTTTTTTTTTTTTGAGACAGAGTCTTGCTGTGTCACATAAGCTGGAGTGTAGTGGCATGATCTTGACTCACCGCAACCTCCGCCTCCCTGGTTCAAGCTATTCTCCTGCCTCAGCCTCCCAAGTAGTTGGAACTACAGGTGTGCACCACCACACCCGGCTAATTTTTATACTTTTAGTAGATACGGTGTTTCGTCATGTCAGTCAAGCTGGTCTCGAACTCCTGACCTCAGGTGATCCACCCTCCTCGGCCTCCCAAAGTGCTGGGATTACAGGTGTGAGCCACAGCGTCCAGTCTGACATTCAGTCTATAACACCAACCCTATAGGAATCACTGAAGGTCAGAGCCCCAAGGACAGCACAGAGAGTGGAAGAGCTGAGCTTACATGAGACTCACTGTCAGGAGGAGGTGGACAAAGAATTGCAGCATCATACAGACTCAGTTCCCTCTGCCAGGGACACTTTCTCACCACACACACATACCACAAACATGCACATGTGCTCACACAGCACATACACATGCACATTACACACGCACATCACTCACCACACACAGATGCACACTATGGGACCCTGCTGTAGATACCTGCTTAACTCCCACACAGATTTTAGATCTCAGCTCAAACTTTATCCTTTCATTCGTTTCGCACCTACAGATCTCCTGTTATTTGCTCACGTACTCTTCATTCACATAATTCTTCCAGCTGTCAAGAAATACTTCATGTTAATCAGCTTTAGTATCTTACCACTCATACTCCCAGAGTGTCAGCCCATGAAGGCAGATGCTGAGTCCCAGTGTACTGCTGCATCCTCTGTGCCTGGGAGTCAGAATATGGGTTCTACTCTGGTTTTGTAGTGAACTTGCCATGCAACTTGAAACAGCTCTCTTTGTCTCACTGGAACTCTGTTTCCCAATTTGTAATGTGAGGAGGCTGCAGTAGCCTCCCAGCCAGCTCTGACCATCATGGAGTCTCACTTGGCAAACAAAGTTAACCCTCCCTGTTCTTCAGAACTCTCCATGTTATCCCTCTCCTGTCTCTCCCAAGCCCGGATGGGATCGCTTCCAAGCCTTGCACAGTATGCTCAGGTCACTCCATGGCTTTCTGAGCATTGCTCTTCAGGATATGTCTCTTTTGGATACTCTGTCCTCCTGGATTAAACTACTAGGGACTGTTGCATTGGCCTGGGTTCCCTCACACCAAATACCTGTTAAGGATCCCTCATGAACCAGGGACTGCACAGTCATTGAAAAATTCATCATTGTACCCGAAAAGAAGTAAATTTGCTGAATTATCCTATGGCTGACTTGGCTGGAACTGACCATAAAGATATTCAGTCTAGGGATGGTACATGTTGCAGACACTGCTGGTTTCCTGCACAATATTCAGACTCCATTTCTTTACTAGCAGAATTCTAGTCATTTTGAGTGGCAGAAATGAGCCCAATTAAAGTGTGTATGTCTCCAAACTCCCATTTAACAAGGTGTTGCTATGTCATACAATTTTGGTCAATGGGATATAAAAGAAGTTTGCTAGGAATTTCTGGAAAATGTTTTGCTTTCCAGATGCAGATATGCTCCTTTCCCCCTTTCTCCTTCCTTCTTTTTTCTCTTGCTTAAAAATAGAGATGGCAGGCTGAGGTGGAGCAGCCATCTTGAAATGAGCTGTGGTGACAACCACAACAATCACAGCACTTCAGTGAACCATTCCAGTCATCCATATCTATGCCCAAGGCAGACATCACAAATCAATCACAGCACTCTTTCCTAATGAGCCTAGACATGACCTCAGACTCTCATTCAACCCATAGCTCCAAGCAGCTGCTACCAATTGATCAAAGTTGGCCTTTGGGTGAAATCCATTAGCCATATCTGACCTCACCCAAATTTCCTTGACCCATCATTTTGAATAAAAATGGGGCATGAGAGAAAAGCGATTCTGAAATAACAAATTAATGTCACAGCCAGAGTTGGGAGCAGATTTCCTAACTCCTGATGCAGGGGAAGAAATATGAGCTTGGGAGCCAGAGAGCCTACCATTTTTATCTTGCCCATGCCACTTACTGTCTGGGTGACATTTAAAATGTCAGTAACTTTACCTCTCTGAGCTTTAGTTTTTAAAACTGTGATATGAAGATAATGCTGCATACTTCCCAGGAAGGTCGAGAAGACTAAACCTATGGGTAAGACATGGTGGCTCAAGACTGTACATCCCAACACTTTGGGAGGCTGAGAAAGGAGGATTGCTTGAGCCCAGGAGTTGAAAACCAGCCTTGGCAACATAGCAAAACCCTGTCTCTACAAAAAAAAATAATAATAAAATTTAAATTAGCCAGGCATGCTAGCATATGCCTGTAGTCTCAGCTACTTGGGAGGCTGAGGTGGGAGGATCACTTGAGCCCAGGAGTTGGAGGCTGCAGTGAGTCATGATTGCACCACTGCACTCCAGCCTGAGGGACAGAGTGAGACTCTGTCTCAAAAAAAAAAAAAAAACAGAGAGACTAAACTGTGGAAGAGGAATTAAACCTAAAAGACATTCAGTGCATCTTGGTGAATCTCTTCTCTCTTTCCTTCCCCTTCTCAGTGTGGTACAATTCCACAGAGAGAAAATGACTAGAATTAGAGAAGTAGAACTGGGATAATGAAAAGAGAGATTGGTCTGATTTTCTGAAAATGAATTATATCCACTCCAAACCTGCCCCGCCACATATGGATCTGCAACTTGGCCAAAAGCTAGAACAAGCTAATTCTCTGCTCAGTTGAGCAGCAGTCTCCCTGCCTTTGGGGGTTTTAATGGCAATCTGGGGTGTGAAAAGTTATTAGTTAGGAAAGAAATAGCTCTTACCTTATTGCAAGTGCTTTCCTTGTGACCACCCATCCTCTAGAGTGTAGCCCATTACAAAGGGAGTTCATTGTATGATTTAAAAAAAAAAAGTAGTTGAATTCTTAGTGTCATTTTCTGAAAGATTTTCAATCCCTATGCAGTTTAAACTTACTAGACACAAAGTTTTAGAAGTTATTCAACAAAAAGCATCATCTGGTATAATGTGTCAGGAGTTTGAACCATTTCACTACATTTGAGTCAGATGGCCGTGAATATGTGACTTGTGTGTACCCTCTTCATCTGCAGTAGGCACAAATAACAGTCGTTTCCACTTATTAAGCACTTGCTGTGTGCCAGGTACCACGCTAAACACTTTTCCATGCCTTATAGCTTTTAATCCGCCCCCACACTTGGCCAACAAACTCATTCTTTGGGAAGTATCCGGTTTTCAAATGAAGAACATGTTATATAATTTCAACAAGACCACACAGCCAGTAAGTGGCCAAGCTGGGATTTGAGTCTCCGCCTCACTGATAGGAAGCCCAAGCCTCCCCGCTTTCCTCAAGAGACAGGTTTTAGGATTGAGTGTGATAAAGAGTCAAGTGCCTGGTGCATATTGAGAGCCTAGGAAACATTAGTTCCCTTTCTTCCTCGTCTAAAGTGGTATGGCATAGTACACATACAGTATAGGATATAGTGTATCTTTGTATACCACATATGTATATATAGGTATACATACTACATACATAATACATAGTATACATATTGTGGGGCCAAGGTCCTTGGCCCCGTACAGGTTTCCTGAGAAATCACACACATAAAGCAGATTGGTGAAGAGGAGAAAAGACATACAAATTTATTTAATGTGTAACACAGGAGCCTTTAGAATGAAGACCCAAACATACAGGGAAAATTGTCCATCTTTATACTTAAGTTCAACAAAATATGGACAGCTGTGTAGAAATATGATTGGCTAAAAAGGGTATGATCTAATGCTAATAGACTGCTTAGGAAAACCCAGCAAGGCTGGCCTGTCTAGATTCTTCCAGCCTTCTCTGAGCATTCATTCCTTTCCTCTGGATGTGGGACAGGACCCTCTCTGGAATGAGGGTCTTATGACCCATAGTCAAACAAGGCAGTTAGATCATTTATTTATGGTCTATTTTTACATAGAATATTTTTAGGTTTTACAGCTGGCTTTCAGGAAAAGGGGTTCTGCTCCTGTGACTCTCCTTGGGAAAGAGGGATTCTAGTGTCTCTGGTTGGCCTCAGGGGAAAATGGGACTGATAGGCAGGAAGACAGGAGAAAACCAGAGAAAAGCTTCTGCTTCTGAGGCTGCTACTTCATTTTGGGTATTATTTTCTGAGTCCCAACAATTTACATACTACATACTATATATACAGTCTACATTTAGTATATAGTATAGTATGCACGAATGCATAAAAGTGATCTCCATCCCAACAGAAAAACAAGATAACTGTTTGAAGTGATGGAAATCTAATTACCACGATTTGATCCCTACATATTTGATCTTTTGCCTGTATCAAAAGATCACATGAAGCCCAGAAATATGTACAATCATTATGTATCAATTAAAAAAATGAATAACACCACAACACGAGTGATCTCTAATGCTGATCTGACCAACAGCTCCCCAAGAACTTTTGCTGGGTTTTGCAGTGAGACAGGGAAAAGGCCCTGCAGGCCTGTGCCAGAAACTCCAACAAGCTCAGCCCTCAGGCAAAACCAGAGTCCTGGCATCTTGAAAAAAAAAACACTAATGTAAGTTCTGTGGGGCCTCAGCTCAGATTCAATTTCTACCCACAGGCACAGGCTTAAAAAACAGCAATACAAAGGAAGAGGAGGAGATGGAAAGAAGACATGTTATGTAGATGTAGAGTCAGAAAGAAAATCCAGGCTGACAGCAGAGTTTGCACACATGGAATGCAGGGCAGTGAGACAGAAGGTGCCCAAATGTGCCACACAGATCAGATTAGGGTTGCACCCAGACTCTGCCACTTACTGTGCAACCTGGGATGAATTATTTTGATCTCCCTGGTCCTCAGTCTCCATAACTGCTGTTTGTTTGAGGAATGGTGATAATTTTCTTATTCTCAGCACAGACATCCACCCAGAACACACCAGAACGAGCTAAGGGGCTGTTGCCATTATAAATACTTGTACCCCACAATTGCCATAGTAAGTTACTATGTAGTTTTATTCTTACCCTGGCTCCCAGAATCACTTGAGGACAGAGCTCTTAGTTCAGTGCCTGTTACATTGTGAGCAATAAATGTGATCAGTCCCCCAATCCCCACTGTCCCCTTTAGCAGTAGTGGTCCTGGGTATCTTTCTTGCTGATAGCCCATTGACCACAGATAGACAAATAATACCCAGACAATGAATGTTCCTTTGTGCCAGAAGGTGCTATTCCAGCCAGCCAGGTGGGTTTAGAGCCTTGTCAGAGACCTCACAATGAGTCTGTCTTCTGGAAGACAAGTTCTGCTACAGTCCCAGGGGGGAAATTGAAAAACCAGCCCTGCAGGTTTCAATCTGAAAAGCATTAATGCTATAAAGTATTTCAATTCTAACCAAGGAGAGCGATAAAGCTGTGAGTACCCAGCTGATGTGGGGATGGGGAATTGCTGTCTCCATGGGCTTGATTGCAGAGAATTGGTTCCTGTTCAAGAGGCAGCTGGCTACAAGGGTGAGAGGCAGATTTACAACCTGGAAAATGTAGTGGGGTGCCTGGGAAAAAAATTAGCATCATCAAACAGTGGTAAGAGTTGGCATAGAGTGAACTTCTTCATGCCCAGAACCAGGGCCTGTACCTTACTGTCAAATAGCAGTCGTGGCAAAAACAACAACAAGAACAACAAAAACAACAAGCCTACATTAAGCCTGTATTTTGTGCCAGCCACTGTCTAGGTGCTGTACAAATGCATTCCTCCATTAAATGTTTACACCAACTGTATGAGGCCAGCTTTCGCTTTACAGAGGAAGACACTAGGGGTCAGGGAGGTGAATTCTGAACTGTGTCCTGCCCAACTCCAAAGGCTTGCTCTGAATTATTTACAAATAAAGCATCCATCACAGTGTATTCGGGTGGAGAAAGAGCAGTTAAGCTAGGGACCAGGGCAACTTCTCTTTGCTTCCACATTCCACCACAGAGCTGGGTGAGATGAAGAGTGATACAAGCAGCTGGATTCATGGAGAATCATTTAAAGAGTCCTAGCAAATCAGCTGTTCCATTTCATAAACTCCTACCTAGGGCCTCCTGTCTTTCAGAGACCTCAGTGGTCATTCAGCTTTCTATGAACTGAATGTTTGTGTCCCCCAAGTTGAAACCCAATCCCCAACATGATGGTACTGGGAGGTGACTAGGTCATGAGGATGGAACCCTCCTGATGGGACTAGAGTCCTCATAAGAGAGGAGGAGCCATGGGTTTTCTCCCTCTGCTCTTCACCATGTGAGGACACAGTGAGAAGATGGCCATCCGCACACAAGGAAGTGAGCCTCACTAGACACGAGGCCTGCCAGCACATTGACCTTGGACTTCCCATCCACCAGAACTGTGGGAAATAAATGTTTGCTGTTTGAGAGTGGATCGTCTCTTCCTCCAGACTCAAGCTTCTTTAATCAGGGAAAATCCATAAATTCCTGATTTCCCTGTGGATAGGCTAAGGTGACACATGAATTTCTAAATTTATGCAGATATCTGTGTTGGGAATAAGGATACGTGTTCATAAATAAAGGTGTTCTGCCTTCAGAAAGGAAGAACAACTACTGTCATTTACCTCTGGGTCCCCTGTGTCCATTGCTGGGCTTGGTACAGTAAACTTTGATGCAGGAATTTTCTCGGCCCCTTTGCTGGACTTCCAGCAGGGGCACTCCGTCTACTTGGCCTGCTGTGCTCAGGCCCTTGTGTGAGGGAGCATTTGAGGGAGTAAGTGTGGGATCTAGTTGGCTGCTCTGCTGACACAGGAGCAAGCTCCATGCAGAACCCACGGCCAACACTGCATGAATGCAATGTTGCCCAGGCAAGGGTGCCTGTGAGCCTGAAGCCCCAAAGGGGGTGTTAGTGTGCTAATTAGTTCTTTCAGTTCCACTGTCCACACCCCAATGGATGGCAGTGTGTTAGCAGCTCAGTTGGCCCCTGGTCCCATCACATGGGGTGGCTGCACTCCACCAGCAATGGCAAAGGGCCAGTGTGACAGCCTTTCTGGGTACCCACACTCAGTGAGTCCCGAGCTTTTGTCCAGTATCCAAGAATAATAAGGTCATGCTTGATGATTGAAGGATGGTGAGGGTGGAGAATTTTTTTTATTATACTTTAAGTTTTAGGGCACATGTGGAGGGTGGGGAATTTCATTGAGTGATGAAAACAGCTCTCAGAGGAGAGGGAAGCTGGAGAGGGAACGGGAAGGGCAAGTCGTCTTCCCCCAAAGTCAGGAGGTCTCTTCCCCAAAGTCATGCCATCTCCTCCCTGAAGTCAGGCTGTTTCCCCTCTACCGACTGAGTCTGGGGTCTTTATAGGGACTGGATGGGGGAAGGGTGGGCCTTAGGCAGTATTGGAAAAGGCAACATACAATTGGTTCGAAGGCATTATTCAGGAAGAGCCAATCAGGAGAGATCAGGCGAATAGGAATAGAAGTTCTCACTCTGGACCACAGATTTCAGGCTGTTTTTGGCCTGAAGGTGGGGTTTCACTGGGGACCTGCCCCTGTCTGCCTAGGATTTCTCTGCCTCCTGCTTCTATTAATTTCAGTACATGATATTGAGTTAAAGCGAATTTCCAACGGATAGAAAATGCCAGCCTCTCTCTAAACCATCACACCTCCTCAGCTTGAGGCCCATTTATATGCTTGTTTGTAGATTCCCAGGAAAAGAAGCAAAAATAAATTCTCTCTTTAAGCATCTTGCATTGGAGATTCTAGACCCTTAGATAATGTAAACAAGGATTCTGCACTGCATTTTAAATTTAAATGTGGGAGTTACTTTTTAAAAAAATGTATATGGGCTGGGCTTGGTGGCTCACGTCTGTGATCCCAGCACTTTGGGAGGCTGAGGCAGGCGAATCACGAGGTCAGGAGATCGAGACCACGGTGAAACCCCATCTCTAATAAAAAAAATAAAAACACAAAAAAATTAGCAGGGCGCGGTGGCAGGCGCCCGTAGTCCCAGCTGCTGGGGAGGCTGAGGCAGGAGAATGGCGTGAACCCAGGAGGCGGAGCTTGCAGTGAGCCGAGATCGCGCCACTGCACCCCAGCCTGGGCAACAGAGTGAGACTCCGTCTCAAAAAAAAAAAAAAATTGTGTATGTAACTTTTTACAATAAAGGCTGCCTTTAGCTATGTTCCCACATAGTTTAGATTTTCTATTAGAATTTATGTAGATGTTACACTGTTTGAGTACATTGGAACTGAATCAGTGAAGCAGCAGTTAATGGGTTAATTATCTCAAGATTGGTGGGTAAAATTCACCTCCTATAGCAAAGTTTACAACCTTAACTAACAGTTTTCAGAATAAATATTCTAATAAATGTATTGTCTAAAAATATTCATAGTCTCAAGGTTACAAGTAAATTGGCCTTAGAATTTTAAAATCCTTCAATAAAACAGAAATACTCTTTGTCCTTTTGTAGTATACGGATCAGATAGAAACTTTACTTTAGCATTATCTGATATAAATTAAGTAGAGATTTAACTTAAATTTTATGAGAGCTGGTTTGTAAATATCCTCTAACTTTCTTATATATTCATACATGAGTTAATTGATTCAAGGGTGCCTTGTATTCTTAAAACTTGTATGAACAGCTTCTGAAAGTTTCTTGGATTTCCTGCTTGTGGAAATAAATTGTAACCTCTGATTTTAACTTTTGAAGCTTTTTCATTTCTACACTCACTAATTTATACGCAAACACATTTATATGAAATCTGCCTATCACCGTGTCTCACACACACACAAAGCTGAGTGAGTTTCCTTCAACATCATAAGGTACATTTCCAGTGGTCTGATTTAAAACATGAACTCTGCAGCGCACAGGAAATATACTTTTGAACGCCCTGGAAAAGTCACAAAGAGAGACCAGCAGAAACTGAGGTTCACTGGGGTCCAAGGTGGGTTCCCACTGGGAATTTATGCCTTGCACAATGAGGCACCAGAGACACAGCAGACAAGCAGGGCTTTCAAATGTGAGCCTCAAATCCAAGGTCAGCAGAGCAGATGCACTGAATCGCACACACTGATCTGCTACCAAGATGCTTTACAAATGGAAAACTCTGTGCAGCCTGGTCCAGGGCAAATAGCAGTGTGGTTTCTTTTATTTAATGATGGTCAAAAATTATCATAAGCAAAGCCGGCTGGGCTGCCACATATTTTTGTCTGTCTTTGACAATGCTTATATCTGTATTAGAGTTTATCGCCATCAAAATCCACTGACAAATAAAAGTAAATGAGGCAATGGTAGTTGAGAGGAATGGGCTTTTGGAATAAACACAGGAAATAGCACAGGAATAAACCAAAACAGCTGTGATTTTTCTTTTTTTACCCTTTTCACCACAGATCAAATAGCACAGAGTTTAACTCTCAGCATACAGCTTCATTTTAACTGTTATTTTTCTTCTGATTTGGCTAAGAATCATCTCCTCAGTCAAAGTGAGAGCTAAACAATAGGTAAATAATAATAATAATAATCCCACATTTAGGATGCTACATTACACATGCAGATATGTGAAAGAAGCCACCAAAAACAAGCTCAGCCCTAGCTCAACACCCTGGTGAGGCACAGAACATGGAGGTTGAGAAGTCTGAGGGAGAAGAGTGCTTTGAAGCCCATTGTTCCTGGATTATATGGAGGTGTTATCTGGTGCCACTGCCTCTACCTCAAGCCTAGCAGAGAGGCTTCAAGGAAACCACTTGGAGAGTGTGATCTGCTTCTCTTTGAGTACAGCAGTCCCTCTATATCTGTAGGGGATACATTCCAAAAGCCTCAGCAGCTGCTTGAAGCCAATGATACTACCAAACCCTAAATACACTGTTTACTCCTATACATACCTATGATAAAGTTTAACTCATAAATTAGGCACAGTAAGAGATTAACAATTAATAATAAAACAGAACAACTATAACAATATACTGCAATAAATGTTATGTAAATGTGGCCTCTCTCTCTCTCAAAATATCTCATTGTACCATACTCACCTGTTTTTGGACTGTGGTTGACCGTGGGTAACCAAAACCATAGAAAGCAAAACCTCCAATAAAGAGGGACCATTATATGCTAAGCCACCTGCAATGGCAAGACAAAGAACCACTCCTAAGGGTCCCTGCCAAGAGAGGGTGGCCTACTAGAGCAGGGAGACCCCTTCCCAAGCAGCTCTGCTTGTAATAGGAGTCAAGGTGGAAAGGTCATAAGATACTGCATGGGGAATACATTGCCCACATCTGGGGCTGTGCGGTACAGCGGAGCCCACGGGAAGGGACGCCAAAGACCTCACGAATGTGCCTAAAGGAAGAATCCCATCTTGGAATATCCTCTAACCCCATCTGACTCCAGAGTCAAATCATGATAGCACCAGTCAAACAGAACATCCATGTCCCCCATCTGTTCTCCAAAAACTTGCTCTCAAGAACTCAATTGCATAGCTGTGTTCCACTCCAAGATTCCAGGGGAAATGGCAAGAAACTTAGAGTTCAGATTTTTTAAGAACTGCAGAAGACTGGACATTGTATCACTGAAATCATACTATTTTGAAACCAGCAGTGACCTAAGAACTTTTCATTTCCTGAAAGTGACAGGAAATTGAGGAACCTGCCTGAGACAACATCTTTGGGTGGGTAGGAAGGGTTGATAAGGTTGGTTTGTCAGATATTCCTGAGAGGGGAAAAGAAAGTTATTTTACAATTATGCTCCATCGCCGGGCGCGGTGGCTCACGCCTGTAATCCCAGCACTTTGGGAGGCCGAGGCGGGTGGATCACGAGGTCAGGAGGTCGAGACCATCCTGGCTAATACGGTGAAACCCCGTCTCTACTAAAAATACAAAAAAAAATTAGCTGGGCGTGGTAGCGGGCGCCTGTAGTCCCAGCTACTCGGGAGGTTGAGGCAGGAGAATGGCGTGAACCCGGGAGGCGGAGCTTGCAGTGAGCCAAGATAGCGCCACTGCACTCTAGCCTGGGCGACAGAGCGAGACTCCGTCTCAAAAAAAAAACAAAAAACAATTATGCTCCATCAAGTTCCACTGTCACCATCACAGTTAGTTTTGACTGCTGCTTTTTCCCCTCCAGAAAGACTATCTAGGAGAAGAGCAAGGGTGCTGACACGGGTGCTGGATGATGATGGCTAGATAGGCAGCAGTTTTACAGGTCAGCATCAGCATACGCCCAGGCTGATGGTCCATGAGCAGAAGAGAGAAAGTAACAATCAGGAAGATGGAAAGAGGAAAAGTCAGGCACGTGAATGTATCAAAGGGCACAAGGGGCTTGGTTTCCATCTTACATACCCATTGCTATTGTGCGAATGTCCCCTCCAAAGTTCATGTAGAAACTTACCCCCAGTGTGGCAGTATTGACAGATGGGGCCTTTAACATGTGATTGGACCATAAGGGCTGTACCCTCAAGAATGAACTCATCCATTCATGAATTAAAGGATGAATAGGTTATCATGGAGGAGGAATTGGTGGCTTTATAAGAAGAGGAAAAGAGACCTGAGCTAGCAAGTTAGTGCACTCAGACCCCTCGCCATGTGATGCCCCATGCTGCCTTGAGACTCTACAGAGTCCTCATCAGCAAGAAAGTTCCCACCAGATGTACTCCCTTGACCTTAAACCTCCCAGCCTCCACAGCTGTAAGAAACAAATTCTTTTTCTTTATTAATTATCCAGTTTCAGGTATTCTGTTATAAGCAGGAGAATATAGACTAACACACCCACTAAGGCTCAGTGAATGCTGGCTGCTCCAGGACAGTACATTCTCATTCTGAAATCAAAGCCTTTTTTTTTTTTTTTTTAGACAGAGTCTTGTTTTCTCGCCCAGGCTGGAGTGCAGTGGCGCGATCTGGGCTCACTGCAAGCTCCGCCTCCTGAGTTCACACCATTCTCCTTCCTCAGCCTCCCAAGTAGCTGGGACTACAGGTGCCCGCCACCATGCCTGGCTAAATTTTGTTTTTTTGTTGTTTTGTTTTGTTTTGTTTTTCAGTAGAGACAGGGTTTCACCATGTTGGCCAGGATGGTCTCGATCTCCTGACCTCGTGATCCGCCTGCCTCGGCCTCCCAAAGTGCTGGGATTACAGGCGCGAGCCACGGCACCCGGCCGAAATCAAAGACTCTTAAACTAGAAAAGGCTTGTTGGGGTAGGAGGGCAGCCCCCAGGATGGAGTTGATGCAGGGGAAATCCTCCAACACAAACAAAGATAAGCAGAGTGGTTTCTAAGAATAGGGCTGGGGGAAAGGGACCTGTCAAGAGAGGGTAAGGGCCCTGGATCAGTCATAAAAAGGCAAGCTGTGCTTCAGTAACAGGCAACCAGAAAATCTCAGTGACTTTACATATGTCTACCATAGGTTGGCCTGGGATCTTCTCAGCACCATCCTCACTCACTCTGGGACCCAGAAGGAAGGAGCAGCCATTATTTGGAATATGCAGCAGAGGAAAGAGAAAATGTGTCCGGCAGTGGCTCCTAAAACTTCTGCACAGTAGTGACTCATCTCACCTCCACTCACATTTCTTTGTCCAAAGCAGGTCACTTGGGTGCACCTAAGTTTGAAAGGAGGGAAAGCATAACCCTCCCCTGGCAATGGAACTGGAAACTAGTAAACAATAGATAACGCAATCCATCCCAGTGCCCAAGGAGAAGGGAAAAGGCCCTTCTGCTATGGAACCAGAGGATGCTCTTGAATTTAGTGAGGAAGGGCTGAAAGACCTGAAGGTCAGGGCTAGAGATGGGAGCTAGCATCCCACCCTTTCCTGCCCTGCTGATCTGAATTAAGTGAACAGAGTGACCAGATCATGAGCCTAAAGCTGTGTTCTTCCTCCACTCATTCTTCATTCATTCTACAGATATTTACTGAGCACATACTATGCACCAAGCATGATGTTAAATCCTGGAGAGAGATCAATCAACAAGACATATGGTCTCTGAACTCCAAGAAGTCGTAGTCAGGAGACTTGTATCCTGAGAGCTCCTCATGGTTCACTGAAGCTGGGGGCAGCATGGTTGAGGGGAAAGAGCCCTGGAATTGGAGTCAGAGATCTGATACTGGTTCTAACTTAACTGTGTAACATTGGTCAAGTTCATTCTCCTCTGTAGGCTTCCCTTTCCCTGTCTGATTCAGGGATCTTGTCATTGCAAAGATGGGGCCTACTCTACCAGCTTAAATAAAACAGAGCAACAAGAAGGACAGAAAAGTATCTGACAGGAGCCAAGGCCCCGCAACGGACTGGAAGTCAGGGACTGAGGTTCCTCTCCAGGAGTCACTCACCTCTGCTTCTCTGCCCATCTGCAACCTTTTTCTCTCCTCACATATTCATCCCCAACCATGGCTGCTCTAACATGGGACACCCAGTGCCCTCCTACCATCAAATACAGTATCTTTGAGCCCAGTGCTAACAAAGTTCAAACATAAAAAATACACTTGGCCTGGACTGAGTCGTGTATCCATTGCTGTGCAACGGCTATGGCCAGGAGAGGAGTCATGTGTCCACTTAGTAAGGACTATGGGAGCGGCCTTTCTGAAAATGGTTATAGACTGTGTCTCTAAAGAGTAGACCTGGGGAGGAAACCACTGGTATCACCACTTCATGGAGCAGCCATGAAATGGTGACTATAATGGTCTGGTCATCATGTTTCTGCATTCAGTGAACCCAAAACTTCAGGGTAAGCAAACTCACTATAAAAGTGAGTTGCTGCACACCACATCAGCCTGCTTCCAGAATACAAGCTCCCATAACCCACTCCTTCCCCCTTATTCAAATTCTTCTCCCCATCCAAAACATGGAGAATGGGGTATGAGCTGTAATCCCTGAGAATATTATAAATGGTTGATATCTTTTCAATCCTGTGAGGTCTTTTGGGTCCCAGGACCCAATGTGGTGGTTGCCCCCCTCCATAAATCTGGGGCTTAGCATTGCCATGTCACCATTCCTCCAGGGCTGTGCCACCTCCACAGCCTGCCTGGAGCCTACATACCATTCTCAGCACCTGCTGAGTTCGCTTGGGTCTGAGCCCCTGCTACAGGCATTTGCAAGATCAAATGGCCCACTCATTTCTCCTTTCAGTTTAAGAAGGTGTGACCTGCTGACATTTGTCAGTGAACCAGTTTTTCCATGCCTTCATCCACCCTTGCCTACCATAGAGAGTGCTGGCTGTCCTCACTCAGTTCCATCCCTACCCCCTGACTCCTAGGAAGGTCAAGTAGTGGTTGAACTGATTTGTGGGCTTTGAAATGAGGACTCTGGAAAGGGTGGTAGAAAGTTAAAAAAAAAAAAAAAAAGCCCTTGCGCTGGGGAGGTCTTAGGTGGGTTTTGAAACAGGTTTGTATTCTCAGCTGTAGGGTGGGAGGGAAATAGAAGGTAGAGAAAAGTGAATGTAGAAGATGATTAGAGTCAACTGTGCTTCTCTTTCATAGTGTATGAGGGGCTCCATGGTAACTGGTGTCATTTTGAAATCATATGTTTGTGTTCTTGGCCATGGCATTTCTTTCAGCCTGGACCACATGAGCCACCACTGGCATAAGCTCACGTCTTCCATCTCAAGCTGAAGTCCCTCCCTGAGAGTTGATCACTCCATTCCATTTGGGACTGGAATATTTTTCCAGGCCAGACCACATCTGCAGCAAGATCCTTTGGAGTGGTCCCTCTGAATCAGTCCTGGTGCTCAGTCAGAGCCTGGCATGAGTTCAGGCAGCCTTCCCCCATCCCATCCCTGTGTTGAGGGCCCCCGGATTCCCTACAGAGCTCCTTCATTCAGCCAGCACCCATTCCAAAATGGCTGATTTCCCATAACCCAACCAGCAGATTCAATCCAAGCACCACTCAGTTCCCTCTGGATTTTAACAACACAAAAAAATTACTCAATCCATCCAACAAAATCTCTTAAACTGTGACATCTGAGAATAGTGTATTTGCAGGATAGTCTATGGATTGGGATGAAGGTGGCAGAAAGTTTGGACATAGAGAATTGGTGGGAAAGGGAGAAAGAAAAAGAAAGCTAAAGTGTCATGAGCTGCTGCCTTTGGATTTAGAACAGATGAATGAGGAATGTCTACACCTGGTACACACTCATCCAGGTGTGTCTAGACTGGAATCTAATAAGCTACCTGAGTATCCCATTCAGCCAAAAATTATTGCCCTAGAATACAAGAGCCAGTCTGCTAACCAAATATTTTAGAAGGAAGCGCCTCTTGTTTAGGTTTAATACATGCATTTCACAAAATCAGGTACTGCAGGTTTGTTGCAAAGTCAGGGCCTGGGGACAGGACCACTCTTAAATTTAAAGGGCTCAAGAAGAGAACAATGGCAGCCCATAGACCATAAGTCTAAATATTCAAGAGACAAAAATCAACTCCCTCATCAAAGTAAATAAGTTCTGTCCTCTTACCTTCAAGAATACACCTTATAATTATGTATATACATGTATATGTAAAGTAAGGTTTTATATATATACACACACACCCACATACCCATACATATTTGTGTATGTGTGTATGTATATATATATATATATCTTGCATATATCCTGCTTTATATACACATAAATAATTTTGCTATGTTTGTTTATATATAAATCTATGGCACACACACACACACATATATAGCTTTATATATATGCATATCTATAGAGAGAGCTTTATATATATACACACACACTTATATCTTGCTTTATAAAATCTGGCTATGATTTGTATAGGTCTGAAAGTCAGCAAAACATCAAAGATGACTGATTTCAATTTTTATTGCACATATCTGGGTGTTCTGTTGACAATCCAGTGATGTTCAAATGAGTAATAAAATAAAAACATACATTATTTATAAATACTATATATATATTCCATAAAATATTTTTCCTGCTTTCATTCCAGCAGAATCGCTAATTGTGTTGTAGTCAGTATTTTCACATAATATATGTTTTATTTAATGCTATGTCAAATAAGTCCATTTTTTTTTGAGTCATTATAATTCTTAGATACTTTTATTTTTTCAAAATTAATTCCAATTTTAACAAACTGCTCTGGTGAGACAGTATCTTAGTTTGCTTTTTGTTGCTCATAACACAATACCTGAAACTGCAGTTTATAATGAAGTCAAATTTCTTTCTTAGAGTTCTGGAGGCTGGGAAGTCCAAGGTCAAGGGGCTACATCTGGTGAGAGTGTGTTCCCATGGCTCCACTAGGCATTACCCTAGTGGGGACTTTGTGGTGGCTCTACCCCTGCAACAAGTCTCTGCCTGGGTCACCAGGCTTTCTATACCATCCTTTGAAATCTGGGTGGCCTCCACAGCTTCTGCTTTCTGTCATCCTATAGAATTAGCACCACATGGACTTGTACCTTCTAGAGCGGCAGCACAAGCCACACCTGGGACCACTTGATCCAAGGCTGGGGTAGCCAAGGAGCACTGCATGGGGGTGAAGGGAGCAGAGCCCTGAGGTGACTCTGAGCAGCAAGGCCATCATGAGGACCTCAGGCTTGTCCCCTGAAACCATTCTGCCATCCTAGGCCTCTGAACCTGTGATGGGAGGGGCAGCCTCAAAGATCTCTGAAATGGCCTTCAGGGTCTTTCTTCCATTGTCTTGAGGAATAGAACCTGGCTCCCTTCTATCCATATGAATCTCTTTAGCAAAAGGTCAACAGGCTGCATCCTTGGCTTCTTCTGAACATACTTTTTATTATTATCTCCCACATGGCCAGGCTGTACGTTTTTCCAATTTTTTCACTCTGTTTCCCTTTTCTCTAGCAGTTCACCATAAGAAGTTAGAAGTAATCATGAAGCAGCCTGAGCATTTTGCTGTTTAGAAATTTTTTCCGCCAGATATGCTCTTCTGTTACTCTTAAATTCCACCTTCCACAGCACCCTCTGGCATGGACACAGTTCAGCCAAGCTCTTTGCCAATTTACAACAAGGATGGCCTTTACTCCAGTTTCCAATACCTTGTTCACCACCTCCATGTGAAACCTCATTTGAATGGTCTTTACTGTCCATATTTCTACCAGTATTCTGGTCACAACCACTTAACAAATCTCCGAGGAGTTCCAAACTTTCCCTTATCTTCTTGTCTTTTAAGCCCTCACTAGGATCTAGGCTTTTTCTAGCCTGCTCTTCCAAATTCTTCCAGCTTCTGAAAATGCTTACACATTTTCAGGTATCTGTTATCAGCAACACCCCACTTCTCAATACCATTTTTTTTTTTTTTTTTGGTATTAGCTTGCTTTCTATTGCTGATAACAGAATACTTGAAACTGGGTAATTTATAAAGAAAAGGAATTTATGTTTTACATTTAAGGAAGCTGAGAAGTCCAAGGTAAAAAGGCCACATCTGGTGGGAGCCTTCTTCTTGTTGGGAACTCTTTGCAGAGTCCTGGGGCGGCACAGGGTATCACATGGCAAAGGGACTCAAGCATGCTAATGTTCTAGCTCAGGATGCCCTTTCTCTTCTTACATTGCCACCAGCTCCCCCTCCATGATAACCCATGGATCCACTAACTCATTAATCTATTAATCCGTGAATGGATTAATCCATTCATGAGGGCAGAGCCCTTGTTGTTCAATCACCTGTTAAAGGCCCCACCTCTTAATGTATTCTACCACACTGGGGATTATATTTTAACATGAGTTTTGGAGGGGACAAACGTTCAAACCATAGCAAACAGTAGCAACTGGGATTGTCAATAGTAGTAAAGCAATCCTTAGGTTCATAAAAGGACTATACATTTTATACACATGTTCAAACAATGCAATGGGACTGTATACAATAAATAATTTTCTCAAAAAATATTGAATATGTGAATCTCATTACAAAATCTCTATCACTTATATTAAGCTTCTCACTGGCTCTGGTAGCAATATCTATACTCATATGACAATAATGTTAAGAATTGGTATCACACTTCCCAGATGTTACATATACAGTACCTACACACACATATATACACACACACACACATTTAAGAAAAGGATGAATTTTGGTTATTATTGCTACATGATCTTCAGCCACCATGTACAGTGTTTGCGGTTTTGTGAATACTGCAGCAAGTCATGAGTTTCATCAGAACCACACATTGCAACCAAATAAGCAAGAATTGGATCGTCCTCTTTATGCAGAAATCAATTGTTCTCAAGCTATCTGAGAGGGAGGATTCGACAAGTTAATTAATTTCTCTTTTTGCTTACGGAAAGGCTTCTGCAGCTCATACCCTCCCAATCTTCCAGAGCACTGTCGGCCTCTGAGGTTGCAGCCTCTCAGCACACACCTGCCTGGAATGCCAACACAGCTGCCTTTGGTTTGGAGGACATGGGGCAAGAGTTGGGTGGGAAAGGGATGTTTCTTGGGGCTAAAAGTGTCAGTCACAGAACAGATGTTTAAGGTTGCAGGTTGTTCTGAGAAAATGCTGAACTGTGGATCCTGAGAGCAGAATACAGAAGAGTGTTTTGATACATTTACTTGTGTATACTCCTGTTTTCTATAAAACATGGGGCTCAGGGAAAGAAGTCTAAGAGCTGTATTTGTTGTGGGGTCAGCTGAGAGCTATGTGCCCCCACCTCCTGTTTGGACTTAAATTGAAGTAAGGAGCTGGTCCAAAGATCTTGTGAATTTCTCAGTCATAATCAAGGCCATTAAGTGCAAAATGAACAGTGGGGAGCAGGCAGAAAGAGCAGAACTCTAACATCCAGCCAGGGAGGGAAGCTGGTCTCGAACTCCCGACCTCAAGCAATCCTTCCACCTCTCAGCCTCTCAAAGTGTTGGGATTACAGGTGTGAGTCACCATGCCTACCCTGGGAAACTTCTGCCTTTTGTCCCGCAGGAGAATCTGCTAGTAACTAGGAGGAAGTCCCAAGTGAGAAAGTGTCTTCACTTTGTCCCTTGTTAGAATAGGGACAGTAGTACAATGACAGCAAAGAGAATCTTCCAGAATCTCACTCCTCGTTCTCCTCCTGGGGCTGAGGAAAAGGAAGAGAAGGGCAGGAAGGATTCTAGTCATGATAAGAATCAGGAAACTCCCTGGGCGTTCTCCCTCTAGAGCCCAACATTAGTGTCCTCTTGTTCCTTCACTAGTATCAGGACCTCTGAAGAGATTGGACTGAGGTGGCCAGAAGCCAAGGAATGCTGGCAGCCACCAAAGCTGGAAGAGGCAAGGAAATGGATTCTCCTCAAAACCTCTGTGTGGAGTGTGACCCTGCTGTCACCTTGGTTTCTGCCCAGTGAAACCTATTTCCAACTTATCTCGTCCAGAACTATAAGACCCTACGTCTGTGTTGTGTTAAAGGCACTCAGTTCCTGATGTGTTACAACAGCAAGAGAAAACCAATACAGCATCTTCCACTGGAGATTGTTCCTTCCTGTTCTGTTTATCTTTCTGGGCCTCTCTTTGGGCTGTCACTTTACCTTGAAGATTTCTCTTTACCTTCTTAAAGAGGTTCTCTAAGTGTTTAGTAACTTTCCTACCTCAGAGTCTCTGCTGGCAGGGGCAGGAAGTGCCCTTCCCAGCCCAGGTGGGAGCTCAGAAACATCTCCTGGGTCCAGATGCTAGAAGGTAAGCCCTGGCTCTTGTGAGTGTAGGTCTCACTTGTGCAGGTGGCAGGACAGTGGAAGGAGAGAGTGATCCTTTCAGAAGGCCACCTTGGCTTGCTGTCAAAAAATTGAGTTGGAGCTCTGACATCTGAAACAGGTCCCCTCCCTAGTGTGTATATGGGAACTTATTTCTGAACTCTTAATCCTAAAGCTGCAGGCCCAACAACTTTCTGGTGATAAGGAGCATCTGATAGATAATTCCATAAAGACACCTGAGCTGCACTTGCCATCTGAGGGGCTGGTGTTTGGAAAGTCCTGCAGGTGACTCTGTCAGCAGCTGTCTCAGAGCCAAGGCTGGCATTGAATAGGTCAGTGGTCAGCAGTCCAAAGGCTCTGGGGAGACATTGATGACCTGTGGTCAGGTGCCCTGGCTGGCTGAAGGCCATGCCACTTATCCTGTTGGTCCATTTGAAGGTTGTCTTGTTCATTGATCAAGCCTGTTCAGATCATGCTGATAGAGTATTGGGGTGCAATGTTCAATTACAGGGAAAACGGGAAGCAGAGCTGCCGGCTGGGTGTACTGACCATGCACACATGCGCTTAGCAAGATTGGAGCAAATGTTCCCGGTCATGATGCCCACTCCCTTCCCCACCCTGCTTATCATCCATCACCATGTTGAGGGGGTCACCCTGCACATCACAGGGGCCCTCTCTGCCCTCCTCGTGCACCTAACTTGCCTGTGAAGGCTCAGCTGCTGCAACATCTCCTCTGTAAATATCCTCTGATGCCTTCTTCACCCAGTGGGTCACCTCTTCCTTTGGTCCCCTCTGTATCCTGCGTGTTTATGTTTGCACACTCTTACGTCACGTTAGATCTAGTATTTCTTCATTACATGACTGCCTCCCTGTTCTCCTGCAAACTCCTTGAAGACCAAGAACTAATTTCCCTTTCAGTATGTCCCAAACAGAGCACAGTGTTTGGTAGATTTTGTTACCCAATGAAGGGTGTTAAATGATCAACTAAAGCATTCAGTCTCCAATGATGTCCATTCAAATGTATCATTCATCTCTAAGAGCAGGTTTCTGCTTAGCATAAGCCTATGAGCTTAGTGACATCCCAAAGAGAGACTCAGAAAGATAAACCAAACCAGGAAGGAAACATCTCCAGTGAATGATGCTGTATTCGTTTCCTGTTGCTATTGTAACACATCAGGAACTGAGAGGCTTTAACACAACACAGACATAGGGTCTTATGGCTCTAGACGTCAGAAATTGGAAATGGGTTTCACTGGGCTGAAACCAAGGTAACAGCAGGGTCGTGCTCCACACAGAAGTTTTGAAGAGAATCCATTTGCTTGCCTCTTACAGCTTTTTGGTGGCTGCCAGCATTCCTTGGCTTGTGGCCACCTCACCCTGATCTCTTCTTCACATTGTCCTCTCCTTTTCTGTAGTCAAATGTCCCCCTGCCTTCCTCTGCCCTCTCATAAGGACACTTTTGATGACCTTGACCTGACCTGAATAATCCAGAATAATCCCGTCAGCTCAAAAATCTTTAACTTAATCCCATCAGCAAAGTCCTTTTTGTTATACAAGGCAACATTCTCACTGTCTATAGGGAACTGTTCTTTTTTTTTTTTTTTTTTTTTTGAGATGGAGTCTCGCTCTGTTGCCCAGGCTGGAGTGCAGTGGTGCGATCTTGGCTCACTGCAAGCTCTGCCTCCCAGGTTCACACCATTCTCCTGCCTCAGCCTCCTGAGTAGCTGGGACCACAGGTGCCCGCCACCATGCCTGGCTAACTTTTTTTGTATTTTTAGTAGAGATGGGGTTTCACCATGTTGGCCAGGATGGTCTCGATCTCCTGACCTCGTGATCTGCCCGCCTCGGCCTCCCAAAGTGCTGGGATTACAGGCGTGAGCCACCGCACCAGCCTATAGGGAACTGTTCTTTAACACATATACTAAACCCATCAACACATTTATTTGATAATTGAAGTTTGAGCATATACTCTGCCTTAGATGCTAGAGTTATGCTGAGAAGGAACAACAGCATGAATTAGATGTAGTCTTCACCTTTCAGAGTTTGCAGTTTACCCAGGGAGAGAGATGCATAAACAATTAGCTGCTCCCAGGAGCAGGAAGCCCCCAGGAGCTCAGGGGTGACCTCTGAGCTGCTGGGCCTGCTTAGAGCTAGGAGGCCTTAGGGTATGTCCATAGCTTTATCGGAGTGTCTGTGTGACATCCGGAGCCCAGATGCTGGGAACCTTCTCACAATGAATATGCATAACCCCTCTAACCAGAAGGAACGCCACCTGCCAACTCGGATGGACTCTCCACCCCTCCCCCCACCATCATCCCTGATGTTTTAGGAGCAGAATCTGAAGATGGGCTGAGAAGAGTTGATTCTCAAAGGTGAGAGAAGAGGGGAGGGACATGCAAGGGAGAGATTCAGACAACCTACCCCATAAAGAACAGGGATAGAGAGGTGGTGCAGGGAGGCTGGGGTGGAGGAAGGGAATCAGTACCCCTTCCCACCCATCTTTTTATTTTTTGTTTTTAAAATTGATTTTTAGAGCAGTTTTAGGTGCATAGAAACATGGAGCAGAAAGTATAGAGTGTTCCTATGTACGCTCTCTTCCGGCAGCTGCAGTTTCCCCTGTTATTAACAACAGGCATTAGTGTGATATATCTGTTACAATTGATGAGCCAATATTGATACATTGTTACTGTTAAAGTGACCTAAATATGGCCTGAGAAGGACTCTGTACTTCTATATTTGAGACCTCGTGGATGAACTGTAACCTAATTTAGGAGTATGCACCTGTAACAATAGCTGAGTCTTGGCCAATCCCAGTAGCCATACTTCAAACCACTCATACACCGCCAAGTGTTCAAACCGTGTTCAAATAAGGCAAAGGATGAGCTGTAACCAATCCAGTTGTTTCTGTATCTCACTTCCGATTTCCTTACGTCACTTCCCTTTTTTGTGTGTATGAATCTTCCTCCACCACACGGCTGCACTGGAGTCTCTCTGAAGCTGCTGTGATTCTAGGGGTTGCCCCATTCACGAATTGTTCATTGCTCAATTAAACTCCTTTAAATTTAATTCAGCTGAAGTTTTTCTTTTCACATTACTAACTAAAGTCCATTGTTTACATTAGGGTTCATTCTTTGTGTTATACAATTCTATGGGTTTTGACAAATGTATGATGACGTGTGTCCACTACTACAGTATCATACAGGATAGTTTCACTGGCCAAAAAGACTCCCACCCCCAAGCTTCACCCCTTCTTCCCTCCTTTTCTTCCCCCAATCCATGGCAACCACTGATTTTCTTACTGTCTCCATAGTTTTGCCTTTTCCAGAATGTCATATAGCTGGAATCATACGGTATGTAGCTTTTGTAGATGGATTTCTTTCACTTAGCAATACATATTTAGGATTCTCCATGTCTTTCTATGGCTTGACAACCAATTTCTTTATATCACTGAATAATATTCCATTGTCTGGATGTACCACAGTGTATTCATCCACCTATTAAAGGACATCTTGATTGCTTCCATTGTTTCCAGTTCTTTGGCAATTATAAATAACATTGCTATAAACATTTGTGTGCAGGTTTTTGTGTGGATGTATGTTTTTAACTTGTTTGGGGAAATACCTAGGAGCTTGATTGCTGGATTATATGGTAAGAATATGTTTGATTCCATAAGGAACTGCCAAACTTTCTTCCAAAGTGGCTGCAACATTGTGTATTCCCACCAGCAATGAATGGGAGTTGCTGTTGCTCCACCTCCTCACCAGCATCTGGTGATGTCAGTGTTTTGGATTTTAGCCATTGTCAGAGGTGTATGTGGCATCTCACTCTTGTTGTAAGTTGCAGTTCCTTAATGACATTGATGTGGAGCATCTTTTTGTATACTTATCTGCCATCTATGTAGACCCATACCATGGATATTATTCAATGATAAAAGGAAATGGTCTATCCAGTCCCCAAAAGACATGAAAGAGTCATAAATACATATATCTTTTCTTCGGTGAGATGTCTGTTAAGATCATTGGCCCATTTTTTAATTGGGTTGCTTATGTTGCTAGTATTGAATTTTAAGAGTTCTTTGTATATTTTGGATATAATTCCTTTTTCAGATATGTGCTTTGTAAATGTTTTCTTCCAGTCTGTGGCTTGTCTTTTCATTCTTCTAACCACCCCACCTTTTGACTTTTTTTTGCTAATGAAAGCGTTCAGAGTGTAGAGTATGGGAATGATTGAGGTGGAGAGAAAGGGGTTAGAAGAAGTGGTGCTAAGGTTATAAATTAGATTCATTTTAATTTCCTCTGAGAGGTATGGAGGAAAAAGTGAAACTCTTTTTTATCTTAATTTTAATATTTTTTTAAATTTCTGTTTGAAAGGGCCGACTCTCAGAGGGCCACCAGCTGAGTCTACTCTTGGAAAAATGACCCTACTCTGTGTATGTGTTCCTGGGTCAGTCTCTACCCAGACTGCAACCTTCTAGAGGGCAGGGACTTGCCTTGCTCTTCACTCCTTCCCAGTGCCTGCTCTGTCAGGTGGTGCTTAGACGACAAATGTGGGATGTTAACAGAAGGACATCTTTAACAAGAGTAAAACCAAAGTATAATCTTCCCCACCCCCACCCCACCCCT
This sequence comes from Homo sapiens, assembly GCF_000001405.40. Lineage (NCBI taxonomy): Eukaryota > Metazoa > Chordata > Mammalia > Primates > Hominidae > Homo > Homo sapiens. The sequence continues at coordinate 33,751,946 of NC_000017.11, read as the reverse complement.
CACCCCCACCCCCGGCTTCCCTAAGCTGGGCTGAGGAAAGCTCCAAAGCCTAGCATTCCCTCCCAGCCTCCCGCTGCCTCTCAGCACACCCGGTCTGCCCCCTAAGTCTACCAGTTCTACAGGACAGTTCATTCTTTGCTGTTGCAGCTCCCCTGACCCTCCATCAGCTGGAGTAATTGTTTCTTAATTGGACTCTAAGTCATTCTATGCAGGGAGCAGGGGAAACTAGAATTAAATGAAATCGGGATCTGAATCCAAAGGAAAGAAAAAGTAAACCAAAACGTTATACAGAAGAGTTGAAAAACAGAATGGATGAAAGCGTGAGGGATGGAGACGTATCCGTGTTTATATACATTGGTATGTTAGGAAAATCAATGGATTTGGAATTCAAAATTCTAGTCGCAATAAAAAAAAAACTATGTCCTTGAAAAAATTACTGTCTCAGACCTCAAATTCAGCATCGGTAAAAAGGGAAGACTGGTCACTTAATTTCCAAAGACCTTTCTATATCTTATCTCTTCAGAAACAGCAGCAGTTTCTGTTTATTCTAGAAGGTGGCCGCATCATTTAAAAAGAAACCAAAATACTTTGTTTTTCTGACTTTCCCAGAACAATTCCTGGCAGTGCCACTAGATGGCGGAATGAGACCACATTGGTGCCGTGTCAGGGCGGCTGCAGATCTGTATGCAGCCAAGGTAGCAGCAAGCTATGAGCCGTCTCCTGCAGGCATCTGATTAATGATAGGGCTGTAATCATCTTTACACAATCCCGACTGCAGCCCAGTTGTAGCCTAGCTGTTAAATTAAACTGAACAAATAAATATGCCAGGCAACTCAGCCTCCCCACCCGTCCCTACCCTGGGTGGCTTCCAAGCTGATTAACATATCAAAACACAAACTCAACCCTCCCATCTCCCTTCATTTTCATAACAAAAGGGGCCCCCTTTCATCTCCCAGCAACCCAATCTGTATTTAAATAGCTCTGTGAAGACTGATAACATTATTACTTTATTTCCCTGAGTCTTGCCTGGGGATCTCTCCAATGTGTTTCCCCAGGAAACTGGATGGATGTGTTTTATTAGAAAGATGAATCACCCCCTTCTCCCCATCCCCAGCTGCCTTAAGCTTCTGGTTGGGTGTAAGTAGGAAGGAAAACATACAGGAAGCTTTCTCTGAAGACTCCAGAAATCACAGATCAGCCCTGCTGAGTCCCTAGCCCAATCAGACAATGCCTGATGTCTCAATGATCTTAGATCAAAACAAAACAAACAAAGCATTATAAACAGAAAAACAAACTCTGACATCCGGGTGCACTCCACATAGGGTGCAGGTCATGGGCACTGTTCGGAGTTATTAACTGTAGGGTCTTGGGCACTAAGTCCTGTTATTAAATGTAGGGCCCTCGGCACTAAGTCATCTTGGAGTTATTAACCACTGGGCCCTAGGCACTAAGTTATTTCTGGAATGTAAAGGTTCCTAGCGAGCATCTCACCCCAGGCTCCAGGGCCTCCTGAGTGCACTGAATTTATTTTGCACAATATCGTGCACATGAGCTCATCTGAGAAGAGCATCCAGTCTTCATCAGTCTACCAAACCTCAGGAACCACCGTTTCCCCCTCAGTTCCTTGCAATCTGTTCATTTAAGGATGAGGAACCAAAGTCCAGGAAAGAGGAAGGGGTTGCCCAGGGTCCTGGATAGTCTTCTGCAGAGTGGGACAAGGGCTCTCTGGGTCTTCTGACTCCACCACATCTGCTCACCCCTCACCTGACCTCCTTGAACCTCAGTTTCTCCCTCAGGGACCCTGCACACCCACACATCACAACAACATTCCCTACACCTAGCGGAGTGGCTGGCACAGAATAGATATGCAATGGACAGGAGTAGAGGAAGGAAGTGAGGAACTGCATGAAAAACTGGAAAGTGGATATTTAGATCAAAGAGGGAGGCTGGTCCCCACAGCTGGTCCCTAACTGAGGTCCCGCCTGGCAGAAGATGGCATGGGGGGAGACTCGGGCACTCCTGAGGCTCACTGGCAGCACAGCCTTGGAGTTGGCAGCATGGGACATTTCAAGGCACACAAAGCTGGGCCCCCCAATCCTGTACCTGCCAATAACCCTCTTTCTCCAATCCACACTGGCTTTGGACGGACTTAGAAATAGAACAGGCCTGAGCATGACAGAGACCAAATTGGAGAGCAGGCAGGGCTGACGGTGAAGTGGGTGTTGACTGGAGGCTGTGTCAGGCCGGGGCAAGCTGTAAGAGAGGCAGTCGTCCTCTCCTCCCATAAGTAACAGTCTGGTGGGCATGACAAGCCCACCAAGTGACAGCTCTGAGGTGTGGGAGGGAGCCATGGAGAGGGCGGTCCAGATGGGGACAGCCAGCTCAGGATCTGTGCATGAAACTGGTGCTAAGGTTGGGACCACTAAGAAGTTCCCCTTCAATAGTGAGATCCATGTGAGAGACCCCCAGGCCCACAGGAGTAGAGGAGAGGAACAGGGGCTGGACTGGTGAAAGCGCCCCTCCCACACGGTCCGAGGAGCCCCCACCTGCACTCTTAGACAGCACTCCTGTGCTCCACAGAGAGAACGCCTCGCCGCTCTCCTCCCAGTAGAGGAAGTGAGTCCTACCAAGCAAAGATGGGGTCTTGGGGTTGGGGGAGCAGCTGGAGAAGGAGAGGGGTCTTGTTTCCCTGGGGTAGGGGGAAAGGGAGGGAAAGGGTCCTGAAGCATGCATGACAGAAAGGCCTCCAGGAGGGAGAATCACACACCACCCTTCCTGCCAGAGCTCCAGAGGAAGCTGTGCTCTTGCACCCCAACCCGGTTCTCTCCTAGGTGGTGCTGCTTCACCTTCCTGCTCCCCTGCCCAGGAGGGAAAGGAAGAAAGGAGAGCAGGAGCCAGCTTGCTCTCCTCTCACCTCTGGAGGGGCAGCCAAGTGTTCTTAGGCTGTGCCGAGGGCCCCCTGAGCCCAGGGCCATGCTGCAGACACGTGTCCTGTGTTCCCCTTGAAAAGAAGGCTGGGGAGATGTTTCCGTGGACTGTTGTCCCATGGGACTTCAGTTCCTTCCCATTTGAGCTCCTGCGTGGCTCTCGCATGCATGCGTTCCACAGATAATAATTAAAAGTCTATTGTGTACAGAGTATTACACTAATCACTTAAGAGGCACACGAAGGAAGAAAGGACATTATGAAGCCTTATATATTTATCATCCTGGAGTTCTAGAGCCGTAAGGCAGCTCAGAGATCATGAGGGCAGCTTCTATTCTCATGTGGCCCAGAAGGTGGGAGGTGGAAGGAATCCCCAGGCCACCACCGTGCCATCTCATTTTGTAGACAGGGAGGCAGAGACCAGGAGGGGCAGTATCCTGCCACTTCCACCCTACCCATGATGAGTTAGTGAATTGGGGTCTGGGTTTCTGTTTTTTCTTTCCTATCAGGAAGCCCTGCTTTTAAATAATGCACCATTATTTCTCAGGACTTCTTTCTCCCGAATGCCCTGTGAGGAAGGACTGTACTGTGTCTCCTCTTGCAGAGGCTAAATCTGAGGCCAAAGGAGTTTCCATAAACTGCTCTGGATGCAGGCCAAGCCCCTGCACTGAAGGATGGAAGAGGTGAAAGGACCAGAGTTTGGGGTTCAAGATTCCACATCTCCAGACCTGGGAGGTGGCAGTTTGCATGGGAGAAGCCCAAGAGTGCTCAGGGAAAGCTGCAAGGAATCAGGGAAGCAGGCACCAGGAGGCGGGTGCTTAAGGAGGCAGGTGGCTAGGAGGGCAAGAGATGAGAGGAACTGCCCAGAGAGTGTGGCCGGCAGAAGGGTGGGCTTTGCAGTTAGATTGAGTGGGCTCAAAGCTCAACTCTGTTACATTCAAGGCGTGCGCTCTCTAGCAAGTCGCTTAACCTTCGCAAGCCTTGACTTCCTCATCTCTGAAATGGAAATGATACTGGTACCTTCCACTTGAGGTTGTTGAGGGCCACCTGAGAATGCAGAATGTCTAGCTCATGTTACACACTGAATTAGCACTGGCTTCTTTCACTAAAACTAAAGTGACTTGAAGATGCGGGGATGATGTCAGGGGATGGAGTTGAGGTGAGGCCCGCCTGTCAGAGGCAGGCATCAGAGACCAGAGGGGAGTGTCCTGAGGACCCTGCAGACCTGGGGAAGAAGGGGAGGGAGGTTTAGTCCAGGCTTTGCCTCTGTCTTGGCCTGTAGCCTTGGAGAAGTCACTCCCTCTCTGGACTTGCAAATCTCACATTCTGTGGAGTCCATAGGGAGAAAAATGGAAGTTGGGGAGAATCTGAGGGAGAGGTGGCATGACCTGACAGCAGCAGTGGGAAGCAAGAGTAGCATGATCTTCATCTCAACTGGAGGTAAAAGAAGCAAAGCATAAACAACGGATCTCCAGGTCCAGGTAAAGTGTGGGAAGGATGGCCAGGCACAATGGAGTACGCCTGCCATCCCAGCACTTTGAGAGGCCGAGGCAGGCAGATCACTTGAGCTCTGGAGTTCAAGACCAGCCTGGGCAAGTGATGAAACCCCATCTCTACCAAAAATACAAAAATTAGCTGGGCGTGGTGGTGCATGCCTGTAGTCCCAGCTACTTGGGGGACTGAGGTGGGAGGATCACGTAAGCCCACAAGGTCAAAGCTGCAATGAGCCGTGATCATGCCACTGCACTCCAGCCTGGATCACAGAGCTAGACCATCTCAAAAAAAAAAAAAAAAAAAAAGACGGCTGGATGGGAGCAAGGTTTTGTGTCACGTGCCCTGCAGGAGAGCAGAGAGTTCATCATAGTAGAACTTTATACCTGTAAGACAATCTACAAAGTACATTCACAATCATAGATTCATGTGACCTACAGAAGGACCCTATAAGACAGGCTGAACAGGGATTATGTTACCCGTTTCACAGAGGAGAACATCGTTGTCAAGTCTGTATCTTGTGTCTTTATTTATTCATCTCAAAGTCTTCTTCTAATTCCCCTTGTGATTTATTTTCTCATTCATTCATTTTTCAGTAGAGTATTGCTTACTTTCTACATATTTGTGAAATTGCCAAATTTCTTTCTGTTATTAATTTCTAATTTCATCCCATTGTAATCAGTGAATATATTTTGTGTTGTCTCAAGGCCTAATATATGGTCTGTCATGGAGAATGTTCCATGAGAAAACGTTGAGAAAAATGTATATTCTGCTGTAATTGAGTACTCGGTAGAGATCTATTAGGACTGATTTATGTATAGTGTTGTTCAAGTCTTTTATTTCTTTGTTAATCTTCCCTTGAGTTCTATCCATTATTAAAAGTGTGGTATTAAAGCCTCTAACCATTATTGTTCAGCTGTCTATTTCTCCCTTCAATGTGGTCAGATTTTGCTTCATAAATTGTAGGTCTCTGTCATTAGGTATATGAGTATAAAAACTATATATACACATATATACACACACATATATGTATATATACATATATGTAGATATACATACATATACACATATACACACATATATACACATATATACATATTCATATACGTATCTACAGATATACATACATGTATCTACCTATATATGTAGATATACATGTATATCTACATATATAGGTAGATACATGTATGTATATATACATATATGTATATATGTGTACATGTATATACATACGTGTATATGTATATACATGTACACGTATGTATATACATATATGTGTATATGTATTTAAAGCTAAGAAAAGAAAGGAAGACATGTATACATTTATAGAATTTGTTATATTTACCTTTAATTTATCATTTGTTTGTCTTCATATTCTCTTTTTCATTTTCATTGATTTGGTTTTCAACTCCAGAATTTCCACTTGTTTCTGTGAATTCAAATTACCATCTGTTATCATTTCTTTACTCCAATATGATTTTGCTCCTGTCTACCTTTTCTGTGTGGTTATTGTTAAATATATTATATTTCTGTGTATTACAGGTGCAACAATGCAATTATATACATATTGTTTTATACAATTTGTTTTTAAATCAGTTAAGAGAAGAAAGAAGAAACGTGCATTTATACTTTATTTTATAATTATATAGTTACCTTTGCTTGTGCTCTTTGTTTTTATCATGTGGATTCAAATTTCCATCTAGGCTTATTTACTTTCAACATGAAGCACTTCCTTTAGTATTTTCCATAAGGTAAGTTCAGCAATGAATTCTCTCAATTTTTATTTATCAGAAAATGCCTTTATTTTACCTTCATTTTTGAAAGATAGTTTTTCTGGGCATTAGATTCTCAGTTAAAAGATTTTTTTTTTCTTTTTTCTGCACTTTGAGTATGTCATCCCACTGCTTTCTGACTTACATTGTTTCTGGTAAGAATTCAATGGTTAATCTTATTGGGTTTCCCTTTTATGTGATGAGTCATTTTTCTCTTTCTGCTTTTAAGATTTTTTTTTTTTTTGACTTTGACTTTCAGCATTTTTACTGTATCTGGGTGTGGAGCTCTTTGCATTTATCCTACTTGGAGTTTGTAGAGATTCTTGGATATGTAAATTGATTTTTTTTTTTCAGTAAATTTGGGGTTTTTCAGCCATTATTTCTTGTGATATTTTTCTGCTCCTATCTCTTTTTACATTTTGACCTCCCCCAACCCAGAGAGAATTCTGCAGCACACGGCATTTGGACTTAAACCACATCAGCTGTTTCCTGGGTCTTCAGCCTGGTGACCTTTGGACTTGAACTGTAGTATCAGCTCTCCTCTGGGTCTTCAGCCTGCTGGCCCTTTCATCAGGCGGAACTGGGGGTGGGAGGGGAAAGATAGGGAGCAAGTTGTGGCTCAAGTGCCAAAGGCCCTCATGTTATTACCATATTTTAGTAGATTTTTGTGAAATTTATTTTGGTACACTTAAATGTATCGCACATTTCTCTGAGGCTCTGCTAATTTTTCTTTATTTTATTTTCTCTCTGTTCTTTGGATTGAATAATCTCTGTTGATCTATCCTCAAATTTACTGATTCTTTTTTCTGCCCATTCAAATCTACTGCTGAGCCTTGCTAATAATTTTTCATGTTCGTTGATTTGGTTTTCAACTCCAGAATTTCCACTTGTTTCTTTTTTTATAATTTCTGCCAGTTTTTGGATATATTCCATTTGATGAGCTATTTCTTTACTTATTTAAGCACGCTTTCCTCTGGTTATTTGAACGTATGTATAATGTCTACTTTGATGTCTTTGTCAAATCTGACATCTGGTTCCCTTCACAGGCAGTTTTGTTGCCTGCTTTTTTTCTTGTATATGGGTCACACATTTTTGTTTCTTTATATATCATAATTTTGTGTTGAAAAATGGATGCTTTAGGTAATACATTATAGCAATTCTGGATACTGATTTCCCTCCCACAACTCCAGCTCTTGTGTTTCTTGTTTTATTATTTATTTGTTTTGTGACTTGGCTGGGATATTTTAGCTAAGTCTATTCCCCATGCAGTGTTAAGCCTTTGGTGTTGCTTGCTCCTCAGTGCTCACCTAGGATAGCAGTAGTTTTAGCAGAGCTCTCTTTGGATGCTTGTTTACTAATCTGTCTGTTAAACTATCTTCCTGATTTGGTATTACACCCAGTCTTTAACTTCCACTAATTACTAGATGCTTGCTTTGCTGTTTTCAACAACACCTTAAGACATAAATTGCTCAGCAGTTTGGTCCATTTAAATTGGAAAAGGGGTAGTTTTTGAGACCAGTCTTTGAGGTTTGCTCTGACCCTAGCAGGGTGTTTCTTAGCAGTCTGTTTCTCTGGTTCTTTCTAGTGAACTAACTGGACTCATTGCTCTTAATAAGAGGAGTTATTTTTTCTGAATACACCCTTAGGCTTGAACTTCCCCATGTTCTGTTTCAAACAAAGTCAGTTCCTTTAAGGGGAGCTTTGGCAGTCTCTCTCCTTAGAGACTGGCTAGGCAAAATCTCTGAGCCATTACTCTGGGCACTGGGCAGAGTGCTAGCCTCTGATTAGCTTGTTTCTTCCAGCATGTCCTACGAAAGATCTGGAGTCAGAGTAATTTAGGGCTCCAGTATTCACAGCCTGTTGTACTTGGGGCAAAGACTGTCCTATAGGCAGAGACAGGGGGAAGGGAGAGAGAGAGATTAATTTTAAATAATTGGATTACGTGAGTATGGAGGCTGGCAATTCCAAAATCTGCAGGGTTGGCCAGCAGTCTGGAGATGCAGAAGAGAACTGATGCTATAGTTCAAGTCCAAAGGCCATCAGGCTGAATCCCAGGAAAGAGCTCGTGTTGTGATTGAAATCCAAATGCTGTCTGTTGCAGAATTCTCTCTGGCTTAGGGAAAATCAGGAGATCAATCATGTGTCCTATTTAGGCCATAACTGGTCAGAGGAGGCTCACCTGTATTATGGAGGGAAATCTGTTTTACCCAAACTCTACCAATTTAAATGTTAATATCCAAAAATATCCTCATAGAAACATCCAGAATAATGCTTTAACACATACCTGGGCCAATGGCCCATCCAAGTTGACACATAAAATTAACTATCACATGTGGTAACCCTAGCTTGGGAACTGAGGGGAGAGGAAGCCCTGTCTTCTTAGCCACACCCACACATGATGGAGCTTCCATCAAGCTGAACTGGGTAGTGGGTGGAAGATAGGGAGCAAGTTGTGGCTCAAGTGCCACAGTCCCTCATTGTTCTCACCACATTATAGTAGATTTTTATGAATGTTTCTATCTTTGCTGTATGCCTTTAGAACAATTTCCAGAGACTTTAAATAATTTGGATTTTTTTAAAAGTAGTTTCACCAGTGTTGCTTGTTTTGCTGAGAAGTAGACCAACAGAGCCCCTCATGCCAGCATGAAATTCCTAAGTCCAGGATTATTTGCAAGAGCAGGGAGAGGTTTGTGACTGAACCCATTAGGAAGATAAAGGGTAGAGGAGGCAAGGGCTGGAAAGCACACGCCAGTGACAGGAGATAGGCAAGTTACTAGGACTTACCAACAGGAACTGGAAAAATACGTAGAATCTCATTTTCATCAGAAGGCTGCTGGGGAATCAGCATCAGTACCAAATGTTTATCTCGGCCAGGCCCAGAGAGCCAGCAGGATTCAGCATGGATCATGCCACCCTGCACCCAGGAACGGTGCGTGTGCCAGGGACGTGAGGCAGTGGTAGACAGGGTGATTTACATCACCATCTGGTCAAAAGCAGTTTCCAGTGTCTTCAGTTGTGACCAATGAACATCAGAACCCATTATGCCTGGGGAGAGCTATGTTCTGGGCCACGCCACCCATTTCCCAGCTGCAAATCTCCAAGGAGTGTTCCATGTGATGTCATTATGCTGGAGTTTTTTCCTGCATTGTTCCGTAAATTTATCCATTCATTTGTCTACCTGCCCATCAGATCTTTATTGAGATTTACTCTGTGCATCCACATTATAGAAGACACTAAGTTAAGTATGACTCTGTCACTCCTCTCTAGAGGAGCACAAAATGTCCACAAGCCAATTCTAATACACTATAAGGCCAGCAAGAGCGAACACAGTGCTTTTCCAGTTGGGGAGTGGGGATCAAAAAAATGTGCTTCAACTTAAGGATAAGTAGAAGTCAGCCAGCCAGCTTTAGAAAAAAAATGAGAGGGAGGTGGCATTGTAGGTAGTGGGAATAGCTTGTGGTTAGAGAGGCTTAATGACCACAGCACAGTAGGGGGCTGCAAGAGTGCCCTTGTGGCTGGAGCACTGGAAACAAATGGGGCGTGGGCAGCAATCAGTCTATGCAAGTACAGTAGATGGGTCATGTTCCATTCTTGCTTTCTCATATCCAGATCGATATGAACAACTGGAACAACCTGGCCAGAAACTGGCCTTCACATCTTCTCTGGCCATGCTCAAGCAAGGACTATATGCAGGCCCCATTTCTCCTAAAGTTTCTGGTGATCATCTGGCACCTGAATGGCCTCAGTGTCCGGCCAGGCCTAGACCTTTGACCACTGGCCTTTCCTCATGGTAGGAATAACAGAACTCATTCCATGAGCTCCCCACTGCTAGGCCACTAAGCTAAGAATTCTCACTTAGCCTAATTCTGTCCATCAGGATCTGCCGCAGACATCCTCTGTTCCAAACTCTGGCAGGGCATCTAGGCATGGTGGCCTCAGGGGCTATCTGAATGTCAGCAAGAATCAATGCCATAGCCTGCCTGAGCATGGGTAGGCTGGTGCTGGGGCTGGGCTCATGGTGATTATGTCTGAGTAGAGCAGGAGAAAACTGCATTGTCTGTCACTGTCAGCATTATCAGTGGCAAACACAAACATTTTAGAAGCTGAGATGGATAACTCTGACTACCAGCATGCCTGGAGATAATGCTTGGTGCCTGCCCAGGGTCCAGGAGACTCTTCATCACCCCAGCATCACTACTGTTTTATCTTTATGCCCCCTTGGAATCTCCAGGGTGTTGAGTTTTGAATCTGCCTCCATTGACTTCTGCAGTCCAGCAGGGAAGAGGCCCAAAGAGCAGGCTCACGCATGTAAAAAGTAAAGCATTTTAGTGTCCACATAGCCTTTGCCTCTTTCATCCAGTTAGATCTTCCTATCAGTCCTGTGTAGCAGGCATAATGGGTATTGAAATTCTCACATCACAGATGAGGAACAAAGTGCCCAGAGATAGTCAGTGACATGCAGCAATTCAGAAGAGGAACTAAAAATCAAACCAAATATACTGATTCCAGGAAGACATGCTTTCCAACCTACTGGTGCATCTTGGCATAACAAGGGGTACCAGAAAACATAGTGAAAAAAATAAAAGCAACTTAAGGGTCTGAAGACCCTGGGCAGTCACTCTCTGTGCCTCTCCCTGATGCCCTTGACCTGCCTAGAAGCCCCTTCGACAGCTCCGTGCACTCCCAAGGCTTTCTGGGTCTACCTGAGCAAGCACCTTCCCTGGCAGTCTGCACACAGGGCTGGCTAGGTATACTGGAGGAGGTAATAGCCGAGAGAGTCTCTTAAGGTGTTGAAGGGATCTAAATTCAAACAGCAGAATGTGAATTTCCTTGCCCCTTACTATAACCCTGTTGAAGGGACAATAGCAGCTATATTTTTAGAGACTCTAGCAGAGTCCTAGATTCATTTTCCTATATAGCCAAGCCCATCTGGTCCCAGAACCATACCCCACAACCCATAGTAGTGGCTAAGGCATATGCAGCTGAATCTCTGAGGGAGAACTGGTGAGTTAATTTAAAGGTGTTCTTGGAATGCACTGTGTGTAGTATCTCATCCTCATCCAGCCCTGAAGGAGGAGGAGAAGGTCTGTTTCCAGCCAACCTTTCCCATCTGATGTCTATGTTCCTTGCTACTAGCTGATGTGGTTTGGCTGTGTCCGCACCCAAATCTCATCTTGAATTGTAGCTCGCATAATCCCCAAGTGTCATGGTAGGGATCCGGTGGGAGGTAATTGAATCATGGGACTGGTTACCCCCATGCTGCTGTTCTCATGATAGTGAGCTCTCACGAGATCTGACAGTTTTATAAGAGGCTTTTCCCCTTTTTGCTCAGCACTTTTTCTTCCTGCTGCCATATGAAGAAGAACATGTTTGCTTCCCCATCTGCCATGATTGTAAGTTTCCCGAGGCCTCCCAGCCATGTGAAATTGTGAGTCAATTGAACCTCTTTCCTTTATAGATTACCCAGTTTCTGGCAGTCCTTTATAGCAGTGTGAGAACGCACTAATACATAGCCCTTGCTGTACCCAAACTATATATCATAATATTTGGGCCCTTGAGTGGCAGTGCTTCATCTGCCATAAACCTACTTTGCTCTCCTGTCTCTACTTATTCTAGTTCATTCTTCAAGGCATATATTGTACTTGGCTATGACTTTGAATAACCCTGGCTCTCCTTTCTGCCTCTGGGCTCCCAAGGCTCTTACCTGACTCTCCCTCTGTTCTTTTTTTTCTTTCTTTCTCTCTCTCTTTCTTTATTTTTCTTTCTTTCTTTTTTCTTTCTTTCTTTCTTCTTTTCTTTCTCTTTTTTCTTTTCTTTCTTTCTCTTTTTTCTTTCTTTTTTCTTTTCTTTCTTTCTCTTTTTTCTTTTCTTTCCTTTTCTTTTTTCCTTCCTTCTTTTTTTCTTTCTCTTTTTTCTTTCTCTTTCTTTTTCTTTCTTTCTTTCTCTCTTTCTTTCTTTCTTTCTTCTTTCTTTTGTTTCTTTTCTTTCTCTCCTCCATTTTCTCTCCTGTTAATGTGGTTATAACACACATGTTTTATCCCCTCTCCTAGCCTGGGGTTCTGGTGATTTTGGTAGCCCCTTCAATGTCTACCACAGTGATACTCACCAGATACTTCTCAGGAGCTCTCAGTGAGAGGCCAAGTGCAGCTTTTATTCAGACACCTGTGCTGAAGCTTAGAGCACAGCTTAGAAGACTGGAATTCACTGCACCTTCACAGAATAATATTTCTGCAACTGCAGCTCCACTGGCTATCATTTACTGTCTGCTTCACCATTGCTAATTGTTTTTAATTTATTACATCACATTCTTGTCAAGGGCCTGCTACAAATTTATTGGTGGAGGCTTAGGAGATCTGTCTAAGGTCACACATAACAGTGACAGAGCTGAGACCTGAATGCAGCTTGTCTTGGCTTCAAATCCCATGCTCTTCCCTCCACCCTTTGAATGATTCTGATGGACTCAAATCCCCTCTTTTTGGTTTGACCCATGGATCACTTTGGGAATAGGCACATAGAATCACTAATGTGGGGACAGTTCTTGCCTGACACAGATTTCAATCTCTATTTATTCATTTGTCATATAAACTTTGACATTTGTCTAACATTTTGAGCACCCTGGTTCTTCATCTTGAAACATAGAGCATTGCATCTTAGAAGTAATTTTCTCTTTGAATGCATCACCACAGCACTGCCATTTTGTCAACCTTACAGCTTTCTGCCAGAACTGGGGCTGTTATTCTTACCTTAAACATGGGCAAACCAGGACAAAAGAATCATCGTGGTTAAATAATGCTTTTGGTCTTTTCTTCCTTGGAAACTTTAGTAACATTCCAAGACTGGGTCAAAGCTTCCTAGGGTGGGAGCAATGAATCAAGGAAATGGAGATGTTCACCTTAGGGAAAAGGAAAACCTGAGAGCTGACTTAAGCCACCTAAGCCACACAAAGACTTGATACACCTTGTTCTAGCGGGAGAGCCCAGAAGAACCAGAGCCAGTTGGTGTAAGTCACAGATAAGATTTGGGCATTGTTTTAGTTGGATCTGCCTATACGTCCCCACCCTAGGAGCAGGTCAGAAACAAGGATTGAGTGCAAGTAGGTCAATTGGTAGATGTGGGGATAGTAGAAGTAGGGTGGGGCACTGACACAGAGGAGGGAAGGCAGTAAGAAGGAGTTAGATATTAAGCCAGCTACCACTGGGGGAAACTGAAGCTTATTGGCTCAGGGAGACTCATTGGTGGTGTAAAACGCAATCCCCCAGAATTATCCCACCTGAGGGTAAGGATCAGGGTATTTATAGGCTGGTGCATGTATATTGGTGAACAAATTAGGTTCTGGCAGCCCAGAGGCAGACCAGAAAATGCAGGTGCTGACTTTTGGAAGCATATGAAAATAAAAGGGGATCCTGAAGGTCTGGGGGAAGGATGACAAGCACCATGTAAAGTTGTCTAATGATTCAAGTCATCCAACAGCTTTCTAATGGGGTGGTGAGCTCTCCATCATCAACCACATCTAAGAAGAGGCCAAATGGACAAAACAGGGGCTCCTGCTTTGGGTGGCAATATGGACCAGATGTTCTCTCAATGAAGAAGTGAGGTCCTCATGATGCCAGTGGCCTGAGAAGAGCTGGTGTGTCACAAAATGCAAGCCTTTGGTCTTACAGGCTAATGATCTCAATTTCTTAGACACCTACTTTTATATACTAATTGCCATGACCAGTAACTGAACCAGTGAGCTATTAAATCTTACCAGCAATTTAGTTCCATATTCCTTATTTTGTTCATTTTATTTTTATTTATTTATTTTTTTGTTTACCAAGTTGGGTTTTTCCTTCTCTGGAAAGTTGGAATGAGTAGAAGAGTTGGGGTCATTTGCCATATCCAACTGGATTGCAGTCTGAAGAGTTTGCAAATTCCTACTCACAAGTTACTTTTAAGTCTAATTGGGGCTTTTGTGCATATTCAAAGTAAACTGTCTCTTCCTTGACTTGGGTGGAATGGATATTATATGCAGGTGGACGCTTTCCTGTTAGTTCAGGAATCTACTCAATAAGGATGGCTGCCATTTTTTGAGCAAATACTAAATTCCATGTACTGTTAGGGGTATTTTACACATTGGTGCTCTCTTAATCCTCACAACCCAATAAGTGCAGCACTCTTTATGTCTCCATTTTAAATGAGGAATCTGAAGTTCAAAGAAGTTAAATAAACCTATAAGCGGTCTCAGTTTACAATTAGCAGTGAACTAGATTGAGATTTAAACCAGATTAAAAATATTTCTAATCCGTTCAAATGTGAGGAAGCAAGCCAAACCATTCCCAAGATATCCCATTCAGGAAAGAGACAGGAGGTCCTACAAAGAATGTTGGAGCAGAGACATGTATATTTAGGGAGTCACAGCATGGTTTGAGGTCATGGTCCTGGATTCAACAGAACAAACCAGGGACACCTCTTGTTCGTAATAGCTAAGGCTGTGGCTTGGAAAACAATCTGATGAGACTGATGATTAAAATGTAAAATGAGTCTATTTTTTGATCAGCAATCCTACTGATAGTAACCTACCCCATAAAAACAAAGCCTCAGTTTATAAGGGTAAAATAAATGTGGAGGCGTGGAGCAGGGGGAGTTGCAGCATTTTTGTATTAGCAAAAACTTGGAAACAATGTCAGTGTCTACCAATACAGGAATAGATGAATAGATTGTGGTGTCTCCAAACAATAAAATATGATGCAGCACTAAAAAGACAGTGTTACAGGTGCCAAAATATATCATAGCATATGCTTTAAATATGTGCAGCTTACTGTATCTCAGTTACACCTCGATAAAGCTGTTAAAAAAAGAGACCACATTATTTAGATCCATATGCAATTGGCCAAAAACATGCCCATGATATATGTCTTTGTGAATAAAAGCACGTTTCCGTGTAAAGTACATGGTATGATTTGATTTGGGACTTCAAAAACTGGGGCACAGTTGTACATGTTTCCATATATGGTCTATGTAAGTATAGGGAAAGTGTGAAAGGTCACTCCCTAATGATCTCGGAGAGGAGGGTACAATTGATAGGAAAAATAAGAAGACAATTAAATGTTTCTTTATATAATTCTCCATTATTTGACTTTTTATAAGCTTATATTGCTTTTGTAATTGAAAAAAAACTTAAAACAAAAAGAGTCAGTGAATCATCACAGAGGCATAGCTGGTCTAGTGAGCCAACTACAATCTTCTGCCTCACAGGAAACAGATGCCTGGGATCTTCACGGTCTCCATAGGCTGGCGGGAGACACTGAGGCAGGGGGCTGTCTTGCCTTCAGCAGCAGATACAGTGGCTTGAGTGTAGAAAAGGCCAGTGGTAATAGAAAATGTATTTCCCTTCCAAAATGTCTGCATGATAAAATATGGGATTTTCATAAATTCATAGAGTAGGAATTATTAGCAGGCTGAGCTTTTATCGCTGCCTCGGGCACTGTGCTGACCCACCAAGACCCCACTTTCCTCAGCAATGGCAGGATGATTTCCTATTTCATAATCTTTTCTCTCATTGTGGGAGGAAAAATAAATTCCCCAGGTGGCCTCTTTATAGCCCCAGCCCAGCAGACCCGTTGAGACAGGGTTTTGTCTATTTATTCAGCCAGCAAATATTTATTGAGCACTATTTTCTTACCTTTATTATTTTGCTTGTATCAAGCACTAAAGATTCAAGAATTCCAAGAAATGTTCTGGACAACACACTTCAAAGTGAAGTCACTGAACAAGCAGAGACCAGGAGGGTGACTGGGACTGTGAGGATCTTGAAGCCGTTCATTTATTTATTCACTCACTCATTCATTCATGCCAAAGGAAAATTTGAAAACAGAGATCTTGAGCTTAGAGACGAAACAAGAATGGTGAAGTTTCCAGTGGAAGAAAAATAAGGCTTGTTGACTGTGGCTCTTGAGAGCAGAACTGGGACACAGCAGCAGTTAGAAGGGAGGGAGACCCTTCTAATCATTAGAATTGATTCACACCCTGGAGCACAGTGAGTGATCCCAGGGAGTGCTCAATGGAGGTGGGTAGCCGCTGTTGAGGACTTTGTGAAAGGGATTTGGCTCTCTGATGGGGCTTCACCAGACACCATTAGGAACCCTTGCAAATACAATTCTCTAAGGTCTGCTGGGTCTTTGCCTGATTAAGACCAAAACTATGACACTTCCCAGCCAACCCTCCACCCACACTATGTGACTCCAAGCTATGGCTCCCTCTCATTTCTCTACCTCTAACATATGTATTTTTCCTTGATTCCATTCTAAAGGAACCTGCTATGTCTGAAGTCACCCAGGGCATTTTCTTTGGTCACTACCCAGAAGAACAGTCAGGAATAATACAGTGAACCTTTCCTAATGGCCTGTACCAGGAAAAGCACGGAGCCCTTCACACTGCCCACTTATGCATTCAAGAAAGGCTCACCAAGCACCTGCCATGGCCAGACTCTGTTTCCCACACAAGGACTAGAGCAGGGAACAAACTTTCTCCATGGAGGGGCTCTTGTCCAAGTGAGGAAGATAGAAAATAAGCAAACACAATGGCAGGCAGAGGCAAGCAGTAGAAAGAAAAATAAGACAGAGTATGAGGGTGAAGAGTTTGGGCACGGGGCACTATTTTAGATATGACAGTCACAGAAACTGCTACAGGATCTGAGATTGAGTAAGAGGAGAGAATCATACAGGGATCTCAGAGAAGAGCATTCCAAACAACAGCAACAGCGAAGTGCAGTCTCTGAACTGGAACATGCTTGGAATTTTTGAGAAATAGCAAGAAAGTCAGTGTGGCCAGAACACAGTAAGTGTATTCTCTACTTGAGTTGCCATAATACAAGACCACAAAGTGGATGGGTTAAACAACAGAAATTTATTTTCTCATAGTTCTGGAGACTGGAAGTCTAAAATGAATGTGCAAGCAGGGTTGGTTTTGGGTGAGACCTCTCTCCTTGGCTGGCAGAGCAGTTCTTCACTGTGCCCTCAAATGGTCTTTTCTCTGTGTGCACAGAGAAAGATGCACTCTGGTGTCTCTTCCTCTTCTTATAAGGGCACCAGTCTTATTGGATTGGGGTCCCATCCTTACAACCTCATTTAACCTTAATTACAACCCTAAAGGTTCTGTTTCCAAATACAGTCACAATGGGGGTGAGGGCTTCAACATACACATTTGTGGGGAACACAATTTAGTAGTGAGTGAAGGAAGAGGGGTAGGTAGGAAATGAGATGAGATTGACAGCTTCTCTGTAAACAGTTGGCAGCAATCCAGAAGTGCGGGTGGTGTGGGAAGGACATGAGGGGCAGTGAGGGATAATACAGAGAGAGAAATGACTATCACAGGGACCATGGTGTGGAGCTGGTAAGAAAAGTGGAAGACAGAGCACGGGAGGAAGGTTCGACCTCACGTGGGAGCCCGGGGGGAAGGGCTGGCCTCACAGGGGAGGAAAGGCTGGCCTCTCACGGATGCAAGGGAAGAAGGGCTGGCCACACACAGGAACACAGGAGGGAAGGGCTAGTCTTGGACGGGAGCATGGGAGGAAGGGCTGGCCTCACACGGGAGCACTGGAGGAAGGGCTGGCCTCAGATGGGAGCACATGAGGGAAGGCAGAGAGCCTGGCGCAGATGCAGGCTGTGCCTGTGGGGTAGGGGGGAGATGACATATTTTTCTTCTGATTGCTTCTATTTTCTCAGTGAAATCAGATTCAGGGCTCTCAACTAAGACTGCTTTGCAGAGGCCTAGGGGGAGGGGAAAGGGTGTGAAGTAGTCATGAGATCTGGGAAATACCAGTGTTGTTCAGCAGTGCCAAGGGCCCTCCAGTCACTTGTGGTCACAATTTAAAGTGAGACCCATCAGCCTAAGAGTGTAGTTTTCTCCAACTGCATCCTCTTCTCAGGTTCAGGGAAAGAGTAGGACAATAACTGTATCTAGCCAGGTCGGGATTTAGCCAGACAACTATCTGAACGGGAGCGAGGGTAACTACTGTGATGGTCCACAGAAGCTTGGCAGGATGAGAAGGGCCATGATGACATGAGGCTGGGAGAGGAAAAGGATATTAATTTCTTAGCAGTGGCAGGCAGGGAAGATAATTAGCCCCTTTTGTTGATAAATAAACTGAGGCTCAGAGAGATAAGTCATGTATCTAATCAGTAGAAGAGCCATGTTCTGGGGACTTTAGAATATAAGTGCCAGGGAGGTAAGAAACTCAGAGAGGAATGTATGCACATGATTGAGGTCTCCATCTTCTCTCCCTCACCCTCTCCGTCTCCTCCCTTTCAGGGAGATCAACTCTCCTAGTTGTCCAGGACTGAGGGTTTTTCAGGACATGGAACTTGTAGTACTAAAATGAAGAAAGTCCTAGGCAAACAAGGTTGATTGGTTATCAACACACACACAGGGAGAAAGGACTGATGGGGGCTTCACCAGATACCATTAGGAACCCGTGCAAATACAGCTCTCTAAGGCTAAGGCAAATATTAGCCAGGCTTTTAGTTAGGAGTTCCCTCTTCTGACAAGAAGATCCTCTGGAGCATCCGTCTCTCTTGCACTGGACCCTTTTCTTTCCTGCAGAGGTTGGAGTCAGAAGTGAGGGGACAGGGTTAGGGCCAATAATTATATTCTATCTATCTTTTAATAAACAAATTAAAGTTTTTTTAAAAAAATAAATAACCTCCAAGTGGCTCAACAATCAAAGGATACCAAAGAGTAAACAGGGAACATCTCCTGTCCTCTAGCCAGAGGATGCCATGCTATAAATTTCTTGTGTGTCCTTTCAAAGATACTTAATGCAAACATCAACATTGACATTAGGGGGCTGGGCATGGTGGCACACGCCTATAATCCCAACATTTTGAGAGGCCAAGGTGGGCGGATCACTTGAGGTCAGGAGTTTGGGGCCAGCCTGGCCAACATGGTGAAACCCTGTCTCTACTAAAATTACAAATATTAGCCAGGCTTGGTGGTGCACACCTGTAGTCCCAGCTACTCAGAAGGCTGAGGCAGGAGAATCACTTGAACCCAGGAGGCAGAGGTTGCAGTGAGCTGAGATCTCACCACTGCACTCCAGCCTGGGCAACAAGAGCAAGACTCTGTCTCAAAAAATAAAAAATAAAAAATAAAAAAAATTCAGGAGGCTGAGGCAGGAGAATGGCATGAATCCGGGGGCGGAGCTTGCAGTTAGCCAGGATCGCACCACAGCAATCCAGCGATAGAGCAAGATTACGTCTTAAAAAAAAAAAAAAAAAAAGAATTTCCTTAGCGCCTGCATCTTACTCTTTTTATGTAACAAAAGAACATG
The DNA here is from genome assembly GCF_000001405.40 of Homo sapiens. Taxonomy (NCBI): domain Eukaryota; kingdom Metazoa; phylum Chordata; class Mammalia; order Primates; family Hominidae; genus Homo; species Homo sapiens. Next base: position 33,732,452 of record NC_000017.11, on the reverse strand, counting down.
GAGGTATAGAGATCAGTTTCTATCAATACATAAAGAGAAGCATCTCCCACCAAAATGTAAGTTCTGGAGGGCAGGGATTTTTTGACTATTTTGATCACCATTCTATATTCAGCACCTAGGACAGCGCCTGACATGAAGGAAGAATTCAGAAAAGTCTGAATGACTCCTTTGGTCTTCCTGGCCTTCCATTGAACACATGTGCTACGATGTATTTAATTGTATCCTTTTATGTGTTCAGCTTGCTTCCACACTTTTGATCTTATAATTAATACCACAATGAATAACCCTATGCACCTGCTGCTTTATGTGTGTTTGAGCCTATCTGTAGGATAAATTCCTAGAAGTGGAATTGCTGAATCAAAGATATGTGTATTTTCAATTTTGGTGGAGATGGCCAAATTACATCTATATAAATTTTCAACAATTTTGTTATTTACCCCATGCATTCATGATACATTTTATGAATCATCATTTTTTTCTTTGATTTTAAGTCACCTTCTAGTGCTCTGTTCATCTAGCCCTCCCCTGTTGGGTACACATATCACAACAGCTCCCCCAACCCCACCCCAGTTTGTGACTATCCTTGTTTTATAGGCTGTTCTGAACACTGTCTTTGCTCTGAGGCCAGCCTTCCCAAAGGCCCATGTGGGCACATTGAAGAGGAGATAGACCTGCATCCAGCTATCCAGGATTCCTGGAGTGGCCAAGGGCAGAGGAAAGGGCCTAAGCTGAGACACTTATGATTTAGGGATGAGCTAGGAATATCTGAAGACCTTCAGTTAGCTCAGCCTTTCTCAGGAACTTTCCCCCAAAGTCCCAAGGGGGTTTAGTGTTTCATTTACCACTGTATAGACTCCTCCCATCAATCTCTCTGTATATTAAATTCCTAGCTCTTTCTAATTACTTATTGATTAGTCCCAGCAGAACTCTAGCATAGATGGAGGCAGCAGGGAGATTTCTTTATGGACCTTAGGTGAAAGACATTTGATTCAAACTTTCCAAACTCTGACTCTCAATGAATTTGTCCCAAACTCTGTTTTTCTACCTTTTCTGCTACTCACGTCTCCCTCCAACATTCAATTCTGTTCTAATGCAAGGGCTCCAAATGATGTTCTGACCTCCCCCCTAAAATATAGCACTCCTATGGCAATGTCTGTCCTAAAGCAAGAGATCCCAGGAACTTCAAATGTCTACTTCCCAAAAAACACCTGACAAAGGAGCAACAAGTGGTTTTGTGACTCCCCAGTAAATCTCTGCTAAACATTTCCCCACACCTGAAGCATCAAAGATGGTCCCTTGAGGTGTGAGAATATAAACAGGGTGCCTGTGCCCTCATGCTATGAGTTCATTTATTCATACCCTCATCCATTCACTCATTCACTCCCTCAGCCCACTTCCATGGGGCATCCGAGCATCCATTCTGAGGTGGAGTAGGTGCAGTGTAGGTGCAGGGAGAGGAGAGTGTTGTAGAAACAAGATAAATGCCCAAGATCCAGGAACCTGCCCTCATTGCCACCACTGTGAACAGACACCATCCACAGAAGAGTAGGATCAATTTCAGGTCTCTGAAAGGAAACAGGGGGGATATATCTTTCAGCTTTGATATTTGGTCCACATTTCTTAATCTCTGAGTGTCCCTCAATCAACAGTAACCACATAGACACCTACTTTGTGCAAGATACACACAGATAAAGAAAAGGGGAAAATAGTGAACTTTGGAGACACAGAGAACTGAGTTCAAATCCAAGTTGAAGTTCTCCTTGAAGCGTCTCAAGAAAGAGTTTGTAAAACAGTTTAACAAAGTAAGCAAGACTTAGGAGAGAACTATTTCAAACATCTAGAAGAGCTCATTTTTCCAGCCCCATCAAGCACTTTAGAATGGTTCATTTATATTCAAGTAGTCAATATGTTAATTTTAGATCACTCATATCTATTCCTGAAGCCTAAGGACTGTTGAATGAATAAATGGATGAATGAGTTGTATGAGCCAGGTTTGAATTATTGTGTGATTTCAAAATGACAAAGTGGTGCAGAAGATTTTCTGTTCTGACTTCTCAGTAACTCGCCCTTCTCCTCCCGCAATTAGTCCTCATTAGTGAGACCTCACTGTCATCCCAGGAATGTGAGATCTGTAGTCTCTGGAGCAATGCCTGTTCTGATTTACCTCTCCCTGTGCTCAGAATCAAAGGCAGGAGTCCATTAAGCAAATTAAAAGAAGAGACTCAGTTTCAAAGGAAATATTTAACCAAAAAAGGTAGGAAAGCATTTTTTTTTACACTTTTTTAGTTATCCATTCACAGGTAAACTATACAGGGGCTAATTAAAAGTCATTCTTCTGAATTCATAAAGCCCTTCCCTGCTGAACCTGTATTTGAAACTTTGTTAGATCACCCGAAAGCACCGAATGTCCCTTAATATAATAAAATAATTAAAATGAAATATCCCAGACATCTTGCTAGCGTGAGGCAGTGAGGTGTGGGAAGATCATGGACTCTCCGTTTAAATGCCAGCTTTGCTTTTTTCTAGCAAGTATAAGGTAAGCATTTAGCAATGTTTTTGAAAAGAACCAGCTGAATAATTAGGGTTAACTTCTTAACTTCATTGAGTCTCAGTTTGCTTACATATGAAACTAGAATAATACTACTGAGGTGTTAAGGATCATTAATATGTCAACACTCCCAAAACACCAGGCATTATCCCAGGCGCTTTACACAGATAAACTCATTGACTTCTCACTGCAACCCTGTGAGGGTTGTTTTGTTAGTCTCATTTTATGGATGGGGAATTTAAAGCAAAAGCAGTTTAAGGAATTTGCCCAGATCACATTGTTTGGAAAGTGACCCCAAATTCAGCCCTCTAGAATCTGGCTCTGGACTCTGTGGGTATAACAGTTACCTTGGACTTCCTTTTACATTAACCACTTAGAAGACTCCAGAATCTCACTGGGAGTATACTAACCTAACAATCCAACACGGGGTAATGATATAGTTTGGGTATTTGTCCCCTCCAGATCTCATGTCAAAATGTAATCCCCAGTGTTGGAGGTGGGTTCTGGTGGGGAGGTGTTTGGATCATGGGGGTAGTACTTTATGGAAGGCACCAGCTTGGTGCCATCCTAGAGGTAATGAATGAGTTCTCGCTCTGAGTTTCCACAAGATCTGGTTGTTTAAAAAAGTGTGGCACCTTCCTGCTCTCTCTCTTGCTCCCTCTTTCAAAAGGGATGCATCTGCTCCCCCTTCTCCTTCTGCCAGGATTGCAAGCTTCCTGAGAGACCTCCCTAGAAGCAGACGCTGGCACCACACTTCCTGTACACTCTGCAGAGCCATAAGCCAATTAAACTTCTTTCTTTATAGATTACCCAACCTCAGGTATTTCTTCATAGTGACACAAAAATTGACTAATGCAGGTGATTTTCCTTTTCTTCCATTTCTCTGGATTGAGACCAATGAACTTGAATCTGTGCAATTTGATTATGTTGTCGGGGGTGATGGGGCCCAGCAAAGACTGGGAGTGCCAGGGTGCAGATGTGTACCCTGCTGTTGAGAGTGCTACATTTGCAGTCATTAACAATTTGGATGCACCCACAACATGACCCTCCCTGGCTCCTCTGTAGATACGGATGCTGTTGGGCATAGGCGCTGCAGCTCTGGTTGGCCCGGCTCATGGATAACTCTTCCTCTGCCTTCCCAACTCAATCTACTCTGACAACTCATTCCCTCCCATAATTCACATCTCTACAGCTATAACTTATTCCCCTGATTCACTTTGGTGACATTTCCTGGGTCCTCAGACCCTCAATAGTTAGATAGACCCAGTACTCTGTCAAACAGAACCCATCACAGGCTATGAATCCAGAGTTTAAATTACAGGTATGCCCAGAGAAAACCAATTTCTTTCTGTGATAAGGTCTCTAAGGAAAGGTCAGACCGATAAATAACTGTAAGGGAGGAAATGATGTTGTCCAAAATAGTACATTACCTGGTAAGAGAGAGCTAGGGGTCCCATAAGTTGTGCTTTATCTTTGCCCTGTTAAAACAAGATCACAGAAGCTGACCATTAAAAGAGCAGGATAGGGTAGGGGGGAAAGCCAAATCAGGGTACAATTTTAGGGGAACTCTCAGCCTCAGCCTGAGTCTGTGGTGAGGTCTGGAGGTCCCTTATGCTGTAGAACGTGTCCCAGCTAGAGCCAAACCCACCATTGGCTTTGGGCCCCTGGAGCCACATGAACTTACAGGGACTTGGGTCTCTGTGTGGCGGCTCTTCTTTTGGTGTCTCCAGTAGCCCTCTTGGAGTCTTCAGAAGAAAGTCGCAGATGTGGGCCAGCAGGAGCAAAGTCTGCAGGAGGGACTTGAGGTGCAGAATTGGCAATGGGGATGGGAGGGAATCCAGGCAGAGCATGTGCTGCCTCTACCACAGCACATCTCCTGCTGCATTTAGTTGTACCCACCATCTCCCTAACTAGCTTGTAGGCCCTTGGAGGGCAAAGGCTTTAAACCCAAAGGTGCCCAAGAAAAGAAGATGCTCAGTAAGTATTTGTTGGTGGATAGACAATATGAACAAAGGATGAAAGACCCACAGAACAGTGACATGTACCTTATCTTGAAGAAGTTTCCTTCTCCAAAGGTGAGAAAGCCCCTGTCAATTAGCCCACTCTTACATTGCTATAAAAAAATACCTGACACTCGGTAATTTATGAAGAAAAGAAGTTTATTTGGCTGATCGTTCTGCAGACAGTAAAGGAAGCATGATACTGGCCATCCGTTGGCTTCTGGGAAGGCCTCAGGAAACTTGCAGTCATGGTAGAAGGTGTGGGGGAAGCAGGCTCATCTTCCATGGCCAGAGCAGGAACAAGAGAGAGAGATGGGGAAGGTGCTACACACTTTTAAAGAACCAGTTCTTGTGAGCACTCACTCACCATCACAGCAAGGAGGGGGAAATCTGCCCCCATGATCCAATCACCAGGCCCCACCTCCAACATTGGGGATGACAATTTGACATGAGGTTTGGGCAGGGACACAGATCCAAGCCATATCACCCTGCAAATTGAACACTTTAAAAAAATCGGACCATTTATACTTCTTTCTGCTGATAGCTGTTGTTGTAAAACTGAGATTTTAAAGGCATACTTTGTGTCTTGGAAGTTCCTGCATATAGACATGGGATCCTGTGTTGCCATCTTCAAGGCTGAGAAATTTCAACTTGGAACTTTCCTGGAAAATCTCCAACCTCTTGTGAGCCATTTCTTCTTTTTTTAGCTATAGTTTCTTCATTAATAAAATAAGAGTTAGACTAGATCAAGAGTTTCCCCTATTTTTGAGTAGAGTTCCATTTAGGAGTACAAAGTATATTACAGGCTCACCTCTGTAGTTGGTTTTGGTATTCATTGTTTGAAAGAATGTGTAATGACCAAAACCTTCTAGGAGATTCAGTGATTCTTTTAGATAAATTTGCATGTTATGATTTAGAATATTTATACTAATTTTCCAATTAGCAGGCAGGCAAGCAAGATGTAATATTTACTTATTCTACCAAAAATTTTTGGTACATTTGAGGATGGCTGCAAGACCAAGTATCTCTGAACCTTCTTTCTGCCCTGAGGTGTCTATAATCAGATCAGAAGGAGGTCACACCTTTCCAAATAATTTTAACAAAGAACAAATAACTTCACATTTGGATTTCTCTCATTTAATCTTTTAATCAAAGCAGGGAGTCCTAGCTTGAGGTTATCCCAGGATGCCTAAGGAATGGGTGGACCAGACTGCCAGTGTTAAATTGTCTCAGGGTTTTTCAGCTGAGGGAGAAGGAACAGATATTTTGAGAGGAATCTTGAGGAAATGCGGAAAGGCAGAGAGCCTAGAGTCTGTGTCTGTCACTGCTCCCTAGCCTGGCTTCATGAAACTTATCAAAGCCTGAGACAGGGAAGGAGGGGTGCAGGCTGCCTTGTGGTGCTGTAAAAATGGGGCTTTCTCCCCACTCCTTCATGGACTGCAGAGACATTTCAAGCTGAACATGCAAGGAAACACAAACTACCTGCTTCAGTTCTCTATTGCTGCATTAAAACAGCTATCATTTTATCGTCTCTCATGGTTCTATGAGCTGACTGGGTTCAGCGGGGCAGTTCTTCTGCTGGTTTTGCTCCAATCTCTCATACAGGTGTGGTCAGATGGCAACTGGGGCTGGAGACACCTAGAGGCTCAACTGGGATGCTAGGACCCCTGGGTGTCTATCTCTTTCTCTTCCTCTCTAAGTTTCGAGGCTTTTTCACGTGATCTCTCCAGAAGCTTTGGCAGTTTTCTGACATGGTAGCCTAGGGTCCCAAAGAGCACAAAATTCAAATGGAAAGCCGTGAAATGGTGCAAACTCTACCTTCTGTCCAGGGCCAGTCTGCCTTCCATGTGGAAAGGTGAGAGTCTTGAGAGATGCAGCTCAGTGGAGGCCATCTTTGCATGCCACACAGTCTCCTGGCATCACACAGGTGGTCCAATTGGGAACCCCATAAGAATGCACCCTGGGGTATTCCAGAGTCGGCTCCTGGACCAGGAAGCGGCAACACTGGTGATGTGCTGCCCTCGTGTGGCTCTGTGGGGTCAGTGCAGAAGGTTGTGCTACAGCGGTTTGTGAGCCACAAGAGACCCACTTTGGAATCCCTCGGAATTCTCAGAGTGGGGCGAGGTCGCCAGGGTTCTGAGTTAAGAAACTAACAGCAAAAGCATAAAAAAAGGGGGGGGGGGTTTCTTAATAGTAATGCGATGCAATTGCATCCATATGCTGAGGAAACTTGGGATGGGGTAAGAAGAGAGAAGAATGTAGGATCCTATAAGTGTTTGCAATAGCCCACGGATCATGGAAGGTGCCATTGTATTTCACGTGATCTTGACCTCTTCTAACTTATTCCTAAGTCTATTTTAAAATGCAGGCACTGAGTCTTACAAGCTGGAATTAACTTCTGAAAGACCATACTTAACCAAGTAATAGAGCTGGGACGGACAATCAGGCCCTTCTGACCCTAACGCCCATCACTGCAGGCTGCCCTGCCTGCCTCCCCGTGAGTGGACAACTCGGACTAAGTCCCTGCCCTACAGAAAACCTCCTGATAGGCCTGAGACCTAAATATTTAATGTTGTCATTATGGCTTTTCTTCCTTTAAGCTGAGCCCTTTACCAAAATGACATTTTCCCTTCCCTCCACGTATTTTCCCCAGCTCTCTAATGATGTGTTTATTCAACACAGGACACAGAGGCTACTTGTCCTGACAGTCATCCACCTGCAGGCCCCGCTGGGTCCCCCAGTGAGAGGCTGTGGGGAGCAGAGCTGCCTTGAGAGCTGCTGAAGCAGAGGGCACCACAGGGGGATGCCCCACGTGTGCTGAGCCCGTGACAGAGGGCAGAGCGAGGATCCAGAAGGGGCGTCCCGACAAGTGCAAGCTGCCAACCTGCCTTTCAGATCTCGGCTGTGGCTTCCAGACCAGCAGCTGCATGTTCAGTTCAGTAACTTCTAGCGAGGGCCCTTACTGCAAAATAGATGAAAGGCATTTTTCAGATTTGTTTTTCCCTTTTTTAAGAAAAAAATGAACGGGAAGGAGCCAATGTGTGAGTGTGTATGTGTGTGTGTGTGTGTATGTGTTGGGGGTTGAGGGTATTGATGCATGCTATTTATTAATACAAACTCAATTAGTCAACCACCTCTTGAACATTTCATTGGGTGTTTAATGGGCATCAAACTTACCTGTTCAAAACCAAATTCTTGATTTCTCCCCACTACTTCCCAAACTGCTGCTCCTTTGGTCTTTCCCATCCCAGTAATTGGCTGCTGCATTCTGCCAAGTGCACAGGCCAAAGCCCCTCCCTTAGGCTCCTCATTCCCAATTGTCCTGGCATCCCATCTTCTCCACTTCCAGCATTTACACAGCATCCCTCCTCCGCTCCTTCACATCTGGACTCAGTCACCTTCAGCTCTCCCAGGTCTTCCACTTACACCCTTTACCCGATCTACTTGGATCTCACCAATGTCTACTCTTCACGCAGCAGACAAAATCATTCTTTCCAGACGTAAGTCGGCTCAGAACTTTCCAATGATTCTGAGCCTGCTTATGGGCTTCTCATCTTTTTTAGAAAGAAATCTAAAATCCTGACTCTATTAGTCTGTTTTGATGCTGCTGATAAAGACATACCCAAGGCTGGGTGATTCATAAAGAAAAAGAGGTTTAATGGATTCACAGTTCCTCGTGGCTGGGGAGGCCTCGTAATCATGGTGGAAAATGAAAGTCATGTCTTATATGGCAGCCGGCAAGAGAGAGAATGAGAACCGAGTGAAAGGGATTTCCTCTTTATAAAACCATCAGATCTCGTGAGACTTATTCACTATCATGAGAACAGCACGGGAAAGACCCACCCCCATGATTCAATTATCTCCCACTGAGTCCCTCCCATGACACATGGGAATTGTGGGAGCTACAATTCAAGATGCAATTTGGGTGGGAACACAGCCAAACCACATCACTGACTATTCCTGTAAAGTCCTGCATGATTTCAAGCTCCTCTGCCAGGAAAATTCTTTATTTTTGTTGTTCTTTTCAACTGAGGTACAATTTACACACATTAAAATGCATGAATCTTAAGTGTACTGCTTGATAGGGTTGCATCTTGGTAAGCATTCAGAGAACCACCATCCAGAACAAAGAACAGAATACGTCCATCATCCACAAAGCTCTCTTATGTCCCTTCCCAGATAATGCCTACCTCCACCTGAGGTCACCATTACTCTGACTTTAATCTCTGTGGATTCATTCTGCCTGTTTTTAACCTTAATTTAAATGGAATCATAGGGCTGGGTGCAGTGGCATATGCCTGTAATCCCAGCACTTTGGGATGCCGAGGCAGGAAAATCACTTGAGGCCAGGAGTTCGAGACAAGCCTGGCCAACAGGGTGAAACCATATCTCTAATAGAAATGCAAAAATTAGCCAGACATGGTGGCATACACCTGTAATCCCAGCTTCTGGGGAGGCTGAGGCATAAGAATCTCTTGAACCTGGGAAGAGGAGGTTGCAGTGAGCAGAGATCACACAGCTATACTCCAGCCTGGGTGACAGAGCAAGACTCTGTATCAAAAAATAAAATATAATATAATATTTTAAAAAGTAAATAAATGGAATCATAGAGTGTTTGGAATGAAATCATCCATGTGTTTGGATTCTTTCATTCAATATAGTTTTTGAGCTTCACCTTCTTATATCAATACTTTGTTCTTTTCTATTGCTGTGAGGTATTTTATTTTATTGTATGACTAGACCACAATCGATTTATGTATTTTTCTGTTGATGGCCATTTGTCTTGTATTCAGTATTCAGCTTTGGGCTATGTGCATTTTTCTCCCCATTCCTCCTGGGTGTATCCTTAGGAATGGAATTTCTGCTTAATAAAATTGGCAGATTTTTACCTTTGTTAGAATTGCCAGTTTTCCAGTGTGGTTTTACTCACCTCCTGGCAAAAGATGAAAGTTTCATTGGCTTCATGTTCTTGTGAATATTTGCTATTTTTCAGCCTTTTTAACCATTCTTGGAGTTTATAGTGGTATCACATTTTGGTTCAAAATTTTACTTTCCTGAGGAGTAGTAAGATTGAACACTTCTTTTTCATTGGCTTATTGGTGCTTTGGATATCTTTTTTTTGTTGCCATTGTTGTTTTATTAGAGACAGGGTCTCACCCTGTTACCCCGGCTGCAGTGCAATGGCACAATCATAGCTCACTGCAGCCTTGAACTCCTGGGCTTAGAGGATCCTCCTGTGTCAGCCTCCCAAGTATCTATGTATGTGCCACCAGGCCTGGCTAATTTTTTTTTTTTTTCCTTTTTTGTAGAGAGAGGCTCTTACTATGTTGCTCAGGTCTCTAACTCCTGGCTTCAAGCAGTCCTCCCACCTTGACCTCCCAAAATACTGGGACTATAGGCATGGGCCACACCACACCCAGCCTGGATATCTTTTTCTATAAATTACTTGCGGAAATCTTTTGCCCATTTTTAAACTTTAAGTTGTTTGTCTTTTTCTTATTGTATTAGTCTATTCTCACGCTGCTAATAAGGACATACCTGAGACTGGGTAATTTATAAAGGAAAGAGGTTTAATTGACTCACAGTTCCATATGGCTGGGGAGGCCTCACAATCATGGCAGAAAGCAAATGAGGAGCCAAGTCACATCTTACATGGTGGCAGCCAAGAGAGCTTGTGTAGAGGAACTCCCCTTTTTAAAAGCATGAGATCTCGTGACACTTATTCACTACCATGAGAACAGCATGGGAAAATCCCACCCCCATGATTCAATTACCTCCCACTGGGTCCTTTCACAGACACATGTGGATTATTACAATGCGAGGTGAGATTTGGGTCGGGACACAGAGCCAAACCATATCACTTACTGATGTGTAGTTCTTTCTATATTCTGAATATGAGTTCTTTGTTAGATATGATGATAAATGTTTCCTTCTGGTGCTGTGGTTTGCTTCTTCACTTTCTCAGCCATGTCTTTTGATGTGCCTTCATCTCTCGCCTTGTCACTCACTTTGACCCAGCCACACTGGCCTTCTTGCAGCTCCTGCCACATGCCAAGCATGAGCTGACCTTAGCACTTTGTGTTCACTCTTTCCTCTCTCTGGAATGTTCCTAACCCAGATATCTGGATGGCTTACCCTCTTACTTCATCCAGGCCTCTATTCAAATAGCATCTTCTCAAAGGGTCTTCTCTAACCATTGCATCCAAAATAGATTTCCTCTCCTGGGCCCAGTGGCACATGCCTGTAATCCAGATACTCAGGAGGCTGAGACAGGAGGATCAGTGTTTAAAATGTTAAAGGTTTATTTCTCGGTCCTGCTCTTTGTCTAATGTGGGCTGGAAGGGGAGTTCTGTTCATTGTAATTACTCAGGGACCCAGGTTGGCAGAGGAGCCATCATTTTATGAGGCCACCTTCTCAAGCACAGACCTGGGGGTTTGCTTAGGCAGGGGAAGAGAACATGGAGAACAGAGCAGTGACTGTTGAATTATCTCACTCAGAAGTCACACACATCATCTCTGATCATATTTCATTGTTCAAGGCAAGGCAGATGGTCATGCCTTCAAATGGTGCATGCTTGGAAAGAGAGGAGAATTGAAATCCTGGTGAGCGCAATGAATGAAAGCATGAATGAATGAATCCCCAAATTCCTGAATGAATGAATGAATGAATTCAGGAAACAGAGACCAAGAGATGGGGTCAGGTTGTGCAGAGACTGTGCAACAAGTTATTTGCTCTTCTCATTTCTTGAGTTCCACACAACACCAGGGGACCACCATTGTCTTCCACTGAGAAATGGCTGGGCTGAATAATGCCTTTAACTATGTTCTAAGGAGTAGAGGAATAGCAATGAATGTTTTCATTGCTTCATTTTTGTTATTTTCCAGGACAATGCACTTAGAGTTTTATATGGATTGCTAAAACAGACAGTATTTGCTCCATTTCACAGTTGGGTCAACTAAGATCCAGAGGGATGAAATAATTAGTCCAAGGCCTCACCAAAGGCTGACTGGATCAGACTTTGATGGACTCTAAAACACCTTCCCTTTCTGCAGTATGATGAATTACAGACAACGATCCAAGCAAGTGCATTACTCCGTGATCTCCCATCTCTTACCTTTCCTCTTAGATTATAGCTGGAGTCACAAGCATTATTTCTGTGTTGGTCTGTGTTGGATGTTTATTGAACCGCAGTAACACCTAAGTTATCCCAAATGAGGTCAACCTGGCCAGTCTAGTTACCTCAACAATGCTATCACCTAACAACTCTGTCCATTCATTTATGTTTCTTTATTTTTTCATTCAGTAGGCTACTCTTGAGTACTTGTGGTATGCCCCATTCCTCAAGTTACTAGAACTGAACCCTTTATATAGTAAATCAAGACATATGTTCATGAATCTCTGAGTCAGTACATGCCTTAAGTCACTTAAAACGTTGCCTTGCAATTTCTTCCTTTGCAAAATAAGGATCATACCCACTCTGCCTTTTACAGAGAAGTAGTCTGTGAATAAAATGATATGGTGAATATTAAAGTATTTGGAAACTGTAGGGAGAAAGAAATTGATTGTTGCTTTGTAACCATGTTTATAGGCATCAAAGAAAACTCAAAGCCTCCTGCCTTCTTAATTCTGCTTCTGGAGATCCCACTTACTTTCTTTAGATTCTTTAAATAACATTAACAATACAAACCAGGCTGGGCAAGCCTTCTCTTTCTAAAAGTCTCCCTTGGCAGGCTTGGTGGCTCACACCTATAATTCTAATGCTTTGGGAGGCTGAGCTTGGAGGATCCCTTGAGGCCAGGAGTTTGAGACCTTGGCAAGATAATAAGACTTCATCTCTACTAAATATTTTTTAAAAAACTAACCAGGCATGAAGTGCACACCTGTATTCCCCGATACTCAGGGGCTGAGGCAAGAGTATCACTTGAGCCCAGAAGTTTTGAAGCTTCAGTGAGCCGAGATTGCACCACTACACTCCAGCCTGGGTGACAGAGTGACACTCTTGTTTCTAAAAAAATTTAAAAGTTTCCCTTGGCCTGCCTGGATGACACACATTCATTCTCGCTGTGCGGCCAAACTCCTTTGAAGGGATAAGTTTGGAATTTGGGATAGGAAGGGCAATAGCACTGAAGCTCCCCAGCCCTGCACAAACCGCCAGCTCATTTGAGAAGCCAATCTTCTTGCCTCACACCCAACTCAAGGCAAGACTCAGTGCCTTATTGCAGCCTCTAGCTAAATCCAACTTCAAAGGGTACTGAAGGCTCCATGCCCAACTGTGATGTTTGCGCTGTACAAGGCCACCTCTCACGTTGCTGACATCTTACTTGTGTGTATCTATTATGACAATGTTTCTAGCAGATGGCAGCAAAACATCTTATTCCAACAAAGTGAGTATATTAAGACAAGTTCCTGACAGATGCAAAGTAGGCACCTTGAGAAGGTGCACTCCTTCTAATCTTCAGGCAGTAGCTCTGTGCGCTAGCAGCAGCCATGCAGCTGGGTAGGAGATCAAGGGTATGGAGCAGGTTGCACAGGACACCTGCAGGGCAGCGCTGAATCAGGTCCCTCCTGAGTCTCCTGGGTCCTGGCTCACCAGGCTCTCCCTTGCACTCCTGGTCACCAAGCCCTCTCTGGTTTATTTCCTATGCTCTCCTCCATGCGCAAGTCCCTTGACCCTAATATTTCAGATGCGAACTGAAGGCATGAGGGCCAATCCATCATCCTGCCTTGTTCCCTCCCACCCAGACAAGGGTCTGATTTCCTCTCTGGTGGCAATACTGTGTGAAAATTAAGGGCTCCTCCCACCCTGTGTAGCAGGTTCCCATTGGTGGACTCAGCCTATCCCCCGGGCAGCCAGGGAGTCAAGGCTTTGCACTGCTGAACAACAAGGGCTCTGTCCTGGGTGACCCTGAGCAAGCTTGGCCTTGGACCAGTGCCTGACAAGGGTCTTCCTCCAGGTTTTGGTTGATGACCCAGATCTTTGTAATGGAAGCTATGGGCTGCTGGTAGCATGCCTGGGCATCCCTGCTTCTGGCTGTCACTGACCCCTCTTACCACCTGCAAGCTGCTAGCTGACTTCCCCAGTATATGCTTCCACAAGGCAGGAAAAGAGAGGGGAACTGAGCCCTGAGTGTCGCATTTGCCTAGCAGACACCAGTGTTCTCCCACTGTTTCCTCCTCCCCCACCTCCCACCTCTTTGGGGATAGAACAGGAGTCCCAAGGCTTTCTTTGCCCCTTCTCTCTGCGGAGGCATGTTAGGAAGGTGGGAGCAAAAACAGGTGTCTGCTCGCAAGGACATTTCTAGTTGATTTAATCTAAGTCACCCCTGTCCTCCATCTCTGCACCATGTGGGAGTGGAGCAGGAATTTGCACACATCCTGAAATTGTTGGGGTGTGGGAGGCAGGACCTACTACAAGGGCATCTTCTCACACTTTCAGATCACCGAGACACCTGGCAGATGAGGGAGAGCCATCGCCTCTCTTGAGTTCTCTCTGGCCCCTTCCACTCTCCACCTATTGGCCTAGACAGGTGCATATGTAAAACACCCTTTCTGTAAATCCAGTCAGCCTCTGTATCCACGGGTTCAACTAGCTCATCTTAATATACCTGTCGATTCAACTAACCTTGGATCAGAAATATTCGGAAAAAATACAACAATAAAAAATGCTTAAATTACAGTCTAACAACCATTTACATAGCATTTACATTGTATTAGGGCTAAGTAAACTAGAGATGATTTAAAGCATACAGGAGCATGTGTGTAGGTTATGTGCGAATCCTATACCATTTTATATAAGGGACTTGAGCATTCGCAGATTTTGGCACAGGGAGAGGGGTGTCCTGGAAACAATCCCTGGTACATGCTGAGGGACAGCTGTAGAAACCCCTTCTGAAATGGTAGAAACAGCTTCACACTCTGGGTTTCTTAAGGTCTGGGTCACTTCAACACTCCTTTTGATAATTATTTTTAATCAGCTTACTCCCTACGATAATAAAATGATAATGTAATAATAACTGTAAGAAGATCTACCATTTATTAAGTATCTGTACTAAGCTCAGCTTTTATATCCATTGCCCTCATTTAACTCTCACGCCATCCCTTCGAGGTAGGAGAAATTACCCACATCCTAGAGAGGAGGCCCCTGAGTTACAGGGAGATCCAATGCCCTCTCAGCTCAGAGAGGACTGTTGGGCAGCTCACTGGGGCTTGGGCAGGGGGTGGCTCTTCTCTCTTAGCAGGGGTTGGAAGCAACATCTCATGCGTCCATAAAGGGAGCTCTCTGTCAGAGGAAGCCAGGCGTCATGGCAGCCCCAGGAATCCAAACAGAGAACCCCAGCTCCAGCCTGGACCGGACAGTTGGGTCTTTCCAGAGTAGAGCCAGCATTATGACCTCCCATCGCTCCCACTTTAAATAGGATTTTTGACACTCTTGGTGAGTGAGGAGGCCCAGACAGGCACCTCCACACCAGAAATGTTATCAGCACCTGCACCCTTGCCAGCTAATAGTCAGACCATGTGCTAACAGTTTGTTCCCCTTGCCCAACTCCACAGAGGGCCCTCACTCTATTTGCCTTTGCTCTCTACCTATATTTTGAGCGGGAAGAAAACTATTTTTTTCCAGTAATATCCATTTTACAACCATTTTGTGCAAAAGCTGAAAGCTGTCAGAGCAGTAATGCATTGCATCAAATTAACATATTTTCCTGAAATGGTAATTACACCCTTTTTGTGTGCCTCTGAATACATATTTTTTGAAGTGTGAATGAGGTGCTGACATCAAAGTCTCACTTTAAATCATCATTAGTAGTGCGTCTGTCCAAATGATTCCAGGGAAATAGCTGGCAGAGGTTGTTAAGTTTAGAGGAATTTAAAGGTGAGCCACAGATCTTCTTTAGAAAGTTGGAGAGCCCAGCATCTTTAATAAGCCTTCATTCCTTCACACACTGCATCTATTTCCAGCCCATCAATGCTATTAAACTCCATTCATCTTTATTGAGCACATGCTATATTGAAGTGCCTTGTTAGGTTAGAGAGTCAGAGCGAGGCATCATTCCTGCCCTCATAGTTGCAGAAGGAAAGATAGACAGATAGCTTGAGGAGAAGAATCCATACAATGATATTCAAACACAGACATATAGATAATCATTCTGAGTGTGTGTTGAGGGCAGGAGATGCAGTCATGACAGACAGATGGCATGAGGAGAAGAATCTATAAAATGATATTCAAACAGACATATAGAGAACAATTCTGAGTGTGTGTGTCGAGGGCAGGAGATGCAGTCATGGGAGGCCTCTTTAGGAGATGGCATTTGAGCTGGATCTTGAAGGGTGGCAAAGACGGAGAGTTGATGACAGTAAGTCCATTTCAAGTCCAACGATAAGTAATTAAAGCCTGAGTTTGGAAATAGCTCCCACTTTGAGCCCAACTCTCAGTGCCTAGCCTCAGAGTGCAGGATCAAGTGCTTAGCAAGATGTCCTCTCCATTGCAGGCCCTTCCAAAGAGGTGTATCAGTTACAGTGTGAATGGAACACAGTGATAGAGGTGAAGAGGTAGTCAAGGATCATCAGGGAGGACATCATAAGCCACTGAAGATTTGAGTCTTTATCCGTAAGATCCAAAGAAATCATTGAAGGTTTTAAGGAATGGAGGGACATGATCAGATTTGTTTGTGAAAGATCACTCTGGCTATTATGGAGATGACATTGAAAACAGTGGGGTGTCAGGATGAACCAGTTAGAAGGCTGTTCCTGCAGGCTAAATAAGTTGTCTAGGCTTGGATTCCTGGACTGTGAGGAGAGCAAGAGAGATGAAGACAAATGGGTGGCTTTGATAGGTGTTGAGAAGGGAGATTGGGTAGCATTTAGTGATCAATTGATTAACTCTATGTGGCAATGGAGGAGGAGATGTTAATCATGATTCTGGGATTTCTGGATTAAGCGATCAAGCTGTTGGCGGTGTGATTAGAGGAGTTTGTGAGTTCAGGTGGAGCATGTTGAATTCTAGGCCCTCCACGCCACTTTCTCTCTGTATCTACATGACGTCTCTACAATTTTATCAATGTGGTTTGGCTCTTCTCCTGACACTGACCTCTAGGGACATGATCTTATTTTGGACATGGCCATTTTGACTACAGGGAGATGTTATCCCCTAGAACTGATTGCTGAAAGAGATGGAAAAGATGCCATTGGAAGGGGATAGTGACATCTCACAGAAATCCAAAAACAGTGACTGAGATTCGGACAGCCTTCATGTAAACCAGAATGAGAAAGATATCAGGAATTCAGGCCACTCCTTCCCTCTTGCTCCAGATCTAAGGATGTTCTGCCATTACAATGCCACAGTAGAAATTTAGTGAGTGGTCTAACAATGAATATCTGGGGGATTCTACAACTCAATTAAAACTAGGATGTGTGCTTTGCTCCACACAGCTCTGTCCATCCTCTTTGTGCTTGTCTCAGCGGCCAGGGCATCCTAATCCTGCCCATGGGCACACAAGTGGTGATTTACAACTCCAGCAAGCCACGTTCCCATGGGAATTTAGTCATTACAAATCAGGGCCTTATTTCCATTCTACTTTCTTATTTTTAAAAGTTTAAAAATGGGCTATGCACAGTGGCTGATGCTTGTAATCCTAGCATTTTGTGAGGCTGAGGTGCGAGGATCGCTTGAGGCCAGAAGTTGGAGACCAGCCTGGGCAACGCAGTGAGACCCTGTCTCTATTAAAAAAAATTTAAAATTAGTCAAGTGCAGCAGCATCTTCCTATAGTCCTGGTTACTCAGGAGGCTGAGGCAAGAGGATCACTTGAGCCGAGGACTTTGAGGTTGTAGTGAGCTGTGATCCTGCCACTGCACTTCAGACAAAGTGACAGAGAGAGAACCCTGACTCAAAATAATAATAATAATAATAATAATAATAAATTAGCCTGGCATGGTGGCATGAGCCTGTAGTCCCAGCTGCTCAGGAGGCTGAGGTGGGAGGATTGCTGGAGGCCAGAAATTCAAGGCTACAGCAGTGAACTATGATTGTGCCACTGCTCTCCAACCTGAGCTACAGAGTGAGACCCTGTCTCAAAAATCAAAAAAAAAAAAAAAAAAAGGTCACAGAATCACGTAATATAACAAATACCAGTGAAACAACAACATTTGGTTGTTTTGTTTTAGGTTTCTAAAAAGATATGAGTAAGAGAAACAGGCAAAGTCGAAATCCTCCTTGTTCTCCCCTTCAGTCTCATTGTTCTCCCTCCAAAGCCTAAAGGCAATCGAGATCCATGAACTTGGGTGATTTCCTTCCTGTTCATGGTTTTTAAACTTTTACTGCCACATATACATGTCCATAAACATAATATAGTATTGTTTGGTGTGTTTTTATTTAACACAAATGGCACCATTCAGTATGTAGTGTTTTGCAATTTGCTTTTTTTCACTCAGCATGGTTTTCAAGATCTATTTTTATGCATTCATAGAGATCTAGTCTGTTTAATTGCTGTATAATATTCCATTTTAGGAACATACCACCATTTAGTTAGCCATTCCACTACTGAAGGATATTTGTGTTGCTTCCAAATTTTGTCATTACACACAATGAATGTTGCAATGAACGTTCTTTTACATGCTTCATTGCATGCTTTTATGTAAGTTTCTCTAGGACTGATTGAGTACCTTAAGTGTACTGTATATGTACGGGTGAAATTGCTGTGAATTGATGGTTTAGTGAGGGTGTTCATTTTAAATTGTTTTACATATTACCAAATATCACCTCATGGGGAGTGGGGTGAAGCAGTCAATGTAAGAGTTATATTCAAACAACATGCACCCATCCAGAAATTTTTATTTACTTTGATACCAGCCACTTCTCCCCACCAAGAAGCCATGCCCACCCCCCACTTGAGAAGCTCTACTTTAGTGAGACACAATCTTGTAAGGAAATGTGTCACAGGTTCAGGTGTATTGAAAGAGAAAGGGGACTGAAAATAATTGACTTTAAGATCAAAAAGACATAACTAGTTTGCTTTGATGTCTTTGCCTTAGCTGCTAAATCCCTCAAAGCCTTGTTATCAACAGAAATATTGTCCAGATCCCAGGGGATTACAGGAGACAAATGCATTAACTACTTTGCTATTAAAAATCCCTGGATCAGCATTGGGTTAGGATGATCCTAAACCTGCACTGATTTGCCAAGGGGCACCAGTCTGCAGCTATACTGCGTTGAATAGCATTGCCCTCAAATTCACGTCTACCTGGAAACTGTGAATGTGACTATTTAGAAATGGGGTCTGCAGATGTAATCAAGTTAAGATAAAATCATACTGAATTAGAGTGGGTCCTGAATTCAATATGATTGGTGTCCTTACAAGGAGAGGGACATTTGGACAAAGAGACACACACTCACAAAGAGGAGAATACCATGTGAGGACGGAGACGTACAGAGAGAATACCACATGATGATGGAGAAGAGATTGAACTTGTGCAGCTGCACAGATTACCAAAGATTGCTGCAACCACCAGATGTTAGGAAGAGGCAAAGAAGGACCCTCCCCTCTAGCCTTCAGAAAGAGGGTGATCCTGTTGAAACTTCAGTTTTGGACTTTTAGCCTCCAGAACTGTGAGAGAATACATTTCTGTTGTTTTAAGCCACCCAGTTTGTCATATGGCAAACCCTAGGAAATTAATACAGCAGCCTTCCAAGATGGCCCCCAGAAACCAGCCTCCTGGTATTCACAACTTATGTAATCTCCTCTCCTCTTATGTGGGCTGGTCCTAGTGACCTGTTCCTAATAAATAGCGCAAGCATGACAGTGTGTCATTTCCAAGATCAGGTCATAAAAACCGAATTCCATCTGGCTGGCTCTTTCTTGCCCTTCACTTGCTCTGATAGCTGATAGCATTATATCATACTATGGCAAGGAACTGAAGAAGGTCTTCAGACAAGGATCTGAATCCTGCCAAAAGCCATATGAGGGCCGGGCGCGGTGGCTCACGCCTGTAATCCCAGCACTTTGGGAGGCCGAGGCGGGCGGATCACGAGGTCAGGAGATCGAGACCATCCCGGCTAAAACGGTGAAACCCCGTCTCTACTAAAAATACAAAAAATTAGCCGGGCGTAGTGGCGGGCGCCTGTAGTCCCAGCTACTTGGGAGGCTGAGGCAGGAGAATGGCGTGAACCCGGGAGGCGGAGCTTGCAGTGAGCCGAGATCCCGCCACTGCACTCCAGCCTGGGCGACAGAGCAAGACTCCGTCTCAAAAAAAAAAAAAAAAAAAAAAAAAAAGCCATATGAGTAAGCTTGGAAGCAAAGCTCCACCCTCACATGCAGTTGAGCCTTGAGATGACTACAGTTCCAGCCATCACCTTGGTTGCAACATGGGAGACCCCAGAGGCAGAAGACCTGCTAAATCAGGCCCGAATTCTTTACCCACAGAAACTGTGAAATAGTACATCCTTTGCTTTAAGCCATCAAGTTTTGGGGGGCAAATTGTTATGCAGCAATAAATAACTAACAGATGCAAACAGTAGGTCAAAGCAGATGCTTGGGAACAAAGATTACAGGGAGCCTGTGCTGGAGCCCTCTTGTGGCTCAGTGTGTGTTGTGTGCTGTGGGGCCAGAACAGTGACTTAGAAAAGCTACAGCGTCTTGCAAACATCAAGCCTCTACATTATGTGCCCATTCCCATTGCCTGCACAGAAGGCAGCTG
Source organism: Homo sapiens (assembly GCF_000001405.40). Classification (NCBI taxonomy): domain Eukaryota; kingdom Metazoa; phylum Chordata; class Mammalia; order Primates; family Hominidae; genus Homo; species Homo sapiens. The sequence goes on along the minus strand of NC_000017.11, from coordinate 33,712,212 downwards.
CTCCAAACTGAGACTGTAGGCAGTCATCCCTGGAGGTCAAGTGGTTCAGTGAAACTCCCCTGAAAGAAGACAGGGATTAGCTCCTTACAGACTGTTTTAGACTCAGTAACTTCTCCAAAGGTTTTCCTATATTCACTCTTGGGAATTCCTTTCTCCATCTACTGTTACATCATGGGAGGTATGGAGAAAAGGGGGATGATGATTGGATTGAGTCAGGAGGCCTCATTTATGAAATTAGCTGTCATTTATCACCCCAGGGACCTTGGGGTTTTAGAAAAGTCAGAGACTAATTTCCTGGTTCTGAAGATGAAACTTACAGAAGGTTCTCACACAAAGAGGACTGATATGATTTGATTTTGTGTCCCCACCCAAATCTCATGTTGAATTGTAATTCCAGCCTATCAGGGAAGGGGCCTGGTGGGAGGTGATTGGATTTTGGGGGCAGATTTCCCCCTTGCTGTTCTCTTGACAGTGAGTGAGTTCTCATAAGATCTGATGGTTTAAAAGTGGCATTTCCCCCTTCACTCTCTCTCTCTTCAGCTTTTCCGTGATAAGACGTGCTTGCTTTCCCTTCACCTTCCGCCACGATTGTAAATTTCCTGAGGCCCCCTGAGCCATGTAGAACTGTGAGTCAATTAAACCTCTTTTCTTTATAAATTACTCAGTTTCAGGTGGTTCTTTATAGCAGTGTGAGAACAGAGTAATACAAGCACAGACTGACCAGACCCAGGGAAAACAAAAATGAGATTCATTGCTCCCAGCCCCGCCACCCTTTGACCGCATATGGAGGAGGATGAGGCTCCTTGACTCTCACCCAGGTGGGTATAACTGTGGCAAATGCATCAAGATTGGTGGGAGAGGGAGTTCAGGAGAAGCTCACGTATCCATGATGAGTACTGGGAGAGAAAAGGGACATTTCAGCAGGTTGAACAGCACATCACAGACCAACACGGGTTGGAACACCTTGCTTTGCCAGGTGTTCCTGAAGAAAGAATGGGCTCCAGGCTGGGCTGCAGTGCAGCAGAGGCACAGGTGCCCCGCTGCACCTTCAAATTGTGTTACCCAAACACAACGCCACTCTAAGGGTTCAAACCAGCACTGTACTGTGTTGGCTCACACCTGTAATCTCAGCACTTTGGGAGGCTGAGGTGGGAGGATCGCTTGAGACCAGGAGTTGGAGGCTGCAGTGAGCCATGATCATGTCCCTGTATGACAGACAGCCTGGATAACAGAGCAAGACCCTGTCTCAAAAAAATTAAAATTAAAAATAAAAAGCCAGCACTGTGCCCCCACTCAAACTACTGCTTTTTAACAAAATAGCGTCATCTTATTTATAACCCAGGGCCTGCAGGCTTCAACTAACCTCTAGGTAAATTCAGTGACCCGGGAAAAAGCCTTATAACATGATAACTCCTGCCACAAGGACCCAAACTGCTCTAGTACGATTTCCTCAAGCTTCCCTACCAATATGCTTGGATACACCACAACCTTTCTTCTCCCTCAGTTTTCATATTTGTAAAATCAGATGATTAGTTTATATAATCTTTAAGGGCCTCTTCACCAATCGTATTTTACCATTCCCTATTAAAAGAATCAGAAAGTCCAGAAACAAAGTAAAAGTAAATTTATGAGCCTTATTTCTTCTCATTCTTGAAAACTCTGGCATTATCTCCTCTGGGAAGCCTCCCATGACCTCACCAGATTGCAGACCTGACCCACGTCCACAGGTGCCACAACCTAGGCACACTTCTGTTGATCATAGCTCCTACAGAGTGGTTGTGGATTTCCGGACCTGTTTCCTCCATTATCCAGTCAGCTCCCTGCGGCACTTCAAAGATTGGCTTTTGTCTTATTTTTCTTTGTGTGTGTGGGATCTAACTGACTGCTTGACGCATAATAGATGGTCAGTAACTATTTGTTGAATAAAAGAGTGACTAGATGGATGAATGGATAAATGGAGCTTCTTTACCTGTGGTGGGAATTGTGCTTTCTAGGGAAACAGACTAGGCAGTTGTGTCTCTCTTGCCACATGGCTTGCCGTTGGCAGTGACATAATGTGGTTAGAGAGGGATGGACATTGGTGCAGACATCAGATCTCAGGATCCATGCAGACCCATGAGGAGAAATCTCATCTCCTTTCTGCTCCATCAACCTATGGAGCTTGGAGGCAGAGATAATTAATTCATGGCATGTGTGGAGACAGATGTTAGGGAAGTGGAACAAAGATAACAAGGTCAATGCAAAAAGAAAGAAGGGGGTATAAATACTGCCGTGATAATAAGGGTTGCCCATAAAGACTTGAGCATCCATGTCACTGGAAATGTCCAAATAGAGAATCAACATGGTACAGATAAAGGAATAGGTGCTTAAAAATGTTAAGTGGTTTGTTTAAAAGCACAAAGTAAGTGGCTTGAACTTGTTCTGTCTCTCTGCATATTAAGGGTTCTTTATACCCATTATATTATCCATTTCCCCCAATGCAAAAGCTACTGCAAATTAAATCCCTTAACTGATCATCTTTTATTTTAAGAAATTGTTTGGGCCAGGAATCAAGACATGAACACAACTGTCCTAGTCAGTTCTAGCTGCTGCAACAAGGTACCATAGATTGGTACCTTCTACACAACAGAAATTTACTTCTCAGTCTGGAGGCTGGAAGCCTGAGATCACAGTGCCACATGAGTGAGGGCCCTGTTCTGGGTTGCAGTCTGCTGACTTTCACTGTAATCTCATGTGGCAGAAAGAGCATGAGCCAACTCTCTGACCTCTTCTTAGAAAGGCCACCTGTGAGTACATTAGGTTCATCTGAATGAATAATCCGAGATTATCTCTCCATCTAAAGATTTTTAACACATCTGAAAAGTTCCTTCTGCCATATAAGGTAACATTCACAGTTTCTGGGGATTCAGACATGGATATCTTCTGTGGGAGGAGGGCATTATTGAGCCCACTGCAGGAGGCATATAACACTTTGTCTTTAATTTCAAGAAGACTATGAGGAAAAACTGGAAATGAGGGAAACAGGCAGTTGAAATAGATGCTGGAAAGATTACGGCGTTACAGAGTTATGACTTAAGGCAAGTTCAGGATGGATTCCATGGAGACCCAGAAAGATGTAGGGTTTACCTTTTACAGAGTATTGAATGTGTTGTTCAAAAAACAGGCAGACGGCTTAAAGGTTCTGTTGATGGCAGGATATATCTTGACCCAGAATAGTTGGTAATTATACCTTCTTTTCCTCATTTTAGAAAACTGACTGAGGCTCAAGGCAGCAAGCCAAAAATAAAACATCAGACATTAAAATTAAGGTGTGATTGGCAATAAGTCCAACCAGAAATTTTTGAAACAGGGCTCCTGCTTGTGCGAGGAAGGGAGTCAGAGTTGGGTAAAGGATCATTGAGATCTTGAAGAGAAGGAGGAGAGGAGTCTCTATGACCAAGATAGCCAAGGAGATTGTGATTTGGGAGAGGAAAGGGGAGGAGATGGTTGGTGCAGAGTGGTGACGTTGGAGTGGGGTACGCTGGGGCTGGATGAGGCTCCTCTTTTCCCTACTGGACATGGAGCAGAGAAACCTCATCCCATAGAGAACAGAGGTAGTAGCCACATACCTGCACTTGGAAAGAAGTTTTGCAGCCACAAATTCAGAGGAGGAGATCTTGGCTTCAGAGCTGGAAGAGAAGAAAGAAGGAGACAGGCTCTTGTAAAATGTGGTCAATAGAACTTAGGTGTTTTATCCTGTTCTGCTCCAAGATCCCACTAAAATGAATGTAAAAAGATTTTGTTAAAAGCATGCGCTTATGAAGACGAAGATCAAGAAGGAAAAAAAACAGAGAAATATCAAGATAACTTTGGATGTTAGAAGACAGATGGATAACTAAAATTTAACTTTGCATAGCAAAGAAAGCCAAAATAAAATGCCCATAAGGTTGCTGGGTGGGTAAAACAAGAAGCCAACCAATTTCCATTCTGGAACTCTGTAAACACTTTAGAATTTAAGGCAATAGATGTCTTCAAAAATTAAGGTGTGGATGGAGCTTAAAAGTAAAGAATTGGTTGAAACTCCATAAAAGAAATAATTAGACCCCCACATTCCCTTCTTTACCTTAGGCAACCAGACAGCTCTCCCTCCCCTATCTAGCAGGAGACTGGAGGTTTGCTCTCTGAAGAAGTTGACCCAGAGGAACTTATAACTCAAGAATACCCTGCACAGCTTGGGCAGAGTGGGAGGTGCAGATTACTGTGCTGAAAACTGGGAATTAGGAATAGAAGTCCTCTAGCCCTTTACAGAAGATTGGAGGGTAGTCAAGCTGACCCAACAGAGAGAAGAGTCTTACAGATAGTGTCAGTTGATCGTCCTTTAAAAAAATGGCTCCATGCCTGCAGGAGCATCCTAATGGAAGTCAGGTGCATGCCCATGAAGCTGCTTATCTCTGCAATGCTTCACTTTTAAATGCGAAAAGATACCAGATATTAAAACAGTTGAGTAACACCTCTAACTGAAAGGCAGATAAACAGAGTAAAGGAGCCTAGAGAAAATAAATACGATGCAGAACTCAGAGAAGGGAAAACTATGCGGGGAAACTCTCCAATTTACATTCTCACAGAGGTAAAAAATATCGAATCCATGAAACAAGAATTACATGATTTTTAAAAGGAGCTTCAAAAATAACAAATAAAATTTCTCCTAGAGATTAAAATTATGAAAGCCAAAATACAAAGTTTGATAGAATGGACAAATTTATCTGTATATGTATTTGAAAAGAAATCTAGATAGTAGAATAAAAAGACAAAGTAATGGAAAAGAGTAAGGAAAAGATAAGTGTGTTAAAAAATTAGTCAGAAGGTTCAAAATGTAACTGAGGAAAGTTCCAGGAAATGAAGAAATTAGAATTGAGAAAATTATACAAGAGCTAGAATGAGAAAATTTGCCATAATTAAAGGTTATAGGTTTTCAGATTTTAAAAGCTTACTTTATGCCCAGCACAATGAATAAAATATTATAAAATATCAGAGTAATGGGGTAAAATTAAAATCCCAAAAACTCTCAGAGGAAGATCACATACATGAGATCAGAAATAACAAAAGCATTAAAATTATCAATAGCACTATCAGAAGCTAGGAGACAGTAAGAAAATGTCTTCAAAACTCTGAGGTAAAATCAGTTTCCTAGATTTCTATGCATAGTCAAGATAAAGATATGCAATAAATCAAAGAATTTTCACAGCATTCACCCTTTCTTCAGAAGCTACTTGAATTTTGAATCTTCATTTTAATGAGGCACAACGAAGAAAGAGAGACAGAAGATATGCAAAGCTGACACTCCAACAGTTAGGATTTCAGAATGACAGCACAGTTACAAATACTAAAAAGCAACCACTTCTTATTGAACCAAGAAGATGAGGAGATCTAGGAAAGATGTTTCCCAGGTGGGGGCAGAATGAAAATCACAGATTATTTCATGTGCTTGAATATATTGAGAGAGATTTTCTATTTCTGGCAGAGAGTTTGAGGATGGAATTATGGTGATATGCACATAAAGGGAGTGGGCAAAGAAAAACTTGAGGCAATTACTAACTCCAGAAAAAACAAAAGGTTGTTCAAGAAAGAAAATATAAACATAGTACACCACACAGAACTGCTATGGTACAATTTATATCATTGTAATAAATGACACAAAAATATGACTACAGGCTGGGCACGGTGGCTGATACTTGTAATCCCAGCACTTTGGGAGGTGAAGGTGGGTGGATTGCTTGAGCTCAGGAATTTGAGACCAGCCTGGAAAACGTCGTGAAACCTTGTCTCTACAAAATTAAAAAAAAAAAATTAGCCATTCATGGTGGCACATACCTGCAGTCCCAGCTACTGGGGAGGCTGAGGTGGGAGGATGGCTTGAGCCTGGGAGGTGAAGAATGTGAGCTGAGAATGTGCCACTGTACTCCAGCCTAAGCGACAGAGCCAGATCCTGTCTCAAAAATATACATATATATATATATATATATATATATGAATCATATATGTATAGTCATACACACACACACACATATGACTACAGATTCAACCAAAAGTTGTATTATAATTATCTTGGAAGTTGAGAGTGTGATGAAGAGAAGGGTGTATATATGCATACATGTGCATATATATGTATATGTTTAGGAGGTATAAGAGTTTCTAAACATTTTTAAAACAAAAATACAAAGTCAGTGGGCACACATATAACGTATACATGCACTTCAACAGGAAATATCAAGAAAATTTCCAGAAGTAACTGCTCCAAGATTTAAAATATTTGCCTCTGGGAAACAAAACTAGGGGCTTGAAAATGAGTGAAGTGGACTGCAGTTTTCCATTTTAGGCCTTGAACATCGTACCAGTTTTCTGTGGCTGCTATGACCAATTACCACAGACTTCGTGGCTTAAAACAACAGAAATTTATTCTACAGTTCTGGAAGTCAGTCAGAAATAGATTTCAATGAGCCAAAACCAAGGTGTTGGCAGGGCTGTTCTCCCCATAGAGGTTCTAAGGGAGAACCCATTTCTTGCCTTTTCCAGCCTCTGGTAGCTGCTGGCATTCCTGGGCTTGTGACCACATCATTCTAATCTTCAAGGCCAGCATCTTCAAATTTCTCTCCACTCCATCATCGTATGGCCTTCTCTCTGTTAAAATCTCTGTCTGCCTTCCTCTTATAATGATATGTGTGATTACATTTAGGGCCCACCTGAATAATTCAGAATCATCTCTTCAACTTAAAATTCTTAATTTTGTCACATATGCAAAGATTCTTTTTCCAAATAAGGTAACATTCTTACCTTGAGATTGAGATGTGGATATATCTTTGGGGGCTACTGCTAAGCCAACCACAAACATTTAAAAAAATGTTTAGTACATTTACATACGATAAATTAGTTAGTTGATTAATTAAAGGAAAGAATATGTACCAATTTTTTACTGTGGTAATCAATAGAAAATTCTGGGAGACTTTCAATTCTATATTATCTAACTCCATAGTGTTCTTGAATAATGAACATACATTACTCATGTAAAATGCTAATTTGTGAGAAAAAAGAGGCAGGAAGAAAAATTTCATGCTTTGGCTAATCTACATTTGAGGCTAACTAGTTCCAAGACTTTCATTTCAAATACAAACACCAGGCAAGTCTCCAGTTAAATGACACTGACATTCATGTTGTTCCCTGGAAGACATATGTGTGTTACAAACATACGCCTACAGGAAGCCAAGAGCTCAGGGGCTGGAGAGAGGTTTTGTGGGGTTTCAAAACCAAAGAGTGCTTTTAAACCCAATATAGGGAGTCATTTTCTCTCAAATATATAGTATATCTACTTCGTACCTGTTAGTTTTTTCCTATTTTTCTTGAATTGGCTGAACCCCAGGTTAGAGCATCCAAGTTGAAAAGGACCTTAATGACCATTACATCCAATCCCAACACAGTACAGTTTAGAAGCTCCAGAGAGGACCACAGGGGTGAAGTAATGATCCCCAAGGCAGCAGAGGCAGAATGTGACTCCTGATCCTAGTCTTTGGTCCATGAACTTCTGCCCCTTGTTTTGTTGACAGCTGTTGTGATACCTTGGTTCTTATCCTGTTAGTTTAAAAGAATTTAAATAAGAGACACACAGCAAAAGAAGTGCGACATAGAGTAATTTATTGCAAAAGAAAAAATATATTTTATAAGTTAGGTGCAGACTAGACAGTACACCTTGAGAGAGACAGAATTCAGGGTGGGCTACTGGCAAGGATGAGACAGCAAAGACTGGCACTAGGGAGACTCCCTTTACAGGAGTCATGCATGATTATTCATAAGGAGGTGGAAAGAGGTGCCTACAGGTAAGCATATTCTGGATGGCTCTCTGAGTGCACACGTGCAGTAGCTATACATGCTTGTTCCTATACCAATATCTCATTAGCATCTTGAATCTCCACCCAGGGTTGTGTTTTTTACATGATAACGAGCAAAGCATCAGTTTGAGGACAGGTAAAATCAAAACGTGCATGCTCTCTTCAGGAGAAAGTCCAATTACAATGCTAATGCTGAGGCTTATTGTGTTGACTGTATGGTCACCGTGGTTGCTGGGTCCCAAGAACATGGTCACTTTCTTGACTACCTATCCTGCCTCAGTTTCTCTATGATTTAAGGAGTCCAGGCACAGGCAAAGTTCAGGAAGTAGGGAGAGAACAGTGACCTGAGCTCAGAATAAAAATAGAAAAGCGAGTGGGAAAGTTGGAGGTACTAAAACCTAGGTCTGAATGATGCATAGGATTGTGAAAGCCAAAGCCTGAGGCCAGAAGGACAGATGGAGTTGAGGGCTAAAGGTCAGAGCTTAGGAGCTCTGGCCTGGCCCACCTAGCTAAGGGGGAGGACAGGAGGGCAGTCTAACAATCATGTACACCTAGAGGCATGCTGAGTCTGGGAGCAGAACAGGGGAGCTTACAGAATTGAGGGCATGGACAGGCTAAAGGCCCCAGGTTCTCTCCCCTGAATGTACCTTCCCCTGCTTAAAACCTACCAAAGAGATTATATATTAGTATTATATAACATATGCTGGGCACGGTGGCTGACACCTGTAATCCCAGTACTTTGGGAGGCCAAAGTGGGTGGATTGCTTGAGCTCAGGAGTTTGAGAGCAGCCTGGGCAACATGGTAAAACCCCATCTCTACAAAAACTACAGAAATTAGTCGGGCATGGTGGCTTGTGCCTGTAGTCCCAGCTATTCGGAAAGCTGAGGTGGGAGGATCACTTGAGCCCAGGAGGCAGAGGTTGCAGTAAGCAGAGATCATGCCACTGCACTGCACTCCGTCCTGGGTGACAGAGCCAGACCTTGTCTCAACAACAACAACAACAACAACAACAACAGCAACAAAAAAAAAAAGAAAAAGAAACCAAACTACCAAAGAGTCTCTATTTTAATTAATTAAAATCCAAATATTTGGCCATGATACAAACTATAGCTCCCATCTCTCCAGCCTCAACTCAGCATTTGCCCCCTTGCTCACTCTGTTCTAGGCGTCCATGTATCCTGAGGTTCTTTCCATTCTTCAAACAAACCAAAGGAACTTTGCACTTGCTATCCCATCTGCCTGGAATATTTTTCTCCAGATTTTTTTCATGCTTGCCTCCTTTGTACTCTTCATATCCCCTCTTAAAGTAACCATCCCAGTGGCCTTTCCAGGCCACTATTAAAATGAACTCTTCCCTTACCCTGGGCACAATCCGTAACTCTGTTTATTTTCTCCATGGAACTTAGCACTATCTGATATTGTTTGTTTAGTCTCTCTGCTTCATGAAAGCAGGAACCTAATGCCCCTAGTTCCTGGTACATCGCCTGGCATACAGAGGATGCTCAATAAATATTTGTTGAGTGAATGAATCATTAAATCTCCTAGATTCACTTCCAGGGGAGGCAACATATGACACTTATATAGCTAACCTCATTGATTGAGTAGTTGAACAAATGCGATTATTGTGATATTTATAAGAAGTAGATTGCAGTTATCAAGACATTTGTTCTGTGTCCCAACTCCCCAGTTCGCAACCCTGCTGGATTTTTGATGTCCCTGGGCTGTCATTGTGTAGGTCACCTTGCTCATAGGGATCTCCCTAATTCCTCCCTCGGGGCAAGGCCTTTTTTCCTTTTGGACACAAGTTAAAGTGTAATGGTGTGTGTTGGCTGTCATAGAAGTTAAAGGTGTGACGCTGGCTCTGCTCCCTTGATGGAAACTCAGAGAGAATTGGGTTGCCCAGATTTCAAGTTGTAGTGAACTATCCTAGCTGAGGATTAAGAGATTTCACGTTTTCATCCTTTCTTCCTCCACAGGAAGCCTCCTCCTGCCTTAAAACCTTATCTCTAGGTATGTTTCTTGGTTCAATCAGTGATACCCCCCCTCTAACCCCAGGAAGGAGAAAGAAACTAACTACGACTGAGTACCTACTATATGCCTAGCATTGTGCTAAGTTACTTGATCCTTACAACAATTGGGAGAGGTATCACCATTTTACAGATGAAGGAACTGAGGTAAGTACCAAAGCGAGTATGCTTCAAAGCCAAGACACAAACTCACATCATCCTGATCCCTAAACCAGGACATTGTCTGTGACGTCACATTGAAGAGGAATGAAAGGAAGAAGTTACCACCTTCCAGAATGAGCCCTGTTATCCACCATGCCAAAGTGAGACCTTCCCCACCCAGCTGGCACAGCCGAGCTCAACGCCACCAGCTTCTATGTCTGCAGAACTTCTATGTCTGCAGAACTCACTTAGACAAATTGTCCATCGGATCAGAAGTACCGACAATGAAATACATACATCTTAGAATGATCCTTAGACTAATACAGACTGATGTGCAGAGGCAGGCTGGACTATTCTTTGCAAAAAGACATTGATGGGAGAAGCCTGATTGCCATCTTAATCCGAAGGCTTTCTGGCCGATTAAGTGACTTGCAAATACCTCATGACTTGATCTCTAATGATCAAGTGGGTAAGAATGAATTATCCAAGGTAGCACTGCAAAGGCTGTCTCAGCATAGAATGCCAATGGCTGACCCTGACTTGGAGGGAGTCTGTACTGTGTCAAGGTGCTCAAACCCTACCTTGAACTCATTTCAAACCAGGACAGACCCTGGGACCAACACCCTTTGGAATTCAGCCTATTGCTGGAGATAGACTCAGACCTACTTCCTGTCCCTTGTGTAAGAGTGAATTGGGCTGAGAACTATAACAAAAATGATGGTCTTTCTTCATTTTGAATCCTATAGAAGACAATTATTTCCTTATTTATTGATTTTCAGCAAGCTATTTATTTACTGATTGTAGTCCGGTATGGCTGTAAATGATATGATCCAAGGCTTGGCCAATCATATACTTTGTGCAGAATTAAATATTGAACAGACGAACAAGAGATTGGTCGGTATTCCATTCCACTCCAGCAAGGACAGTCCTCATATGCCCCCTCCGCCCACCACACACAACATACTTCTCAGAGTACCCTAGGCTGTCCATCTGCATCCTAGGTTTTTAATCTGAAGAATCCGGGTTCTTTGCTATCCCTGACAGGTTGCAATTTTATCAAAAATAATGTGTTCTAAGTCAGAGTAGACTGATCTCTTTGGGAACTGTACATCAAAATGATAGCTTGATACTGTGACCTCAGTGACTTTATGCCTTTCTCCCTCTGGCAACGGCTTTTTAAAATTATTATTGTGTGGTGATTAATTTTACAGCAAGCCTTAGAATGCTCCCCCAATTCTACTCTGTACTTCAGCTTTAGGAGGTCAGATTTGTGATTCTTGCAAAAGCGATGGATTTTCTCATGGTCATTTGGGGAGTAGTCAGGATGGGACCAAGGAGACTTTACCTCCAGACCTTCATCCATGGACCCTCCCATCTCTCCGGTTCTGGTCATATGCTCCTCAGCCTGCAAAGCGCTGTGTCTGAAGGGAACTAGTGATCAACGCATGGATTGAATTTCAGATTTGTTTTCCCTTCCTCCATGAAAACAGAACCCTAACACTAATATGAATAATAGCTAACATCTATTACTTGCTTACTACGTGCCAGCTTCCCTGTGAATGCTTTATTAGTAGTATCTTACCCTTTTCGCATCTGTCTTTACTTGTTTCAAATGGAACTTATTTCTCCATTCTGATAATTCTGTTCTCTGAAGCACTGGGGGCTCTTGTCTTTCCATGGATGCTGTCTGCTGCCTCAATTACAGTGTCTTGCTTCTTCATGTATTTTGTAATGGAGCTTGTATTTGGCAGGACAGAATTTGATTTTGCTTTGCTGGAAGCTCTAGGGGTATTCCAGCTAGGGATCTCTTTGTGTTAATTTCCTGAACAGATATAATAAAGGTAAATACCAAATCCAAGAGAGGTCAAGGTCATGGTTACAAACTATCAACAGAAAACTTTTTTTTTTCACCTCCCCAGAGTCCAGAGGAAAGCAAAGTTTCTTGCTATTTCCCTGAGTCGGCAGGAAGATTTATTTCTATTCTAACCATTTACCAAGGGTTCCAACCCTTTGAGGATCCCAGCTTAGTCTGGGATCTCAGTTCCAATTCTTTGCCTAATGTGAGCTTAAGGACTCATATTCTATATCCAAGTGGCTGCTAAAAATTCAAGCTAGTTGAGAAAATGCATCCTTGTCTCAGGGTAGCCAAAATATTAGGTCTTTCTTAACCTTCTGGTTTTCAGGGTTTTTTTTTCCATTAAGCATAGATACACTATTAAAAATATATTTACGATACTTTATCCAGAAGTCTATGTAATTGGCTAACTTGCTAAAAACGAAAGTCCTGTAGTCAGTTTATATGTACTCCTCTCATGCTGTAAGTTCATGACATGGGCACTATTATTATCTCTGTTTTACAGAGAAGAACACTGAAATTTGGAAACAATAAATGTATGCTAAGAAATAACAAAATTGTATTCACACCTAATTCTGTCTTGCCACTAAGCCCATGTTCTTAACCAACAACCCCCTTCTTTACAGCCTTGTTGAGGGTACTGTATCTGTGGTGTAGACCATGGTTTCCCAACCAGAAATCTGTGATGTCTCTGCTGCTGAATTTGGGAGAGAGGGAGACATGTAGATGAGCTGTAACCATTGTCCACAAGGAGAAAGGTAGAAAAGGAACAGATAAGAGATTATAAATATTATGTTGCTATTCTATGGACATGTGGCTGCGAAAGTCATGCAGAGATTGTTTGCTTTCCTAGGAAATGCATCAAATCCCACACTAATGGATTCCCAAAGTCGTCCTGGACTGTGGTTGTTCCTCCGACTTTGGTGCCTCAGACTGGCATCCCGTGACAGTTAGTAGTGGGGAAGGAGACATGAGGGGCTCTGTTCAGCAGGCACCCCATGTGTGGCTGGGAGCAGTGTCAGCAGGAGCCAGAAGCTCCACGCTAAGGATGGGCCACGTGATTCTGGGTGCATCAATTCTCTTCTCTTGGCCCATTTGTTCACCTGCTGGACAGAATTAAACATGTCTTCTCCACATGACTCATGGAGTCCTTGTGAGGAGAGAACCAGTGTTACAGGCTCAGAGCTTGTCCTTGGAGGTGATTTCAGGAAAACTCAGTTGGCTAAGAAACCAGTTGTTCCTTCTCTACCAGGAATACATTTATGAGTTTCATTTCTGAACAGACCCCTTTAGGAAACTCCTATTCTCCTGCCAGTAGCACAGGGAGCCGGTGAAGTCTCCCAATGAGGAGACAGCATTTTGCACAAATATATGGACAATGTTGAATAACATGAGATGCTCAAAAAGCAGAGGGGGGGCATCTGCGTTTTCTCACCACCTGCTTGGGGGCTCTGTAATGAATCCAAACTGTTGCCTATCCATGCTCCCAGGAAATGAGCTGCGGGTCTCCATCTTTCCTTTCTTTCTCCCAAGCCATAGACCCCATTCAGCCTCACCATACCGCAGCCTCGTGCCCTTTCCTCCCCAGCAGAACAATGCAGCCACACCATTGTACTTCAGTTTTCAAAGACTTTGCACATCCATCAGTTTGTTGAAACCTCATCAACACCCCATGTGGCAGGCTGGCAAGTACTTATTCACCCCAATTTAGTTACCAGTGATGTTTTGCAGTGGGAACCAAAACTTATGTCTCACACTTTCTCTCCTTTGCTTTTACTGATAGCTTTCTAATTTTCATGGGGTCACTTACTGGCAGGGTGGCCTGGGATGAAACTGATCCTCTTGAATCTCAGCTTCCACCTTGGTCAACAACAAAAAAAATGACAGCTAATAATAACGTTTGAAAACTTCCTATGTGCCAGACACTGTTCTAAGCATTTCACACACATGAATTCATGAATTCAGTTCATGACAACACGATGAAGTAGATGCTGCTTTTCTCCCCATTGTGCAGATGAAGAATCTTAAGTACCGAGATGCGTAAACCCCATATGAAGTAGAACTGGGATGGAAAGCAAGATTGGCAATTGTATCCACACTTAACCGCTACACTATAGGGATTCATTCCTAATGAAAACCACCTATATAATAATAACTATATCTAAATAGCATGCTGGTATTATAACTCCTCGTGAAAATTAAAATGAACAATGTATATAAAATCCCTCTGAAAACAAAGAATTATGTGAATATAAAGTAGTTCTAATTTTGTAATTAATAAAATTCACTTTCCAACATCACATCTAAATAAGCATTGAACACTACTCAACCGGTCTTAATCAACAAATCTTAATTGAACACCTACTATGTGCATCTATCTACAACGTGCAGTACAACCAAAATAATCAAGCCCTTTCAAGACACTCACTGCAAAAGTTCTCCTCAGTTTATTAATACACTCTGGGCCCCAGTCTCTTGTCACTGACAGTCAGAGTTCTTTTCATGGTATTGCTATATCATATGAAGATATATCACTATATACATATAGTTGGTGCCACTCATCTTCTTGATGTGGTGTGTGAATCATAGGTCATTGGGTGGCTTTAAGAGCAGCAGTCCTTAGTCAAGGGACTCTCTCTGGTCTAAACAGCTGACTCAGTTTTCAAGAGTGAGAAATGAGGGCAGTTACTGCCATGGTTGGGAGAAAGGTGGTAGCCTATGGCCAGGGGCTGTTTCTTTGGAAAGGAATGTGAATGAAGTAGGCTTTCCAAATCTCATCAACCATATCAGTCAAAAGGGAACCGTCCCTTTCTTATGGTACTTTCTGCCCCAGAGTCTAGTTCCAAGTCTGACACATTCTTCACAAATACAGGTGACCCTTGAACAACATGAGTTTGAACTGCAAGAGTCAACTTCTATGTGGATTTTCTCCTGCCTCTGTCAACCCTGAGACAGCAAGACCAACCTGCTTCCTCCTCCTCCTTAGCCTACTCAAAGTGAAGATGATGAGCTGAAGATCTTTATGATGATCCATGTATTAGTCTGTTCTCACATTGCTATAAAGAGATACCTGAGACTGGGTAATTTATAGAGAAAAGAGGTTTAATTCGTTTATCATTCTGCAGGCTGTACAGGAAGTGTGATGCTGGCATCTGCTCAGCATCTGGGGAGGCCTCAGGAAACATACAATAATGGTGGAAGGCAAAGGGGGTGCAGGTACATCACATGGCCAGAGCAGGAGTAGGAGTAGGGAGGGAGGGAGGAACCACACACTTTTAAATGACCAGATCTCAGGAGAACTCACTATTGTGAGGACAGTATCAAGAGGAATGGTGCAAAACCATTCATGTGAATCTGTCCTCATGATCCAATCACCTCCTGCCAGGCCCCACGTCCAATATTAGGGATTACATTTCAATATGAGATTTGGGAAGGGACACACATCCAAATTATATCAATCCACTTCCACTTAATGAATGGTAAATATATTTTCTCTTCCTTAGGATTTGCTTAATAAGATTTTTCTCCTCTAGCTTACTTTATTGTAAGAATACAGTATACAATACATGTAACATAAAAAATACATATTCAATGACTCTGTGTGTTATCAGTTTGGCTTCTGGCCAGCAGTAGGCTGTTAGTTAAATTTGGGGGACATGGATTTTCAACTACATGGAGGTTGGCACCCCAACTCTGCATTGTTCAAGAGTCAACTGTACTGATAATGAACGAACGGAAAAATGTATAGACCCACCTCCCACCCATGGGGGCCTTCTTCGTTCATGTCATGTGTTCTATAACTCTACTTTGCTCATCCTCCCTCGGTCTTCTTTGTTGTATGTTACCTAGTGCTTTCCCCTCATATATGTAAAAAAGAAAAGAACCTTATCAGCCCTTTAAGTGTCAAACACCAGCTTGTTAGAAAGAACATGAATAAATGTGTCTCTTTGCTCCGGTCCTAAACTGCTGCCTCTGAAAAGAGAGCCTCCAGCACTGTTGTGACAGCGACACAGATGGTATTTCAGATACGGCCTCCACCCCCAGCTGGGTCAGTCTGTACAAGCCTGTCACCCAGGAGCCAGAATCTGACAACAGCGCTATTTAGTTGTGTTTAAAAACGATGCTGACCCAGTGACCTAGTAAAAGGAAAATGTGCCTCCTTGTAACCCAGCAATTCCGTGTCTAGGCATACATGCAGAAGACATTCTTGTATGTGTTGGCATGAGGTTTGTATAAGGATATTCACTGCCACACTGATTGTAAGAGTAAAAAGGTTGGCAGGCAAAATAAATTCTGCTGTACTCATACGATGAAATAAAATGAATGCACTAGATCCATATGTGAATATAGATAGGTCTCAACATATTAAATGAGTAAAGCAAGTACCAGAATAATACGTACATTATGATAACATTTAAATGAAAATTTCAAAACATAATAAGTAAATTAGTATTTTTTAACAGATATGTGTATAGATGTGTCATATGTGTGTATGTATTATAGTAAAAATATTAAAAACTGTGGACTAGGAAGAATGACATTAAATTTATGTTCCTAATTGCTTGGGGGATGGAGTTTAAGGGACTGGAATGGAGGACATATGTCTTTATCTGTGAGGTTATGTTGTGTGCATGTGTGTGTGCCTATGTGTAAGTAAAATCTGTCTGATACAAAAACAAACAAAACTTTTCATCTGCTTAATTGTCCAGTGAAAGCAGCACTCTTGGGAAGCCCCAGGAAATGGGACCTTCTGTATAGTTCAGCTTGCCAGATTTCTGAAAGTGCATCTCATTAAGAACTAAAGCTTTTTTATAAAAGTTAAATTCTTTACATTTTTTCATAATTTTTAAAAGAGCAATTTTAAAAGTAATGCATGCATATGTATTTTTTAATTTTTTAAAAAAACTACAGAAAGCCCTATAATAAATACATCAATCCCCTGCACATTTACTGCCACTCCCCAGCCCCACAACCCCATAGCAGTGGCCTCTTTCAACTTTTCTAGCTGCCTCTGGATGTACCACCATATTTTTAAATGATTTGTTTATGTTACTCTTCCTGGATTTTCAGAGTTAGACATGAACTTGCTGTTGTGAGAGAAGAGTATTTAATTGATATCTACCAACTCCCTGCCTCCTCTCCTATTCTCCCAATATCATTTGATTTCAATTTTTTATTAAACCAAGTCAGTGTTTAAATTATAATAGCTTTATAAATACTGTTTGCTACTAAACAAAAAACTTTTTTTGTGATATATTTTCTTTCCCATACAATTTCTGTTTTCTTAGGTTAATAGCTACCTTTAAAAATTACTTACCAACCATATTCCTTCTGTTAAGAATTTAAACAAAGTGACACATCCGTCAGTAGTAGGTGCTGAGGAAATCATGTAGGCAGCGTGGGGCAGCCATTCTATTTGCTGAGTGAGACGGGGAACAAGAGGACAGGAGAAGAGAAGACACGGAGGACAAGCTTGGAGGAAAAGCTGCATGGAGGAAAAACAGAGGTAACTGGAGATGAAGGGAATCCCACTCACCCTGAGAGATGGAGACAGTAGCATCCATTACAGCATCCCCAGGTCCCAGTTAGAGTCCTCCTTCACTCCACATGTATCTCACCCCCTGTTCTCTCTCTGGCTGTATATGACATTATCCATTGGAGCTTTGTGATACACTTCCTTTTGCTTGAGTTAGCTTGACTGGGTCTCTTCCACTTATAACCCCCAGATCTCAACTAGAACAGGGAGCATCAGAGAAGAGGTAAAATCTGAGGTTGGCACTTAACTGTGGCTTGGATTTGGCTATGAGATGAGGAAGAGTAGCTCAGGTAGTGGAAACAACATGAATAAAAACACTGAGGCAAGAAAGTATTAACACTTGTGGGAAATCACAAGAAGTTCAGCCTGACTGGAACACAGAATTCCTGAAAGGGAGGATGGGTGGTGCAGCTGAAAAAGAATGCTAGGCTAGATCATGACGGTGCTCCCGTCCCAGGGTAAGACATCAGGGCTTTATTCTGTTGACGGTGGAGGAGCCATTGGATGGAACGCATTTTCATATGAAGAACTCAAGTTTCCCAGACTCTGTAAATGTGCCAACACCAGGTTGAAGTTTTAAACGTTTTAAACCCCATGGCCTTGGCTGGGACTTCAGATGACTCGGGAATATTACCCATAGCCTGAGGCCATGAATCTTTCTCACACTCTGGAAAGTAATCACAGAGCCATGAAACACTGCATTGGGAAAAAATCTTAGAGCTACTCCACCTCCACCTGATTTTATAGATGAGCAAGCAAGTAATGTGGGCAAGTAGCATGGTCAAAGGAAATAAACACAGTCCATAGGAAGAAAATACAGATGGTTCTTAAAAACGTGCAAACATGATTGATCCCACCATCCTCCAACAAATTGGTCGTGACACTAGAACTAAAAGAATCCAAATGATCTGACATCTATTCTAGAGCCCTCTCCTATCACTGTTCTATCTCTCAAAACAAACTCTCCACCAGGCATGTGTACTCACAGCCCTTTCACCTAGAGAGAATTCACCTTGACCTTGACCTATACCAAGTCTTCCATGGCTCTTTATAGCCCCTCAAAGTACGCCCCAGATTCTAAGTGAGCTGCAATAGGGAGACATACAGTCTGTTCGCTTCCTTTCCTTTGACACCCCTCTTCTCTTTATTCTCCTGGTTCTCAACATTCCTTTGAGCTCCTCAGACCTGGTCCGCAGAATAGTCTACCCAGATCCTTCTGGTACCCTTGAGATGATCCTGCTTTGTCCCCTGACTACATACCTAGTATCAATTTCATCTGCCTCCATCCAGTCCCTAAGGCACCTGAGCTCTAGTTTAGCCTGCTGCACCCAGACAGCTCCAGGCCAATTTGCCCCAGGATGTTCCTATCAGAGGTGTGACATCAACAGGCCTAGACCTGACAGATTAATTTGAGTAATCAAGCTCAGGCCAAGGAAAAGACTGGGCCAAAAAGAAAATTCAAAAATCAAGAGGATTCTCCCTAAGTTCATCTACAAATTTAATGCAGTACTAAATAAAATTAACAACAGATTGTTTTTGAAACAAAACAAGATGAGCTGAACTTTAGAATATATAATGTTAGGATATTTTTAAAAGATATGTTACTGGATATTAATAGACAGATAGATCATTGGGACAGAATAGCAAGCCTACAAATCAAACCAAATACATGAGAGAATTTAGTATACGAAAAAGATACCAGTTAAAATTAGTGGATAAACAGTGGATTATGTGATAAACATTGAGGCAACTGAGCCTCCAGAAAATAATAACCTCATAACCTACACCAAAAAGAATTTCAGACAAATTAAAGAACTTAATGCAAAAACAAATACATAAAGATTTAAAATATGCGATTGATTTACATATACATACATACACAATTAGGCATCTCATAATGATATTTAGGTCAACAATGGACAATATATGAGGATGGCCCATCAGATTATAATGGAGCTGAAAATTTTCTATTGCCTAGTGGTGTCATAGCTGTTGTACCATCATAGTGCAACACATTATTCATGTGTTTGTAGTGATGCTGGTGTAAATAAACGTACTGCACTGCCAGTCATACATTAGGGCATACAGTAATTCCCTAGGCCTTCATAGTCACTCACCACTCACTCAGTGGCTCACCCAGAGCAACTTCTGGTCCTGCAAGCTCCGATTCATGGTAAGTACCCTATACAGGTGTACTGGTTTAAAAAATCTTTTATACTGTATTTTCACGGTACATTTTCTATGTTTAGATAGCTTTAGATACACAAACTTTATTTGTGTATACTGTTTGGTTCAAGACTTTTATAACTGTTTATTGTCCAGAGTACCTTATGTTAATAATCATAGCTACTGTTAGGACTATGGATGCAGCTGCTTGTATAAAGAATCATTTAGTAGTGGGTTCTGTGAAGTGGGGAGTTGCTTTTTTAACTAGGATAGGATAGGAATAATGTATAGTATATTTACTTCCAGCCCTATCCAGACTTGTAATCAGTGCAAGATAAATACTGTGATTGTAGTTCCTGTGAAGAGGGTGAAGAGGATAATGATAGGAACTGAGGGGTTGATTAGCACAGGAAGGATACAAACCAACATTTTTTGGGGTGCAGGTTTGATATTAATTGCTTGTTTTGCTTACCTAACTATAGAATATGGTGTATTGAGTATGGTGTGTAGAATATGGTGTATAGAATACAGTGTATTCTAGAAATAAGATTTTATTTCTAGATTTTGTTACAATTGCCTGCAATATACAGTACAGTAACATGCTGGACAGGTTTGTAGTCTAGAAGCAATGGGCTTTACCATATAGCATAGGTGTGCAGTGGGCTATACCATCTGGGTTCATGTTAGTGCACTTTATGATGTTATCACAATGACAAAATCACCCAACGATGTGTTTCTCAGAATGTATCCCTGTTGTTAAGTTACCCGTAGTTGTAGATGTATACACAGACACACACACACACATGCATGCATATACATAAATACACACACATATATAATCTGTTAATGTGGAAAACCTTCCTAAATACAACAATATGTGGAAGCCATGGGAGAAGAGAGTAATTTGGTTACATAGAATCCAATTTCTGCATAGAACAAAAACCCCACCATGAACAAAGTCATGCTTTAAAATCAGAAAAAAAAATCTTCAATTTATATTATGGTCAAAGGCACAATCACTTTAATGTATAAGTAGCTCCTTAAAATTAACAAGAAAAAGACCAACAATCCTCAAAAATGGGCAAAGGAAATAACTACAGCTCATAGAAAGAAAATATAGATAGTTCTTACAAATGTGCAAACATGATTGATCTCAATCAGAAGAGAAATAGAAATGAAAACAAAAATAAATACTATGTTTTTCCTATCACACTGGCAAAGCAAAAAATGTTTGATGCCTAGGATGATTGGAGTGTGGGGGAAATAGTTGCTTTCATGCATTGCTGATAGGAATGTAATTTGGTACAACCTCTATGTGGGGCAATTAGTCAATCAATTTCCATCAAAATTATACGTGCACATGCTGTTTTAACCAGCAATTTTGCTAGGTATTCAGCACACTGATATTCTCACAGATGTGCAAAATGATGTATACATAAAATAATATTTTTGCAGCATCATTTTTAACAACAAAAGTTTGGAAGTAATATAAATATCCATTAGTATATGAACTGAATAAATTAGTCCATCCAGATAATGAAATGCTATTTAACTGTTAAGAATGAAAAGTAACTGTCTAGGCCGGGCACGGTGTTTCACGCCTGTAATCCCAGCACTTTGGGAGGCCGAGATGGGCAGATCACGAGGTCAGGAGATGGAGACCATCCTGGCTAACACAGTGAAACCCCGTCTCTACTAAAAATACAAAAAATTAGCCAGGCGTGGTGGCAGGAGCCTGTAGTCCCAGCTACTTGGGAGGCTGAGGCAGGAGAATGGCGTGAATCTGGGAGGTGGAGCTTGCAGTGAGCCAAGATTGCGCCACTGAACTCCAGTCTGGGTGACAGAGCAAGACTCCGTCTCAAAAAAAAAAAAAAAAAAAAAAAACAATGAAGAGTAACTGTCTAGATTACATGCCTAAAGTAAATTTTGGGAAATGAAAATATGCAAGTCTACTTGTGGTAGACTTACTTTGACAGCCCCCAACAAACCATACCTCTCAAAACTTAAACCCTTGTATAGTCCCCTCCCGCATTGTTTCTGGGCTTGGGTATGTGACTAGTTTTTGGCATTGAGAGCAAGATGCAAATGGAGGCTTAATAAGAGCTTGCATATTGGAACTTTCTCTCTTGGGAACACTTCTTACAACCCAGCCATCATACTATGAAGAAGCCCATGCATCCACATGGAGAAACCACATGAAGAGCAAAAGATGCCAAAAGCCCCCAACTGTCCTAGCCATCCTAGCTGAGGCATCAGCTGAGAAATGTCAGTGAAAAAACAGACTTGGAAATTCTAGCTTCAACTGGTGCCATAGGGAGCAAAGATGACCCAGCCTAGTTGAGTCCTGCCCACTTTGCAGAACCATGAGCTAACAAATAATTGTTATTGTTTTAAGTCACTATGTTTTTGAGTGGCTTTTTACACAATAATAGATAAATGAAGCTATATTGATATGAAGAGATTTCTATAATAGAATTTTAAGTTAAAAAAGCAAGGTGCAGAACAATGTGCCTTATCATTGTGAGTTTGTGGAAAAAATATATATACCTCTATTTGCAGAGAGAGTTAGTTTCCTAGAGCTGCTATAACAAGTTACCACAAACTGGGAAACTTAAAGCAACAGAAACAACAAAAGTTTCTGGACTCAGTTTTGGAGACCGGAGTCTGAAATCAAGGTATCAGCAGGGCTGCACGCCCTCTGGAGGCTCCAGGGTAGAAATCTTCCTTGCCTTTCCAGCTTCTGGTGGTTGTCAGCACAACTTAGCTTCCTTGGCTTGTGGCCACCTCACTCCAATTCTATCACATGGCCTTCTGCTCTGTGTGTCTGTGTCTTCTCTTCTGGCACTGAAGAGGACACTGGTCACTGGACTTAGGGCCCACCAGGGTAATCCATCATGAAATATCATCTCAAAACCTGTAACTTAAGTATATCTGTGGAGACACTTTTTTTTCCAAATAAGGTAATATATACTGGCTGCAGGGATCTGGACATGGCATATTGTCTGGGGTGAGGGGGAATCATCTCAATCTAATATTTCTATAGAAAAGATACACAGAAAATTGGTACAGATTGGTTGCCTCCAGGGCAGGGGTAGAAGTGGAGATTGAATGACTGAAGGATAGAGGAAAGAGGGATACATATTACTGAGTCTAAGTCTCTGAGACATTTTTGATTGACACCACTGGAGGTGGTGTCTAGTGTGTACTGGCATCTAGCGTGTAGAGGTTAGGGATGCTTTTAAATATACCATGAGGCTAGTCCGGGTGCTGTGGCCCGTGCCAGTAATCCCAGTACTTGGGAGGCCGAGGTGGGAGGATCACTTGAGCCCAGGAGTTTGAGACCATCCTGGGCAGCATAGTGAGACTTCATCTCTACTAAAAGGTAAACCAATAAATAAATATGCAATGGCTACAGTCCATTATCTAAGGGGGAAAAGTAAACAAGCACATGGATATTTAGATTTTGCATTTATTTGATATTGTCTTTCAACTGAGGGTCTTGGCCAGGTGCATTCCTAGGTGTCAAGGAGAAACAACTTATCTTCGCACTCTGAGATCACTCTCTTCATCAAAATTTGCTTGCATGTACAGTCAGTTCCATCTTGATGGTGAGTGAAAGCAGCAGATGTTTCAGCGCCACTGCCTTTATATTCTCTCTGCGCAGATGGGAGCAGCTGTGCACATCAGGTGCCAACAGTCATAGCGTCCTGAACTCCATTAGGTCAGTCATTGTCCTTCCAACTACTGTGATTGTCCACATTGTTTCCTGCAGAGACACCTGGGGAAGTATGGGCCATTCAGAGGGACTTCCAGAATCTCAGTTTCTCTAGTTAAGAACTGGGGATAATGACCCCATGGCAATTTTTGGGAGATGATTCACATAGAATGCTGTACATATGAGGAATACTGTCACAGAAATGTACTCAGATTCATACAGAGCAGCTTTTGCCACTAGTGGGGGTGGGGTGAAGGAAACAATATATCCGTTCAAATTTATCCAATCCACAAACATTTTATTATCAGGTAAGTAATTTTACATAATACAACAGTCGCTTTGTTCCCTGCTGGAACATGCAGCACGGCTGAGACAGGCTGTGGGTTCTAGGTCATTTCCAGGAGTTAGCTTTGATGGCAGCCTGTTCCCTCCTGCTCCATTAAGTACATCACAGGTGAGTGGGTGTACTAATACTGTTAAGTTAACATTCATTCTGTCGGAAACTATTTCTTAGGTAAATTATTCAAAAACTTCAGTACTTTTACTGGTAGTAGCAAAAACTTACTTGTAACACACCTTGCAATTGATCCTAACACACCAGTGGGCCGCAACAGGGCAGTAAAGAACAGTTGCCCCATTAAGTTAGGATCTTTAATCTAAACACACACAACTACACAAAACCAACACGAAGTCTCCAGACCCAACACACCTCTCAGCTGGACAGGATGAAACCATTTGAACTAAGAGGCCAGCAGGCTACCTCTGCTTTGATAAAGGTGGTTTGCAAAATGTTCCAATTAACCCTCAGGCCACCCCCAACACACACATTCCCCTCTCCCTGCATCTGTGGGGAACTGAGTAGCCTGTAAATTGAGCCCAAATTGAGAGGAAGTGAGATTGATGCAGCACTGAGAAAAATGCTATGATTAATCTCCTCTGGGCCTTCTCAGGTTGCATGTAATGGTTTCGGTCCCACAAATACTAGTGACTTTCTTTCCTGAAGCAGCAAAATTATAGGTAATTGCTTTTGGGAAGAGCCAAATAGCGGATGGCTTCTCCTCTAACCAGATTTATCTTAATTCTCAATAAACAGAATAATAGCATCCTTTTCTCTGCTCTCCAGGTCATTAGAGAGGCTTGGGCTGTGACCATCCCTCAGCACAGGACCTGCAACTAAATGCCGTAAACTACATCCAATGAATAATTATCCTCTCTTATTCTCTGGCTGCAGAGGAGATGGCCCATGAACTGTCTGGATTCATCTTTTGGCACCTGCCACCCAGAGCCACATTGAAGGGGATGAGAGCTGCGTGGGCTGGGGCACAATAGGAATGGAGGGGAGGTTCCTCTAAGAGCCCCCATCTTCTCCTCTTCCACAATACCAGGGACTTCCAACCATTGTGGCAGGGAAAGAGAGGGGCTGGACCTTCCTAGGCAATAAGGTGGAGACAGCAGGACTCAGTGTTGGAAGAATCTATCCTGACGCATGAGAAACATCACCCTGGGTAGCAGCCCATGGTAGCTTGCCACCTCTGTTACTTCTCTTGTTTGGATCTTCCTTCTTGCCTCTCTCCTAAGGGGTAACCCAACTTCCACCTGATCCTCTCCCTCCAGATTCCAACTCCCTAGGGCTCTGCTACAACTCCCTGGTACTGACGCCACTCCGTTCATGAACTGAAGAATGTAGGGAAGGTGAAGAAAGAACTCACATCAGGCACCTATGATGTGCCTCGTACAGTTCTAGATGTTTTAAGTGTTATTCCATTCGGTTTTCACAATCCTATGAAGAAAGCATTCCTCTTGTCCTTGCTGTACATGAAAAAACTGAGACCCAGAGATGCTAAGCCACTCATCGAAGGACACACAGTCAATAGAAAAACTGAGATTTAAACCTGGGTCTGTGTAACCCCAAAGCCCGCATAGGTTCCCTTGGTCATTCATGGCCTCAGCTAGACTGTTCTTGGCTAGACTGCATTTAGGTTTATTTTCCCAACCCCTGCCCCTCCCTGATGTAACTCTACTGGTATCACCCCAGTCCTGTCCCCATTTTCACCCCCAATTCAATTGATGGCTTGGGACTCTGGCTGCCCAAGCCTAATTCACAGATGGGAGCTGACCTCAGACCTGCTTCCCAGAAGTCAGGATGGAAATTCAGAGACAGAAACTCTCACATGCACACTGGAGAGTAGGGCAGGACAAGGCCAATTCCAGGAGCTGTTTGGGAGGTGATCCCAGCATCAGGCCAGTCATTCTGACTGCAAGGCCAGAGCTGGGCTCTTCCTACATGAGGCTGCTTGCAGGAATGCCAAGAGAGCTCTCTTCTCTCTTCTGCAGGAGCACTGAGGACCAGCAGAGTTGCCCATGGATCTCAACCAGCCTGAGGGGGTTTCAGGTGGGGAGAAGGAGAGAGAGAAATTAAGCACAGCTGGGGCTGTAAACCCTATGGGCCAAGACTTTGCCAGATACTTTGTACAGAATTACATACTGAACAGGACAAGAGATTAGTTGGTGTTCCACTCCACCCCAGCAGGGGGAGCCCTTACACCCTCACCCGCAAAGTACCCTGGGTGCTCTCCATAGGAACTCCTCCTATAGGTTCTCCATCCGAAGAATCCTAGGTTTTTGCAGCCCCCAATACAGTGTGATTTTATCAAGAATAGCGTGCTCTTTGGCCATCTTTCTGCTACCTGTGCCGGTACTTGCACCTTCATACCCCTGCCTGGCTTCAGTGTTGCCTACTCCTCCAGCCATTGTAGAATTCCCTGCTGCAGCTGTTAAGAACTCAGAAACCCACTCCAGCCCAGGCTCTTCCTCCTGCTGGAGCTGAGGATTCCGACCTCCCACTTCCGAGGTGGGAACAAGATGAACACTGTCGTCAAGTGGGGAAACAGCCTTGGCCCACGCTCATGCAGGAGGCCGATTCCCAAAGCAAAGTGTGAGCGAGTCCCTGGTCCCCCGTGTCCCGGTCCCCCGTGACTGAGAGCAGCAGCCACTCAGCTGAGAACAGGCCCTTCCGCATAACCTCCTGCCTGGTCCTTTTTTGACATAGCTAAGCAGAGATATGGGCACCATATCAGACGCTGCCGAGAATCTTGTTTGAGTGCTGTCTGAAGGCCTTAGTCTACCCACCTGACCAATGGGGCTGGTGGACTCTGCCATCTAGAGGTTTGAGAGGATCAGCTAAGAAATAAATGACCAGAAGGGGTACAGTAAAACCAAGGAGCAACAAACTCTCTTCAAATAAATAAAAGGACCAAGTCTGCCGGCCTCCTTCCTCTCAGAATTCAAACAATCCCTATCAGGTTGGCTAGGCCCATTCCTTGTTTTCCAGGAGACAGCAAGTACTTTGGAGTCTGGGATTTCACAGCTAGTCACTCCTTGATTGGAAACATGGTCCCCAATCATCCCCTATCAAGGACTAGCTGTCAGGGTAATTTGGAGCTCAGGTGGGAGCAGGGTGTTAGAGGGGGCTGCTGGAGCACGGCTGGGGAAGGCAGGAGAGTCATTGAAGAAGTGGAGACAGAAGCCTTCTGGCTGTTGAGGGCCACACATGCAGCAGTGATGGATGGAGGAGCGCGAGGTGGCCTGGAGAGAAGCCATTCATCTTCACGCTGGGTGTGGGAGCAGGGCATGGTAGATCAGGAGCCCACTCAGGACCACTCCAGGGGTGAAGGATTGGTTTCTACTTATCTGGAAAGCAACAAACGCACCTGCTGCCTTAGAGAGGGTTGGGGAGGGGGGAAATCTGACCTCCATCCGTGTGTACACGTCTCTCCTCTCAGTGAAAGACTAAGCCCCCCCAGGGGGAACCAGAACGTGAGGACTAGACCAAAGTCATGCAGTTAGCAGGACTTTCTTGCTTCAAGGGCTTGCCATGGTGCTGGGATAAAGGCTGGAGGGGGAAGACAATCCAGAGGGCTGCTATTTCTGCTTCGATATGACAGCTCCACTTACATCTGTCTCATGCCTAGACTTCCGCATAATATCTGGTTTCACAATAGGATCCTGCTGTTATGTATTTTTCCAGCTCCGTACAGAACACAATGGTATTCCCACAAGACGGTGCTCTTGACTGGGACCAATTTGTTCTTCCTCTGAAATCTGACTGTGGACATCTTTTCAACAATTAAAAAAAAAAAGACGTGGATATGATTTCCTCAATTAAAAAAATTTTTTCCTTTCTTTCTTAAACCATTGGGGCCTGCTACTTTCTGTCAAAGCCAGAATCTAAAAAAGATAATGACCAATTTAGCAGGCAATCATACATTTATTATATTCGTTTTAGCTTAACATCAATATTTCATGATGTTCTGCAAAGAAGAACCGTAATGTCTAGCTGCTCTGTTACCCGACGTATTTAAAAAGTTGTTTCTTCTGCACTTGGGAAGTCAGCTCTAAAATGAGCCACTCTGAAGAGCACCCGCGCCCAACCCAGGGTCAGGGTCGTCATGAACAATATTTCATGATGTCCTGCAAAGAAGAACCTTAATATCTAGCTGCTCTGCTGCCCGATATATTTAAAACGTTGTTTCTTCTGCACTTGGGTAGTCAGCTCTAAAATGAGCCACTCTGAAGAGCACCCCCCTCCCCA
Organism: Homo sapiens; assembly: GCF_000001405.40. Classification (NCBI taxonomy): domain Eukaryota; kingdom Metazoa; phylum Chordata; class Mammalia; order Primates; family Hominidae; genus Homo; species Homo sapiens. The sequence goes on along the minus strand of NC_000017.11, from coordinate 33,684,321 downwards.
CCCCAGGGTCGGGCTGGGAGTGGGTGCTAGGCCCCTGGAGCTCCTGGTAGCCACCACTTCAGCAGCTTTTCTGACATTCCTGCATTTTCAGGAGATGTAGGCAGCATTTTGCTTTTGGACATGCCAGGGTGTATAATTTGTAGACCAGGTTCTAGCCTAGAGCCTTTTATGGAAGATCCTTAGAAGTCAAAAACAGAAAGAGTATGGAGAATTATTAGCAGAAGTGTACCAAAAACAACTAGCTAGATTTGTGTAAAGAACTAAAAGCAAAATCTATATGCAAATGTATGGATATTCTAATGATTTTCTATCAAGCTGACTGTTATTGGGTTAAATCGTATTCCTCCCCCTAAATTCGTACGTTGGAGTGTCCTAGCTCCCAGTACCTCATGACCTTATTTGTAGATAGGGTTGTTACAGATGTAATTGGTAGAGTCAAGATGAGGCCCTACGGGAAAAGGGTGGGCTCCTAATCCGATGTAACTGTGTCCTTCTAAAAAGGGGAGACGGGGCACAGTGGTAATCTCATTGTGGGAGGATTGCTTGAGCCCAGGAGTTTGAGACCAGCCTGGGCAACATAGCAAGACCCCTGTCTCTGTAAAAAACAAAAAAATTACCTGGCCCTGGTGGCATGCACCTGTATTTCCAACTACTTGGGAGGCTGAGGCAGGAGGATCATTTGAGCCTAAGAGTTCAAGGTTACAGTGTGCTATGATTATGCCACTGTCCTCCAGCCTAGGCAACAGAACAAGACCCTATCTCTACAAGATTTTTAAAAAAAAACTATCTGGGCATGATGGCATGTGCCTATAGACCCACCTACTTGGGAGGCTGAGGTGGGAGGATCACTTGAGCCAGGGAGGTCAAGGCTGCAGTGAGCCATGTTTGCACCACTGTGCTCCAGCCTGGGTGACAGAGCAAGAACTTGTCTTCAAAAGAATTAAAAACTAAAATTAGGCAAGGTGCGGTGGCTCACACCTGTAATCCCAGCACTTTGGGAGGCCAAGGTGGGTGGATCACGAGGTCAGGAGATCGAGACCATCCTAGTTAACATGGTGAAACCCCATCTCTACTAAAATACAAAAATTTAGCTGGGCGTGGTGGCGGGCACCTGTAGTCCCAGCTACACAGGAGGCTGAGGCAAGAGAATGGCATGAACCCGGGAGGCAGAGCTTGCAGTGAGCCAGAATCCAGAACCCAGGAGAAAGGCCTGGAACAGATCCTTCTGTAGCACCTTATAGGGCAGCGTGGCCTACTGACACCCTGATCTCAAACTTCTAGCCTCTATAACTATAAGGCAGTACATTTCTGTTGTTTAATCCACTCAATATGTAGCACTTGCTACTGCAGCCCTAGCAAAAGAATACAATGACAATTACATCTCTTGCAATGGATGGGAGCTGTGGGCAGATGTTGAAGTGCTTCAGCTTGCTTGTATAGCTTACTTCATTCACTGTTAAAATAAAGACAGCATTACCTTAGTACTGGGAAGCACCATTCTCCAAAGTTATCTCCCCTGAGAATAATCTTGGCAGGCTGGAGAGGCTGGAAGTTGGCTGTGATTGGAAGACTTAAGGCTATTTCTTATTTTTTTTTTAATATCCCAAGCAAGGCATACTTAACTCCTAATTCCACTTCTTAATTAAACATTAAAGGTTTGCACTGGCTCAGCAGAACATGCAGCTATCTGTTCTCTTGCAATCATGCTAAATTCATAAATCTAATTTGACTGTGGCATTAAGCCAGGAGTGAATGCAAGAGATTAACTTTTTTGAACTATCAGGACTAAAACATGAAGATTATTCTAACATTATTGTTATTTCTAATTGATAGATTTAATGTGATTTCTAGAGGCCGCACGCAGGTCTTCTGGATGTGGGGAGAATAGAAAATGGGAAAATGGAGCTCATCCTCTCCTAGATGCCTGCTCACAGAAATGTCATCACAGAAAGATGCCAGCTGGGCACGGTGGCTCATGCCTGGAATCCCAGCACTTTGGGAGGCCGAGGTGGGCTGATCACGAGGTCAGGAGATTGAGACCATCCTGGCTAACATGGTGAAACCCCGTCTCTACTAAAAATAAAAAAAAAAAAAATTAGCCAGGCATGGTGGCGGGCACCTGTAGTCCCAGCTATTCAGGAGGCTGAGGCAGGAGAATGGCGTGAACTCGGGAGGCGGAGCTTGCAGTGAGCCAAGATTGCACTACTGCACTCCAGCCTGGGCAACAGAGAGAGACTCTGTCTCAAAAAAAAAAAAAAAAAGATGTCACTGATGCCATCCTGTGTGGAACTGGCCCCTGACTGTGGAGTCATAGAGTTCTACAAAGGTCACCTTGTACAAGCACTACCTTTTATAAATGAGAAAGTGAGGGGCAGAAAGTTAATACAGGTCAAATATCATTTATTGAGGCTCCACCATGTTCCAGCCACTAGACGACACTAGAGATGTCAGCATGAGTGTGTCTCCTGCCCTCAAGGATCTTATGTTCTAGTAGGGGACAGAGGACAGTGAATTAATAATTCCAGTCACTGTAATAAATGCAGTGACAAGCATATGTGCACGACACCAGAATAACACAGAGGAGAGGCTTTGGGTTCTGAACCTGGCAGGACTAGAGCCGACCAGGTGAAGGAAAATTTCAGGATTTCAGGAAGCAGGAACGGCGTGAGTAACAGCCCAAAGCTGAGACACAGACCAGCCCTCCAGCTGCGCAGAGCCTTGCTCACTGCTGCAAGGAGTTGGGCATCATTGGAAAATTATGGGGAATCTTTGAAATGCTCCAGGAAGGGCCCTGCAGAGTTTCTTTCAAGTCTCATTGGCCAGAATTAGGGTCACCCTAAACTGGTAGTTCCCAACCCACATATACATTGTGGCGGGGATTTTGCCCTCTAGGGGACATTTGGAAATGCCTGGAGAAATCTTTGATTATCACAATTTGGGGAGGTGCAACTGGTATTAATGAGTAGAGGCCAGGGATGCTGTGAAACATTCTATAATACACAGAACAGCCCCACAACAAAGAATTATCCAGCCGCCAATGTACATGTGTGCTGAGGTTGAGAAACTCTGCCCTTAACCAATTATGAATAAGGGGAGTGAAATGATCATAGGCCAACCAGATGCTCCCCTGGGCCAGGGAAAGGAGTCAGTTTCTTCTGAGGTGTGCATGACAACAGATGCCTGAACAAAATGCATTCAACTGGGAAGGAGAAAGGTGGGGCTGGATGCAGGCCAGTTTATCATTGTGGATCGGGACCAGAGACCACTGAGCTTCACCTAAGAAACTCCCTATCTGGTTGGTTCCTGGGGAGGAGCAGCCAGGCCAGCACTTCACAAACCAGTTGCCTTTTTCCTTATAGATGGCAGGGGCCAATCCAGTTTTGTGAGGCCTGAAGCTTGCACAATTTGGGAGCCCTTCTTAAAAAATACATAATTACATGCAAAAACTACTGTATATTTAGAAGGAGAAAATGCAACCAAACAAATCGCACATTTAAAATAAACTAACAAGTACCACAGATGGAAGTGGCCATGCAGATGCAGGCAGACGCAGACCCTGAGCTCAGGCCTCATTGGCTCTGCAGTGAGTGCACTGCACTGTGGTGGGGTGGGGATGAGGCCTGTGTGCTCTCAGGGCCTGTGGGGAAATGATGAGATTCCTGCTTGGCGCCCAGCAGGAGATTCAATCACACATAGCACGAGATCTTGCTTTGGCAGTGTGGCCTCATTCTTCATCCTGGGGAAAGGAAAATCCTTTGGAAACTTCCTCTAGTACAGGCAGACACAGGGGCCCCTGGGAGAACTTGAGAGGGATAAAGGTGGTCTTTTGTAGCTGTAGCTTGTTCCAGTGGCTGCCCTCTGCTCCTCCCTGGGGAGGCCACCCCACTCCGTATGGAATGCACTTCTGAAAGCCTGCGTAGTCTAACAAGAAGTTCACCCAACTTTCCATGAGCTCCTTCCCAGAGCCAGGGTGTCAACACTCCCTCACTGTAGGTCCTGCAGGTACCACTTCCCTGCAGGTCAGGCAGCTGGAGCACCAGGCCCAGTGACCCTCCAGCCATTCCCATAGTTCATAGTGGGGGACATCATGACAGTCACCTCCCTCCCATGGGCCTCTTCCAATTGCTCCAGAAAGAATGGGGAGAAGGCCCAAGAATAGGGGTTCCCAATCTTTAAGCCTCCTGCATGCTCCTGGCCTTGCCCTGACATTCAGGTGAAGTCAAGGGGGTACACCACCAGCCTCCCTCCATTTCTGACCGTCAAAGGTCCCCCATCAATCAATAACACAGCCCTATCCCAGTACCCCCCAGTATCATATGCTGCCCTCTGTTTCTGTAACTGTAAAATGGAAGCAGAAATAATAATACCGTCCTCACCAGGCTATTACACAAACTCAAACCCAGTCTGTTTTCTAGAGACCATGAGCCCCACTCCTGCCTCTCCCTTTTCAGCCCTGGGCCTCTCTCCATGAATCACGCTGTTTTTTTTCCGTGACCTTCTTTCTGCTCCCCAAAAGCACAAGCCCTGCCCCGCCTCGAGGCCTTTGCATTTGCTGTTTCCACTCACTGGAAGGCTGTCCCCTCTGCCTTCGCCTGGCCTGCTCTTCCTTGGCCTCACAGCTCATCTTAAAGGACCTTCTCAGGAGGCTTTCCTGGGTCTCTCCAGTTTGTGTAGGTTCCCATCTCCCATTACTCTTCACCTGAAATTCTACTGGCTCCCTTCCTAGTGCTATGTGTTTTTGTCATTGTTGTCTGTCTCCCCAGCTAGAAGGTTCTCTCTATGAGTGCAAGCCTGTGACTCTATTCCCTGCTGCATCTCCCAGGACCACAGAGCCCAGTACAAGGTAGGCCCCCAAGAAATCCCTGCTGAATGAGTGTTTGGATTAATGAATGAATAAAACAATGAGATAATGGAAGCACAAGTCCTTGGGATACCAATGGGTAATTAATAAACTGTGCTTCCTCTCTTCTTTACTCTTAAAAGTGGATCTGTATCTTTCATTTGATAAAAAGCAACAGGGGTGATTGGAATAAACACTAGGTGGGGGCAAGAGGGTTAGTGCTAGTGAGAGATCCTAAATCTCTGCATGAAGGATGTCTCCACTTCCTTCTATAAAGGAGGTAATCCAAGCTCATATGTAACTGTAACACGTGTTATTTGTTTCTGTACCACCTTGTTCTAGCCTTGTTCTGGATATTTTTTGCAAAGACTGATTGCAAAGCTACTATCCAACAGGGGTAACATATGTCTGATCCCAAACTTACATTCTTGTTGAAACATGAACACACTAAACCCAAAGTCACCTTGCTTGTAGACAAAATGCACAGAGCTGAGGGGCTGCCCAGCTCTGCCTCTGTCTGACTGTGAAACTCTGAGCAAGTCACTTAATCCCTCAGGGCCTCAGTTTTCCCATCTGTTAAATGGAGAGGCACTCACTTGCTCCATTTGTCTCCCAGGGTGGTAGTGAATCACAAGGGAGGGTTTCTGAAGCTAAGAGAAGCCCCTGGGATGCCCGCTGACTGATGCCCCCTGGGATGTGGGCACTCTCATTTGCTCTGAGGTTCCAGCTGGATGCAGCTGCTCCTGTGCACCTGGTACAGAGCCTTCTGGACAGGGCCAAACTCCTCACCGAACCTCAGGGAACACGCCCTCTGACATAGGGCAATCCTGATTTAAAAGTCTGTCTCTTTTTGCAAAGGAGAGTCAGACAGTCTTGGGAGAATATGGTGTAGTGATCGGCTGTGGACTGGGTGTCAGGAGCTGCAGTAAAGTCCCACTGACACCCCTAGCAACTTTAGGCCAATTCCTCTCTTCCTCCTTCTGGGCTGTGACACCCTCACCTCTACAGTGTGTGTGTGTGTGTGTGTGTGTGTGTGTGTGTGTGTGGATTGAACCAGGCACCATAGTTCAGAACTTGGAGATGTTAATGAAAACTCTCCTCAACCCACAGAGAACAGATATAAAGGCATAATTCAGAGATATTGCAAATTCAGCTCCAGATCACCACAATAAAGTCAATATAAAGTGAGTCACACAAATTATTTGGTTTCCCAGTGTATATAAAAATTGCATTTACATTATACTGTGGTCTACTAAGTGTGCAATAGCAGTATGTCTAAAAAAAGTCAGCCCTTAATTAAAAAATATTTCATTGCTAAAAAGTGCTGATGATCATCTGAGCCTTTGGTGATCTGTAATCTTTTTGCTAGCTTGATGCTGATGGCTACTGACTGATCAGGATGGGGACTGTTGAAGGCTGGGGGACTGTGGCAATTTTTAAAAATAAAACAATGAAGTTTGCCATGTAGACTGACCCTTCCTTTAACAAAGGATTTAACAGGTAGCATGCAATTCTGTTCGGTAGCATTTTACCCACAGTTTACCCACGCCTTCAAAACTGGAGTCAATCTTCTCAAACCCTGCTGCTGCTTTATCAACTAAGTTTATGTAATATGCTCAATCCTTTGTTACGTCAATAGTATTCACAGTATCTTCACCAGGAGTAGATTCCATCTCAAGAAACCACTTTCTTTGCTCACCCATAAAAAACAACTCTTACTTCGAACTTCATCTGTTCCAGTTTTTTCATGAGATTGAAGCAATTCAGTCACATCTTCAGGCTCCACTTCTTAGTCCTCTTGTCACTTCCACCCCATCTGCAGTGACTTCCTCCCCTGAAGCCTTGAACTCCTCAAAGCCATCCGTGAGAGTTGTAATCATCTCTTTCAAACTCCCACTAAAGTTAATATGTTGATCTTCTCCCATCAGTCACAAATGTTCTTAATGGCATCTAGAATGGTGAATCCTTTCCAGAAGGTTCTGAATTCACTTTGCCCGGATTCATCAGGGGAATTACTATCTATGGCAGCTATAGCTTTATAAAATATATTTCTTGAATAATAAGACTTAAAGGTCAAAATTACTTCTTGATCCATGGGCGCAGAATAGATGTTCTTAAGGGTCCCAGGATTTTCAAAATGGTGAATGAGCATTGGCTTCAACTTAAGTCACCTCCTACGCTGGCCTCTAACAAAAGAGTTACCCTGTTCTTTGAAGCTTTGAAGCCAGACATTGACTTCTCTCTAGCTATGAAAGTCCTAGAGGGCATCTTCTTCCAATATAAGGCTGTTTTGTCTACACTGAAAATATTGTTTAGTGTAGCCACCTATATTAGGCTGTTCTTGCATTGCTACCAAGAAATACCTGAGACTGGGTAAATTATAAGTAAAAGAGGTTAAATTGGTTCATGATTCTAGTGGCTATACAGGCATGGCACCAGCATGCCACTCACAGTGGAAGGGGAAGCAGGAGCGGGTACTTCACATGGCAAAAGAAGGTGCAAGCGAGGCAGTGGCATGGGGGGCACAAACTTAACCAGATCTCAGGAGAACTCACTCACTATCAGGAGGACAGCACCAAACCATAAGGGATCCACCTCCATGACCCAGACACCTTCCACCTCCACCAGGCCCCACCCCCAACAATGGGAGGGACAACTCAACGTGGGATTTGGTGGAGACATGTATTCAAGCTATATCACCACCTTCATCAATTATCTTAGCTAGATTTTCTCGATAACTTGCTGCAGCTTCTACATCAGCACTTGCTGCTTCACCTTGCACTTTTATGTTGTGGAGATGGCTTCTTTCTTTAAACCTCATGAACCAGCCTCTCTCTGCTAGCTTCAAACTACTTCTGCAGCTTCCTCACCTCTCTCATCCTTTATAGAATTGAAGTGGGTTAGAGCCTTGCTCTGGATTAGGCTTTGGTTTAAGAGAATGTTGGGCATGTTTGATCTTCTATCCAGACCACTGAAACGTTCTCTATATCAGCAAGAAGGCTTTCACTTTCTTCTTATTCCTGTGTTCACAAGTAGCACCTTTAATTTCCTTCAAGAACTTTTCCTTTGCATTCACAATTTGGCTATTTAGTGAAAGAGGCGTAGCTTTAGGCCAGTCTCAGCTTTCTACATGCCTTTCTCACTAAGCATAATCATTTCTAGCTTTTGATTTAAAGTGAGAGATGTGTGACTCCTTCTTTCACTTGACTACTTAGAGGCCATTGTAGGGTTATTAATTGGCCTAATTTTAATATTGTTGTGTCTCAGGGAAACAATTTCCCAAAGAAAGGGAAAGAGATGAAGCAGTCAGAACACACACAGCAATCATCAATTAAATTTGTTGTTTTATATGGATGTGGCTCATGGTGCCCCAAAACAACTACAATAGTAACATTAAATATCACTTATCATAGATCGTCATATCAGACACAGTAATAATAAGAAAGTTTGAAATATTGCAAGAATTACAAAAATGTGACATCATAGAGACAGCTGTTGGAAAAATGACATCTATAGTCTTGCTTGACGCTGGATTGCCACAAATTTTCAATTTGTAAAAAATGCATTATCTGCAAAGTACAGTAAAGCAAAGTGCAATAAAATGAGGCTAAATCAGGTGCACTGGCTTACACCTGTAATCCCAGCACTTTGGGAGGCCGAGGTGGGTGGATCACTTGAGCCCAGGAGTTTGAAACCAGTCTGGGCAACATGGTGAAACCCTGTCTCTACGAAAAATACAAAAATTAGCCCGGTGTGGTAGTACACGTCTGTAGTCCCAGCTACTCAAGAGGCTGAGGTGGGAGGATGGCTTGAGCCTGGGAGGCAGAGGTTGCAGTGAGCCTTGATTGCACCACTGCACTCCAGCCTGGGTGACCCAGAGACCCTGTATCAATTTTTTTTTAATTTAAAAAAGAATAAAATGAGATGTACCTATAAACCCAAGCAAGCAAATGTGGGAGGCCGTGAAGCTCATCTGTGTCCCCCAAGGCAAGAACCCCAGGTTGCAGGCTTTTTCAAAGACTTCCAAACTCTGCTTAAGCTCATGATTCCTTGGAACAAACAGGTGTGGAGCTGATCACGGGGCCCGTGCAGAGCCCAAGGCCAGAGATACCCCTTGGGAATTCCTGATGCCAGAGTAGACAGGACATCCTGGTACCTCTCACATTCCTACAACACACTGCAGCCACCCTGAGCCTATGCCCAAATCCAGCTGGAGGAGCAATGTGTCAGACAAGAGGAAGATTTCAGGTAGATGGAGCATGACAGGTGAAAAGAGAATAAAGAAGATGAGTCACTAAAGGGTTAAAGGGAAATAACGATGATAACATTAATTGATATTGAGTGGTAACTTGCTATGTGCCTGGTACTGGTCTAAGCACTTTACAAGAATTAGGTCATTAATCTCCACAACACCAGAAGGCGGACGCTTTTATTTGTGTAACTATTGTGTCCAAATCTTGCAAAGTGCCCACCTTTGTTTATCTGATTCGGTTTCCCCCAAATCCCCAAGTAGTTTTCATTGATGAGATTGTCATTCTCATTTTTAAGACAAAGAAACAAGAGGCTCAGAAAAGTGAAATGAGTTACCCAAGGTCACGTGATTCCTCAATTTCTGGGCTCAGACCACAAATGCAGGGCCTAAGACAGACTTCTGAGCTCTTTGTGCTACACTACATTCGGCCGGCAGAGAGCAGAAGAGAGCAACATTGCTTCTTTTTCAGGCCAGCCAGGGACAGCACTAGAGCCCTGGATATCACAGAACGAGCGGCATGGATTTGTTTATTCACCCATTAAAAAATTATTTATTCCATAACTTACAAGTTGTTCGAACTTGGACAGGTCACTTCATCTCTCTGAATTTAGTTCCCATATCTATAAAGTGAAGAAAATAGTATTTTGTTCATAGGGACACAAGACTTAAATGACACACACATAAAAAATATTTAGCCATGTCTGACACAGAGCAAGTGCTAAGAATAGTAGCTTCTACTATTGCCATTATTCATTGATTTGCACAGTATTTCAGTTATTCCTTCAATCATTCACCAAACATTTTTTCATTTAGTATCTGTCATGTAAACAAACAACAAAAATTGTCCTAGGGCCAAGGGAATGAATGAGGGTGAGTTTCAAAGGTAACTCAGATATGTTTTCTGGAAGAAGGGAGAAAAATCATTGCAAAGGAACTGTAATACGCTGGGAAAGAGGAGGGGACTCCCCACTGTCGGGAGAAATGAAGGGCACCTTCTTGGAGCACGGAGCTTCTGAAAATATCTTGCTAAAGACACGGGCCAGGCTCGGTGGCTCACGCCTGTAATCCCAGCACTTTGGGAGGCCGAGGTGGGCGGATCACGAAGTCGAGAGATCAAGACCAGCCTGGCCAACATGGTGAAACCCCGTCTCTACTAAAATACAAAAAAATTAGCTGGGCTTGGTGGCATGTGCCTATAGCCCCAGCTACTCAGGAGGCTGAGGCAGGGAAATCGCTTGAACCCAGGAGACGGAGCTTGCACTGAGCCGAGATGGCACCATTGCACTCCAGCCTGGCAACAGAGTGAGACTCCGTCTCCAAAAAAAAAAAAAAGACACGGATGCACAGACCTTAGCTCAGACCTACAGAATCCCCAGCTCAAAGGACAGGTCTCACTTGCCCACATCTTTACAAAGCTTCACGAATGATTCTGACAGTAAGGTAGGTTCAGGGAGCCACTTCTTTGGATATTGAAGTATGCATAGGATTTAATCCCCTGAAGATGAGAGCTGCCAGGACCCATGTTTCTCCCCGAGAGAGTTTTGCTATCGCTGTGGGTGCAGGGGACTGGGCGAGGATCTCAGAAGCCATAAAATGAAAGGGACACAGAGGACATGTCCTTCATCCCCAGTGTAGGAATCCTCTCCTGCTCCCTGGTGATATGTGGTCCTGGAGCCTTTGCCTGAACATCACTCCTCCTTTTGAGCCTCAGTTTCCCCATCTTTAAAAAAGGGTTTGCATCAGATGATTCTTCAGATGCCTTTCAGCTCTGATATTATATGACTTTGATGCAGACATCACTGCTCTGGAAGGCAGCCTGTTAGATAAAACAGTGTGTGCTTCAAGAGAAATCTGCTCCATGTCTGCTATAGCTTCTTCTCACCCAAAGAGAAAGCCCAAGCCCTTTGCCCTGGCACCTGGGCTTCTCTTGGAGGCAGCCCTTGCCTCCTCTGCCCTCCTCATCCCCTTTATGCCTCAGTTAAAATGAAATGGTCTCCTCACTCTTCCCTGAGGCCTGTTGTCATCCCATCCTCAGTTTCTCTCCCTTCAACCTTCACCGCCTCCTGCACTCCCCTGCACCTGCACCTGAGCCTGTCAAACCCTACAGGGCTTTGTAATGCTGCCGCCTCTATGAGGTCACCCCTGATTTCTCTCAAACGGAGTAACTTCTCTTCTTTATGTCCCCCATCCCAAGCTTTACACCATTATCACTGTCATTACTTCCTGCTAACAACTTGCTACATGCTGGGCGTTATGTAACATATGTGGCATGCTTTATTTTATTGACCCATTTCACAAACCTATGATATTGATATTATGGCTATTTCCACTTTATAGATAGAGAAAGTGAGCTCTGGGGTGGTTGAGTGACTTGTCCACAGAGGCTCTGCCGTATGTTCCAGTCATTTCTGCAGGCGTCTCATCTCAACGCCAGACTGGAGATTCCTGGTAGTCCTAAATGCTGCCAGTTGAATCTCTCAGGTCCTATAAGGAGAACTTGAATACAGGTTGTATTAAAAGATGTAGCAGTTCCTAGGAAGATAACATCAGCAGGCTGGGGTGGAAAGTCAAAGCTATCTCTTGGGACACTTAAAAATTGGAAGAATCATTAAGAAACAAAATATTAGGGCCAAGTCCATCCTAATCCAAGCGAGTGAAATCCGACCATGCCCATCTTTAGCCACAGCAGGCTAAGAAAAATGCCCCTATCAAAGGCACTGGGTTCAGACCCAAGCCTTGCAAAAAATCTCAGACATGTTTGGGTGATGTATTTTTTTTTAAGTGAAGACTTTTTTTTTTTTTAAGCAAGGAGTGTAAAATAAAATAACAGCCACAACACAAGTGAAATGCAACTTTTATTTCAGCTCTTGTGTGTGGTAGGAAAGGTAGGTATGGGAGGGGGTGGGTAATAGCATAGAAGAACCTCCTTTTACAAGGTCTGTAGTAGAGCAGCCACATGTCTCCTTCCTTCCTGCACAGTTGCTTTTTAAATTTAAGAAGTTGCTCAAATGGGAAAAGCTGTCTGTCTGTAATTGTCCCAGTGGCAGCCAGCATTAATGGAGTGTGTGAAACTGGCCTTTTGGGACAAGGTATAAGAAAAATGACTGCCAAGGGTTAAGAACCGGGAGGTTTATTTTTCATTTGTGCAGAGATGGATCCCAGAGACTTCTTTTATTCTGGAAATTTTTTTTCTTGGCTTTTCAAACCTCCAAATGAATAGGGGGGGAAAAGTGAACTGATGTGATTCCAATTTGCAAGAAGAGTGCAATTTCAATTGATTTAAAGTGGGGAGCAACACAGGTAATGATCACAGAAAGTGGCTGGAATTAGTCACTAAACAAGGTTCAAGGTTCCAAGCCTGACTTCTGTTTCATTAGCGTTAAAGAATGAGAATAAAAAGATAGATGGTTCCATTTATCAGGTTCCTAATAAAAGCATGAAGCGGTGCATCTCGCGACTCAGGACCCAGACCAGGCCATAGAGACACTGACATCTAATCTGGACTTTACCCCCCAGCAATGTGATTTGACTCATAAAGATGTACTTACTAATTGTAGCCTTCCCAAGACCTTTGGACCCTCCCAAGTGGATGTCCACGCAGGCTGAGAAACCTGGATCTTTGTGTCTTAATCATATGAGGTCTGACTAAAAGTTGCCCTAGGAGAACACTAAATAGTCCACTTCTCCCTCCTTCCTTGTCTTTCCCATATCCCATCCCATTCTGGCTGTCAGTCATAGAGAACTGCTTTCACTAATTCAATGTCTAGTGAACAGTTCACCAACCAGTGGGAACGCTATCATGGTTGTGGGGCAGAGCTAATAAGATGAAGTGTTTGGAAGTATCACAGGCACGTAGTCAACCCTCAATGTGTGTTAGTCTTTATTATTGAAGGAGTTTTTTTCTGATTATTACCCAGAGGATTTTAAATGCTATGCTGGGTGTGCGTGTGTACATGTGTGCACATGCATGTGTTTGTGTGTTGGAGGGGGAGCAATTAGCACAGAATGCCATGTGAGACGAAGAAAGGAGGTCAAGGCAGGCTTGGGATGTGAGCAAATGGGACATCCACTTGAAAGAGTAAGTCTCTGAGTTTCTATCCTAAAGAGCAAGTTGTATCATGGAGTAATTGATAAAGGAGCTGCAGATATAGATAAGAGGTAAAGCCAGACGGGTCTCATGCAGCACTCCCATGGAATCTGAATTTTTGTCCCATGGGTTCTTAAACTTTTCATCTCTTAAAAGCATAGATGAAGGAACAGGAAATCTGACAGCTCCAGAGGCAAAGCCCAAAAAAAGCATTTTCCAGGCTTAACACTTTGAGGGAGTCTCATATTTTATCTTTAAAACTTAAGCTAAGTTTGTGTACTACTCTTTTACATATACCAATGTGAAAATAAAATTGATAAACTCTAGGACTGGTGCACATTTACCTGGGGGTTGTCCTGCCATACCATCCTGGAGCCTGTGTACCCAGTCTGAGAAACACCATTGTTGTTGATGGATGGAAACTTGCAGAAGTATTTTGAAAAGCAGAGAAGTGTGCTCACGTTTCCATTTCAGAAAGATGAGGTTGATGGATTAGAGGGGGCATCAGGGGGCTGGAGATCTAGTCCAAGAGTAGCTCCAGTAGTTCATTGCCTGATCAAAGGAGGTATCCAGGGATGGAGCTCAGAATGGCATTGCCTGCTGCTAGTTCCCCTGTTCCAGGAAGCCTTCGTCACCGTTGAGATGGGTAGCCATGTTTCATTTTTGTTTGTTTGTTTTTGTAGTTGCTTGCAATTCTCACTTTTTCTCTTCATTTAAAATGGTGATTCCTTATTTTAAACATTCTTGGTCCTGAAGATTCAGCATTCCTATTTAACATAACTGGCTCAGGCTTGAGTATTTTCTCTGCATTAGAAGACACCTTAGCAGGCCTCTAGCAGCATGGCTGGTGGGTAGTTCAACAGCACCCATTTGACGGTGCAGTGGAGGAGGTGCAGTCATCCAGAATTCCTGGGAGGCCTCCTATGCAGTACAGAACATTTGCAGGGTGCCCCATGGTTTTCAATCTCTGCTGGACATGGCTGATATGACCACTGCCCAAGGCTGCCAGTCTCTGTTTTGGTCAAGTTTGGGCTCTGTGCTCTGTGCCAGGGTGGGGTGTCCTGGTTCCCAAAGTCCAGCCTCCCTTTCTGCATCACTCAGCCTTGCATGAGTACCTAATTCTCATGGCATTTACTAAACCCCCATTCCCTCCACTGTCTCTACAGGAAGCCCACCTTAAAATCTCTCAACCTTTTCAGCCTCTCCCTTTTTCAGACAGTGCACTTCTGTCCTCTCGCTAACTTTCATTAAGCCTCTGTAGGTTGTTTGTCTTATGGGTGCCTGATAATTCTGCTTTGTCTAAACAGGCAGGCAGGCAAAGAAACAAAAACACAATGAACAAACAAAACAGGAGGGGAAGATATCTGCAGCAGCAAAAACCAAACATGAAATCTCACCAACTTATTCTGTATTATGCATTTGTTTAATGTTTTCATCGCCACCCACCCAACCCCCACTCTTCCCAGAGAAACATCTCTTAATGGCATAAGTTTCCATATTCACACACGTTCTCTATATTTGGGGGCAGGGGGTTAACACAAGCTGGTCAGTGGTGTAGCTAGAGAGACCTCAGAAATGCTAAATAGGTTATAAAATTGTTGTGATGAACAGTAAACATGCTTCTGCTGCTGAAGGTGAAGGAAATGAGGAATCTCTTCCATGTCTGTCTGTCTGTCTGTCTATCTACCTGCCTACTTACCTACATACCTAGTTAGATATACACACATTTATGTACATACACACTTAGGAGTACCTCTGTTTTGGGTCTGCTGACTTGGACTTTGCTCATGTGAAAATGAGCACAGGTAGATATACTGCTGAGGTAATACATTACCCTTTTCACATAACATCTTTACATGTTGCAGACAGTTGCTGCTTTGTTCCAATGAAACGATGTGTGGTGCCTGGGGTAGATTTCTAGAATGGCTGAACCTTGAGGCAGGAATTTTGAGCTTTCCAAGTTCACAGATATGAAATTTGGTCACTTACCCAAGGATGACCCTCTAGGGAACAGGCTTCCAACAACCAAGTGCAAAAGAAATAGATCAACAAACCCAAAGTCTGATTTTGAAGTTTGTCTTCAGAGATGGAGGATGCAGGGCCCATGCTAGACCACTTGCATGGGCTACTTCCTCCTGGCGGCGTCTGTTGCAGGACCAGATGCAGTTCAGAAGGCTGCCTAGTGAGCATAGATTCAAGGAAGGGAAATTCAGTGTTGCCAAGAAGCCTTCTTCTACACTGGCAGCATCTGGAAGGGTACGAGGAATTTACCTTTGCATCTGCTACTGCACTGAGCACAAGGCCTGGCTCAGCAGAGGCAGTAACGATGAACACTTACTGTATACCAGACGGTGTCCCAACACTTTACATGTACTAACTCCTCTGCCCTCACAACCATCTCTGACATAGGCACTGATAAGGATGTGAAAGCTGAGGTCAGCAGAATAAGGGCCTCTTAAAGATATCCATGCCCTGATCCTGGGAACCTGTCAATATGTGACCTTATGTGGTAAAAGGGACTTTGCAGATGTGATCAAATTTAAGGACCTTGAAATGGGGAGAGTACCCTGGACTATCCAGGTGGGTCCAATCTCATCACAAGTTCTTAAAATTGGGGAACTGTTTCTTGGCTGCGGAAAACCAGAGAGATGGCAGCATGAGAAGAACTTTGCCCCTTACTGCTGACTTTGAAGATGGAGGAAGGGCTCCTGACCCACAGGATGTGGGCAGCTTCTAACAGCTGGAAAAGGCAAGCATGGATTTTCCCCCAGAGCTTCCAGAAAGGAACGCAGCCCTTCTTGGCACCAATAAGTTGTGTTCTTTTTCTACTTTATACTGGCTGCAAAAAAAAAAAAAAAAAAAAAAAAAAAGAACATTTGATTGGAGAAGCAATCAGATTTTATTCAATGGCCAAAGAATGGAGAAGGGGAGCTTGTGCTCTAAAGATGCCTTCTCTCCAGGCAGGGGGAGCAATGGGAGCTTTATGCTGGACAGAGAGGTATGTGGGCAGGCACAGGGTGGAGTTCCAGACACGCCAGCGCGGTTCACAAACATGCTTCTTCCTACCTCATATGTATGCAAAATGGCGGTGGTCTCCTCTTAGGGGAGGATTTTTTAGTATTATAATAATATGTTGGTGATCTAAAGATAACTGTAGTTTTCCTACTCCAGTCTGCACTTGTTTTGAGCAGGCCTGGACTTTCTGGTATCCGATAATGGTCACGAGGTTGTGTGTGGCAACAGGCCATTTGGTTTCCTTAAGCAGCTGTGCTTATAGATAAAGTGACTAAATAAATCTGTCAGAATTTCCCCCATTTTCCCCTTGGGACCATCCCAGTGACCTTCTGACGACTAGATTTCTGCCCAGTGAGCCCCAGTGAACCCTTGCTTTCAGCTGAGTAAGAAGAAGGTTAGTTCTTCTAATCTGTAGGACTGTAAGCTAGTAAATTTGTGTTTTTTGAAGCCACTAAGTTTTTGGTAATTTGTTACAGCTGCAATAGAGAACTAACACAGGTTTTCATAAAGGTTAAATGACACAGCTAATAAGCAACAGAGCCAGAACCAAAATCCAAGCTGTCTGGTTCGGAAGCCCACGCCCCTCTGTATTCTGCAACGTGGCCATTTTACCACCATCATGGACTGTGTAAGTAAGTAAGTAGCAAGAGAAGAAAGAGGATGAGTGAAAAGGAAGAAAAACAGAATGACAGAGAGAGAAACATATGTATAAGGTTAACAGCCTTGTGTTCTATGCACTTCCGTTGTGTGGGTGTTTCTGCTTACTTAACAATAACCACAAAGCACATGTGCACGCTGTCTTCCTCCCTTTCTTCCTCCCTCCTGCCCTCCCATACTGCTGGAAGCACCTAACCATGCACTCTCTAGAACCCGTGCCAACCACACCTGCGTCTAAGCGTGCCCTTGGCGAGGGCGTGGTAGAATTTCCAAGCTGCCAGATGCACACAAGCGGATCACTGTGCATCCAATAGGTGGTTTCCGGCTGAGATTTAGAATCGTTCTTATCTCATCAGTGACTCACGCCATCTCACCCGCTTTATGCTGATTTTGCTTTCTGACTAAGTCCCATAGTCCACCTGTTTAAGCCATAACAAGGGGTGCCAGATTCCGCAAATAAAAAACAGGGCACCCAGTTAAATTTAAATATCAGATAAACGACAAATAATATTTTAATATAAGGATTTCCCAAATATTGTATGGGATGTTCTTATACTAAACAATCATTATTTATTGATCTGAAATTCAAATTTAACTGGGCATCTTGCAGTTTATCTGGCAACCCAAACCACAGCAGACCAGCAGAGAAACGATTCTGGGGCAGCAGACCTTAGCAACTCCCTAGAACCATGCTGGGGAGCACTGTCCATTCCAGGCCAGTGCAGAGATAGGATGGTTTCTGCTCCTTCTGCTCAGAAGAGTTGAATGGAGGTCCAGTCCTGGGCAGGGGGTGACAGCATAAGGTGGGTGGAGGAGGTGGACTGGGACAGACAAGGGACCCTCCGAGCAGCTCTCACAACCCAGCGGATGCCCCCCAGTCACTTCAAGCCTTCCAGATGATTCCTCCAGCAGTTCTGATAATGGGATGATCAAGATGACCTGGACAGGCAGGAGGAGGCGGAGGGCTGGAAGAATGAGTCACCCTCTGGGGGCTTTGAGCCTCTTGGCTCTCACAGTAGTAGTCTGATGTAGAACCCCAGTTCTAGAATATCTGTGCTTTGGTGCTCGGCCCGCTGCACTGTGACCCCAACCTAAAAGTACCTTCTGCCACCCACACACTCAAAATCTCCCCAAACTCTGCCCGTTTCTTAATTTTGTTTTAACGTTTCCTTTTCTGCCAGCTATTGTACTGGTTGTTGGGAATTCAGTCCTCTAGCAATCTGTCAATCAATCAACAAGTAGTAGTTATTGAGTGCCTACTGTGTATAAAACATATGTTCATCCCAGTAGTAGAGACAAAGGTCTGTTCCCCAGGAGCTTATAATCAAACCAGGAAAGAACAATCTGGTTATGTGGGGGGAAAATGGGCAAATGACAAGATGGTTCTGACATTTATGAAACATCCACCAGACATCCATTCTCACGTCGGGTGCCAGAGACATGGAAAAGAAGTCCAGGAGCTCACACTGTATGTAAATATATGTTACTGTATGTAATCCTATGTATTTCCCAAGAAATACATAGTCGCACGCACAGAGAAGGGGCCCCTAACCCAGCCTGGGCACTTAGGGAAGGTTTTGCTGAGGTGGTGAGGCCCAAACAGTCTCTGGAGAGAGAAGCAAAAGTCAATTTGGAGAATGCAGCCACAGGGAGATACTCCCTCTCCCAACCTCCCCTCGAGACCTCTGAATATTTAATTCTGCCTCCTCCCTTCATTGAGCAATTAGATGGAGAAAATCTTATTCACCAGAATTCTTCTGTGGAAAGACCACTGAACTTGCTTGGAAAATATACTTGGATTATCTGTTCCAATGTGGATTGGGAAGAGAGATTCTGAGAGCACACTTAAGCAACAAAAGATGATTTTCTAACTGCAATGTCTGAATCAAGAGCGTTGGCAGCCACATTTGCTTTGCATTGAAACCTTGTCTTTTCTTAAAAGATTGTTAATTTGTTCAAGATCTGGCCTCAATATGTCCTATAGTTTCAAGTAGAAACAACTGCCCTGAAGAACCTAAATGCCAACCCTCGACATGGGTACGCCATTCCTACCCTACCCTCTGTGCCAACGATAAGTAAAATGTTATGGTCTTTGGTCTCTGTGGCTTTACATCACGGTGCCATTGTCTACAGAATTGGAATTCGACACCCCCATCAGTACATACTTTTGAGTACACCTCGAAATATGTATATGCATTTATGCATAAATTGTATATATGGACCACATTTCCAATAGTTTGTGAGAATAATAAAAAATGCACAAAATGGAAACTTTCAAACAATGAGGAAGAGAGGAAATAAACAGTATCTCCTTAAAATGCTTAAGCCCTGCCTTCACGGTCTGAGCCCAGAAATTGAGGAATCGTGTGACCTTGGGTAACTCATTTCACCTTTCTGAGCCTCTTGTTTCTTTGTCTTAAAAAAAAAAATAAAATTTTTATTGACAAAACATCATGAATGATATTATATGCTTGGATATTTCAAAGAGTCACTTTAACAATTGCAGCTTTTTGGGCTTTTTCTTTTTGGACCTGATTAGATGAGGGTGGTTTTTAGCCTAGAAATCTGGCTGATGGTGAGATAGCACCAGGAAGACTGTTGTGCTTGCATTGCTCACATCATTTTCAGCTCACGGTTTCTTGCGGGAATCTTTTGAAGCCACTTGTCTATTTTGTAAGGGTTGATTTAACTAAAACTCAACAATATATTGTAAAAATCCTCTTTGCTGGGAACACGTGAACTGAGTCCATCACAATGTATCTGCAAGTTAAAGAAGAGGGGGGAGCTCTGCTCTATCAACTGTCCATTTCTTGGACTTTTTCCCACTCTTCTCTGGATGCTCGGGGACCATATGTGACACTTGGCTGCCTGACAGTGGGCCAAGTGGAGGCACTAGTGTCAATGTGTATATGAAATATGTGAGGCTTAATTTTACATTTTTAGATCAGAGTAATGTCAATGGGAATTCTCATTTTATCTTCTCAGCTCTCATTGGATCATCTTGTATACTCCACTTTGGAAACTACCAAACTGCAGAGTGGGGCATATTGATATAAGCCAAGGAATCACACGAATGAATGTTTCAGTATCAGTTGTGAGGCATGCAATGAAGAAAAACCCAGGCTGCTGAGAGGAAAGCACAGACTAGAAGGCTTTCACTTTGACTGGCTGGCCAGAGACCACTTCCTTGAGAAGGCCAATTGAGCTGAGATCCAAAGACAAAACATACTTTCCCAGGTGAAAAGTCAGGGAAGAGATGTCTAGATACAGGAAGCAAGCAACATGTGTAAGGGCCCTAAGGTCAGAGGAGGCGGAGTCTATCAGGGCAACTGCACCAAGGCTGACGTCGTAAGTGTGCAGAAAGTGAGGTAGATGATAGCATCAGATAAACCTTGACCCCTCTTAGACATGGAGAATTTTATAGGACGCATTTCAAAGGAGGTGCTTGGAAAATACCCCAGGATGAAGACAGGCTGAAAGGTCAGGGAAAAGCAACAGTAAAAGCAAAGAATTCACACAGCCCTGGGTGAGGACAGGTTTGGGGCAGCTGGCGGTAGGTAGGGCCTGAGGGACTCTGAGGAGGGCTGCCCTGAGCACACTGGGATTCAGCTGAGAACATTTGGAAGACATGAGAGATTAATAATGAGAGCAGGCAGTGGAGTGTGCAGGGAAGGGCACAGATCCATTGACAGCAATCACAGTTGCTGATAAAAACTCAAACCTGCTATCCGTTGGCAAGTCTTTCCCTTGTTTTAAAATTACAGTCTGTGTCCCCATACCCCCACTGCTGCATTAAATTATAAATTAGTTCCCCTACCACATGGTACTTACATACAGTTCAACTCAGCCCTGCCACGAACCTCGAGGCACAGGGAAGACTTTCAAAATGAAATACAAATTGTCTTTTAACCTGCATTTAATTACTGCCACCTTACACGTAAGGTCTAAAAGGAAGACTCTATAAGCACACTTTAGCACGCATATACTTCTGTGAAGATTGGAGAAGAAGAAAAAAAAAAAACGACGGCATTAGCCTCAGTTACATTCAATGAGCAAAACACACTTCTTCACTCTAGGTAAACATTTTAGGATCCACTGAGAGCCATTTACAAAGCTCATACTGAGAAACTACTATTTACACTGAGAAATATTTATGATCTTAGAGGGAGGCAACATTGTGTAGGCAAAAGGGCAAGGATTTTGGAATCAGACAAACCCGGATTTGACTCACATTCCCCCATTACCTGCTGCGTGAACCTGGAAAGCTTGGGTAAGCTCACAAAGCCTCAATTTTCTCATTTGCCAAATGGGGGAAATATACTTACCTTGCTGAGTTATTTTGAAGATGAAATGAGATCGTGAACCTGAGTGACTGATGTCTCTCGTGCATTGAGTTCTCCGTCAGTGTGTGTGCGTGCAGGCGCATGCGAGTGCGTGTGGAGACCTGTTGCCTGGTGTCACCTAACAAGAGTCAGCAAAAAGGCCACAATTGGCAGGTCTTCCCCTTTACATTTCACTACTACCCGGGTTGAATACGAACCCTTTTGAAAAATATTGGATTTCTTTAACTTTATAACTCTTATATTTGTGACCTGCTTGCTGGTACGTGACCTTAAGAAAGTTACTTAAATGTTTCTCATTTTATCTTACATATTCTTGTAATTACCCTTAAATTCTGGGAAGAAAAGAAAAAGACAAGTAGGAAGAAAGAAGGAAGGAAGGAAGGGAGGGAAGGAGGGAGGGAGGGAGGGAGGAAACAGTACTAAAAGTGAGTAGAACTTACTTCATTTTTTATTTTACTTATTTATTTATTTATTTATTTATTTATTTATTTATTTATTTATTTTTGAGACAGAGTCTTGCTTTGTCACCCAGGCTGGAGTACAGTGGCATGATCTCGGCTCACTGCAACCTCCGCCTCCCAGGTTCAAGCAATTCTCCTGCCTCAGTCTCCTGAGTAGCTGGGATTACAGGTGCCCCCCCCACCACACCTGGCTAATTTTTGTATTTTTAGTGGAGATGGGGTTTCACTTTGTTGGCCAGGCTGGTCTCAAACTCCTGACCTCAAGTGATCTGTCCACCTCGGTCTCCCAAAGTGCTGAAATTACAAGCGTGAGCCACCATGCCTGGCTTGAGTAGAGGTTACTTTTATCAGACCCTGCTCTAAATTCATAACACACCCTTCATTTAATTATCACAACAATCCTATGAGGTAGGAAGCACTTCATCTCTACTTTACAGATAAGAAAACTGAGCTTCGGCTACCTAACTGCTGTGTGGCTTGAGGCAAGTGGCTTAGCTTCTCTGAGCCTCAATTTTCTCACTTTTAAGATGAGAGTAATAATGATTTTCACCTTGCCAAATTTTCTGGTGAGGATTAAACGATATACATAGAAGATCCTTGCTCTGACATAATGCATAGTAGGAAGTATTATTTCTTAAGGAAGAAGTGAGCAAGAATGGTCTCATTCTTCCCTCCCAAGGGTGTTGCTGGGAGAAGGAAAGTAGGGATGAGTAGAGGGGGACAGAGCGAAGTAAAGTCTAACCAGGCAGGGACCTGTGGGTTACAGCGGATGAATAGATACCAAGGTAAGTTCTATGGTGGTTTTATTTCTGCCGCCAGTCAGTTTTCTGCCAGAGCCCTCTCCTCAGTTCCCACAAGTGTACTGGGACAGTCAAGAAAGGCCTGACTTTCATTCAGAATATCTCCAGGACTTTATGCCACATGGAAAATCAATCAAACAGCATGACTAGGTTGCAAACAAGTTTTCATTCCCAGCCTTCAAACTATTTCTCCAAATCAGTTTCCACTTCTCCATGCTAGCAGAGCATAAGGCAAAGCTCAGGTATCATTTCCCAACTACTCTCCCCTGCCTAAACTTGAGGTTCTGAAGGAAGGACACTTGGCTAGGAATAAGATAGGGAAACCGAGGTCCAGAATCATTCAATGTCTTGCCCAAGGCCATGCCACTAGACTTGGCCAGGGGAACCCAGTTGGTTACACAACTTCAGGGTGCTCTGTTTCTATTTATTCTACAAAGATGATGGCCCTCGTTATTGTGCAATGGGGCAGCCCCAAGCGAGGCAATCAAGGGTGGATCCAAGTCTTTAAACTCCTAGTTTAGTGCTCCTTCCACGATGCAAAACGAACTACCTTCTTGAAGAGTATAACGCACATAAGATAGGAACTATTTTCTGAGCTTCGGGTTTCTAAGATCAGGGTGGTAGCTTGCGAGACACGAGCCCAAGTTAGCACAGGGTGCTTGCTCTTGGAGGCTGGTGCTAAATGTGGCTCAGCACCAGCCAAGAGAGGGGGCAAAGGAAAGGAAGGTACGGCTGTGTAAGACAGCAGCGGGGGCAGAGGGAGTGGAAGGGAGTCGGCTTGGCTTCTCCCCGGGAGCTGGGTCAAACAGAGTCAGAGCGTGGCTAGCAGAGTCTAGCTGGAAAATCTCCAACAGACCGGATAGTGAAGGGCAGCTTGGTGAAACCTTAAGATGGAGGCTGAGCTCAAGGTTAAGGAGCCAGGGGCCAAGTGTAAGGTGGGGTGGGCTTGGTGCATGGAAAGTGGGCTTGTGGGCTGAGAAGTGCCGTGCAGCTCTCAACGTGTGGGTGCAGTGGGAGGGCAAAGTTCAGGAATACAGTCATGGGCCGCATAACGACGTTTCAGTCCATGATGGACCGCATTAACGACAGTGGTTCCGTAAGAGTCTAACAGAGGTGAAAAATCCTTGTCACCTACTGATGTGGTATCATAGCGCAGCACGGGACACACATGTTTGTGACGATGCTGGTGTAAACAAACCTACCATGCTGCCAGTCAGGTAAAAGCACAGCACATACAATTATGTACAGTAAATAATATTTAATAAATGACTGTGCTACTGGTTTATGTATTTATTATACTATGCTTTTCATCATTATTTTAGAGTGTACTCCTACTTATTAAAAAAGAAAGTTAATTGTACACCATTTTTAACAAAAATCCTTAAAAAGTAAAAATAATAAATAATTTTAAAAACAGAAAAAAGCTTATAGAATAAGAATATAAAGAAAATATTTTCCTACAGCTGTACAATGTGTTTGTGTTTTAAGCTAAGTGCTACTACAAGAGTCATTTTTTTTTAATTAAAAAGTTTAGAAAGCCAAAACATTACAATAAGCTAAGGTTAATTTATTGTTGAAGAAAGAAAAATAGTTTTTTGTAAATTTGATGTAGCATAAGTGGACAGTGTTTATAGAGTCTACAAGAGTGTACAGGAATGTCCTAGGCCTTCACATTCACTCATCACTCACTCACTGACTCAACCAGAGCAGCTTCTAGTCCTGCGAGATCCAATCATGCTAAGTGCCCTATAGGGGTGTATCATTTTTGTTTCGTTTTGTTTTTTGCGACAGAGTCTCACTCTGTCGCCAGGCTGGAGTGCAGTGGCACGATCTTGGATCACTGCAACCTCCTCCTCCCGGGTTCAAGCAATCCTCCTGCCTCAGCCTCCTGAGTAGCTGGGACTATAGGCGTGCGCCAACACGCCCAGCTATTTATTTTTATTTTTATTTTATTTATTTATTTATTTATTTATTTATTTATTTATTTATTTATTTGAGACAGAGTCTCGCTCTGTCACCCAGGCTGGAGTGCAGTGGCGCGATCTCGGCTCACTGCAAGCTTCGCCTCCTGGGTTCACGCCATTCTCCTGCCTCAGCCTCCCCAGTAGCTGGGACTACAGGCGCCTGCCACCTCGCCCGGCTAATTTTTTGTATTTTTTTAGTAGAGATGGGGTTTCACCATGTTGGCCAGGATGGTCTCCATCTCTTGACCTAGTGATCTGCCTGCCTCGGCCTCCCAAAGAGCTGGGATTACAGGCGTGAGCCACCGCGCCCCGCCAGGTGTATCATTTTTAATCATTTATGCTATATCTTTACTGTATCTTTTCTTTGTTCAGATACACAAACCCTTACCATTGTGTTACAATTGCCTACAGTATTGAGGACAGTCGCATAATGTACAGGTTTGTGGCCTAGGAGCAATAGGTTCTCCCACATAGCCTGGGCGTGTGGTCGGCTGTACCACGGAGGCTTTGTAAGCACACTCTCTGATGTCTGCACAATGATAAAGTCGCCTAATGACAGATTTCTCAGAACATATACCTGTCATTGTTAAGTGGCTCAGGACTGTACTAAGAAGGAACTGGAGTGGAGGGGTTGGGTTTGAGGATCTCGAGTCAGGCAAAGCAACCGTAATGTAATGATATGCTTCAAGGAACTGCAGAGGTGAGAGACAAGACAGGAATATTCCCCGGCTGAGTGGCCAGCCACAGTCTTCCTGGTGTCCACACTAGGACCCTCCGCCCTGCGTGCTGCTGTGGTCTGAGTGTGTGCGTTCCTCCGAAATTCACGTTGAAATCTATTCCCTATTGTGATGGGATTAAGAGGTAGGGCTTTTTTAAAAAATTATTTTATTTTTATTTTTGAGACAAGAGTCTCACTCTGTTGCCCAGGTTGGAGTGCAGTGGCGCGATCTCAGCTCACTGCAACCTCCGCCTCCCAGGTTCAAGCAATTCTCTTGCCTCAGCCTCCCGAGTAGCTAGGATTACAGGTGCCAACTACCATGGCTGGCTAATTTTAAAAAAATATATTTTTGGTAGAGGTGGGTTTTCACTGTGTTGGCCAGGCTGGTCTCAAACTACTGGCCTCAAAAGATCCGTCCACCTCAGCCTCCCAAAGCACTGGGATTACAGGTGTGAGCCGCAGCTCCAGCCAAGGTGGGGCCTTTAGGAGAGGATTGGGAGGTGAATGGGATGCATGCACTTATAAAGGCACTTGAGGGAGCCCTTTTGCCCCTTCCACCGTGTGCAGACACAACAAGAAGTCACCATCTACGAGCAACAGGCCCTCACCAGACACAGAATCTGCCAGTGCCCTGGTCTTGGACTTTCCAGCCTGTAGAACTGTGAGCACTAAATTTCTGTTGTTTACAAACTACCCAGTATGAGGAGCCCCAAGAGACCAAGACACATGCCTGCTCTCCCATTCCAGAGCAAACTGCTGCCTTAGGTGCAGTAACAGAAAATGGACAGAATCAATGTCTGAAAGGCTTTTTTTAAACCACACACTAACACCTCCTGAAGGAGGACTGCACAAACTTTCCCCATTGGCCAAAAGGAATTTGGATTCCTATGCTTCGCTTCCTGGCTCACTCAAGATCATCCGGCCTTCTGATGAGTGCAGGGGCCTCTGTCCCTCTCTGGTTTAGTATCAGATTTAGTTGTCTTGTCTTGCTTTTCACTGTGCTCTGGGCTCAGGCCACTTCTAAGGAGTAGCAAATTGGACTGAGCCCAGATGGAAGCCCAGGCTCTGAGCAGCATGTATGAGATGGAATAGCAGGCTCAGGTGAGGCCTCAGGTGAGGGCTAGGCAAGCCTTCAGCCCAAAGTCTTTGTCATGGTTTGCTTCTCTGGACTGGCTTATTGTAGTAGGCAGAGGGCATGTGTCCCAAGTAGTAGGAGCTAATTATATCCCTGAGGAGTTGTTGGAAGAAGACAGCCAAGCCCACACTTCCCCCAGGCTCTAATTAACTTGAGCACACCTCCCTATATTCTGATCATGCCTTTATTAGATCGCTGTTGGATTCCAACTAAGTTTAATCCAGTGTTCCCTTTTCTAAACATCCTGGAGATGACAATTATGCAGCAGACTTTTTTTTTTTTTTTTTTTTTTAGAAACTGCCAAAGGTGTCTGAGGCAGCTGACTTGGAGCTCTGATAATCATATTGCTTGTTTTCATATAAGCTTTCGGGGGAGCTGGCCCAGAAGTTTCTGCCAAAATCGTTGCAGACTGCTCCCACCTTCCATTCCCCAAGCACCTCATTTAGTTAAGTGATTTTGTCTCCTTCAGGTTGCTCTGTAATTGGGGTGATTATTCATTCCCATCACGATACAGAACTGAGAGGAAGAAGCTGGCTCAGGACCCCCAATACTCTGTCCTGCTTCCCACTGAATTTTATCACTTTCCTTGATCTGTCTGAGGGCTTGACTTCTGAGATGTGAGGAGCCAGCATAGGGTCGGCCAGTCCCAGCTGCCTCATGGCCCCTGTTCAGAACAATGGCTCCATTGTCATAATGGGGTCAGGCCTGGGGAGAAAGGCAGTGGGAAGTTTGCTTGCCAGCCAGCCAGAAAGATGCAGTAACTGCAGCGTAGCCAGTCGGTGTGTTGCATCTTCCAAGCACCACAGCCCAGGATGGGGGGTTTGGACCACTCTATCTTGTAGACTGGGTTGTGTGTGCCCAGTAGGGATTCCCAGCAAGTGTCGTTCGTAAGGAGAATGGGCTGGGGCCTGCCATGTCAGAGCATGTGATCAGGAGAGCACACATGAGCCGCCAGAGGGGCATTTTCTATCTCAGATGTTCATCCAAGACCTCCTTCTCCCTAGCCACTCTGCCCATCCTCCCTGTCCTCATTGTTCCAGCATGGTCATCTTGCTTTCTGTATCTGCTTCAGGTTCTCAGCCCATGTTCAGATGAACCATCAAGACACTTTTCAGTGGCTTACCCATATCTGAACAATTCTCTTTCCCAACAACACCTTCACAAGACTTCTGCTTCTTCATAGCCTTTTGATTTCAGCAACACTCGGGGTTATTGAAAAGAGAATTTGTCTAGGGTTTTGGCCCCATGGAAAATAAGCTTGTTAGAGAAACAAGTAAGTAAACAGATGATTATAACTCAGGAGGGGATAAAGACCCACCATAGGGGAACATGGGGTGTTATGAAAACACAGAGGGGGAACACAAGACACAGGCTTGGAGGTTCCAGGAGGCCTTCCTGGAGGAAAAGACCTCTAAAATGAGACTTGAAGAAGGAATAGAGAGCATATTCCTGATGGAGAGAGCAGCATATGGAAAGCCTCAGAGCAGAGGTTTTCAGGCAGGTTTGGAGATACCCACTAAGTGCAGTGGGCATACTTCAGACTTGCTGAGGGGGACCCTGGCAGACATGCTTTGAGTTCTGTTCCAGAAATAGGAACGTGTTGGTCTTAGGCCATTTGCAATGTTGGGGGACAAGGACATACTTAGAGATACAAGCAAGCCAAGAAGCTGATGCTTTAATGTAAGAATTGAGCCTATTACCTTATTTCCATTAACATGGTCTTCATGTCATTTATAAAAAGTCTGGTGTCAATCTGATTCTCTTTCTCTCTCCCTCCTTCCTCTCTCTCTCTCTTTTTGGAGATTATATGTTCTTTACTTAACCTTTATCTTATTGTTGAAGATTTAAGTCATTTCTGGTTTGTTTGTTTTTTTGCTATAATCCCATAATATGATTATGAGCTTCTCTGAGCATAAAGCCTTTTTTCTTCTTTCTCCTTCCCTCTCAGGTTTAGTTTCTAGGGAAGACTCTCATGACTGGCTCTTCTGGGGTAAATGTTACAGATATCCTAAGGGCCCTTTCTACTTCCACTATGCCATGCTGCCTCTAAAAGCAAACAAGAGAAAACATATATAATAATACTATCCCCCCAAAACTCAGAAGTGTTAACACTTCTGAAACAGGAATGAGATCACTGAGTTAAATCTCCAACCCAACTTGAGAAGCTTAAAAGGAAGAAAACTTCTCTCTCTTCATGATAGATATAGAGAACTCATTAAGATTTTTTTCTACATGGGGACTGAATAGAAAGAACACTCAATATTCAATTTATTGCATCATGGTTCATCATTACTCTATTTATTGGACATGAAAAATAGAAAAATAGAATCAACCATCATAGCAGTAATCATTCCCAAAATAGAGGTGCAGCCTTGCAGAGTCAAACTCAGATCTGAACAGGATGGATTAGACAGGGTAATTAAGGGACAGGGCCTCCTGGAACAGTCAAGCAATTCAAGAATGTTCAGATGGAGTTGTTAGCCCAAGATAGACAAGCAAGACTGTGAAGCCCAAGAGCAAATCAGAGATTGCAGTGTCAGTGTTTGGAGCAGGGGTGGGTAGGAAATTGGCACAGATTAATTGCAATGGCAGCTAGAAGGAATGCAGTGGGCAGACCATTCTTCAACATCTAGGAAGGTGGATGAATCTGAATCAGAGCAATAGCCCAGACAGACTTCTGGGATTTCTGGCATTAGGAATTGAGAAACTGGTGGGGAAAACTGGAGGAGAAACAGGAAGCAATGACCATGTGCAAGGCATTGTGCCAGGTGCTTTAGAGACCTAACTCTCACAGTAATCTCCAAGGCAACGAAATTATTCCAGTTTTACAGGTAGGCTTAATTGAGGTCTGTAGAGCAGAAGGGCTTTCCCGAGGCACCAGGTCTGTCTGGTTCTTTGACAACACTGTGATGAAGGTGGAATCAGTAAGGAGCCAGAAAACTATTCTAAAAGGGCTACCACTTGTCCCAGTGTATGGGGTGTGGTGGATCTAGTGGGGGATTGAGAGAAGAGCCAGTCAAGACACTGTCCAAGACTGCTTTTTCAAGACTTAGGAGGTCTTCTTTTTTTGTTGTTTTATTTGTTATAGAGATGGGTCTCATTCTGTTGCCCAGGCTGATCTCAAACTCCTGGTCTCAAGCGAACCTCCCACCTCAGCCTTCCAAAGTGCCAGGATTTATAGGCATGAGCCATGGTGCCAGCCAAGCCATCTTCTTTTTGACCAAGAAAAACTCATTCTATGGCTGGCTTAGCATCCTGTAGAGCTTCTTAGTGGCCTGTTTTACCACATTCCCTACTTCTTCTGAATTGTACTTCATTTAGTGTGGACTTATTTCTAGTAAACTTGGGAGTAGTTTTAGTCTGAGAGCTCTGGGTCCCAAATCAAAGCCAGCTAATTGTGCCAAGCACATTGGCTTCAAGACTCTAAGAGATACAAAGATGTTATACACAATGGTGTCTATAAATAATGTTGCCTTTGCCTCCCAGGCCTATCTCATCATCTGACATCACATTGCTAGACCATGGGAATTCCAAGAACTATTTTGAAGAAGGAAAGTGTGTCACTCCTTGAGATTTTATGTCTTACAGATCAGGAGTAGGTTATTGATTAAGGCTCAGAGCCAAGAAGCCAAGCACAGAGCTACAAAGGCCTCCTGGTCAATCCTTATCCAGTTCAGATGTGCTTAGGGGAGAAACAGCTGCTCAGAGTTTCTGTTAAAGAGGAAAAATGTTGATCTTCACTTCTGCTTCTGCAAATTATTGGTCTCCTCTTGACCTCTGTGCTCTCAACTAAAAGCTCTAGTGAGCTCTTTTGATATGCTCACTTTCCTTCAGGGATTGGGGGAAGGAAGAGAGATTCTGCACAGCTCCAGCTCCTACTAAGTACCTTGTTCTAGCCAGACAGCACCTTACTTTATCATTACAGTACCTCTATGAGACAAATATTGATAGATCCATTTTGTAGATGAGAAAAATGAGGTTCACTGAGTATGTTAAATATAGTAGAAAGAACTGCATCCATGGATTTTGATGGACCTGAGATCAGCTCCAACTTTTTCACTTTCTAAACTTCAGTCTCCTCATCTGCAAAAAGAATATAATGTTTGCCTTTCTGGGTTGTTTAAAGGAACAAATGAGATTATGTACACAGATTGTCCTGTACAATGCCTGCATATATCAGGAAATATATATCCCTTAGTTATCACATTTTTAAGTAATAATAACAATATTTACAGATCATAAGTGGTAGAACTAAGTCCTGATCTCAGCTCTGGGGGGTTCCAGATTCCATGTTTCTTCTTCTATATCACAAGTTCTGAAATGAAGCAAATACTTCCTAATTAAAAGACCAGGAAGGTGGCCAAAGCAATCCATTGCTTCCTTAAGCTTCTGGGAAACTGGAACTTTAGAAACTAACAAAAGAACAATACCAAATGCCTGAGATGGGAGATCATTGACTGGCCTGGAGCCAGGCAGACAAGAAGGTGTAATTGACCTAGCTTCTGTTCTGTGAGGCTGAGGGCAAAATACTCATTCCAGGAGACTACACCAGTTGAGCATTTTTAAATTGCATGGAGAAAGAGTTCCCTCTACCCCAGTAAATAATATGTGCTGAGCTCCTAAAATTTTTAGATGTGTTATACATTGTTTTATGTAATCATCCCCAAAAAACAGTGTGGTCAAATGATGATAAATACTGAAGGACAGAAAGGAGATAGGAGAGGTGCCAGGGTGGGATGATGCTATTGTAAATGCCATAGTTAGGGAGGCCTCACTGATTACGTGGTGTCAGAGCAGAAATCTAAAGGCAGCCCCTTTGCCAATAGAGAACAGGGAAGAAGGCCAGCAAGCTCTTCTCCGCTATCTGGATCTCCAGTTTCCTTTACCCTGGAAATCACGACAATGGTTCCAGCCATTCGAATAAAGCTTAGCGTGTAAAGCCTTTTGTAGTCCAGCACTTTATCTTTATAACACCCTTGAGGGTCAAATATATTATTATCTTTTTTAGAACATGTAGCTAAGGCATAAAGAGAGTAAAAGCATGCCAAGATCATTTGCCAGGAAATGGCAGAATTGGAATTGGATTCCAAATCTCTTGATACCAACCCCTATGCCTTTCAGCTTTACCAGGCCAAGTGTGTTTCTCATCCCCTGGAATTTGGTCCTTTAGGTTTCTGGTGGTCTAAACCATATTTCTTCATCAGTCACTGGCAGTGCTGTTGGTGTGCACTGGAGAATTTGTGAAACAGAGGCACACATGCAAACTGCATAAATGCTGCATTCCTCTCACTGCCAAGGCGGCAGCTTCCCTGAGACAGGAAGAACGGTCTCCTCCCATCTGTATTGCAACTTGGATCAGCAACGGAGTTGAGGGGTGACTGGCCCCGGCTTTCTCAGGCTAGCCCAGCAGGAAAGCAAATAGCAGAAGGAGGGATTCTACAGTTGTGATTAAAAGCATGAGTTCTGGAGCTGGAAATTACAATCTCAGCTCTGCCACTAACGTGTGACTTTATGCAGGAAAATTGGACAGTCTGCACCTCAACTTCCTCAACTATAAATCAGAGGTAATACTGGAACCTGCCCACAGAGTTATTGCGAGGATTGAATAAGATCATGTATATAAAGTGCTTAAAAACATACCTGGCACATAACTGCTACTCAATGCATGTTGGCTACTATTAATGCCTCTTGCACAAGAGCTTGAGATGGGTCTGAGGACATTCCAGTGTCCTAGGCCTATTCAATCAGAGTCTCCAGGCAGAGTCCAGCAAAAAGCAATTAGACCTCCTGTCTCTCCTGTTTTGGATTAGTCTCCTGCCCACCTGGGGCACTTACAGAAAGGCTGAGAGCAGCCTCTGTTGCTCTTCACATCCCTAGGTCCTGATCCTATTGTCCAAGGACCTAAATATCAGCCCCAATATCTTATTTTCCATTCTTGCTGGGAGTCTGTTAGAACCCAAGGGAAGAGGAATTTTGGCAGCCTCCCCATTTCACAGATGGGCAGACAGATGAGGCCCTTCTGTTACAGCAGCACTCACACACACACGCATGCACATGCACACACTCCTTTCTGGGATTCCTGCCACACCACAGCGGGATGATGTGTTGGCTTCATCCCCATCTACCTCCAAGTGCAAACTTTCCCAGAGCAGTTTGTCCAGGAGAGGGAGACTGTGTTCTCCACCTCACTCTCTTTTGTCACATCCTTTTTATTTCTCTGATGTCTGATTGGCTTGAAGGAGCTGTCTGCAAGTTGAAACTGAATTGAGTTAACTGGTCCAGACAGGGACATGGCTACAGCTGGAGCATGTGTTTTACTGCCCACCTCTCTCCACAGCAGACTGCGGGCTTCTTGAGGACAAGCTCTGCCTGACTCAACCTTGCCATACGGTGCAGAAGTGCGAGCATGGGCTCTAGAGGGGGCAAATTCAAACCCTTGCTCTCCATCTGAAATGAGTGGCATAAGTAAGCTCTCTGAGGCTTCACTAGAGGAAGTGTCATTCCAGCTGCCTGATGCTGAGTCCTAATTGACTGAATTTGCAATTGACAGCACTCGCAGGGCAGCTTGCGAATGCACATCCAGACGAGTGGCGACAGTTCTAACAGAACTGTCAGTGTTGGAATTTTACATTTGGCTCCATAATAAATGGTTTCTTTTTTGTTCTCGGTTCTTTTTAAAGACTTTTTTTATTTTGAAATAATTATAGACTCACAAGACGTTGCAGAATTAATACGAAAAGTTCTACGTACTTATCACTCACCCAGCTTCTCTCAACACTTTTCATAACATAACAAATGATCAAAACCAGGAAATCGACAGTGGCACAATACACTTAACCAGACCAATACAATTAGCTAGATTATAGACTTTACTCAGATCTCACCGGTTTAGCAGGCACTCGTGTGTGTGTGTGTGTGTGTTTCTACAAAATTTTGTCACATGTGTAGTTTTTGTTCTTCTTTAATTTTAAAATTAAACTTTCTATCTTAAAATACTTTTAGATTTACATGCAGCTATAAGAAATAATAAGAGATAATGCAGAGAGATCCTGTATGCCTTTTACCTAGTTCACCCTAATGGTAACATCTTGCAAAACTATAGTACAATATCACATCCTGGACATTGGCATTGACACAGTCAAAAGGTAGAATACCTCTATCACCACAAGGATCCTTCATGTTACCCTTTTATAGCCACAGCCCCTTTCCTTCCACTCCTCAGTCCCTGCTAAACTCTTGGGAGCCACTAATCTGTTCTGCTTTTTTGTAACTATCATTTCAAGAATGTTATATGAATGGAATCATACAGCATGTAACCTTTTGAGACTGTTTCTTTTTTTTTCCACTCAGCATAAATCTCAGGCAATTCATCCAGGTTGTTTGTACATCAATAGTTTGTTCTTTCTTATTGCCAGGAAGTATTTTATAATATGGAGATACCACAATTTGTTTAACCATCCATTCTAGGACATCTGAGTTGTTTCAGGTTTTCGCTATTACGAATAAAGCTGCTATCAACATTTGCATACTGATTTTTGTGTGAACATAAGTCTTCATTTCTCTGGGATAAATGCCCAGAGGTGCAATTGCTGGGTCATATGGTAGTCGTGTGTTTAGTTTTTTAAGAAATTGCAACTTTCCAGGGTAGCTGTGTCATTTTACATGCTCGCCAGTAATGTCTGAGTGATCCAGTTTCTCCCATCCTCGTCAGCATTTGGAGTTCTCACTCTTTTTTATTTTATTCATTCTGATAGAGGGATAGTGATCACTCATTGTGGTTTTAATTTGCATTTTCCTAATAGCTAATGATGTCGAGCATTTTTCATGTGCTTATTTGCCATCTGTATATTCTCTTCAGTGAAATGTCTCTTTATAACTTTTGTTCATTTTCTAATTATATTGTTTTTCACTATGGAGTTTTGAGAGTTCTTTATATATTCCAAATACTAATACTTTGTCCAATATGTAATTTGAAAGTATTTCCTCTCATTTTGTACCTTGTCTTTTTACCCTCTTAAGAGAGTCTTTCAAATAGCAAAAGTTTTTAATTTTGATGAAATTCAATTTATCAATTTTT
The DNA here is from genome assembly GCF_000001405.40 of Homo sapiens. Classification (NCBI taxonomy): domain Eukaryota; kingdom Metazoa; phylum Chordata; class Mammalia; order Primates; family Hominidae; genus Homo; species Homo sapiens. The sequence continues at coordinate 33,649,972 of NC_000017.11, read as the reverse complement.
TCTTTACGGACCACACTTTCAGTGTCAAGTCTGAAATAATTTATCTATATTTTTTCTACGTTTCATAGTTTTACCATTTATACAAAAGTCTCTGATCCACTTTGAGTTAATAGTTAAAGTAAGGCTTAGGTTGAGGTTCATCTTTTGGCCTATGGATATCCACTTGCTCCAGCATCATTTGTTCAAAATTTACCTTCCTTTACTGAATTGCTTCTGCAATTCTGTCAAAAATCTGTTGGACATATTTGTGTGGGTCAATTTCTTGGTTCTTTGTTCTGTTTCTTTAATATGTGTGTCTATTCCTCCACCAATACTGCACAGTTTTGATTAATGTAGCTGTGTAATGTCCTGAAATTCAGAAGACTGATTGCTACCACTTGATCCTCTTTTTCAAAATAATTTCAGCAACTCTAGTTACTTTGCCTTTTCATACACATATTAGAATAATCTTATCTATTCCTAAAAAAATACTAGGATTTTCATAGAAATTGCATTAAACCTGTATGTCAATTTGGGAAGAGTTGATATGTCGAGTTTTTCAATCCGTGAACATGGTATGTCTCTCCATTTTTCAGATCTTTGATTTCTCTCATCAGCATGTGTAGTTTTGAACATACAAGTCAGTCCTGTACATATTTAGATTGTAATTATTTTATTTTTTGAGCAATTGTAAATATTTTATTCTGCATTTCAATGCCCATGTGTTTATTGTTAGTATATAGAAATACAGTTGATTTTTGTATATTGATCTTGTCTTGCAACCTTGCCGAATTCACTTATTAGTTGTAGACGGTTTTGTTGTGGATTCTTTGGTACTTTATATGTAGACAATCACGTAATTTCAAATAGGGTTAGTTTAATTTCTTCCTTTCTGACATGTATGCCTTTTATTTTCTTTTCTGGCCTTGTTGCACTGGCTAGAACTTACAGAACGATGTTGAATGAGTGGTGAGAGTGGATATCTTTACTTCCACATCTTAGGGGGAAGGTATTCGGTCTTTCAGCATCGAGTATTTTAGCTACAAGTATTTTGGAGATGCACTCTATCAAGTTAAGAACAGCCCCTCTATTTCTATTTTTCTGAAGTTTTAACATCATAAATGGGTTCTCAGAATATTTTTTAACAATACAGTTTTATAGTTTCTAAAGATGAAAATCATTCAAACATGACTTTTCCTAAAATTGTACATGTGAGTTGAATAGTTTTATAGACCACAGTTATGTGGATGAATCAACAATAAGCTCAAGTGCAAAGACTGAGAGTTCTTCATTCTTCTTAGGTCTGGCTAGTCCCCCACATTGCAACCTCAGAGGCACAGCCCCCATTGTATTTGACACAAATAGAGACCCTAGAGTTTCACAATGCAGGCTGCGCATGTAGAAGGTGTTCACTGTGGTTTCTAGATGACCCTGTCTTAGAAAGATCCTTGCCCACATAAGGCGTTTGCAGATTTGAGGCCCCAGGCAGTCATCTTGTCTTCTACTTATTTATTCAATATATTGTTACTAAGTCCTTCCTATATAGCAGTCATTGTTTAAGGCAGTGGGGATACTGCAGTGAACAACATGCGAAGTGCTCATCTTTTAATAACCCAGGCAGGGGGTGTTAGTGGCTCTAGCCAGGACAGTGCACTGGAAAGGACCAGAAATTGTTAGATATCATCGTAATGCTTGCTGCCTCTGCTCAGAGAGACCAAGTGAGCTGCCTAACATCCCACACCTTCCAGAGCTGGGAAGCAAGCCACAGTGCATTTAGTTCTTAAGTGTGGTCCCTCAGAATTACATGTGGCTGCCACCAGATGGAGCCTCCCTCCCCAGGCTCCACTGGACTCTGTTCATCTTGATAATACTACATTCACCTCATCTTCAGCTCACAGTTCAGAGGCAAAAAGGAAAGGAAGACAGTTAAGAAATACATCTTGTGATTCATGATGGGGACCGTCCTCACATGCCAAGCCCAGAGATGAAGCCAGGAAGCCACTATTAGATTACTGGTGACAGGTATGGGGGTGGCATGTCATACCTCCCTGGTGTCTGGAATCCAGGACCCTTCTCCCAGGGAGGCAGGAGTAAGAAAGCCTTGGCTATCCACAGGGCACCTCAATAAAAGCAGTGCACTATGAGCAGTAGCCCAGAGAATTCCCTCAGCCCTCTGGCTCAGCAGCCAGCCATGCACCCTGCTCTAATTGGGCATTTTCAGGCCATTAAGTAGATAGATCAATGACAATTATCTTTGGCTTTCATTTTGCCCATCCTCTGTCTGTCATTCTCTAGGCTTTAGAGTTACTGAGAAGGATACACATTTATACACATGAGCACAGATATACACATGTGCACAGGCACACACACTCATGGGTGAACACACACAAGCAGCAGGGCAGAGGCCATCAGAGTGGGTAACCTGGGGTCTCAGCCCTGCTGGTCTGCCCCTCATTATCAGGTCCCAGACCTCCCTACTGCAAGCTACAGCAGGAAGAAGACAAGCTGGTGCCCTACAGTGTGCCCAGCAGAGTTCTCTCCTGCGTCTTGGGGTGTGGTGCAATGGAGGCATTCTATTGTATCCAAGAGGGGCTCCAGGATCCCTTTCAACAACCATTTAAATGTATATGAAAGAGGCCCCAAGGACCCATCATCTTCCCTTTCTAATGAGTAAGAAGTGACAGTTCACAGGGCATCTATTTTATGCCAAGGAGTGGGCTGGATCCTTGACATACGCTACCACTTTTAATCCTCCTGACATTTCTATAAAACGGATTATTTCTCCAATTTGACAGATTGATAAACAGAGGCAGCAAGATGTTGTAGCCACCCCAGGCAGGTGCTTTCCATGGCATCTTTCACCTCATTTTCATACACCATTCAAGACAGTCCTCCACTCTGGCCAAACAACAGTACAGGGCTGTGGGCATCAACTTCAGTAACTTCTCCAAACAAGGTTCCCTGGTGGGAAAGCTGTCCCTCTCCTTCCTGTGCGTCCCACCTACCTCATCTTCCAAAGCTCAAAATATGTTCACAAGGAGCCTTCTCAGACTCCTCCACCGCTCTCCCCCAGCTCTGCCCCCTGCGCCATTCACTGTCAGCTCCCCCAGCACTGTGCCTGCTGGCCACTTCTCCCCTTCCTCCCTACTTTACTCTGTCACTCTGCCATTTCCACTATTGGTTGATAATTACAAGAACACCTAGACTCTTTTTGCCCCTTGCATCCCTCTGTAGCTACTCTGCACCCAGAAGTTGATATTACAGGGATGATCCCTCACCGACAGCCCCATCCCAGCTTGTCAAGGAATCTGATTTTCAGTAGAACTGAAGTAGTAAAATGTACATGTTTTTGTTATTTCTGTTTCCAATACCTGGAATTCAAAGAAACTAAGGTGTAGAAGTGTCTGTTCTATACAAAATACAGAAGTAGAAGGGGACTCACTGTCTCTAAGTCTCTCTTCTCCCTCCAAGGGATGTGATCCCCAAGAGCACACTCGTCTTCCCCTAATTCCTTCAACTTTCTTATACCACCCAGGGCAGAAAGAGGGCTGTGGATTCCTTCTTTTCCCCTTCCAAGCCCACCTTCACTCCCATGCTAGCATCTTGGGATCTGGCCAATCAGTGGAACATCTCTTCCTTCCCTCAAATAAGGTTATTTCTCAGTACAATGCAATCTTTTCCTTATCCAAGTCTTATGCCCACAATCCATAATATACACACATCTAATCTTCTTTCTGTTCCTAATCTATATCAGGCTTCAGAGAGCTCTGCACCATGGCTGCTAAAATTTCTCATACTGCTTGGGATGTTTGTTCATGGTCAGAAGAATTGAGTTGGGTGACAGTGTTTCTTTAAAATTTGGGGTCCAAACCCCCGGTGAGCTGGGGATTTGAAAACAAAAGTATTCAGGTGCTAATGACAGAGTGTAAAAATTAGTGCTTTGAGATCAGGCAGTTGTGCATTTGGATCCCAGCTCTACTGTGCACCAGCTGTTCACCACTGATGAGTTTGCTTAGCCTTTTTAAGCCTCCATCTTCCTGTCTATAAAGTGGAATGATAGCAACAACCTCATAAGTTTGTTGTGAGAATTAAAATTACATGTTAAGAAGTTATGGCATGTACTAGACACACTATAAAATTGCCCAATTCATTGGCATTTCCACTATCCCTGCAAGGACTGAGTTGTATTTTGACAATCAGAGATTAGAATAAGGTGGAACCAATGCCCAGCAGAAGATAGTCACAGATGAGATGACCAGCAAATAGCACTTGTGGACTGACTTTATCAGAACTCAACAGAAACTGGCCCTTTGGCCTGCAAAGGTCAGATACCAGGTGTCAAAAATATGGGTAAGGAGTAAAGATCCTATCTAGGCATCAGGAAATCTCAGTTCTTAGCTCAGTGTCCCCATTCATAAGAAAGAGAGCTCAGGGCTCCAGAAAAGCTGGTCAGGAAAAGTGGAAAATAAGATTTTCTGCTTTGCAAGCTTGTCTGGGACTGAGGTTGACCACTGTGCGAGGTCATTTCTCAGTACAATGCAATCTTTATGACCTGGGGCCATTTTGTTTTAATGTTGCTTTATGAGAGCCAAAAAGTCTTGAGCCAAGTTTTTTAGAGTGTTCTACTTTTTAAATGAAACCAAAGCCCTTCACAGAAGGAATGGGGAAAGGAGTACCCATTGCTACTTCCAACATTTTTTCTTGTCATCTCTGCCTACCTAGTATTGTAGAAGGAGCACTGAATTAGGAGCCCAGGGATTCATCTCCAGATTTGCCATTTATTTACGGCATTACATTACTGCATCTAACGTTTTGCTCATGGAGCTCACCTCTCTGGACTTCTATGTCCTCCTCTGTCAAATGGGAATATTTACTTTGTCTCTATTACTGAGTAGTTAGGAGATCATGAGGTGAATGCTCTTTGCAAACTAAGAGACCAGGAACACGCGCAATAAACTATAATAATGTTTCACGTGGCTAATCATGAAAAACCAAGCAAAATAATAATGATGGCAATTATCCTTATTACCTATCTATCAACCGACATATTTATCTTCCTACTGTTCTTCCTCCTTTCTTATCTACCCATCTACCTTCCTACATACTGAGCTAAAGAAGTCTAGGAATGTTTCACATATTCAATCAAGCCAATGAACACACAAATATCTGGTATTCACAAGAAAACCATGCCTGTTAGTTTACAAATGTTGACAATGACAGGAGACAGGTAGAAAATATCTATTTATTAGAATTGTATGCATCTCTAGACATTTACTTAACATTTTTTAAATTAAGCTTAGAATTTATTCATCACGTAATACTAAACATACCTTATCCATTTTGAACCCAATACAATGCATTAAGGTATTTCTGATAATCGGATGCATTTTTGAGGGTTAATTCATGTAATCAAGAAAGGTTATGTTTCTGTGAGACATTCCTTCAGTTATTCAAAGGCTTGAAAGTTTTAAGAAGTGTACAATGGCTGAATCATGGCAAATACCCCTGAGAAACTATTGAAGAAATGCTAATGAAACATCACAGGAGAGATCAAATAGATGATGAAACCACAATGAACATCTAGGCCTATAAGGATTGACAGAGAACACTGATAAAAGAGAAACTGAAATTGAAAAGGAGTGAAACTGTGTAGAGCTGATCAAGTAGAAGTACCAGGTTCAAATAGTCAACAGCCCATCATAATCAATGAGGGAGGACACAAAGCAGGAAAAACGCATCACCATGGTGAGCAAGGAAAGCAAGTTATTGGAGGCACACGTTAACACATAAAATATAAGATTAATGTGATCACTGGAAAGGCTTGCCCGAGCCCATAGTTTGAAAGCCTACAGTGAGATAAGACACACAACGAGAAGCAAGAGAACCTGACCAAGAGGGTGACTTGGCCATGGTGCTCCCATCAGTAGGGACCCAAATGCTTTCTTGGACTCACCAAGTATTGAATTAGACATGAATAGGAGTGTTTGTTGTGATGGCAAGAAACTATACAATCAAATGAATACAATAGTTTGCGACTTTAAAAATAATTATAAGATCTTTATACCAGCTAAAGTCATGTTGGGTACTAGCCGTTTTTGCAACTTTTAATAATAACACCTACTAATTACTGAGCGTCATTATCACCAATGCCATGATTGCCACCATTTATTGAGTGCCTACTACATGCAGGCCCCAAGTCAATGCTTTACACTCTAACTCTCTTGTTGACAACAGCTCTGAATGACAGGAGCTCTGTTCAGTGTTTTACAGGTGAGAAAACTAAGACACTAATAATTTTTATAAATGTATCCACAGTTATATGATTAGTAAGTAAGGGAGCTAGTATAGAAAGAGGTTTGTCTGACTTAAAGTGATTTGTCATCTTTCTTTTCGACTCTCCTAATCATGATCTATTCCACCTCCTGGCCCAATAACTTAATGCTTGTAAATCTCAGGTCCACCCATTTATGGAAAACTCTTTAGTCACAGAGTTCACTAACACCATCCTCTGTTCCTGTGACTATATGTTGAAAATAACAATTGAAGACCCTCTAAAGGGTGGTGCAAGTTGACTAAATGGGTAGCAGTGAACAGCATTGAAAGGAGAAGAAGTAAAATAACACATAGAAAATGTCATAGAGCACCATGCAGCAAAGATAGTTTTTATAAAAAGTATTTTTAAGTTACACATATGCCATATTTCACTGAATCACAGTCATCATTTATTGGAAGATGCAAAATTTTATGTATCACCCAGAAAGAAAAAAATGCTGCCAATTAATGGCAAGATGTCATAATTTGTAAAACATATCCAAATTTCAGAGATGTTCAAATGTGGGGGGGGGGAAATGAGCATGTGAGAATGATAAAATACATCGTATGCATAAATGCGCTGGGTCACTGCAATATGTATTTCCTACTGTGGGTCATGGCCAACAGAGTTTGAAAACCTCCATTCTTTGAAGTAGAAAAACTTACTGGAGTATCTACGTGGTGGTTGGAGCTGCCAAGGGCACCCACCCTGGTCAACAAATTAGTGTGCTTAGCCACAGGCAGTACTGGCTGAGTTCTGGCTGCAAAGTGCCCTGTGACCTGGCCCTTGGGAAGCCATGCTCTGACAAGGTTTGCAGGTCTCCCCACAATCCAGGGCTAAGCATGAATGAAGGTGCTTGGCATTTCAAAGATGCAACTAGGAGGTGCTCCTGTCTCAGGTTCACATTATACCAAAATAAGGTCCTGGTCAGATAGCACCATATAATTAATTGAGGGAGTTGATATTTCCCAGGCAATACTTGCAAGGCTCAGAGCCTCTATTCAAAAGATAACTGAAAGGACAGCAAAGGGTCTTGCAAGGGATATCCTGACTTCTGACAGGATAGAAGGTTGATGGACGGACAGTGAGAGTATAAAGTCTTTAGGGTTTGGGGTTCTGATTTGACCTTGGTCTGTATCACTGATTGATTCATTCATTCAACAAGTATTTTTGCAACCCTTACAAGGGGCAGGCATTGTGCTGACTGTGGAACATCACAAACAGTGTGTCAGAGTGGAATTGACTTTGGAACTTTCTCCACTTCCGCCTTCTCCAGAGCTGCCTAGCCTGGTACTCAAGGGCCCTTTGCTGCAAACTCAGGCCAGTGTCAGCTCCTGAGCTGCTCCTGACTCAGTCTGGGGAGACTCAGTGTCCTCTGCCCCTTGCCTGGTGGAGCTTGGCAGCAAGTCCCAAGTTTCACTGTATTGAGACCAGGTGTGCAGCCATAACCATTGTGTGTGGGGGGGGGGGGGGTGTCCTTTTGCTCCCCCTAGAGTGCGAGTTATAGTATTGCTTACTTCCTACCTGAAATAGTTTATGGGCCATGGGCCTGGCTTATGTCAAGCCCCATAGCCAGTCTGGTTGCCCTACCTAAGGTCTTGGTGCTCTCTGATAATAGCCACAGCTGAATGTATTAGTCCTGTCCTAGGAAATGTATGATCTTCTCCCTATAAATATATACACTTACTATGTATACCTAAAAACTAAAAATAAAAAATAGGAAAATTAAGAAAAAGAAATGTATGATCTTTTTATATCTCACTTAATCCTTTCCACAGCCCTGGGTGATAGAGCCTGTTAATATGCCCATTATGCAGATGAAGGCACTGAGACTTATTCTATTTCTTTCCAGTCCCTTTTGTACAGACCACGCAATTGGTGCTAATGGCATCCCTGCCTGACTTTAAACTGTCCTGCCACAGAGAACCCTCACTGTCCAGCTCCATAGTGCAACCAGAAGGAGGTGAGGTTTTGGTATCTTCAAGGGGTATCCTCGGTCTTCCTATGTTTTGGAGTGATTCCATTCAGCTGCAAAAAGAGGGGCTTCTGGGATGATAAAGTGAGGCACACTCTGCACCACTGCATGTGTCCATACATGATCTGAACAGGAAGAGCAGTGGACAAGGAGTCTGGAATGTTGGTTCAAGTTCTGGGTGCTGTGTGGCTCTGAGTGAGTCCTTGAGCTTCCCTGGATTCAGTTTCCTCAACTGTCAAATTCCTATGGCCTTTTGGGCACCACCATGCATGAGAACACACAGACAGCATTATTACTCAGGGGTGTGTACATGTCTGCAGAAGGAGAACAGAGCTTATAGTATATGCTGAGCGTGTGCTGTGTGCGGATGTTCAGTAAAGAAGTGAAGGTGGGTTCTTCTGTTTTGTTTTGTTTGCATTTTCAATCTCTTCAGCTTTCCTCTCTCAGCCCTGTCTATAGCCACGTGCTGGGCAAGGAATAGAACTGTCTATAAGCTGGGCTGAAAAATGGGGCTAGAGGAAAGGAGATTCTATGAAGGATCCAGGAAGCCACCCAAGGGAACAGATGTCTCCATGGAGAGAGGAACAGAGGCAGGTTCATCCTTCTCTGTAGCAGAAATAGGCAGCCCAGCCCTAACCAGGCCTAACTTCAGCATCACAGCAAGTTACTCCGTGGCCTAAAGAAGACCCCTTCTCCCATAGGGTCTATGTTGCTGCCATTCCTTTACTAGGGACAGAGTTTTTCTTTTTCCAAGGTAGGGACTCAAGTGCAAGTGTCTTGCGTAGCCAGCCCCCATGAAACATGCCTCCTGAGTCCCACATTCTCTGAGAGGTGCTTATGGGGATTCCTGCTCTCAGCCGATGAAACCTGACTCTCGCAGGCCAGCCAGGGGCAGCAGGGCTCAGCCTCAGCAATACCTACGAGGGACTCTAGAGATAACTAAAGCATCTGTTGAGAATGACTGACTCCACACCGCAGAATGGGAACTACACGCAGGTTCCTAAATAACTAACATTGACACGCATTTCTACTGTAAACCCTGAACGCTACTCAACAGGGCCTGTGAGGCCCTTGCAGTTTCTCTTCAGTAAGAACTGAATAAGAACTCTTAAAAGTGCAGCTGCTGAGAGAGTCTCTGTGCCAACTTAGTTTGAGTTCTTCTTCTGGACTCTGTATGTCCTTGTGTGTACCCTATGCCGTTCACAGTCCGTGCTCTCTCTGTGAGATTGGCTGTCTAATCCAGGTGGATCAGGAGGTGCTTTGTGGTTTTTTTGCAAAGAAATGAAGTCTGGCAAGCAAACAATGATTAAACATGTTTCGATTCGTGACTTGTCTTTTGGCGAAATGCAAAGGTGGGTGTGCATTCTTAATTCAAAGAAAATCTCTTTCAAATCCCCTCATCCCTTGTTGCTCTTCTAAATACTCTCTTTCTAGATATCTTGCACCCCCAAAACTCCCTCAGCCCCCATGGCAGCTTTTCTCTCTCCTCTCTCTCTTTCCCGCCTCTCCCTGTCTCCTCACTTCAGCCTTTCCTCTTTCTTAGATCTTTATTATGTAGATAAAAACCCCTCCAACCTCCTTAGCCTTCTCTCCATTGCATCCCCTACCCGAATTATCCTCAAGAAAGAGGCCAGGATCCGACACAGCGATCAGAAATCCTCCTCCCTTAGAAGCCCAGGGGTGAGGGAGTTCAGGAATATTCATACACTGGTAATCCTTGTCCCTGTTACAGTCACTTCCTTGTATCAGGACCCTTGTTACTATTTACAGACTATTTTCCATCTCTCCTAATGCAATTGCTCAAAGGGCACTTTAAGAATAATCATTATCCATTGATGTTTTTTGGAGGCTTTTATTCCCTCCAATAAGTTCTGCCGAATACTGGCCGCTGGCTCTATTTGTTAAACAATGGAGGGCTTTGTTCCGCTTTTTTTTTTTTTTTTTCTTAACCTGAGCTTTCTGCCCACCCTTAGTATGGGGCAAAGGGAAGATTTTTATGCCACCCCTTTTGGTGAGAAGAGTCACTTCCTGATTAGTGTTTGGGCTGAAAATGGGTCCCCCTTTGGGAAGAAACATGGGTGCAGTGTACTTCCTGTGTCACAGGATTAACAGCTCCTGCCCCACTCCCAAGGAGGCAGCTCCTCGGGGCAGTTCCTCTTTGAGAATTTCATGGTCACTAAGAAGCAGGCTCCCAGGGACCCCAGAGTGGGAACCTTTGACTGAAGTCACCACAGTGGGTGTAAGATAAACATAAGAGACTTTTCTCAGGGAAGATTTGGAACGAAGAAAAAGAGTAAAAAGTTCACATGGACCATGGAGTGTTCTGGAAAAGGGCCCAGAAAGGGAAGCTGTGGCTAAGAAGATAAACTGCCTGATTGCAGAGACCCAGGAGAGGGGATGAAATCTCTTTGTCTGGTCACATTTCTCAATAATGATTTTCCACATGCTACAAAGCTAGCCAGTTTACCAAGTGCTTCCACACACATTGCTTCATTCTGTGTCTCTTAAGCAGATTGACTCCTTGGAAAAGCCTCACGTCTGGCATTCTGCACCTGCCCATCACCAGTTTGGCCTTGGTCTGCTTGGCTGGTTGGGTCTCCCCATGGTGAGCTCCCATGGTATCTCCTCTTCACCTTTATATCACTCATTAGACACCGGTGACAACCTCTCTTCATTCTTTGCTTTGGGGAACGGAGGCAGAAAAGGGAAAAATTCAGTAAAGGGTGTGTTATCTGGCCCATGACCACCCAGGACAACTGGGGTGCAGTCCTGCCAGAGAACTCCAGGAAATAGGCCTTGAAGGTTTTGCAACTGATGGACAAGGAAGCCGGGAAGTGCCCACTAACTCACCATCCATCCTTGGTTGAGGGCAGCCCAGGGATACTAATCCTCTGGTAGTTTTGGCTTATTCTGTTCAGGGATAAAATGTGCTTGGGCTGCCAGGAAAAAAAAATTCTCAGGCAGAGTCACAGCAGCTCTCATTAAGCAGCCTTCTTGAGGTGGGGCACTGGCAGGAGCTGCTATACCCATCTCTCTGTTCAACAATGACTCCTGGAGCACAGGTCCTAGGTCCCAACATTGTATCCAAGATATAATACTCTCAATAAATGACAAATAAATGTTTGTGTGTGTGTGTGTGTGTACAAACTAGGCAGGCATGCATTCATGCAAATGGTGTGCATATGTGGTTCTACTCCGCGTTACATCCTCGGCAGACAACACTCATCGATCAGAGCATTCTTGGTGATGTTGAAACTGCCTTAGCAAAGATTATGACAGTGAGATAAATCTAGCATAGCTAACTCCATCTTGCTTCTATCCTCACAGGCTAACTGTCCTTGCTCATTCCTGGGCAGAGGCCAGGCTAATCACGGGAGGAATTTAACTTATAATTTAACTTTAAAGCAAGGATGAGACTAGCCCTTCCCAAAACTAAATCACCCTTGTAAAACTAATGAAACACCACAGGTTAGGATTATGAGGGGAACCTGAATTCTGCTAATATATAGGTATAGTTAAATGATAGACAGACTGTTCTGGAAGCCACAAGACTTGTAACTTCTCCAATTACTCCTGTAGATAACATCATTATTATAAGAACCTAAGATTTGTCTTTTGAGATGTTTTTCAGACTTTTGAATTCTGGCAACTGACTGAGCCTATCTAGACTTTTGACTCATAACTCAACCAGTCCTGTGGCCCCCACCCAGAGGCAGACTCTGTACACAAGAACCATTTTCCATACCCCTTGATTGCATCTCCAGCCAATCAGCAGCACCCGTTCCCTAGCCCCTCATCCGCCAAACTATCCTTGAAAAACCCTAACCTCTCAGCCTCTGGGGAGACTTATTTGAGTGATAACTACAATTCTTCCACCTGGCTGACCTCCTTTCAATTAAACTCTTTCTTTACTGTAATACCACGGGCTCAGTGAACTAGTTTCATTTGTGCAGCAGGCAGGAAGTACCAGTCAGGTAGTCAGGTAATTACAATGTTGACAAGGATGTGGTTTGCCCTTCCTTCCTTCCTTATTTGCTTTCTTTCTTTTAAATTGACAGATAGCATTGTGTATATTTATTGTGTTCAAGATGATGTTTTAAGGTGTATATGTGTGGCTGTTTATAGCCACTGGAGTGGGAAGCAGAAAGATCCCTTACAGCACAAATTTTCATCAAAACTTGGGAACAAAGACGTGAGAAAAAATCTTCCCATTCATCCCCAACAAAAATGTATTTAGTATGAGTTCCTTTCTGATGCTAAAAATCTCCTTTCTAGTTCCTCTTTCCTCCCTCTCCAAACCCATCCTTTGTATGTGGACATAAGGTAGGGTGGGGAGCTTGGAGGTGCCCAGAGTAACCAGAGGAATCGGAGCAGGAGCTGGAGATGCAGATCTAGGAGCCGAGCTGCTCTTTGGAAAAGGGCACTTCAGTGGCCAGCTTGCTGCTTTGGGAGAGGCAGCAGTACAGGCAGGTAGGGAGAAACAATCAAGGAAAAACCTGCTCCTTGCTACCTCAGGCAGTTTTTAATTGGTGGTCCAGATTCTGCTTCTAGCTGCATCATTTAGCCTCTGAGCTTAGAAAAAAATCTTAGCTTTTTTTCTAAGGGAGCTTAGAAAAAAATCATCTTGCATAGGGACAATAGTGGAAGAGAAAGAAGAGAGGGAAGAGGAACAAGGGGAGGAGAAGAAGGAGGAAGGGGAGAAAGAAGTGTTGCATGTTCAGAAGTTTCTTTGGTCAGCCTGCTGGAGGGTCTAGAGTACACCTCCCCTTTTTTCTCTTTCAAAGCTGGAGAGAATTGTACAGGTGTGTGGTGTGTGTGTGTGTGTGGGTGTGTGTGCATGCATATGCTTGTGTGTTACTGCCATGTGTCTGCAGCTTTGTAAGCATGGAGTTTGAGTAGTTGTAGGTTGTCTTTGTCACTTGGTGTGTTGCCATGCAAGTGTCTGAGCTCATATTGGTGTGTGTCTGAGTGCTGTGTGTGTATGCATATCCAGATAAAGACTTTCAGAACTATTTGCTTCCTAGAAAGGAGTAGAGTGAATGATTGAGAAAATTTCAGTTAATATCTTCTCAGCTGCGGAAAGCAGCCCAGAGACATGTGCCCCATAAATATGGACTCTTAGAAAGAAATCAGGGCAGCCGTATGGAGATGATAAAAGGAGGGCCAGGCATCTTCCCAAGCTTTCCACCTGAATACTAGCTCTCAAACCAGCCAGGGCGGGTCCTGTTAGCTCTCTACAGGACAACAAGGTGGCCCAATAATGAGGTTTGAGGCCAGATGTCCTGACACATGGTAGGATAATGAGAGGGACTGAAGGCTGCCTTCTTCCCCCTAAGGCACGTCATGCTGATTAGGACAGGAGAAGCAAGAATATATAAGATTATCTTGTTGTATTTTAATGGTCAAACTCAGGATATCCTTATAAATATTATAACATTCAGAAATGCACAACTTAAAACATGAAACTCTACCATGACCCGTTAATATTTTGACACCTTTCCCTGTATGTTTTATTTGCATATACTAGCATTTTGAATCTGTATTAATATGTATATATGCACATAACATATCCACATATATTCACACATATACACATCATTGTTAATTTTTACAAAAACAAAATAATGCAATATTGTTCTGCAACTTGCTTGCTTCTCTAAACAACATTTCATGGGCATCAGTCCATGTCAATTAATATAAAATTGTATCCGTCATTGAAATGGTTGCATACTATTACTTTGTATGCATGGGCTCCATTCTGTTTATCTAGTCCTTTGATGATGAACATTTCTATGGTTTTCTAAGTTTTGCAGTTGCAGTGAGCATCCTTGTGTGTGCCTTAGCATACCCTTATGTGACTCTTTCAGTAAGAGATCATGGCGATGAGGTTTTGTTCCAATGGGGACCTACCAGGAAGGCAGGGCTGGAGAATCATAAGCTTCCAGTTCCTCTGTTGTCAGTTCTCAGCTTCCCCATTAATATGCAGGGCAATTTCTTGTTCTCTGCCTCTGGTGCCTTCTCTATACAGAGAGACGCTAAAAATAAATTCACCTGCCTCCTCATCGCTCTGTTTATTTAACTGTCTTTCTTAAGCATTCTCAGCATTCCCATAGGGGTTTAAAAATACATTCTCCAGCAATTCACTTGCAGAGCAGAAGATTAAATGCTATCTCCCACTTTGGGCTTTCACTGGTGTTGCTATGATGTGCTTATGTCCCCTAATGCAGGTAGTAGTTCTAAGGGAAATAGACCAGCCAACCTAAGAGTACAATGACCTGGTTAGAGTCCCAGCTACTATGCCTCACAGCCGTGAGATAATAGTCGAGTAATTTGCCTAACCTAAACTTCTGTTTCTGGAAAAGAGGATAATAATGACTGTAGTGTTAAATGAAACAATATGTTCACAGCAATTAGCATAGTATCTGAGACGTAGCAAGTGCTCACTGAATCTTAGCTACGTTATTATTATCATTATTGACCCACAAATACAGCAATTGTATCTAGTTCAACCTAATTTCATTATAATCTTCTCCATCTCCATAAATGGCCTCACCATGTACTCGTTTGATTTAGAAACAGTGAGTTGGAGATGAAGCCCTAGACTTGGATGACAAATATTCTTTTGTTTGTTTATAATATTTACTTCTTTCCCTGCTCAGTGTATGCTTGTAAAATTTCTAATATTACAGAAATGTGTGACTTGGAATGTGTGAAATTCCCCATAATCCTCTGCCCAAGATAATCACTATTTGCCAAAGTATATTCTCTATTTCTTTGTTTGCCAGTTTATTGACTGTCTCTCTCCTCCACGAAACCAAAGCTCCAATCGCACAGGGATGATAAAAGTTCTCTCGTCCGGGCGCAGTGGCTCACGCCTGTAATCCCAGCACTTCAGGAGGCTGAGGCAGGTGGATCACGAGGTCAGGAGATTGAGACCATCCTGGCTAATAGGGCGAAACCCCGTCACTACTAAAAATACAAAAAAAAAAAAAAAAGAAAGAAAGAAAGAAAGAAAGAAAACAATTAGCCGGGTGTGGTGTTGGGCGCCTGTAGTCCCAGCTACTCAGGAGGCTGAGGCAGGAGAATGGCGTGAACCCGGGAGGCGGAGCTTGCAGTGAGCCAAGATCGCACTACTGCACTCCAGCCTGGGCGACAGAGTGAGACTCTGTCTCAAAAAAAAAAAAAAAAAAAGAAAAAAAAGTTTTTCTCTCTCTGAATATCCAGTATCAAGCCTCATAGGCTAGCATGTGGCAGGAAAGTAGTTAATGCTTTTTTGAATGAACAAGCTAGTAATTATTGTTACTAACTTAGGTGAAGGGTCTGGTAAACCTTGGGATAGGGCCAGAAACAACTGTGTTCACTGCAGCTGGACAGGGCAGGCTAGGAGAGGATGGGATCAGAAACTAGTTAGACCTGAAGGGGGGAGGTTGATCTATCAGACAGAAGCAATTATCCTGAAATCTGGAGCCCAGACATAGATGACAGCCCTATGGCACTGTCAGAATGTGGGCAGTATATTCAGGGAACTAGAGAGTGTGACAGTCATATAGGGCCCAGCAATGGGAAATCCAGAAGTAGGCTTAGCTCTAAAATCCACGTGAATGGGAAGTCCAACTCTTGGGGGCCTGTTGCAGGTGTTTGGGAGTTCAAGCTGTGGTCTAGCAGCACCCACCAGGTTTGGGGAATACTAGTAGGAGCCCAGAGAACCTGAGGGCAAGGGCAGGATCCTGGGACACAGATTAAGGCACAAAGAATAAGGCAGGAAATGCCTCTGGAAGCCCCTAGCTCTGGGGCTTTGCACAGAAGATGGGCTTAGGAGTCATGAAGAGGCAGGGTCTCAGGGTCACTAGGCTAGACCCAGGTGGCAGTAAAACATGCCTTTCGTAAAAGCCCGATTGTGTCAGACCCTGAGGATAAGGCTGGAACTGCCACCGACCCTTTCCTGCCTTAGAATAGGACAGGCTGAGAAGCTATTAAATGGTTGGGGCATGGGTGTGGCTGTTGCTACAGAGAATGAGATATGGGTATGTGCTCTGGGCACAATCCCTGTGCATAGGGAGAAGGAAACACCCACCTGTTTTTTGCCGGACATACTGCCTTATGCTAATTGGCAGACATGGCAGGCGTAGGCTGCATGAAATGCAAGGGGTGAGCACATGAACTGAGAGGCCCTGGGCATGTCAACTCCAGCAACCCCTCGACCCAGCAGAAACAGGCTCCCTGTGGCCAAGTTTGGGGCACCCAAGCTTGTGGCAGGGACTGGGATTGGGTCAATGCTGTGATGTTTATTTTCTAACCGGTCCTTCCTTGCTATCTCACCTTTCTATGTCCCAGAGTCCACTCGTGATCTGCCCTCTGCATTGTGTCCAGATGTCAGGGCTGCCCAGAGAAGCAGGTGTCCTGGTCCTTGTTGCACCCCACAGGTGGGGAATGGCTCACACAAGAGCCTTTTTGGACCCTCGCACAGGTCAGGAGCGCTGTGGCAAGCCCCTGGGCTTCATGGGCATTGGGTTGATGCACTCCAGTGAGAATCAGGGTAACACTCTCTCAGATGACTCCCTGGAGACCCGACCCTCACCAGTCCTTGGAGAAGAAAGGCAGCACTGAGGCAAAATCATGTTGCCTTCACTCAGCCTGATGTTTCTAGGGGAGGAGGCTTTGTGCTGGAACCCACACAGGAGAAGCCAGCAGGGAGCAAAAGTAAGAGAGCTTCTGGGTCTTCTTCCTCAACTAGGCTGTAATCCAGGGCTTTCTGCTCAAGTTATCAAACCTCCTGGAACCCCAACTATATTTGAAGATTAAATTAGAGCACTTACAGAGAACTCTTGGCACAATGTCATCTACAAGTAGAAAGTAAATGCAACATAAATAGCAGCTGTTATTATTATTGCTGGCATTGTTGTTGTAAGGTTAGAGACAAGCTTGGTCAAGAAGAGTCAGAAAAGGTGCAGAGGGAGTTTCAAAGGGTGGACCAGGCCAGGTACACTGGTTCACATCTGTAATCTTTGCACTTTGGGAGCCTGAGGCAGGAGGACTTGAGGCCAGGAGTTTGGGATCAGCATGGGTGACATGGCAAGACCCCCATCTCTACCAATAAGTAAATAAATAAATAAAAATCAAAGAGTGCACCAAACACTCCATAGTTTACTGGGAAAAGCAGCTTCCAGGTTCTCGGGGCTCATGGTCAAGGGTTGGGGGTAGGGGTGGAGTACGATCTTCTGACTGGCCTACAAAACATGTGACTAGGGACACTGTCCCAGCACTGGGCAGTCCTGAGTGCTGGGGCATGCAGGGCTTCCATATCCCACAGCTCCACGTTTAATCTGAACCGTGACAGAGAATTGTGTGTTACTTTATCAATAACAACAATCTTAAGCGTTATTATTATGTTGTTTTGATGTATCATATTATTATTGCAGGTAAATTATTTCACTAACATTAGACATTCTTAAATGCAATGAATCTATCACTACTAGGTTCTACATACTAGCCAAGGGATTTCCGTGCATTATATCATTTGATCATCACAAACCCTCTGTGGTAAATATTATCATCTTCCAGATGAGAAAACTGAGACTCAGAGAGGTTAGTTGATTTTCCCAGGTCACACAGCTAATAAGTGGCAGAACCAGGAATTGAACCCAGTTCTGTCCCTCAAGCCCTCACTTATAACTTCTGCCATGCTGCCTCCTTTTCTGCAAGACCTGTGTAGTCAGCCCTACTTTGAACCAATAATACAACCACTTTTGGGCCCTTCCCCATTCTTGAATCAGAGAATCTCAGACTTGGAAGAGACCTAAAGGTCATCTGTCCTACACCATACCCTCTTATCTTTCTTATCAAATATTTGAAAATGGTGATCAAGTCCCCCTCAGACAATAACCTTCTTTATTTGAATATAACAAAGGGCCCTCCCAGGGGAACACATTCCACCCTGGAAGGAGATTTTC
The DNA here is from genome assembly GCF_000001405.40 of Homo sapiens. Taxonomy (NCBI): domain Eukaryota; kingdom Metazoa; phylum Chordata; class Mammalia; order Primates; family Hominidae; genus Homo; species Homo sapiens. Next base: position 33,631,755 of record NC_000017.11, on the reverse strand, counting down.
AGGTGCTCCAGAGTTCACTTGCCTTTTGGGACTCTCAGACTTTGACTCCCCCTTCCCCTTCATTTCCTTCCACCTATGGATGCTATACCACCCCCAATGCCTTTAACTTCTGTCTTTGTCCTCTCTGTCAATGTGCCAGGCATAATGCTAAGCACCCTGTGGGCACAATCGCATTCCATCTTCCCGGCAACATTTTGCAGTGGATACTATTCTTATCCCCATTTTACTGATGAGGAAACTGAGATACAAAAACGTCACAGAACCAGCAGACATCAAACATGGGTAGGTCTCTCTCCAAAGCCCATAATGTCATCATGAGACTGCAGTCCCTCCATTTACATTTCAGTTCAGTCACTTTCTCTGTTTCTCCTTAGTATAGCTGAGACGGGCTGGCATCAAAAAGAAACTCTCCCTCCAAAAAAAAAAAAAAAAATCACTAAAAGCAGCATGCCACGCTTAAGACTGAGGGGGAGCACAAACGAAATAACTACAGAAAACACCAGCCACATAAAGGCAGGTTCTCAAAGTACAGATTTCTGACTCTCCAATAATTGCTTCCCTTAGCCCAAGGGGCTGGCATTGCTTGACCTGTACGTTGCCTGGCTTCAGGGCCTCTGACTCCCTCCCACCACCATGTGGCAGTGTCTTCTTGGGCCCCATCCACAGAAATTGGACAACCTTCCACTTGCTCCTTACCCAGGTTTATTCTCCAACTTTACTCCAATCTGAGAGTCACATTTTATCCACACTTTTCCATTTAGTCACTCAACAAATATTAATTTGCAGATAAGAATTTAAAGAATGGTCTCACCCTTTTGGTGAGATAGGACTTTGCATGTCAGTCCTTAATTTTATACTTTTGTGTATAGCACCTACTCAATGCCAGACCAGATCTCAACTCAACAAATGATGATGCTAGTTATGATGATGATGACAAGAATACAAACAATAATAACTAATGCTTACTGAGCATACACCATAGACCAGGCAGTGTGACTGAACACTGCCTGAATTTTCACATTTGATTCTTTCAATAACCCAGTAAGGGAAGTACTATTATCTTTTCCATATTACAGAGGAGAAAACAGGCTCAGAAGGTTAAGTAGATTGTTAAGGCCACACAGCAGGGAGTGTCAGAGCTAGGATTTGGAACCCTTGACCTTGAGCACTGTGCTGCAGTGTTTCATAGCATGCTTGTCATAGAGAGCTAAGTGGCATGGTCCTAAAGGGGACATCAGTGCACTAGGGGGTACAAGTCAGACATCTCCACGGGGCACACACAAGGTCCTTTCCTTTCTCCGGGGAGGACAGGGAAAGGGGGCAGGAAAGGGGCAGGAAAGGCTTTATGGAGTTGGCATGTGCAGACTGGTTCGTGAAAGCTGAGTAGGTGGTCACTGCACAGACAGGAGCAGAGGGGCACTCAGAGAAAAGGAACCATGTGAACCAGGACCTACAGAAGCGGCATAGTCTGGCTTTTTCAGGAACTGTCAGCATGCGACCAACTTATGTGAGATGGGGAAGGAAGGAACTGATAGATGAAGAAGCTGAAGATACTGCAGGAATGAGATCCCAAAGTTCTTACAGATGATTGGGAGCCACAGAGGGATTGAGGGTAGGGAAGAAAAGTGATCAGATGCAAGTTGCAGAAACATCCCTGGGGCAACTGTGTGAAAAGTAGAGAGATGGCCGCTGGTGGGCCTAGAGAGACCTGGTCCCATAAAGGGCTTAACAGGGCAACCGCACCTGAGTCACATGTAACCTGCATTTGACCTTCAATGAATAAGTATCAAGAGGGATGCCCAAGTCTTGAACAAGCCCCTTCCTCGTCTTGCTGAGCCTCATGGTACTGCAGCTGAGAAACATAAAATCTCTTTAGGGATTTCCATTGGCATAATCATCCTTAGCTCTTCAGCCTTACAGGGTCACCGCTTCTCTCCCTGGGATATTACTGAAGGCCAGAGCTTCTGGCAGAACTGGGTTTGCTACCCTGGAAGTTTGCCCAGGGCTGCTGAGCAGCACCTCTATCACTTTTCAAGTAAGGCACTGATTCCAGTTTTTTTCAGTTCAAAGAGATAGCACTATAGGGCCATGGCTATGGTATCCTCCCTCTAGCATCCTTTAACCTTCCCAGCTCTCCCAGGGAAATATTGTCTACCTTCCTCCATGTAACCTGGGACTCACCAAATCAAGAGCCAATCACCTCCCTCACTGTACAGACAATACTTGTATTAACGCAACCAACATACGTCACTTGGTCAACACTAGCTCCCTAACCTATCTATTTTTATAGATACTTTATAAAAACTGAGTAGCCCTCTGATTTCCGTCAGATTCTTCCAATTAGGAGAGCTGTGCATTGATCTGGGAATTGATTAAAAACTTCCCAACTGGAGTGAAATGTCAGCCCTTTCAGACAATTAATTCCTAAGTGCCTTCTAATTTGAAGCCTAATCATTCATCCTTAATAGTGGATCATGGGAGACTTCAGATCTTAACCAAACTGAAAAGTGGAAGAAAAGCTGGCAGAGAGCAGGGAAGAAGCCACGGGGAGGGCTGGTGAGCATTCTCTGGCTACAGAAGCTGGTTTCTGGGATGGGAGCCAGGGGGACCAGGAGGGCTTATGTACTGGGTCAAACAGGAATAGCAGATACAAGTGTAGTTCAGGCAGATGTTGGCAACACAGGGCCTAATCCAGAGGGTCTGGATGAAGGCAGCTGTGACTCCTCGGAGGTCAGCCCTCACCCAAAGCTGAGAGGACTTTGGATGGGGAGAACGGCCGCATCCATGCTGTATTCCCAACACTGTGCTGAGGGCTCCCACGTGCAACAGATACTGCCAGGCACAGTGCAGGGCTAAGAGCATGGGATTTGGTATCAGGCAAAGTGGAATTCAAACCCAGACTGGTCTCTTGCTAGAAGGTGAACATTGGCATTGATAAATTCCTTAATCTCTTTTGACTCAAGTTTTTCCTTCTATTAGATGGAGGTAATAATTGTATCAACCTCAGAGGGCTGTTATGGGGATTAAGTATCAGAAGAGTGTTGACAGTGCTTAACACTTACCAGGCATGGACACAGGCTAAACACTGACAAATTATTATTATCAGCCAGGGATACAAACACAAAGGGAACAGAGTTCCCTGCTTTTAAAAAGCCAGATAGGGTTGGCGAGGCGGCTCACACCTGTAACCCTCATACCTTGGGAGGTCAAGGTAGGAGAATCACTGAGGCCAAGAGTTCAAGACCAACCTGGATAACATAGTGAGACTTCATCTCTGCAAAAAAAAAAATTTAAAAACTAGCCAGGCATGGTGGCATGCACCTGTAGTCCTAGCTACTCAGGAGGCTGAGAAGGGAGGATCACTTGAGCCAAGGAGGTCGAGGTTGCAATGAGCTATGGTCACACCACTGTACTCCAGCTTGGGTGACAGAGTGAGAACCTGTCTCAACAAAAAAAAAAAAAGACCAGACAGGTAGATATCAGAAAATCAATTACTTTCTGATTTTCCAACAGCAAATCAGAAAGAACTTGGAAGAAACAGAAGCTGAATCAGACTAGGTCCCCATAGAAGGGGCTGGGCAGACTCCCAGGCATCGGGACCACCCTGATCTAATGGGAGGACATTGGCATCCTTTGGCTTCTTTGAGGTCCAATCAGGGTTGTCCTAGCCACCTGTGTAGGCCCACACACAGCACAGGAGGAGGCCTCTTCTTTTTTTATTTTTTTGAGACAGAGTCTCGCTCTGTCCCCCAGGCTGGAGTGCAGTGGCACAATCTCAGCTCACTGCAAGCTCCGCCTCCCAGGTTCACGCCATTCTCCTGCCTCAGCCTCCCGAGTAGCTGGGACTACAGATGCCCGGAGGAGGCCTCTTCTTACATCCAAGCTGGAGACAGCCTGAGAACTCACTGGATACTGGGTATGCAGTGAATGAGGGCCATTAGAGCCAGCTCAGCGGCTGAGGCTGAACAGCTTATCTCTGCTCCCCAGTGGAACCAAATCAAATCCCTGAAAAATATTAGGTTTTCAAATCAAAACAGCAAACCATGTTGAATAAACCAGCCGCCAGCAGCAGACAGCTAATTGGCTTGTGTCTGTCAGAAAACATTGAACTTAACAGGAATCAGGAAGCTTTGAGCAGGGCCTCACCTTCAGGGGTTGAGGAGACCTAGCCAGAGTTCAGCACACCTGCTACCACCGCCCCAAGGCTCATTCATTCTTCCTGTTGGGAAGACACTTTTCATCAGTGGCAGGAGCAGCAGCAGGAGGGAGCTGGAATTTAGTTCCCCTTCTAGCCAAACCATAGACTTGCCTCTGTACGCCTGCAGGCCACATATTTATTTGAGAAGCATTTATTGGGTGGCACCAGGGTGCAGGGCATCAAAGATAAAGGAATAAATAAAGCACCCAAACTCTGTCTTCACACTTTAGCACTGGATTTGGGATATCAAGAGGCATTTATAACACAGAGTGGTAGGATAGAGATTTGTACCCAGTGAAATGGTTGCTCCAGGGAAGACATGCCTGTGTCTCTAGAGAGAAATCTGGAATCTGGAATGGCTGAACCCCTAAGGATGAGGAGGCTTGTTCCGGCAGACTAGGAAGGGAGGGCATTCCAGGATGACAGCATTTTTCCTTCAAAGACACAAGGTTACATGTGTGAGAACAGTCTTGCTCAGGGAAGTGCAAATCCTTCAGGGTTCTTGGAGGCTGAAGTGTGCCTGTGCATGTGTTGATGCGGGGTGGATGAGGGCCAGAAGTGAGACTGGACAGGTGTACACAGTCTCAAGTCTGAAGGGCCCAGTGCACAAAGCTAAGGAGTGTGTGTTTTTATTCTGAAGGTGAGGGGAAAGGATTTTGAGCAAAGAAGTCACATGGTCAGAATTGTGTTCATAGGGCAGAGGAAGGGCAAGGTTTGAGTGCTGGAAATCAGGAAGCCGCTGAAATGGTGCATGTTGCAAATGATGAGAACTTAAGCCCAGGAAGTTGAGGAGGGAGTGAGAGCAAGGGGCATAAAGAGTTACTTAGGAGACAGGATCTACTGGACTTGGTAATTGATTGGATGTCAGGAGTGCTAAAGAAGAGGAGAGCCTCTAGGGTGACTTCCAGCTGACTCCACACAAACACAGCTTCGATTAGGGCATCCCCTCCCCTGACACCGTTATCAATGGTGTTTCCCAAAGCATGATGTACCACTGCTGGACTATTGAAGGATTTCAGGTGGTACACAGAAGAGCGCATTTCGTTAAATAGTGACTGTTCACTTTTATGTTTATTAGAAAAAATGTAAATAGCCTAGCAGATTCATAGTTTTATGAATATTGTCCTCAAAGGCAAAACTAATGTTTAAAAAAGCTAGTGAATCTAAATTTAATAATTAACCAAATTATGATATATGGTATACTTGCATTAAAAAATAACATACGTGGTAAATGAATAATTAAAGCTTAAGAACCATGGCTTAAAGGAAAAAGGACTCACATCTTTGCACGACGTTCTAGTCCTTTTTTTTCCATACTTACCAACCACATTAAATTACCAGCCATTCTTAAGAATACATCCAATTTTATTCATTCAAAGCTCCTTAAGTTAACAAAGAACTTAAGGCCTAGAAGTGACCATCCAGTGCCCCACTGCATTCTACAGCTGCAAAAACAGAAGCCAAAAGAGATAATGTGAGTTGCTAATGATCAAAAAATCACTTGGCAGCAAAGCCAGGACTAGAACCTCAGAATCTTCTTCCAATTCTCCTTTTCCACCACCAACATGAAAGGCCCTGTATATGCCTGCCCTGGAATTCCTACCAATGCCTGATCTAAGAGGAGGTTGGTTGGTTGGCTTACAAGGACCTTGACATTCAGAATACCTTTCCACCTGCACCTCCAAATCTCTTTCATCTTTCAGAATCCAGTTCAAAGATACTCATGAAGCGTCTGCAAGCTAAGCAGTGTAGATTTCCCACTCTCTCTCCAGCTGGCCATGAGCTTGTTCTCCTTAAAACTCACATGGCAGATTTGTCAATTTTATTTCTTTATAACACTTTTTATTTCAATTGTGTATTCCCTGAAAGTGGACACCAGACCTTTTATTTATGTCTTTGATGTTTAGGGATATTCAAAAAGTTTGTGTGACAACTCTATAGGTCCATGTTTTAATCTCTCTTCTGTATTAGTTATCAATTTCTGTGTTGCAAATTAATCTAAGATGTGGAAGCTTAAAACAATAACTTATCAGCTCACAGTTTTCATGGGAGCTGCTTAGGTGGGTGATTCTGGCTCAGGGTCTTTCAGGAAGTTACAGTTAGGCTGTTGGTTAGGGCTGCAGTCATTTGAAGGCTCAAGTGGGGAAGGATACTTATCTAAGCTCACTCCTGTAGTTGTTGGAAGGCCTTAGTTCTTCACTGGTTGTTAGATGGAGACCAGCTTTCAATGTAGTCCTCTTTATAGGCTGCCTGAACATCTTTACAACATGAAGCTGACTTCCTCTACTGCAAGAGATGAAAGAGAGATAAAGATACATGATAGATAGATAGACAGATAGATAGATAGATAGATAGATGACAGATAATAGATAGATAATAGATGATAGATAGATAGATAGATAGATAGATAGATAGATAGATAGATAGACAGAGAGGCCACATTGTCTTTGATAACAAAACCTCAGAATGGCATACCACCTTTTCTGTTGTATTCTATTGATCAACAAGACTGATCCTGGTACAAGGAAGAAGGGATCCACACAAGGGTGTCACTAGCCAGAGGCAGTGCTCACTGAGAGTCATGCTGGCTATCGTGCCTTTTCACAATGTATTCTTTGAAGATAGGTATTTAGTTAAATCAATTCCATAGTGCTAGCTTAGTTCTTGACATATAGAATGTTCTTAGTGAAGGTGAACAGATGTATGATGGATGCTTGGATTGGTGAAAATGACCTCCCTTTGACTTGTTAGACCCCAAATGCTTAGCCCTATGATAAGCAACCATCTTCATTTGTCTTAGACTCAAAGAACTTAAGGCCTAGAAGTGACCATCCAGTGCCCCACTTTATTCAAAAGAGATAATGTGAATTAAGCCAAAAGAGATAGTGTGAATTGCTGCTGATCAAACAACTACTTGGCAGCAAAGCCAGCACTAGAACCTGAGACTCTTCTTCCAACGCTCCTTCTCCAGCATCAGTAAGAAGGATACTGTGTATGTTTGTCCTAGAATCCTTACCCATACCTGATACAAGAGGAGGCCTCCAATAGAGAAAAGGAGAAAACGTGACTTGTCCAAGTGCAGTACCAGCTGGACATCACTAATTGGGACGGCCTCCCTGCTTTCGCTTGAGCACCCAACTACTGTTCAGTCTGTGTATCCATCCTTTTTCCAGATTCTTCAAACCTTCACCAGGTGACCTCCCGACAGACATGGATCTTCACCACCATCTCTTTCCAGCATGCCTCACTGTGCTTTGCTACTTCTGGGTGTGTCTGCCTCCAAACCCACTCCTTGTCAAGCTAGGACTTACTTAAGTGGATCTTTTCTTCTGCTGATATATCCCTCTGGATGCACCATAAACACTGACATTTCTCCAGAGCAGGATGTTTTCGAAAAAATATTCTAGATGAATGCCAGGCCAAGCAGCACAAAATGTCATGGTGACTTTCCAAAAAGACCTGCCAGGAGCTAGGGTGAGTAAAAATAGCCACAGCTTGGTGTGGATGAACAGAAAGTAAAGATCACAGAAAGAAGAGTTTATTTGTTTTTAAAATAATTATTTCTAAATGGTTCTGGGCCTGAAGAATGCGTCAGACTGGCAGGCAAGGAAGCAGAAGGTCTGCGTCTGACACCAGAGAGAGAAGGCAGAGGAGGGTGACAGATGGGAAGGTGGGGGGCTGGAGCCTTGGATTCCAGCCAAGTCAAATACTACATACAGCTTGGACTATCTCTCTAGGATTGTGAGCCTCAGTTTCTCTACCTGGAGTAGAGAAAAAGAAGAAAAAATGTAGTTAGGGAATGTTATGCACATGACTACAAACAGAATGAAAAAGAAGCACTGAGAGACAAAGGCAGATAGAGAAATGGACAAAAATGACTAGTGTTCTGTTATGGAAAAAATAAGAAACATGGACATTTCCAGGTTGCCCTAGCTCTGCTCTTCATAGCTGTTCGGGTCCTATTACTTTACCACCATAAGATATCACAAGAGGCCAGGCAGGATGTCCCACACCTGTAATCTCAGCACTTTGGGAGGCTGAGGCGGGCAGATCACGAGGTCAAGATTTCAGGACCATCCTGGCCAATATGGTGAAACCCCGTCTCTACTAAAAATACAAAAAAAAAAAAAATTGGCTGGGCGTGGTGGTGCACATCTGTAGTCCCAGCTACTTAGGAGGCTGAGTCAGGAGAATCACTTGAACCCGGAGGTGGAGGTTGCAGTGAGCCGAGATTGCGTCACTGCACTCCAACCTGGTGACAGAGAGAGACTCCATCTCAAAAACAAACAAACAAACAAACAAACAAACAAACAAAAAAAAACGATATCACAAGAGGTATCCTGGATGAGCAGATAGAGTTGGAATTACAGAACTCTTGGAGCCAGCCCTGGAGTCATCACTTGCCAGAAACCCCCTGGGTGGGTTTCTTAACTTCTCTAAGCTTAGGTGGCCTTCATCTGTAAAATGGGAGACTTCCCACCCTCAGGCTTGTTGTAAGGGATCAATGAATAATAAAAGCAAGCAATCGCCCAAGTCTCTGTTGCTTGGCAGGCACTAAATAAATGTCCAAATAAAAAATTCGACCAATGAACTACCAGTGCCAGAGGCCCCAACTTCTCTGGGCTCTCATTTTTGGGAAAGAAAATCCTGCTTCTCATTTAAACTGATAACTGAGTTAAGTGGTTGTGTTCTCTTAATTTTGTTAAATGTGTAAACAATGACTAGTCTGGCAATGTTCGGTTCAGGTTGACAGCATGGTCAGTATGTGTGCAGCTGTATTTTGGAAGAAAGAAAGCAGACATTTTATTGAACATACGCTATTTGCCAGGCCCTGATTAGACATTTTTATATAGGTTATTCCATTTAATTCTTAGAACTATCCTATAACATGAGAATATCTACCTTCCTTCCATCTTTCTTTAAACAAGTAATGTACCTAGATATGAGAAAGGTAAATAAACTTGTCTAAAGACACATAGCTTAGTTGCCATTTTGCCTCCAGACTGTCTGACAGCAAAACCCAAGTTATTTCCTCTCAAAGAATATTGCCTCCATGAAACTAGACTTAATATATGATTGAAAGGTAGAATTTAGCCATATTTTGCACTCAGCTTCCAATCTGCCATTCTTTCTCTCTCAGTGAGTGTCTGTGTGTGTGTGTGTCTTTTTTTAAAAAAACTGTAGTTTGTTTTTCCCATGGAAAATCTTGACTCAATCCTAAAGCCTAGTCCCGACAGAAGTTTCTTTATGCTTTCCTTTGCCCTGGCTTCTCCATCTTGAAGAATTCTACTCCAAACTTAAAGGCTTAACTCAAATGTCAACTGCTCCACAAAGCTTTTCAGCAATCTCTTAAGCTTCTGTAGCACTTTGTACACATCACCTTCAGTTAAAATTGTCCTCTGCTTGTCCTTTTATCTCAGACACCTTGCACAGTGCCAGGCACCTAGTAGGATCCTGAAGAGTATTTATTAAAGGAAGAAAGGGAGAGAAATGCTTCAGAAACAATAAGACTTATGGCAATGATGATAGTGATCATAGTGCCAACAGTCAACATTTATTGAGACACCTAGCAGTTCAGGTTCTGTTCTAGGTGCTTAATGTGTATCCTCTCATTTACTAGTCACAATAACCGCAAGGTAGGTACTATTATCATCCCAACTTAACAGATTCAATACCTTGTTTAAAGTCACAGAAAAATAGAAGATTTTAGTGGAAGATTTAGAAAATAAATCTACAAGATTTAGAAGAAATTTAGTAGAAGATCTAATTAGTAGAAGATCAGTGGAGGATAATTAGAAGACGTTTGAACCCTAGCATTTTGGTGACAGAGGCCCCCAGGAACTGCATCTTTGTGCTGTTCAGAAAACCGCAGGAGAAAGAAGACAGGTCCTGATTCCGACACACTGACCCCAAGGCACAGCCTGGCCAGGTGTCAGCTCTGTGGCTCCAGTGCTACCTGTGTTAACTTGCTAAGCTTACGCTTCCTTGTCTGGTCAAAGGAGTCAATCTCACCTACACTGATGGGTTGTGGGGAGGATGATACACCTATCAGGATGAACCAGCGTACACTGGCCATCTAACGAGCACTACTTCCCCAATTCTCCTAAAATGGACCTTACACATCTGCGACTCCTTACATCGCCCCGTTCTATTTGAAGAAGAGGGATCTATCTGCCTGAGACATTTGCAGTATTGTTTCTTTATGCATCTAATAAACATTTACTGACTGGCTACTACATGCCAAATGGTATTGTGGGCATTCAGGGTACAGTGGTAAATTAAATAGACAAGGTCTGGACTCTTACAGCACTTACATTCTATTATATTACTTACGTTATAGTTATATTACTCTCATAACTAGTTAACAAACACATGCACAGGCTAAGACCAAGAGACTGTAGAACAAGACGATGTGATGGGAATGGCTGGGGTGGTGCTGCATTAGGGAAAGGAGCTGAGAAAGGGCCCTGAAAAGGTGGCACTTTAGTTCAGCTCTCAATGAGAAGCAGCTAGCCTCTTGAATACCTGGGGGAAGAGCATTCCTGGAGGAGGAAACAGCAAGGATAAGACCCTGAGACAGGATAAGTATGCGGTGCAAGAAAAGAAGGACGGCCAGCGGGTCCATGAGTGATGGTGGAAGGGGGCGGGCTCAGAGAGGCTGGAGAGGCTGTGGGGGCTGGGGGTGCATGGTCTGGGAGGCCCTGGAATGGGCATAGAATTGATTCACAAGATGGATAAAAGGTAAAAATTAATTGAAGAAGAAATTCAAGGCACATTACCCCTAGTTTTACTGAGCATTACAGTCTGACTCCATTCAAATAGATGTCTTTCATCAAGAATCATCTTTTCTACCTCATAAGAAACAAGAAGGCTACAGATGAAACGATAGTTTTAAAAATGTTTTCTAAATTGTTTTTGAGAAACATAAAAATCAATCTCTCTACAGAAAAATGGCAAAGTTGCTAATTTTATGGGGAAGCTCTAAAATAAGGATGATTTCACTTCTCACAGGCTGTCACTAGATTCCACTGGAAACTTCACCAGCTTCAGAAAACACTGCACAAAGCAATCCCAAATCCCTATGGTAAATACAGACAAATGGACTTTATTGACAGGAGATTTTTACATTATACAGAGGAGTCCGTCACGAGTTGCCTAAATTTAAAAACGAATTGCTGAAATTTGGTGGAGTAGAGACCTAGAGGAACTTTGCCATCAACTGTGTATAGTGGCTGCATTACTGGTAAGCTTTTTGGCCGTATTAATAGAGGTGTAGTATGGAAAATGCAGGACGTGTTTTTTTTTTTTTTTTTTTTTCATTTTCCTCTGCTTGGATCCCATTCTACTCAGATATTTTCCAACAGCCCATCAGTTGTTTAGTTTTTCTGATAAATAATTAAAGATACTGCACTTTTACATTTTTTAACAAACAGGTTCAAAATTCGACAGGTACTTTCCTTTTAGGGGATTTTAAAGAGGATCAGAAGAATATTATTTTCATGTTTTTGGAGTGTACACATATGAAAACTTTTATAAGAGAGACACATAATTTACAGCAATAAAGTCACATAACAATCGCAATATTTCCAAACATCCATTTTTCCAAATGCTGTCTGCATTGCACGGCTTTCTTTTGAGACGCAATTGCTCTCTCATGCGTTGTTAAAATGTCACCTCTACCTTGAAAGAACAGATTAAATGTAGATTTTTTTTTTTCAAATAATATCTGCTAGGTTGCATACTCCTGATAGCAACTTGTCATCACAGAAAAGGTCATCAAATGTGGAACTCTTGTCTTTTTAAACAGAAGAACGTAGCTCTGCTGTAAGTTTAGCAGCTGTTTTGAGGACTTGCTGTGACACAATCAGAGACGCTCTGTGCGGCAAGAGATGTTATGGTCACCTCCCTTCTCATTACAAAGCATCCTAATGATTGACTCTATTTTCAAGCTCTTGTTTTTATAAATGTAAGCACATTGATGGAATCTGTGGCCTTTTGTTACTGCTTGCTTTCATTTCTTACTGCAATCACTTGCCTATAAATGATTCTGTGAATTCGTGCTCTCTCTCCAACCTTACCCTTGAATCCTTTTCTATTACAATCAAAGCAGCCGCTACCTCAGATGTTGCACTTGCACCTTTTTTCCCCTTAAAACCTTGTGTTTTTTAATTAAAGAAGTAATTTATTATTGAGTATAATTTTTCTGGTACATCATTTTTAGGAGCTTAACAGAAGAAGCTCTTCATATGTTGAAATTGAATTGGTGTTGAAATTATTATTGAGTACAAATAAAAAGTATATGGAAATTATGATTAAAGCCAAAGCACCCATTATTATTTAAATTATTATTGAAACTGAATCTAAAAAACAGTTATATTTACAGACAAGTTTGACTCATCCGTACTTTGATTCAAGTACCTGTGTATAGCAAACCTCCTACCCTACATATTTTGTTCTAATACTTTTTTCTTTTGATCTTCAGTGCTGTTTTCTATGCCTTATGGTCTATCATACATTATTTCAGTTACACAGTGTAATGAGATCACAGGAGAAGGAGAAGGAAGGTTCCAGGAAAAATTCACACAGGAGATATTTTGGGCCCGGAATTTGAAGAATGATTAGGGATTTCCAAAACAGAAAATAAAAGGAGAATATTTGTGCCATGGGAACAGCATGTATAATGGCCAGGCTCATGAGAGAGCCTGGTGTACTTGAGGAACTGCAAGTAACTCAGCACAGATGAGGCTTATTAATAAAATATTTGGGCATTGGTGAGGGTGAGCTCATAAAGTAGGAAAAGACAAATATGAAGAGACAGCAGCAAGGGCCAGATCATGAGAGGACAGTTATGCCAGGCTAAGGAGTTTGGACTTAATTACAGAGCCAACGTGACCCATGAAAGATGAGGGAACCAAGGCTCAGAATGTCCACAGCGTAAGTGGCAGCATTCAGATACATGGATGAGGAGGAGAAAGAATGCAAACATTGTTCAGGGCTGGTACCACAATGGCACTGTGTCAAACAAAACAGATCTTAAATTATAAACATGTAATTATTGATTTCTTTCCCATTGGCTTTGTACTTTGTTTTTGGCTTTGGACATATTCTCTACTAATTCAACAGACCATTCCAGAATGAGCAGCTGAGGTATACACTTGGCTTCATCAAGGAGGCTTCAGAGTTGGTTAAAAATAAGGAGCATTGAGCCACGTGTGGTGGCTCATGATTATAGTCTCAGCTACTTGGGAGGCTGAGGCAGGAGGATAGTTTGAGCCCAGGAGTTTGAGGCCAGCCTAGGCAACACAGCAAGACTCTGTCTCAAAAAAACAAACAAACAACAACAACAAAAACCAAGGAGAACTGAATAACTAGTATGAATCACAGTCCATTGTCATACAAGCAGAATATGGATTCGACAGTGGCTTGAATTCCTGGGGATGGATAACTAGGTTGTCCATAACTAGGTTATCCATCCCCAGGTTTCTGCACAATCAACTATTGGTCTGAGAAGGAGTCTACTAGACTCTCTAATGTGCAGCATGAGCATTCATTTTCTCAAAAAGAAACTCTGGAAAGATGACAAAATAGTAACTCCCTTTTCACGTAAAAATGTGGACAGTTTAGCACATACTTTTGCATCCATAATCCCCTTTAGCCTTTGCAATTAATCTTGTGAAGCAATCGGGACAAATATTTTTTATAAACACGTAATTATTGATATAATTATTCCTCTTTGGAAGATGAAAAAACTAAATGGCTTTCCCAGGGTCACATGGATTTTCAGCAGCAAAGGTGGAATTGAAACCCAGGAACTTATCTATTTTGTGTTTTTTAAAAATTATGCAAGTACCATTTATTTCATATAAAAACATCTAAGCTAATTATAAAGAAGCATAATTTAACTTTTATTTTAGGTCCGGGGTACATGTGCAGGTCTGTTACACAGGTACATCGTGTTGTCACAGGGGTCTGGTGTACAGATTATTTTGTCATCCAGGTAGTAAGCATAATACCCAATAGGTAGTTTTTTTATTCTCCCCTCCTCCCTCCCTCCACCCTCCAGTAGTCCCTGGTGTTTGTTGTTCCTTTCTTTGTGTCCATGTGTTCTCAGTGTTTAGCCCCCACTTACAAGTGAGAACACGTGGTATTTGGTTTTCTGTTTCTGTGTTAGTTCGCTTAGGATAATGGCCTCCAGCTTCATCCATGTTGCTGCAAAGGACATATTCTTGTTCCTTTTTATGGCTGTGTAGTATTCCACAGTATATATGTACCACATTTTTTCACTGATGGGCATTTAGGTTGATTCCATGTCTTTGCTATGTGAATAGTGCTGCAATGAACATATGTGTCTATGTGTCTTTATGGTAGAACAATTAATATTTCTTTGGGCATCTACCCAATAATGGGATTGCTGTAAACCCAGGAATTTAAATTCTAAGCCTAGGGTGCTTTCTACTTACTACTTAGAGAATATATGATGTATTCACAAATGTTAGGTTAGGAAACAAAAGCCTCTTTAATGTTTTAAACAGGAATGTATTTAATATAGGGCAACAGAGGTTTACACAACCCTTGAAAGGGCCGAGGAAAGAGGTCAGAGAGGCATCGTTGTTTTTCACAAAATGTGGAAATGTGGAAATCACAAGAAAGCTAGTACATATTTCAATGTCTATAGGAGGGTGTCCAAAAGCCCTGGCAAAAACCATATCCACTATCTGTTGAAGGCCACACTTGTGCCCACACAACTGCTGCTAAAGAATGGTATTTTTCTTCTGCTCTTCTATCTCAGAAATCTCAAACAAAGAGCCTCTCCTTGGCAGAATCTCTGCTGGCAAGGGAGTCTGGGAAATGCAGTTTCCAGGCTTCTAGCCCCTGAGTTTCGGAGATCTCTTTTAGAAAAGCGAGATGATACTGGGTATTAACAGGCAATATCCAGCATGTCCAGTTATTAACTGAAACTACAGTGAGATGAAGAGAATGAGAATCAGTCAACTAGGTTATTCAAGTTAAATATGGATTTGTCTACAAGAAACTGAGGCACAGAGGGTTTAAGTGACTTGCTCAAATCACAGTAGTAAGTTCAGAATCAGAATTCACATTAAAGAGGTTTGGCTCCAAGATTCACATTTGGAAACACCAAGCTATGCCACATTAAACTATGGCTTCACGAATGCATATATCGTATACACTGGGAGATGCTGCTCATCAGGAGCTTTTAGAATCAGCCTCTACTCCTGTTCTCTGTGTCAGGTGCTCTGTCTTGAACATGGCTGGTACCTGCATCCCACCCCCCCACCCACCCCCAAATACTTTCTCATTTGGAAGAAGAAGGAGAAGACTTGATTTCTTGGACCCAGAGAAGAAAGGGCATAGATGAAAAACTGGGGTGGTTCCACACAGTATAGACTTTCCTGCTGAAGCAAGTGCTGCTGCAGTTGCTGCTGACAGCTGGTCGTAACAGAGACCCCAGCAGAGCCAAGACCTGCTAATGCATTTTGTCACTTTGAAGAGTGTCTCCAATTACATGTACTGGTCAAAGGCCATGATTTAAAATGGGTTGCAGTGTACACTGCTAATCTCTTTTGTAAACTCAGGTAGTACAGGCTGGTGAAATGTTACAGCCAGAAGGGATCCGTGAGAGCCCAGTCTGAGACTCCCCGCCTCCTTCCTTCACTAGAATCCTGCACATAAGAGGATGGGGGATGTGGCTTGGCCAAGGTTATGCCCCCAGAGAGTAGTGAAGTTCAAGAGTTATTAATGTACCAGGATCAGCTGTTTACAGTTTAGTGTCATTGTTTTTATTTTAAAGGTATTCTCCATAATCCCCGAAAAATCTAAAAACTAAAGGTTTTCATGGACTATCTAGGTGATGGGTTGATAGGTGCAGCAAACCACCATGGCACACGCTTACCTATGTAACAAATCTAAACCCCAGAAGTTAAAATTAAAACTAAAAAAAGAAATTGAGGGTGTTTTATGTTCTTCATGATATTAGAACCAAGACCTTAGCCTCTTAGCAGTGGGAGTCCTTCAAGTTAACCTTAGAAGTCTTCATTTTTGAAGGTCTATCACATAAATATCTTGGTTTTAGCTTCAACTCAATGTCCATAATTTTCCAGTTATTTTTTTCCTTTAAGTTATTTTCTTTCTTAAAAAGGTCTATTGAATCATATGTTTTTGGGTGGGGCACAGGGGACTTAATAGATTTTTTAAAATAATAACACCCACTTTTGGTGAAAGAACAAGGAAATAACAGGTACTTTTAAGTACTGCCTATACAAGTTATCACAATTTTTATGGAAAAATTGGCAATGCACATTGAAATCTTTGAAATTAGCCATATTCTCAGATTCTCTTTCCATAGAAATGGCCATTCCATAGTTAGAAAAGTTTTATATACAAGATTGACTGTTGCAGTGTTATTTGTGATGGAAAAAGTTGGAAAAATATCAAATGTTCAACAGAAGTGGGTCTGAATAATGGTACATCCATACAAGAGGAAGAAATCTTTAATAATAAAAAAGTAAGAACCTATATGGCTCTTCCCATTTGCCAGTTTGACTTGTAATTAATGCATTGACAGACACAGCAAGCCTATGAAGTGGATGCTATTATTACGCGCACTTTAAGGATGACAAAATTGAGGTCTTGAGAATAAAAGTGACTTGCCCATAGTCCCACAGCTGGAAAGTGGCAGAGTTGAGATATAAACCCAAGCTATCTGATTCAAGAGTCCATACTATTAACCACTCTGTTATACTCCCTCTGGAAGAATATCTAATGATTTTGGTAAATGTATGTATGTGCATGTGGGTGTGTGTTTAAAAGGACAAGAAACCTATACACCAGTGTGTGACACTGGATGGCAGGACTGCAAACAATTTGTGCTTTCTTATTTGTATTTTTCTGTATTTTTTGATTTCACATCAAAGGTATTTTTTTAATCAGAAAAAATATAGCAGATAAGTTTTCAAAAAATAAATAAACTCAAGACATGATACCATCTAGCCCCTTGGCGATGCAGAAATGTATTTTGGTACCATCTCCATCAAGCATTTTCTTGACCTGTATTTGAATTGCTTTGTTGACAAGGAACTCACAGATCTGGCTGTGCAGGGTTGGCTCAGTCTAAGGAAGAAGAAAAAGGTGACCTTGGTACAGCCCAACCCACCAGGTAAGCAATCAGTTAAGGGATTTGGGGCAGAAGTTCAGGAATCCTGAGAACACCAATGGGTAGTCTGACGGGGTACAGCTCCGTCTGAAGGTGATGACGCCCTCTGAACACTGCATTGTTTTCTGTTTCATTTATTTCATAGCCTGTTAATGAAAATAGTTTGCTCAAGAAACAGATTTTTAGTGGATAATAATAAGGACACCCATCCTTAAAGAACTCACGCTGAAAAGAATAATATGCCATTTTTCAACTACAAAACTGGAAAAAATTAAAACCCGGTGCAGCTGAGGATGTACAGCATTCACCTGTACTGTTGGTAGAAAGGCAAAATGGTGCAATTTTGGGGAAGGCAATTTGGCAATATTTATCAAATGCATCCCATTCAACCCAAGAATCCCACTGCTAGCAACCTGCTCTGTAAATATAGGTACAGGAATATTCATTATAGTCACTACAGCACTGGTTATAGTAGAAAAATAAACGAACAAACAATATTGGAAGCAAAGAGTCCCTCAGTAGGGGTCATATTAAATAAATGATAGTGCTACCATATGGTAGACTACTCTAAAGGCATTAAGTAGTATGAGAAAGACCCGTGGGTGCTGATGCAGGAAGACCTTGATGCTGTCTTATTAAGTGACAAAAAGCAAAATGTAGAACAGAATCTTAAATAAAGAAGACTACACATTTCCGTATGTGTATAAGAGAATACATGTGGGCCAGGCGCGGTGGCTCACGCCTGTAATCCCAGCACTTTGAGAGGCTGAGGTGGGCTGATCACAAGGTCAGGAGATCGAGATCATCCTGGCTAACACGGTGAAAACCCGTCTCTACGAGAAAAAACACAAAAAATTAGCTGGGCGTGGTGGCGGGTGCCTGTAGTCC
The DNA here is from genome assembly GCF_000001405.40 of Homo sapiens. Lineage (NCBI taxonomy): Eukaryota > Metazoa > Chordata > Mammalia > Primates > Hominidae > Homo > Homo sapiens. The sequence goes on along the minus strand of NC_000017.11, from coordinate 33,613,498 downwards.
CAGCTACTCGTGAGGCTGAGGCAGGAGAATGGTGTGAATCCGGAAGGCGGAGCTTGCAGTGAGCCGAGATCGCAACACTGCACTCCAGTCTGGGCTACAGAGCAGGAAGGAAAAAAAAAAAAAAAAAAAGAATACACATTCTTTTTCCCCAAAGAAAATGCAAGGAACGGTTCACACACTGTTTAAAGTATCCAGTTTTGAGCAGAGGCACTGGAGGAATGAGGAGAGAAAATCTTATTTTCCTTTTGTATATCTATTTTATTTGAAGGTTCTACCACATATTACTGTTATTTTTTAAATGAAAGCAGGGGTTATCCGGGAAATCGTAGTCCATGTTTTTTGTTGGTTTTCTATCTCTATATACTAAAACAACATATTCGCACACTAGTGACTGTCATTTTGTTTTAAAAAATAACATATACTGCTACCCCAAGGCTCTCTGGTAATTCCTCTCCCTCCTTGGAGCCAAGCACCAGAAATGTCTGCACTAGCTCCTCCTGCTCCTGCCTGCATTGTCTGCTCAGATGGTCCCATTAACTCTTATAGCCTGTGAATCAATGAGTGAGTCCAAATTTGGAACAGAAGAGATAATGGACTTACCCAGGGAGCCAGTACAACAGCAATGTATTTGTCAAGATACTCTGGACCATGCTGTAATAACAAATAAATCCCAAATTCTAGTGACTTGCTCATGACACAATCTGATGCAGCTGTGCTCCTCTCGTCCATATGGTGACTCAGGGATTGAGGCTGCACCCAGCAATTAGTCTTCCCTCTTGTTGCTTCAAGGTTGTCCTGGCATTGTGTAAGTGGGTAAAGGGGATGGCATGGTGAATACTTACACACCTCAGCCTGAAAATGACACAGATTACTTCTGCGCACATGCTAGCACTAGTATGTGACCAATCTAACTGCAGGGGAGGCTGGGAACTGTAGAGGAGCACAGGGATACTGGTGACCACTGATACTCTCTGCTCCAAGCAGGAAACCCAGAATAGGTACCTCTCAATGTGACAAAATGTGTAGAGCATGAAAAGAATCCTTGCTTCAAACTCTCTTCCTCATTGTTTGGCCAGGATCCCCAAAACGCCCTTTTGCCATTTTTTTTAATCTCTCAAAGCCCTTGCAGAGCATCAGTTCATTGCTCTGAGTTTTCTACCCACTCCTGGTAAAAGAACCACAGGTATCAGCCCTTTGTGATGACCAATTTTTTGTGTCAACTTCATTGGGCCACAGGGTGCTCAGATATTTGGTCAAACATTATTTTTAGTGTGTCTGTGAGGGTGTTTCTGGATAAGATTGACATTTAAACCAGTAGACTGAGTAAAGCAGATTGCCCTCTGCAATGTGGGTGGGCCTCATTTAATCCATTGAAGGCCTGAATAGAATATAAGGCTGAGTAAGAAAGAATTCCTTCTCTCTGTTTCATTGCCTTTAAGCTGGGACATCAGTCTTCTTCCTTCAGACGTGGACTTGGACTAGAATTTACTGTATCAGCCCTTCTGGTCCTCAGGCCTTCAGACTCTAACTAGAGCTCTACCATTGGCTCTCCTGGGTATCCAGCTTGCTGGCTGCAGATCTTGGACTTCTGAGCCTCTATAACTGCATGAGCCAATTCCTTATAGTAAGAACTCAAACTAATACACCTTTTGCTACTTTGCACCACTTCCCACTAGAGCAACCAGAGAATATTCCTCCACCCCATTGAGTTGGCCTTGGTCATGTGACTCTCCTAGGGCAATGGGATTTTAGTGGATGCTATGTGAGCAGAGGTTTTGCATGTGCTTGCACAATCTAGCTTAACTTCTCACACCCCTGTGATCTGCCATGAGAAGATCTTGCTCCAGATGGCCACTGCCCCTTTAGTCTGGGCATCAGAATAAGAATACGTGGAGCAAATTTGAATCTCACTTGACCTGGGCTCTGGATTGACCCTGCCTAGCCTAGCCCAGATCAGCCAAACTTCAGTCAACCTACAGACCAGTGAACATAAAAATAATTACTGTTGGAAGCCACTGAGATTTTAAGGTTTTTGTTATCAGCAACAACTGACGGATATGGGGCCCTATCAGCAGGCTAACTGGAACCATAGAACACAAGGTCTGGATCCCAGGGTTATTGAAGGCCATCTTACAGATGAGCAATCTGGATTCCAGAGAGGGGAAGGGTCGCGTGTGAGCTTGCAGAACATAGATCAGAGCCCAGGTTTCTGGAGCCAAAACCAGTACTTTTTAATGGCCAGTCATCCACCATCCAGCACAGACCAGGACTCTGAGGCTTAGAGATGCTGGTGTTTAAATCTGGACAGGAGAGGGGGAAAGGGAAGGGGACCAGGCAGCACCAGGAGGGCTAGTTGGGAAAGCAGCAGCTAGCAGCAGGAAAGCAGAGGTCTAAGAAGCTTTCTCTCACCTCCCTGATTAGTTGAAGTCTGGGGAATTTAGCAGATTGTGAGTTCCTGCTCAGCCACCACACCAATTCCCAGAAATCAGTCTGCTGGTCCACCAGATTCCTAGATGCCTGGAGGGAATTACAGGGTTTCTGTGCTAATTTTTTAGGCACCAGTTGTGTGGGAACTTTTTGTTCTGTTTCTTTGTTGTTGTTTGTGAGACAGGGTCTTGCTCTGTTGCTCAGGCTGGAGGGCAGTGGTGCTATCATAGCTCACTGCAGCCTCGACCTCCTGGGCTTAAGCAATTCTCTCACCTCAGCCTCCCAAGGATCTGGTACTACAGGTGTACCACCACGCCTGGTTAATTATTTTATTTATTTATTTATTTATTTATTTTTTATTTATTTATTGCAGAATCTGGGGGTCTCTTTTTGTTGCCCAGGCTGGTTTCAAACTCCTGGGCTCAACTGATCCTCCCACTTTGGCCTCCCAAAGTGTTGGGATGACAGGCTAGGCATCATTTGTATGGTGTACCTTCCAATTGCGTCCTGTCCTTTCTTTATGCCTTTTGTTATGTCCAAAAAAAGAAAAATAATACTCAGACCATTAGGGAAAGGAGCCCAGGTTAAGAGGCAAAATTGCGGGGCAATGGGCGGTGGGGGGTGTGGTGCCTCACGCTTGTAATTCCAGCATTTTGGGAGGCCGAGGCGGGCAGACCATTTGAGGTCAGGAGTTCAAGACCAGCCTGGCCAACACGGTGAAACCCCGTCTCTACTATAAATACAAAAAAAGCCAGGCATGGTGGCATGCACCTGTAATCCCAGCTACTTGGGAGGCTGAGGCAGGAGAATTGCTTGAACCCAGGAGCTGGAGGTTACAGTAAGCCGAGATCGTGCCACTGCACTCTAGCGTGGGCAACAGAGCCAGACTCTGTCTCAAAAAAACAGAGGCAAAATAGGGAGAAAGAATAAGCATCTGCTTCTTTCAGACTCAAGGCATGCATCCAGTTGTGTGTGCATATATCTGTGTGTGTGTGTGTGTGTGTGTGTGTGTGTGTGCGCCTCTGTCCAGGGTCCCAGTGAAGAGAGATGGTGGGTGCACAAGCTCCATCTGTCAGGCGAGGGTGCCAGCAATCAAGCCGACTCCCAGGCTGCTCACCGGGAGGAGGGGGAAGCCTGTGGCCAGCTAGAGAGACTCTGGTTCTTATTTTCCCCCCTCCCCTCCTCTACCTCTTTTTCCTTCCTCAACCCCTCTCTCCTTCCTCTCTTATCCTTCTTGCTTTTCCTACTCTTCTCTCCCTTCTACATTTTACTGTCATTTCCCTTTCCTTTTTCTTCTCCCTCTCCTTTCTTCTTCATGTGCCCCACAGATAAGGTGAGCTTCTTTAACAGGTGCAAGGCTGAAAAGACAGCAATGTCTGCTTCACAGAGCTTACATTTTGGAAGGAACAACCAAACCCCAAAATGAATCTTAACTCCAAGCTATGATAAAATCAGTGAAGAATAAGAGGGAGGGAATTTCAGGGGAGATCCAGTTTAGACTGGGGTTGCAGGAAGGCTTCTACTGGGTTGAGCTTGGGGGCAGCATTTAACCTGATGCTTGAAGGATGAGCTAGGGAGGAAACACGGGAGGATCAGGATGTGAAGAATTCCAGGAAGAAGAACCAACATGTGTGAAGGAATGTCCTTGGTGTGCTCGAGGAACTGGAGGGAGGCCCAAATGACTGTGACTCGGAGGGCAAGCGGGAGGGCAGTCACGATGAGTTTAGACAGGCTGCAGGAGTGGAGCGGGAGCAGGCAGGGATTCTGTGGTTTATCCCAAGTGCATTGGGAAGCCGTCAGTGTCTCTTAAGCAGAGGATTGACATGACACAGTTTTGCCTTGTACAAAGATAAATTTGGCATCCCTGAGGAAAATGGATTGGAGGGAACTAAGAGGGAAAGCTTTTAAAATTCTGTTGTAGTAGTTCAGGTGGGAGATGATGGTTAAGTCACAACAGCGTCCAAAGAGATAGGGAGAAGTAAGTACATAGAGTGAAGACATGTCTTTGTGGCAGGATGATATTTGTGAAGAGCTTGCCTGATGTGCCCCCACCTCCTTCACACCCACTGCCCCATGATTCTCACTATCAGGGCAGACAAAAAGTAAGATACCTGTTGCTTTAGCAGAATTGCCAGGGTAGAACTAGAGGATAATGACATCATTTCCTAGGTCTTTGGGCTAAAGAGCCAAAGTCCAAATATACATTAAGAAGACTTGGAAGGAAATAAAATTAGGCTGAGCCAGGTAAGGTATAGGAAGAACGAATGCAGAAGAAGTAAGGAAGTTCTTAATACTGGTGAAGGGCTCTGTATCCTATTATATACCCATTTAATTCAGAGAGGCAAGGAGAGCACAAAAGCTCTCCTCTTCCTCAAATCTTTGGGATCTTAGAGCAAAGGAGACCTGTGTTGCTTCTCAACTGGTGCCCAGAGAGTAAACAGAATCCCAGAGTTCCCAGCACTGTATCATCCTGGGTTGGGTCTCAGAGACCCCCCCAGGCACTACTAATCCTGGGAGGAAGGCAATTCCACCCCACCATGCATATAAGGATATGGAGGCTCAGGGCAGTCAAGTGGCCAGAACTGAGTTCACCCAGTTAAAAATCCACATACCTAGATGTGTGGATTCCTACGACCTACAGTTGGAGATGCCGAAAATATATGAGTCTCTTCCAACATTCCTGAGACTTTTATATGAACTCTAGGCCTTAGGGCCTACTGGAAGGAGCAGCAGACTGGGATCAAACCCAGATCTACCCCATACTGGGGGAGATAATTCTACTACTCGACCTCTCAGAACCTCACACTCACCCTCTAAAAAAGGGCAATAGTGTGAGCTTGATCCTTCTCATGGGAACGTGGAGAGTTAAAGGAAATAAGCACATGGGAAGCCTATGTAACGCCATTCTCATGGGGTGTTCTGCTTAGAGAGACACAAGCTGCCATCATGCTGAGCCCATCTTTTGAGAGTCCCAATACCTTCCTTTCCTTGGCCCGATTGTATTTCCTATAACTTCCACCTGTTGACTCTGCTTCTGTCCGTTAGGTTGCATGGAGTAAGCCCCATTCCTCTTGTCCTGACAGCCCATGGGTAGGATCCTTTAGGTTGAAGGCAAAGTCTTCCGGTTGAACACTTCCTTTAGGTTGAAGGCTTCCTATCTGCAGCTTAAACTAGCTCAGTCCCTCCAGAAGTTCCTATTAGGGTCTTCATTTGAGTCCCAGGGACACTCCTGATTGCTGATGTTCTAAGAATGCGGTGCCCAGATGGGTCACAGGTAGCCTCATTCTCAGCCACAATTTTGCTCAGATTTCTGTAGTGAGTGGTCCAAAGCTCCTTTGCTAGAGTCTAGGGCAGCTCTCTTTATGAATGAAAGTCACCTATGACTTGAGCTGATGGAGAGTCACAAGGCAGGGATCAGTGACAGACAGATGCCGCCACTGTTTCCCTCATCGGGGAGATGTAGACATCATTCTTACTGTTATCATTCCCACACAGAAAATGAGAAAGAAAAATACAACCATGGCCCATTTCCCAAGGGAAAGAGCAAACAGCTTTCGAAAGATCGCCTCGGAGTCCTCTAGGGACTGCCGGATTCTGCTGCAGTGGGTGTAATGAGAAGAGACTTTGGCCTCCAAATCAGTGCAGGGAGTGTGGGAGGGGGCCACTGGGGTTGCATCCAGAGTAGTGAGCCCAGAGCCTGGCCCTAGTAGGTGGTCCCTAATGTGAGTTTCCTCCCTGCCTTACACCCTCAGGGTTGATGTTTCTTCCCGATTTATTCATTGCTCACTGCTCACGTTCCCCCAGGAGGTTGCGTTTGGGCAGAGAGCATTATAAGCTATCCTGCACACCCTGGGTTGTTGTTCCTACCTTGTTCCTTGGCCTTTATTGGTCTGCTCCCTAAAACATGCTCAGGCTGTTCCATGCCCCTGGGTCCTGTGATCCTAATTAATGCTCCTCCCGATCAGGAGTGTCTTGATTTTCTGCAGGATGCTCAGCCACTGGGTCAAATTGGTACTAGGGATTCAGCAGGGGCTTGGTACATGCTCCTCCAACCTCTCCCCCAGAGAATAGCTCTGCTGTTCTCACACTGCACACCTTTACTGCTCTGCAACACCCACACTGGTGGAGAATCAGCAGAGGCATAGACTAGGATGAGCCTAGGAGGCACTGTGACCACAGAATGGGATTGGATGGAAGTGTGAAAGAAGCAAGGAGATCCTCAGGACCTCCAGACCCTGGGTTGGAGTTCTCAGCCCCCTTTGTTGGCATCTTGCCTTCCCTTGGTATATACCCTCCTCCTTCTCAACATGTACTACAGGATTTGAATGTTTCAGTGTGGTGCATTAAGCCATTTGTTCATTCATTCATTCATTCATTCATGAATCAGTAAATATGCTCTTGGTGTCCAGGATCTGCCAGGCACTATGCTACATACATAGACACTGCCATGCCCTCAACAGTGTAGTTGGAGAAGAAGCACAGACCACATTAATACTGTAATAAACATAAAAATAGAAGCAGTTCCAAGGTGGTAGGTTGGAGGGGGCATCTTTAAAGACTTAGCCTTGAACTCTAGTGGAAGAAAGGAGTTTTGCATGAACTGCTGTGGAGCCCGTATGCCTCTGTATTTCAGCACCTAGCCCCAAGCTTCACACCTGGAAAGGTCCAAATAAAGCTGTGTGGAGTGATTTGGATGCTCTCTAAACCCCAGCAATAAGCCTCAGTAATTCTAAGAGAAGGATGGCGCCAACTCACCAGATGTGGGAACTGAGGTCTAAAAAGAGTTCAATAGAAGTGAAATAAATTGGAAACTGCTGCTCCCATTGTCCTCCTGGCATCTCGAGAATCGTCTTTTATTCTCCTTTCTGTCGGCCAAATCAGCTCTGCTTCCAAGCTGGCCCCTGGGTCCGCTGTCTGATGGCAAATATTTCTGCCTGGAACAGCTCATTGGTGGTAGCTGAGAAGACTAATAACAGCGCCTGACAGCCCTTCATGGTTTTCCCTAAATATTCCTTCCTGCACAAAAAAGTTTAATAAAAATATGGATTAAAGCAGAGACTGAGAGCTGGAAATCAATGGCAGTCTCACGGCTGTGTCATTGTAATATCTCCTGTGCCTGTGCCACTCACCCCAGGAAAGTGGGAGCTGGTGAGTTCAGAGGCTTGCCCGAGACTCAGTGGGGACAGGGGGAGCATGCTAGAAAAGGGTGCTATGTCTAAGACAGGGGGATGAGCATGAATGCATGGCAAGGCTGCCAGGGACCCAGTTTGGGCTGAGGCTGGGGGCCGGAGGCAGGACGTGCTGTGTCTAAGGTTTGCAGCGGGATCTAGAATCTCCTTGGTTAGCGCTGTTGATAGTCTGGTCTCGGCCAGTGTTTTTTTACTACATGCAAATCAGAGTTCTTCATGCAGAGCAATAGTATACATTGTTGCCACCCCATAATTTCATATTTCTTTTTTTAAAAAGGTAGCTTTCAACACATGGAATACCAGTTTAGCAGCATAAAGCATGTTAATTACACAGGACTTTCTTTCTATTCATTAAAGCGGTCCTCAGAGTGCCTCTAATTGAGCTTGTTTTGCTTCCTATCTGTCCATTTGGTTCCTGAATGCCTTGAAAGTGATAAAAACTACTATCTTTAAAAGTTCTCTATAATTCAGAATTTATATAATTTAGATCAGGCAACTTCTCTCCTACCCTCTTTTTGCATATCACTGAGGGTTTTTAAACAGACCCTGCACAGGAGCTACTCAGGGAGAGCACTGTCATTCTCAGAGATGAGACGGGTCTTCCTTCCTGGGCTCCCCGCTGCAGCAGAGACCCGCTTCTGCACTGCAACCTGCAGCCAGGGCTCTTGCCATGCCGGCAGACACAGAAGGTATCACTTGCCCAACGTAAGATTATAAATATGGATTAGATCTGTGCAAGTTACAGACTCAATTATGAGAACATGCAGCTAAATCAGCCTCCAACTGTCAGAGTGTCAGGATTTCTGCTGGAGATTCAAAGTCTACCTGGGTTCCTCAGAACTTGAGAGAGAGAGAGAGAGAGAGAGAGAATGAAGTAATATATGTGTGTAGGGCAATTATAGAAGTAGAACAACCACTGACCCAGGAGATATGAGATGAAGGTTCTAGGCTGGGGTCTGATTCTAACTAGCTTTGTGACTTTGGAAACATCCTAATTCCTCCTTCTGAGCCTCATTATACCACTCAGGGAAAGAACGAGTTTTAGGGGGGAGATTTTTCACACTGAAGCCCCACCTTTGAAAAGCCTGACACCAAAGGCTTAGGTGGGTCTGACATGGGCCTCCCTTCCACCCTGAGACCCCTCCATCCTCTCCTTTTAGCGGTCTTTCCTGTGCCCATCTACCTGGCTCTCCTGGGCTGCTCTTCCTCCAGCCACCTCCAGGATGAAAATCTAACCCCCTCGCCTCTTTCTCTGAGGACCCAATTCACTCCACCCCTCAGGTGGAATGCCCTGTCAGTTTGGACCAAAAGTTCCTGGATTCTGTTGTGCTGTCATTTGTGTTCCATCCCTGTGCTCCACAACTGTTTGCCATGCCACCGTTGTGCACATTAACCTGAGTTCTCGTCTAGCTTCAAAGGGAATGGTAAGGGAGTTTCCAGCGGAAACCCTCATGAGCACCTAAACGTGGGCAAAGCTTACAGGGCACCCAAGGAGCTAGACCAGGCTGACACTTCATCACCACCTGCTCTCCATGTCCACTCCACCTCTTCCCTACCTTCTCTCCTTTCTCCTTTCAACAGAATCCAGGAAGTTCCTATAGGAGGAAGCCTCAGAATACAAACAACCAAAGATTTTGGAGTCAGGCCAATCTGGATTCTAATTCTGAATGGTTCTTATCACTAGGTATTTTTTGCATGCCTGGGGGCCCCTTCCTGTCTGGCTGTGGGCAATGTCCACCTCTAGTCCATTTCCTTGACACAGCCTCCAGGGCCAGGCTCCCTTTCAGCCTGCAGCAGAGACTCTGACCAGATAACTAGACTACATTTTCTAGGCCGCCTTGCAGCTAGGTAGGGCCATGTGACAGTTCCAGCCAATGGGATGTGGGCAGAGTGAGGCAGCCCACTTTCAGACCAGTCCTGAAAACCTCCCACGTGACCCTCTGCTTTTCCTCACAGTCTGTCTGCTGGATGCCAAGGTCCAAGACAACCTTGGAAACCACCTGATTTTGGCAGACTTGTTATCAGCCTGGGGCCCTGAGCACTCTTCCACTCCTTCTGCCTTCAGTAATGCTGATTAGACTTTGTGTAGAGTGGGGAATGAACTTCTATTGGGTTAAATAACTGAAATCTAGGAGTTTATCTTTTACAGCAGTTAATACTACTTTAACTAATATGTAACTCATATAGATGGGTCAGTCCTTTATCTCAGGGGAAGGATCTAGAATCCAGTTTTGACTTCTCCTTTTCTGACCCAACCCCAGCAGTTAACAAGAGCCCACATCTGGGTTTAAACAGGTGAGTGGCCTCATGTCCTCACTTTTCCATGCATTTATTTCTCTCTTGTCTGTTTCTCTCTCTGTCTTCTCTTCTGGGTGCTGGGCCAGATCAGCCAAGTCCCAGGCAGAGGAAGAGAGCCTATCAGGCCATGATCCAAAAAGCACCTTTTCCCAGGGGCTGCAACTAGCTGGCCCCTGTGCAAGCTTCTCTGCAGTTAATGGTGCCTTTGTGTTGGGATCATGCTCCTTCCAAGCAGTGTGTAAGCACATGCCACTGTCCTGGAGTCCCAATCAGGCTCTCTCCCCAGATGCCTCCTTAGTGGGGAAACCCATACAAGCAGCCCAACACCCCCACCACTCCCACCACCACCACTGCCACCTTGCTAAACCCCTGGTGCACACTAAACGGGGGCTCTGTGGATGTGTGTTGGCCCTGTTGCCATGACAACCAGTCACAGTGAATAACAACAGTGACTTCATCACTCTTGCCTGGAGGGCTGAGAAAAGCATGGCACACAGAGGAAGATGGGGCTTCTGGAGGTGGTGGGGAAATGCAGAGCTAGGAAGACTGGCATGGGATTTTGAAAATGTTCACACTCTGTGCCCTCCAGCTCCCTCTCTGCATAAGAGATATTGGGAAAGGGCTCAGGCCTTCCTCTTAGAGCCCCTGCGAGGATTCTAGAGTGGGCTCTGGAGGATAAAACACTGAGGAAAAAGGTACAAGGTAGAAAGAATGATGAGAGAAAGAGTTGAACTTCATTCCACAGCTATTTCTTGAACCCATGTTAAGCCCCATTGCTAGAGCTATAGCAATAAGTCAAGTGGATCCCACACCCAGGTATAAGGACCAGTCCATGCAAAGGTCCTGAGACAGGAGAGGCTTGTGTGGCTGGAGCCAGTGAGCAAGGACAGGGGAAGGGCATAGGAAGAAGTGAGACCAGAGAGGTCTTTTGTGGGTGATGCAGCTCATTGAGGGCCTTGTCCTATGAATGGGTGGGGGCATCTATTTATTTTGTGCTGCTATAACAGTACCACAGACTGGGTAATTTATGATGAACAGAAACTTTATTGGCTGATGGTTCCAGAAGCTGGAAAGTCCAAGATTGAGGGGCTGCATCTGGTGAGGGCCTTCTTGCTGTGTCATAACATGGTGGAAGGCATCACATGGATGAGAGAGAGAGAGCGAAGGGGGCCAAACTCATTCTTGTATCAGGAGCCTACTCCTGGGATAATGACATTAATTTATTCACAAGGGCAAGAGCCATCATGAACTAAGCACCTCTTAAAAGTCCCATCTCTCAACACCGTTGCATTAAGGATTAAGTTTCCAGCACAGGAACTTTGGGGGACACATTCAAACCACAGCATTTGGCTTCTGGCTCCAAAAATTCATGTTCTTTTCATATGGAAAATACCTTCATTCTATCCCAATAGTCCCAAAGGTCCTAACTTATTCCAGCATCAACTCGAAAGTCCAAACTCCAAAGTCTTATCTAAATCAGACATAAGGGAGACCCAAGGATTTGTCCTGAGATAAATTATTTTCTGTGAATTTGAAGAGAAGCTTTGAGACAAGCTGTGAGCCTGTGAAATTAACAAGTTATACACTTACAAAGTACAATGATGGGACAGGCACAGGATAGATATGTCCATTACAAAAGGGAGAAATAGAGAAGAAGAAAGGGGTAACTGGTCTCTAGTAGGTCCAAAAACCAGCAGGGAAAACACGAAGTCTTAAAGCTGGAGAATAATCTGCTTTGACTCCATGTCCTGCATCCCGGGCACACAAGGGTGGAGGTTGGGCCCCTAACGCCTCAGGCAGCCCCATTGCTATGGCTGTGCTAGGCTCAATCCACTCATTCTCTCACAGGTTGGAGTCTTGTCTTGCAGCTTTCCCAGGCTGGAGTTGCATGCTGGGTACCCCATGCCCATGACTCCACTAGGAATTGCCCTAGTGGGAACTTTCTGCAGTGACTTAACTCCAGGATAAGTTCTCTTCCTGGGCTCCCAAGCTCTCCAATACATTATTTGAAATCTAAGTAGAGGCCACGATACCTCCACAGCTTTGCTTTCTGCACACCTGCAGAAATAGCACCCTGTAAACACCACCAAGGTGTACCTCTGAAGCAGGAGTACGAGCTGCACTTGGGCCTGCCTGAGCCACAGCTGGGGCAACCAAAGAGTACTGTGCCAAAATGTGGGGAGCAGAGTCCCAAAGGTGGTGCAGGGCAGTGAATGCTGAGGTCCTCTGGGCACTTCTTTGGAAACCCTTCTCTCAAGGCCCTAGATGGAAAGGACATCCTGGAAGACCTCTGAAATGCCTTCAGGGTCTTTCTCCTATTCTTTTGGTAAATAGCCCCTGCCTCCCTTCTATTCTATTAGTCTCTTTAGCAAATGGTCACTTGTATACACCCTAGTTTGCTTTCCTAAACATACTCTTTCATTCTTTATGTGGCCAAGCTGGACATTTACAAAATTTGTATTTTCTGCTTTCCTTTTAATTATAAATCCCATCTTTAAAATATTTCTCTCTTCTCTCATTTTACTGTAAGTGGCCAAAAGAAGCCATACAGCACCTTGAATGCTTTGCTGCTTAGATATTTCTTCTACCAGATATCCTAGTTCATCACTCCTAAGTTCTGCCTTCCACAAAGTCCATTGTCCTCAGTGTCATCAAGTTATTTGCAACTATATAAAAGGGATGGCCTTTATTCCAGTTTCCAATGTCTTCTTCCTCATTTCTGTCTGAGACCTCTTCAGAATGGCCTTTACCACCCATATTTCTACCAACATTCTGATTATGACTACTCAAGTAGTTGCTAAGATTTTGGCTTTCCCTATGACTTTTTTCTTCTTATGAGCCCTCACCAGAATTGCCCTTAATTATGCCTAGTGTTCCATTATTGGAACACTAAGCATGTGGTAGTTATTTATATCCTAGCACTCAAGGTCATCACCAAGGTCTGATTGCAAAAATTAAAAAAAATTGCCACCTCAGGCATAAATGGGTTAATGCTTCATTTATTGCAATATAGGCTTTTTATAGCCTGACCTGCCAAATTCTGCCAACCTCTACCCATTACCTAGTCCCAAAGCCATTTCCACATTTTCAGATATTTGTTATAGCAATAGCCACACTTCTTAATACCAATTTTCTGTGTTAGTTTTGCACTGCTATAACAGAATGCCACAGACCAGGTAATTTATAATAAACAGAAATTTCTCTGGCTCATGGTTCTAGAAGCTAGGAAGTCCAATGTCAAAGGGTTGCATCTGGTGAGGACCTTCTCGCTATGTCATAACATGCAGAAGGCATCACAAGGACAAAAGAGAGAGGAAAGGAGGCCAAACCCATCCTTTTATCAGGAGCCCATTCCTGCAATAATTACGTTTCCAACACATCAACTTTGGGGGACACATTCAAATAATAGTAGGGCCTTTGGGGTTTCCCTCTGAAGAGAGGCAGGAACTGACTTACCCATGAAAAGGATTCCTGTGGCTGCTGTGCAGAGACAAGATGACAGGCAGTAAGGGTGGATGCAGAGAGATGCACGAGACCAGAGAGAGATGATGGGGCTTGGACAAGATGGCAGCAGTGAAGATGGCGAGAACTGTTAAGTTTCTGAACATATTTCAAATGAACAGCTCACAAGGAGAGAAAAAGAAGAATCAAGGGTTACAGGAAGGATTTGAACTTGAGCAACTGGAGAAAGAAACTGGAGAAAAAGGAGAGTAGTGGGAAGTCTGAGCCATCCTTTCTAGAAGGGTGGTAGAGCTCACCAACCCTCCCCAGAGGAGCAAGGATGCAATCAGAGGCCACTACCTTCTTCATCCCAAGCACAGGGAAGGCCTGTTCCTTGGGCTTCAGGTCTCCTCAGCACAGAACAGCCCTCTTCTCTTCCACTGCTCTGTTTGTGATGCTGGGAAGAGTATCCTGGGTTTGGAGCCACACTGGCCTGTGTTCAGTCCCTCACTTTACACATCCTATTATGCAGCCTCAGCCAAATGTCTTTCACTCTCCTAGTCTGTTTTCCTACCCATGTGCTACTCCACATCTGCCAGCTGTCATCTACATACACAAACACTCAGCCCCGGTAGTTCTGAGCCCCAGACCTGGTGGCCTTGAGGACCTCAGCACCCCAGGTGACCTCCCGTTATTCTGGAGAATGTTCAAGATAAGGCAGCCTCCTACATGTCCTGAGACAGGGCCATCCCTTCTTGTCCACCACAACCTCCTCATCCACATACCTCATCAGGCTCCTTTTCTCCCTTCCCAGCTGGCTGTGGCCTCCCCAACCTTCAGGGTTGTGTGTTGAGGGCAAGAGGTATCTTTTGTTCCCCAGACCACAAAATAGGCCTGTTCTTAGCAAGCACAGCTTCCTCTAGTTGTGCACCTAATCCCATGCACACCAAGGTTTCACTCACATTTTCAAAAAAATATTTCTTATGTGTCTCAAAGCATGATCTTACTGACCCTCTTCACAACCCTGTGAAGTAAACAGTGCAGATATCAAGGCTCCATTTTACAGAGAAGGATGCTTGTCCTGGGCTTGTCCACCCTGTGGAGAAGATGGGCATATGTGTGCATACAGGCGCAGCCCTTTGTTGATTGCGTAAGGTGCATGCACACTCACACAGTCCAAATGGTGCTATCTGTTTCCAGCAAGACACATTCCTGCATACCCTATAGGCAGTCTCAGACTCCCTGACAAAGTAGTTGAGGGAGGTTAGACTAGGTAATTTCCAAAACTGTTGAAATGAAGTCCTCCAAGTTCTGAAATCTCATTCTTTCTTGTCCCCCTTCTTTGATTGTGGGGCACATCCTTCCTTGTCCTGGAGGCACCAATGTCTTACAGCCCAGCACTGGTATTCACTGAACACTGAAATTTCAGGATCTGTAATAGGCTCTATACATGCAAGAAAAGATGCAAAGTCCATGACCCAGCTGGGAAGGAAAAGAGGAACCAGATGACTGACATCAAGTGGGGAATTGTCTGTCCATTTGCTTCTTCTCCTTGAGTAAAATTTTCTTTTTAAATCCTCTTTTGATACCAGCCCTGACATTTTCACATACAGTCTTCACCCAGGAAACACATCCTGAAGAAACACCACCCTTCAATTTCATGCACACTCACTGGGAACCTATTGGGTCTAATTACTGACATGCAGAAAGAAGCTCAAGCTCCATTCTTGACCCAAAGAATATGGAATAACCTGCAAACACTCTGTGTCAGAAACCAGCCCTGCTGGTGGAGGCCTCCTTGGACAAGGCTGTGGAAATATCCAGTGCCATCAGTCAGGGTCACAGAGCTCAGAAGGTTAGAGCAATTAGCCAATAAGAGAAGGCAGCCACATATTCAACCATGAGTTAAAAGCGAGATGAACCCCCTAATCAATGTGCAATCTGGAGAAAATCCCAAATGGTGTGCCACAGAATTTGAAATTTCATGAATAGTCATTTCTCTTTCTTGGAGGTATGTGAAGGTGTCTATTGAAATGAAATGCTCTCTGGGTGGAGTGGCACAGTTGGTCATTGTGGTTTCTTCTTTTTTAACCTGTCAGCATGGATTCATTAATTATTAAAGCAACATCACAAGATTGTGAGGTAATGGGACATAAAATAGATACATTCGGAGAAAGAAAAGGTTGTGGATAAGGAGTATTTGGAAGACATTCTGCACGTATTGAATTTTGGGAAAGAAAAGGAAAGAGGGAGAAATTAAGGTAAGAAAAATAGATGTTACAAACAGCATCCAAAACAAAAGGACAGAATACAAGGGGATGAGCCGGGAGACAGAGTTCTAAAACTATCCCTCCTGACACCTGCTGTGTGGCCCTGTGGGATCATCATTTCTGTCTGGAGCTTCGTGTTCTCACCCACAAACTCAGGGGTTGGGAAACGTGACTCTAAAGTCTCTTCCATCGCTGATTCCATCACGTATTAAGGTCAACTTTACCGCTAGGATTATTGTAATTACAGCAACAAAGGAGTTTTTATATAGAATTATCATCTATTTTATATAGAACTTTCTGTTTTGTAAACTCATTTAAACTCCTTATCCCACCTGATTCTTGAAAAAAAAAGCTAAGTCATATATATAGAAGTGAGAGGCCCATTTTGCAGAGCAGGGACATGTCATCTATACAGGGAAGCAGGATTGTCAGTTCTACATGTCCTATGCACTCAGAATATTGTTAGATCCAAGCACTTGCTGTTAAATGTATGTGCTAACATGCCTTTGAGGCCCTAAGAGAAAGAGACTTGGAGTCTACAGTAGGTGAAAAAAACTCTCCGCCACCTGTGGAGGCATTTCTTCCAGCCAGCCATCATGTCTCCTTCCCTGCAGGGCCCTGTGGGCATCCTCAAAGACTCATGAGATGTCCATGGGGACTCTGCTGACAACAAAGAAACATGTCTGCAGTGGTTTTCTGGGAACAGTCAACAGGTGTCCGCTGGGTTGATGGGAATGAAGCTCTGAGACAACGGAAGATTCTGGCTTCTCTGCCAGCCTGCCAGCCTGCCAGCCTGTCATGAAGCCTTTGGCTGTGTTGATCTGATCCGTTAGCCAGCAGTGAGATCAGAATTCTCTCATCTGACAAATGTTTGTAGAGCACCAGCTGTGACCAAGGCTGAAGCCAGAAATCCTGGGTCTTTTTGAGAGCTCATCCATGAGCTGTTTGACTTTGTGCAAGTTGCTAAACCTCTCTGGAGTACTCTTTTCTCATCTGTCAAACGGAGTCTATGTACCCGCTCTGGCCCTGCCCAGGACTCTTGTACAATTCAAATGAGACTGTGTCTATGAAAAGGCTTTCAAGAGCATAAGCCACTCTGTTAGCATAAAAGATGGCTGGTGGCAATGAATTTGATATTGACATGGAGGAGGAAGAAGAGAGGAGAAGAGGATGAAGGAAAAGGAAGGAGGAGGGAGAGAAAAAAGGAGGGAGAATAGGGATCTTTGAAATCTTGTCTCCTGGGGGTTGGGAGGGTCCTATCTACCTGACAAAGATACTGCAGGTTCTTTGTGTTAGACACACCAAGGCCGGGGGCGCTGATACTTTGGTGAATGCAAACTGGGAAGGTAGAAAAAGTGCAGGGAGTGAGGCACAAAAACACAGAGAGCAAATAACTTTATTCTTGCTCCTACCCTCTTACCTTTTCTCCCCCGTTATATCAAAATTGGTTTGTTTTCTCTGTGCAGTTTTGGAATGTAAAAATAATTTGTGCATTTAAATTAATCCCACCTTTAATTCTCTACCATCATTTTCCTGGGAGTTTAAATACGAATAACTGTTTGGTAACTGAATATGGACCTGCACTCTACAAACAAAATAAAGCATGTCACAAAGTCATTTCATGCCTACATGTTGATAATTAGAGGAAGGAGAAGAGAGAGAGGAAGAGAACCACCCCCAAACTCAATCACTGATGGTAGAAGAGCCTCATGGTTGGCTAGAGCAGTGAAAAGCTCAGAGCTCCAAGATTTGGCGGGTGGGTCTAAATTTAGAACTGATTTGTAGACAAATTGGAGGGAGTTCCGAGAAAAGCCACCAAAACAATTAGAGGAATGCAGCTTAATTGGCCCAGCTTGGCTAAGCAACTGCTAAGCAAGGAGCATTATAGAGTCTGTAGCCAGAGGAAACAGCATAGACTCTACTGAGGGGGAGGAACTATTTAGCTTGCAACAGAAGAGGCTCCAGAAAATAAGTAGAGCCCAGAGAAGGCAAGACACAGCTGAGGCCTGGGCCCAGCCTCTCATGGGAAGGCCCATTGGGTTTCTCTGGCCAAGAAGTTAAACCCCTTTGTGGGTCATTCCACCCCAAGTATTCCTGAAAACGATGCATCATTATTTAATTTAATTTTCACAACCCCCCTGCAAGGCAGATGTGTTTATTCCATTTTTACAGATGAAGAAACAGAAGCTCAGGGATGCTGAGTAACTTACCCAATATCTCTTGGTCATAAAATAAAGATTTAAACTCAGATCTGATTAGTTTTAAAGCCTATGCTCATCTCTGTGACACAATAGAACTTCCTGGGAGATGTGACAAGAAATGAAGAAACAGAAATAAAAGCCCCTATAGCTGAGGCTCCCAATGCTTCTTACGCAGTTAAAGGCTACATAAGTGGGAAGGCAAAAGAAGCCCAACTCTCTAAGGTGTACTCTGTCACACTGTAGTGCCTTAGAACAACCGGGCTCCCAGCCTTAGCCCTCTTGTCTCCTGAGATCTTGTTGCTCTTCCCAAACTAGCTGACTTCTTTCCACTTACTCCAGACCTAATAACCCTCTGACGTCCCAGCTGTGGCATAGCTGGAAGAAAACGGACTTCAGGTCAGACAGACCTGGTTTTCAATTCTACCTTTTTTAATTTTTCATTTTTTTGAGACAAAGTCTTGCTCTTTTGCCCAGGCTGGAGGGCAATGGTGCCATCATGGCTCTCTGCAATTTCAACTTACAGGGCTCTAGCAAGCTTCCTGCCTCAGCCTCCCATGTAGGTGGAACCACAGGTACTTGCCGCCAAGCCCAGCTAATTTTTTTGTTTGAATTTTTAGTAGAGATAACGTCTCGCTATGTTTCCCAGGCTGGTCTGAACTCCCAGGCTCAAGTGATCATCCCACCTGGGCCTCCCAAAGTGCTAGAATTACAGGCATGAGCCACTGCACCTCGCCATCAATTTTACTTTTTCAAAAAAAAATTGTGTGACCTTACCCAAGTTACTCAATTTCTCTAGGCCTGAGCTTACTCACCGCTTAAACAGAGCTCTTTTTTTTTTTTTTTTTGAAATGGAGTCTCCCTCTGTCGCCCAGGCTGAAGTGCAGTGGTGCGATCTAGGCTCACTGCAAGCTCCACCTCCCGGGTTCACGTCATTCTCCTGCCTCGGCCTCCCGAGTAGCTGGGACTACAGGCGCCCGCCAGCACGCCTGGCTAATTTTTTGTATTTTTAGTAGAGATGGGGTTTCACCGTGTTAGCCAGGATGGTCTCGATCTTCTGATCTCGTGATCCGCCTGCCTCAGCCTCCCACAGTGCTGGGATTACAGGTGTGAGCCACTGTGCCCAGCCTAAACAGAGCTACTTAAGTCTACCTTCCAAAATTGTTGGAGGAGCAAATGAGATAGTGAGCATAAATGTGCTTTGTAAATTGCAAAGTACTGAATGCAAGAGGATGTTATTGGTGATGGTATTGTAAGTTGCATTCTAAGTCACTGTAGACAATGTTGACCTTCACTG
Organism: Homo sapiens; assembly: GCF_000001405.40. NCBI lineage: Eukaryota > Metazoa > Chordata > Mammalia > Primates > Hominidae > Homo > Homo sapiens. The sequence continues at coordinate 33,594,378 of NC_000017.11, read as the reverse complement.
GGTTTCTCTCACTTCAGACTTGCACCTGATCCAGCCATCCCCAGAGCCGTACCTGCTCTGGTATGAGATGGGGGTTGGCCTAAAATCAGAGCAAACCAGAGACAGCTCTGAAAGCAGGCAGCTGGTGAACACCAAAGTTAAGACTGAGTCAGCCATCTGATAGATGGCCTACGTCAGAATAGGGCAGAATGCCAGCACTGGGACACATAGTGGAGGGCCAATGGCAGCCTGGAATCCAGAGACACATGAAACAGACAATGCAAATGGTGTAGGAAACGCGAGCTAAGATCTAGCAAGATGACTTGCATCTGAGACACAGCAGGATCTTCCTGATGGGACAGTGTCCAAAGATGGGACATTGGGACTTGGCTGGAATAGGGATGAAAATTTGAATAGAAAATAATAGTACTAGGTGCTGTCTGGCCCTTACAGAGGTCTTTAAAACTCCCTGAATATTGATTTATTAGCAGGCCTAGGGAATGGGGTTTTCTAAGGCTGTGCAGATACTGAGAATAATCTTCAGTCTTTGGAGAAATGAAGAACCATAGCAAGTGTAGCAGTCAGGGAGGTGCACAGACTAGGAATCAAGAATCTGAGGCTTGTTCTTTCTCACTGTATTGACCTTTTCAAAATTACTTATTACCCTTCAGTTCTCTCTTCTATGTGCAAATTACACAAAAGTCAACACTTATTCAGATGAAGTGCCTACTGTGTGGCTGGCTTTCGTCTAAGCACTTCACATGACTGACTCTTGTCCTCCTCAGAGTAACCCTACGGGAAGCTGCCATCATTATCACCATTTCACCAAGGCCCAGAGAGAAAACCTGACCAAGAGGCAAAGCTGAGATTGCAACCTGAGCTTTCTAGCTCAGAAACCCACCCTTAGCCACTGCATGCTGCAACCTTTTAAATAGATCCTGAAAGAGATGATTTCTGAGGCTCTTTACAAAAGCACAAAACATCAGTGATGGGCGAGCCCTTGAAGATAACCTAGCCACAATGTGCTTTTTTTTTTACCAATGAGGGGACCCAGAGAGACAATCAAGTGCCCAGCAGTGAACAGGCATCTCGCTCTAAAAATCTGTCACTGCATGATTCAAAACCACTGGAAAGAGGAAAATTCATTTATCAGCCAGATGTTCCATGGACATCACAGCTGTGCCTGCACATACAATTGCTGCATCTGCAGTGGATGTTTTGATATTATCAAAAACCTTTCTCCGTCCTCATCTCAGGTCCTTTGTATATCCTGGCCACAAAACCTAAGCAGTGATTCTTGACTTTTGTGGTTTGCAGATGCTTTTGGGGATCTTGTGAAATGTGTGAACTACTTTGCAGGTAAAAATAGACATACACTTCAATTTGGGGAAAGGGGATTATGAACTCTCTGAAACTCTCCCGTGAATCTCTAGGGGTCTGTAAGCTGCAAATTATAAAACTTCTGCTACAGATAATGAGAACACCAGAGCACAGCAGAATGGAAAGAAGAGATGGATTCTGAAGAGTCTCTCAGGAGATGGAAGGCCAAGCAATAGGGTCAAAGACCTTCTACTCCCTGAGTTGAACAGAAGACAGAGGAGAGGGCAGTGGAAGGTCTTTGATTCTGCTACTTGACCTTCTGTCTCCTGAGAGATGCTTCAGAAGCTGCTCTGTTCTTTCCATTCTACCCTCCTCCTTCACTTTGGTCCGGGGTAGAGATTTCCTGCTCGCAGTCCAGTCCTATCTACACCCATCCTTAAGCTTACTCACCACGTACACAGAGCTAATTAAGTCTACCTTCCAAGATTGTTGGAGAAGCAAATGAGATAGCAAGCATAAAAGTGCTTTGTAAATCGCAAAGTGCTGAATGCAAGTGGATGTTATCAGTGATGGTATTGTAAGTTGTATTCTAACTCACTATAGACAATGCTGACCCCCTCTAAGCTTCCCTCACTTCAGGCTTGTGCCTGACCCAGCCATCTCCAAAGTTACATATGCCCCGGTATGAGATAGAGGCTGGCCTAAAATCAGAGCAAACCAGAGAAGGCTCCGGCAGCTAGTGAACACCAAGGTTAAGACTAAGTTAACCATCGGACAGATGATCTTTGTCAGAATAGGGCAGAATGCCAGCACTGGGACACAGAGCAGGGGGTCAATGGTGACCTGAAATCCAGAGATACATGGAACAGATAATGCAAGTGGTATAGGAAAAGCAAGCTAAGATAGAATGGAAGTTCCATGAGGAGGGGCCCTCCTTGGTCTTGTGTGCTGGTGTGTCCTCAGTGCGCACCACAGTACCTGGCACGAGTCCAGAGCCCAGAAGACACTTGTGGGATGATGGTTTGTTTACTGTACAGGAGCCAGAGAATGGGAAACTTTGCACATTATCAATTTATTCTTGTCCTTGATTTTTCCTTCTTAGGTATAGGAGCAGAGGCAGGGCAGGTATGGCAGATGACCTAGGTTAGCTCAGGTTTCTCTAGGAACAGACCCTGAGATGAGGATTCTTGTGTGAGTGATCTGTTGAAGGTGCAAGCAAACTAAAACAAAAGCTGTAAGGATGTGAGGGAAGGGGGACCGAGCAAGGAGAGGGGCTCAGCAAAGCTACAGTCATTCTCAGCTTGATCCCAGGAATATCAATATGTACAAATAGCATCACAGAGTGGCCCCACTTTGAGACAAGGGCATCAGGCTTTTGTGCCCCTATATCAGTCAAGACATAAGATCTGAGACATTTCCTGGTGAGGTGGCTCCTATCAGGGCCAGCAGAGAACAATTCTCAGGAGACAGGTGCAATGGTGGGTTGTGAGACCCACTACCCCTAGCAGCTGGGGGGATGGCCCAGAAAGGATATTGGAGTGAGACACCAGCTGTCTGCTACATACTCTAAGTGCCAACTCAGATCGATTGATGGCGGCTGCCGACAGCTTTGCACTGAGAAAAGGTCAGAAGCCAAGCCTTGGCTCAGCTGAAAAGCACCAAGATGGATTAACCATGTCTGCTGGGGGCAGAGAAATGCAGCCCCAGTGGCATCTATTTGCCATTCTGAGCCTAAGGGGAAACTGGACCCCTACTAACTATCAGAGGTCTAGAGTGGTCCAGGGACTCTGGGGCAATTTTATGTGTCACACAATTCCGAATCTTATCATATACCATGTCAGACAGTTTCCTGTGTTTTGATTGACTATAGGTAGAAACCAGACAGGCAGCCAGTAACTGAAAGACAGCTTTCCCAAATGAAAGCAAAGGAGTTACTTAAAAGTAGACAGCCTTTTAGCAGAGGATGGCAGTCACCCTCAGAGCCCAGAACAGCAGAATATAACAGAAAACAGGAACAGAGGTGTTAGGAAATAGACATCAAGCATTTGAGCACGTTGGAATGAAGCCAATGACCAGACTGAAGGCTAAGACCCCATGTCTTGGGCTTCTCTACCCCCACAGACCCTAGCAATGTGCCAAACACACACAGCTGTTCCTGAGTACCTATGGTTTAGATGTTTGAAATCAAGTAAACCAAGCTTTGGAAACCAACTCTTGGAGGGAGAAGACTACAGCTCCAGAATTTCTAGAAATTTTCTCCCATGCAGACCTGTGGACACTCTAAGTGAAAACGGCAGCCTGGCTTCCTTTGTATGTCTCAGGATGTGATGAGTGAATCTCTGTTTTCATCAGTTATCATTATAGACTTTGGTGTCAGGAGAGATTGGGGTGTGGTGTAGAGATTGGAGTGTGGTGTAGAGATTGAGGTGTTGTGTAGAGATTGGGGTGTAGTGTAGAGACTGGGGTGTGGTGTAGAGACTGGGGTGTGGTATAGAGATTGGGGTGTGGTGTAGAGATTGGGGTGTGGTGTAGAGATTGGGATGTGGTGTAGAGACACAGCCATTGAAGGTGTTCTACCTGAGCTTCATTTCATGAGCCTAGCAGACCTGGTAGTAAATAAGAAACCTGTTCCTCACCATGATGAAGTACCTGTGCAGGGGGCTGGGATGACTCCCCCTTTGCTTCCTCAGGCCAGGAGAGGTCACTGGAGGCTCACAATGGTCCTAACAAAGAGGACAACAATGACAATAGCAACAGCTATGGCCACAAATATCTACTACTGCCTTAAAAGGTATAAAGCACTTTCAATCCATACTGCCCCTTGATCTTCAAAACAACTCAGTGAGGTAGGCAGGGGAATGAAAAGACCCAGGATGTTCCTTGGTGGGGTGGAAGTAGGGAAGGATATAGGAAAGGAGGGCATGTCCCACAGGGTACCATGATCCACCCTCTTTTCCTGAATGAACCCAGAGTCGCACTTCTAGGGAAACCAGGAACTGAGCTGGTGGTTGCAGCCACAGTGGGACACAGCATGCTCTTTGAGGGAGGGACAAGTGAGAGATTATATGATGGGTGGACCACCCCACAGAAATGCATCCTCCCTTGGCATTAATCTACTGTGTGTTTGCTTCCTCTTGCTTGGTCATTCTTAGCCTTCAAAATTCAGTTCAAATAGAATTATCATATGATCTACCAATTCCACTCCTGGGTATGCACCCAAAAGAACTGAAATCAAGCACTGAAGTAGACAGTTGTACAGCTGTGTTCATAGTAGCCAAAGGGTAGAAACAACCCAAGTGTCTATCAACAGTTGAATGGCTAAACAAAATGTGGTGTGTGAATATATATATATGAATATTATTCAGCCTTTGAGAGGAAGGAAATACTGATTCGTAATACAACTTGGATGAATCCTAAGGACATTGTTCTGGGTGAAACAAGCCAGACACAGAAAGATAAATACTGTGTGATTCCATTTATGTGAAGTGTCTAGAGTAGGCAAATTCACAGAGACAGAAAGTAGAATCGAGGTTTCCAGGAGCTGGGGTGATTGGGAAATGGGGAGTGTTTGCTGCACGGGCACAGGGTTTCTGTCTGGGATGATGAGTGGTTTCTAGGGATGGATGGTGGTGATGGTTGTATAGCATTGTGTATGTACTCAATGCCTCTGAATGATACACATAAGAATGGTTAAAACAATAAACTTTGTTATGTTTATTTTACCACAGTAAAATAAATAAATAAGAAATAATTTCAGTTCAGGGGGCTCATGGCCTTCTGAAAGCTTTCCTGGCCCCAGCCTGATAGTGTCAGCATCCTCTGTGTGCCTGGGAACATACTGTACTCGTGCTGTTAATGTTCTCAACTGTCTCCACACTAAGCTCTGAGCTCCTGGAGACTATGGTCTGTGTCCTCTTCTACTTCCCTTCTCTGGCTCTGGCCAAGTGCCTAGCACACTGTGACAATTTGATAATTCTATTTTAAAGCAATGAATCTGATATACGTGGCATGCTTAAAATGTATAGTATATGTTTATTTAAGTAATGAAATAGATATTAACTGTGATCCCAGTGGTGATTGGTTGGATAAACTTGGCTCAGGTTCTTCTTAAATTTATCTGATTCTTCTTTCCATTGTCATTTTGAATGGGCCACACAGCAAGTGAATTGACTGAGAAATGGTGAACCTGATATAGCATAAATGATACACAGTTTACTAACAGTTCTTAACACATGCCAATACCCCTACTGGAGAGATTCTTCTCCCACCACACTTTTTTAGCTTAGTCAACTCAGAATCTTCCTTCAGGCTCAAACATCTCCATATCTGGGGAGCCACACTTGACCCCTTGTATAAGGTAACACCTTCCCTCTCTGCCTTGGACTGAAATGAGCCTGTGATGCGATCTTGTCTCCTCTTTCCTCACACTTGTCTCACGGTGTTATATTACTTGTTTACTCTTTCTGTCTTCCCCATTCGACAGTAAGCTTCAAGAGAGCAGGAGTGCTACCCTCCCAGCATCCAGGAAAACTCCTAGCACATGGAAAGTTCTTAATAAATATGGATCGGAAGAATGGCTCAAGAAATAAGGAGTGAATGAAGGCAGTGATGTGGACATGAAACTGTACAAAGTGTGTGGCCAATCCCTCTTCACCAGCTGAAAGGGCCCTCAAAGATCACTGAATCCAACTCTTTCATCAAACAGATGAGGGAGGTGAGGTCCAGAAAGAGAAAGTGAATTTACCTAAGGTGGATAACAGAGCAACAGACAAACAAGAACTGGAATCTAGGTATCTCATGATTCTGTGCTATTTCCATGATAACATTCTCCCTGCTCCTCTCAAGGTCAAGATTTCTGTTGTCCAAGATGATATGTGATGTCATACCTTTGAGATTAAGCCATAAGCTCACATCATGCATGGTCTTTTGAAAATACCATTCATTTTAACAGAGACATTCTGAACAACAATGCATTAAACTAAAATGTCCCTTGCATAGTGGAGTTTAAAGCATCAGACTTGGCTGGTGGGGAATAGAATTGGGAACATTTTACAGTCCCAACTGGTGTTCCTAAATCTTTATAATGAGGCCAGGCTGTCCTCTTAGGAAAATCTGAATCAAGTGAGACTGTTATGAAGTCAGCTGAGATCTACTTGCCTGAAGTTATGTTACATGGTCAAGGCTGGGAGCGAGTGGGAGGAAAATGGTGAAGAGGGTGAAGGATTAGATAGAAGATCCCCCTGAAAGCTAGAAAAGGAAAAAAGAGTAATAATGTGCCCATCCATTTCTAATTCTATCAAGGGGAGAGAGTAGACAACTTCAGTCCTTAATCACAACCACCTTGAGTTTGAGGAAACTGAGTATGCTTCATTCATACAAGTGGACAGAGGTCTGCCTTCTTCTCTGCTCACTACAAGTGTTATGCCCAACCTCAAGGCATGAATCATGACTGGCCTAAGCTAATCATGGCAGTCAATCACGGCCAATCTAAGCCAATCTAAGCCAATCATGGCAGTCAATCACCTTCTTGTCAATCACTGGGCAAGCGCTGAGCATGTGAAAGCCAGTTTTTGCTCTCACTAAACTCCTTTTTCCTTACAACTCTGATGTGTAAAGACATCATGTGTACAGCTGTGGCAGCCATCTTAGACCTTTGAGGCAAGATATTTCCAGCACAGAGGAGCACAAAATAGCAGGACTGTGAGTTCTGAATGACATCACTGAGCCACTGAACTGACCCTGAGATCTTCTGTTTCTCATTAAGTGAAACGCTAAATACCCATATGGATTAAGCCATTGTTAGGGTTATGGTTTAAGCCAAGGGTCAACAAACATTTTCTGTAAAGGATCAGATAGTAAATATTTCCAGCATTGCAGGCTATATGATCTCTGTTGCAAGTACTCAACTCTGCCATGGTAGCACCAAAAACAGCCACAGACAATACATAATCATGTAACATATGTAAGTGAATAGGCTGTGTTCCAACAGAACATTATTTACACAAACAGGCAACAGGCTGGATTTGGTTCATGAGCCATAGTTTGTGAACTTTTGGTTTAAGTCATTGATACATTAATCTCACAAATATTTATTAAGAACTTCCTACATGCCAGCCACAGTGCTAGATGCTAGGTGTGGCTCAGTTATAGCTGAGATCAAAACAGATCAAGTCTCTGCCCTCTGAAGCTTATATACTGCTCAGAGAGGTGTATAATGAACAAATGAGAAAATAAAGAAGATAATTGCAGATCGTGGTAAATGCTGGATGTAAGTAGCATGATGTGATGGATAATTTTGAGGTCGAGCAGAGTGAAAGGGATGGAGCCAGTTTAGATGGATTGGGAGAGAAGGCAGGTCTAAGATGAGATTTGAGACCTAAAGAATAAGAAAGAACTTACTACATGAAGAAACAGGAAAATCCTGTAACAAGCAATAATAATTGAAGAAGCAAAGCAAAAACTCAAGACAGGAATACATTGGGCATATTCAGAAAGCCAAAAGAAGAATGACAAGGGAGACAAGAATATGTAGGGTCCAGATCACGCAGGGTCTTGAAAGCCTGGGAAGAACCATGGATTTTACGCCAAGAGCAATGCAAGGTTCTACAGAGGGAAGTGGCATAGTGATGATTTACATTTTTTTAATGATCAATCAGTGGGTTGTAGGGAGGCAAGAATGAAGCAGAGATGCTAGTTAGGAAGCTATTGCAATAACCCAAGAATTTTATAAGACGTATCTCAATTCACCCGAGCAGGTTACAATAGGTCCCCCTGCCCCCCTAGATGGTAAACTCAGACTGAGAATATAAAATATGAGAACCCAGAAGCTCCAGAAAAAAGCTCCAGAAAGATAGACTGGCTTCTTTATGAGGATATTCATGAAATCACAATTCAATAAGATCCTGAGACAGGGTGACTTTGCGCCAGGAGCCAAGAGCTGCGGTGGACACTCTTCTTTGCCAGCTCACACAGAGCCATGTTCACTTGCTTCTCCTGAGTCTAGGAAGCACTGGCACAACTTAGAGGTGGCTGAGTGCCCCCTTCTGCACACCAACTGAGACAAGGTATTGCGGAGGCATGCATGACCACTCCGCCATCCTTCTTCCCTAGTTACTTAGTCTTATACTGTGGCACTACGCTCCAAAAAGGACACTAGTGGAGAGGCTCGTCAGACTGTATATTTATTCCTCACTTTGTTCCACAGAGGATTTGAAGCAGCTTTCAAGACATATATGTAATAAAGTAAAAGATATAAATTAAATATATCAAGACTAAGAAAACTACAAATTAGATAAAACATCGAGACTAGCGGGCAGAAGGGAAAACTAAAATGCAGGTTATAACATCCTACCTGGTTGCCATAACAAAAAAGGATAAGAAATCCCATCTGTTAGCTGATTCCTTCTGTCTTATTTATATTCCCTGCAGCATTACACGGTTTCCCATATTGCAACCAACTCCTGGGGCTTTCTGGCCAGTCACATGGTGACCACATGCCCAGTGCAGGTGCCTCACTCTCCCTGCTTGCCTCTGTGGTAATCACAAAAACAGTCCTTTCTCCACTCTGGGTGGGAAGGAAAAAGTGCAGCTGGTATCTGCAATTTTCTACTCAGTTGATTTGTTCTGGGTTTGGTTTAACTTAATGATTTCTCAATAAGATTTGAATTTCTTCAAATTAATAAAGGCAAAATGCTAACAAGCAAGGGAATGGAACCAAGACATGAGATCCCATCCTTCAGAGACTGGGGAAGGCATGTAAGTTCCCAGGGCCAGAGGTCCTGGGACTGGGTCAAGGACACAGTGAGGCTGACAAGGGAGTACATCCATGAGCCACGTGGCCTGCCTGGCTCTTGCCCTGATTCAAGGCTAAAAGCCCATTAACCTGGACTGGAGAGCTCAAGACTCAGCTCAGGCTCAGGCCACTTTGAACAAATCATTTTCCCTCTCCTTCCACCCCAACTAAATTAGATTGGCTGGTTTATTAGGAAGGGTTTAATCTCTAGGCTGGAGGGAAGGAGGCTGTAGCCCACAAGGACAGAGATTCTGTGGATGGCAAGTGAGGGCCCCAAAACTCTTCTCCAACTGAAACTACCTCATGGACCCTCCCTCCTCTCTCTGTCTGCTCCTTCTCTGACGTTTTCCCTCCATCCCCCATCATCCCATCAATCCACCATGGTGCCTCTGCCCTGTCTTTGTCTTTAGGCCATCGGTGTCTCTCTCATGGGTCTTTCTTGCCAGGCAGTTCCTGTTAGTGTCCCCTCTCCGGCTCAGCACTCTCAGGCTTCCGAATCCTTCTCCTACGAACTGTCTCCACAAGCAGCCTAGGCAGGAGGGGTCACTCCATCACCAGTACCTCCTGTCCCTCCACAACCCATCAAACCCCACCCCAAGATCTGACTTAGATGGATCTCCTGCCACTCTCTGATCATCCATAAGGTTCTTCTGGCTGTTCTCAGCTAGCAGCCCTGGTTGGCTGCTCCAGGTACAACATCTGCCTCACCTGTGCCAAGTCACATGCCACCTCCCTCCCCTGAACCTGATGGAGGTGACAGGGCTCTATCACAACAGACACCCTGGGATTCTGAAGTAGAGTGACAAGCTCCTCCCAATTTGCCCAGAACTTACCCAGTTTTAAAATTAAAAGCCTCAGATCCTAAAAATCAACTCAGTCCTGGGGTAAACTGGAATAATTTCAACAAGAGCCATTCATTCTCTTGTTAGCCACCCCACAAGAGAACTAGACTCAGACTCTAAGAACCAGCTTCCAGCCCCAGCTCTGCTCCATACTAACTGTAATCATTGACAACACATGTCACCCTCTCCATGAACTAAAGATGGCGATCCCTTCCCTGCCTACCTTTGAGATGATGGATGTGAAATGCTTAGTGAACACTAAAATACTGGACAGATGTAGAGGGGGTTTTATTATCCAGTGTTTATGACCTAGAGGCCAGAGTATTAGCAATTTCAATTAATCAAATAAATGGAAAAATAAATCGGTTTTATGAAAACGGATTTCCGAACTGTGCCAAGAGTTCAAGGCTAGGGCACAGGAAAGAAAACAATCCAAAAGGCCTGTAGCTCTGGCTGAGATAAACCCAAGCAGAGGCTTGCTCATCCCCACCCTCAGCTCCAGGAGCCCAGAACATGTCTGCCTGGGACCTACACACTCAGCCCCAGGATGACATCTCATCAAGATCCTTTCTCAACCACAGAGAAATCAAATGCAGTTTATTCTTAATTGCCCATGCTGTGACTGAATAAAATGAAACCGTGGCAGCTGAGCATCATTTACCTGGGGCTTCACAAGCTGCTTGAGTGCTCACCCTTGAACATTGGTATGTTCGGTGCTATGGGCTATGAAATAATCTGGGCATGTTCTGACATGCCCTAAGACAGTCCCCTCTCCTTCTATAGTTTCTATTATAGAGATTTTCCCTAAACACCGATGCAAAACACTGGCCTAAACAGGACAGGCATTGTCTTGGAGTTTGGGTCCTGATGCTTAGAGCTGAATACAGACATAGCTATAATGGCTGGCTTGGCTCCCTTCCTCTGTTCTGGAAGGAAGGTCATGGTTGGGGCATACATTCAATGTGTTTCATAGATAGCACAGTGCCCACTGCGAAGCAACTTCTCTTCTAGGGAGGCAGGCAGAGAAATGTCCACACATAAGCATTTCTAATATAAGGCCTTCTAAGTCCGCAGTAAGTAATGGGGCCATTTATGCCAACATGAGCTTAGGCAGGGCAAGTGACTGACAATCTCATCAATAATTAGTGAGCAAGGTTTGCTGTGGACAATTTGTAATGCAGATCATCTGTCCCTGTATAATTAAGAATAGATTGTATCCAGTTCTGGTTTATGGGTTTATGGCATTGAGGCCTTGTGAGTCCAATAAAGAAAAACAACAATAAAACTAATAGCTTCCTCTCCCCCTGCTCAGCTAATCAATGAGAAAAGAAGCCTTACCTTAGACCAAGCCGCTGCTGGACTGGACCTTTTCAATGAGCCTTTGTAGAAGTCACCAGTGTCCCCACACTCATTGCATCTGGAGGGCAGGGTGAGAGCCAGCCCAACCCCACCCAGCCCCACTCATTTGCAGCATTAGTAACGTTATTTGCTGATGAATTCCACTTTGAAAAGCCAGCAACAGTGAGAACTACAGGGCTTTGCCTAGATTAAAATAACAGTGCCCACTGCTTTTTAACATGACAGAGGTTTTTAAAATAAAGAATGTTCTTAATGTTCATCTCTTTGTTTTATAAATGAGAAAATGAAGCTTTGGAATGTGTATGAGGGGGTGTATGAGTGTGTATGAGGGGGTGGGGTGTGGAGACCAATCGAGTACCTTGTTGGAGAAACAAAAATTGAAATCAGATCATTTTGATTCCATCTGTGAAATAATTGCAAATATGTACTGAATATTTACTATGGCAAGCCACTGTTCTAAGAGCTTGAGGTACATCCTTTAGTTAATCCTTGTGACAACCCTATGAGGTAGTTACTGTTACTATCCTAACTTTGCAGGTGGAAAAATAAAGGCATAGAGAAGTTAGGTAACTTGCCCAAGGGTCACACAGCTAGCAGACCAAACTGAGATTAGACCTCAGACTCCAGACAACAGACTCTTAAGCGCTAACCTCTCAGCACCCTTGCCTCTCGGTTGAACACATCCTGGAATCTGCAGCTATTTGGGAAATCATTAATTTATAGACTGAGCCTGGCTCCTTTGCTTATCCTTTTAACATTTATTCATTGATTCATTCACTTATATTTATTGAGCATTTACTACATATCAGGCTGTAAGGCCTCCAAATAAATAACACCCAGTTTCTGCCCTCCAGGTGCTCACAACGCATTACTGTCCCTCCCCTAAGTGACAGTCTCCTATTTTGTAGATTACATTCATTTTCGACAGCTGTTGTAACAAATTGCCAAACTCGGTGGCTTAAAACTACACTCATTTATTAGCTCCTAGTTCTGTGGGTCAGAAGTTCAAGCTGTCTTCAGGAAGGAGAATAAGGGTCTGGAGGCAGGGAACTTAAGGACAATTGGTGCTGAATCCAGGAAAAACACCAAGGTGTGGGGACACGGAATCTGAGGCCAATTCGTGCTGACTTCCTAAAGCTGAATCAAAAGGATAGCACCTGGGTCTACGGTCAGGGAAGCTAAGGCCAATTAAACCAACTTCCTAAAGCTAAACCAAAAGGAAAAACCCCACCTCCCCGCTCCAGAGTAGCAAAGGAGCAAAGGCTACTCAATGTCTCAGATGGACAGGGAGAGTGCCTTCGATGGGCCGAGGACCAAGCAGGGACCATCCCTTCATCGCATAGGACACCAATTCACTTCATCCTTTAATTAGCCACAGGCCAAATTCTTCATCCAGATAAAGGGTAGCCAATAGGAATCTGAACAGGAGAACTTAAAACCCAGAAAACTTTGCAACTGGGCCCTTGAGCCACCTGCTTGGGCCGACTCCCACCCTGTGGGGTCCTTTTTCACTTTAATACATTCCTGCTTTCCCTACTTCGTTCCTATGTTTCAGTCCTTTGTTACTTTGTGTGTTTTGTCCAAGTCTTTGTTCAAAACGCCAAGAAACTGAATAACTTACACTCAAGGCCCTCCTTCCAGTAACAGCCTTGGGTGGGCTCTTTGATGTCATAGTGCTGAAGTCAATCTGTCAGCTGGCTGGGGCTCCTATCAGGAGGCTTTGGGAGAAAATCCACTTCCGGATCACTCAGGGTGTTGGCAGATTTCAGTTCCATGCAGCTGTAGGACTGAGCACTTAGGTCGTTTTCAACTTCCAGAGGCTGCTTGCATTCCTTGGCTCATGGCCTCCTGCATCTTCAAGGCCAGCAACAGAAAGTTGAATCCTTGTGCTTTGAATCTCTCTGACTTCACCTGCTGTCCTCCTCTTCTGCCTTTAAGAACACATGGGATTACATTGAGCCCACCCAGATAATCCAGGCTAATCTTCCTATTTTAAGGTCAACTAATTAGTAACCTTAATTACATCTGCAAAACTTCTTTTGCTGTAAATGTAACATATTCATGGACGTGGTATCTCAGCCTATTCAAAGATCCTAGAGATTAGAGGTGTGATCTTGAGGATGGGGACATTTTAAAAATTTTGCCTACCGCATAAACCAAAAAGGTGGTATCTACATGACCGTGGCCCATTAACCCTGGGTAGGTGCCCCTATGCAGATGACACTATTACACTTGTAGTGCTTGTATCCCATAGGCCTTTAAGCCATTTAATAAAAAGAACTTAGTTATTTTTCATATCTTGGGGAGGTGCTACAATAAGACATTACTACCACCTTATCTTATATTAGCTGAGACGCAGCAAGAGTGAGATCCCACTGACGAAGTACCTGGGGACCCCAGGGTCACAAAAACAAGAGTGAGGAGGAGGTGCTGAGCTGGGGTCATTGAGTCTTCACTCTCATTCTTAACTCCTCCTAATCCTGAGCTAACCTGATAGGTGCAGGGAGCCATTAGGACCCTCAGCGTCACTCATGAGTGCAGCCTGGCATTGGTTTTAGTGCAACAGACCCATCATCCAATTTGCCTAGTGTGGGCCCTGGGGACCCACACATCTACAAGTAACATCATTTGCATTCTTTCATGATACTGATGCCACCTGTAGTGCGGTTTCTACTCAGATCTCTAGTCCCCAGCTCTTTCCTTCCGCTCCCTCTTTGCATACATCTCTCCCACCACAATGGTCAAAGCCCTGCTCTCATAGAACTCTATACCCAGAGTTGCAGCAGTGCTGCACTCCTGACTTTGAGTCTTACCTGCCACCTGTATTTGTGATGCTGGGTCCTTTGCATTTAATTAGATCCAGATGGAATTGATATCCATCTGAATGGAGTCTGAGTTCTCCATGCCAGTTTGGATGCTGTATAAAGTGGTCTGGTGGTCAACTTACTACCCTGTGGGTACCAACCCTGGAGTTCAGGATGTTAATAAGACGTGAAGCCAGCTGGCCTTCTGGGTCAGGTGGGGACTTGGGGAACTTTTCTGTCTAGCTAAAGGATTGGAAATGCACCAATCAGCACTCTGTGTCTAGCTAGAGGTTTGTAAACATACCAATCAGCACTCTGTAAAAACGGACCAATCAGCATTCTGAAAAATGGACCAATCAGCTCTCTGTAAAATGGACCAATCAGCTCTCTGTAAAATGGACCAATAAGCAGGATGTGGGTGGGGCCAAATAAGGGAATAAATGCAGCCCACCCGAGCCAGACGCCGAAATCCAAGGGGTGTTTTTCACGGTGTGGTAGTTTGTTCTTTTGCTCTTCTGAATGAGTTTTGCTGCTGTTTAGTGTTTGGGTCCGCACTACTTTTAACAGTTGTAACGCTGGCTGCGAAGGTCTGTAGCTTCACTCTAGAAGTCTGCCAGACCAGGAGCCCACCAGAAGGAAGAAACTTCAGACGCAGCTGAACACCTGAAGGAACAAACTCCCGACACACCATCTTTAAGAGCTGTAACACTCACCAGTAGGGTCTGCCCTTTCATTCTTGAAGGCAGGGAGACCGAGAACCCACCAGGAGGAGACAATTCTGGGCACAGTAAGGCACGTGATTCTCAATGAATGTTGAATGAATAAACTGGATGGGTACCCCGCAGCCCTAGTCTATATCTCCTTGTTTTCTACCTTCCCCTCCAGAATAATGAGGCGGAGTGTTAGAGGTTTGTAAACATACCAAGCCACATCGTGTTCCAGTGTGCCCTGAGCCAACATCTGAGTCACCCACCTGCATTTTTTTTTTTTTTTTTTGAGACACAGTTTCATTCGTGCTACCCAGGCTGGAGTGCAATGGTGTGATTTTGGCTCACTGCAACCTCTGCCTCCCGGGTTCAAGCGATTCTCCTGCCTCAGCCTCTCAAGTAGCTGGGATTACAGGCGCCCACCATCATGCCTGGCTACTGTTTTATATTTTTAGTAGAGACGGGGTTTCACCATGTTGGCCAGACTGGTCTGAATCCCTGACCTCAAGTGATCCACCCGCTTCGACCTCCCAAAGTGCTGGGATTACAGGAGTGAGACAGCGCACCTGACCATTAACCTGCATTCTATAACCGCTTCCAAGGTGCTCCCTAGGACCAGGTGAGGATGCAGCAGCAGAAGCTAGAGAATTCTGACCCCATCCATCTTTTCTTGCCTGCTGTGGCAGGGTTTTACCACGGTCACTGTTTCAGGTCACAGACCCCAATGTTTAGCTCCACAGTTTAATTACAGTCCCTGAACTATATGAACTGTGACTAGACTAATCTTAGGATTATGCGAAATCAGCACCTTCCAGGTGGGGCTGTATTGAAAAGCCATTAGTGCCCCCTCTGTCAAGGTCAAGCCGGGTCAGTTGTAGAGTTGGTGTAGGGAAGAGGAGGGGGGAGTGAAGTAAATAAGGGGAGAGATGGAGTCTAATGACATAGTGACTGAACCCCAAACGTATAAAGATCTTCCCAAGAATAGGCAAAGGCTTCCCTAAGGAAACTTGTTTGAACTTTTTTCTTGGTGTCCCTTAGCCATTTTGTCTATGTCCCTTTATTCTTCTATCCGTCCCAATTGTCTCGCCCACCCATTTTACTTTGTTCAGTCTTTATTCATACTAAGGTGTAAATGACTGATACTGTAAATGAGTAAGGTAGCAGAGCCTGAAGAGATTTTAGAAATCATCTGGTTTAACGTGTCCTATAAATAAAAATTAAGGCTCAGAGAATTGAAATGTCAGCTTGAGTTACTACCAGGATTAGAAACTTCTAAACCACAGTGTTTCACTGTGCTGTCATTTGCTTTTAATGACCAGTAGATAGGGGAACACTTCTAAGGGCATTCAGAACGTCTCATCATTCCTAAAATCAGAGATTATGGCCCAAAGTAGAGTGGAAGGGGTTCAGTTAAATAAAATAAGGGCAGGTGGTCTCTAAACTGCCAGTAGAATGGGTTCCAAAGGTGTCTTATAAGTCAGCTGTTTAGGAGACGGGAAGTATGTTCCTATAGAAATTCAGCTCCACCCAGAAAGTACAGTCCTTGAGTCCTCGCTGTGTGCAAAACCTGTAAATGGAGATTGGAAGCCCAAGTAAGCAACAGAAGCGTGGCCAGGCTTGGATGCAGCTGGATGAAAAATGCTAATAATGGCATTTTCAACTCACACCTCAAGCACCAGGAACACACCACTGGCTGCCACTGGAAAGGTTCTCTTCTCTCCTTTGGAGAGGCCCTAGGCAGAAGGGTAGGAGTTTCACGGATGGTGGTGTAAGACAGGTTGGGGGCAGGCCGGGTGGAACATGGTGTGAACACAGAGGAGGGGAATGAGGCTGAGCAGTCATATCTGGGACATCTCTCAGTTGGTGGCTAATTCCTTAGAGAATGAGGGGACTGGTAAAAATAGGTGCTAGGGGAACTGCTTTTCCACTGTTGTTCATTTGCTGCACCCAAATCCCCTGTGGTTGGTAAGAATGCTCATTCCAGGGCCATATTCCTGAAATATCAGGTTTGGTTATTCTGGGGAGAAGTCCAGGAAATACTAATGCTGTGCCAGGTTGGGAAGCACTGGGTCTAGAGAACCAATACGGTAGGGTCTGTTGTCTCCACAGCATGGGGAGGCCTCTCAGCAGCACCTGAATCCCATGTCAGGCTGCCCTGCTCGCCGCTCCTCTTCCTTTACACCTCTCCCCTGGAGATTCCCTTCCAGAAGGAGCAAAGCTGTTTTCTGACAAGGAAATGCTTCAGTCTCTTCTGAAGCTGCACAGTAATTTAAGGGCTGCACTTAGACCTGGGGCCACAGAGGGAGCATAACATGTTCCAGAAGCCTTGGACTCCTCTTAAAATGACCCTCCCTTGCAGCAGTAATAGGAGGCTTCCCTGGGATACTGTGTATAAATCACACAGCACTCAGTGGCAATGGAGAGAGGGCTAACTGTCTTCAACATTGTCTTCTCAAGCCCTAGCAGTTGGGTATTCTGGCCAGAGGAAGGTATAAGAAGGAAAAGCAGAGGAGAAAAGATGAATGAAGAGGCTCAAAGTCAACAAAGAGGTCATACATTTGTTACAAGGTAATGTTTAATGAGAACATACTATATGTCAGGCCCTATTTTGAGCGCATTACACATATTAATGCATATAACCCTTACAACAACTCTATGAGGTAGGTGCTGTTGATACTCCCATTTTATAGAGAAGAAAAGTGAAGCCCAGAGATGTTCTATACCTTTCCCCAGGATCACAATGGTGGAATCGGTATGATCCTGGTTCAGGTCTGTGAGACTCAAAGAACCAGGTGCCCTTTGCTTTCTCACCATACTCCAGGTATAGCATTTATGGGTAGGGAGTAAGGAGAAAACATCTCCTTCTTGCATGCTATCACTGCCTGTACCAAGAGCACTGGATTGCAATGAGTTCTTATTAAGTGCTCACTTGGCCTTCACAGGTGCCCTGTGAGGTAGGTACTGGTATCATTCCCACTTTCCATTGGAGGACATTGGGCGCTGTAAGCCTAAGTAAGTCACTTGAAGTAACACAGAGAGGCAATCTGGCTCTAGAACTTGTACTATCTATGCTGTTCTGATTTTTCTGCCATAAATTAAGAATGAATGAAAAAGAAAGATGCAGACCTTGGCCAGGAGGGAATGAGGGTGCCTGCTATGTGCTAGGCAACATACTAGGGGCTCCCCATACCTAGTCACATCTATACCTGAATTACAACAAGCCTAGGCTTGGAGAGGGCCTTGCATGAGGTCATAGAGCTGAAAATGGCTAGAAACAGGATTTGAACTGGGTTCTCTCTGAAGTCTGTGCTCTTTTCATTCACCAGCACACACACAGAGGCACAAGTGCAAGGAATCAGGGGCACGATCTAGTCATGCACAACAGTCTGGGGCAGAATGCAAGCCTGAAAGCCAAAGGGTGCAGGGCTCAGGCAGGTCAGTCTGGTCTAGGCGGACTTCTAAGAAAAGGTAGAGAGAAGGTGAGTGAGTGAGGAGGTAAATCTGGAGCTACTTGAATGGTTTGGTTCTGACTAGGAACTGTGTCCAGTTTTTTATTTAAAACAATACTTGCATTGGATCGCTATAAATAAATGATGGACTCTGTTTCCAAATCGGCTTTTATTTTCATGTGTTAACAACTAATTACAGGCAAACTCTGCAGGCATCCCCTTTCTAAGCCTGCAGAGCCATTAGCTGTGGGGCGTTTGCTCTCTTGGCATGCATGTTTAAAGAGCCCCTTGCCTCTCTGTACTCCCTCTTTTGAAGGGGGGCCCTGCTTGCTGATAGCCTGCCCCTCTGCCCATGAAACCTACCGAGTCCAGAGCAGCTTGACTCACTTGTTTCAAATACAGTTTTCATGGAGAGGAAAGCAAGGCATGCATTTAGAGCCCCATTCATATCCTGTGATTTCTGGGAGCCCCTGGGTTAACATTTATCTCCGTACAGTTTTTGCAGATAGCACTGCCCAGCTGCCAATTCTCTTGGAAAAGAGGACAAACCATAGGTAGGCCTGAGTAACTCTTCAAAGCACCACCACCATATAAGCCACAAGCTTGTCACAGAGCTCCTTTCTTCACCTTTCAAAGAAGGAGAGTTACCTATTGACAAAACTCTTCCTGGGTGTTATTATTTATACCTAAAGGTAGTGAAATATTCCTTTATATCACACTCTACATTTCACAGTGCTTCCCAATCCAGACTAACTGGTCTCCTATTTATGGAATTATAATGACAGTCTATGGCATCTATGGAACTTGTGCTATGTGTTAAGTACTTTACATGAATCGTCGAATGCTTACAGAAGCCCTGGGGACTCAGTGCTGTTTGCATCTCTACCTTCATATGAGGAAAACAAGGAGTGGAGATTCAGAGATGAATCACTCATGAGGTAGTGGCAAAGCCAACCACTCTGCTGTTGGTAGAATGGGCTGGAACATTTGAGATCTTGTGTCCAGCCCCTTTATCATCATGTGAGGAGACTGACGTGTGGAGGCCAGGCGTTGGTCATATGGCCAGCTAGTGATAGAGCCAGGACTAAGATCAGACCTCCCCACTCCTGGTGCCACCTTCTTTCCACTCTGCTGAAACAGACAGACCTGAATCTGTACCAGTTTCTACTCTTATTGGTTGAGTGTCCTTGGGCAAATTACCAGATTCATTTTCCTCATCTATAAAATATGAATATTAACACATATCTTGTAGATCTGCAGCAAAAAAAAAAAAAATAGAAACAGAGACCACCCAAACTAGCTCTTCAGACACAATAAATGTGCCGTTCTATCTTCCTCTCTCCATGGCAAAGTTTTTGAGACAGAGAGGAACCACATCTATTGACTGTCCTAGAATATTTTTGTAAAGATATATGCAATTTGTAAGGCTAAAAATAGATTAACATCTATGAAAAATAAAGTGTTCCTATAAATCAACAGCTCTCAACTGAGGGCAGTTTTACTCCCCAGGGGACATTTGGCAATGCCTGGAAACATTTTTATTTTTTGTCACAACTGTTGTGGGAGAGAATTTGCTACTGTCATGTAGTGAGTAGAGGCCAGGGATGCTAGTAAGATCCTTCAATCACAGCACAGCACCCCTACGCAACCCCTGCCAAAACAAGGGATTATCCAGTCTAAAATGTTGATAGTGCTACTGCTAAGAAACCCTGCTATAAATCAATAAGAAAAAGATCAACAACTCAATAGTAAAATGGACAAGGCTATGGACAGGTAAGATAAAGAAGTGGAAGCAGAAATGGTCAATAGGCATGAAATACACCCTGCCTGGTGGATCATCAGGGGAATGCAAATTAAAGCAAGAGCAAAGGCCATTTTCCCACCATCCAAGGAACAGGAATGAAAAAATCTGAGAGTGCCAAGTACTAATTGATGGTAGAGCAATGGTAACTCTTATGCTAATGCAGATACAAACACTTTGAAGAGCAGTTCGGTATTATTTAGTTAAGTCAAAGATACACCTAAACGAACAGAACCACCTTAGAGAGCTCCTCCTCCCTGTGCAGGAGAAGTGAGCGGCACTCTGGTAGTGAGAGATTAGAAACACCCTAACAGTCCACCAAAAGAGAAGGAGATGGTCAAATGAGTAAGCAGCCTGTATCAACGTGGCTGAATACCAGAAACTTGATGTTGAGGGCAGAAAAAGTTACAGTGGATTCTGAAGATAGTACTTTTGCTTAGATAAAGATTTAAAGCAGGCAGGCTGCGTGTGTTGGCTCATGTCAGTAATTCTAGCACTTTGGGAGGCCGAGGCGGGTGGATCACCGGAGGTCAGGAGTTCGAGACCAGCCTGGCCAACGTGGCAAAACCCTGTCTCTGTTAAAAATACAAAAATTAGCGGGGCGTGGTGGTATGCACCTGTAGTCCCAGCTACTCAGGAGGCTGAGGCAGGAGAATCGCTTGAACCTGGGAGCCAGAAGTTGCAGTGAGCCAAGATCATGACACTGCTCTCCAGGCTGGGTGACAGAGCAAGACTCTGTCTTGAAAAAACAAAACAAAACAAAAAAACAAGATTTAAAGCAGGCAAACAAAACTGTTAACCAAGCTGATGTTTGCTTTCCCACATGTGCTGGAAGCATAATATCTAGCTTGGGAATATTCGTTGCAGGTGGTGGTTATCTCTGAGGAGGGAAGGTAGATGGGGAGTTGGATCTAGGAGAGTCACACAGAGGCCTTCTGTTGTATTTATAATGTTTCATTTCCTGAGATGGGCCGTGGGTATTTGTTTAATTTTTCTCTGTATTATTTTCTATATTTTATATACTTATAAATAAAGTTAAATGACAAAGAAAATAGCAGGGTATTCTAAATGGTCTAGTGGCCCCCTTTAACACAGGTTGGAGCAGGAAATCTGAGAAAGGAGTCCTGAGGGAATCTTCAGTCCATCTTATTCTGGATTCCTTATATGAACCATGCTTATCCAGGTAAACGTGTACCATGAAGCCCATATTTCACCTTCATGATGACATTGTGGCCCCTCTGAAGATTGGCACCTGTGCGTTTTGGGAAGACCATAGTTTCACACCATAAGAGGAAATCTATCTTTCTGGAAGAACTAAGATTCAGGATCCTTGTTCATTTCATAGTCAACTCCAAAATATGATAGGCAGATGGTTGTGACAGTCCCTGAGGACAGAGGAGATGAGGTCACAGGCAGTGTGCATGGTTGAAGGCAGGAGGAGGGCAGAGAATGGAATGTTCCCAGAGATGACAGCTGTGTGCTTCCAGCCAGGCCAGGCTATGGAGCAGGGGAAGGCACAAAGCAGGTACAATGGACAGCGCCCATCACTTCGTGCAGATCTCCTAAGGGTGGCTTAGTGTTCTACTTGGGAGTGACCATTGGTCCTATTTACTCACACTGACTCAGCCTTGATTCAGGTAAGCGGCTGGGCCTGGTGTCATAAGATTTGATCTGAAGATAAAGAGGCACTGAGTTCTATCATCACTTCAGTCTGGAGGCGGGAGCTCACCACCTTCAGTTTCAGAACTCCCCTATTTATGACCAAGGGTTGGGGTGTGGTAAGGGCAGTGGGTTCCCTGAGTCCCCCTTTCCTTGCCATGCTTGGGGAAGCCTATGGGTGTTGGGGATGTGGCCTAGATTCCAAGGACAAATCACAGCTCTGCCATAACCCGGCCTCACATGGAAGCATACGCTGCTCAGGTAGTGGCCATGGACATCACTGCTAATTTTCTGAGCCCCTGAAAGCAATCCTAGGAGGGTGTAGGCAGGACCCACAAAGACCCCTACCCTGGGGTGGGGGGGGTGCGTTTCTTTATTTGGAAAGCCGGGGTCTGTCGGGTTGATCTTGTGGGCTCTCTCTGAGGCCTTCTGGGCACTGAGCCAATAGGAGTGAGTGGTTCCATATCAACTCCTGAGTGAGGAAGTTACATTCAATAGAGGTCACAAGTGGCCTCCAGCCAAAATCCTGCTAATATATATGCACAGCAATCCCACCCATCTCTTGGTATTCAGTGTAAACTAAGCACATCACTCAATGTGGTCAGTTGGCTGGGGCAAAGTCGAAACACCAGATCTTCTAGCTTCAGAGAAGGAACAGGTAGAGCACAGTCTTCATCTTCTGCCAGAGAAAATGCCAGAAATATAATATCTCCTCTCACCTGGAATTTCACCTCAGTGAACAACCCCATCTAAACAAGAGCCTGAGAAGTCTTGAGGGATTGCTGGTAAACCCTTTGATGAGTGCTAATAGTGGTGGCAGGGTTTTTGCTCTTTTTAAAAAATGTGCACCCAGCACACATGCAAATGGCCGAGATGAACTGCTTTGAAGGAATTTGAATGAAACAGACAACATCCTCTTGTCTTTCCAGATGTTCAAGTTTTGTCTTATCAAACAAATTATACACTTCCAAGGAGCAGAGCACTCTCAGGGCATATAGAAGACTCTTGTAAACATTTATCAAATGGGAGCAAAGAGGCTGTCCACAACCTTCATAGCATTTCACACATTTATGTGTGATAAATGAATAAATTGTCCTAAATAACATGTTTCTGGGCATCTGCCAGTGACAGGAGCTGGGAGAGGGGTTATCAATGGGTTTGAGGCTGGATCACAGTCTTTGGGGACATTTCACTCATTCAGAAAATTTCTACTGAGTACCTACTCTGCGCTAAGTATACCTCTGGGTACTGTGATTAATCAGTGAACAAAACAAAGTTCCTCTAGGAAACTGTTGTTTTGGTGGAAAACAGGCAATGCACAAGTGAACAAAACAACAAGAAGTTAAGTTTAGGTAGTAATAACTGCTCTGAAAAATATGCGACAGGATGATGTGCAGACAGTTGCCAGAGTCTAGACATAGCCCCTGCCTCACAGAGTGTATAGGAGAGTCGAGATGATCTAGTGAGGTAAAAAGAGGGCTCCTGAGGTCATAGCCCAGGGTGTTATATGTCATCTCTAAAGTGGAGAACTTGGGACTAATCTGGAATGGTGTACGCTTCTGGGGGAGATTAGTCTGGTGAATGGAACAGGGTAGATGAGGTGGGGAATTGAAAAAGCTGGGCCCGATATTTTAGATCTCCTCCCATCAAAAGAGTGAAATCTCTTTCTCCAACTCTTGAACCTGGGCTGGCCTTGTGACTTGCTTTGACCAACAATGTGGTGAAAGAGATGTTGGGTGAGTTCCAGAGCTGAGGCCTCTGTGAAGCATCTGCGTTTATACTCCTGGAACTCCCAGCCTGCCACATTCTGAGAAGCCTAGCCTTGCCTCCTTGAGGATGAGATGCCACATGGAGAGAGAGAGAGGCCTGGTCATCCCAGCCATTCCAGTCACTTCACCCCAGACACGTGGGCAAGGCTATCCAGGGAGCTCCTAAATTGATGGTAGTCACCTAAATGAACTTAGGGAAGACCAGCAGAAGAACCACCCAACCAACTCAGAATCATGAGAAACAGTAGGTTTTGAAATGGTTACACAGCAAGAAGTAACTAAAATGGTAACACTCAAAGACACACACACAGCAGTGATATGGTTCTCTGGGACTAATCAATTCACAGAAAATGCTCATCAAATTTGGGGTAAGGGGACAGGTTGCATCCCAGTGCTGGGGCTCAGGAGAATGACACAAGTGTTAAAGCCAAACAGGCTTCTAGGTGAGCCTAACATGCACCCTTCCTTTAAGTACAGCGGTCTGAGAATAAAGGCTTCAGAGCAGAGCCTCACAGGTGCCCAGGACTCAGGCCAGGAGCCAGAAGCACAAAGCTTGAAGTATCAAGACTCATTCCTGATTTCTCAGAGTCCTGATGGGCTCAAGGCTAGATGGGATAGAGTCAAAGGCAATAGTCTTTACTAGGACTGAAGAAAGGCAGGATTCTTGGAGGAGAAAGACCACATTTATAAAAAGATAAATTTAAGGACACAAAAGTCAAAAACCCAAAGGGTGAGTCAGATGCTGACAGCTTTAGTAGTTCAGAGAAGGGGTAGATCACCCAGGAGACAGCTAGTGCAAGAGCAAAGGGGACAGTCACACGAGGAAGTGAAGACTTAAGTGAATGAAGAGTTGGACTGCAACAAACAAGAGGTGGAGAGGAGTGATGGGGAGGGCACAGAGGAAAGGAGAAAGAGGGCGGGAGAAAAGGAGAGGAGAAAAAAATCCAGCTTGCCCCAGGGGAAAGTGAGCTAAGGAAGGGTTCATATAGATATGATCAGGAAATATAGGCTAATTGGGAATGCTAAGACAGGCAACTTTGCTTCTAACATGCGACACATGACAGCCAGTCAGGGTTTTTGAGCAAGGAACTATGTGCTTTAAAAATGAATTAAGGGTTCATGGATGAATTATGGATACATGTATGGATGGATGGATGGACGGATGGATAGATGGATGGATGATATGCACCAAAAAGAAGAGGCAGACCTGTGCTTTAAGCTAAAGATATGAATGAGTGGATGAAAGAATAAATAGCTGGGTGTGTGCATGGATGGATGGATGGATGGATGGATGAATAAGTGCACACGAAGGAAGAGCCTGAAGAAGTCAATTAAGTCTTCTAGTGGGCCGTTCTGATGCTTAACATCCATCAGTGCTGCTGCCCTCCACTGCCTCACTCCCTGTGGGCCCATCCCATCAGCCCATTATTGCAGGCTCACCTGAGTGCTGGTGAAATGGTTCAGGAAAGTGTCATGAGAGTGACAGGGGCTCATTGATCACAGACAGTCTCCAGCTCTTTCAACTCTTCCAGTGAAGCACAGATATACTTGAGCTGCAAGTCCCTGGGAACAGATCACAACAGCATGGAATGAAGGCTACACGACAGGGGACTCAGACATGTCACCATTCTACATGCCTTGCAGGCCCCACCTCCAGGGCTTTTGCAAAGGGCGCCCCAACCACCTTGCCTTATTATCACGGCATTGACCACAGTGCCAGGCACACAGTAGATGCTCAATGAAAATTTGATGTGTTGAAATGAAACTTCCTGGGTGAGACAAACAAACAGGCTATGTATAACTGACACCATCTCCACCATCTTATTCTCATGAAACCCTTGGTAGAGAGAAAGGCAAAGTGAGTTGAACAGTCCATAACCTGACCTTCAAGGGAAGACATAAATCAAAACTCATCAATTTTCAGGGAAATAAATTCTATGAAATGAGCCTGCCATCTGCCTTTCGTGATATAAATCAAGCTCCCATTGACTATTTTATGCCTACAGGCTGAGTTCCATATCCCTTAGCAAAATATACACAGTTCTCCACAATATGACCTTAAGCTGTAAGAACACCCATATGGCCATTGATTTATTGATTGCTAACTATATGTAAAGGAATATATCAGGCATTGAGATTCTGAGGTGAAATACATTCCTTCCCCTCAAAAAGAATATTATCTATTAGAGAGATAGGTATGTATATATGTATTATATAGTTTATGTATATCTAGAGGGTAATAAAAAGGCAGATATATCCCTATAGCCTCATATAACACAGAGGGGGAAGGGATGAATGATTAACTCTGCTCGAGGGTCGTGAATGGTGTCATTTCATACTTAAGATGATTCTGGAAGGTACCATTTCCGGAAGTTTACCAGGCCAATGAGAGGGACAAGAACACACCAGGCAGAGGGAACAGTCTTATTTAAGACCCTTAGTTGCAAGATGTGGAAGTTGAAATGAAATAGGGAATTTAATATCCAGAGACCTTGCCTCATCAATTCAGAGGTTGGTTGCACAAGTCCAATGAGCGGATATATAAAAATGCTTTTTGTAAGCTATAAAGTGCAAGCCAAAGGTAAGGGCTTATTATCAAAGGTGCTCAGTATATGGTTGGTGATTGATTGGTCAATTTGACATAACCCAGTGGGAACAAGCTATCACATCTTCCTGAACCAAGGTATGCTAATGGAACACCTGCCAGCACAAGTCTCTAACTGGAGGGCTCCCCTGGCACCCATTTGGGTCATGTTTGACTGTGAGAGGACCAAAGGAGGGCATAGGTGTGGAGGGAGGTCAGATTGACTTGTGACTGAGGGATGATGTTACTGCCATTTGAAGAGTAATCAAATATAAAAACAAAATGGCTTGGTGGTGACCAAGTAAGGTAATGAAAAGAAGGATATCCATGTACCATTTGCAATTTTTCAGTAATAAGGACATTGTGGAAGTCAAAGCCTTCATCAACAATGGACTAAGTATCTTCTTTTCTGAAGACTTGCGCTATGTAGAGTGGGGGAGAGAGACCAAAAAAAAAATGCATGGAATCTCCCCTCAAGGAGTCTGGGACTTGTAGCAAAGTCTTGCAGTATGGTTGACAAGTTCTAGGTCCTAACCCAGCTCTTGACCTCTACCTCCAAACTCACTCCCCCACTTGTTCCCATCTCAGTAAAAGGTGCCTCCATGTACCCAATTGCTCAGGCCTTAATCTGAGATTCAATTCCAGTCTATCCCTTGCCCTCCCTTTCCACGACCAGCCTGTCCACAAGTCCTATTGACTCTCCCTCCACAGGAGGCCCCAGGCCTGCCACGCTTCTCCCTCCAGAGACACCATCCTGCCTGGAATACTGTTTTTACTCTTCCCTTCCCACTGTCCAGCAGCCAAATGAACCTTTCTAAAATGCAAATCAGTTCCTGGCACTTGCTCCTCTCATACCCTTCCCTGGAATTTCCCTTCATGCTTAGACCAAATTCACATTCTTTGCAGTGGCCCAGTGAGGCTATCAAGCTCTGTATAATTTAATCCCTGCCCATTTTCTGACGCACCTTCACTCTCTACACTCCAGCTACGCTTGCTGTCTTCCTTTCCAGAATTGTTCTCACCCTGGGGCTTTCACCTTTCTGTTCCCTCTGCTAGAAATGAAGGTCTTCTCTCAGACCTTCATAAGGCCACTCTCTCACCGCTTTCAGATCTCAGCTCAGAGACTTCCCCAATGGCCCTCA
Organism: Homo sapiens; assembly: GCF_000001405.40. Lineage (NCBI taxonomy): Eukaryota > Metazoa > Chordata > Mammalia > Primates > Hominidae > Homo > Homo sapiens. Next base: position 33,567,171 of record NC_000017.11, on the reverse strand, counting down.
CTAAAGCAGCCACCACAGCCACCCCAATCCTGCCACTCTTTCCTCCTCCAGCCTTGTTTCATAGTCATAACAGCACATATGGTAGGCACTAAATACATAAATTTTGAATGAACACATGCAAGAGAAAACAAGGAAAGGAATACTCATATCTACTTGAAAGAATCATGGAGCTACAGGAGCTGGGTTCTGGAAGATGAACATGATCTCACCAGGGGAAAAAGAGCAAGGGCATTCCAAGCAGAGGGAATAGCACAAACCAAGGCAGGAAGATATGGAAGGATGTGGCATGTGTAGAGGAGTGGAGGCAATGCAGTTAAGAGGAGCAAGTTGAGACAGCAGGGGACACAGTCAGGAAAGATCACGGAGGGCCCTGTGTGTCATGCCAGGGAATGGGTGTCTAGCTGCAGGGGGAAGACATCTTAAATCATGGGAGATTATCACAAGGAGTGGGTGGCAAAGGGAATCCTGGAGATAGAGATTACTGTGCCCGGACCTGAAAGAGCTTTGGGGTTCCAGGTGGCTCAGGAGCATTGCAAACCTTCTATGACTGTTCTGCTGTAAGGGGGAATATACTATAGCACATCCAGCTGCCCATGCTCTCCCAGGTCTGTGTATGTCTGTCTCTCCACTGGCTAATAACATGTTTTGTGCCCTTAGTTCAAAGTCCTCAGATGACAAACTTGTAGTTGCCTACTCATCTTTTCTATTAACAGCAGCCACAATGTATGGACAGCTGGCAGCCCAGATGATTCTCTCTGGAGCTGGGTGTTCCTGCCTGGTTCAATCAGCTGAGCCTTGGTTAGAGGGAAGGGCCCAGCAGGGACTGTGGAAGGGGTGGCTCCTTTATAGGAAAAATAAAAGGATCTACCATTCCCAAGGCTGTAATATGGCCACCACAAAGAATCTTAACACTAAAACCAACCAAACAAACAAAATGCAATTATCTCAAGTATTCCAAGTATTTGTCCTGAGCTAGGCAGAACTCCCATCTATTCTGTACTTCAAGTTCCCCTTCATGTATAAGCCCTCCTGACAAAAGGACAGAGGCAGAGTAACAGAGAAAGACGTAAGGGAAGGGAGAGCTGAGTGAGGAGGGCTTAGCGCACCTGCAGGCTGATCCCAGCCAGGAAGGGTGCTCCCAGCTACAAGAGGAGAAGCCACATTCTAACAGGCATATGCAGTAAGAAAACTCCTGAGTTCACATCATGGGAAGTTCAGAATCAGCCCCAGGTGTGACAGTCAACACTCACCATGCTGTCAGGGCTTAGGCTCCAGTCTGCGCTCCACCCAGGAATCAGGAAACCTCAGTGCTGGTTTCACCTTCAAGCTGTTACCTAGATGTCTTCAGCAGTCCTGAGTGCTACACACAGGACAGCGTCCAGAGGAGGAAGAGAAGCTCTCTTCTTATGAGTCTCTTAGAAGAGAGGAGAGGTTTTCCCTAAGTTTCCTAACAGACTCTTTTCCCTCTCTCATTGGCCAGAATTGGTTCACATGGCCCTTCCCATTGTTAGGGGGAATGGGATTATCCTCAGATCAGTCTGAGGGTGGAGTCACCTGAGGTGGGAGGCCTGGATCTCTGAACCAGTTCTGGGTTCTCTTGGTAAGGAAGATGAGGACGTGCATGGGCACTGGTAAGGCAGATGAAGTGTCCACTTTACCTCTAAGGACTGTTCTGGAAAACAACAGAGAGCAAGGCACAAAGAAAATCATGGTACAGGGACTGCAGAGGTGGTGCTGTGTGCACAGATATGGAGGCAGAAGTTCTGCTTTCAAGTCCCAGCCCTGCCACCTACTAACTATTATGTCCTCCCAGAACCTCAACTTGCTCACCTGTAAAATGAGAATTTGAATATCTGCTCTGACTCCTATAACTGTCTGAAAACCCAAAGAAGGCAATGAGGGTAGAAGTTCCCAGCCGACAGAGTTGGATGGCTCATATGGAAAAGCTAGTTATTATTAATGAGAGAGAGAGATCCTGCAGGACAGAGTTGGAGGGAAGGGCAAGCCAGGGACACAGACTAGTGCCGAGACCAACTCAGTCGGGGAGACCCTAACCCAGCAGTGCTAGAGGAATTAAGAAATACAGAGGTGTGAAGTGGGAAATCAGGGGTCTCACAGCCTTCAGAGCTGAGATCCCCGAACAGAGATTTACCCACGTATTTATTAACAGCAAACCAGTCATTAGCATTGTTTCTATAGATGTTAAATTAAATAAAAGTATCACTTATGGGAAACGAAGGGATGGGCGAATTAAAGGAATAGGTTGGGCTAGTTAACTGCAGCAGGAGCATGTCCTTAAGGCACAGATCACCCATGCTATTGTTTGTGGCTTAAGATGCATTTAAGCAGTTTTCCATCCTGGGCAGGCCAGGTGTTCCTTGCCCCCATTCCCATAAACCCACAACCTTCCAGCGTGGGCGTTAGGGCCATTATGAACATGTTACAGTGCTGCAGAGATTCTGTTTATGGCCGGTTTTAGGGCCAGTTTATGGCCAGATTTTGGGGGGCTTGCTCCCAACAGGCTAGGGGTGGCTTGCTGGCACTTCGAGGTGTGCATGGCAGGCAGTGCCATTATGCTGCTCCTCAGGGGCATGGATAGCCTCTGCAACCTTTGGATATTCCTATTTGCAGAAAGACAACAAATAAAAAGGATAATTAACTCAGGAAACCCAAACAGAGTTTTGTACTTTATGTGACTTTCCACTGACCCAGGGACTGTACTGGTGCTGCTGGCAAAGATCCTAATCTCTGGGATTAAGGGCTTGATCCCCTTAAATCAGCACTCCTGGAGGTGGTGGGGAAAGCCAACTTCAACCTGATCCATTGCAAACTGACCGGTGGATTAACGAGTCAGGGCAGGCCTCCTTAACTGAGACTTCTGTTTTTCAATATTGAGGTTTTCTTTAAAAATCTCCACTAATTGGATTGCTGACTTGGAGATAGGGATGCAGGCTTTAAAACGAGAGAGGAAGACAGACAGAGACAAGGCAGTGTGTCTGTGTGTCTCAGAGCAATGCACCTTTATCCGGTTCATCTCAGCCATGCAAGACCGTGCAGGGCATCAGCTCAGCCTCACCTCCTCAGGGGGGCTGCCGCGGTGCTCCTCCCACCACAGGAATATGTGACTTCCTGCAGGGAGCTCCTGGTTCCAGTGTCAGGACTATGGCCCTGATTTCTACTTTAGCCATCTAATCTCGTAAGAAATATTCGAGTACCAGAGTTAGAGATGCATGTCTGTAGTCAAATGCAGACTTGGCTCTCCAGATGGCAATAGTGAAAGGAAGCCCATCCTGCTGGTCAAAGCATCCAAGAAATAAGGCAGGTGGCCAGGAGAAACCTGGCTCTAGCATCCCACCCATCTCCTTTGCTACAGATGGGCTTGGGCAAGTCACTCCCCATGTGGCCTTGGATTCGCCATATTAAAAGCTATGGGGTTCTACTAGATGGTCTCTGAGATCATTTCCAGTCTGGCCCCTCACTGGTTCTTTAACTGGGAGCAGTGGCTACAAGATTGGATCTGGCTGAATGCTTTTTCTCATTCAGCCTGATGCACTCCAGAAGTTTCAGGTGGAATCACCAAGGAGCAGACCTGAGGCCATGCAGCTTAGAAAAATAAGAAGTAGGTAAAGGCCAAGAGTACCTTCAGCATTTAGTGAAAAATGCTCCAGTGGTGGGCTGGGGATGGGGAGCAGGAGGAGGTAGAGCTATACATTTTTACAGATGCCTCAAATGCAAGAATCAGAAGGAGCCAGGGTTGGGAATGAGGAAGCGTGGATTTAATTCCCGGTTTATCCTGTGAGCAGTCACTTCTTTCTAGGCTTCAGTTTCATCCACCATAACACAGGAAAAATAATATCTACATCATTAGGCTGCTGAGCAGATTGGATTAGCAGACATGTAAAGTGTCTGGTACAGGACAAATACTGTGCAAATGTCATTTCCCTTCTTGTCCTGTGCTAACTGAAGTATCACTGTCTTCCCACTTATCAGAAGGTCTGAGCAGAAAGCCTCATCATTTTAAGTAGCAAAACTCTGGAGATTTAAGCTTTAGAGGGAAGCTTCCCCAGTTTGACGGGTGGCTGGCTGTGCCATCATGGTTCCTTTGGCCCAAGAGTTCCCATTCCCTTGAGCAATCTCCCTGCAACAGCTCCTCCTAGAGCCCACTAGCCTAAGCCCATGAATCCTGTGGTTCTCCTGTGGAGCAGCTGCAACTGGCTGTGGTATGCAGGGAAGTTGCCTAAATACTAAGGGAGTGCAGAAAATGAATCAAGAGGGTGACACTCAGGCCCAGTTTATCCTGTGGTCTGAGTGTGGGATCCACATGTCATCAGAGGCAGCCACCCATCCAGCCCCTTGCTTGATACCCCTACCTCCTAGCTAGCTGCTGGGTCCATTCCAAGTAGTTGGTGCCATCTTATCCAGGAGCTGCCTCACATATCAACCCTCTGGAGGCTAAGCCTTAGAGTCCCATTCCTGTAGGAAGCCCCCAAGCCTATCACATGCCAGCTCTGGTCTGAGACGCTCCTTTTTCCCAAGAGATAGGTGCCAAGAGTGACTTCCCTTATCAGGCAAGACTCACTCCGATGCACAAGAGTGTGACGTGCTCTCTCCTGGTGGTGGCCCTCCAGGACAGGTAGCATGTCACGTCCTACACTGATGCAGCAATGACATCCATCGGTCCTAGACAGTGATTCTTCTGCTTTTTTCCAAGCTGGGAATACAAGGCTGATGATTAGGAATGGGAATGGCAATTTGAAAGCACATAAGAAATCTCTGAGGCTCTGTATATTTGTTCAATCATTTAACAAGCATTTCTAAGCACCTAGCGTACACTAGGTCTGTGCTTGGCACCAGAAAGCGACAGAGATAAATCAGATGGAACCAAGAAGCTTCTACTGTATTGGGAAAGATAGCCCCTGCATAAAAACAGCCATTTAGAAAAAAAAAAAATGTGTTACAAGAAAATGTCAAATTTGAAAGTGCAGAGAAAGGTGAAAGGGGCATTTGGCCCGTACAAGTTGAAGAGGGTTTCACAAAGGAAGCGGCCTTTGAGCTGAGTCTTGGAGGATGGTTCTGAATGTCCTGAGAACAACAACTGCCACTGACTGATTCCCTGCAAGAAATCCTTTCATCACTCCGGATTGGAACAGCTATCCTGAGATAAAACCCGAGAAGTCTGGGAAGTGAGGAGGGAACTTCGAAGAGGAGTCTTAGGAATGTGAATACTCAAATCCAAGATCTTAAGATCTCACTAGAGGGATGCTTGTGCACACAGTCCTTGGTAGAAAAACGTCAATCACTGAACTAAGACGTGCATCTATTTTTGAAGTGATCTGCACTTCTGGGAATAGCCCCAAAGGGAAATTGGTCATTGATTGCTAGGAAACCAGCAATTCCCGCTGGGCTTTCTGCTCCTTGCCATATTTGCACATATTTTTTTCCAGGCTCCTGCCTGCTCTTCTTTCAATACACACATCCAAACTCACACCAGCATATGTTCTAGCTCACGCCCCCTATGTCTGTCTGAATAAAAACACCAAAGTGTATAAGAAAATGGATGGTGTTCTACAAATTGCAGCACTCCAAACGATGCAGACAGTGGAAGAAGAGTCCACTAACAAGAGTTTCTGTGTTTTGTTTCTGTTCAGTCTTCTGTTTCTATCACCGAAGCTAATTATTTGCCTTCCTGAAGACCCTTCACAAATGTAAAGTGGGGTTGCCTTGCTACAGGTGGGAATGAATTTTATAAATGTTGCATTGCATAGCAAGAAACTAAGCTTAGAGAGCACCTGCCAGTGCTATCAGTTCTATGTTAGATCAAAGCCTCTCTTTAATTGATTTTTAAAACCCAAGCATGTCAAGCCAAGCACACAGGCATGGATGTTATACCTGTGCCTTCCGGACTCCAGGATAAAGCTGGAATTTGACCTTTGGCCATGACATATATGCATACATATATCCATAAATTCTAGTGTTGGCCTTCATGAGTGGGGAAGTGGAAAGAATTCTTACCAGTAATGAGTGGGCCTAACATTCTCATTTCTGAAATGAGAATCTCCCTTTTCGTCATAACGATGCTCCCTTTTCTCTGTAACACTGCATTCATTACCCTATGGCCCAGGAAACAGAAAGGCTTGACCTCTGAAAATTTAGACTGCCCAGAAGTATGCCACCTACTACTGCATACAAAAAAACAGGATGCACACCAGGGAGGCGATGTGGTATTTTGGAAGGTCTATGGGCTTTGGAATTAGATAAATCTGGGTATGAATTGAAGTTCTGCTGTGTATTAGTTGTGTGACTTCAGTCAGATACTGTAACTTATCTAAGCTTCAGTTTTTCACTTCTAAGATAAGAATAATAGATCCTAACGTATGGAGTTATTATAAAGATAACATGAGCTAACTCATGGAAAGCCCCAAGCAGTCTGCCCTCACCCAGAGGATACCCAATAAATGTGAATTTCTGTCTCCTGCTAACCTCCATGGTCACATTCGTTGCTTCTTTCACCTTGGGAGTATTTTCTAGGGCACAGTTTTGAAACTATATTTTGGAGAACTTTTGACCTCATTTGAGTTCTTTCCAGAGTCTCAAACCACAGACCCACACCTCGCTTTCCTCTGAACATTTAAAAAAATCTTCCTTCGAAAAGGTCCTAGATACATTGCTGCCCAAATCCTGCTTTTCCCTTCCCTGAGTATCATAAATGCCAATTTTCCTTATCTAAAATTTCCTGTCAGATTTATTTAATCAACTCATAAGTCCTTTGGGGCCTCCCTTGGTTCCAAAGTAGCAGTTGCCTTAGTCATTTCCTCTACTGTCTGGGAAAGAACTTGGTCTCCAAGGTGATTTCACTTTCTCTGATCAGGGAGGACGTCAACATCACACAAGTGGTATGCTTGCTATCGATCTGTTTTCTCTTCCTTTAGGGTTTCTGTGAAAAACTGGTTGAGGTGTTATTTTTAGCAAATTGATGATTGCCTCTGCCTGCGCACATGTCCATCTGTCTGTCTGTGAACACAGCCAACCGAGGTCCAAGAAAGCTTTCCTTGCCTTGCCTCGACAGCTGTATTCATCTTAAGAGCTTCATGCTGAGCAAATGGTTTAAGGCCTTTGGTGATTGAAAAAAAATGGCAGTACAGTAACATGGGCTTCAATTGTCACATTTTCTGCACATGAGGCCTTTGAGTAATTTGTAGTCAGCATCCTGAGTTGGAATTTCACCAAATAGTTCACTATTCTCCATACTATTTTATGCTACCCTGCCTTTGCTTATGTTGTTCTGTCAGCCAAAAATGTTATTTCTTGTTCATTCACTTACTCAAAAATAGTTATATCATAGACATAGCTATCATAAGGCAGGTACTACACTGTGTGTTGGGAATTTACTGATGGGCAAAAACCCATACTGTCCCTTACATGTCATCTTCAAAGCAATAAGGGGTCATTGAATAATCTTAAAGAGGGCACTGGATATGATCAGATGGAAATATCACTCTGGCTGCAGAGTAGAAAATACATTGAAAAGAGCAGGTATGAATGTGGGGATCTCTGCTTTTGACAATAATGGAGACACTGGCACTATGCTAGCCCTCTGCCATAAGTGACTACAAAACTAGGCAGAATATATAAGGAAACTGCTTTCTGGCAATGGCAATGGCAAGACCACGACCTTTGAAAAAAAAGAAAATTATGAAGTGAGATCTCATTTTTTTCAGTTCTTCATTTAGGGACAATATTCTAGCTGTGATGTAGAGGGGCAGAGCCCATATAGAGCATGACATTCCCACTGACCAGAAGCAGGAATCAGATTTTGAGACTACTGAAGTGACTGGAATCTGTGGGGTAGGCCATGATAAAGTGGGGAGCTGTGAGGAAGGGGGCCCCAGATATCTTTGTGGTAGGAGTCATGGACAGCACAGACACAGGGAGAAGGCATAAAAGCTTACCAGGAAGGGCTGTTATGAGGTTGAGAGTGGAGCAAAAATACTAGAAGTCAAGTAGTGCTAGAAGATACTGGAGTTCTTGCTCAGTCAGAGTGTAGAGGCCTTGTTAACACCTGGAGATCCAGTTAAGACATCAGAAAGCCATGCCTTAAGAATAAGGACCATGTCAGCCAGGCATGGTGGCTCATGCCTGTAATTGGGAGCCCATGGCAAGTGGACCACTTGAGGTCAGGAGTTTGAGACCAGCCTGACCAACATGGTGAAACCCCATCTCTACTAAAAATCCAAAACTTAATCGGGCGTGGTGGTGCATAACCTGTAGTTCCAGCTACTTGGAAGGCTGAGGCAGGAGTATTGCTTGAATTTGGGAGGCAGAGGTTGCATTAGGCTGAGATTGAGCCAGACTCCGTCTAAAAAAAAAACAACAACAGTAAGGATCATGTCCTCAGGCAGGGTCAACAAATTATGGCTCTTGGTTCAGCTACCAATGTTTATAAGCAAAGTTTTGTTAGAACACATCCTGCCCATTCATTTACATTCAGGTTACAGTAGTAGAGCTGATTATTTGCTACAGAGGCCATATGGTTCACAAGCCTAAAATGTTTACTATCTGGCCCTCAAGAGAAAGTTTGCTGATCTTGGTCCTTGAGTAAGGACTACACTAGATGTATTCTAATAAAGTCTAAAAACAATCCTCAACCAGATTCACTGGGAATTTTTGAAATTTTAGTACTATGAAGTTAGAGGAGATTAGAGAACACCACAGAATTCCTCCTCCACCAACAAAGCATAAAACCAAATCTCTAAAAGTTCAAGGTCATCAGCCAGAAACTGAACAATTTGCTGGAACAAAACTGAACACTCTTCAGAGGAAGATAACATAACCCAGAATATTTATGCCATATCATCCATAATGTCCAGGATACAACAAAAATTACTAAACATGAATAAAAATAGAAAACTCTGATCCATAGTGTAGGGTCCAGCCCCACAGGGTCGGACTGGTAGTGGCCCCCCGGGCCCAGCTGTCTTTTCTTTTATCTCTTTGTCTTGTGTCTTTATTTCTACACTCTCTCGTCTCCACACACGGGGAGAAACCCACCAACCCTGTGGGGCTGGACCCTACACATACGCAAGAAAAAAATCTTTAATAGAAATAGATACCAAGAAGGCCCAAATGTTGGGTTTAGTAAAGACTTTAAAATATATATTATAAATGTAAATTTTCTACTAGAAAAAATATGGTCCAAATGAGTAACAGATTAGTCTTTGCAGAGAAAAGGAAGCTCAAAGAAAGAGTGAAAATGGGAAGACCAGTTGGAAGGTTACTGCCAAGATTCAAGTGAGAGATAATGATGATAGATTATGCTAGGATGGTAGCTATGCCTCTGGAGATAAGTAGATGTTTTCAAAAGATTTTTAGGAGGGATATTTAGTATAATATAGTGATGAGTTGGATATGGAGAATAATAGAGTGGGATGTGTAAATAAAATGCTTAACTTTTTGTCTTGAAAAATGAGATCATTGGTGTTATCATATAGTCAGACGGCAAACCCTGCAGAAATATGTCTTGGACAAGCTGAGTTTCATTTTTAGTTTTTAATCTCAAGAATTCTAAGGCTCATCTTCTTTCTCAACTCTAACACTCCTCCTTCCACCAATGCAGAATGGTTCCTCTTTAGTATTCCCATAATGCTCTGTTGAGATGCTTGCAATTATCCTATTATTCTCTTTTATAACATCTACTTACACGCCTAGACCATGAGCTTCCTAAAGTCAGGGACCATGCCATGTTCATCTTTGTAGTCTTGACTGTTAACATTGCACTTAGCACATAGTAGGTATTTAGTTGATGTTGAATGAATGAATGAATACAATTATTTCAATGATTTTCTTCTCTGAGGATAGTGACTAGGAAACAATTTCTGAGATTAAGGGCAGGGACTTTAGAGTAATATAGACCTGAGACTACACTTGGTTTTTCACTTACTTGCTAGGGACTAGATAAGTTACTTAACATTTGTAAAATGGAGACCAAAAAGGAAAAAGGCCACCTTATACTGAATAAGGTGGGAATATTTACCACATTATAGGAAGTAAGGTAGAAATATTCTTGGAAAGTGGTCAGCATAGTGCTTGCTCCACTTAAGATGCTCCACAAATACTAGCTAATGTGATGATGATAACAAAGAGACAGATGCTGCAAAAGCAGCTGTCCAAGAAGGGCTCTTGCATAGAACAGGAAGAGCTAATTGCAAGAAAGTCTTCCACCATTCCTCCCTCACCTGTGCTTACACTTAAGGCACCTCTCACAGACCAAGACATGTTCTACTGCTAGCAGAATTTGCTAAGATATGCTTATGGGAATAACTTAGGGGAATATGGGAAATGGAAATATGCTGAGAGGATCAATGGCTTCTTTTTATGTAGGTAACTAAAGGGCAGATGGAAAGAAAAATCATCATAGTCATCACTGGCTAGCTTACCTGTAAACACTAATACATATACCTCCAAATTCCACAAAGTTCTTCCCTCAAAGATGACTGTGACTTTCTAGCTCCAGAGGCCTCACTCATTACCAAACTTGGGTGTCTGATGCAGCCACAAACCTTTAGATTAGCAGAATCTATTTCATTATGCTTCACAAAAGTTTAAAATTTTGCTGAAGCACCTAGAAGAGAGCTGTGCTTAATTTTCTGAATTTAAACGTATTTAAGCTCTAAGTAAATAATTGTCATCCAGTGGCTCCTTGGCATTACAAGGTCATAGAGACAGGAAAGAAATCAACTGTAACATCATCCCAGCTCTCAGATTTTCCCACGTGCTGTCATTCTCAAGCCAAGGTGAGTGGAGAGGCAGCTATGCCACATCTTGTCAGGGCTCTTAAACTCCAAGGCATCTCTGCTTTATGCCTTAGGCCCCTCTAGGAACTCCAGTTACTCAGTTCATTGTGTAACTTGCTCTTTAAGATTGTCTCTTCTCCCCATGTCTCCTCTCCCCTTGGCAGAAGTCCAAGGTGGGTTGATAGCCTTAGGGTGGTAACACCATGATGCACCCACAGACCCTTAATCTCTGGCTCTGACCTTTACTCTCAGCCATTACACTTGTCTACCTCATGATGAAGCTGCTGGGAAACCAGTGTCCACATTGCTGTGGGATCACATTGCAGGAATGGGCGGCTGTCATCTTTAAGATATTCAAATAAGTATCTTTTCCAAGAGGCATCTTGGGCTATGATCAACAGATCCTTCCTGGTAGCCTTCGTTATATACCTGGATTCTAAGGTCCTGGAAAACAGAATGCTTTTATCTGAGCTGAATCTCATCTTGCTCTGGAGAGTGCTAGAAGTTCAATTTGGTAGAACTCAGCTAGAGTCCCTGTATCCCTTGAAAATGTACTTAAACCGGCTCAAACCCCGAAATCAAGGCCTGTGGGAGTCCAGAGTTCTTTCCATGATTGCTTTGAATTCCTGACTGCTGACATCCTCCTGGATTTCCTTATCTCGGTTCCTGATCTTCACACCTGAGGTCCAATTTCTACTCCATGGTAACCTGAGCATAAGCTCCATCCTTTCATAGGTTTATGACAGTGTCATTTGGACCAAGAATTTCATGAGTTGGGTTAACTCATGAGCTCAAAGTTTGGGCTGTCACATCCTGCACCTCTCAGCTTTTCACCATCTCTCTCTCCTCATCACCTCTTATTTTTCCACTTTTCATTTCCTGTCTTTCTAGAGTAGCAAGCAAATTTTTACCTTGCCTCTCAAAGAACAGTTATCTTCATACACATGTTGCTGGGGGGTCTCACTTTGCACCCCCAAGAATGTGTTATATTCCAAACAAATAGTATCATTCTTAAAAGATATTTTGGTGTCAGCTGTTAATAGGACATGTATTGTCCTTATTTCACAAGAATTTGGACTACTCCGTCTACACTGGAAAACAAGTACCTTCTAAATCCATTCATTTAATCAGCAGCGGACCAAAAGCATAAGTGGGACCTAGCTAGGAGGGCACTACAGGCATAACTCAGGGAATAGTAGGTTAGGTAGCCACGGACCATTCTGTTACCCGCGTGCCCATAACTTTCTGAGACATCTGACCATTGTGAAACCCGGAAGAGACATGGAGAGGATGAGCATTTGAGACATAGACATTGGAGCCAGACAGATCTGGATTTGATCTTCAAATCCACTTTTTACTGATCACCTAGAAATGGAGATAATGATGGGTATCTTGCAGAGTCATTGAGAGTACTGGGATAAAAATTTATTTAAAACCCTCAGCCTCACCTTGATATGTGAGAGGCTCCTTCCCTTTTATTTATGGTCTAGTGTGGCTGGGAGTTCATTTCAGATGTGTTTCAGTCTTAAAAGTCTCACTGAGAGTCACTTCTCAGTAAGGAAAGATATGAAATATCACTCAGCCTTACTTCCCCCAGCTCAGTCCCCGGCCAGCCTCAGGCATAGATCCTCCCTGGTGGTGAGGACTGTATGTACCCTCTGGTGGTGCTTCTTTTGAAGCCAGGTTGGCCATTCCTTCCTTTCAGACCCACCTCCCTTGCCTGTCAACTTCTTCCTCAAAAAGCACAGAAGACAGAAGAACCACTTGAAAATGATCCTAGCCACAGACACTAGCAGGGCTTGGTACATAGGTTGATGGTCTTTGAACTGGCAACCCCAGGCCCTTTTGGATCCTTGCATGTGCTCTTCCCACATCTTGAAATACCCCTTCCCCTAAGCCTATCTTATTGACATAGTAGAGATTCATTTATTTTACAATAGCCCTTCTATGGTCACTCCCTTCAATTGATCCCCATCCACCACACGTGCACACGTGCAAACACACACACACACACACACACACATATAAGCAGTGATGCTAAAATAGTCTAACTCCATTACTATCTCTCTCCCTTCCCCCACTTAAACTTCAAACCCACTCAGGACAGAGACTCTGTGTCATATTTGTGTAGACTCAAACTGAATTCAACACAATCAAATAACACTGTCTCCAACTAAAGCCACCTTCCAAACAGAACAATTTCACTCATAGGAAACCATCCAAGGCAGTTAAAAACATCACCGACCAATTTGCAAAGTGTTTCCCCAGGCATTAGAGAATTGGGTCTTCATGGCTGCCCTGTGTAATTCTCCCCTAAGTTTACTGCCTAACAGCACTGCCACCCAATTTATTGATCCTAAGCATTTCTGCTGTTTCTGGATGCTTGAATTGCACCTAGGAAGAGAACTCAACTGCAGGGGAAAAAACGAAGGACTCAGATTCAACGTCTACCTGCCTCATGCAGAACAATCAAAGTTCTTTGCTGGGTCCTTCTGCTTTACAAAGTGCTTCATACAGTCATTTAAGCCTCATTAGTATGTGTGAGACATTAGAATAAGTTATTTTATCTGTCTTAGCCTAAGCTTCTCCATCACCAAAATAGGTATAATAATAATAATAATATCTACTACCACATAATTGAATGTTGTGAGAATGAATTGGGTTAAAGATGGAAAGCACATAGTACCATGCCTGGCACATGGAAAGAACTCAATAAAGGTTATCTGGTATTAAAGAAGCTTTCTCAGCTGGGCACAGTGGCTCACGCCTGCAGTCTCAGCTACTTGGGGAGGCTGAGGTGGGAGGATTGCTCAAGCCCAGGAGTTCAAGGCCAGCCCAGGCAACATAGAGAGACCTCCATCTCAAAATAATAATAATAATAATAATAGTAATAATAAAGGATCTGCCTCCCAAACAATCTCCTTTATCAGAGCTGAAGAGGTGATGAGACATAAAGCTGTTTATTCTACCTCTCTTTGCAAGTCTTACCCCTTTAAGTTGTGACACCTGTTGTCTTGGGGTCTCTGGAAGCTCTGAGGCAAGAAACATTCAATTGGTTATTATGAATATGACTCATTATTCTAAAGCCCAAAATAAACCACATATTCAGTTACCACCTGTTCACATGTCAGCTTAGTGCTATCTCAACCCACCCTCTTAGCAACACCTTCACTGGCCCCAGAGAAGACCCCTACCCTTCAGATTATATGCAGTGCCTCCACTGCATTGATTTGGTGTTTCCTTAAAGGACTCCAATTCCACTAGGGCCTCTGCCACTCCAGGGTAGGGGAGGATTGCCAGAACTCTAGGAGTCCCTTTCTCTTGACCAGTCCTAAGCCCCAAAGAACAAGTGACTCAAATGTCCCTGCTGCTCAGAGCCCCTCTTCTACAGACATTGTCCAGTGGGCCCAGGGTTCAGTTGGGAGGGAGAAGAGACCCACTGCAAATGCATTTCCCCTCCCAGCTCCAGGGCGGTGCAAGAGAGCCCAGCAGCACTTCCCTGGGGAAACATTTCCACCATTAACAGCCATGCCCATTGCACTAACAGAATACCTGACGCGAGTGTTCCACTGACCATCTGGCTTCCAGCTTTGTCTGGAACTCAGTACGTAACTTTTGACAAATCACTGCCCTAAAATTGTTACCTCAAAAAATGCACAAATCCCACTGGTTGATCTTTGGCTGAGAAATATTCAAAGTATCTATGATGAACAAGAAGAGATGTTGAGAGTCTAAATGTACCAGGACTTTACATATTGTCTCACCCTCACTCATGGCAGCCTTTCAGGCAGATATTGTCTTTCCTTTTGCAAAGTAGGAAACTGCAGTCATGTCAGAAAGTGCAAGAGCTGGAACTGGAACCCACGTCTGCTGGACACCAAGTCCCTGTTGTTACTTTTCCATCATGCTACATGCTACCTCCCATTTCATGGTTTCAGGAGAGAAAAATCAGTGCAAAAAGCATGAGTTGGCAAAGGTCTTTTGTGTTACTGAGGGAAGATTGTATTGATTCTATCAGTTTGACCACCCTCCATGCCTCCAGCAGCCATCCAACCATCTCTAAGCTCTCTAGGGAGCTGGCCCAGCCCCACTCAGCCTGGCAGGAGGCAAATCTTCCTGACGCTCTGTAATAAAAGGCTTTGGAAATTGGGTTATAAGGAAAACCATCTCTCATTTTCTCTAGTAAGAGAAAAGTTATTCAACAGAGGCCCTTTCCCTTTCAGGGCCCCTTCAAATTCGTTAACTCTCTGCAAACACTGCTTATAAAACAGCACTTGAAGCGAGGCAGCAGAGGCTACCGGGAAGCGGTGGGCAATGAGATTTTAATGTGTTCCATGCTGTGAGCCCATCCCGACTGTCTGAAGAGCCTGGTTCTCAGGCCCCCAATTATTCAGTTTCTCAATCTTCCCCCATCACAGACAACACATCTCATTTCTCACACCCAGCCTCAGGCTCCTTTGTGACAACCTTCATTTTCTGGTCACAGCTTGGTGGCAGCTGGTTTGGGGAGGGATGTGGAAGGGAGGAGAACAATGGCTGAGGTTAGAGAGGTGAGTGGCATCGCACCTGCAGAGTCAGAAGAGCCATGCTGCCAAGTTCCCTTGTGAGGACAATATCTGGCTTTTACATCGAAGGGATCCTGATGGCTATGGCATCTCAGAACAACAGTCTAAAAATCCCTCCTACTGAGTTTTGAAGGAAGCACAGTGAAGTTTTTGGAGAGAGCTGGGGGTCCTAGGGGAAGGATGTCTATAATCTAATTATTCACAAGGAGAAGAGCATTTTCTAGGATGGAAGACCAAGCTATGGGCATCTGATTGGGAGTAGACCAGAATCCTAGAGAAGATATTCTTAGTGGCCATTGATTGGTCATTGGTACAGCCATTGACTTCAAGTTTGACTTGACGAAGGTAGCAGTTTTTTGTCTTTGGTGTCTCTTCCTGTGAAGGTGTCACTTCTCCACAGCCCCACAGGTGCTGCCTTGGCCCATGCCCTCATCATTCCTCCCCTGGACTAGAATGAGTCCTAACAGCGTCCTGACCTCTGGCTGCAACCTCATCTAGCCCTCCTCCCCACAGCCACCACCACCAGAATCTTTCCGGAATGCAAACCTAATTGCACAACACTCTCCTGCTCAAAAATATTCCCTAGATAACATTTTCATAATGCTAGATCAGCATACATATTCATCGAAAAAGCACCGAAAAGACATCCGACCAAATGTTAACAGCAATTATTTTGTGTAGTAGGTTTGCATATGATTGTTTTTTCTTTACACTTTCTTGGTATTCAAGTTTTCTGCAGTGAGCTTAAGATAAATATTATTTATTTTCTAGGCATAAAAATATCATCCAGAAAAAATAAAAGAAATCCTGCACAGAACAAAGTCCAAATTTCTTAGCTTTGCATTAAGCCCACCCAGAGCTTCAACATATCTTTTCACGTTCTTGTTCCACTACAATTCACAGGTCAGTCACACAAAAGCTGTTTCCTACCTAAAATGTAGTCTCCTCTCCACCATCACTACTATCACTTTCCCTATGCTTATACTCCTGTCCTTGCCATAGCTTCTTTTGCTTATAAAACTCCTAGTCATGCACAGAGGGCCACTGCAAATGTACCTTCTCTAGAAACCATAATCTCTTTACTCAGCAGTTATTGTTTTCTCCACTCTGGGCTCATCATACCTCTTGCTAATATTCTCTCCATTAGATTACAAGGGATGCAATTATCCCTTCTCTAAATGAGGAAACCAAAGCCCAGTAGTAGCCAGTAGGTGATATAGACAGGACCAAACCTAGAGTGTCTGGCTCTTCAGCCTCTGCTGTTTAACTACTACACAATAGAGCTTTAAAGCAGTTGCTACTGTCCCAGAATGTAAACAAGAGCTATCCCAGTATGTGAATTAACCATGAGGGTCCTGTGACATCACTGCAGCTGTTTACTGTGATTTGTCCCGCCCTGTTAACATCACACATGTGAGCCCTTTCTTCCCATGATATCGCCTGCCAGTCATTGTCGCCCAGCAGAGCCCACCAGCACTCACATAGCAGACCGCAGCAGTTACTGTGATTGCAAACTTGCAAAGGAGATATTGCCTTAAAAGTTGACTTTAGAACAACACTGCTTGAGATCGTTCCGGTATTTGCACTCCTCCATAAACTATTTCTACAATATATTCACAGAGTAGACAAAGCAATGCTTTATTACTATCTGGACCTCTGGCCCCAAATGACTGTGCAGAACTCCACTGAGCTGGACTGGACCTCATGGAGGGCCTGATTTATCTCAGCTCTCACCTACAACTCTGAAATTTGAATTTCCACTGTGCTCGGATAAGGAGTTGCTCTGAGATGAAAAACCAGAAACACAGAGCCAAAGAAAGCATCTGGCAAAATGCTGGAGGTGAAGCTGGTCCAGGCCTCTGGCTCAAGGCTGTCTCAGCGTCCCTAGGTTTAGCCGCCCCATGAGAAGGCAATAGTTCACAAAGGGCAGGGAGGTGATAAAGCCCATTGTCACCCAAGTCACTGAGGTGGAGGAGGAAGAAGTGACCAGGCACCATGGAGTGAGGCAGGCAGAAGCATTAGGGAGGAGGATGACCACCTCTTTTGGGGAAGAAGATTTAAAACCTGGTCTATCATCCATTATGTTTCACAGATTTCCCTAAAGGAGGAAAGAACAGGACTGTAGATTTAGAACCCAGGAAAGTACTTTCATAATGCCAAGGATCTGAACTCTTCATTTGAAAAACAAGCATGCCCACTCAACAGCCATAGGCAGCATCTGTCAGCCACAATCTAGGCTAATTTGCAAAATGAGCCTTGAAAGGAAGGTCTTGGTCTTGCTAGAATCCCATGAAGCAGGTTAAAGCAGGTAAGAAAAAATTAAGAGAGGAGGTGAGTTTTTAAAGTGATGACCCCATGATTATAGCTTTGAAAAGGAGAGATGGTCAGGAATCCTGATGATTCTTGAGAACCCTAGAATTGCAGACTTGCACGGACCCCAAGCCACAAATGCTTTCTGAAAGATCATCATCAGCAAAGCTTTGCTGAGGGCCAGTAGGGGGTTCCTAAAACGAGTTAAGATGCACCCTGTCTTCTGCAGCCTTTATGTCTCTTTTGGTTCTCTGCATGTTCAAAGTATCCTAAAGTGTTCGCGCTAAAAGGACCTTCAGAGGTCTTCTTGCTCCACTGCCATTTTTATTCATTTAATCAACAAATATTTATTGCATGCCTGCCATGTCCCGGGCACTGTTCTAGGTGCTGGAGCTGCAATGCATCAAGGAAACATACAGTTCCAGCCTTCATAGCATATATGTTCAAGTGGAGGAAACAGACAATACAAGAAACAGACAAAACAAGTGAACAAATAAATACTCAAGATAATCCCATGGTGTTACATCTGGGGGTAAAATAAAGCACTGTGATGTGATAGAGAATAAAGAAGGCAACACTAGATTAGATAGTCAGGGAAGCCCTCTGAGAAGTCATTTGAACTAAGTTGTGAATGACGGGAAGAAGTCCCATATGAAGCTTCAGGGGGAGAGACTCCAGGCTGAGAAAATGGCAAGTGTAAAGGTCCTGTGGTGGTAATGACCTTGACTTGCTTAAGGTACAGCAAGGTCAGCATGGCTAGAGTGGAATGGGCAAGGTGGGGAATCTTGGAAAAACAGTTGAGTGTCTGACCATAACTGACCAGATAGTAGGGATTTGGAATTTATGCAATGGTAAGGGCAGCCGTGAACTGTTTTAAGCATGGTAATTACCCATGGTGAATGGAGAGTAGAGCAGGAGAGGAACACCCAGGCCTGTAGACTCCCAGTCCAATGCTCTCTCCCACTACAATGCATGGCCAGTGTGCAATAATACCCCTCATTTGCTCGCTCTGACTTCCAATCTAGTTTTCTAGAATTGCAGAGTGAAGCACTTTGTCCTTTCTTCTAATTAAACACTGAGCGGAACAAGCAAGGAAATGTACTTCTGCACAGAGCCATGTCTCCTCCTGAGCGTATCTTTAGCCCATAAAGGGGAACGAAATGTGATAATTAGTAGCCAATTAATGTGCATTTCAACAAACTATATTTTAATTATTCTGTCATAGGTTGTCTTCCTGTGAAGTATTCCATGTTAATTAAATCCTTTTAATAATCCAATGAAAGCACCTCTTTTCCTTGATGTGCTGCTTAAAAGGGAGACGACAGCAGACTCGGCTCATGTAATTTGAGTTAATGGCATGAATCCTGCTTTGAGCTTTCATATGCTTATTGAACTAGTGATCTCTTAATACTTGCTAAACTTTTTAATATATAATTATCACACAATTTCCCTGTTAACGTCTGAGAGACTGCATTCTGATAAGCTCCAAGAACTTTGCTGGAGTGACACTGAACCTGTATCTTGTGCCTGGCTGTGATGGCTGGCTGTATCAGCTGCCATCTGTCATTCCTCTTGTCCTGACCTCTTCCTCAGAATTGGTCACTGCAGTTTTGCTTTTAGGCATTGAGACCTACTGTGTGCCTGGGCAGTGCTGGAACTGAGGAACTGGGTATGAGGTGGGGAGACTGGTCTAGCATTCTGTCTCCTAGCATTCTAGCATTCTGCAAGGGGACTGGGGGTTCTCAGATGCAGGTGTAGCATGGGCAGAAGCTGGCGAAGGCAGCAACCAGGGACAATTAATTAGGATGGGGGGGATGAGTTGTCCCAGCCAGGGAGAGGCCAAAAGTCCTCATTACCAAGTCCAGTGGGTTGGAGGTCACTCTAGGCTTCTGCAGGATGGGGCGACTATCCATAGGTCCAATGGCAGAGAGCAGGAGGGCTTGTAGGAGATTAGGACTGTCAGTCTCTGAGTGATGGCCCAGAGACTGTTGTGATCAGATACCTGGGAGGGTATGAGGGACTCCAAAGCTGGGTCCAGACCAGGAGGAAAGACAGCCAGCAAATGGACAATTCAATGGGTCTGGACTCTAGCCTCATGAATAGCTGGGATAGTGCTTTGAAGGATAGATTAACCCACTGTAATGCATATAGACTCACCAAAATCTATAAATTCTCAAACTCACTAAAAGTTTATTTCTTGATCATTTAATAGTGGCAGATGAATATACCCAATTGACCGACCCACCCCCTCTGCTGCCCCATCCATGGTCATTAGGTACCCAGGCCCTTTCCATGTTGTGTCTGTGCTGTCTCCTAGGACAGTGCTTCTCAAACTGTAGTTCCTATATCAACAGCAGCAGCGTCACCCTGGAACTTGTTAGAAATGCACATGCTCAGGCCCCTCTCTGGGACACCAGATCAGAAATATTGGAGGTAGGGCCTGGCAACCTTTTTTAACAAGCCTTCCAGGTGGTTCTGATGCACCCTCAAGTTTGAGAAGCACTAGCCTAGGTCCTAGTTGTCATCTGCACTCAGCCAGCAGATGAAATAGGAGAGCCTGGAGAGGTACTTGCAAATTAAAAGCCTTGACCCCAAGGTAGCACCTGTCACTTCCACTCACGTTGCTTTAGTGAGAACCAGTCACCTGGCCATGTTGAGCTGCAGGAGGAGCTGGGAGTGAGGTCCTGTGCTAGCAAGGTCCTGTGCCAGCTACACGTATATAATCTGTAAGAGGAGAGAGAAATGTTTCAAGCCCCATCTCTTCCACAAAACATGAACCAAGGGCTGGAGGAGGTAACTTGAGGGACAGAATTGCCCTACCCATGAGGACTCAGGAAGGCACTTGGCAGTTTTCCCAGCATTTCTTCTCTATGGAGAAGGGGTTCTACAAGGTGTCTGGAGGGCTCACATTGGCTCAGGAACTTCAGGAAACACAAGTCAAGGAGGTTACATTATGTGCCCAAGGTCGCATAGGTAGAAAGTGACAGGGCTGCAGCTTTGTCTCACTATTGCCTGATGCCAAGTTCTAGATGTCTTTCATCATACTCGGGTGCCTCCAAAATTCTAGCACCCTTAGTCTATGTAATTGAATTAATTGTTGAAATAGGCCTATGCATTTCTCCTATCTCCATTTTACAGCAAAAGATGCTGCAATCGAAGGTACAAGCAGGTGTTGAGAAAACATGAAGGAAGGAATCCAATTAAAGAGCACAAAGAAAATTCCATAGAGGACATAGCAACTAAGAATGAATAAGATGAATATATGTGATTGTGTCTATTTGTGCATATGTGTGTGTCTACATATATATACATATACATATGTATATATATTTACATATACTTATGTATATATATTTACATATACATATGTGTATATATATTTACATATATATATGCACATATATATGAGAAAACTTCACCCATAAATGCATCATGCTAATACAACCAGAATGAGCATTATGCTTCATTTCTATGAACAGCCTTCAATAGGAACAAGGAAGAGAAGGAATTCTAGACAAAAGCATAAACAGAATTCCAGAATGGAAAAGTCCCAGCAAGGGAAAGTCCAAGGCACGTTTGGAGAACACCAAATAGTTGGGTGTGCCTGGAGTGGGAAATGGTGGAGAATAATGCTGGGGCAAAATGTAGGACCCAGAACGTAAAATAAATTGAATGTCATGCTAAGGAGGTTGTACTTTATTCTTTAAATAATAAGTATCCAAGAAAGAGTTTTAGGAAGAAGAATTACATGTTTGGATTTTTATAGGAGCAAGATTACTCTGGGAATAATAAATAGGACTGATTGAAGGAGAAGAAATTTCTAGAAGGCAATTAGAGAAGTGAGGAGGTTTTTGCAATAGCTATGGTAAAGAGAATGGGCATTGAATGAAGGTGACAGAAGTGGTTAAGAAGAGGAGAATCATTGTGATTAGAGGTGGCTGGGGAGAAAGAAGTGGCCAAAAATGAAGCAGATGTTTCTCTTGTCTATTATGGGAATTTGGGGGATATTGAAAAATAGAGCACAGTAGAAATCCGCGTCTCGGGTAAAATATGCTGCATTTAATGAGCTCTAAGATGCACAATTTTTTTCAATTTTAATGTCCCTAAGATCAGACTGTCTCCTACAAATGAAGACGTCTTTCAATCACTGTCAGACAGCAAGTCACAAGGAAGTCATCACAGCCCATACATGTGTGGACTGGGTCTCACAGCCATGAATGTTGTCAAAACTTCAGCTGGGTTATGTGCATTGCTTAACATATAGAACCAACAGCTACTGAAGGCAGGATAAATTGTCATATTTCTTTAAAAAAGGATTAATGAAATTGTAAAGCAATAGAGGCTGGTGGGACTGATTTATCTATGGAGTAGGGCTATCTTTAAGGCAACAAATATCAATTTGCCAAAAATCATTTTACTAAATTTGAACAGAAGCTACTTAACTTCTGGTGATACATAATTCAACTGGGTGGGTAGAGGGGTGTAAAATATGAGTGTAGTCAAGTAAGACAGTTCCCAGCACTGAGATTTTCTTGAAAATAATTCTTGGAGACAGTAACAGAGCACTCTTTTAAAAATGCTGCACCATCAACAGGCTGATGGCACACAGGGAAACTCCGGGGGACAAAAATATAAATACTGAGGACTGGAGTCAAAAAAAAAATCAGAAGATTCTAAAGGTGAATACACATTCTAGGAATACCCGACCTATATTTTTTTTCATTTGTATTTTCCATTTTATGTATGTATAAGGGTGATATATGGGCTATTTTAATAAGTATGCAAAATTTTTTCTAAGTGATATAAAAGCATTGTGTCATCATTTGTGAAATGCTTTTCTTTCTTAGCAGTATGTAAAATAATGGCGCATCTTAAAATTGATGGCATCTTAGAGTCAACGAAATGTAGCATTCATTATTCTCAACCTCCCGGCTCAGAATGAGGTAGATGTTGAGTCTAACATTTTTAAATGTAGCTGAACAAAACCTTCAGTGCAATGCTGATGAGAATTTAAAAAGGTACAGAAAGTTTAGAAAATGGTTCAGTAGGTTCTTGCAAAGTTAAACATACACTTAACCTGAGACCCAGGAATTTCCACTCGTGGGTATTTACCCAGGAGAAATGAAAACATTTGTTACACAAAGACTTGTACACAAATGTTCATAGCAGCTTCATTCATAATAGCCACAAACTAAAAACAATCCAAATGTCCATCAGCTGGTGCGTGGACGAACAAAGTGGGGTATACCTTATTCACACAATGGTCTACTACTCAGCACTGAAAAGGAACAGACTGGTGACACAGGCGACCACATGGATGAATCTCAAAACCATTCTGATAAGGGAAAGAAGTCAAATACAAAAGACTACAAACTACAAGATTCCATTCATACATCACCCTAGAAAAGGCCAAAAGCATAGTCACAGAAAACAAATCATTGACTGCAGGCTCCCAGGGGTTGGGGTTGAAAGGAACAGATTGACTGCAAAGGGCCAAAAGGGAATTCCTGGGTTAGGGAAAGGTTCTCTAGCTTTACTGTATGGTGCTTATGCAACTGTATACTTTCTCAAAATGTACTGTACTCTCTTCTCAAAAAATGTAAACTTTACTGTATATAAATTATTCCCCTGTAAGCCTATTTAAAAATGTGGCTGAAAGACTGAAACAGACTGGGGTTCAAATCCCAGCTTTTCCGTTTACTAGCTCTGTGCCCTGGGCAGCTTCCTTAACCTCTCTGAACTGACCTCCCAGGCTCCTCATGCTTAGAGCAGAATAACAAGGCTTGTGTAATAAGACTTTATTGAGAGTACTAAGCGAGGTAATGTACGTAAAGTACTTGGGGAACTTGACAAAGAATAAATGCTCGATAATGGTAGCTCGCATGCTAGCAGGGACCACAGACAGTTTCATTACTGATGAATTAATCAGTTGTTGGGATGACAGAATTGTATAGGCCAATCAATTGCTTGCAGCTGAAACCAACATTCTGGTCAAAACTATGTTGAAATAGGGGCTCCAGGGAGATGCAACTTGAGCCATTTACAGTCTGTACTTTCAAGCTTTCACTGTTACTTCTGACACTACCTCTCACATGAAAGGGAGAGAGTACTGGGTGAAAGTTATTTTGCATAGAGGCCCCAAAGACACTTGGGAGTCTGGGCACTGTCCCTGGCACACAAACTGAAGATTGATTTGTTTTTTTTGTTTTTGTTTTGTTTTATTATACTTTAAGTTTTAGGGTACGTGTGCACATTGTGCAGGTTAGTTACATATGTATACATGTGCCATGCTGGTGCACTGCACCCACTAACTCGTCATCTAGCATTAGGTATATCTCCCAATGCTATCCCTCCCCCCTCCCCCCACCCCACCACAGTCCCCAGAGTGTGATATTCCCCTTCCTGTGTCCATGTGATCTCATTGTTCAATTCCCACCTATAAGTGAGAATATGCGGTGTTTGGTTTTTTGTTCTTGCGATAGTTTACTGAGAATGATGGTTTCCAATTTCATCCATGTCCCTACAAAGGACATGAACTCATCATTTTTTATGGCTGCATAGTATTCCATGGTGTATATGTGCCACATTTTCTTAATTCAAGATGGATTAAAGATTTAAACGTTAGACCTAAAACCATAAAAACCCTAGAAGAAAACCTAGGCATTACCATTCAGGACATAGGCATGGGCAAGGACTTCATGTCCAAAACACCAAAAGCAATGGCAACAAAAGACAAAATTGACAAATGGGATCTAATTAAACTAAAGAGCTTCTGCACAGCAAAAGAAACTACCATCAGAGTGAACAGGCAACCTACAAAATGGGAGAAAATTTTCGCAACCTACTCATCTGACAAAGGGCTAATATCCAGAATCTACAATGAACTCAAACAAATTTACAAGAAAAAAACAAACAACCCCATCAAAAAGTGGGTGAAGGACATGAACAGACACTTCTCAAAAGAAGACATTTATGCAGCCAAAAAACACATGAAAAAATGCTCATCATCACTAGCCATCAGAGAAATGCAAATCAAAACCACTATGAGATACCATCTCACACCAGTTAGAATGGCAATCATTAAAAAGTCAGGAAACAACAGGTGCTGGAGAGGATGTGGAGAAATAGGAACACTTTTACACTGTTGGTGGGACTGTAAACTAGTTCAACCATTGTGGAAGTCAGTGTGGCGATTCCTCAGGGATCTAGAACTAGAAATACCATTTGACCCAGCCATCCCATTACTGGGTATATACCCAAATGACTATAAATCATGCTGCTATAAAGACACGTGCACACGTATGTTTATTGCGGCATTATTCACAATAGCAAAGACTTGGAACCAACCCAAATGTCCAACAATGAAGATTGATTTGAAGTGACTTTTGCTTCCCACTAATTGGAATCTACACACACAACCAAAGGAGTCAAGTATTTAAGTATACAACAGAGAGTGTATTCAGCATTTTGCATTCATTGGTCTTGTTGTCTTTGTTAGAACCTTATGAGATAGAAACTTTCATTATTCCCATGAAATTGATGAGGAAACAAACTTAGAGAGATAAAGAAGCTTGCCTAAGATCACAGCTTGTAAGGGCAGAGCTCCCAAACTCTTGTCCAGTGGGTCTTAACCCTGCACTAGACCAAGCAAAGGACCTGGGAAACCAGGTGAAGGATGCATGGAAGCAGAGCACCTGGGATCCACACCTGGAGATGGAGTACCTGTAGTAGTGATGTGCTTGAGAAGTGGCTGCTTGGGAAGGGGCACTTGCATTAGAGTCTCTGGGAGTAGGTAAATGCATGAAGGTGGCTCACTCCTTTCCATGAGGCTTCTGGGGAGCCAGAAATCTCCAAAGTCCTGAGAAAGTGGAAGCCCTAATGATACAGTCCTCACCTTACTGCAGATAGGATGTGCTTTGCAACAATGGCCTGAGTTTCCGTTGAGCCTCCCTATTCCTGGGCTCAGGTGAGTCCCTGCTCCTCCCTGAACCTCGTTCGCCCCAGTGGTAAAATGAGTGGGCAGAGTTAGATGTTTGTTGGCTCCCCTGCAGTTTGGATGCTATAATATAGCAAGCTGCACTTCATTTTCACATGTCCACAGATTTATCAGCCACTCAATCACTCTGTTCGGGGGGGACATTGTGGGGTTTCTGATCTCCCGTTTTGCAGAAGTCCAAAGATTGGGGCCAGGGCTACAAAATCCTGCTTTTCTCAGAGCAAACCTGTCGGAGTAAAATTTAAGAGAGAGAGAGAGACTCAGTCAAATCTTAAATCCTAGAAGTAGATCATTAAACTTTTACAAGCTCTAACAATGTTGGGATTGAATAAACCCTGTCTTAAGTATTAAACTTGTCAACCTTAAGATGGCAAAACCAATTCTACTACTTCCCTCTACATTAAAGACACACAAATAAGTCATTGATTTTTTTTCCCTAAGAAAAAAAAACAACATGCCCAGTCAGATCTCTTTTGTAAACCACATAAGACACAGGAGTCTGGGCGAATGTAATGAAGGATTCTCTTTTTAAGAAGATGAAAATAACATTTCAACCTGAGAAATCAAGAATATACATGAAGATGTGCAAAAGGGATTGTGTCTATTGCAACAACGATGTGAAATGTGTGAAAAGCACATATAAATGAAGGGACAGCTCTTCATTCAGCTGATGCAATAACTGACCTAAATGTGTTAGATTCATAAACACTTATTAAGCGTGTCCTGTGTGCTGATCTCTGTGCTGGTAGGTCCCAGTGAATAATAAGACTTGGAAGACCTGGTCCCTATGCTCAGTGAATGCACCATCAAGTAGGGAAACCTATACCCGCCCACCTAGGAAAGTACTCTTGAGAGACTCACAGGAGTGAGTCCAAGAACTCACAGGAGTGACTAACTAACTCTATGTGAGGGCAGCGAAAATGGGTCACTCCTTGCCCTTATAATAAATTGCAAAGTCTTCATCATGGCTGATGAACCCTCCCTAAGAGGGTCCAGGTAGACCAGCTAGCCTGACCTCCCCTTGTTGTCCTCCCCCTCAATCTTTATGCCACCTCCCATTCTTTGGGAAGTGCTGTGATGAGTTGAATTGTGCCCCCCTCCAAAATATATTGAAGTCCTAACTCCTACTACCTATGCTGAGTGTGAGCTTATTTGGAAATAGGATCTTAGCTGATGGTCAAATTAAAATGAGGTCATTAGAGTGAATCCTAATTCAATATGATTTGTGTCATTAGAGAAAAGGGGGAAATATGGTTATAGAGACAGACATGTACAGAGGGAAGAGGATGTGAAGATACACAGAAAATGACATCCACAACCCAAGGAACACCTGGAGCTACCAAAAGCTAGAAGAGAGGCCTGGAACAGATGCTCCCTCAGAGGCTGCAGAAAAACCAACTCTACCGACACCTCGATATTGGCATTCCAGCCTCCCGAACTGTGAGACAATCCCTGTCTGTTGTTGAAGGTGCCCAACCTGGGGTACTTTGTTATGGCAGCCCAAGGAAATGAACACAAGTGCTGAGTTCTTTCAGTCCTAGGCTCTTACAAATGCTGTTTCTTGGCCCGGAACACTCCGCTGTCCCTGCCCCTTCACCTGGCTAACTCCTCAGCCTGGATAGCACCTTTTCGACAGAAGTCCCTTGTCACTCATTCCCATGACACTGCATGGGTCTCATGTTGTTCCCTGCACTCTCCCATGTAATTCCCTGCTATGTGCCTGTCTCCCATCTGGACTGTGAGCTCCCGAAGGTCAGCACCTGGCACAGTTGGCAGCCAGTAAATACCCGAGCTAGTCAAGGATTGAGCTGAGCTTCCTATGAGAATCAAATGAGAGAGCAATTGTGAACGTGCTGCACGAGCCATGAGGCCCCAGGCACAGGGGCTGGGTTTTAATTATTGGTGTCTGTACTGTATATGTGGTGATGCACGATGGTTGCACTTCTACAAGGCATTGAATGTTAAAGTTGTCTACATGTTTCCCTGGCAAACAGGAAAGAATGTGCATTTGGGTCTTCAGATCTTTGCATTTGGAGCTGCCCTGCCTATGCTTCCAGCTTTCCTGCCCTCCACCTTGGAATCCAGCCTTGAGCCCTGAAAGGGGCTCAGAAGGAGGAAGCTGTTAGCATGGAAGGTGCTAGCACCATTGTAGGGCAAGAAAAGCAGGCGCCAATGGCAGGCGCAGCCTTGATTGACACCAGGGAAAGTCCAGAAGGGCTCTCCATCTGGCTGCCCATTTAGAAACTTGACCTCTTTGCAAGCAATAAGCATCTGGGGTCCATTAAAATGCAAGTCACCTGCTGGATGTCTGAGAAAGAATCTGCTAGTGAGAAATTAACCTCTTTGGGGGCACTGCAGGCTCCATCTGCAGGTGATAGGAGTGTGTACTACAGTAGCCAATAGTCACCCTTTCTCAGACTCTAGCCTAAGGCCACGTGGCTCATCAGAGGCGATTGTGTTCCCTGTCTGTGCCTCAGTCTCTTCAACTGCAAATGGGACATTAACCTCTTCTGAGTCCACCCACAGACTTGCTTGCTGGGAGAAGTGGGGGAAAATGAGAGTCTGAATGGGTTTTATGGGCTAAAATGCACTTTATAGATTTAGAAGATTGTTATCCTATTCCTAGTAAGTATTCATTACTAAACTCAAATTTCACTGTTCTATTTCTAAATCTACCTGAGCCTCCAAGTATCTCATCCTCACAGCCTCATGCCATGGGCATGCCTCTTCAAAAGAGAGCATGGATCTACCTTGTAGAAAAAACCTGCCCTTGAATTAATTCCATTCCACAGGCATTGGTTGAACAACTGTTAATGTGGATATACAAAGAGGGGATAACAGATCATGCTCTGGAGCAGCTGATGCCCCTTTGGAAAAGCAGCTCCTACATGAGGTGATACAGAGTAGAAGGTGGAATAGACAGTGCTGGGCTGAGTCAGAGGAACTGGGTTTCTATCCCGGCTTTGCCAAGCACTGGCCTTGTGACCTTGGTAAGTCCCCACTGCATCCCTCTCAGTCCTTCTTGGTGTTCTCCTCCATGCTGTAAGTCTCAATAAAAAAGGCCTCCAGGTAGAAGATGCCACTTCAGAGAACAAATTGGGGATCCCATTGTGGATGCCATGGGGAATGAGGACTGTCCCAAGGTCCTCCCACTGGCCGTGTCTGTATGGAGCCTTTGATACCTCCTAACCTCTTCTCATTAGCCATCCCAACTCTGCCTACAGGGGTATGCGATGAGACCTAATCATTCACCATTTTCACCTCTAAGTCCTGTTTAGCTTCCATACCCTGCTTCTCCTGTCTCTAAGGTCCAACTAAAGGATATAGACAATAAAAAGAGTGATCATTTACAGGCAGGAAGGTTAAAAAGAGTATGGAAATTTGCAGTTACTAAGCATTTATTGAACACTTACTGCATGCCAAGCATTTTACTCAAGACTTTTAATCTTCTATTCCTTTAGTGCTCCCACCAGCCATAGGAGGATATCATTAACCCTTTTCTACAGAGAAAACTGAGAATCAGAGAGGTTAAGTAACTTGCCCGAAGTCACGTAGTGAAAAAGTTATAGATAGGGATTAGCTTTCTCTGGTGCCCTAACAAAGAGGCTTTAGGCTAAATCTATCTAGATCCTGTTCCTATTGCCCCTCCTAGACACACACTCTGACGCTTCATTGACAGATACTGACCTGAGGCTCGGCGTACACTCTCCCTCCAGGTACCCTATCAAACTTTCTGTTCTGTTTTCATTCTTCCCTTGGTTTCCCCCTTTGCCCTGTGGTCCTTGGACATAGTCAGCCCATCCAACTTTCCAACTATCTTGCAGGCCCTGCCTTCCAGAACCTCCACCCACATTATGATCTGAGCATCTGCTGACTTGACTTGGCTACATTCAATCATGTCATATTGAAGATCAGGTATGTGTTTGTCCATTTAGCAGTAGGCATATTGAGCATCTTCTGGTGCCAGACACCAGTTCGTGCACTGAGAATACAGTGAACAAAGAAAGATTCCCACCCTCACAAAGTGCATTTCAGTAGAAGCAGCAGATTTCACTTGTAAACAAGTGAACACATGCATAACATAACTTCAGGAAGCACGTGCTGTGGCAGGGTGGGCGGGAGGTGACTATTTTAGATAGCTCAAGGAAGGCCTCTAGGAGGAGGTGATATTTTAGCAGAGACCTATATGATGTAAAACAGCAAATTATATGAAGATCAAGGGGAAGAGCATTTGAGGCAAAGGGATCAGCAAACACAGAGACCCTGACACCAGAACAAGCTATGTTGGTGGAACAGATACACCACCACCCCAGCTGCAGACCGATGAGTGAGAGAGGAGTGGCAGAGGCTGAGTCAGAAAGGTGGGCAGATGCCAGATGTGTAAAGTTCTGTAAACTACAAAAAGAAATTTTAATTTTACTCTAAGGGCAATGGGAAGGCCCAGAGAGGTTTGGGCAGGGAAGTGATGTGGTGTCACTTACATTTTTATTTATTTTTTTGAGACAAGGTCTCGCTCTGTTGCCCAAGCTGGAGTGCAGTGGCATGATCATGGCTCATTGTAGCCTCAATATCCCCAGGCTCGGGTGATTCCTCCACCTCAGCACCCCTCCCCCTGCCCCAAGTAGCTGGAACTACAGGTGAGTGCTACCACACCTGGCTAATTTTTTGTAGAGACAGGGTTTTACCATGTTGCCCAGGTTGGACTTGAACTCCTTGGCTCAAGTAATCCACCTGCCTAGGCCTCCCAAAGTGCTGGGATTACAGGCATGAGCCACTGCACCTGGCCTCACTTACACTTTTAAAAGATCACTTTGGCTACTGTGTGAGGAGTTAACTGGGAAAGAGCAGAAAATTACAGGAAGACCAGTTAGGAGCCTACTACAGTCATATATGCAAGATAAGGTGAGATGCTAGTGGCTATGACTTGGGTGGTAGCAGTGCAAGTGGTAAGAAAAGGTGAAACTTGGAAAATATTCAGTGGATGTGTCGGTAGGCATTTAACAATCTGCTCTGTTGGGAGCAGGGTGACCTTATTTTGTAGCATTTGTCAATTTCCATAGTGCAAATACCTCCACCATGGGCCGCCTAAAACTTTCAATATGACATCAACTGTCTTCCAATATTTCTAACAATTTGACAGTCGGCTCTCACAAGTTGGCTTGAGCCAGTTCCAGCACCCACTGAATTTATTTTTGAGGTAGAGTCTACAGGACTTGTTGAAAGTTAGGATGTGGGGGCAAAGGAAAGACAGAAATCCAAAATGACTGCCAAGCCATTGAGTATATGCTAGTGCCATTTACTGAGATGAGAAGACTGAAGGGAGTGGTCAATTTTGGAAGCGGCTCAGAAGCACATGAACGTCACTCCCGTATACTCCCCAGCCTTCACAGGTGGAAAAAAATACCAACACACTTTTGCTCTTGGGCTAGGGAATAAGGAGAACATTTTCTACTATCTCCATAAATCTAAACAATCCCGAGGCCACTTTGTGGTGCAGCAGTGAAGAGAATGCACCTCGGAAACAAGACTCTTCTGTATTAGTCAGGATAAGGCTGGCTGCTATATCAAATACCTCCTGAAATCTCAACGACTTAGTCCAATTTAAGTTGATGTCTCTTTTATGCATCGTGCAATTAGCAGTGTGTGGGGAGGCTGGAGTAGAGGTGGGAACTCTGTTTCACGTGGTCATTCAGGGATCCATGCTGATGGACACTGTCCTCCTCCATACACGACTTCTTTTTTATTTTTTAATTTCAATTTTATCTTTCTTTGTTCTGCTTTTTGGAAGCATTTCAGAATAAGTTTGTAAGATTTCAACACCACACATGGCTTCTGAAGTCAGTCAAGGGATTAATGTCTATTGGCAGGAGGCGATAGAGAGAGGAGAAGGCACATCAGCTTCATAACCACTTCCACTAAGAAGTGACATTTTTGGGGCCAGGCACAGTGGCTCACGCCTGTAATCCCAGCACTCTGGGAGGCCGAGACGGGCAGATCATGAGGGCAGGAGATTGAGACCATCCTGGCTAACACGATGAAACCCGTCTCTACTAAAAATACAAAAAAAAACCTTAGCCGGGCATGGTGGCAGGCGCCTGTAGTCCCAGCTACTCGGGAGGCTGAGGCAGGAGAATGGCATGAACCTGGGAGGCAGAGCTTGCAGTGAGCCGAGATCGCACCACTGCACTCCGGCCTGGGCGACTGAGTGATACTCCATCTCAAAAAAAAAAAAAAAAGAAGCGACATTTTTATTCCCACCATATCCATTGCTAAGAACTGGTCAACATGGCCTCTTCTAATGCAGGCAACCTGAGAAATGCAGGTTTTGGCCAGGCAACCACTTCCCTACACAGATTCAGTCTTTGCAAGGGAGCAGGAATCCTTGATGGATGGCCATTCATCTCTGCCTCTGGCCCCACCCCAGCTCTGCCTTGAGCAAGTTGCTTAACTACTGTGAGTCTCAGTTCCATCTCTGAAAAATGGGAACAATCCTAATACTTACCCCACAGGATTTCTGCGCTGCTAAGGAAAGCAAAGGAAATGATACTCATAAGGCACTTAGACTGGTCTGCCAATGCATTTGAACCAGGAGTATTATTTGTGATCCATTCCAACCTCCTGATTTTCCAGATAAGCCCCCCTCACATCAATGTGCACTTCTTCTCTCAATTCTAAGCATTCATACACAGAGAATGAGGCCAAATAGTAAGAGCACTTTGAAAGGGATTTATAGCTTAGAGGTGCCCCTCGGTATAGAGCACTGGCTTTGGAGCCACAGGACCTGAATTCTAGTCTAAGATCTAACAGCAACACGTTAGGTCATTTGGCAATGTTCTAGGAATTCTTTGAGGCTCCCTTTCCTCCTTTATGGGGTGATGGATAACAATACATACCCAAGCTTGCTGGGAGGATGAAGAGCAACATCATATGCAGAGGCCTTGCAAACCCTACGCACATGAATGTCTGTTTCCTTGCCAGGATCTAAAAACGCTTTGAAGGCTGCATAGGACATTGTAAGATGAGACACATCACCACACGGACCAATCCCCCACAGATCTGCATCATTTTAAAAATGATCTGTTTGGCAATCAGCACATACTGCTCCTGCCTCGTGAGCAGAGAGAGGGTTCTCATCGGCAAGAAGTTGAAGCTGTTCATTTTCTAAGACTTCTCCCTCTCAGCTTGATTCTGCATGCTCAAGGTTGTCTGGGGTCCCGAGCAATCAGAAATGATTTGTGTCAAAGAGCGCATTACAAGAATCATTTGTCACTTCTGGTTCGCGTTTGAATTTGAAGAATGATGCTGGGGAGTGATCTGAAGGCATGATGTGAGGTGTTGTTACGATGAGTAGCAAAACCATTATGTTAACCTTCTTGGGAGCTGAGCTCTGGGGTTCAATTTTGACAGCATCGTAGCAAGGGCAGAAATTTCCAGCCCCCACAATGAGATGGACTGGGAAGTATTATGAATACCTCCCCGTAAGAATAGCTTATGATTAAATGACAATCTTCTCAAAAGAAAATTAGAAGCATAGTAGCACAAAGCATCCTGGAATGATTTTTGGGGAACAGCTGGTTTAGCCCTTCACCTTACAGAGAAACATTGAGGTGCAGAGAGTTTTTGTGACCTTGTGGCCACAAAGTTAACTTTCCTGTTGATTAGATAGTGTCTTCATCTTGCAAAAGCTGACAAGTGGGTTTAGAATATTGATCTCGGAATTTAGAACACCAAGTTCTAGGTGCAGCTTATCTTCCATCCGGCTATGACTTCCGCAAGACAATCCACTTCTTTGCATTTCTGTCTATCTCCCTGAAAGAAGACATTGGTGATTCCCCAGGTCTCCTACAACTCTGAAATTTTGATTCCAGGCAATCCATGGGGCAGACTTTTTATCCTTATTTGACAGGTAAGATAACTAAATGCCAGAAATCTGGAAAAGCTTCTCAGACAAGGCCTTTTATTTGAATCTTGTGACACAAGTAGATTTCTTTTAATAGATAGAGAAGATGTCATGGCCCTGTAAGTCAAGAGAACAGGATGGCCAAAGGCAAGAAGAAAAAGGTAGGGCACTTTAAGAAAATTTCATATACTTGATTATGGCTACATAATAGAATGTGAGAGACAGGACAGAGGAAGAGCATACTGAAACAAAGCTTATTTTTTCTTTCTTTCTTTCTTTCTTTCTTTCTTTCGCTCTTTCTTTCTTTACTCTTTTTGGCTCACTGCCACCTCTGCCTCCTGAGTTCAAGCGATTCTCCTGCCTCAGCCTCCCTAGTAGCTGGGATTACAGGCATGTGGCACCACACCAGGCTAATTTTTGTATTTTTAGTAGAGATGGGGTTTCACCATGTTGGCCAGGCTGGTCTTGAACTCCTGACCTCAGGCAATCTGCCTGCCTCAGCCTCCCAAAGTGCTGGGATTAAGGCATGAGCCACTGCACTCGGCCTGAAATACAGCTTAGAATCAGATCATGGAGAGCTTTGAATATCAAGTTCAAGGGCATAATATCTCTGAGCCAGTGGTTCCCAAATCATATGGCATATGGCAATCTTTGGACGTATTTTTGGTTGTCACTACTAATAAGGATGTTGTTAAACATCCTACAATGCACAGGAGAGCCCCAGCCAACAAAGAGTTATCTAGCCCCAAATTGCCACCAGTCCCAAGGCTGAGAAATACTGCTCTAGGCAGAAAGAGGAGAGGTTCTCTGCAGACTTGTATCGATTCTATCGAGGCTATCTTGGGCTGGGTGAGAGGCAAGACTGGCGGCAGAAGGCTGCCACAATCATCTCGTGAAAAGATGATGCAGGTCTGAGCTGAGACAGGGTCAAGAGGACCAATGTCAGTGACGTGGAAGAGATGGAAATGACAGATTATATGGTTTCCCCCATCCATTGCACTAGCACCTGCCAGCTCCAAGCCACCTTTTTACAGCATCTTCTTTCTTTTTCTTTCCTATTCACTTGCTCTGCTGTCCCAAGAGTCAGTGGGTGAGAGGAGATTTGGGACTGGATTTCACCTCCCAGATCTTCTAGTGGCCCATCATAGTAGCCTCACTTTTAATCAAACCCAGTCCTGGAAGTAGAAGGAAGGTCAGGAGCTGACACATGCAGACTTCCTGCAATTTTATTTTATAATTATTTGTGTCATTATTAGTTTAATAGTTTCTAGCACAAGATTGTAAATTCTGTGAGCAGGGACCATGTGGATCATGCATTCCCACAGCCTGGCACAGTGCCTGATATGTAGGAGATGCTTAGGAAAATGGGTTTGATGAATGACCCTTGACTTCATGGGTGAGGTTGGTTAGGCATCAGGCGCTTGCCGAGGGCAAACCGTGGAGGTGCCAGCTTAGTGGACTCAGCCTCACCCCTCTGGCTGAAGAACAGACTGGGTGTTGGTTCTGGCTCCTCTCACTGCATCCAGCCACAGACACAGACCCACCTCCCTGGAAGCAAGAAGAAAGTGGAGGACAGATGGCCAATAAAAAAGACCTGAAAGTGTCCAGTATGATCGCTCAACCCTTCCCATACACACTCCTCTTGGGCATCCCTTCCATTATAATACCTTTTCCCTTTCCATGTGGCCCTTGACCTCACCTGGAAAACCGAGTGGGAGGCTAAGGGGAGAACAAAGGGCTGGGAACACAGTGTGATCATTTCTGCTCACGAGACAGTCAGGGAAACGCTTCCCAACCTCGAGCACCTCACCATCAGAAACTTGAGACAGATTATGGGCACCCCCCAGGTGATAGAAAAAGAAGCTGGGAGTTGGGGACGTAGAGGATGGAGGAAAGAAGGGCCTCTCTCCTTGGCAGTGGGATAAGCCCTAGGAAGTCGTGACCCACTGGGAGGTGTGTGGATGTATGCAACCACAAGTGCGATGGAGAAGTCTTTAAACATTGGCTTCCCTGCAATTTGCAGAATTTTTAGCAGTGACTCCAGGAACACCAACCCCACAGCTCAAGGAATCAGGCCAACCTAATTCTAAGAGACCTGGGCAGCCATCTGGCCCTAAACCCCCAGATGGCAAGAGCAAGGGCCTCTGCAAGGTCGAACGCCTCTCAAGAAGCAGAGAGGATTGAGGCCCACGTGTCTTGACTTTCCAGCACTTTTACTGCCTGGGGCTTGGTCTGCTCAAGATGTCAGGTCGGTACAGATAAAGGCAGCTCAGATTTGGTGTAACCCCCACCCACTGCCCCCTGCCCCCTGCCCAGCTTTATGTACCCCAAGACTACAGAAACAAAGCACACTCCTTCTTGGTGGCACCTGGTTCTGCCAGGAGTTCTATGATCTTGTCCTAAGCCTTTCTGGAACGTTTGCCTTAAAGGTCCAGGAGGCCATGCCTGTAAACTCTTTCTACTGATCGAGGCCTGAATCACAGAGTCTAGGGTTCAAACCTTCAAGCTGTGTGATTTTGAGCTAAGTTAGTCAATAAGTTAATAAATTAAGTTAAAAATTAGTAATTAATTTTTAATAAATAAAAATTTTTAAGTTAAATATTTTTTTCTTTAACTTATTTAAGGCTCTGCTTATCTACTGGTAAAATGGGAAGATAGTAGCTAACTCAGCAAGTTCTTGTCTAATTAAATGAAATCAAATGGAACAATGTACAGAAAAGCACTTTATATACCTAACACAGAGCAGGAACTCGAAAACCTTTTGTTAAATGAGTGAATGCATAAACTAATAGAAATGATTGACTTTTATCAAAGCTATGAGAGGCAGTCTCCAACCCCTTGGTACCTGTGAGGTTGGTCCTGCATGACCTGGCAAAGCTGGCCTACCTCTGTCTCCCTAGGCAGGACTATGAGCTGTTTATCAGTATTTTAGGTTCCAACCACCTCTCTCTTGAGCCTGGCAGCAACACAGTCTCCTTGAAAAAAGGGCTTAGTGCAGGCCCAAAAGGCCTCATGCTCCCATCTGAGCCCCTGACCTGAGCAAAGGTGACCTGTACACTCGCCTATGTTCATGCCAATTAAGTGGTTTCATTAAAAGGTCTGGCAGTGTCTGTGGGCAGCTCCAGGGTGACCCATGAATTAGGAAGGCCTTGCTGCCATCTGCCAAGACTTCCCCTTGCTTGCCATGGGGCATAACAGACAAAGGGGACTGACCTCTCTCTCTTTTTCTTTTTCCAGCCCAAGCATGCTAGGAATAAAGGAAGTCTAGAGACAATCTCAAAGTCGGTTTTATTTTTCTAGAAGCTCCCAGTTTAATTAGGTCTACAAAGCATTTAGGTTCTGTGTTGGTTGAAATTGACCCAACACACAGAATATTCCATGACATATTTTGCTACCTGCTTTCTACTCACAGACACTGGAAGGGGCCCCTTTCTCCTTCAGAGAGCCTCGTTCTTACACAAGGGCCAAGAAACAGGACATCTAAGGACTTGGAAGCCCCAGGCACGTGACCCCCGGCCTCTCTGTTCTCCAGCTAAGGAACGCTTTATGGCCTTCGCATTTATTCATGTATTTCCTGGACCTACTTTGTACTAGGCCAAGGGAAGTGAGCTGAATAAGACCCAGCGGGGTTGAGAGACATAAAAATGGCTTATTGAAATTCAATACTCCAAGGGCTGGAAGAGATGGATGAGTAGCGAGCCGGAGGAGCACAAAGGCAGGAGTCCCGCTGTCTGCCTAGGGAATGCTTGAGGAAATAAGAATAGCCCACATTTATTAAGCACACAGTACAAGCAAGCACTCTATTAAATGCCTTACATGATGTATCTCATTTAATCCTCATGTGGAAGGGAAAGGAACCACGTGTGTCTATTGAGAAGTGACTGTTCTAAGCACTGTGTTAAATGCTTTGCAGAAATGATTCTGTCTTCTTCTCTTGATAACTGTGGCATATACATATCATTAGTCCCATTTTACATACAGTGAAACTGAGTTTCAGGGAAGTTGAGTAATGTGCCTCAATGCTGGAGTCCAAATAAAACCCCAAACAATCTGTTGTCTAAACTATTGCTTCTCAAACTTGGAAGTGAATGAGAATGAGCTAGGGGTCTTGCAGATTCTACTTGAGTAGTTCTGGGGTGGTGTCTGAGATTCTGCAGTTCTGACAAGCTCCCAGGTGATGTTGATGCTGATGCCGCTGGCCCAGGGAGCACACATGAAGAAACGCGCTCTGTACCATCCTTGGTGGTTCTCAGCCCCAGGTGTACCACAGAATCAGCCAGGGAGCTCTTAAAATACATCAGTGTTTGGTTCCTACCCCCTGGAGATTCTGATTGGACTGGAGTGAAGTGGGGCTCGGGCATCACTGTATTTTAAAAGCTCCCCTACAGGGCAGTCAGGGTTGAAAATAATTGCTATACTTTTAACTGTCCTTTTTAAAGCTAGTCTTAAAAATTTAGTCCAAACCCAAGATGTCCCCAAAGTTCACTCCCCTTGTGGGAGCCCCCAGCCAGTTGGATTCAGCCTTGGAAGCTGACTCATTTGGCCAAACTCTCTATTATTCTTTCCTCCTGAACTGTCCTGGAGTTTCCTGGCCACTTGGCTCTCTTACTCCCTCCAATATTGTAATCCCATTGAATCGGAGCCTGCCTCTGTCCTCTTTTCCTCACCATTCCCTGAGCAGCAGGCAGAAAGGCAGAAGAGACATCCCCAGGGCTATTGATGCCCAGGGAATTCACAAGGTGGCTATTTCTTTCTTAATTAAGACCTTCGTGACGAGTTGCTGGTATTGGACCAATTAATCAGCTCTCTGAAGGCACAGGGGAAAAGCAGCAGCAAATAGGGTGATTCATGCAATGGTTTCTAATAGTAAGAGGGGCTGCAACTTGGCTAGATGTAGATGGAAGGGAGGCCTGAACAGAGCAGCACGGCTAGCCTTGCCTTGTCTTTTGCTTTTTTCTTCCCTTTTTGAGTTGGATGCGGGATGATATATTCTAAAGGCCACCTTTACCCAAGCATTATTCTCCCTGCCAACCAATCCCCTTCACCAGCCGCCATTATCTGTCATCAGAGACAAGACAACAGAAGATAATAGGAGCTTCCAATTCATGCTGCTTCTTTCTTCCATTCTCTGGGGAAATTATGTCGAAAATTTTTTTCATTGACTTATTTATTATAAGTGTAGAAAATGAATTGCTTAAAGGTTTGTGGTGGGGCAGCCCAGTTGCTATCAGGGTTGTTGGTGCTCTGGCTGGAGGGAGAGTTCCAGGGGTCTGGTGGGGTGTTAATTAAATGGATTGGCCTCCCTTTTTCCCCACAGGAAGCCCATGTGATGGCCCCAAGCTTTGTCTCAATTTAAAACAGAAGCAGTACTGCAAGTCCACTGGCTCCCTGCCTCACCTGTCCTATAGGATCACAGCTGGAAACCACACACACACACACACACCTACCACATACACGGGTCAGCCAGGCCCAGGTTTGAATCCTCCCTGCCACCTCCTACGAGGGCGTGGTAATGACACTTACTGGCCCTGACACCTTCTCACCTTGGATGCATTGCTTAATTGTTTGAGCATGACTTCTTCTTGGGGTTACCAAGGCATTGGGTCAAATGAGCATCTGCAATACAGTAGGGCCTCCATGAAGTTCCATCTTCTTCCTCCTCTTCCTACAGAAAATGTCAAAGCGAAAGTGGCCTTAAAGATCATCTAATCCAGTCCTACCCTCTGTCCAATGGGAGTCAGAGGCCTGGATTGGGACAGTGATTTGCTCCAGGTCTCTCAGTGAGAAAGTGGCAGAACCAGGCTCCATGACCCCCTATCCAGTTCTTTCCCCCTCACCACACAGCCTCTCTGTACCCTGATTAACAGATGTACTTCATTTTAGGCACATGTCCCTAAAATGAGTGTGTAAATGCAACTCTGGTAAGCCCACAGATACCATGCATGTGTCAGGGGGTTCTCTTTAAAGGGATATTCCTGATATTCCCATTGTTCACGATGACCCTCTTTGTCAGAGTTTGTTGTTTTTGATTCAGTTTTTCCAAGTATGATTTCCATAAAGTGGGACACACAACACCCCACTCCTGGTCATTTTTCACCCACTGGAGCACTCTCCTCTGCCACCCTGATGTATCTCATTTAATCCTCATGTGGAAGGGAAAGGAACCACGTGTGTTCCTTTCTTCTCAGCCCAGAGTTGATTAGGCTTCGAGCAAGGCAACTACTCCAGAGTTGGTTTCTGGTAAGAGTCACTTGGTTTCAGCTACTTCTGAGAGTCCAGTGTGGAACATAAAGCCTTTAGCTGTTGCTTGGTCTTTGAATGGGTTTAGGGCCCTGATTCTGGCTTTCCTTGAAGACTCAGGTAAGAAATTCTCTTTCCTTAGATCTGCCCACTGGACAGTGCACCCTACTGTCCATCTCCTCCTCCCTGGCACACACATCTGAAGAAGAACAGTAT
This sequence comes from Homo sapiens, assembly GCF_000001405.40. Taxonomy (NCBI): domain Eukaryota; kingdom Metazoa; phylum Chordata; class Mammalia; order Primates; family Hominidae; genus Homo; species Homo sapiens. The sequence goes on along the minus strand of NC_000017.11, from coordinate 33,527,154 downwards.
TTCTCCTTCCTTCCTGCACCAGGCATCCACATGCATTCTCTATTGTTAGATCATAGAAGGAAGTAGGCACACAGGGCGCCCAGCCCTCCTGCACAGGTAGCAGATGGGGGCTCCGACCAGAAACATCCTGAGCCAGCCCAGCATCACCCCCGAAATATAAAATGACTAGCTGGAAAATAGAGATAATCTGTCTCAATTATGTGCAAGTTCAGCAAATTAAGGCCCAGCATGAGGAATCTGCCTGTGTTTTGATTAGGGAACAGATGCATTCGACCATGAGGAATTCTTACAAAGCTTCCTGCATGGACATCAGATCTGGCCTTTCCAGGAGACACAGTCACAGAACTGTTTACAGTGGGGAATCTGGGGTTTTCTGGGGAGGGGAGGAGAAGGGGTGGGCAGCCCAGGTCTGGTTGGCGGACTTTCCATCTCTCAGATGCTAGGCAAGCAGGGTCTCATAGCCTGCCCAGAGTACCACCAATGCCCTGGCTGTATAAGGGCCTGATGAGGGCAGCAAAGGCAACCTGGCCCTGATGATGAACAATCCAGCACCCATTCTTAGTGAGTGCCTACTCTGTGTTGGGCATAGGTTTGAGCTAGAACGTATAAGAGAAACAAGTGGAGAGAAAGCCCCAAAGAAAAAGCAGAAGAGCCTGGATCTGTCAGACTCAGCTCCGGGGGACATGCTGGGAGATTGGGAGGTGGACTCCTGGAGCCAGAAAGAACAGTCCTCCTTCCAAAGCAATAGAAGAGAAGGAGTCCTAGGGTGGCTTGATCAGAGTGAGGGAGACATGACTAGTAAGAATTAACCCCATCAGGATCATCAGGATGAATGACGTCCCCAGCACCTGACTGCTTGGGGTTTCATCCTCTGCTGCCCTGCAAGAAGAAAGAAAAGCGTCTGAGAGATCTCACTTAATGGGAATTCTAAGACAGGATGTTGCTCCAGAAAAGGCTGGTTGGGTACCCTCCACTTTCAAATCTACTATTTTTGCTGGATATGTGAAGTCCCTGACACATAAAACAGGGACTTGGTTCCTGTCATCTTAGGGCTCACAGTTTACTTGGGGCTGAATTCCTCACACTTTTTGGTCACCATATTATTCTAGGTGAAGGCTCGCAGAATCAGAATCTTCAGGAAGAGACTAGAGATTTGTATCTGTGAAGTGCAGGAAATTTTGACCTAGGACAAGAAGATACCCACGAGTGGAAAGATAACTTACAGCCTAAAGCAGGACAGGCAGTAAATGCTGTAATAGCTCAGTCAGAAGTGACCACTGATGACTAGTGGGGTCTGGGAAAGCTTCCTGGAGGAGGTGAGTCTTGAGCTGGGCTCCAAAGGATGGATAGGAGTCATAGGCCACCATCAGCCACCACCCATGTTGATACCACAATTCAAGCTCAGTAAGAAAAGCAAAGCTGCTAAGATACATAAATAATAAGGGATTTGTTACAGACACTTGACCTTCTGCTATTGTGGGAGCTGGTCAGTCCGTCTAGGTAATGCAGAGGTATTTGCATTTGATGCTGGATCTCCATGTCTGCAAGGCAGGAGGTAGGGAGGGGAAGATGGAGATAAAGTGAGGGATAACAAGGATAAGCCAGAACCCGTGAGCCCGAGCTGGAATTACACCAGGTTGGACTAAGACCCCTGTCAGTTTTATTGCTCTGACCTTGACGGTGAGGGTTTCCTGCAGAAGATAGGGTCCTTCATCACAGAACAAAGCTCACTCATCTGGCCAGGAGGCAGAGAAGCTGTAGATATTTCCAAGGGGTGGTGGAGTGGTAGCCTCACACAAACAGCCAGCAGCTAAGCGACAAGATATGTGAGCTACAAAGGGGCTGCTTCACTCTGCCCTCCACACCTCCCACATGACTCTCTCGTGTCCGCCCTACTCAGAAAGACCTGGTGGCAGGGAATGCTAGGAAGTGTTGCGCAGTCTAGCCATGTAGGCACACAACTCAGCCAGCATGCCCTCCTGTTCCATGCACATGACTGAGGCTGACTACAGGACTCAGTGAGGGGAAGGCAGCCCAAGTAGAGGGAACGTCAAGAATAAGAGCACAGAGACAGGAATGACACAGGTATCGGTGATGGGGGAACAGAAGAGACTGGGATTCATATTGTAGGTATAATGAAGATAGACTTTGAGGGTCACAAGGACCTTTGGCCTTTCCTGTGCCCTGGAATCACATTCCCAAGGGAGCTGCTGGGCTCCCTAGGCACTGTCTACACTCTCAGCTGGACTCACTTATGACTAAGTTAAATACATCTGGGAGGAAGCCCAGCGCTGTAATGTGCACCTGTAGTCTCTACTACTTGGGAGGCTGAGGCAGGAGGATCACTTGAGGACAAGAGTTCAAGGCCAGTCTGGGCAACATAATGAGACCCTGTCTCTAAATAAACAAACAAATAAATAACACTTGGGAGGCAGGTGAGTGGATGGAGGTGGAGGGACTCAAACTGGGGACCTCATTCTCGTGAGCAGCAGCATGACCCAACTCAGCTAAGCTGCCACACCAAGCCAGCACCTCCCCACCATCCTCGTTAGCCATATGCATATACACCTAACAAGCTGTGACACCCCCTCCCAGTGCACACCTCCGAATGAGTCTACACTTCACCCAGAACATACAGAAACAATACTGGTAAAAGACCACCTTTCTTGTTTTACATAAATTCTCATTTCCATCATACCTGTATGGGGAGAACTCATTCTCTCAACTCCAATCAAAGAGACCAAGCTCCCACTTCTGGTTCACAATTTGCTGGCTATGCAATCTTGGGCAAGTCAGCCAATCTCTCAGAGGCTTCATTTCCTCCTCTGTGAAATGGGAATAATAATACTTACCCTGACGATGTACTGGGAAGGCTAAAAAGGGGATTCTATGCACAGTGTCTCTATATAAGGAACCCAACAACGGTATATCAGCACATTCTGACTGGAGGGCAAAGAATTTGGAGGCAGGGATTAGCAAGAACTGGGCAGAATCTCAGAGGCTGAGCCTGGGGATGGTGAGAGAAACTCCTGAGCCCAGCCAGACTAGGACACCAGCATTGGCCCAGGGGCATGCTGAGTTGCTCCTGAAAGTGAAAGATACCTGCTCAAAGCTGAGAGGAGCTGGAGAAGGTTGAGGCTGACCCCTGAGTGTATGACTGAAAGAGACAAGAAGGCCCAGGGGTCATCCGAAGAGTTGATTTAGAGCAAGATTAGATCAATTTCCTGAGGCTATGCTATGGATGAGAACTGCATGGAGACAGCACTTACATCATGAGAGCAGGAACTTCCCCTCCGTCCCAGCTGTTCTGAGATTGCAGCCCAGTGAAGGGTGAGCTTCCCCTCCCTGGAGCTACATCAGCCGTGAGTAGATGACTAGTTGGTAGAGTGAGCACAGAGGGCCTTTCCAAGCACAGAGACAGAGCACAGAACTGGGTGTCTTCGAGATTATTTATAACAACGGGAAAGTGTCATTTTCTGAGTCAGTGTTCACATGGGAAGGGGAACCTGCCAGAAGCCAAGCCCTGTGCTAGGAGCCAGGAATGCATTATGCTACTTAAACCTCTAAGCAACCCTCTGCAGGAGGTTTTATGATCCTAGCCGGGCACAGTGGTTCACGCCTGCAATCCCAGTACTTTGGGAGTCCCGGTGGGTGGATCACTTGAGGCCAGGAGTTCGAGACTAGCCTGGGCAATATGGTGAAACTCCATCTCTACTATAAATACAAAACAATTAGCTGGATGTGGTGGTAGGTGCCTGTAATTCCAGCTACTCGGGAGGCTGAGGCACGAGAATTGCTTAAATCTGGGAGTAGGAGGTTGCAGTGAGCCCAGATGGTGTCACTGCACTCCAGCCTGGGCAACAGAGTGAGACTCCATCTCAAAAAGTAAATACATAAAAAATAAAGATGGCTTTGTGATCCTCATTTTAGAAATCAAGAAACAAAGTTTCAGAGGGGCTGAGTACTTTACCAAGATGACAAAGACAGTGAGTCCATTGCTGGAATTTGACCTCAGAACTAGGGTCCTTCATCACAGAACGAAGAGAAAAGAGAAGGGTCTTTTCCTTAAGACAGAAGAATCTGCAAAAAGAAGATTGAGGCCCAGCTCAGAAGATGGGTGTCCTGACACTTCTTGTCACCCACTTGCTGTGTAGATCACTTTCCTTCCTGCAACCTGGCTTGATCATGTGCTGATCTCTCTTGGGCTTGCGGTGGGTGGGGTAGGGGGAGCCAGGGGTTGCCCTGGCCTTTGTTCTGGGCAGCCCCAGGACTGCACGGTGCAGAGCGGGAGGCAGTTTTCAGGGATATTGCGATGCCACACGGCTTCAGTGTCTGTGTCTGCACTGGAGGTGGCGCTCTCGTGTGTCTGTTCTTGTGGGAATTCATGGCACCGCAAATAAAACTAACACTTGGATTTTCAAAACACTTGGATTTTCAAAGTTATAATCTAGGGCAGACAAGAATTCTTATTCCACAGATGAGAAAACTGAAAATCTCAATGAAAGAAACTGATAGTCACTGAGTCCTGTGAGGGACTCTTTACTGCGTCCTCTCACTTAGCACCCAAGGCAATTCTGGGAGACGGGAATTACTGTTCCTATTTCACAGATGAGGAAACAGAGGGTCAGAGAAGTTTAGTGAGTTGCTCAAAGTCAAAGAACTAGAAAGGGGCAGGATTCCAACCATGGTCAGAACTACTGCCAAGCCGCTGCCCCTACAAAGACACCTCAGGGCCCCCCACAGGTGGGCCTCAGCCCACAGCAGGAGCCGGTGGGCCTTCAGCTCACTCCTGCAGGGAAGACTCGGTTTCTCAGAGGAGTCCGAATGCTCTGCAAATGTAGGCCTTCAGGAACGGGGGAAATAATTCATTGACCCTTTAAGATTCAATATCATATTAGCAGGAGCTAGAATGGGGAGCAGATAGGACTGGAGGTTTGGGGGGCTGGTGGGGAGCCCACGAGGGGGTACTGAGCAGAGGGCACAAGGCTGCCTGGTAGGGACAGCAGTGACAGGAAGGAGTGGGGGGACTGACAAAGAAGTGCCATGGGTCAGAATTTTGCCATCCCTGACCCTTCCTGACAGGATGCTCCTCTATGCAGCCCCGGAACCCACCCAGCCAGCTGGCTTTGCTCAGCTATCCCATAGGCCAGGCAGCGGCTGCCCAGCAGAGGGCCCCCTAGCCCTGGCTGAACCACACTGCCCGCAGTTGCCAGAGGGCCTCCCTGCCCGCCTAGGTGCCAGGTGATGGGGGAAGGGGCCTGCCTGCCATGCACACCCAGAGGAACAGCCTGGGTCCCCTCTTGTCAGGTGTCTTCAGAGGCCCCACATCAGGGTTCTGAGGAGCGGGGATGAGGTTTTGCAAGGTATGGCCTTTGAGGGTAGATGATGACCGTGGGGCATGAATGCTGGGCTCCAGTCCTAGCAGTGCCATCAGGTTACGTGACTTGAGCAATTCCTTCCCCTCCCAGAACTCAAATCCACCCGCACTGTAGACTAGAAGATTCTCAACAGTCCCTCCAGCTCTGCCAGTCGGATCCAACATCTTCCTTGCCCATCTCTGCCAGACTCTCAGCAGGCTCTCACGGGACCCCAGCTGGGCTGTGCACCCTGCTCTGTGTACCCACTGGGAGAGACTGACTCCTTGGTCATGTGGCTACTTCTGTCTCCAGGACTTCGGGGGCGTTGGCCGCATCAGAACTGGGCCATCCCTGCCCTACAGTCACCATGGCTGCTGTACCTCTTGTGTCCCTGTGTGCCACACTCAGAGTGAATAACTGTCAGCAAGGCTGGCCCCGAGTGGCAGGCGCATTATCCAGGGGCCCTCTTTACCTCCCACCTCCCCCTGCAGAGCCAAATAATTCATTCAATTTCAGCTAATTTGCATCCTTCAAAAGATACCCCTTGGCCGACGACAGTGTTGAGCCCCTGCTTACCCAGCTCCAGAGGCCTTTATTTGCTACTTCTCCCGCAAGAGGCAAAGTGCTGTGTGGACCCAGCCCAGCCTGAGTCCCAAGTCCCGAGACCTAATCTGCCAGTTCGCCACGAGACTGCCTTGAGGTTATTGAACCTTGTCTGTAGAATTCCTGCCTGCCTGTTATGAAATAATAATAATAATTATTATTATTCAGACTCCTGGCTGCCATAAGCCAGCAATGCCAACATCAGTACCTTCTCTTCGAAGTTTTTGCTTTTCCAAAGTAGTCCAACATGATTCCAGCACCCACACACCCAGGCAGGTGAGGCAAGCATCCCCTAGCCTGCTGGTTCCACAGGCTTAACCCCAGGGCCTGAATGTCAATTTCAAAATACCCTTTGTCATTTCCCCCTGGGGAAGAGGCAGATTCCCAGAAACAGAACTCCCTGCTATCTCAGAACTCCAAGACAGGAACACAGGTGAGGCCCAGGGATACATTTGCTGTGAAGCAAATAAAGTTTTAAGCTTTGGGGCCGCTCACTTGCTCCTCCACCCTTCATAGCCCCAAGAGGGGCCCTGTCCGTGGGTAAGGGGATCAGCCAGACTGTGGGCTCACTGCCGCCCTCTCGTGGTCTCTCTCCAAACTGTCCCTCCTGAGGCTCCTTGTGTGCTGAACATTGCTGGGCACCAAATTAATACGACTGTACTGGACTGGGTGATTAATCCCAGGTGGCCATTCACCAAACTATCCTTCCAGCTCCTCGTGTGTTGGACATAGTTAGGCATACTAATTAATACAACCTCCCAGTTAACCACTGGACCAGGTATTCCTCTGAGTAAATGCTAGAGCATGGTGTAGCTGTGACAAACACTGGCCAAAGAGCGTATGTTCTGCAGGTGCAGACACAAGAATGAATTCGCGAGTGATTTTCATGCTTCCCCACTGACCCTGTCTTTCTGTCCCGTATCCTTGTTCATTCCTTTCTGCCTGGACAGTGTTTCTTCAAGTAGAACAGCTATACTTCTAATCACAACAGGATTATTACCCTGTGACTACAATGCATTTATTAATGACCCTCCCCCAAATCTAACAGCCAAAGAGGCCCCTGGGGAGGGGCCACAATAAGCCAGAATTCTCGTTGCAAAGATACCCTCTGCTCATAATCAGCTCTTGGATGGTAGGAATAGCAAGGAATGGCAATAATTAACACATGAATGTTTAACAGCATTTGTTTCTCTGATTCCTGGGCTGTACTGAACAGTCATAAAAATTGTTTTCTCTCTGAAGCATAAAAAATGTTCTGAAATCACCTGGTGCATTCACAGATGTGCTGATTAACTGTGGCCTGGAATGTCACAGTGACCACGACCCAGGCTTTGCTCTTGGTCAGTTGAAGTTCCTGGCTCACTCTCGGTTACAGCAACCTGCGTGGGTGGCCTGAAGTGAGGTCAAGTTTGACAGACGGTCTAGCAGTGCCTGGGCACAGAGATTATTCCCACTCTCCTTAAAAAGACCTTCCTTAAGGAGGCCTCCTCCTCCTCCCTAAGGAAAGTGCTAAATCCAGTCCTTTCCAAGCCCAGTGGTGGTGATTAAGCTGCCTACCTGCTCAAAATGCAGCAGTTTTTCCATGACAGTGAGCCGAGACCCACTTGTGCGCTGATTAACATGGAGACTCCTGGACTCTACCCAGAGAGTCTGATCCCATGAACCTGGAAAGTGGCATAGAAATCCAGATTTGAATAAAGCATCCCAGATGGTTCAGGTGCATGTGTTTGCAAAGCCTAGGTAGAGAAATACGGGGGTCATAGCTCGTCAAATGTCAGAGCTCAAAAGCTGCCCCACAAGCCCGAGGCCAACTGTGTTTAAGGGGGTGCTCAGTGGAAAGAGAGGAAAGGAGAAGGGTAACAAGCTGGGCGGCTTCCAGCATTCCTCCCTCACTTCCACCAGAGCCGCTCTGCTTCTATTTGTATAACGGAAGGGCCAAGAGCAAGGCCTTATGGCCTCCCTCCATGAGTTCAAGTCACTTACAAGCCGTGTGACCTTGGGTAAGCTACTTCACCTCTCTGTGCTGTGGCTGCCTCCTCTGTAAAATGGGATGATGATTAAAAAGAGTAGTTATCGGCCCGGCGCGGTGGCTCACGCCTGTAATCCCAGCACTTTGGGAGGCCGAGGCGGGCGGATCACGAGGTCAGGAGATCGAGACCATCCTGGCCAACATGGTGAAACCCCGTCTCTACTGAAAATACAAAAAATTAGCTGGACGCAGTGGCGGGCGCCTGTAGTCCCAGCTACTCGGGAGGCTGAGGCAGGAGAATGGCGTGAACCCGGAAGGCGGAGCTTGCAGTGAGCCGAGATCACGCCACTGTACTCCAGCCTGGGTGACAGAGCGAGACTCCATCTCAAAAAAAAAAAAGAGTAGTTATCTCACAGGGCCACTGTGGGATTAAATCAGTTAATGTGTCCAAAGCATTTAAGAACAGCTTTAGGAACACACTAAGCATTTATTCTTGCATATTAGCTTTCATAATATTATCTCATATATTGTAATGAGGCAGTAACATTGTATTCACTTTATTTGTTGTAAGGTGTAATTTGGAAAATGAAGGTGCTATTGTTTTTTAAAAGCCTCATAAGTAGTGTATCAGTCCAACCAATTCATTTTATGGATGGGTAAACTGAGGCCCCAGGGAGAGAACAGCTGGTGGAGGCCACACGGCAAATGGAAGCAGGAAAGGAACCCACCCAGATCTGATGGAGCTTAGTGCTCATGGTGCCCCAGCCCACTGCACCTGCTGCCTCCCTCAGGAAGTCAGCTCCAGCTGATGGCAAGTTTGGCCTTGCCCCCTGCCACATCATGCAGGGGCTGGGACTCCACCAACCTTAGCCTTTTTCAGAGCCCACGTGGGCAGCATTTCTCAGTCTCTCCTTCGCCCGCACTTCCATTGGCTTCAAACGCCATGGCTATCAAAAATAAGCTCACATCCTGGAGGTATCTGTTTCTAGAGCTTACTCTTAGGTTTCAATTTCCAAATTTCTACAGAGTTCAGGCGTTATTGAGGAGCTCAGGACTGATAGCCAAGAGGACATTTTCTATTAGCCCTTCTCCAAAAAAATCAAAAAGAGGCCAGGATGACACTCATCTCTTGCACTGTTCCTGCACATCAGAGGGGCAAATAGATATTTGTGTTCAAGAGGATGATGATCAGAGGCTGGGATCAGGACTGGGTGCCCTCTCTGGACTTCCAGGCCAGCTCCCAGCATGCAGCCTGCGGTCGTTACACTCCAACACATGGTTCTTCCTCCTTGTGTAGTTCCCACCCACATTGCAACAGGCTTGGTCTAGGCGACCTATGAAGGAAGTGATTATTATGTATTTTATTTTATTTTTTTATTATGCTTTAAGTTTTAGGGTACATGTGCACAACGTGCAGGTTTGTTACATATGTATACATGTGCCATGTTGGTGTGCTGCACCCATTAACTCGTCATTTAACATTTGGTATATCTCCTAATGCTATCCCTCCCCCCTCCCCCAACCCCACAACAGGCCCCGGTGTGTGATGTTCCCCTTCCTGTATTATGCATTTTAAAAGACTGTGGCCTCTGGCTTGAGTGCTCTCTCACTTGTGTGCATTGACCCTCAGAGTAGATTCTCCAACCCCAGTTAAGTCTTCAAATACTGCAGCCCCCAGCTGGCATCTTGACTGCAACCTCACAAGAGACCTCGGCTAGAATCACTCCGCTAGGCTACTCCCAACTCCTGACCCACAGAAACCATTTGTTATAAATTGCTAAGGTGTAGGGTAATTTAATACGCAGCAAAAGGCCAGATGCCATGGCTCGCGCCTGTAATCCCAGCACTTTGGGAGGCCGAGGTGGGTCGATCACTTGAGGTCAGGAGTTTGAGACCAGCCTGGCCAACATGGTGAAACTCCATCTCTACTAAACATACAAAAACTAGCCAGGCATGGTGGTGCATGCCTGTAATCCCAGCTACGCAGGAGGCTGAGGCAGGAGAATCACTTGAACCTGGGAGACAGAGATTGCAGTGAGCTGAGATCGCGCCACTGCACTCCAGCCTGGGCAACAGAACGAGACTCTGTCTCAAAATAATAATAATAATATGCAGCAAAAGGTATAACTAAGATAGAGGTTATGAGGGTTTGAGAACCATTTCCCAAAGCAAAGAAACAACATCTAGAAGAAAAGAGAGGCTTCGTTAACTACCAGGGACCCTGAAAAGAAGGGATAAGATGTCCTCAGACCCATGCGGCACCGATACATTCTGATGTGTGAGGGTTTTGACAAAGGAGCCAGAGATGAAAATCTGGATCCTGCCCTAGGGCAGTCCATTGTCTATTGAAAAAGACAGACAGGAAACAGGAAATCAAACCCAGTGTAATAAGAGCACAACACCTAGCCCAGGCATGGGAGGGAGGAGGGTGGTCAGGCAAAGTGTCCCAGAGACAGGGACTCCTGATCCATTTACAGGCACTGAGTACTAAGCCAGGCACCTCCAAGGAGACAAAATAGATAAAGCCAAATCCCTGATGTCAGCGAGCTCACATCAGTTCCCAACACCAGTTGTTCCGTTGTACCCAACACCAGTTGCACACTAGACTTACCTGGAAGTGTTAATAGCACTAATAAAATTCCCAATGTCCAGGGTCCACTCCAGACCAATGAAATCAAAACTTCTGCCTGAATATCGGCATTTTCAAGTCTTTCTAGGAGAATCTAATGTGTAGTTAGGTTGAGTGCCATTACTGTAACTGAAGGAGCAACAACAGCATCACCACCCCTCCTCCATACACACACACACACACACACACTCACACTCACAAACACACTTACAAACACACATTCACACTCACACTCACACACACACACACATACAAACACACACACTCATACGCTGTGATTAATAACTTTGGTAATTTCTATGTGAGTGATGCAAACTGCACGTTCTGGTTGTGTGTGAAGAAGGAAGGCAATGTGGGAGTGGTGGTGGCCTCGGGAGTATCTTTCAGCACATCTCTGCAGTTCTGGGCTCCACCCAGCTGGACACTGCGCTCTGCGTTCTTGTTTTGTTTTGTTTTGTTTTGTTTTGTTTTGTTTTGTTTTGTTTTGTTTTGGAGACAGAATCTTGCTCTGTCGCCCAGGCTGGAGTGCAGTGTCAGGATCTTGGCTCACTGCAGCCTCAACCTCTCCAACTCAAGCTACCCTCCTACTTCAGCCATCCCCCGCCCCAAGTAGCTGGGACTACAGGCGCACACCACCACGCCCAGCTAATTTTTGTATTTTTTTTTAGAGACCGGGTTTTGCCATGTTGCCCAGGCTGGTCTCAAACTTCTGAGGTCAAGCAATCCATCCACCTCAGCCTCCCAAAGTGCCAGGATTACAGGCGTGAGCCACCGCACCCGGCCTCTGCATTCTTCAGAACAGGACGGAGGTCAGGACAGGAATAGCAAGCCAAGTCCGAGAGTGGGCATCTGGGACTATTGAAGCCTCAGGATTGGTCCTAGGAGCCACGGGCAGGGCTAAGCTTGCAGCTAAGGATCCAGTAGCCCCAGCCATGCGGGAAGGAAGCAGAAGCCGTGGGTCAGACAAGGCCTGGAAGAGGATGAGTAGCCTTAAAAATAAATAGAAGGGAGGAGAGAGGCACTCAAAGGCACTGGACACTCTGCTAACACTTCACATTCCGTGTCTTGAGTTATTCCTACTAGAACACGTGAGTATTCTCATCTCCATTTTACAGAGAAGAAAACAGGGCTGAGAGAGGTTCAACCCATGGGCCTGAAATACCCATAGGCCATGGAGTGAGTTTGGTGCCAGAGCTGTGCTGAATAAACCAGGCTGTGAATGTCCATGGCTGCCTCAGGGTCTACTTCTGAGGCCCACCTGAGCGCCCCATAGGAAGATCCAGAGCCAGCCAAGGCTGGTTGGGAGAGACTAGGCAGGGCTGGAGTGTATGGGTATGTCCTGGGAATCTAGAGGGGTTTGGGACAGAATGTGCTCTCCTCCTCCATCCCCTCCCAACCCCAGAGCTTCAGGAACAGCGACGGAGCAATTCCTCTGCCCTGTGCACTTCCCTCCTTGCCCCATCCACCAAGTGCCAGCTAGGCAGCTATAATTCATGATGGATCCATTCATTCTTTTACTCCTTTATTCACTAAATACTTACTGGCACCTATGACAGGCTGGGCACATATCCGTGGACACAGTACAAAAGAAAGCATGACTTCTCAGGCTGTGGTGCTGAGGGCTGGCACGGAGTTTGGCAGGAGGTGAGAAAGAACATCTGGGAGAAAGGACCGAGGTCCTGCTTCCAGGGGATAACACGGGATGACTCCTCAAGGCCCAGCAGCTTCTCTATGGCCACACAGCCAAGGGGCCGAGAAAGTCAGTGATTTAGAGAGTGAGCAAAGCCATGAATCAGGGAAGAAGGTGGAGTAGCCCATGAGGTAGAGGACAGACAAGGCTGCCTTTCCAAGACCACGTGATCTTTTTAAACTTTAGAATCCTAGTTCCTAGCAGCACGGTCATAAAAGTCCTTAAATGATCTATTGTAATGGTATGGGATCCCATTCCAGAAAAAGATCCGTAATTCTTGGTCACTGGGGAAATGCCCTGGAAAGATCAATAAGGGCAGGACAGAAGTCCAAACAGGTGGCTCTGAAATGCTCGGAATGTAGGAGTCCATTTGTCTTGTTGGCCTCCTGTCCAAAAACAATGCTTTCCCTCTACAATCCCCTCCCCTTTGGCCTGTTCCTAATTCCTCCCACATTCCCCCCAAATTTCTCAATTTTACCAGTTAGGAAGGCAAGGACCGCGATGAGGTTGAGGGGGGTGTGGAAGAGAGGATGGGGAGATGGAGGAAGGAGAGGATCAGCAAGGCAGGGCCATGAACGTGTGCTTCTCAGTGGTGCATTTCATTTCAGTTCATTGGGGCCTTGCTGTGTCATGCACAGCTAAGTCCCTTGAAATCCAGGGCCTCAGTTCTCTCATCTGAAAATTCTGAGTCAGGAGTGGCAGGTGGTCAAGATTAGGCTAGAGCATGCAGCATGAAGGCAAAGGTTCAGAGCCAGAGAAACCTGTGTTTGCATCCAGTTCCCAGCTGTGTACCTGAGAAAACTGCCTACAGCTGGGAATTGTCTTCCATCCCTGCCAAATGGGAGTGATGTCTACCCACGAGGTACACGAGGTTCCATGTGTCATGCCCCCAGCAGTGTGTCTGGCACAGCTGGTGCTCATATTCATTGATCCGATTATGTGAGGGCAGTGTTGGTGCCCTCCCTACACCTATGATGGCGTCTAAGGTCACCCCTGAGCTGGGGGCTGGAAGGGGCACAGGTCTGTGCCTAACAGAAGGCAGCCTCCAAACAGCCCTGAGCAGATGTGACTTCCAGCTACAGATGGGAGTGAGCCTTCTGGGAAGGTGCCGCCTTTGAACCTGGGCAAGGACAGGAGCCAAGTGTAGGGGACAGAGCAGGAAGCAGTCCCCTTGGTCACAGCCTGAGTGGCAGGAAGGAGAACAGACACTAAACTGAGGACGTCATGGGGTTTTGTTCCCCAACTTCCTCTCACCTCTTACTGCCCCAAATCAGTGAAGACAGGACAAAAATGCCCAACCTAGCTGGCACCAGACAGAAGTTGGGAAGTTGGCTTTAATTGCTTGTCTCTTCTTTGGAGCCAACTCCTCTTCATTCTGTCTCCAATGGCCCCAAAACTCTTAACTACTTTGAAATTAAGAGATACTTTCCTAAGTAATTCTTGGCTCAAAGAAGAAATAAAAACAGAAGTTATGCATTATCTAGAAAGTAATGAAAAGGAGAATACTCCACATCAAAGCCTATGGGACACAGCTAAAGCTGTGTTCAGAGGACATTTTATAGCACTCAATGCCTCTATTATTTCTTGTGAAAAGCTGAAAATAATTGCACTAAGTAGTCAACCTAAGAAATTAGATAAAGAATCATAAAATAAATGCAAAACAACACAGGAGAGTGATTTAATGAAAATAAAAGCTAAAATTAGTGCAATTGAGAACAACAGAAGTATTCTACTCTTACTCTTATTAGTTTCTCTTCTTCCTACAGCAGTCCTGCCATGCCAGCACCCTCATCATTTATACCCATCCCCAAGAATCCCATGCTAAAATTTAGCTTGAAAATTCCGTTACTTTGTAGAATGATCAATAAAACTATTTCGTATAATGCAAAGAGCACAAGACTGGACAACAGGATACATGGTCCAGGAGCCAAGTTCACCATGTTCACCTTGGCCAAGTCACTTCCCTTCCCTGGCCTTCAGGTTTCCAGTTTGCACAGAGTCTGGGGCTACCAGCTGGCACTGACAGTTTGTCAGCTGAACTCCATTCATGGCCAAAACTCCTCAGAAGCAAGAGGTCACCCTCCCATGGGTAAATATTGACAGGCCTTTTGCTGGAGATGATGGTGCTGGTGAGTGATGGGAGCTATTCCAGGGGTCTGCACCATAAGAGGTTGGCATGGGAGGCAGTGCCAAGTTAGAAGGATAAACCCAGAAACTGAAGGCAGCCTGGAGCAGCTTCAAGCTTGGGCCTAGCTAGAGTAAGCAGGAGTGTAGACGTGATGGTACTAGGGTCTTTTCCCTGGTCTCTTTTTAAATCTGGTGGATTCACTCCCTTCTGAGACTCATTCATCTTCTTATTCTCCTTTTATTTTTCTAAATGCTCATCTCTCTTCACACTATAACTCTGCAGGCTCAGTACCCAGTGGGAGCAATAATAATAAGTGGAAAGAAGTGTTCTCCTCTCAGTCTTAAGTTTCTAAGATCAAGGACAACTGATGCTAAGGGACAGGCTGCCTACAGCTATGACCAACTAGCCTTGGAACCTGGTCCATGGAGAAGCTTCTGTCCCTCCTTTCAAGTCAAAATAATGATGACTCATGTTTTGCCAATTCTTCCAGGCTCTAGCCTCTGGAGGTGACTTTTTAGGAAATCTTGAGGAGCACTGAAAGATGCTTCTCTTTCAGCATAGATAGTGACTGCAGAGTTTCACCCTTATCTTGGTCAGACTGAGCTCCTGGAACCATTAAGACCTCCCTTTGGAGGACTGTTTGAAGAAAAGTGATATGATTTTTTCCATAACCTCACTACAATACTACCTACTATTAAGCTGAATTTTCCCAAACTCCTCCTTTTACACAGGACGCTGAAACCCAGAAATAAAAATAAGATGTGCTTTCCCCTTATTGCACTGACAAGGGCTGGGCAGCCCTAGGTGAGGGTATCTAAGAGCCCTCTTGACCTCTGTGGTTTGCATTACCACATGAGCTGCTTCCTGGAAGCCCCAGGCTTGGTTCTTTTGGTGACTGTGGGTTTCGTGGCAAGTGAGGATGCCTCCAAACCTACTATATACAGAGCACCCACATCCTGCCTTGTTAGGGACTTGGGTCTTTATCCTAAGTGTTGAAAAGGTTTTAAATACAGGCTGCCATGATCAGATTTGGGTTTTTCAAAGACCATGCTGGCTTGTGCAATGGGATTGGAGGGTAGTAGAGTGAGTATGAATAAGGGGACCCCAAGTTCTCTGGCTATGGCAGGAGTCCAGGCCAGAGGCAGCAATGGCCTTGACTTGGATGTGGGCAGTGAGACAGGGAGGAAGTGGGCACCTTCGAAAAGGTGGAATCACCAAAGGTTGGTTTTGATGGGCTTTAGAGTATGAGTGAAAGGGAGAAATAGAAGATGACTCCCCATTTTCTGGCTAGGGCAACTGGGTGGTGCCCAGTCATTGAAATAAAGAACTAGGGAAAAGGAGCAAGAATAGAGGTAGGGGAAGTGATGATGAGTCTAGATGGGACATGCTGAGTTGGAGGTGGCAGCCATTATCCAAAGGAGTTTCCAAGAACATGGGTGTGTGTCTAAAGCCAAAAGAGACTGAGCAGAAGACAGAAATAAAAGCAGCATCCAGGAAAGGAACTACCCTCTATTGGAGAGTCACTGCTTGTCAGTTTGGTGTGTCCTCATCCTGCTTTTGTATGGTGACTGAACACTCTGGGTATGGCCGATGAACCAAGAATTAGGGTGACAGCCACAGAGTCTTACAGCCATACAGCTGGAGGGGGCATGGATGGGGTGGGTGGGGTGGGCACCCGTCTGTGAAAAGGCTCAGCATCTCCAAAAGGGTGCAGTAGCTTGAAAAAGCATGTTCGCTACACTAATATAAATGTACATGTGAAAATCTGTAATAATTGCTGTGTGCTGTAATACAGTCATCTAAGCAAGTGTGGGGATGCAGACAACAGACTCTACGGCCTTACTGCGGAGGGTGCATGACCCCCAGGAGGAGCTGGGTCTCTGTCTCAGAGAGCAGGGTGACATGTTCATGTCTACGGGCAGAGAATGTGGGTTCACAAGGCCTCGTGCAGGGGTTGCACTCTCAGATGCTTCTACAAGCTGGTGACATGAATGAGCCCAGGGTACTGGGTGGTAATGGTGGGAACTGGCAGTGGCCACCAGTCCAAAGGAACAATGCCAGTGTGTGCTCCCAGTGTGAATGGGGGCTCGGTGTGACTAAGCCCTTTGTTTCTTTTTTTTAAAAAATTTAATGTTTAGTTTTATTTTGAGACAAGATCTCACTCTATTGCCCAGGCTGGAGTGCAGTGGCACCATCACAACTCACTGCAGACTCGACCTCCTGGGCTCAGGCAATCCTCCCACCCATTAGTTGGGTGTGGCATGCACCACCACACCCAACTAATTCTGTTTAGTTTTTGTAGAGATGGGGTCTCACTATACTGGCCTCAAACTCCTATTCTCAAGCCATCCTCCCACCCTTAGCATCCCCAAGTGCTGGGATTACAGGCATGAGCCACCATGCCAGGCTACCCTCTGCTTTTTCAAGAAAACTTAGGAATCCAGAATTGTATGTGAATTCTTCTGATTTTTAAATGTTGGGTCACTTTAAAAAAATGGGTAATAATTAGAAAGATGAATCTGTCTGGGAACTAAATGAGTCTCATCCACAGGTCAGATTTAGCTCACAGGTCATCAGTTAGAGATCTCTGCTCTGGCCCAACCCACCTGCTGTACAGATACAAGAACTCAGGTTCTGAGACAGGGCTGGAAAACTCCAGGTCACACAGTGAGTTACAGGCAAAGTCCAGACTCACATGCAGATAGATGCTCACTTCACTGCTCTGTGCTACCCCACAGCTACTACCTCCCTCTGGAGGGCTATTTAAAGAGAAGGGAACAGAATTTTTCCATAACCCCACTACAGTACTATCTACTCTTAAGCTGAATTTTCCCAAACTCTTCTTTTTACACAGTAGGACTCTGAAATCCAGAAATTAAAACAAGATGTGCTTTCTCCCCTATTGTAATGGCAAGGCTAGGGCAGAACCCAGGCCTCCTGGCTCCCAGTCTAGCCTTGCTTTCACCAGTTCCTTAAGTACTCAAAGCACTCCCTGGGCAAGGGCTATATTCAGCTTTCAGTGAATTGCTGAAATATTCTTTTCCTAAGCATATCCAACAATCCAAATTTTCATCCCCAGGACCAGCCCCATAGGCTACATCACCTTAAGTCTTCTCTCTGCGGGGCCTGACTTGCCGGCCTGGCAGGTTGCTTCTCTTCTCTGATGAATGATAAACACAACTGCAGCAGGCACGCAGCCCCGCCAGCCAGTTATGATTTGTCTGCTAACTGGAGCCTGGGCAAGGCTGGCATGATGCCGTCTGTCAGTCTGTTAGCGAGCAGTGTGGGAGGGAAGAGCATAGAACACAGAGTTCAGGAAACCAGACTTGGGATTGCGGCAGATGAGCCGATTGGCCTTGAGGAAGAGGTTAAGCTCCCTAAGCCTCACTTGACTCATCTGTGAAGTGGACATTATGAAGCCTGCCCCATAGGTTTTGCCAATGTCCATAGTCTAAAAGGGGGTTAGAGCCTAAAGGGGGTGAAATCTGAGGCCTTGGCTTATAACCTTTAAATGGTCCCCATTACCTACATGCTAAAGTCCAAAGTCAGTTCTAGGCAGGTGTGATCTGACCCCAGCATCCTGTCCCGCCCTCCCTCCGTCCTACCTTCCTCCCCTCTCTTGATAGAAACAACTGACATTTACCAGACACTTACCCTGTGCCAGATGCTGTGCTAAGCACTTTACATTCATTAACTCACATCTTTCTCCCAGCATTCCTATGGGAGGCACTATTATAACTTAACAAAAACCAGCTTGGGAAGCTTAAGGAGCTGGCCCAAAGATCCCCAAACGTGAGTAAAGGATTGAGATTGTAACCAACTCCAGCTCTGGAGGTTGGCTCTGACAGTTTGTCAACTGAACTCCATTCAGGTCCAAAACTCCTCAGAAGTAAGAGGTCACCCTTCCATGGGTAAATATTGACAGGGCTTTTTCTGGAGATGATGGTGCTGGTGAGTGATGGGAGCTATTCCAGGGGTCTGCATCATAGGAGGTTTGCATGGGAGACAGTGCCAGGTTGGAAGGATAAACCCAGAAACTGAAGGCAGCCTGGAGCAGCTTCAAGCTTGAGCAAACCTAGTAAATGCTCTTCAAGCTCCTACCTGCCACATCATTCCACTTTTAGGTGTGCTGTGTACCCCACCTGACTTCTCAGGAATGCCTTTCTCAAATGTACTCTCCTGCCTTTACCCTTTTGCTTAAATGTTTCCACTGCATGGAAAGCACTATGAGGTAAACTCTTGCTTGAGGTCCAACTTGGACTGGCCCCACCTCCCTGGGATGGCCACCACCCTCCCTAGGCAGGCAGGCTCTGTCTTCTCTCTCTACTGGGCTTCCATGGCCTGCAGGTGGTAGCCCGAGATAACGCTGTCACACTGCCCACACAGTGTCAAGGCAGACAGGTTGTGATTCCTGTTAGTACACTTGACCGTCTACAGTTGCAGGCTTCATCTCCTCAAATACTGGAACATCCTTGAGAAGAAGGCTCTTGTTGTACTCATCTTTATATCCCTGAGCCACAGCACAGCACCCCCAAACCTAGTAAATGCTCTGTAAATGCTGAAGGAGGAAAGAAGAAAAGGAAGAAGGGAGCAAGGGAGGAGGGGCATGGAGGGAAGAGGACGGAAGTAAAAGAAGGGGAGGAGGAAGCGGGGAGGGGAGGGCAGGAAGAGAAAAGATGGAAAAGGGAGGAGAGGGAGGAGGAGTCAGGAAATGGGGCAAAAGGTAGAGGAGGGGAATAAGTTTGTGATTGCATTTATTTAGTGAATGATGTGAGGAGTCAGCGAACTGTGGCCCTCTGATTTGGGACACTATTCAGACTATGGCATATTTTTATACAATCCCAACTAAAAATGTCATATATATATTTTGTTTTGAAACAGGGTCTAGCTCTGTTGCCCAGGCTGGAGTGCAGTGGCACGATCTTGGCTGACTGCAACCTCTGCCTGCTGGGTTCAAGCAATTCTCCTGCCTCAGCCTCCTGAGTAGCTGGGATTAGAGGCATATGTGCCACCAGGCCCAGCTAAGTTTTTGTATTTTTAGTAGAGATGGGGTTTCACCACGTTAGCCAAGCTAGTCTTGAACTCCTGACCTTGTGCTCCACCTGCCTCTGCCTCCCAAAGTGCTGGTATTACAGGCGTGAGCCACCACGCCCAGCCATTTTATATTTTTAAAGGGTTGCAACAAAAAAAAAAGAGAAAACGATGAGAATGAAAGCATATATGACAGAGACCATAGGTGTCCCAAAGCCTAAAATATTTACTCTCTGGCCTTTTACAGAAATCGTTTGCTGATCCTTGGCATAAGAGGATGCAAACTCCAAATAGAATAAACCTCAGAGTCTAGGTAGGAAATCAGAAAATATCAGCCTGGGAAACAAACCAATGAGATGAGATGTATCACTTCCCCAGGATGAAACCACAGAGCGATGATTTATCGGTGTGCTTGCCGATAAGGCCAAGCTGCGGCTGTCTCTGTATCTCAGCATAGAGTCTGTGGGCCCTCTCTGGGAGGAAGGCATAAATTTAAAAAGCAGCTAATGGAAGATAAACTGAAATCTTGGAAGCCCTCCTGCCTGTCATGAGGCAGCATTGTAAACAGAGCTGTTTTCAGGGACTAATAGAATCATTGTCCTGAGGGGGAAGATAGAGCATCAGGTATTGGGAGTGAGACTCCGGCCTGTGGCAGAAGAGGATGTGCCGAGCAGCTTGTCCAAGTGTTCCCGGCCCCTTGACCCTGCCCCAGTGAAGACTACAGGAAGAGTTCCTAATGAATCAGGCTGTTAACATCCTGTCTCCTCCTCTGCTCTCATTTCCTGAAGAGCCTTTTGATGACATTCAGCCTCCCTGCAGTGAAGACCATGTTTAGTCCAGCTGGTGTGCTGGGCTTACATTTCCTCAGTGGACCAACCACGATAACCAAGTGCATGCTATTTATTGAGCATCTGCCGCTTGCCAGGCACAGGGTGAGGTGTTTTTTTATTTACATTGACTCAGAGACAGACATGATTAGCCCCATTTTACATATGAGAAAACTGAGGATCCGAGAGATCGATGAGCTTATCCAAAGGCACATGGGTGCAAAGTAGCAGAAACAGTATACCCTGGTTTAGTGATTCTTTTCAATAAACCTGATTCTAAAAGCCTGATTCTTCTCATAATGCTACACTACAGATTGTGTGCATGTACACGGTACACACACACACACCCCCATAATTAGTGCTAATCAAGGGAATTCATATTTTTTCATTGATGCCTAGGGCAGGCTTAGAGATCAAGGTATATTCTCTCTCTTCCTCTCTGTCACACACATACACACTCACACACCCTAATGACTTAGGTCTTTGTCTAGTTTTTTTTTTTTTTTTTGAGACGGAGTCCTGCTTTGTCACCCAGGCTGGAGTGCAGTGGCCAGATCTTGGCTCGCTGCAAGCTCCGCCTCCCGGGTTCACACCATTCGCCGGCCTCAGCCTCCCGAGTAGCTGGGACTACAGGCGCCCGCCACCACACCCAGCTAATTTTTTCTTTTTTTTTTTTTTTTTTGTATTTTTAGTAGAGATGGGGTTTCACCATGTTAGCCAGGATGGTCTCAATCTCCTGACCTCGTGATCTGCCCGCCTCGGCCTCCCGAAGTGCTGGGATTACAGGCGTGAGCCACCACACCCAGCCTGTCCAGCCTCATTTCTATCTTTTACTCCTATATCCCAGTATCCTAGGACTCTGCCCTAACCCCAGACTGCAGATATGGAAACCTTGATATTCATGTCCATCTCATCAAAAACCTGCTGATCACATATTATATGCAGAGATTTTTAAAAAGCAATCCCTTTTTTCAAGGAGCTTGAAGTCCAGTAAGGGAGGTACACAAATAAACTCTAATAAAATGCATGATAATGAGTTATGAGAGCTGCTCACCCTGGTGCTGGGGTAGCCAGGCTTTGGAACTTGAGCTCCCGAAAGGCTTCCCTTAAGAGGCTATGTCAGGACTAGGATAGCAAGGTTGAGAGTTCACAGATGAGAAAGTGCAGGGCTAGTAGGCGATCCGGGCAGAGAGATCGGGATGTGCTGAGACTAGGAGGCTAGAAGATTTGATGTCTGCAACTCACTTGGAATAGATTAAGCTTAAGTTGAATCTGAGGATATGGCAGAAGCCAGATCACAGAGGGTCTTTGCAATATGGGGAGGAGTCTGTGCTTCATGCTACCGATGATGGGGAACCATAAAAAGGTTTAGGTCAGACACAAATTTGAAAGATCCTGTGCGTTATACAGCGGGAGGGATTGAGAATGCAAGATCAGTTAGTAATCTATAGATTTGGCAATAAACAATAATGTTTAAACTGGAGATAAAACAAAGTATGGAAAGAAAATTAACTGCAAGATAGTTGTATGGTAGCATCAGCAGGTCTTGGTGGTCTATTGGGTGTGAGAGGTGAAGGAGAGAAAGGGGTCTAAGTTAACTCCCTGCCTAGTCCTTGAAAATGCTCTTTCTCTTCCAGAGCACTGGACTCTTGCCTCTGTTCTCCCAGTCACTGATTGGGTCTCACTCTTGTTGCTCTGACCCTCTGGAATCTCAGTGCTGTGCCCCTCTGGTGTTACACCTGCCTAGGACTACTGCTCACGTGCCCCGCCCACCATATTGAACTGCCTTGTACACTATCACCAAACTCAAATTGACCAACCCATAATAAATGTTATCTATTGTGCTATTTGCCATGCTCTGTACCAGCCCTGAGCCAGACCCATTCCATAAACTCCATTCATCCCCATCCAACTTTCTTCACTTTACTGAGCCATGCCTTGTAGCAGCAGCCACCCATCTCAGTTCTGCCACAGCCAGCTCCACTCCCTCACCCCCATAGCCCCACACAAAGCTGGAAGAGAAGGCTGATAGGGTAGATTTAAACTCTGACAGCTAGGAACAATGGACCTGAACCAACAGGATGAAATTTAGCAGAGATAAATGTCAAGTTCTACATACTGAGCCCAGGAATCAATCACAGGGACAGGATGGAAAGAGCTGATTTGCAGTAATGATAAAGAAACATCTGAGAGGAGTGGCTGAGTAGCTGGCCAGAAGCTGAACAGTCACCAGGAGTATGCGGCAACAAGTACATTAAAAAGATACTCTCTTTACAGGTCAGGCCAGGTACAGTGGCTCACGCCTATAATCCCAGCACTTTGGGAGGCCAAGACAGGCTGATCACCTGAGGTCAGGAGTTCAAGAACAGTCTGGCCAACATTGTGAAACCCCATCTCTACTAAAAATATAAAAATTAGCTGGGTGTGGTGGTGGCGCACCCGTAATCCCAGCTAAATGGGAGGCTGAGGCACGAGAATCTCTTGGACCTGGGAGGTGGAGGTTGCAGTGAACTGAGATTGCAGTACTGCACTCCAGCCTGGGAAACAGAGTGAGACTCCATCTCAACAACAACAAAAAAGATACTAACACGATTTCAGGCTAAGTCAATAGTAAAGTGTCCAGGTATAGAAACATAGCAATCTGACAGTCAGGATGGTTTAGACTCCAACTGAAATAGTGTTTAGCTGTGGGCAGTACCATACAAGTATGCCCAGGAGAGAAGAAAGAGGTGATGAATATCTAGATACAAATTCTGAAAACTCACAGGGAGAGGGACTGGAAAGATGGATGTCAAACTTGGTGCTCAGTTAATGCTAGCTACTGTTATTATTTTCCCATTTCCCTGGTTACCCAGTTCCTAGGGGATTGTCCTGAGGCTGAGGTCTGCCTCTTGAAAAGCATAAATATCTCCTCCCCAGCTCCAGCTGCATTTCCTCATTTGCCCCTTCCCCATTCTCTTCATGTTGCTGGTGTGTCTGCAATGTGTCCTTCCGTCTCAAGCTCTCTGAACTCAGATCAATATTATGGGTGTGGTGTAATGTCTCTCCTCATTCCTCATCCTAATCCTGGAATGTGGAGTTGATAGTGTCCCTAGGGCTGAATCCTGTGTTTTATAGATGAAAACACTGATTCAGAAAAAGACTGTGGCTTTCTCAAGGTCCTGGAGTTCTTTGGTGGCAGAGCTAGGATCAGAACTGCAGTCAGTCCAGTGCCATTTTTGAACTGCCTTCTGGTCCTTTTCCTCCTAATCCAACCACTCACTGAGCTCCAAGAGGTTTTGATTTGGAGGAGGAGGAGGAGAGGGAGAAGGTAAGATGTAGAGCCTCTGTGGGCCAGCAACAGAGTGCATAAGATTGAGAAGACTAGACCCCAAGGCTCCGTCTTTTATCAACAGGGTTGCCTTTGTTACTGGAGTGAGGTGAGCCAATATCCTGGTTAATTTTCCTGGGGAACCCTGACTCCCAGGAAAATCCTTGATTCACTCACTGCTGCCTGAGGAATAAGAGAGGACTTACCTGACATCAGGATAATCTTAACCCCTTCCTTGATTCCTTCTTGCAAGGGGGGTGGGACAGTAGTATTGCTTTGATTTCCAGCAGCAATAGCCCCAGGACAGGTATTAAATAGAGAAAGTAGCATTTTGCCTGTAATAAACCCACTTGTCTGTTTATCACAACTTTTAACCTAAAAATCCAGCAATTTTATCATCTTCATCACCATTCTCTCATCTCCAACGCCGTTCCATGTGCACAGCACACTATAGGGTATATGCTTTATAAATCACTTCCACGCCCATTGTCTTCCTTGACGTTTCCAATTACCTTGTATGGTTGCTCATGGGAAAGCTGATGCCCAGGGAGGCATCAGGACTTGCTGAGCTCAAGCCAAGTGTGGCTGAATCACAAGGTATTATCAATTTTGCTTCCCAGGCAAGCTGTATTTCTCAAATGTGCCTTCCTTGAAAATTTTCTTAAATGCGCCTTCCTGTAAAAATTTTTCTCTTTTATAATTCTAGGGTAAGAGTCTCATTTTAGATCTACAAAAGAAGAAGGAACAGTGATGTGTGGAACCTGTAACACAAGCAGACAGAAGATCAGTTGAGGGGTGACTTGCATGGCCAGAGAATTTAAAAGTTATCGAAGGAAATCAAGAAATAATTGAGGCCAACCCATTTTAAGGATGCGGACACTGGGACCCAGAAAAAGAAGAACTGATTTCATGGGAAAATAGAGCTGTTTGGTGGCATGGTTGGGATTGTAACCCGGGTTTCTGGGTTCCTGCCCTGATGTGAGCCTGGACACAGGTCTACTCCAGTCGTTGACAATGAGTATTCAGGAATCTGTCAGCTATAATCTGCCATTCTCCTGGAAGCACAGATGGACTGGCTAATTGCCCTTGCCCTTTCCCTGGAGTTTGGAAGCCCTCTTTGCTCCAAGCTAGCGGCCAGCTCTACTGGGCCTGCAGGTTATTATGCCCCAAATGCGGGTATAACCCCAGAGGTGTAACCCAGGAGAAGTTGAGCATCCAATTGCTCCACATCTGCCCAGAACCCCAGGTACTTGGGATGTCTCTGTCCCCCAGGGCACTGGTACTCAGACACAGCAGGAACATCTCCCTAGTGTCCCCACTGCCTTCCTAGAGGGCATGCCCCCTTAATGTTGCCACCACCCTGTTTTGTGGGAGTTCAGTCCTGTTTCCATGCTCTGCCATCCCCTTTTTATAGAGAATCACTGTCCACATAGTGTCAACTGCTTGCCCCTTGAAGTCATAGCCCTACCTTGCCCATCCCCTTTGGAACCCCACCCCTTCCCCCTAGATCTTGACAGTAGCCTGGAACTCACTAGATTTCACCTTCAGGTGTCAGGGTCCACCCTGAAGCCACCTCCTCTGGCCTGGCACTCTTATGCGTCTGCAAACAGGCAAAGCCATTGATCAAGGAAACGCTCAGGCCCAGGCTTCCCCAGTGTTGATTTTCTTGCCACTGGCCCTCTAAGGCCTCCAAGCCTCCTCCCTGCTCTCCACTCCTGCCCTACCTGGCCCCTTACCCCAGCCCTCCACAATGCCACAACTATACAGACAAAGCCAAAGGCTGGCTCTTACTTCAAGTTTAGGTACTGAGGAACTAATTCTTTAGGATGGCCTTTTATGAAAAGGAAGGGCAAGTTACCTGGGCACATGAATTTGGAAAACACTAGTTAAACAGAATGCAACAGGATCCCTTACTGCAGGGTGTTCAGAGCCTCTACCATGCTGATAGGCAGTGTGCCCCCTCCAAGCACATCATATCAAATAGTGTTTCCAACACGGATTCGACGGTACCTAAAGAGCAGTGCTCTCTAGAAATACATTTTAGGAAACATTTATTTAACTCTTTTCTGGACCTTAGCACTAACAGGTTTCAACACTGCCACTTATTTGCTGTGTGACTTCAAGCGAGTTGTTTTACCTTTCTGTGCCAGTGTTTACAGGAGTAAAAACAAATAAAGACAAGGTAGGGGTTGGGCAGGATGCTCACTGGAGCCCCTGCTGGCACTGGCATTTTCCAGTTTCCCTGTCTGTATTTTCTGACATGTGTCTGCCTCCCAACGCACAGGCAGCAGAGATGCTATAGATCAAGAACAGCATGGAGCTAACAAGACGTGCATACAATGAGACACAGTGGATGACTTTGTGAGCGGCTGAGATACTTTCTGGAGGTTGAAAATCATTTTTATTTAGCCGGCATCACGTGTCCATTAACAGCACTCAGCATCTCCAGGGATTGAGTGTGGCTTGTAACTCAGTGACAGACAAGGCCCACTGGGACTGTGAGGCTCAGGGAATTTCACTGGGGATTCAGATGCCACCCATGGTCCCTGCAGACCAGGGAGTGCTCAGAAGCATGGAGGCATCAGGGATCCCGTTCTCATCCAGGACACTGCGTTGCCTGGGAGGCACCATGTCGATACTAAAACAACTAAGTTAGTGTAGACGTGGTAATATCAGAGAGAGTTGTAGCGGGACGCTATAAACACATTCACATACAAGGAACACCAGGCCAGCTGAATGGTGAGGCCCTTTCCAGCACTGGGCTTCTGGGATTGCTTTGAGTGCCTTCTGTGTGCAATCTACTAGTCTAGATACAGAGGAGAAAACAAACATGAGGAAAACACACATCTTACCATTAAAAGGTATAATCCTTTAGACACTCTGGGATAAAGGTGTTTTATCATCGGATAAGTTTCAGAACGTTGCCCACATATTCCCTGCCCCCTGGAAATCCTCAACATACACAATATGTTAAAGGCTCTGAGAAGTCTGAGGTCAAGCTACGTAACTGGGGAATCCAAGGTCACCCACATCTATTTGACCATGCAACTCTTCTTTCTGAACCTCTCCTAACAGATCATAGAATTACTGTTTCCTACAATGAGAATCACGTGTCAGACCTGGAATGGACCCAATGGCAGCTTGTAGGCCTGTCCCAGGCCTCAGATAAGGAGGAGCCATTCCATGGGCCATTGTGATGATCTTGAGTGGGCCAATCAAAACCCTCCCCTGGGACTTCCTGAGCTGTCTCTGGAAACTGGACTGAGACTCTCAGGGTGTGATCCCAGAGTTGGCAGTTGCTACTTTGGCCTGTCACATCATGTTGGTGTGATTATGACTGTGCTGCTATGCTGCTGTCACACGTGGAAACCCCCTGCCCCTCACCCCATTCAAAAAAGGAGGAGAAAAAAAGAGAATGTGCCAGCCGAATGTATTCCTACTTACAGTTCCCAAGATTTCTGCAGCTGCTGTGATTATTATAGCTTTTCCTTCCTATTTTATTTTTTTTCTGTATGTAGTCTCAGCCTCCCTCTAGGAAATCCTTTTCCCCGTTTTCTTTTCTTTTTTTTTAATTAAACTGTGTAAGTCAAAACTCTGTCAAAAATTAGAGAAAACTTACCCAAACTGGCTTATGCAAAAAGTTAACTTGTTGGCTTCTATGACTTCACAGTCTAGAAGGAGAGCTAGCTCTGGCCGCGGCCTGATGCAGGTATGCCAACACCATCATTAGGACCTGGGTTCTTTCTCTCCGTCTCGGCAATGCTTCCTCTCTGTGGCCTCCATTCTCAAAGGCTTGCCCTTATGGTGGCAGCTGCTGTAACTTCAGGTGCAATCCAACAGAAAGTGGCCAAAGGCATGGCAGGTGACACCTGCAAAAGTTACGTGTCACTCTGGTTGAACCAGCTTAGGTCTGCTGCCCAACACAGAACCAGTCAGTATCATCAGGTGTTTTCATTCTCCAGGGTCTCCGTAACAAAGTACCACAGACTGGGTGGCTTCAACAACAGAAACATATTGTCTCACAGTTCTGGAGGACAAAGTCCAAGATCAAGGTGTTGGCAGTTCCTTCAGAGGGCTGTGAGGAACAATATTTTCCATGCCTCCCTCCTTGGCTTTATAGATGCATCACCTTGATCTCTGCCTTCGTGTTTACGTGGCCTTCTCCCTGTGTTTGTGAGTCTATATCTCACATGGTGTTCTTTCATCAGCACCCCTCCCTGCTCTAGAATGACCTAATTACATCTGCAAAGACCCCTATTTCCAAATAAAGTCACACTGACAGACAGGGAGTTAGCACTGCAACATATAAACTTTTAGGTGATACAATTCAACTTGCAACACAAGGGGAAATGTTTTGCCAGTTGGCTTAGGCCTGAATCCTGTGCTTCAGCCTGGAGCTGCTTGTGAAAGTCCCAGCTGGACCAGAGGGACTGAGGGTAGAGGAGATGTAGACACCCCCACTTCAATCAAACAAACACAAAAGGAACCAGCTGTGGCTGGAAGAAGGGGACATGGATGCTGGGGAGGCAAACCACACATGCCCACTACCTATTTTCACTTGGGTTTTCAACACTTGCTGCCAACAATTGCCTAAGCAGTACCCCTGTCTTTCACCCATCACCCCAACTCCTCGTCTTCCAGACAGTTCTATGATTCAGAACCCAGTAAAACCATGCACTTGCTTTAGTCATGATGTCTTTTCTCTTTGGGAAATGTCTGTTCCCTGCATCTCTAACATACTCCATGCACATCCTCTCATTCCCTGTCCAACGGCACCTTCTCTGGAAGCCTCTCCCCAAGGCCATGGCACACACACACACTCATTCCTCTTTGCTTCCACAACATTGGGAAGAGCATTCATTGCAGCACTTTCCACGTGGTATCATCCTGAACTTCCACGGCCTGTGAGCCCCGGAGAAAGGCTCTGTGCCTTATGCTTCCCACATCCCAGAGCCCAGCGCAGTGCCGGGACCAGAGCAAGGGCTCCTTGAGTCTTCACCCGAGCAGCTCCGTGCATTCAAGCCTGGCCCTCTGCACTCTTTCCCCCAGGCCGCCTTCTTTCCTCACAAGTGCTTGTCAGCCCCGGCTCCCCTGCTCTTCCCTCACCCAGGGCAGTGCTCCTAAACAGGCTTCAACGCCTCCTGAATAGTCATGAGTCTCTCTGGGCATAACACTCACTCACCCAAGAGCCTCCAAACTCCCGTGCTCTTTGGTCTCCCACCTACAGCAGCCACGCTCCACACTGCCTGACTCCCTGTCTTGTTCTGAACTGTTTTGATGTTTTGCTCTTTGGGGATGAAATCACTGTCTGTGCTGCTTGAGTTGCCTCGGAATCACAACCAGCTTTGGATTATTGCTCAACAGTTCCTGGTGGGAGCGTTCCTAGCCCAGAGGGCAGGGACCCCGGATCACATGGGCACAACAGACACACGAGTGAAGCAACTGTGAGCACATTACTCAAGTCTCTGGGCCTCAATTTTCTCATCTGAAACATGGGGATGATTCTATCCATTTCCAGAAGTGCTTTGTGGACAAAAGACACAGCACACATCCTTCTTCATCTCCCTCGGTATCATGCTCCTTGCTCCATGAGAATTGCTTTTGAGCCTGGCCTCCTCTGAGGAACTTCCCTTGGCTATAGCCACCCACTGTGATTGCCCTCTTGTTTTTATTCCAGTAGGATCACTTACCACGTTCCTTTAATTCAGAGCTTGTGGGGAAGAGAGGTGCCCATATCTGGCCTTCTAGTGACACTCTCTAGGTGCCTATATCTGACATTCTAGTGACTTTCTCTGACTAGCTGTGTGGCCTTAGGCAAGTGACTTAACCTCTCTGAGCCTCCTTTTTTTTATCTGAAAAAAAGTAAGTTGAGTATCCTTCCCTCAGGGCGATTGTAAGGTGTGTGGATTGGGTTTGTGAAGTGGGTGATAGGCCAGCACAATGGCACCTTCGTGCCCTCCCCTCTTCACTCCCCCTGCCCTAGTGGGGGCAGGATCCTCAGGAGAAGGGAAGCAGGGATTATTTTAGATAAGAACTAGACTTCTCTGCATTCTTTCCACTGCTTCAGGGAACTAATGAATCTCAGGAAAGTGTGCTTTCGCTGACTGTTTGCCAGCTCTTTCCTTCGAGGTCCTTCAACCTTCCCCTCAGGGCCCTTCCTCTGACCTATTCTTGTAAAAATGAAAAAAAAAGTTGCATCAAGAAAATTCCCTGCTATTTATATACCCCAAGGTGAACCCTACATGGAAGAAGATAAAGGAGGCAACTGATTGGAAACAGCCCTATGGGCCCTTTCTCCAAATGCCCATGTGGGGCCCAGGGAGGTAAGGGCTTTCTTGGATTCGTGACCTAGAACAAGAAGGTTTGACCCAGAGCAAGACAGCATTTTAAGGAAGGCTAGGGAAGCTGTCCATTCATTCATTCATTCATTGAAGAAGGGGACATGGATGCTGTGGAGACAAATCACACATGCCCACTACCTATTTTGACTTGGGTTTCTAACACTTGCAGCCAGCAATGGCCTAAGCAGTACCCCTGCCTTTCCCCCCATCACATCCAATGTGTTCACTGAGCATCCACTGTGGGCTAGGCAAAGTGCTGGGCACTGAGGGTACCATGGTAAACAAACAGCTATGGTCCCATTCTCAGGAGACTCACAGAGCACCAGGAAAAACACTTAAAAAGCCTAAAATAGGCCAGGCATGGTGGCTCACACCTGTAATCCCAGCACTTTGGGAGGCTGATGTGGGCAGATCACTTGAGGTCAGGAGTTTGAGACCAGCCTGGCCAACATGGTGAAACCCTGTCTCTACTAAAAATAGAACAATTAGCTGGGCATGGTGGTGCACACTTGTAATCCCAGCTACTTGGGGAGCTGAGGTATGAGAATTGCTTGAACCCAGGAGGCGGAGGTTGCAATGAGCTGAGTTCGCATCACTGCACTCCAGCCTGGGCGACAGAGTGAGACCCCATCTAAAAAAAAAAAAAAAAAAAAAAAAAAAAAAAAACCTACAATAACTATTTCCTTTTCTGCAATTGACCCCCATTCCAAGCCATGTACTGGAAGCTGCTCAGAAGGTGAGGGCATTTGAATTGTCAGGTGATGGCTGGGAAGCCTCAGTCATGCCAAGTCCCTAAACTTTATAACATTAGATGTGGACTGAGCACTGCTACATAGCAGGAACTGGTGGTGAGAATTAAAAATAAGACATAGTTTCTATCCTGAGGAAGACAACCGCAGTGGGAGAGGAGCCCTGATCCAGGACAGCAAAGGGTGCCATAGAAGCAGAGAAGGGGCCACTATTCCAGCCTTGAGGGGAGGAGGGAAAAACTGCTTGGAGAAATTGACTCAGCAGACTTTTGCCATCCTTTCTCTTCATGTTTACTTCCAATAGCCCGGTCCAAGCCCTCATCCTGTCTTTCCTAGACAATGCCCATGGCTTTCTGTTCTTCTGCCTTTCCTACCCTTATATCAATTTGCACAATGCTGCCTGATGTCCTTATAAAGCCGATCAGGTGGCGTCATTCATCAGCCCAAAGTTCCACAAAACTTGGCCAATGCTTGTAGGGAAAGACTGTGATGTGGTGTTCATGCAGTCTGGGTTCAATCTGCCTCTGTGGCTACATTGATGGTCTCCTTCCCTTCTCTGAGTCTTCACCTGTCTAGGGCCTTTGTCGGTGCTTTTCCTTGTACCTGGGATGTTCCCATCTGCCTTCAGCCAAGCAAATCCATCCTGAGAACTCTGCTCAATGTCACTTTCTCAGGAATGACTTTGCTCTTGGATCCCTAAGGCTGGTGGATGTTGTGCCTTTCTCTACACTGGCCTGGCTCCCTATGCTTCTCCATGGCAGGCCTCCCCACAGTTCACAGGAATGGATGTGTACTTAGTGGTGTCTCCCCCATTACCCTGTTAGCTTCAGGAGGGTGGGGGGCCTGGCCTTTGGCACCATTAGGTGCCATTAGGACCCAGCCTAGGAAATGCTCCCTCCTACTTACTGAAGGGATTGAAGCAGGAACGGCCACTGTGGTCCCCCAACTCAATAGGAAACAGGCACGCAAGATCAATCTGAGTTCCCAGAGAGCCATACTGCCAGATGGGGTGAAGGGAGTTGATTTGGTTTAGCAACTGAGAAAAATAAAGTCAAAGAGGAGACTCGAGACTTGGGATCATGCTCCTTCTTGGTTTCCGAGAAGATGAGAATAACGATGGGAGTTGGCCATGGCACTTGGACATGGCTTCTTTGCCCAGGACCAGGACGAATGCTGCCTGCACTGAAAGCAGTTATGATCAGGGGCCAAACAAGGCAGCAGGTTGGTGTTATCCCCTGGGTACCCATCAGAATCCCTGGCAAGATTTTTAAAATTTGGGTCTAGAGACAGGGACAGAACTAGGGACCAAGCTAGCCCCCCAGGGCACAAAATTTAAGGAGGCACTCACTCTCAGGGGCAGAACTTGCATTTGGACAATCCTGATAGCAGATGCCTCCCTAAATTTTGCACCCTGGACCCCTCACTTCTCTCCCTCTCATTCCAGCTTTATGTAGAAACCACAATCTCACTCCAGAAACCTTTAATTCAATTCACTTCTTCTTTGCAGGTGGTTCTGATGCACAGTCAGACTTAGGAATCACTTAGTTGGGAACTTCTGAGAGAACAAGAGTATAGAGAGAGACCCTGGAGCACAGCAGGTCAGAGGCCACCAGGATCAGTGAGGAAGATTTCCTGTGAGTGAGCAGGGTGATGCCCTAGACACAGGGCGTCATCACTTTCTATCTCCATATCTAACCTGCAGAGCTCATGTGAGCTAATAATGAGCTAGGGAGAGAAAAAGTTTCATCAAAAGAAAGCGGAGTTCAGAATGCTCCGAAGTGGGCAGTGTGGGCTACCTGCTGTTTTCACAGGCTTAAGTTTTCAGGGAAGTCCTGTCCAGTCCAGCTTTAAGCCCCAGCCCCATTGCTCCTACCTCAGTGTGACCCCACAATGTGTGCTGCAGTGTATGCTGCTTCCCAGCCGTGAGGGTTTTCTGAATGGTCTTCATTGCTGTTCTAGGTGCACTTCCTGCGACTCCATCCCTGAGCTAAACCCAATGCACCTTATTCCATTGACCTATCTCAATACTCGTGTGAAGAATGTCTTGTTATGCTCCTTTTGCAAGAGGAGGAATATGTGGCTTGGAAAGAAAGTGACTCACCCAAGGCCACAATCTCTAAGAGTCTAGGATCATTAGTCTTGGCTCCAAACATGAGCTCTTCATCACCATGGCAACGACCCATGCATGATGGAGGAGTCACCTATTAACAGGCCCTCATCTCAGAAGTCACTGTCTCTAGGGAACAAAGAAAAGCATGAGAAAAGACAGGGCCAAGACCTTCCTACTGATCCCCAAACAACAGGCACGCAGAAGGCCTCTGATGCTG
Organism: Homo sapiens; assembly: GCF_000001405.40. Classification (NCBI taxonomy): domain Eukaryota; kingdom Metazoa; phylum Chordata; class Mammalia; order Primates; family Hominidae; genus Homo; species Homo sapiens. Next base: position 33,494,193 of record NC_000017.11, on the reverse strand, counting down.
TTGGCTTGGGCTTCCCCCTCCTTTGCTGTCTGGGGAAAGGCAGTGGTTCCTGGTGATTGAGAGGGGCACTGGAAGAGAAGCCAGAAGGGCAGGTCCTGGCCCAGCTTACCATTTCCTAGCCACAGGCTATGGGATCTAGACAAACCTTTCGCTTCAGAGTCTCAATTTTCCAAACTACAAGGGAAAATTGAATCAGGTTGGCTGTAAGAGTCTCCCACCTTTGAGAGGAGTATCTTAACTATAATAACTTCTACAGAGGGTAGTCAGTGGGAGCCAGAACAGCATTGTATAGGGTACATTTGGGTCAGCACTGTTGATACTAATCAGATGGGTAAACCCAATCCTGGAGCGACTCATCCTTTTTGAGTTTTGTGGGCTTGAATGCAGCTGGCCTGGAAGTGTCTCTCCAGCTAAGATCCCAGCACAGGGTGGAGGGAGGGGAGAGTAAGAATGCTATCTTGGGGGAAGGATGGCGGGTTCCCAGCAAGGCAAGGGCAGACCGATTCTGGGTTCTCCCCAAGGACACAGCTAAAATAGAAGCTTTAACAGAGCGCTAGTCCTAGTAACACGGGAGGAAAGGAGTGTAAAAAAAGAGGAGAAAATGGAAGAGGAAAGCAGCCAGTAAGAGAACCTTGACTGACTGAAGGGGGCAAGAAAGAATGAGAGAAAGAAAGCAAGGGAAATTAGAAGAGAAAGGAAAAGCTATGGAAGCTACAGAGGGTCAAAAAGTACCCACGGTCAAATCTGTTTCCTGGTTGAGAGATTGTACTATAGTTATCCAAGACAGGGGATGCCCTTGGGGGAAACTGGGTGAAGCGTATCCCAGATGTCTCCATATTATTTCTTACAACAGCATCATTTCAAAACAAAACTTTTAAAGGGAAGATATATGACAAGAAGGACAGGAAATTCAAAGGAGGCTACATTCCCCTCTGAGGATGTACAGCCCAGTACAGAGCAAAGGTGAAGACTAAGCCCAGCCTTCGGTGTGGCTGAGCCCAGCACATACCCTGGAGCCTGAAGAAACCATAACTCCCCTTTGTTTGCTGGGCCCAGTGACCACAAGTGTTTCCAAAATCCTCTCATCTGTATTTATGCTTCAAGTGTTTGTTTAAAGAAGTCTGTAGCTACTAAATTAGCAGCCTGTTTTGTATTTCTATAACTGCTCATTTGGAAAACTTGACTGACTATAGCCCTGACATAAAAAGAACCAAGGTTCTGGAGAGATTTCAGCTGCCTGTGGCTGGAAACCTCTGTGGCTTAGAGGGCAGGGCTGCACGGGGGCCCTTGACCCACATCCACGCAGGCTATGTACAGAGAGGAAAGTGCACCAAGTAGCTATCTGGGCAGCTTTCCCCCATTCCACAAAGCAACCACCCTCTTCTGAAAGAGCTGAGAACAGAGGCAAAGAGGCTGGGAGTAGTTCACTGTCACATGTGTACATGGATCACAGATGGTAGAGATGTGTCCCCCCAGCTCACCAGTGCCAATGTTAGAAGCCAGCCCATGTCATAGGTCCACAATCCCCAGAATCCTCACTCTGGATTGTGCAGGACTTCAATTACTCAGGGCCAACTGTTTTAAATGGGGCAAAGGAAGGAAAGGTATGTTCACTCAACAAGGTGGTGTGACCCTGGGCAAGAGGAAGGAGACCAAAGATTCAGAGTGTGATTTTCTGAGTTTCTATGTGGGAAGGATAATGTCAAACTGAAGGACAGCCTTCCCCAGAAAGGACTGAAGAAAACCTATGCTGACTTCGTACACACTTCCTCTTAGAATCTTCACATCTCCATGACGTGGAGCTCATCATTCCCATTTATGGTTGAAGAAAGTGAGGCTAAGTAACTTGATGAAGGCACCACAACTTGTGAGTAGCAGCACCAGGACCCAATTCACAGTTTAACAATCATGGCCTGTGCTCAGTTTCCTCATCCGTGAAATGGGAACAGTAATAGCCCTCACCACACGGAATTGCTGTGCAGATTAAATGAATTCCCAGATGTAAAACACTTAGAACCTGCTGCATAACGCACACTTAATACATGCTAGCTGTGTTATTACATTACGGGTATTGCAACTTCTAGCAAGGCCCTATTTTGGCAAGAGATCTAGGACTAATGGCAAACGCAAAGTGGTTAAAGGAATTGGAGATATTTCAGCTGCCAGGGAGAAGATTAGAGGGAGACAGGATCTTAATCCTTAAATGTCCAAAAAGCCGCTACAAAAAAGATTAGACTTGCTCAGCTCTTTCCTGGAAGGCAAAATTAGGGCCACGAGGAGAAAATATAAGGCATGAGATTTAAGCTTCTCACAAGAGAGACATGTCTAATGAATAAACTCCCTAAATACTGACTCCCTCTTGCCTTTCCCTCTTAAGCGCAGCAGGCTGACCATGGCAGAGAGGTTCTCAGAGGAGTGAAGCATCAGACAGAGACCCTCTAGCCTCTAGTTTCAGGCCAGGCTTCTGAGAGAGGAACTTGTTCATCGGTCACTAAGAGGGATGAGATCGTTCAGCCAACAGCTTCTAACACAGGGGCCTGGCCTCCCAGAATGATTAGGCTTCTTCCAGGGTCCAAATGACTATGTTAGATCAACTCGATGAAAGTAATTGCATATGTTCCTAATGCTGCAATTAAGGAAACTCACTGGCATGCAGTGTTCGGCAAAAATCCTTTTTTAGAGTTTTTCCTATTTTATTAGCCGCTCTCCCATAGAAATAGTCTATGCATGCAGTAAATCAGAAGCCAATGTATGGAAAGTTTTCGAGGAGCCAGAAACTGTAGGAAATGCGGAAATGAATTGCAGACAGGGACAACAGCAAGGTCAAAGGCAGGGACTGGTAAATCCTCTTGACAAGTAGCCCTTGGGCCTGGGTGCCCAGCATCATGTTAGAGCCGAGGGGAGGAATCTTGTGATGCATCCCTCCCTTCCCCATTGTCTGTGTGTGTGTTCTGGCCTGAACCCCACTTTGTTGTACACTAAAAGATCTATTCTGGATGCTTGATGTCCTGTGGGTGTGGGAATTGCAAATGAGAGATATGCAGGAAAATGACAGAAAATAGAACCACTGTGTGGAGTGGGGTTGGCAGAGGAGGAATGGAAGTAGGTGCAAACCCAAGCTGCAGAGGAAGAGGAACAGGGGAGATGCAGGGCAGGTCAAGGCAAGTGGGGAAGAGCGACCTCAGTGAACTGAGCAGAAAGGTCCCCTAGAACAGAAATTCAACAAAGGTATTCTGAATTCAGGTGGAGGTATCAGTTGGCCAAGGCTCAGGAAGGTCAATTCATAAAATAGGACCAAGACAAACACAACAGGGACAGAATTTTGATTATCCCCGGCGAAAATGCCAGATGATTTGACCTAAGACTCCATGTGGAAATTTTTCCTAAGGAAATAATTCAACAAACACACAAAAATCTTTGTATTAGTCTGTTCTCACACTGCTAATAAAGACATACCCAAGACTGGGTAATTTATAAAGGAAAGAGGTTTAATTGACTCACAGTTCCACGTGGCTGGGGAGGCCTCGCAATCAGGGCGGAAGGCAAAAGAGAAGCAAAGTCACATCTTAGATGGCGCCAGGCAAGAGAGAGTTTATGCAGGAGACCCCGCTTTATAAAATCATCAGATCTCATGAGACTTATTCACTATCAATGGAACGGCATGGAAAACACTTGCTCCCATGATTCAATTATCTCCACCTGGCCCCACCCTTGACAGGTAGTGACCATTACAATTCAAGGTGAGATTTGGGTGGGAACACAGCCAAACCACGTCAATCTTCATTGCAGTTATCCAGCCACACCAACAAATTTATCTGACCACATGGAAAGTGATGAGTTAAAAATCACAGGCCACCTAACGGGGTATCATGTAGCCATTAATTATTATAACCAGAAAGACTATTCAACATTTTTCCAATGCTCTAAATCAAGGGTTAGCAAACTATTTAAGTAATGAGCCAGATAGTAAATATTTTGGGCCTTGCAGGCCATACAGTCTCTATAGCAATGACCTAACTCTACCTTATAATGTGAAAGTCACCATAGATAGTATGTAAATGAATGTACACGACTGTATTCTAATAAAACTTTATTTACAGAAACAGGTAGTAGGCTGGATTTGGCTGTTCTAAATGATAAAAGCAAAACACAAAATTGTCTATTCATTGTGTTGCAACTATATAAAATATAAATGCAAATAGTCCAGAAAGAAATGTTTAAATCAGGAATAGGTAGTTCAGTTAAGATCGTGGAATAAAGTGGGCTCGCGTTCTTATTTCAAGGTAAAGCCAAGACTTTCCGATTGCCTGGGTACTCAGGACTAAGATACACTCTCCAAGGACTGAGCATAAAGGGGCCCAAATTCCCATGTCCCAGACATGGTACAGTCCTGGGGAATTCTCAGTGAATGCTTGGTGAATGAGTGAACACTCAGGAAGGCTGGCCTTCACAGTACTTTGTCAGACTTGGCCAAAAGCTTGACCTGGAAGTTCATTTTTGTGAACAGGTAGAGCAAATCTAGTTTCAGCTGGAGGTTGGGTCTGTGGCTTCATCCCTTTTATTAGAGGAAGTGGCCCTGGCCTGGAATCTGAGGTCTTAGAGATGGAGTCTCCAGATGGGAAACTGACAGCTTCAGTGTCCAGGGCCAGTGAGCTGACTTGGGTGGGGGCTGGCAATCATGCACTGAAAAGGAAGTGTCCAAGGAGATGACAGAGGTAAGGAGACTGAAGAGAGCGAAGCAGAGCCAGTTCCATTCTGGCTGCGAGCACTGGCTTTGGAATCAGGCAGTACTGGGCTTGACTGTCAGCTCCTCGGCATCTATGGACATACCCCTTCACTTCTTTGAGCCTCAGGTTCCTGGTTATATAATGGGGCTAATAATACCCACCCCTTTGGGTTTTCATGAGCATGAAGTAAGACCATGTGTGTAAAACTCTCAGCACAGTGTCTGGCTCAGAGGAAGCCCTCAGTAATGGTGGCTTTTAGTTATACAGGGGTGGGCAGGAGTCAGAGTGATAGGGCCATGCCAAACCAAGATGCCCATGTCCAAGGATCAGCCAGGGTCAGCCAGATGGTTTCCTTGCAGGATTCTCACTCTAGACTTCTGGACCATCAGGAATGGTATGTGGTCTCTTCTCTTAGGCTGGAAGGGCAGGGACTTTGAAGGCAGAACATTGAAGACACAGTGGCCTAGGGGATCATCTCATCAGGGAGGGGTTGGGACTGTGACCCATGCTACTGGGTCAGACCAGGTGAAGAGTCTCGGGGAACTCAGCATCAGATCCAAGAAGACCCCATCAGAGAGGCCAACTCTGTGCCAAAGTTGTACCATCATGGGGATGGAGCGTGTCATTAGGACTGAAAAAAGGGCAAGGCTGGAGGGCCTGGGAAGTTCACTGTGGAGGTGGGAGATGCCTAAAACTCCTTCTTAATGTGGGTAGGTGGGGCTGTTCTGAGCTAAAGGCTCAGGGTGAGGTAGGGCGTGAGTTTTAGGGATGTGGTAGGGTCATAAAAGAATTCTTTACAGGAGAATCTTTTACTGTGACACTTAAAAATAGTTAAGATGATACATTTTATGCTGTGTGTGTTTTACCATGATTAGAAATGAACATAAAATCCAACTATATATTCACCAAACATAGCAAAAGAACACAAGTACCAAAATAAACACATTTTAGGACTTGCAAATAAAAAGCATCCAAAATAAACACATTTCTGGACTTAAAAATAAAAAAGAATCTTTCACAGAATTTGATAGAGGTGACCCTGATGTGAATGCTAATAATAAAGGATATGCAGTGTGATTTGAAAAATGTTTTTGTAATGTTGGTCGGCCAGCAGAGAAGAAATGAGTTTCCTAACACTGGGGGATGGCCTGTGCGAAGGTGCGGAGGTGAGGAAGTCCCTAATTAGAAGAGCAGTCTGTCTGGAATAGAGGCATGACAGGGAGGCTAAGGAGCACAACGGAAAGCAAACAGGGTGGGGGAGAGTGACGGCGTTTCTAATACTGCCTCTGCCTCTCACTTGGTAAACTGATACTGAGCTTTCTAACTCATAGCTCAGCTCTGTAGAAAAATAGATGCATTTTCTCAATCATTGTCCACAACAACTGTATTAGTCAAGGTTCTCTAGAGGGACAGAATTAATAGGATCTATGTATATATGAAAGGGAGTTTATCACAAGGTAAAGTCCCGTAATAGGCCATCTGCAAGTTGAGGAGCAAGGAAGCCAGTGGTGGATCAGTCTGAGTCCCCAAAACCTCCGAAGTAGGGGAGCCAACAGTGCATCCTTCAGTCTTTTGCCAAAGGCCCAAGAGCCCCTGGCAAACCGCTGATGTAGGTCCAAGAGTCCAAAAGCTGAGGAACTTGGAATCTGATGTTCTAGGGCAGGAAGCATCCAGCGTGGTAGAAAGATGAAGGCTGGAAGACTCAGCAAGCCTGCTCTTCCATCTTCTGCCTTCTTTATTCTGGCCACGCTGGCAGCTGGTTAGATGGTGCCCACCCAGATTGAGGGTTGGTCTGCCTCTCCCAGTGAGTGACTCAAATGTTAATCTCCTTTGGCAACACCCTCACAGACACACCCAGGAATAATGCTTTGCATCCTTCAATCCAATCAAGTTGACACTCAATATTAACCACCACAACAAACCTATAGGAGCTGCTGTGATTGTCCACATTTTACAAATGAAGAGGCCAAAGCTTAGCAAGGTTGTCACTTGCACTAGGTCACATGGCTCATAAATGGAAGGGCCAGGGTTGAAAGTCAGATCCTCTGACTCCAAAGCCAGTGCTCTTAACTGTGCAACCTTAAGGAGATTTCTTAACCTCTCTGAGTCTTGATTTCATCAGTATCAATGTGGGGCCCCTCCTGGCTCTGGCTTTCCTAGTCACCTTGCTGGGATATAACAGGTGGTGATGATGGAGAAGTGATTACTGGAGGACTCGGGATGCCCAGCAGAATGCTCTGAATTTAACCTATTTGGTAAAAGGGAACCATTGCAGGTTCTAGTACTTAGTTTTTAAAAATTCTTCTTGGTCCCAGAAAAAAAATTCTGCTTCACCTGGAATGCTTGTCTGGAAGTGGCTTTCAAAGAAAGCCTCACAAAATCATATCAGATGGTGTTTGTAAAAATCTTATAGGAATAATTAAAAACAAGAACCTCTTCTACTACTGCAGGATGATTTCCAAAGCCAGCCTTTCTGCATCTGCCCCTCTCTTTCCCGCCACACCTCCACCTAGGACTGGGCTGTGGTTGGGTGCTGCGCATCTCCACCCTGACACCTGCCCTCAGAGAGAAAACTCAGCACTGCCCTTGTCCTTCTCACTTGGTGGTTCTCCCTCCTGTCTTCAGAACAACATGCTGAGGTCTGAATGAGGGGAAAGCTGGCCAGTGAGAAGTGGGAGGAACAGCAGTAGCACATTCCCCCATCCTGTGTCACTGCTCAAGGCACTAAGAAGTCAGTGTCCAAGGCCCACAGGTCAACCAGGGAGCCCTTCAGGCTGTTTATGTCTCCTCAGGCCCTGTGATATATTAGGACATTCCTCCAAAACAAGGCTTTAATGAGGTGTAAGTTGTCATCTTGGAGGGTGGAGCAGTACACTCCCCAGTCCTGTCCCTGTAGGGGAATCCCCAACAAGCACTGATGAAGTCTCTTGACCATTGGAGCCAGGGCCGTAAAAGTGATTCGTCCATGCTTTCATTCAACCAGCTTTTATGGAGCTCAAACCGTATGCCAGGTGCTGTACCAGGCTCCAGGAAAAAACGTGAGTAGAGGCAGTTTGATGCAGTGAGTAAGCTGATGGACTCTGAAGCCAGATTGCCTTGGTTCAAAAGCTAACTCTCTCACAACAGCTGTGTGACCTTGCAGAAGTTACTTAACATCTCTGAACTTTGGGGGCATCTATACATAAAATAGGGATCATGCAAATGCCCACAACATAGAGCTAATCTAGGCAAAGCCATGAAAACACTACCCGTAGGTGTCAGCACTAGTCAGGTGTCAACCATCATCTTTATTATGTCTGGGGATTCCTGGGTCAAGGTGAGGGGCAAAGATGATGAGAGACGTTCTAGGAGCCAATGGACAGGTAGTCAGTCTGAGTCAGTGCAAGCTACAGCAAATCAGGAAGGGAGAGAGGGGATGAGCTCTGGGTTGGCAGGTGAAGCAGTGAGCTATAGGCACAGCCGTGAGGCGGGGGCAAGGTGGCAGCAAAGCAGAGGCAGGAAGGGGCATGTGCCCCCTGACACAGTGGACCAGACAGAGCAGGGCCAGTTCTGAGCATGAACTGGGAAGGCTCAAGTCTGGTCACTTCAGCTATTTATTAGCAGCCGTGAATTAGCAGGTTCTCTCGGGACTGGGGTGCACCACTATACACCAAGCTCTGGGTCAGACATTTCACACTGAGTGTTTTATTTAAACTCCAAAATATCCCCCAAGTTCCTGAGTTCTCTTGTACTTAATCTGTCTCCCAGATTGAAGCAAGTTCCTTGAAATGATGAGGCCCTCTGAGAGGCAGGCAAGAAGGCAGCAATTGGAGACTGGATCCCACTTCATTGAGTTTAGGGGAGGTGATAGGGGTCCCGGAGTCTCACTGGCTGTGAAGAAAGATGGAGTGGCCTAAAGGAAATGATTGTGTCAGCATCTCACAATGTATGGGTTTGATGTCATCTAAGCTTAAGTACTTGAAGGATATTGAAGCACATGGAGCCTACTAACTGTATACATTGCTAAGTGGATAAAAAGTAAGTTACAAGACAGTGTGTCCAGTGGGAGCTTCACTGCTCTGAAGTCTCAGCCTCCCCTTCTTGGCCTGGCCAGGGAGGCAGTGCCCTTGGATTCTAGCCCTGATTCTCACTGGCTATTGGCTTGACCCTGGGCAGCCATTCCTAACCATGTCTGCTTTGCACTTTACTCAGGGCTTCCATGGCTGCTACATTCCCTAGGCCCTTTATCCACTCAAGGTCAGTTAGAAAGAGTCTGATGAACTGATGATGAACTCTTAGGAGCCAATAGTCTTAACCTTTTAGAACTATGCTGCTTGGACCTAAGATCAAATCATAGCCCCATGTGACTATGTTGCAGGGCAGGTGGGCCCCAAAGTGGGGCTTAGCCCATGAGGGTTCTTGGCTTCACCCAGGAAAGAATTGAAGGGTGAGCCTGTGGTAGAGTAGAAGAAAACAGCTTTCTTGAAGCAGCAGTGTTACAGCTCCATGATTGCTCCTGCAGAGCAGGGCTACCCCATAGGTGTGCTGACAGTGGCAGCTCAGGGCAGTTTTGCAGTTGTATTTATATCTACTTTTAATTACACGTAGGGGTGTATTATGCAGAATTTCTAGGAAAAGGGTGATAGCTTTTGTGTTGTTGCTATGGAAAGGGGCAGTAACTCCTGGGTGTTGCCATGGCAATGGTAAACTGACATGTCACACTCATGGGCATTTCTTGTGGAAAGCTGCTTCTACCCTGTCCCTGCCTTAGCTAGTCCTCAATTTGGTCCGGTGTCCAAGCCCCACTTCCAGAGTCCAGTCCCACCTCCTACCTCAGTTGGTCTGAGCTGAGATGTATTGTAAATGTTAAATACACAATTTCAAATACTTGGTCCAGAAAAATGTACAATATCTCAGTAAATTTGTTTTATTGGTAACTGGTTGAAATGACAGTATTTTGAATATATTGGGTTGAAGAAAATATATTAAAATTCATTTCACCTGTTAATTTGTAGTCTTTTTCATGTGGCTACTAGACAAAATTATCTGTGTAGTTTATGTCATATTTATACTGGCCAGTGCTGCTGCAGGGAAATGCATTTCAATGGGGATATCATTATTCTTGCCCATAGAAATGTCTTAAATGGGGGCATCTCCCAGAGTGTGGCTTTTGGACACAGGAACTTCCCTATATGCCTTGAATTGGGCTGTATAATATGTTGCTCTTTTTACTTATGAATAAAATGTGTCGGACTATATTAGTTTCCTTTTGCTGCTGTAACAAATCACCACAAACTTAATGTCTTAAAACAACACAAATGTATTCTGTTGTAGTTCTGGAGGTCAGAAGTCTGAAATCAGATTAACTGGGCTAAAGTTAAGACATCATTAGCAGGGCTGTTTCTTCCTAGAAGTTCTGAGAAGAGAATGTGTTTCTTTGCCTTTTTCAGCTTCTCCCCGTTGCCCTCATTCCTTGGCTCATCACTCCTGTCTCTCATCTCTGCTCACATCATCACTTTGCCTTCTCTCTGACCTCCTGTCTCCCTCTTCCAAGGACCCCTGTGATACCACTGGGCCCACCTGGATAACCTAGGCTAATTTCCCCATGGCAAGATCTTTAATGTAATGACACCTGCAAGGGCCCTTTTGTCATGTAAAGTAATACCTGGTTCTGAGGACTAATACGTGGACAATTTGTGGGCTATTATTCAGCCTACCACACTTGCTGATTTCATCCCAGCTTCCAATTTATAGGCCATAAGATAGAGCATGAATAGGCCATAAGATAGAGCATGAATAGTCACCAAACCACAGTAGGATAAGTCATGGCCCTGGAAAGGAAAGTCTTTCTCCTGACTTCAGGACAGTAAAGTCCTATAATTCCAATCTTTGTGCAGAGGAGGCAACAGGGACCCAAAGAGGTTTAGTAACGTGTATGAGCTCACATAGCTAAGAACGGCCCACAATGGGGAGAAACCTCGCTCCACCTGCCAGTGCAGAGCCCCGCCGAGTGAGGCAAGGCAGTTCTTCCTCCTTCCCTTCTTTGTAAAGAGCAGTCCTCTGTGACCTTGTCTGAGGATAGAGCCCACTTGCTAAGACCACCTTCAGGTTGATGGCATTCCAGCTCCTTCGGAAGCAGTCCAGATGTGTGGCTGTATCGGGGGACCCATTGTGACAAGACTTGGGCAAAACTGCAATCAAAGGAGCAATGGAAAACTGATTAAAAGCAGATGTTGGGCTTGATGGAGCCCACACTGCAATTCACAACATGCCAGGGCCGGTGATGCTGGTTTTATTAATCAGGGATGGAAGGAAGTAACGGGCTGGAAGAGTCAGGAGGCCGCGTAGATCTGTGTGGCGTGGGGATGCAGGAGGCCCACTCAGCCACAGCTTTTCTTCTCTGAAAGGTCTTTCTTCAGCCTAAAGACTTCCCTCCCGCTTCTGCCTCTTTGCCATCTCTCCCCATTCTCTCCGCCTCATTCATCTCTGTCCTTCCTAGTCACTTATTTTTAGTCATGTGAGCAGATGATTCCCCATTCACTGGGGAAATGGAGTCAAGGAAAAGAAAACACTTCATTTTAAGGAACAAGGAGATTTTGTTGCGGTGTGTTTCCACCATCTGTTCAATCACAATTCTCATTGCCAGGCCTGTCTTGAACAGGTGTGTCCGAGAGAAGGCTGGCAAGTCGCCCTCTCAGGGCCTGCCTGGGAAGGTTGGCATTGGGGGTGATGGGGTAGTGTGGGAAAAGGATGCAGAACAAGGGCACAGCTGGGGTTAGGAGTTAGAGGACCTGGGTTCAAGTCCTAGACCCAGTGTCTATTCACTGTGTGACCTTGGACAAGTCACTGAAATCCTGACCCTCAGTCTCCTTGTCTGTGGAATGGAGATTATAGCAGATATCCCCATCTCCCAGGGCTGCTGAGAGAATCAGATGAGAAAATGAAGGTGAACATATTTTTTGAATGATAAATGACTTCTCGAGAATATGGGATATTACTGGGAATTGGCACAAGATAGGGGATGCAAATCCAGTCCAAGTCTAAGATTAGGCCTGGTTAGCAGAAGATCTGAAACACTTAGGGTTGAGTTAGGTTTGTGGTGCAGAAATCAAGTGAGCTGTTAGGAGCAAAGTGGCAGAAGGTCATATGAACAGAGGGAACAGCATGGGTTTTTGCCCATGTTTGACTAGAGGCAAGTGAATACCATGCATCCTGCAGTAGACCAGAGTGTACAATGGCTGAGATGAGTCTTCAGAGGCCCAGCAGGCTGAGTCTCAACAACCACATGGAAAAAATCTGGACATCATCCATGGACAAGACAGTCATGGCAGAGGGTTCAAGGTGGGTGACATGATCCAATTTGCATCAGAGCAATCTGGCTGACTGGAGCAAAGAGAGGACTGGAGGAGGAAACCACATGAGAGGAGAGACCAGAGCAGCAGAGAGCTGAGGGAATGTGGTCATGGATATCAGGAGAAGAGTGTTTTCTAAAGAAAGGAGAGGGCAGCAGGTCAGTCATTGCTAAGAGGACAGGTGCTATCGGCATAAAATGTATGCACTGTACTTGGCAAAAATGAGGTTATGAAGGGAAGGGCAATTTCCATGGGAGGGTGAAGCCAAGTGGCAGGGGATGGAGGCATGGATGGGAGGTAATGGAGCGGCGACAAGGCTGAGGCAGCTCGTTCAAGGCCATGTGGATAGGGGAGATAAGGCACAGAACTCTAGCCCAAGGAAAAGGTGCACCAGGTCAAGAGGTTTTCACTGTGGTTTTGTTTTGTTTTTGTTTTAAATGGTTTAAAAAAACCTTGAGCAGGTTTAAATGCAAGTGTAATGAATCAATAGAGGTGTAGAGGTTGAAGGAAGGGAGAAATTATTCAACGACTATTTCTCAAACATCTCATGTGTGCTCAGTACTGTTTTAGGCACTGGGGACACAGCAAGGACAAAGATTTGTGGACTCTTTCTTGTGAATGGATGATCAATGGAGCAACCTCCCCACAGAGGGAGGAAACATTGGGATGCAGAGCACAGGTCAACAAAGACAAAGGTGAAAAAGAGCACAAACACAGGTTAATTTGTAGGTGTTGTGCCAGGCAGTTAAGGGAGTTTCTGTCTGATGATCTGCTAACTCATCTGTTGAGAGTCAGGTGGGAGGACAGGAAGAGAGAAGTTTAGAAGAGAGTTGTGAAGATTTGAAATAACCACTATGAAGAGTAAGCACGCGTGAGAAAAAGAGATGGCCAGGGTAACCTCAAACAGGCAGCATTTCAGGCTTAGGAGGCATTGGAAATCATGAATTCACAAAGGGACACACCTGCAGCATTTACCCTCAGCAACTCAGGCACCAGAAAAGGTGAAAGGTGTTCAATGAATTGTGCAAGATGGGCACTTTGCAGGACAGGCACAAGAGAGATGAAGACAAGAACAAGGAAAGGTTGGTGGCTGATGATGACTAGTGGTGTCCAAGACAGAGAGGGGAGGAATTAAAAACTGGGTGACAGAAGACAGTTGAGAGGTCAAGAACTGAGCATCTTAATGAGGTCAAAGAGCAAACCTGGAGAACTAAGTGAGGGACCAGGAGGGAAAGGAAGTATGGTTGCAGTGGAAGAGAAGGAGGCATGGGTGTTGGATGCTGCAGGTGGAGCCTCTCCTGGTGATGGTCAGGTCCAAGGTGTGGCCTTGAGAGTGGGTGGCTGAAGCAGAGAAGAGGGAAGTCTTTGGGGTAGAGGGTTTCTACAGTCCTTCGGGAGGATGGCTGGGGTGGGGATAAGGAGCCAGAATGAATCAGATGCCTAAACTCTCCATACCACCTGGCGAGCAGGTCTTTATAGAAAGTAAGGAGATGGTCAATGGTCCCCCCTTCCCCTTGCACTCAGGAAAAGCCCAGCTCCTCTCCTGGTCTTGGAGATATGACAGGTACCCAGCCTCCCTCTCCAGCCTATTTCTTGCTTTCTGGCTTCCCTATTTCTCTGCTCCACCACCTCATGGACTTTTTCCAATTCCTCGTTTATGAAGGCTCCTTTCTCCAGACTGCCATGCAGTTTGCTTCCCTGCAGACTCCACCCCAGTCTCTTCTCTTGTGTGGCTCCTTCCTGTCCTTCAAGTCTCAACTGGAATTGTTACCTCCTTGGAGAAGACTGAGCCCCACCCCTCCAAATCTGTTCCTCATGTTACTATTGCTCACAGCACCCTGTTCTTTTTCTTTATGTTTATTTCTTTGTCTATTTAGTGTCTGTCTCCCCCATGAGAAAGGAAACCCCACGTGGGCAGGAACCATGACACTTTTGTCCTTATATCCCCAGCTCCTTGCAAAGTGCCTGGCACACAATGATGCCCAGTACAAACTTGTTGAATGAATTTTAAAATGGAATGGGAAGATGGCATATGCCTCAAAAGATTGAGATTTGTTTTAGACATGGGTGGATTTATGGTCTGGGAATGGCTCTGGGAGTGAGGAGCATGCTTTAGAACCCGGAGATTTCTGGGGTATGAAGGCAAAGCGTTCACCATGGGAAGGAGGGGCCTCAGGGGATCACCCCTATTATTTAGCACAAGGAAGCAAAGGGGAGGAGGAGGTTGAAGATATGGAGGGGATGTTTACCATGAACCAGGGTTCCGGGAGCACACAGTTTTAAAGATTGGAAAGGAGGCCCACAGGGAAAGGGTGGATTGGGGAGGGGGGCACAGGGCCTTGCTCAGATGAAAGCTTAGGAGAGGGTCCCTTGTCTCCTTGCGAAGGCCTGGTCACAGCCTAATCAATCATGGTCCTAGCCAGGCCTACACCATCCAGCTGGGCAAGCAAGCCCCAGCACGGGTTATGCCCAGGGCTTTGACTGCATGGCTTTTGTGAATGTGGAAGGTATTTGGCCCTGGGAAGCACCCCAGAAGGCCCACTGGTGAAGAAACACCCCCATCCAGTGTTCCCTGCAATTCCTCCAGCTCCTGCAAACACAGCAAAGAAACTTAGCTGAACACTGTTGTGTGCAAGACAAACAATTTCTTTCTAACTAACTGAGTCCAAACAAGGTCTGGCAAACATCTCCAGAGACTGGGGCCACACATGGCCACAAGAAACCCAGAACATTCACCAAAACATCACCAAATCTTATCATTTAGGCTCTTAAAAAAAAATCTCTTTCCCTCAACAAATATAGAAACAGCTCAACACATGGTTTTAAAAGCTCCTAGGGGCCGGACGTGGTGGCTCATGCGTGTAATCCCAGCACTTTGGGAGGCTGAGGTGGGCGGATCACCTGAGATTGAGAGTTTGAGACCAGCCTGACCAATATGTAGAAACCCCATCTCTATTAAAAACACAAAAATTAGCTGGGCGTGGTGGTGCGCACCTGTAGTTCCAGCTACCCAGGAGGCTGAGGCAGGAGAATCGCTTGAACCCGGGAGGCAGAGGCTGCAGTGAGCCGAGATCACACCACTGCACTCCAGCCTAGCAACAGAGCAAGACTCCGTCTCAAAATAAAATAAAATAAAATAAAACTCCTGGAAGTCATGGTGAACAGCAACCCATCCATGTACTTCCTAACAGTATTATCTTGACATGCAACCTGAACATGAAAGTTTTCTTCTAATGAAGTCCATTTTCATTAGTGGTTCGAGAATAACTTTCAAAAGAATTCTGTTTAGCAGAAGCATCTAGGAACACAGAGTAAAAACAAAGATTTTAATCCTGATCTCTCTCCACAATCCTATCACCTGATTGCAGAACCTTGGGCAAATCAATTCTCCTAGCTGGGCCTCAGTTTCCCCATCAGAAAATAAAATGGTAGAACTAGGGGACCCAGGGACTCTTCCAGCTCTCACATGCTGAGACTCTCTGGTCTCCAGTAAAACGGCTCCCATGGAATCATTCTAGAGCCACCCTGGCTTTGAAAACAGCTGGCCCTGGCAGACCAATCTAATTTTCTCCCGAAGGATTGACAGAAACTGTGCAAATAAGAGAAGCGACCTCTCAGGCCACCTAGAAGCCTTTCCAGTCAGTCTCAGATAGCATGTTCATTCATGAGCAAAGGCAGAAATGGTTTGCACATAGGACTTTTCAGCCTTAGCAGTTGGGGAGACCTCTGTGCTATTTACGGAGACCAAGAACGGTAGTTCGTGTTTGATGTTACATTGAAGTGAAAAATAAAGGGAAGTTAAACTTGGATTCCCCAGATGCCCCTTAAGCCCCCTAGCCCCTGGGCGCCCAAAGGGACACATGAACAGTTTACCCCTAAGGGGAGCAAGAGCTCTCACAGTTTGGCCAGTTGTCAGCTGTGCCCCCTCTTGGAAGCTCTGTCATCCACCTCCCTTGAAGGTAGCTCTCCGCCATTGGTGCTGTCATTGGGATATTGCCCAGCTAGGCTGCCATGCCTGACTCTGAGCCCTCACCTACCTAATAAGCTACCTTGTTCCCCTTGGGTCAGTAGGCATTTGGCAAAAGATTCTTGGTGGCATCAGGAAAAGCATCAAGATCATTTTTTTAAATCACAAAGTTACCTGCAGTTTGGCCTCTGACTAGCTACTCCTGCTTCATCCCAGGCTACTTTTCCAACCACAACCCTGTAGAATAATCAGTCTGGATTACTTGGCACATCCTCAAATGCCCTGAGCTGCCTCCAGCCTCTATGTCTTTCTCTGCCTGAAATGACTTTCCTTATACTTTGCTTGGCTGACTATAACTCATCCTTAAGACAATGCACAGCTTCCAGCAGGAAGCCTACCCTGACCATCCCTAGTGTGGGACACCATGGCCTGAGCTTCTCCATGTGAATGGCTGTCTTCCCTATTCAAGAGTGAGGTGCTTGAGGGCAGGGACGTGGTCATGTTCATGTGGACACTCAGTGTCTAGGAGGCAGTAGGGACATGGTAAGGATCTAGTGAAAGAAGAAGCACATGCATAAATGAATGAATTCCCCTTGCCCTCTTAAGTCAGCCACTATTTAAAGCACAGACTACAGAAGGTGAAGGCAGGAAGAAACTTAAGAGACATCTTAATGCTATGCCTTCATTTATACTATGAAGACAGTGAGGCCCAGAGAGGAAGTCATGTTAGTTCAAGCCCCATAGCCAGGCAGGGACAGAGCCAGAGCTAGAATCTCACCTCACTGATTCAGGGCTATTTCTACCACACCATGTAGCTTCCCAATGTATTTATATTGTCCTGAAATTTGAAGTCTAGAAATTTTAAAAAATGAAGTTCTAATAGGGATTTTTAGATGTTACTGGCAGGAGTGTAAATAGACATCAATTTGGGGGAGAAATTTGGTGATATTTTGCATGGATAGATAGCCAACAGCATGTGACCCAGCAATTCTGAGTATATATATGTTTAAGTTTAAATGTCCTTCAATAAGGAGGTGGATAAATAAGTTGTGATAAAGCTATACAATGGAATAAGATTTAGCAACCAAAATTAATGAAATAGAGCCAGATAGACAGATAGATGTATAGTATACATAGTATATATACACACACATATACATAGTATACACACACTGAGATTATATAGTAGTATAGGCTTGTTCTTGGACTACTGTTTTTGGTCTCCAAAAATAACGTAGAGGTCTCCCCAACTGCTGAGGCTGAAAAGTCCTATATGCAAACCATTTCTGCCTTCACTCATGAACGGGCATGCCACACGAGACTGACTGGAAAGGCTTCTGGGTGGCATGAGAGGTCGCATCTCTTATTTGCACAGTTTCTGTGCACAGTCCTTCGGGAGAAAATTAGATTGGTCTGCCAGAGCCTACTCTTTTCATCTGGGCCTCCCACAGGGACACATGAACGATTTGTCCCTGAGGGTAGCAAGCACTCTCACCATTTGGCCAGCTCTCAGCTGCACCCCCTCTTGGAAGTTCTGTCATCCACCTCCCTTGAGGGTAGCTCTCTTCCATTGGTGCTCAGTCCAAGAACTGACACACACACACACACACACACACACACACACCCCTGTACATATATATATATATATATATATATATATATATGCACACACACACTTTGCAAAAGGTTTTCTATATGAGTTGAAGGATTTTTTTAAATGGCAGCATTGCTAATAATAGCAAAGAATGAAAAGTTTAAATGTCCATCGATAAGGAAGTGGATAAATAAGTTGTGATACAGTCATACAGTGGAATAAGATTTAGTAACCATAATTACTGAAATAGAGCTAGACATGTCACCATAGTTGTGGCTCAAAAGCGTAATGTTGATTATAAATGGGATGGTGGAGGTCGCAGTGATGGTGGTCACGTATTCCTAAGGTCTCTGGGACTGAGAATAGGAGAAACCCTCCTGGCATGATATACCATAGGTCCTCCGGTTAGGTCCTTGCTAGAATGGTTTCTATGGAACTGGCACAGTGTTCTGTGCCACATACTTAAGCGTGTGGACTATGAAGTCTAAAGTCAAAGCTGCTCCAGAATTCAGTGATGTCTGGTGACAGTTTCATGCTTTTCCTTACTTAGTGAACAGGGCTACCAAATAATAACCTCCCAGCCTTTCACTTTTCCTCTCATGATGTCGGTGTAAGTCTGGAAATTTTGATAATTATAATGATGCTAGACGTGGAGAATGGATCAAAATTGCAAGAGAATTGCCAGTGTTTATGGGCAGCGGCTGGAGATCATCAGATGGCAAGCATTCACCCCAGGAAGGGAGGAGGAGACCTCCAGGGGATGGGGATGGGGGAGGGCTGCAGCAGCCACCTTTGCTTCTGTTTCAGATAAGGCCGCTTGCTTTCCCTCATAGCAAGATTACAGGGATGCGAGCAGCCACGCTGTTACACTGAAAAAGTGAGGAGCTGCAAAAGACTTGGCAATTACTGCAATTTTGGGTTCTTATGAAATTTCAGTGAAAGCCACTCTTCTTAAATCAAGAGTGAACCAGACATCGTTACTTAACCCCCATCATTAGAAGGAAGTCAATAAAAAGTCCTAAGACTATGTCCAACCAACAAAGCCAAAACAACAAAACATTCACATAACGTTGAGTGCAAAAAGCAAGATTTTAAAAGGATATTTATAATGTAATGGTAATTATTTTAAAGAAATTTTAAAGCAGTGATATCTAGGAAAAGTGTAAAAAACACAGATAGGTGAACACTCACTAACTTCAAAATAGTGTTACAAGGAGGAGTAGAAGTACAACATACGATTCCATTGTATCTGCAATATTTTATTTCTTTTTTTTTAAAAAAAGACCTGAAACAAATATGGTAAAATTTCAACATTTGTTAAATACTGGGGGGTGGGGATGTGGGTGTCTAATTTTTACTCTCTGTAAGTTTCTGAATGTTTAGGTAGGTTATGACTTTTCGAAGGGCAGCAGAGAGTTCCAGGAAATGAGGAGGGGAAAGAGTGTCTCAGGCTGGGTTGGGGAGTGGAGATGAAAGATAGCAGTTCAAAGGCCAAGAAGAGGGTGTTGAGTATTTAGGAAAATGTGCACTTCCTAGCATTGGTGGAGGTAGGAGAGTAACAAAAAACCATCCTGGAGAGGATTGGAGGTGGACAGCCTGGAGGCAGGACGATCAACTCCAGCCCTTTGAATTGGAGAGTGCAGCGCAATCAGGTGAGATAGAAAGGACTGGTGGGAATTGCTCACTTCCGGCTAGGGCTCCCTAGTCCTACCTCTAACCATTCTAAGGTCACACGCAACCATATTTAGTTATACCCCACACACTGTACATACTGCATTTGTCCCTCCAAACCCACTCTCCACCCTCTGTCACCTTGCCCTCTGCCATAGGAGGCTGGCCTTTGTGGACTAAATCAACAGGCTCCCTTGCCCTTGAGCTTCTGGTCAGGCCAGACAACAGGGAGCACCCAAAAATGTCAGAGGGAAGAAAGGGCAAAGTCAGGCTCCCTCCTTGGGAAGTTACCTTGGGCTGGTTGTGCGCCTGCCCCTCTCAAGGTGGCCTGCTGTGCACGCCCCTCTGTTGCTAGGTTCCAAGATCAGTTCTCTTCCGTTCCCCCTTGAATCCCTGGACTTAGAGGTGGTGACAGCCATGCTGCTGCTGGTTACACCCATTCCTTTCTCACTAGTCCCTTTGTAAAGAGGCCTTGCTTAAATTACCTTACTCTTAGTATGCCATCTGTTTCTTTTCTTTTTTTCTTTGGCGGGGGGATGCAAGGAGTCGTGCTCTGTGACCCAGGCTGGAGTGCAGTGGTGCAATCTCAGCTCACTGCAACCTCCACCTCCCAGGTTCAAGGGATTCTCCTGTCTCAGCCTCCCGAGTAGCTGAGACTACAGGTGTGTGCCACCACACCCGGCTAATTTTTGTATTTTTAGTAGAGATGGGGTTTCACCATGTAGTCCAGGCTGGTCTTGAACTCCTGACCTCAGATGATTCGCTTGCCTCAGCCTCCCAAAGTGCTGGGATTACAGGCGTAAGCCACCACATCCAGCATGCCATCTGTTTCTTGTTAGGACTCTGTCTGACTCAAAGTCCTGTCCTCCATTAACCTCTGAACAGCTCAAGGACAGAGTAGAGGTCTGATTTATCTTTGTATACCAGGTACCTGGCTAGAAATCTGGCACATTTTGCCTGACCAAAACATAATTGACGAATGAATTTTAAAATGGTATTAATGAATGAATGGGTGAAGGGGGTGCCCTCATGGGTACGTGATGGGGGGTGGACAGGTCTTGGGATCTTTGGAGCAAAGAAAAAGGTGGTTTCAGGAGAAAGAAGATCTGGAGAAAGAAAAAATGTGAAAGGATAAAAAGAAAACCTCACAATACTGGAACACCTGGAGCTTGGCAGGAACAGGGCTAGGTTCCTCATTTATTTCTCATTCATGTCCAGAACATCATGAGGTACTCAACCCATAGACAGGAACCAGAGTTTCAGAGAGATTCAGTAACTTGCCCAGCACAATGTTCTCGTGTTCATTCCACCTCTCCAGGTCATGGGCAAATCTGATCTACTTCCTAACTCAGCCTGCAAGCTCTTCCTTAAGTGTCCAGAAGCCCCGCGTGGTACTCATTCCTGCTTGATGCATCCCCAAGTCCCCGCCTCCAAAGGCTGGCATTTCTTGGCTCAGGGGGTGCCTTGTCTAGGCTGTCATTTATAGCAGAGTACCTGGGGTCTGATCTCCATTCATTCTGCATCCTTCATCTCAGGAATAAATGTCACTGGCATTATTACAGTGGTAAGCCGATGGGATGTTTATCCACCCAGTGCTTTTCAAACCAATTAGGTGGATTTAGTGCTTGGATGAAGGCTGCAGAAACCAGCATTCTCGCCTGGAGAAGGAACCGAACAGATGGATATTATGCCATAGTCCCCCATGCCAGTCCCTGCCCCAGGGCCTCCTTGGCTAGAATCAGATCCTTCCTGCTCAAGAAATTAGCCTCTTTTTCTTTACAGCCTGATCAAAGCCAGCAGGAGCCAAAGTAAACAGGCAGCAAGATGGTACTTATTGATTATTGCATGCCTATGGCCAGACTCTGTGCTCCCGGCTGACTCATTTATTCATCGTGGCAACCATACCAGGAAACTATTAGTATTCCCATTTTACAGCTGAGAAAACTGAGCTCATTTGCTGAGCTATTTGCTTGGGAAGTACAACAAATAGGCCAAGATTACCACAGTTTTGAGGCCAGGATTAGAAGTCAAGATTAGGGCCCAGAATTCCTGGACTCCAAACCCCCAGCCAAAACCCCACCACCCCACCAAACTCATCCCTTGTCAGTTACCAGAGTGGCTTCAACATCTCACCTCCTTCCTGGCCCCTGTGTGCCCCATGTTTTCTTGTTTCCTTCCTTCTCTAGGCAAGCACCTCCATCCAGCCAGAAGCCAACGTGGAGTAATCATTCCATTGCCAAGATGTTCTGCAGGCTCTCCCCAGGCAGCCTGTCTGGATCACCCATGGTTATCATCTCCACTTTGGGTGAAGAGATCAAAGGATCTCATTAAGAGGCAAGAATCTGGCAAGGTCAAAGGAAGATGAGTTTTAGAGCTCAGACAGACCTGGTTTCTGCTCCTAGCTGTATAATGACTGTATAAAATTGCAAAACTCACCTCTCAGCATGTGCATCCTCCCCTGTAAGATGGTGCCATAATACCTACTTTCTAGGGTTGTTTTAAAGATTAAAATGGTAACTTACACAATGTGCCCAGTGCATGGTGGGTGTTTAGCAAGCAATCCCTGTTAAAAAGTCCCTGGTGTGGTCAGGGACAGTGGCTCACACCTGTAATCCCAGCACTTTGGAAGGCCAAGGTGGGTGGATCACCTGGGGTCAGGAGTTCGAGACCAGACTGGCCAACATGATGAAACCCCATCTCTACTAAAAATAAAGAAATTAGCTGGGCATGGTGGTGAGCACCTGTAATCCCAGCTACTTGGGAGGCTGAGGTGGGAGAATCGCTTGAACCCAGGAGGTGGAGGTTGCAGTGAGCCAAGATCACGCCATTGCACTCCAGCCTGGATGACAAGAGCAAAACTCCGTATCAAAAAAAAAAAAAAAAGAAAAGTCCCTGGTGTAAATTCCTGGGTTCAAATTTCAGCTCTGTAAGACCTTGAGTGAGTTGCTTAATCTTTCTAAGCCTCAGTTTCCTCATTTGTCAAATGAGGAAATACTATCACTTCATACACCTGTTGAGAGTGTTTCATTAAATTAGATAATGCATATAAATGGTTTAACACAGTGGTTGGCATACAGAAACTATTCAATAGATATTTGTTATTAATACTATTAATATTATCAAAATCTTCATTGTGGTTAAATAAGAAATGTGACACATTTGCCTCCTCTTAATTAACACATATTTCTTGTGTTATGCTTAGATATTGTTATTCTCTCAAAAGTCTGGCCATTCCTGCGGAGAAAAGGCAGTATCTCCTTCCATAAAGATTCCTTCTTTCCAGTAGCCAAAAATGATTACTCCCCCCTCTGCACTGTCATTGTACAATACTAACAACATAGTATTGTGGTATAGCTATTTACAGTATGTGTGTCTCCTCTGCCAATAACTGTGAGCAAATCAAGTACAGGCGATCAAATCCAATTTATCTCTTCATTTCTAGCATCTCACCTCTTACTATTTCTAACACAAATGATTTGACTCAAAAAAAGAAGAAAAGAAATAATTAATGAAATCCCACAATATAAGGCCTATGTTGCTGAGTTTCTAAAGAGCAGGTGTCATCAGTCGACAGCTAACCCATTCAAATGACCAAGTCCCATGGCCAGTCAGTGAGCTCAACAATCCCAACTAGGTAATTTCTCCTAACACAAAAAGGTCTTAGAAGAGTTCTCTCACACTAACGATCACAAATTGCTCCTGTGAGCAATATTTTTTTTCAAAAATAAAGCTGACCAAAAACACGTAAAGGACAAACGTGAGCCAAAGCCATTGTCTGAATCTATCCACAGTGAGTATTGGAGAGAATTACACAGAACATGCTCAGACCTCCATTGTTCTCTGAGCTACCTGGCCTGGTGTGACCAAACCGTATCTTTGCTGAGCACAGGTGGATTTGTCAGGGGTTAGACTCAGAGGCAGAAGATAAAAAGATCCAGAATACATTCCTGAAAACCCCTAGGCAGGGGAAATGATGTGCAAGATTCAGGAGAGTTATACAGATTTGATGTAGAAACAGAAACATAACTGAGAAGCAGGGCCCACAGGGGAAGTAGAGTCAGGTGGAAGCAAGTACAGAGACTACAGGTGAATGCTGTGAACTCCTCTGGCATGTCCTTATTTCACCTGTATGGGCAGGTAGTTTCAAGGTGATTGGGTGTGTGTGATTTCTGAAAGGTCCAAGATAGAGAAGCATGCATTTGTTTTCAAAAGCATTTCCAATCAAGGGCACCTCTTAGCTCTGAGTCCCACTATCCCAGCAAGAACTGAAGAGCAGGTGATGGCTTTAGTGATCACAGTGATCCACAGACTCATAGCATCAGCATCACCTGAGAAGGAATTAGAAATGCAGAATCTCAGGCCTCACTCCAGACCCCTGAATCAGAATGTTTGAGGGAAAAGTCCAGGAATCTGTATTTTAACAAGATCTCCAGGAGATTTTTTAAGCCTGCTAAAGCGAGGAAATGGTTTAGTATATTTGGCTCTTAACCAAAAACGCTCATCAGACTCACCTGGGGGCTTTATCACTATGCAAGCATGCAGGTCCCATGCCCAGGGCTCCTGAAACAGAGGGTCTAAAAGGGATCTGGTCACAGGCAAATTACATGTTTCCTTGGTGCTTTAGAAGTGCAGATTAAGTTTCCAAGCATTAGTTTAGAGACTTGTCCATTGGTTTAAGACCCACGCCCACAGTTTATGGTGTCCTGGCTGGAGTCTGCTATTACCCTCAATTACAACTCTCCTACATGGCCTAGTTCAGACACCAGCTGGTCTGTGAATCCCTTCCTGACCTCACTAGTCCACATGAGTCATTCCCAGCTCTGAGTCTCTGCAGCTGCTCCATGCATGTTCCCCATTTCAGTGCACATTCCATTCTGCTTTGTATTATGCATTATTACTGGTTGTGCATTTGTCCCCCTAACTAGATGTTAGCTGCCCCCGCTGACCCCCAAAGTCCAAGCTGTTACTCATCTTGTTTTCCTATAACACCTACCATAATGCCTGGCACATTGTAGGTCCACAATACCTTAGCTGCTATATTGAAATTATTGCAAAATCCAAATTCTTCACTCTCTATCCCCGAGGTTAAGTAGATATCAGGGAATTGACCATATTTCCTCTTCAAGAGTGAAGTATGGGCTTCCCTGTATACTTTTTAATATGGTATCACATCAGCTCCCTCAGCTAACCCTGAAGGGAAGTATGGGTGCCATTATTATGACAATGTCATTCCAGGAGCTCTTGTTCCTCTGTTCAGGGACACAGCTAATGAGTGAGAGTCGAGTCCACAGCTGAGACTCTTTGCCATTGTGTCTTTTGATTCTCTGCTGGCTCCAGAGGGTCCATGCAAGGATTACTCATGATGGTCACGGTGTCTGCTGGAGTTCCTGCCTGTACCTCCGTGTTCCTCTTCCTGCAGCTTTAGGAGTAACTGGAAGCTAGAGGGTGGGCCTAACAAGAATCCCATGGTGGTCTGTGTCCAGGTGCTTGTGTGCTGTGGAACCTGCAGGGCCTTAGGCCCAGCTGCACAGGCCAGGTCAGGACCCCTGCCTACTGCCCCATTCCTCATGGTCTCTGCCCTTGGGTTGGCCTGGCTCCCTGCCCTGAAGCACAGCCCGCCTAGCCTAAGCCCACACACTGGGCTTTGTCCACCCCAGTCTGTGCTCCATGGGTCTCGACGCTGCTCCTTGCACTGCAGCCCTGTCTCTAGCTGTGGCCTGGTTCTAAGGCACTCCATAGTACCTGTCTTTGCCAAGCGCTTCCTTCCACCATGTCTTACCCACTGCTTAGGCCCTTCTGGGTTGGCAATGCCAGAAAGCATCCTGCCAACTTTGCATACCCACTTAGGTATTGCAAACAACTCTTGGCTGCCTCCCTTCTCTGGGGCCCAGGCCTCCGCCAGGCTCTTTCCGTAAACTACCCTGACCTCCTTCCCTTATTCACTAACTTGTTGCATATGCCCAGCATTCCCCATTGTCCAGTCCGCAGTGTCCATGTTTTTAGCAGATTCCTGATCCTGCCATTAGCCGTACCCTGAGAGAAAGTCAAGAGCCCTTCACTCTGCAAGCTCAGCAATGAATTTGCAATCAAAAAACTTGAATTTGACACCTGACTTTGACTTTTACCAGCTGTGTGCCCTTAAAGAACATTGCTTCTTATTTTTTTAACCCTCAGTTTTTCTTCACCTGTTTAAGTGAGAAGTATGTATGTGTGTGGGGGGTGGGGTGGGGGTATACATATATACAAATATATATAATTTATATTATAAAGTTGTGGTGAGGATTAAATGAGATAATATGTGAAGAGTTACATCATAATTATAAAGCATCCTGGAAAAAAAGTATCATGAAATTACTATATTATTGTTCTGAAGCAGAGAGAAATATAATTTTTCTTTTATTAAATTGTGTTTTAGAAGTATATAATACGGTTAAAATGTTTTCAAATCAAAGGAACCAAAACAAAATGTTTTTATGCTTAAAGGAGCTAATTTTTATTTAATCTGGAAGATTAATCCTTTTCAGAATCTTCATCCCTGGATACACTGCTTATTAATATCTTCTTCCATCTAGAATACAGAGGGGAGAACATGGAGATGGTCTTTGCCTCCTCAACCACCGCCATCATCTCCCATTTCCATTGTGCTTTGATGGCTGATTTATTTACTCATTTGGCCAATAATATTCTGGAAACTTGGAATCCATCGTGGCTGGGGAGTGGAATAGAGGGTACAGCTATTTATGAGTTCCTCTGCTTCTCTCCAGTAGTGTCTCTGTCATTCATATCTTTGAGTCTTCAGTCTTGAGAACCAAGGAAGAGCCATCTGATATGTCTAGAAGCCTGCTGGTCTGAGCATCTTAGTCCTGGATGAGATCTGTCCAGCTCTCTGGCCCAGTCTCCCCACCACTGAGGGCATATAACTGTCAATGAAAAGGGTCAAATGCTGTAAAATATTTGAAGAGATTTATTCTGAGCCAAATATGAGTGACCATGGCCAATGCACAGCCCTCA
Source organism: Homo sapiens (assembly GCF_000001405.40). Classification (NCBI taxonomy): domain Eukaryota; kingdom Metazoa; phylum Chordata; class Mammalia; order Primates; family Hominidae; genus Homo; species Homo sapiens. The sequence goes on along the minus strand of NC_000017.11, from coordinate 33,467,892 downwards.
GGGGATCCTGAGAACATGTGTCCAAGGTGGTCAGGCCGCAACTTGGTCTTTTACATTTTAGACATCAGTCAATATATGTAAGATGTGCATTGGTTTTGTCTGGAAATGTGGGACAGTTGGAAGGTGGGGGATCTGCTTCCAGGTCATAGGTAGATTCAGAGATTTCTGATTGGCAATTGATTGAGATAATTAAGTTATTCTCTAAAGACTTAGAATCAAGAGAAAGAAATATCTGGGTTAAGATAAGGGGTTGTGGAGACCAAGGTTTTATCATGCAGGTGAAGCCCCCAGGTAGCAAGGGCTTCAGAGAGAATAGATTATAAATGTTTCCTATCAGACATAAAGAGTCTGTTCTAGCAATAATTCTAAAAGGGAGGAGGGTATAATGAGGCCTCTCCTACCTCCTCCTTCCCATCATAGCCTGAACTAGTTTTTCAGGTTAACTTTGGAATGCCCTTTTCCAAGAGGAGGGATCCATTCAGATGGTTGGGGGACTTAGAATTTTATTTTTGGTTTACATAACCTACCCCAAGACAGCTCATAATTTTCTCAGCTTTTAAAGCCTTTGAGAAAATAAACTTCATATTTCTTCACTTTGATAATTGTCTCTGAATTCACCCATATTTTTAAACTTAAAAAAAAATATTTTCAAGGCCAGGCACAGTGGCTTATGCCTGTAATCCCAACACTTTGGGAGGCAGAGGCAGGCAAATCGCTTGAGCTCAGGAGTTTGAGACCAGCCTGGTCAACATGGCAAAACCCTGTATCTACTAAAAATACAATCTACCCTTTGTCAGATAGGTAGATTGCAAAAATTTTCTCCCATTCTGTAGGTTGCCTGTTCACTCTGATGGTAGTTTCTTTTGCCGTGCAGAAGCACTTTAGTTTAATCAGATCCCATTTGTCTATTTTGGATTTTGTTGCCATTGCTTTTTGTGTTTTAGTCATGAAGTCCTTGCCCATGCCTATGTCTTGAATGGTATTGCCTAGGTTTTCTTCTAGGGTTTTTATGGTTTTAGGTCTAACATTTATGTCTTTAATCCATCATGAATTAATTTTTGTATAAGGTGTAAGGAAGGGATCCAGTTTCAGCTTTCTACACATGGCTAGCCTTTTCTCAGAACCATTTATTAAATGGGGAATCCTTTCCCCATTTCTTATTCTTGTCAGGTTTGTCAAAGATCAGATCATTGTAGATGTGTGGCGTTATTTCTGAGGCCTCTGTTTTGTTCCATTGGTCTATATCTCTGTTTTGGTACCAGTACCATGCTGTTTTGGTTACTGTAGCCTTGTAGTATAGTTTCAAGTCAGGTAGTGTGATGCCTCCAGCTTTGTTCTTTTTCCATAAGATTGTCTTGGCAGTGTGGGCTCTTTTTTGGTTCCATATGAACTTGAAAGTAGGTTTTTTTTTCCCAATTCTGTGGAGAAAGTCATTGGTGGCTTGACGGGGATGGCATCGAATCTATAAATTACCTTGGGCAGTATGGCCATTTTCACTACATTGATTCTTCCAATCCATGAGCATGGAATGTTCTTCCATTTGTTTGTGTCCTTTTTTATTTCGTTGAGCAGTGGTTTGTAGTTCTCCTTGAAGAGGTCCTTCACATACCTTGTTAAGTTGGATTCCTAGGTATTTTATTTCCTTTGTAGCAATTGCGAATGGGAGTTCACTCATGATTTGGCTCTCTGTTTGTCTGTTATTGGTGTATAAGAATGCTTGTGATTTTTGCACACTGATTTTGTATCCTGAGACTTTGCTGAAGTTGCTTATCAGCTTAAGGAGATTTTAATTTTAAAAAATATTTTTAAGCATTCTTTTAAAAATACAATCCAGTTAGTGCAAATAATCCATATCCTACTTAAATCTCCCATCCCAGAATCCCAGTGCCCTGATATCAAGAAGTTCTTTTCTAAGTCTGACTACACTCTCTCTGGCTTTATCCTGAGGAAACTTTCTCAAGCTGGTCCTTACAGTTTTTAAGACTTGAATCCAACAGCTACCAAGAAAAATACTCTGGTAGAGAACTTTTCTACACATCTCCACATAAGTTGGGCACAAAAGATGGGAGAAAGCTGGAGGACCAAAAATCAGGAATCTCCCTGTGTGGCTAGGCATTAATCTCTTCCCCTCTCCAGATTCCAAATCATTCATTCTTCAAGGAAAAGGGGCAGACCTTTCCTGTTCTGAATAAGTTACCTATCATCAAAGCCCACACTCAGGCCAGGCGTGGTGGCTCATGTCTGTAATCCCAACACTTTGGGAGGCCAAGGTGGGTGGATCACCCGAGGTCAGGAGTTCAAGACCAGCCTGGCCAACATGGTGAAACTCTGTATCTACTAAAAATACAAAATTCACCTGGGTGTGGTGGCATGCGCCTGTAATCCCAGCTACTAGGGAGGCTGAGGCAGGAGAATCGGCTTGAACCCGGCAGGCGGAGGTTGTAGTGAGCCAAGATCATGCCACTGTACTCCAGCCTGGGAGACAGAGTGAGACTCCATCTCAAAAAAAAAAAAAAAAAAGAAAAAGAAAAAAAAGGCCCACACTCAAAGATCTTCTACTCATTTCACTAACTTACCTGAAGGGACTTAAGAATGTATTTTCAGCCCAAGGAACAATTTTCCTGTTGAACAATTAGGAAACTTCAGCATTTGGAGGAAAGCATTAGAAACCAGCCTGGTGTATTATTGCTCTAACAATCCCTTAAGCTCCTAACAAAAACAGCCAGGGGAAGCTAGAAGCCAGCATGAAATATGGCCCACTCATTTTCTTAACAGTCTGCTTCCTGAAGTTATCCAGGAACTGTCAGCTCCTCCTGGAGCTCTGCATAAAGAATAGAGCAATTTCCTGCCTTTTATCCTGGTGTCTTATGCCCCAGACATTATCTTAATGGAATTCCATAGTATTTTTGTATTCAAATGGACTTGAAGGCAAACAAAACATTTAAAGGGAAAATGTTCTTCCTAAGCAGAAAAAAAAGTGCCTTGTTGGTACTTGTAAACTGTGAAAAGTCCTGAGTCAAGGACTCCTATGACTCAGGGGGGCCTAGAGATGCTATGGTGAGATTTGTCCAAATGCTTATGGGGCTGTCTGAGCATTCAGTATAAAGTTCCAGGTATCCAGGTAATGAGCTCAGTAGGAGGGTTAATTTCCAGGCACTTATTTGATAATGTTATATACATATATATACATATATATATATATATAGAGAGAGAGAGAGAGAGGGAGAGAGAGAGAAGGAAGAAAGGAAGAAATAAAAAGAAAAGAAAAAGGAAAGAAAAAAGAAAGGAAGAAAGAGAGAAAGAAAGAGATAAAGAGAGAAAGAGAGAAAAGAAAGAAAGAAAGAAAGAAAGAGAAAGAAAGAAAGAAAGAAAGAAAGAAAGAAAGAAAGAAAGAAAGAAAGAAAGAAAGAGAGAAAAGAAAGAAAGAAAGAAAGAGAAAAAGAGGCATGTGTAGAATGATGTAGAAGTCTGGAATTAAGGAGGAGTGTCTTTTAATTGAAATTTCTTATTCTGATGTCTTCCTCAAATGCCAGTCAACCAGCTTTCCAATTTGGTTCACACACTATATTATCCAAATCCCTGCACACTCCCTCCAACCAAGGGAGCCTGGGACTAGTGAGAGGCTTCATAGAATCCAGCCAGAAATAGGGAGCACCTCAGCTAAGAAACCAGAAGCCACTGAGCAGGCAGGGTCAAGAGCTAGCTAAAGACCTGTTGGCAAACAAAGGATACAAAGAGGAAAGGCAGGTCTCAGACTCTTAGGACTGGGAAAATGAGCAATGACAGGCAACAGGGCAGTGGACCACACATGCTGTGGTGTGATATGTGAAGATGAATAATGGAATGCCACATGCATCCAGAATTTCAAAACTGGATTGTTTTGTGATTAGGTGTTCAGATGCCACTCATAAGGGTATGCAACCAATGTGTCAGCTGAGCTTTCTGAGGATTCATTCATGTTACAAACCCTTCCCAAGCCCCTCCTATGTGCCAGGTGCTGTACTAGTTTCTGGAGACATGAAGATACATAATTCACTTTGAAGGAGGGAGAGACACATTCTCAAATAAAACAGTACAGTATGAGCAGTGGTATCACAGAGGCATGCACTGCAGCTGGGGGCAGAGGAGAGAGAGATCGACTGGGCTGGGAGCCCCAGGCCATCCAGGACTTAGGGACACTAATCATAGGAGGGCAGGAGTCTGAGAGTCTATCTAGTTCCACAGATGATTTCCCATGACTCCCGCAGTTGTTTCCTTTTTGGTCCATAAGGGCTGGGGCTCACGCAGGCAGATTGCATGGAGTAGGGAATCCCCTGGAGATGCTACCTTACCTGCCCCATTGCCTGTAGATATATTCTGGGGGAGACACAGCCAACTGCCTTCTAATTCACTGACTGACAGACATTGGAAATATTGGAGGGTAGTGAAGTCCTTGGCAGTCTTCATTCTCTAATATTTAGTCCAAAGAGTAGTTTTTAGATGTGATCTTGGTCATGTGACAAAGAGGAAGAAGAAGGAGAAGGAGAATCATCATGATGCATTAAGACAGTTATATAGCTCCAACTATAAAGCACGCCAGAAACTTCCTCTGGGGATGATGCCAACAGAGCACTGAGTGAGAACCAATGCAGAAAGACAGATACTGGGTCAAACTAACCTACTCCATTGGTTTAAGTTGAACAGGAGGACTGAGGGTAATACTGGGACCAATGGCAGGCTCTAAAAATATGTACCAAATGAAGATGCCATTAGAAAGGATCCACAATCTGAGACTATAATTCAAAAGGAGTGAGTGGGATACAACTTCAAGAGTACTGCGTCTTAGAAAATCTCAGAAATAAGAACAGGAATGTATCTTTGAATTGGAGAAGATGATATATAGCTTTACCAAGGGCAGTGGCAAGCCCAAGGGGAAGAGATCCGCAGGAAGTAAGTGGGAGGGACAGGTGGCCCAAATCATAGGCTGAGAACAAAGCTCCATCACCTCTCTCATCACTATAAATGACTCTGTCTCCAAACATCTAGCCGCAAAGTAGAAACCTAATAGAAGGCCTAGCAGGGAAACACTAACTACATATCATATGGGCATTCACTGGGGCTCAAAGTTCTCACCAGAATTCAATGTTTCATTTACCTCCAGATCCTTCTGAATATCAAAGTAGGGTGACCACCAACTACTTATAGATCATACTTACCAAAAGGGAGGGGACACTGTAATATCTTATCTGATTGTATTTCTCAGCAAATATGAGCCTGAAGGTGGTCAGCTATTTTGTAAAGGTACAGGTTAAGCTGCTGTTACAAAGTGGCACCCACATACGGCAGCTGCAGTGAGACATGGGTGGAAGGTCTAGGGCTGGTAGGTGCCTCTGCTCCACAGAGTCATCCTGGGGCCCCATTTCCTTGTATCTTACGTCTCTTTCATCCCCTAGGGTATTATCCACATAGTCAGAGTCAGATCACCTCCACCTTATCCACATAGGAACAAGGAAGCAGAGAACAAAATACCTTTGTGAAAAATATAATCAAACATCTCTTCCACTCATATCCTGTTTTGACTAGAATTTAGTCCCATGGCTACATCTAGATGTAAAAGAGGCTGGAAAATGGATCTTTGGTCACTGGGCCCAGCTAAAACCTTGTAGGTTCTATTACCAGAAGGAAGAAAGAGGACAGGTACCAGGGAGTAATTAGTATCTGCCACAGTGATTCACAGCAGTTAATCCCAATTGTCACCTTTGCTAGGAAGGCTTTTCTGGTTCCCAAAGCCTGGCCCCTCTTCTCTGCTTCTGTGACACCCTGTGATTAACTCTGTCAAAATGCTTACCTGAATATCATGAAATACGCGGTCTCTCTTCCACTAAAGTACAAGCTCCAGGGGAAGCAAATACGTGTTTTTTCATCTTTGTATCCCCAGTGCCTGACACAGTGGCACATGTAGGTACTCAATAAAGTTTTGTTAGATGAATGGCTAGGCGGATGGATCAATAGATGGTTCAGTTGCAAAGTGAATGGAACTGGGGCATACCTGGTACAGCCTCAAGGTTTTCTGATTTGATTTATAAAAATTACCCTTTAATATCTAGTCATGTGTGTGTGCTTATTCAAACAGATAAGCCAATGACTGCTTGATGTGGAAGGGGTAGAGAATGGCTGTGGAGGGGGTGGGTATTACCCCTGTAGATACATAAACACACCCTTCTCATGTACTTAACAAGAGATTCTAGAGTGGTAGCATTTGGAAAGCTTAGGTATCAGTCAGGACCCTCTTAGAACATTGATGCTATGATGACTTGTTCACTGCTTGTCATTATGCGCCCTTTTTCATTGCTCTCTAAGTGCCCCTGATCATGCCAGGCAGCTCCCATCTCAAATCTTTCCACCATATCACACAGCAAGTAGAGCTTGGACAGCACCAAGAAGCAGGGCCCTGGGGAATATCAAAGTGTAAGGAGATTGAGTGTGAAGATCTGGAGGGCTCCCTGCATGGAGAATTTGGAGAATATGCCCAAGAATGTGCCTGCATGATAGAATTGACCAGAGGATAGAGAAGGGCAATGGGAAAACATTCCACAGCTCTGCGCTCCCCCAGGACCTGGGCAAGACCAGTATGTCACAGGGTGAATAAGGTTTCAAAACTTTTATCTAAACGTAAAGGAATGTTAAGTGTTCATTCCTTCAAAATCTAATCCCACTGAGTGCTTCCTTGGGTGGGTGAACTTTGCATTTGAGACTATTGTAGAAAAGCAGGTGCTGAGGAGCAGGTGGAAGTGGGTTGGTTACATTTCTTATATAGAGCTAGGGAGATGCACATTACAGAAACCAGAGTGTCAGATGTGGAGGAGGAGGCGAGATGATTTGTGACTGCAACAGACTATTATCATCTGGGCAAAGGAGATGGAATTGAGAAAAGCTGAAAAGCTCTGGGCAATGAAATTGGCTGGATGGTTGATAGTTCCCAGTGGGAAGAGTCATTGGCTCTGTTTCTGGAAATCGTAGAGTTGTAGAATACTACAGTTGCACAGGATGGTGAGAAATCTGATGTCAGATTGAATCCTGGCTCTGCCACTTAACTTATTCTGTGACTTAGAAAATTACTTAATCTCTCTGTGGCTCAGTTTTCTCACCTGTAAAATGGATTTATAACAGTATGCACCTCACTGGGTCATCTGAGGGCTTAAACAAGTCATAACATATAAGCTCATGCCTGACACATGCTCTCTGTAAATATTAGCTCCTACAGAATCTGTCATTTTGAAACAGAAAGCATTCCTTTGTTGATGAGACTAAATAATCTTTGGCCATTAGTTTTCCCCATTTCTGTGGTGGATAGGATTATGCAAACTTCCCTTTGCAACCCAGAGAGAAACTGGCCTCACTTACGGCTTCTTCCAGAAGTTCACTTTGTCATGGCAGAGCCAGCCCTTGTTCTCTCTATTCTGGCCTCCTTTGTGTGCCAGGCTCATCCTCAGGATGTCCCTCATCCTCAGGATACAAATAAAGGGCCGCACTAATTCCCACCTCCCAGCTTCCTTGTATGCCATCTACCAGCTCCTGCCTGTGAGAATGGCAGCCCATCCACCCCATCCCCTTCTTGGCACCTTGTGTCTCATTTGCTCAAATTGTGTCACATGCCTGGAAACAGGACATACTAATCAGCTCAAGCCAATCTAACCCATCCCTAGAATTAAGAGTGGGGTCAATACCCGAAGCTAATCCTAGCAGGAGATTGTTCCTCCAAAGCAAATCTGGACACCGAGGTCAGGATAAAGGAAGAAATAGATGTGTTGGAGGCAAGCAAAAATGTCTGCTATAGAGCATAAACTACTAGCTAGTTTGTCAAACACACAAATCTGAGTAAAATCCTGAAAGAGAGTGAAAAGTCTGGGTTTTTTTTTTAACCATTTCACAATCCCAAGAAGATTATGGGGTCATAACAGATTTAACTACAAACCAAGGACTAAATGAACTTGGTGCCACCTAATTAATATCCTTAACACTCTAAAGAAGAGGCGCTCCATTCACTAGAGACAATCACTTCTGGCAATTGCCCCACAATGTGGTCTGAGCTCAGCCTGGAAAGGGCAAGGGGAAACCACCTAGAGAGACCACACTGGAGGGCCAGCTGCTGCTCCTGGGCTGGCAGGGACAGATACCTCATCCCCACAGGCACGGCCAGCCCTGCCAACATTCTCCCCTGCACTGACGAAGGGGTGTTCCCACCCCGACAGAACAGCTTAATATGTAGAAATATGAATTCACCACCGCTTACTTCCTGCAAGGAGGGATATTGCTGGGAGCCAATATCCTTTTATCTCTCTTTGCCTCGATGCTTTCAGCTTCTCGCCCTGCTCCAGCAATGAGCCTCTCGTTATGCAGAGCTACTTGCATTTCCCTTCAGAAAATAAAACTAAGACAAAGAAAGGAAACGTATTTAGCTTTAATGATGTGTGTGGTTTCATTTTTCTGTTTGAATGTATTGCTGTTTAATGAGGTAAATATCCATTGGATGAATTAGATACATTGATCCTGCACGCGTCTCCTGGGAGGCAGCCTCTCAGGGACAAGATGTGCCTTGAACACAGTACTCGGCAACCACACAGCCTGACAAACAGGCCAGATACTCAGCAAGAGCACAGACCGACCCCGTCGTGGACAGGTAGCAGGTGATGAATCACTCACTGCTGCCCCCATGGCTAGCCAAGCAGGCAACAGACTTAGCACAGACGAAACCATGTGACGATGATCAAAACTCTTGAGTAATGGTGGGGCCTCTGGGTCATTAAAAAAAACAGAAAACACAAAAAACAAAAAAACGAAGGTAATGCGGTCACCAGAATTGACAGTTTGTTTTAGTATTTCAACCAGAAGAGCCCCGTTGTCTATATCTATTGACAACGTGGAGGTTTTCCAGTAATGAGACCATCAGTCTTGATAATATTATCAGCTCCAAGAAGGTTCAGTCGGACAGAAACCCTGTGCAGCATAGCTTGGCACCCCTGAATTACTCTAGTTCTTCATTTTACTAGAAATGAAGGAAAAGAAAATTAAAGATATTATGTTCTTATACTTCCTCACCAAAGAAGTCATTTGGACCATTTTAGACTGGAAGAGATCATAGAAATTATTATTCAATCTCTTCATTAATAGATTAGGATTCTGAAGCCCAGATAGAGAAAGTCATATGGCCAACCAGTACTTGAACCATGACCAATAATCATTTTATGAGTGCTTGTTTTGTGCTAGGGACTGTTCTAACTGCTTTATAAACATTCATCTATTTGCAGCTCCCAACAACCCATTATGCAGAGGAGGAAACTGAGGCACAGAGGTGTTAACTATGGCCAAAATCATACAGTCAGAAAGTGATAGAGATGGGATTCAAACCCAACGGTCCAACTTCAGAGCCCATTATGGTTCTGGCCTTTCACTAAAACCCAACTCTCCTGGCTCCCCAGTCAAACATGTGAAAAAACTCCAAACATAAAAGTTTTAAAAATCTTTCCCTACAGATCCTGGAATAAATTACTTGAGTTACCCAAACAAGTAGTATGAGGCTCCCTAGCCTTTGTGCTGCATCTCACAAGTTCATCCTCCAATGATCCTCAATCTACTCTGACCTCTCTTGACTCTAAAGCTCTTGGCAAGACCTCTCTCCTCCTACCACACCTCTTAGTTTCTTAGTTTCTTGTTCCCCAACCACACCTAGAGATTCGAGGCTTCTTTCTATCTATCAGGCTGTTTCCTCCGTCTGGAACCCCTTCCACTCCATAACCTGCCATTGATCTACTACTTATCCTTAAGACCTAGCCCCAAAGACGCCTCAGCTATGACGACTTCAGCAATCACCCCTGTCAGAATCAGAATCCCCTTCCCCCACAGCACTTTGTTCCTCTACCACAGCATTTATGTGATTATTTCCTCCATTGTAACTGGAAATGGAAGGGTAGTGCAGTGTAGCAGCTGGGTGCAAGGTCTTTGACCAGAATCAGACCTGAGTATGAGATCTAACTCTGCTGCCAGGAATTATGTGGCATTGAGCAAATTGCTTAACTCTCTGAGCCTCCTTTTCTTCATCCATAAGAGAATAACATGACTGATCTCAAAAGGCTCCAGTAAGAATTAAATAAGACAATGCATGCAAAGCCCTTGGCCAGCACCTGTCTTGTAGTAAGCTGTCTATACATCTTAGCTATTAGTGTTGAGGTGTTGACGTCACCACCACCACCATTGCCATCATCATCATCAGCAGCAGCAGCAGCAGCATCATTAGTGTATACTAATACTACTACCTTTATAGACTAAACTCCTAGAGGGCAGGGACTTTGTCTTGTTCATTTTTATGCCTGGCCTTTAGTATGTTCTTAATAAGTGGATATAGAATTGAATTGTTGAAGCAGTTGTTCAATTGGCAATTTATTATTTTGGCTCTGGTGATAAATTGTCTTGAAATCATTTGCCTAGTCGCTTGCCACCCAATTAGGTTTTGAGCTCCACAGAAGTTGATATTTCTCTCTACAGATCATACACTCAGTAAATAGACTCAATACTTAGAAAAGTATTTGATGAATGCTTAACTTCTCAAACTTCTCAAAGTTCATAGGATTCTCAAGATGTACATTCATCTTTTGTAAAAAAAAAAAAAAGAAAAACAAAAAAGGCTAAATTTACAAAGGAAAAGAAAGTAACATTTATTGAACACCTAAAAATAGCTAACATTTATTAAGTTCTTACTTCATGCCAGGCACTGTGCTAAGTACTTTATATACTCCTGTGTAATAATCATCAAGCCAATTTATTAGATATGATTCATTCTTCTCATATTACAGTTAAGAAAACTGAAGCTTAAAGAAATTAATTAGCTTGTGCAGGATTACAGCTACTATGCAGGGAGCCCAGGATTGAAGCCCATCCTCTTCTGACTCCAGAAGAAAGTATCTGGCTCTGAGCTAAGCAATTTAGACACTTTGCCACATTTAGGACTGCCTTTCAATCTGACAGTTGTTGAGTACTCGTACTATCCCCATTTTACAGATGAGGCAACTCAGGCCTGTTTATATCACAAAGTCAATCAATGCTAAGGCTGGGCTTTGAAAGGACGTTTGTCTGACTCTATCTAAAGCCCTCTCCGTTTTTCTACAATACTCCAGTGCTGGAACTATAACTCTGGTGCCCTGAATGGTGCTCACTCCAGCTCTTACCTTCTCCACACACAACAAACGCTCCTTACTCTAGCAACCATCACCTGCTAAGCACCTGGCAGATGCCCCACCCACCACATAGTTAAAAGAGAAGGAATCATTCCAAATAGACACATCTCCACACAATGAAAACCCAGTGGAGAAAAGACATGCCATCAGAAAGATGTATCAGTAGTCACTACCCAGTAGCTGGTGCAGCCTTGAATTATCACTGAAGGATGAGCTCCGAGGGTTGTCATTATGAGCAGATTTTGCAATCTGGGAATAGACTGAAGGGGGGATGGGGATAGTGCATGATGGGAAATAGCAGCATCCTGGGGGCTATTTGGGAGGAAGTGGGGAGGGAAGATAGGCTAAGAGATATTGGGGGCTGGTCTGTTTTATAAGCCCCAGGAAGACAATAAAGGGGGTAGGAAACAGAACAATAATGAAGCCAAAGACCCTGGGGTGGGAAGTGCCACCAAACTCAGCAAAGCCTGGGAAATCAATCTGCAAAATGAAAGAAGCAGAGAAGAGCACCAAAAATAACCTTCAAGGTAATGGATGAGGCAGAGGAGAAAAATCAATTCAAGGAAAACATATTAAGCGCAGAAAAACTAAATGAGAGCTGGGGGTTGGGGGGAGTTGGGATAGAGAGCCCTGGACCGGAAGCCTGGAGGGCTGAGTTCCTCATCCAGCTTAGCTGCTAACAAACTCTGTGACTCTGGGTGGGGCACCTCACCTCTCTGAGCTGTCCTGGCTCCTCTTAAAAATGACACCATTGGACAACACGGCCTGTAAAGCCCCCTCCTGCTCTGTCAGTCGGTGATAAGGAACTGTGCAAAGTCTTTGATTCGCATAGTTCTAAGCAATTATATGCAAGTAGGGACATCATCAGGACATCATCTAGTCAGTCCTTCAGATATTCCCGGCTATCTGGGGCTTTTGAGATGTAAATGAAACCCCATTTACCTGTATTTCACTGTTCTTTAGCCTTTGGGATAGTTCTGAAATTGATGATGAAGAAAACTCACAGGCATAAGTTAGCAACCATCAAAGAAGCTATTTGGAAGCAGTGCTGATAACATATCTAAAAAGGTGCACACTAGGTGCCCATCAATGATGGAACTGGATAAAGTAAATGTGTTGCATATTCACCATGGAATATTATGCAGCCATAAAAAGATAGCAAAATCATGTCCTTTGCAGCAACGTGGATGCAGCTGGAGGTTATTATCCCAGGTAAATTAACAAAGAAACAGTAAGCCAAATATTGCATGTTCTCCTTTATAAGTGGGAGCTAAATGTTGGGCACTCATGGATGTAAAGACTGGAACAATAGACACGGGACTACTGGAGGGAGAGAAAGGGAGGAGTGCAAGGGTTGAAAAACTAACTATTGGATACTATGCAGAACCTGGGTGAGGGGATCATTCACACCCCAAATTTCAGCATCATGCAATATAACCAGGTAAGAAACCTGCAAATGTGCTCCCTGAGTCTAAAATAAAAGTTGGAAAAATGACAAAATAATAATAAATTACACAATTATAAAGAAAAAAATAAAGGTGGCACAGTGCTATCCTGTAAGACACATTAGGATACCTGTATACAACAAAAGCCTCCTCTCCAAAGAGGGCTTATGAGTTAGAGGGATACCTCGGGACACCTCAGACACAGGATCTGTGTATATCGCTGCTATTGTTTGAATGTATGTGTTCCTCCAAAATTCGTATGTTGGAATTCAATACCCAATTAGATAGTATTAGAAGGTGAGACCTTTAAGGAAGTGATTAAGTCATGAGCACTACCACCTTAGTGAATGGGATTAGTGCTTTTAGAAAAGAGGTTGCAGGGAGTGCCTGAGCCCTGCTTTTGCCCCTCTGTTCCTTCCACCATGTGAGGAAACAATAACACAGAGCCATCTTGGAAGCTGAGATCCCTCACCAGACACCAAATCTGCTGGTGCCTTGATCTTGGAATTCTCAGCCTCCAGAACTGTGGGCAACACATTTCTATTGTGTATAAATTATGCAGCCTAAGGTATGTTGTTATAGCAGCAGGAATGGACTGAGACAATTGCTATATTTATGTGCTGTCTAAGATTTTTAAAGAATAACAGAATAAAGCCTCTCTTAGCCAAAGGTTATTTGCCTACAAACCACAATTGTTAAGAAGATAACCTAGAACTTACAAACAAAGCAGTTAAGAAAGTACACATAGCAGAAAGGGAATTTGGAAGTACTGGGTGCCTACAATGGGCATGATGTTTTATGTGCATCTCAAATGTCAGCCTGCCTCCACAAAGTCTGTCTGGGAGTAAAGGGTCTTTGCCTCATAGCTGTTTCTGAGTTGAGTCCTTGGTGTAACTGCTTCTCTGGGCTATTTCTGGTTCTGCTATAGACCACCGTCCACTGTACTACTGGTCACCACACAGATCAACATAGTGGACAGTGAACAAGGGGCAGGCCACACTGCCTCTTCCTGTCTCTTTACTTCCCACAACACCACTGTGTAAGACTGGATGGCTGTGTTGGTCTTTACAGAGGCTGGGGACAAGTAAAAGAAATGTCACCATGAGAGAAAAGGAAATGCTTAAGACTGTATACTTCAGCATATGAGCACTTGTAGGCAAATGCACATCACAGATTTCTTTGGAATAGCCAACAACAGTAAATAACAAAAATGTCCAACAGGTGAATGGGTAAACAAACTATGTTACAACCATATAGGAAAAATAAAAGGAATGACCTATTGATTCATGCAGCAATATAAATGAACTTCAGAATAATTACCTCGAGTGAAAGAAGACAGACCAAAAAAAGCATACACTGTATGATGCCATTTATATAAAATTCTAGAAAATGCAAACTAATCCACAGTGACAGGAAGCAGATCGGTGGCTGTCTGGGTATGGCATGGGGAGAGAGATGAATTACAAAGGAGCAAAGAAACAAAGTAAATTTGGGGAGATGATGGATATTATTTTGATTGTGGCGCTGGTCCCACAGGTATGTAGATAGGTCAAACATATTAAGTCGTACCCTTAAAAATACACAGCTAATTATAAAACAATTATTCCTCAATAAAGCTGATTTTTAAAACCATACATAATCTATGATTGTCCTCATAAACCAAGGGGAAAATATAAAATTGTAAAACCTTCATGGGAGTTGAGGGTGTTCTTGCAGGTACACACTCTGCCCTCTTTTCCTCTGAGAACATCTTCCGCTTCACATCCCTTCATGGCCTCCCTGCCTCTTTTCAAAAAGCTTCCCCCATCTGTAAGAGGTTTCTGGCTCTAGAGTCCATCACCCTCCCTTAGAAAAATATGTAGGAGAGGAATATTTCCCAACGTATAAAAGATTATGGAAAAGTAAGACCATAGACTCAGAATGTAAAATCAGTTTCTTTTTTTTTTTTTTTTTCACCTGCTTTGTAGAAAGGAAGAGGAGTGTCCCCAGCCATGGTCTGGGAAGCACCCATACCCCAGCTCCCCAATACATCCAAAAACACAGGCTTTCTCTAATACACAAATATAATCTCAGACCCCACAAACATGTACACATACTGTGAGAATTGCAGAGGAGGAAGGGAAGACCATGTGATATTCAGCAAGGAAGGAAGGCAGAACTCATAGGCATAAGTTAGCAACCTTCGGAGAGGCTGTTTGAAAGGGTGCTAACAACATTCATTCGAAAGGAATCTCAGTGCCTGTGCGGAAAAACACTAAGGCCCTGTCATTTCATGAGTCTTTACCTTTCTTGTGCTAAATACTGGCATGTAGAGCAGTTTGATTCGGAGGAGCTTCATTAACAAAGAGCCTGATGGCTTTGACAAAAGTTTCAGCTGGGTTCCAGCCCTGCAAGACTGAGCCCCTGACAAGTACACCCTGCACATAAACCTTTGTTTCTTCCTTGCTTTTTAAAGGCTATCACACACACACACACACACACACACACACACACACACACCCCACTCTGTTCCAAACAAAGAAAACATCAATCTTTAGAGACAGTAGCATCTAAATCCTAACTCCACCATCATTGGCACAGAATAGAGGTCGTGCATGGCATCATTATGCAAAGCACTAAAAAGTCCACTTTGTTCCCATTCTGTCGTCAGACTATGTCGTGGGCCCAGGAAGCACATGAGAAACAGTGACTGTCTACCCACTAACAACTACCTCTCAGCTGCTACTCAAAGGCAAGACTGAGGCTGTGATAATAAGCTTCCCTTTTCCATTGCTTTCAAGCAGGTCAAATTTTAGGGGAAGGTGGAGGCATGAGGCCTAAGCACTCCTGACTATGCTGCCAGGCAAAGAGGTGATGGAAAGAAAGCCAAAGCTATCTGATTTAAGCCTCCCAAAAGCCCTTTGAGATAGATATTACCATACCCATCTTGCAGATTTGGAAACTGAGGTTCAAAGAGGCCAAGAGCAACCAAGGCCAGGGCCAGAGCCAGCATCAAGATCTGCATGACAGCCAAGTTTAGGTTCCTTCCTTTAGTCTCCACCACCTCTAAGCAGGTAGAAGGTAGACAATCCGAATACTAACAGGCAGATACTCACCTTAGGTTGGCAGTCAGTGCTTTTTTGCTTTTAATTTACATGCAGCTCTAACTTGGTATTCCAAGTTTTCATTTCACAGCAGATTAAAATCTGCTCAGTGGAGGTGATGCATTAATTCATTCATGTATTTACTTATCTGGTGAATGTGTACTGCGTGCATATCATGTAACTAACTGAGAATAGGTTCTGAGGATACAGCAATGAGAAATACCATCAAAGTCCCTACCATCATAGACATATAAGGGAGAATAGTAGTCAACAAATGTGCACACAAATTACTTAGCGGTTATAATTATGAAAAGTACAAACAAGGAAAAACGTAGGGTGCTATGGGGTATAGAACAAACTAGGTCAGGTCCTGATGAAAGAGACTAAGGAGAGAAGCCAATACACCATTGAGGATATGCCACTGAGGATGTTAAGCAAGGACTGATATGATTGGGTGTGTTTCAAACTTATAACTAGTTATTCTGAATAAAAGTGGATGAAAGAGAGGGCATAAGGGATGTAGTGAGAAGGCAACTGCAATGGTTGAAAAAAGAAATATAATTCACAGGACTGGATAGTTGGTTTTGTGTCACGGGAAGAGGAAGATGGAGACATCAAGAACAACTTCCGGTGTCTGGCAAAAGCAACAGGTTTGTAACAGCGCTGACTACTGAGATGGGGAGCCTGGAAAAGAGGATTTCAGGGAGGAAGGGGTCATAGAAGGTCAAACTTTTGGCGTGTTAAGGCAAAAAGTTAACTGGTGAGTCATTGAGAAAGGTATTCAAGAGTTCATTGTACAGCCGGGTACGGTAGCTCATGCCTGTAAATCCCAGCACTTTGGGAGGCCGAGACAGGCAGATCATTTGAGGTCAGGAGTTAGAGACCAGCCTGGGCAACATGAAAAATACAAAACTTTGTAAAAATACAAAAATTAGCCAGGTGTAGTGGTGGGTGCCTGTAATCCCAGCTACTCGGGTGGCTGAAGCAGGAGAATCCCATGATCTCAGGAGGCAGAGGTTGCAGTGAGCTGAGACTGCACCACTGCACTCCAGCCTGGGCGACAGAGTGAGACTCCATCTCAGAAAAAAAAAAAAGTACATGTACGCCTCTGACAAATTTTCTACAAGTTTGAGTTTTCCAAAATACAAAAATATACATTTGGAGCATATTAATTTTGAGATCCCTATGGTAAGACAGCTAAGAGAACATGTCAGGATAGCAGTTGGATATGTTGGCATGGAGCTCTGCCCAGAAGGCTGTGTGGCAGTCCCTGTATACATATACATCTGCATACAGATGTACAGAAACTGTGAAAGCTGATGAGATTGCCCAGGGACAGTGATGACTGAGGGGTACATTATATCAGTACATAATTATTTCCACATCTAGACACAATTACTCCCCACCCCTGCCACAGAGGAAGACAAAGTCATGGAGGCAGTCTCTTTCTGTGCATCCCTCTTGATTACAAGGTTTTATTGTAACAAAATATATGACATAAAATTTACTATCTCAACTAATTTAACTCTACAGTTCAATAGTATTAAGTACACTCATATTGTTTATTGTTGTGCAACCATCACCACCATCCATCTCCAGAATTTTTTCATCTTTCTGTGCACCTCTTTCAGGAACAGAGAAAAGTATCCCAGAATCCCCCAGAATAAGACTTCCCCTCAGTTAGCCATCGGCCACCACTGGATTACATGACCACCCCTAAACCAATCAGTGAAAAGTGGAAAGAGAACAACCATGACAGGCTCAGGCAAGTCAGGCTTTACTGAAAGTAGGCTCACCTCCCATGAGGGAGGTTATACCTAAATAAAACCAGAAAGAAGAGGAAAATGCATTCTGGGTAAGAAAATAATAGTGTCTGCATACTACCATTTTACAACAATGGTTCCTCACTTAATGTTGTATTTTCTGCATGTATACGGAGCGTGCCTAAACATAAGTTCCAGTGTCTTCAAAACAGGTACATAGTTACTTGCCACAATTTATTAAACTAGCCTTTTGTTTTGGATGTTTCTACCATTTTTAAGTTTGAGCTTATTCAGTAATGCTGCAATAAAAGTTATTTTGTGATGGCCGGGTGTGGTGGGATCACGCCTGTAATCCCAGCAGTTTGGGAGGCTGAGGCAGGAGGATCACTTGAGGTCAGGAGTTTGAGACCAGCCTGGCCAACATAGTGAAACCCCATCTCTACTAAAAATACAAAAATTAGTTGGTGTGGTGGCACATGCCTGTAACCCTATCTACTTGGGAAGCAGGAGAATCACTTGAACCTGGGAAGCAGAGGTTAGAGTGAGCCAAGATTGTGCCACTGCACTTCAGCCCGGATGACAGAGTGAGACTCTGTCTCAATTAAAAAAAAAAAAGAAAAGAAAAAAGAAAATTATTCTGTGAATCCTTTGTGTAGCTTTGGAACCCAGGTGTGAAATTCCTGAGTCAAAGGATAAGAAGGTCTATAACGCTTTATGTATAGGAAATTTTCCATTAGAATAAGCAATCCTGATTTTTTTATACTAAAGGGTGGTTTTCAGTTACCTAGAACATTAATTCACATGGAGCACTATATTTCCCTGGGAAGTTGATAGAGGGGTTTGCTTTGAGAACATTTGTGTCCAGGTATTTGCAACAGGTATGCTGAACAGGAATGAGGTCCCTTGAGGCACCTGGGCCAAAAGTATGCTACCCAGAGGACAAGAAGCAAACAGGTGATAATGACATCTTGATGGAGAAGCTACAGAGAAGAGAGAATGGAAAAATACAGGAAAGGTAGCAGGTAGCTACAGCCCACAAGGCTGCAGATCTTGACTGCCAGAGAGTAGGTCTTAATCCCTGACTGGCAAAAATGTCTAAGGCTAGAGGGGAGGAAGGAAGCAGCTGGTTCTGGGGAGATAATGATGAGACCAAGCTCAGGAAGCCATCAATCTCTTCCTCATCTTGCTACACTGGGGCTTAGACATAGATACAGTGATAGTTTCCCTGTTATTCTCAACCTCAAAGGGTCTGTGGCAGAAAGGGCCAGGCAGGATGGAGGAGAAAAATAGTGGCATTCTGTTTATAAAACAGTTTCCTATTCATCATCTCATGTAATCCACCAAATGGTACCCTTGGGCAGATATTATTATTTCATTTTACAGGAGTGAAAACTGAGGTCCTAAGAGGTAAATTCTTCAAGACCATGCTATAACTAAGAGGCAGCACCAAGAATTGACACAAGTCTCCTGATCTGTGTTCTTTTGACTAGGTTCAAAGTTTTCCCTACAGAGGATCCATTCATTCAATAACCATTTATCGCACACCTAGTCCATTCTGCATCTATGCAAGGTACTGGGATGAAAACGGATGGCCCCTACTCTTATTAGTGTCCTATAGCCTCTATAGTCAATTACCACAAATTTAGTGGCTTAAACAACAGAAATATAGTATTTCACAGTTCTGGAGGCCAGAAGTCTGAAGCCTGTTTCAGTGGGTGAAGTCAAGGTGTCACAGGACTCACAGGACCATATCCCTCCAGGGGCTATAGGGAAAAATACATTCTTTGCTTCTTCCAACTTCTGGCAGCTGCCAGCACCCCTTGGCTTGTAGCCACATCACTCCAGTATCTGCCTCCATCCTCACATTGTCCTCTCCTCTGAGTGCGTAATCTCCCTCTGCCTCTCTCTTATAAGGACACTTATGATGGAATCTAAGACACATAGGGCCAATCCAGGATAATTTCCTTATCTCGAGATCCTTAATTTATTCATATATGCAAAATCTTTCCCATATAAAGTAACATTCAAGGTTCCAAGGATTAGGACCTGATATATCTGGGGACTCCATTCAGCCCACTAAACAGCCGTCAAGTATTCACATTCTAATGAAGGTAGCAGTGGCCAGATGAGCAATTGAAATATAATGGAGCCCAGCCACAGCCTGATTAGCCAAAAAATGGCATTTGGCAGTAAAAATTAAAAATAAAGGAAACATAAAGAGACGTAGGAGGCAAGAGTCAGAGAGGACAAATGCCTGGTTTCTCCACAGTAACCTAACTCCCGATTCTAGTTTTATTTTATTTTATTTTATTTTATTTTATTTTATTTTATTTTATTTTATTATGCATAAAGATGTACATGCTTTCAGGGTACATGTGATAATATAAAACATTCATATAATTAGTGAAGATCAAATCAGTATACTTGGGATATTCATTGCCTTAAATATTTGTCTTTTCTTTTTTTTTTTTTTTTTTTTGAGACTGAGTCTTGCTCTGTCGCCCAGGCTAGTTGTCTTTTCTTTATGCTAGAAACATTTGAATTATTCTCTTCTAGCTATTTTGAAGTGTAAAATAGATTATTGTAAGCTATAGTCACCCTACTGATTCATCTCTGATTCTAGTTTATCCTTGGCAAGTATCTCAGTCCTCTGATTCTACAAGATATATCAGTTATCCTTTCAGTAACTGACTCCCTAACCTCTTTTGTATCTCTCTTGAAGCTATCCAGAATCAGTTTCTGTAATTTTCAACTAAAAGAGAACTAGCTAATCACACCCAGTGTTCTAGGCCTGACTCTGAAAGATCCTGCTTTACACTTTCACAGCTGGGTCTATTGCTTTCCTCTCCCTTGCTAAGCCTCACTCATCTCTCAGCCTTCCTTAGAGAAGGCCTAGCCCCTCTCATTATAAGATCTGATCACTCACTCATACCTGTAGTGTTTTAGTTCCCATCTCCTGACATATCTGTTTCTGACAGTACTTCAACAAACAATTATCCTCATAAGAACACCCCCTTTGACAGGCCCCCTTGGCTTCTCCTCCTGATTAGTGGTATCTCTAGGCAGGTCACCTGGGACACACTTGCCACCAGAGACAGACTCTGGCTCTGCTTTTCTTCAGATGCATTTAGCCTTAATCTTTCTGGCCATCAGGTCCGGCCACCCACCTCAACCCCCACTACCGTTCAATTGCAGACAACTACATGTAATCAACATTTCCCGGATCCCGGGCACTCATGTACCAGGACCTAAACTCACGAAGGCAGGCAGAAAATAAACAGGGATCACAGCTCATTCTGTGGCTAATCCAACTGCAAACACCATAAATTTGTTTAGCTGTTATTCTCAGGCTCAAAGCGTCTGCAGCAGGAAGGGCCAGGCAGGATGGGGGTGAAAAATAGTGACGTTCAGTTTATAAAACACTTTTCTATCCATTATCTCATTTAATCTACCAAATGATATCTTAGGCAGATAATTATTGTTTCATCTTACAGGAGTGAAAACTGAGGTACTAAGAGGTAAAGCGAATTCTTCAAGACCATGCCACGACTAAGAGGCAGCGCCAAGAATTGACACAGGTCTACTGATTTGTGTTCTTTTGACTAGGTTCAAAGATTTCCCTTCCAGAGGATTCATTCATTTATTGCACACCTAGTCCATTCTGGGTCTGTGCAAGGTACTGGGATGAAAAGACATGGTTCCTACCTGTAGGAACCTATAGCCTCTATAGTCAATAACAGGATGGGTAGGAGAGTGTTTTATAAACAGAACGTCACTACTTTTCTTCTCCACGTGGGAGAAGATGATGCTTCTGTTCCCCTGCACCTGGAGATTGAAACCTATCGCACTGAGAAGTCCTGCAGGAAGATTACAGATGCTTTCAGCGTGGTAGTTGATAATCCACGTTGAACATTCTGATTTCAGCCGGCCAGTGACCTTCTCTCAAATTTAGCTAATGGCCTGAGGATTCTTGTATCTTTGCTATAGAAATGAGCCACAGAGGCTGGAAATTCCAGACTCTAAGTTATAACTCTTACCCAAATTTTAGTTTCATGTCAACCACTAAATTATCCCTGCTATTGTAACAGGGATTACTATGTTCAGATTCTTAAAGAGAAAAGAAATAATTCATAAGATCAAAATTCAGATGATGCTTTTCTCCACCAGGGATGTTCTTGGGAAGAAAAATAGCTTTCTCACACCATTTATTTGCTACTGGTCAACATGCCTACTTCCACGGGGCTGGGGTAAGTTCAGTTTCTTAAGAGTTCCCTCGTCCCATCCATCTCTTTCAGCGGTGTGGTAGACATGGTCTCCTACTCCATCTTCCAGTCAAGGAAAAAAGTCCCTATGGAAATGGTACTTCACAGACTTGGCCACATAAAAGGTGTACATAAGGTGACAGTTGTCCACAAGCAGAGAGGGTCTAAATAGGTGGTTTAGGAAGTCAAAGTGGGTGTTCTGCAAACAGGAATAGTATATGTTTGTTGCTGCATAGTTTGCAACATGATTTCACATACAGTAGTTTTGTTTGAACCACAACTCCAAATGACAGAATAGATCATCTGATCCCCATTTTTTTTTTTTTTTTTTTGAGATGGAGTTTCGCTCTTGTTGCCCAGACTGGAGTCCAATGGTGTGATCTTGGCTCACCACAACCTGCGCCTCCTGAGTTCAAGCGATTCTCCTGCCTCAGCCTCTCGAGTAGCTGGGATTACAGGCATGAGCCGCCACGCCCAGCTAATTTTGTATTTTTAGTAGAGATGGGGTTTCTCCATGTTGGTCAGGCTGGTCTTGAACTTCCGATCTCAGGGGATCCACCTGATCCCTATTTTATAGTGACCTTGTGCCCACAGAGAACCAATGGCTTGTACTGAGTGCCACTGCTGGTATGTAGCAGATCAGTCTTGTTCCCATATCTTCTGATTTTATTTTAATTTATTTTAATTTATTTTATTTTAGAGACAGAGTCTCGTTCTGTCACCCAGGCTGGAGTGCAGTGGCATGATCTCAGCTCACTGCAACATCTGCCTCCCAGGTTCAAGCAATTATTGTGCCTTAGCCTCCCAAGTATTTGGAATTACAAACTTGTGCCACCACGCCCAGTTAATTTTTTTTGTATTTTTAGTAGAGACAGGGTTTTGCCATGTTGGCCAGGCTGGTCTCGAACTCCTGACCTCAAATGATCAGACGCCTTGGCCTCCCAAAGTGCTAGGTGTGAGCCACTGCACCCAGCCCATGTCTTCTGATTGCATGTATTATGGTCTATCCACATTATCATGCTTTAGGAGGTTTGGCTACTGTAGTTTTCATTTAAAACAGGGGTTGGAAAACGTTTTCTGCAAAGGGCCAGTTAGTAAATACTTTAGACCTTATAGGTCAAACAGTGTCTGTCACAACTCCTCAGTGCTGTCCATGTAGCAGGAAAGCATCCATAGAAGTATGTAAACAAATGAATGTGGCTGAGTATCAATAAAACTTTATTTACAAAAGCAAGTGATGAGCTGGATTTGACCTGCAGGCTATAACCTGCCAACCGTCGACTTTTAAGTATTAGGACCAAGTCTTTATGGTTATTTATGGTCAAGTTAGGGCTGAGCTAGAGGGCAGCTAGGGGTGAGCTGTGATCACTGCTTAGTAGCTCTCTTCCAGAGGCTGACATGAAGGCTGTATCCAGTTCCCAGTGCACGTGGCTCCTACCGCATTCCCTTCCCTGCGGCCAGTGCAGTCCCATTCCTGTCCTAACCTGTCCTATCCCTACACTACCCTAACACTTGCCCACTCCCCAGGCAACTGGAAATCCCAACCGGGGGAGGGAGCCTGGGATGAACTATTCATGGAAATGGCGGCTGTTAGATTGGTGATGTTAAGAGATGTAAGGCAGCCTTTCCATTTGTGTTTGTATTTTCTAGTAGACCATGCATTTCATTCTTGCCTCCACTGCTCTGCACCCCTGACTCACTCCTCACTATTTCTATGACCTCTTGGTTACCCACTCTACGCCCCTCCATTGCACCAACCACACATTCCCTGGCATCATTTCTAGTCCTGACTTTTTCAAAAGAGCTTTTACTCTTTGACTTTCAAATGCACAATGACAACTTGAAAACAAGGAGAAGCTTAGCTGACAGGTCACACACCCAGCAGTTTTAAAAGACCGAGAGAACTTTCGGCTGTAGGGGAGTGAAGAAGTTGATAAATCCTTTCTCTGAAACAACTATAAAACTGGACAATACTGTCAAAAACAACCATTTTGGAGCTCCAGAAATTGGCCAAAGGCAAACAACAAATTGAGAATAGTTTATTTATGATAAACTTCTGAATTTCAGGTAAGAACAGAGGGAGTCTAGGGCATTTTTGCTGCCCATGAAAACCAACAGCTTCACTGCCAGAGGGGGCTGGCTTGATTGGGAGCAGAAAGCACTTGTTTGAGCGCAAGTGCTGGGTAGGAATGGGAGTGGCTCCCAGAAAGCTAGGCTAAAATATAAATAATATTTTAAGAAACTGAGCAGAGATATAAGCAGCTGCACAGCACAGAGTCAAAGGTTCTGCAGATTAAGTCCAAGCAAATGAACACAGATTACCAAACTGATTCGAGAAAAAAAAATAGAAAATCTGAATAGGCCTCTCTCTAACAAGTAAATAAATTGAATTCATATTAAAAATCTTACCCTCCGGCCGGGCGCGGTGGCTCACGCCTGTAATCCCAGCACTTTGGGAGGCCGAGGCGGGCGGATCACGAGGTCAGGAGATCGAGACCATCCCGGCTAAAACGGTGAAACCCCGTCTCTACTAAAAATACAAAAAAAAATTAGCCGGGCGTAGTGGCGGGCGCCTGTAGTCCCAGCTACTTGGGAGGCTGAGGCAGGAGAATGGCGTTAACCCGGGAGGCGGAGCTTGCAGTGAGCCGAGATCCCGCCACTGCACTCCAGCCTGGGCGACAGAGCGAGACTCCGTCTCAAAAAAAAAAAAAAAAAAAAAAAAATCTTACCCTCCACCATACATAAAAAAAGTTCAGGCCCAGATGATTTTACTGGTGACTTCTATCACATTTTTAAAGAAGAAACAATACCCAATCCTACATAAGCTCCGGAAATGGAGGCGAG
Source organism: Homo sapiens (assembly GCF_000001405.40). NCBI lineage: Eukaryota > Metazoa > Chordata > Mammalia > Primates > Hominidae > Homo > Homo sapiens. Next base: position 33,443,285 of record NC_000017.11, on the reverse strand, counting down.
GATACTTCCCAACTCCTATTATAAGACCAGTATTACCCTGATGTCAAGGACAAAGACATCACAAGCAAGGAAACCTGCAGACCAATATCCTGTACAAACTTAGATGCAAAATTTTCTAAATATTAGCAAACTGAATTCATCAACATATAAGAAGGATTATATACTGTGACACAGTGGCATATGCTCCAGCAATACAAGATTGGTTAATTCATGTAATACACCATATTAATAGAAGAAATATCAAAAACCATACAATCACAATAAGTGCAGAAAAAAACATTTCATAAAACCAAACACTGCTGATGACAAAATTTTTTCCAGTAAACTAAGAATAGTAGGGAACTTTCTTGGTTGGAATAAAGACATCTATGAAAACCCTGCCATTTGCCTGATGTTAATGATGAAAGATTAAATGTTTCCCCCACAATCAGAGAAAATGCAAGAATGTCAACTGCCATTAATCCTACTTAACATCATACCGGAGGTTCTAACCAGTGCAATAAGGCAAGAAAAAGAAATTAGCAGTGCACAGATAGGAAACACAGAGAAAAAAAAACTGTCTTTATTCTCAGAAAACATGATCCTTTAGAAAGCCTGTGGAATCTACCAAGAAAGAAAAAAAAACCCAGAAACTACTATAACTAGTGAACAAATTTAGCAAAGGCGCATGATATAAGATCATCTTTTCAAAATAAATTGTATGTCTATATGCTAGCAATGAATAATCCAAAAATAAAATTAGGAAAATGATTCCATTTATGATGTCATCAAAAAGAGTAAAATACTTAAGAATAAATTTAACAAAAGACATGCAAAAGCCAATCACTGAAAACTATAAAACATTGCTGAGATAAATTAAAGAGTATCAAAATAAATGAAGATACAGTTCATGCTCATGAATTAAAGGACTGAATATTCTCTCCAAATAGATCTATAAATTCAACTCAATCCCAAAGAATTTCCCATCAGGCTTCTTTAGAAAATTAACAAGCTGATTGTAAAATTTATATGAAAATTTAAAGGATATAAGATAGCCAAAACTATTCTGTAACAGAGGAACAAAGTTGGAGGACTTAAACTATGCAATTTCAAAACATACTATAAATCCACAGAAATCAAGAAAGTACGGTAATGACAAGAATAGACATATAGATCAATGGAACAGAACCAGGAGCCCCCAAATTAATCCTTTCATTTTGGTTAATTAATATTTGACAAATACTATTTGTGCTAAATCAATTTGGGGGGGAAGTATGGGTTGTTCAACAAGCAATGCTGGGACCACTGGATATCGATATACTGTAGGTGTTGAAAAGAAATATATTTTCTCACTCATTGCTGTGTTTACGCCTGAGTCACCCAAAATAAGGACAGATTTTAAAAAGCATAACAAATTTATTTAATGTAAGTTTTATTTGACGGAGGAGGCTTCAGAAATGAAGACCCAAATTTCTATGCATAAGATTGATGAAAAGTAGACAGTTGTGCAGAAGTATGATTGGACAAAAGGGGTATAATCTAATGATTAATAATAAACTGGGGGGAACTTTGCAAGGTCTATTTATTCAGATTCTTCTCTGTGTCTTCAGAGATAACAAACATCCTTTCTTCCAGGTAGAGAGAGGGCACCACTGAAATGAGGTCCTTATGACCTGCTTCATGGGAGAAGGAGAAGGAAGGAGGTGAGAATGACCTTCTCCTTCTGCTGTTTTCTCAAATGTTCATGGTGTCATATTTTGGGGCAGCATGTCCTGAAGCCCCATCAATACAAAACAATAAACTTACACCCTCACATTTTAGCATACACAAAAATCAATTCAAACTGGAACATAGACCTAAATGTAAGAACTAAAACTATGAAATATTTTTATGGGAGAAAATCTTTTTGACATTGTATTAGGCAAAGACTTCTTAGGTATAACACTGAAAAGATAGTCCATAAAAGAAAAAACTGATAAATTGGACTTCATATAAACCTTTTAAAAATGTTTTTCAAGAGGCATCATTAAGAAAATGAGTCCAGTGCAGTGGCTCATTCCTGTAATCCCAGGAAAGGCTGAGGTGGGAGGACCACTTGAGTCCAGGAATTCAAGACCAAACTAGGCAACATAGCTAGACCCCATCCCTACAAAAAAATATAAGTAAATAAATTAGCCAGGCATGGTAGCACATGGTTGTAGTCCCAGCTACTTGGGAGGCTGAAGTGGGAGGATCACTCAAGCCCAGGAGGTCAAGCCTACAGTGAGCTGTGATCACACCACTCCATTCCAGTCTGGGTGACAGAGCAAGGCCCTGCCTTTAAAAAAAAGAAAAGAAAAGAAAAAGAAAGAAAGGAAAACATAAGCCACAGACTGGGAAGAAATATTTGCAAGTAATAAAAATATTGCAAATAATATAAATATTTGAAAGTAATATAAAGCACTTGTATCCAGAATATGTGAAGAACTCTTATAACTCGATTACAAGAAAACAAACGACCTACTTTTTTAAATGAGTAAAAGATTTGAGTACACATTTCACCCGAGAAAATACATGAATAGTTAATAAGTATATGAAAATATATTCCACATCATTAGTCATTAGGGAAGTGCAGATTGAAACTACAGTGAGATATCACTACACATCTACTAAAATGGTTCTAATCAGAAAGACCAACGATATACTTCGTGTTGATGAGGATATGAAGAAATTGGAACCCTCTTTCTTTGCTGGTGGAAATGTGAAGTGGCACTGCCACTTTACATAAAAATTTGGCACTTCCTCGGAAGTTTAAACACAGTTACCATGTGACCCAGCAATTTCTAGGTATCTACCCAAGAGAAATGAAAACATATGTCTACAAAGACTTGTATGCAATTGTTTATAACAGCACTATGCTTAATAATCAAAATGTGGAAATAATCCAATTGTCAGCTGTTTAATAAACAAAACATGGTGTATACATGTAATGGAACAGTATCCAGCAATAAAAAGAGTGAAGCACTGGTACATGCTACATCCAACCTCGAAAACGTCAGGCTAAGGAAAAGAGGCCAGATCCAAAAGACTTTCATGTGTATGGCATTTCTAGAAAAGGTAAATTTACAGAGACAGCTAGCTGGTCAGTGTTTGCCTAAGGCTGGGGGTGGAAATGTGGATTGACCGCAAATGGGCACAAGAGAGCATTTTGAGGGGACGGAAATGTTCTAAGGCTGGATTATGATGATTGCACTATGCAAAAATCATTGAACTGTGCATTTACAAGGGGTGAAGTTTATGGCATGTAAATTATACCTCAAAATATCTGTTTAAAAATAAGAAGCCTAAAGCCTCCCCGAATACAGTCGTCCTGCTCTATAAAGCCACATTGCCTTTACCAGGTCACCTTTGACTTGCATGCACGCTCGCATCTCAGGAGTTCATCACCCTCTGCCTTGTCCTTGCCTGGCAGACTGGAGCCGATGCTTCCTCCATTGCTCCAGAGTGGGTGCAGAGGCCAGCCAAGGTCTTGTAACATGTTGAATCATCTTTATTATTCTGTAGAATCCCCTCCCGAAGATGTTTACAAATGTCCAGTGTTCATCAATTGTCTTCAGTTCTCCTTTGGCTCTGGGCTTCTGGTTTTTCTTCTCTCTCCTCTGTCTGACTTCAGATGACACATTTGTGAAACTCAGCCTCTCCTTGATTTCAACATGCCTGAAACCCCACTCAAATAAAGCACCAATGAGTATGGAGTACACTTTAGACATCTTGGGGAGCTGAAGAAGCAGGGAATAGAGGGGGGTAATTTACACTACAGCACTTAAAACAACTTTGCATGGAACCCCTATGATATCCCTATTCTTAACATGCTCTTAAGTCCTCTCAGGGAATTCTCACAGGCCCTTCCCCCTACACTGTTTCACTCCATACAGTCTTTTCTTTCTTCTTCCCAGCCTTCACTCCTCCCCCCGTCCAAAATGAAAATATTCCTCTTATTTTCTTTTTAAGACCAGTTTAAGTTAAGACAGTTTAAGACTATCTTCTTTGAGGCCTTGTCCCCTTTCACTCCGAGTGGCTTATTATGACATTGACTTAGATCATGGTATCAGCCAGGTGTCTAAATTGAAAGTCACACACAAGGCTGACACAGTGCCACAGCACTGCAAGAATTCCCCACCATTGGCCGGGTGTGATGGCTCATGCCTGGAATCCCAGCACTTTGGGAGGCCAAGGAGGCAAGATTACCTGAGCCCAGGATTTTGAGACCAGCCTGGGCAACATAGCGAGACCTCTTCTCTACTAAAAATACAAAAATTAGCTGGGCATTGTGGCAAATGCCTATAGTCCCAGCTACTTGGGAGGCTGATGTGGGAGGATTTTTTGAGCACCAGAAAGTTGAGGCTGCAGGGAGCCATGATTGTGCCACTGGCCTGTGTAACAGAGCAAGACCCTGTCTCAAAAAAAAAAAAAAAAAAAGGTTCCCCTGCCATCATTATTTCTCCACCCCAGAACCCCAGAGGCTGAAGTGAGTGCTTCTGATTGGTTGGGCCAGGTCATGTGCCTCATGTGCCTGCTCTCTAACGACAAAGGAGCCTGGGAAAATGAGTAATTGTCCTGTTCAGCTTTTATAGTGAAGAATAGTCTCTTCTCACAAAAATTCATATCACAGAGGAAACATAGGAAGGAAACTCAGATGTTAAGAAACCCCAAGGTATCAAAAACTGCTTTTATGACTAATTCAAATAATCACCGAGACAAATGGGTAGCTCAATGTGTTCAACAAAATGATTCAGAAATTCTGAACTGATTTTCTTAGCACATGCTTTGTCTTACTATGTGAAGATTCCAGCTTATAAAGAAGAAAATTTGCAAGTTGGTCCTGGAGAGTGTGAAGTGATTGATGTTCTTCAACTCTTTGCTTCATTATGCACATCATGGCCCTCCCAACCTTGGACTGTCTATGTAACGAAGCTTTGTTGTCCCATGGGCTTGCACAATCATTGAACAGCTCACACTTCCCTCCATCCTGTGAAGCAATTACTGTTCTGTAAACAAATGCTTACCTTATCCTCCAAGCTACTATTTAAAGGAAGCTTGAAGCTGAACCCTTCTTTAAAGGGAAGAGTCTTTTTGTGGTGAAAATATCACAATTACCCTGAAATTTTGCATATTGGGTATCGTTAAAGTAGAATTTGCCTAAAACTATGGAGCCCCCATCATAAATATACATTGCTCATGACATTTTCTGAGACTCTGTATGACCCCAGAGGGCTTCTGGTTAGAAATAAAATAGAAATGTCAAATACAAGGAGACCTCTACTCAGGGACAAGTTATATTTTATTACTTAGCTCTTTCTTGGTTGCCTAATAAAAGCCTGTAGTTTACTCTCATGACTTCAACCTAGTCATTGGATAATCTCTTCAAATGTCTAGAGGCCAGAGGGAACAGGAAGGTGGGAGTCCATATGATATCCAAAGCTTGATCCTCCATGCAGAATTTAAATCTGGAAGTTTTTTGGGTTTGTTTTTGTTTTTTTGGCATGGGGTCTCACCCAGGCTGGAGTGCAGTGGTGTGATCTCGGCTCACTGCAACCTCCGCATCCTGGGTTCACGCGATTCTTGTGCCTCAGCCTCCCAAGTAGCTGGGACTACAGGTGTGTGCCACCACACCCAGCTAATGTTTGTATTTTTAGTAGAGACGAGGTTTCACTGTCAGGCTGGTCTTGAGCTCCTGACCTCAAGTGATCTGCCCACCTCAGCCTCCCAGAGTGCTGGGATTACCGGCATGAGCCACCACACCTGGCCCTTAAACCTGGAGGTGTTATTGATCAAGGTGGCCTGACAGATATGTTTTCTTCAGCCTGGATATATATGTGGGTTTTAAAAAAATCTTTCCATTTTAATATAAAAGAAATAGCATTAACTATATAATGATGTTTATAGTAAACAGTTCTTTGTGTTTTCTTTATAGTTTTATCACTCAAGTGTGCATAGTGACTATAGTTTAGTCTTGCCCATTTAAAAATGTTGGTATGTTGTGGTCCCAGCTCCTTGGGAGGCTGAGGCAGGAGGATTGCTTGAGCCTAAGAGTTCAAGGTTGCAGTGAGCTATGATCTTGCCACTGCATTCTAGCCTGAGATCCTGTCTCAAAAGAAGTTGGGGCCGGGCGCGGTGGCTCACGCCTGTAATCCCAGCACTTTGGGAGGCCGAGGCGGGCAGATCACGAGGTCAGGAGATCGAGACCATCCTGGCTAACACGGTGAAACCCCGTCTCTACTAAAAATACAAAAAATTAGCCGGGCGTGGTAGCGGGCGCCTGTAGTCCCAGCTACTCGGGAGGCTGAGGCAGGAGAATGGCATGAACCTGGGAGGCGGAGCTTGCAGTGAGCCGAGATCGCGCCACTGCACTCCAGCCTGGGCGACAGAGCGAGACTCCGTCTCAAAAAAAAAAAAAAAAAAAAAAAAAAAAAAGAAGTTGGAATGTGTTTTAAGGCATTGCATGTTCCTTATAGGTTGCTATTGTGATCACCCAGCAGGTTCTTAGTGCTCCCCTCCCTATCACCCTCGTACAGAAAATAACCAAGTCACTGAGACTGTGGTATTGCGGTAAAGAAAGGGTTTAATTAATGCAGAGCAGCTGAGTGAAAGGACTGACACTGTCACTCAAGTCAGTCTCCCTGAGACTCAAAGGCTGGGTTTTTATGGATAATTTGGTGGACAGAGGGCTAGGAAATGGGTGCTGCTGATTGGTTGGGGATGAAATCATTGGGGTGTGGAAAACGGTCCTCATATGCTGAGTCGTTCTCTGGGTGGAGGCCACAGGACCAGTTGAGCCATGAGTCACAAGTCTGGGTGGGTTCAGTCAGTTGCCAGAATGCAAAAGTCTGAAAAACATCTCAAATGACCAATCTTCAGTTCTGTAATGGTGATCTTATCTATAGAAACAATTGAGGAAGCCACAAATCTTGTGACCTCTGGCCACATAACTCCTGAGCAGCAAGAGTTTATAGAAACTATACCTACATTTTAGCAGAATTCAGGCCCCTAATTCAGAATCCTAAGCCTGTGGCCTTTCATTAGTCTTACAAAGGCAGTTTCAGTGTCCAAACAGGGAAGGGATCAGTTTTAGAGAGGGGCTATTATCATCCTTGCTTCAAGGTTAAACTATAAACTAAATAGCCTGGCCTATGCCCAGGCATGAGTGAAGACAGCCAGATTGTGAGGTTAGAAGCAAGATGGAGTCAGCCATGCTAGGTTTTTCTCACTGTCATCATCTTTGCAAAAGCAGTCTCACTATCATTCCTTTCTCTTTATTTTTCTTCACAATTTATCTGTTGAGGAACCTGAGTCATCTGACCTGATTTCTCCCGGGTTTTGCTAATTGCTGACTTGTGGTGCAGCTCAGCACATTCCCTTGTCATCTGTATTTCCCGCAAATGGGCTGCTGGGTCTAGAGGTCTGATCAGACTCAGGTTTGACCACTTTGGCCAGACCACAAGTGGTACATCAGGAGGCAACTAATGTTCATTTTCCTTTCATGCTGTTAGCAGCCATGGATGCTCAGTGCCTAGATTCAATAATTTGTTAGGAGATATAAATGGTGGATCCTAATTCAGTCTGGTTTGTTTTTTAATTTATTAGTAGAACTGCTTCTATAAAGAGACATTTCCCCTATCATTCATACAGGAAAGGCAGAATAAATGCTTGATCCGTCCCCTTTATTTACCAGATTTCAAGATAATGACTGGCTCCCTCATTCTCCAAGCTGACATATATTTGTATGGCGGCAGTGGGGGTAGGAGGGCCTGGGTAATTATGAATGCATGTATTTAAATATTAATATGTGTGATGCATTTTAATTCATTTTAATTGTTATTCTTATTGATACTCAAATGGACTCATCTTTGGCTAGTGGATGCTTTTTCAGTTGGTACCTGTATCCTTTAGATTATGGTGGTTTTTGGTGATTTCTTTGCTATTTACTATGACAAGATATCCCAGACTTATTGTGCATTTCTGGCCTCAGACCTGAAATCTGCCATGTCTCAAGAAGTCCTGATTCCCTCTAGTGGGAAATGGTACTTCAATACCAAAATCTGTGTACCAGGGATGTTCACTGCTAGTAGTTCAGTCATTATTTCTAGGCCTTTTCAGCAAACAGAGCTAGAAAATTTATACACTGTATTCATACTGATACTTCTAATTTGAATTCAGAACTACCAGGTTTTACTCTATCTCTTTCCTAGTATGTCTGTATCTCTGTCCCTTCAAAATGAGTGTCCTGGTTTCTTGAGTACTTAGGAGATAAGATTAGAATATCCTATGATTAATCATTTGTTTTATCTCACATTACCTACTCAACAGTCTCAGAAAGACAATATAAATACTACCACCACAAATATGACTACTGGAAAAAATTAGAAAAAAATCTGCATATATTCTCCACATTGTCCTCTGAACTTTTGTAGTTGTATTATATCTACATTTTCAAATCAGATAGCCATTGCATACCTTACTCTCCGTTCTAACCTTCATTTGGTCTTAGTTTCATAAGGCTATGCATTTAACGCTCACTGCCAAACCTTTACTATCAATGGCTCTTTGGTTATTTTGCTTATCTGAAGCTTATTCTCTAGTAAATCCCTCAAGAAGTGCTCATTGTCTTGAGTTCTTGTATATCGATGAGTTACCTATGTCCTTTGTACATAAAAGTCAGTTTTTCTGGATAAAAAATCCTTGCATTGTATTTTCTTTCTTTAAGTATCTTAAAAATATTACTTTGTTTCCTGCTAGCATAAAGCATTGTTGTCAAAAAGTCTGGTAATAACCTAATTTTCCTTTCCTTTATAAGCTATTTCCTTTTTTGGCTAGATGCCTAAATAATTTTTTCTTCTTAAAGTGCAGTAATTTTACCAGAATATATTTTGGTGTTGGTCACTCAAGCACAATTTTTCAGGTACACTGTGTTTGTGTTCTTTCTATATGCAGATTTAGATTTGTTATTATCTATATCATTATTTCAGGAAAGCCTTGAATTATAATGTCTAGTATTTGCTCCATTTCCTTACTTTGGTTTTCTTTTTCAGGGACTTCTATTATTATGTAATAGATATTCTATGCCACTGTTCAGTATTTTCATTTTCTCTCAAATACCATTTGTCTTTTTGTTCTATTTATTTTATTTATTTATTATTTATTTATTTATTTTTTGAGAGGAGGTCTCGTAATGTTGCCCAGGCTGGTCTTGAACTCTTGGATACTGACAAGCCTTCTGCCTCAGGGACTATAGTGCTTACCACCCTGTCCGGCTTACTTCTTTTTGATTTTTAAAAATTTTCTCCTTTTTACCTTCTGTTTCTCTTACCTATTGTTTCTCTGTGCCCCACCCCCACCTCATGTAGTGGAAATCTGCATATACTTTTTGACTCCCTAAGCCATTGTTTTTTTAACTTTTATGTTCAGGAGTACATGTGCAGGTTTGTTATGTGGGTAAACTTGTGTCATGGAGATTTTTTGTACAGATTATTTCGTCACCTAGGGGTTTTTTTGTTTTTGTTTTGTTTTGTTTTTTGAAACAAACAAAAATCCTGCTCTGTCACCCAGGCTGGAGTGCACTGGCACGATCTACGCTCACTGCAACCTCTGCCTCCAAGTTCAAGCGATTCTCCTGTCTCAGCCTCCCAAGTAGCTGGGACTACAGGCACACACCACCACGCCCCACTAATTTTTGTATTTTAGACGGGGTTTCACCATGTTGGCCAGGCTGGTCTTGAACTCCTGACCTCAAGAGATCCACCCGCCTTGGCCTCCCAAAGTGCTGGGATTACAGGCGTGAGCCACTGTGCCTGGCCGGTCATCAAGGTATTAAGCCTAATACCCACTGGTTATTTTTTCCTGATCCTCTCCCTCCTCCAAACTTCCACTCAATGACAGGCCCAGTGTCTAGCGTTCACCTCTGTGTGTCCATGTGTTCTCATCATTTAGCTCCCACTTATAAGTAAGAACATGTGGTATTTGGTTTTCTGTTCCTGTGTTAGTTTGCTAAGGATGATGGCCTCCAGCTCCATCCATGTTCCTGCAAAGGACATGATCTCATTTTTTTAATGGCTACATAATATTCCATGGTATATATGTAGCACATTTTCTTTATCCAGTCTACTATTGATGGGCATTTAGGTTGATTCCATGTATTTGCTATGGTTACTAGTGCTTCAGTGAACATACATGTGCATGTCTTTATGATAGAACGATTTCTATTCTTTTGGCTATATACTCAGTAATGGGATTGCTGGGTTGAATGGTAGTTCTGTTTTTAGGTCTTTGAGGAATCACCACACCGTTTTCCACAATGGTTGAGCTAGTTTACACTCCCACCAACGGTGCGTAAGTGTTCCTTTGTCTCTGCAACCTTGCCAACATCAGTTATTTTTTGACTTCTTATCATAGCCATTCTAACTGGTGTGAGATGGTATCTCATTGCGGCTTTGATTTGCATTTCTCTGATGGTCAGAGATGTTGAGCTTTTTTTCATATGCTTGTTGGTCACGTGTATATCTTCTTTTGAAAAGTGTCTGTTCATGTCCTTTGCCCACTTTTTAATGGACTCCCCAAAACTTAACTAGGAATAGTCTACTGTTAGCCAGAAGACTTGCTGACAACATGAACAGTTGATGAATACGGTTTGTATGTTATATGCATTATATACTGTACTCTTATAATAAAGTAAGCTAGAGAAAAGGTTGTTAAAAAAGTCCTAAGGAAGAGGAAATATATTTCCTATTCATTAAGTGGAGGTGAATCATCATGAAGTCTTTTTTGCCCAGGCTGGAAGGCAGTGTAGGGATCATGGCTCACAGCAGCTTCGACCTCCTGGGCTCAAGCGATCCTCCCAAAGGGATCCTCCCACTGAGTCTCCCGAGTAGCTGGGACTACATGTATATGCCACCATGCCCAGCCAATTTTTGTACTTTTTGTAGAGACGAGGTCTCATTATGTTCCCAAGGCTGGTCTCGAAATCCTGAGCCCAAGCAATCCTCCCACCTGGGCCTCCCAAAGTGCTAGGATTATGGGCATGAGCCGCCACACCTGGCCATTATAAAAGTCTTCAGTCTTGTTGTCTTCACGTTGAGTAGACTGTGGAGGAGGAGGAAGAGGAGGTCTTGCTGTCTCAGGGGTGGCAGAGGCAGAAGAAAATCTACGTATTACTGGACCCACGCAGCTCAACCTCATGTTGTTCAAGGGTCAATTGTATTAATTTACTCTTGTGATCCTTCTAGTTTGGTCTTCATTTCTGAAGTGACTTCTTTCTTTTGTTTCTCATTCTTGCCTGTGATTTGCCATAAGTCTTTGAGTATTTTTTACATTCTCATTTGTGTTGTCCTTGCATCATTTTCTTAATGTCTTTTCAGTTATTTTGGAATATAGTGCATTATAGTTATACTCTTTCGTGGGCATATCTTACTGGTATACTTTCACTGTCTATAGAGAAGTTGTCTGTACCTTATTCTCTTCGTTCTTATGATGATTTTGTGTGGGTTTTGCCCTCAATATTTTTATGATGTTTATTTTAACGCAATCATAGTTTTCCTGGGATTTGTGAAGGAGACCTGGTTCAGGTTAGCTTTTCTAACTTCACAGAGCTCCTTCTTTTGTTGCTTTTGTGCAATACTCTAAAATATGGTATCTTTTCTTCTGAGATTTCCTGACTCTCTTCCTCTACCCAGTTTTTATATGACTCTGTCACCCAGGCTGGAGTACAGTGCTACGATCTCAGCTCACGGCGACCTCCGCCTCCCAGGTTCAAGTGATTCTCGTGCCTCAGCCCCCCTGAGTAGCTGGGATTACAGGTGTGTGCCACCATGCCTGGGTAATTTTTGTATTTTTAGTAGAGACAGGGTTTCATCATGGCCAGGCTGTTCTCAAACTCCTGAGCTCAAGTGATCTGCCCGCCTCGACCTCTCAAAGTGCTGGGATTACAGGCGTGAGCCACCACTCCTGACCTCTTTCTTCTGATTCTATCATCCCTATTGTACTCAACTTTGATTCCACACCTTGCAGTTTCTCATCAGTATGTGGACTCTGGATGGGGTACTCCTGGTTGGTCAATTTTAAACATTTATAGGGTCTGGACTGTTTCATCCTTTTAGACGTTGCCACAGACCCACGAATGGAGTGGGCAGACCCCTTCCCAGTTTTACCTAATGTTATCAAATTGCCCCCTGTGCTTTCCAGTGAGGACATGCTGGCTACTTGGGGATTCTCTTTTTCTCAGATCTGTCAGATACCTTGCTGCCCCCCTCTGCATCCTCTCACATAGATGCTGAGACCAGGCAGGGCTTGTGGTCTTTAGTGGTTTGTCCTCACCTGCTTATATTTAGGGTCCATGGGGATACCTCATTACCCAGTGTGCTTTACCTCATTACCCAATGTGCATGGACATTTAATAAATGTCCATGGGTTTAGGAGCTTTGGTCTCTAGTTGCTCTGTTTGTTTTTATGTAGAGAATGAAATTCAAAAACCATACTGCCTTCATCTAATCTATGTACAGTTTTTTAATCGTTTGTTTTTATTTGAACTGCCAACTATTTTCCATTAAAATACAGATTATTGGCTTATCTTGAGAAGTTACAATGTCTGGTTACACTGGACCGCATTTCCACATGGCAGCTGCAGGTTGGAACTGAGTAGCTGCATTCACAATTAGATGGACCATGGGCTTTCCAGGTTGCTGTGGCCCCAGCACCCTGCATTGCTTCACTGACCACTTGACATTTACATTATTATTCCCAGCCCTACATCTAGATGAAGGCATTGACAATTATGACTCCTATCGTAGGGTCAGTGACGTGAAGTAGGGTATCCAGGAGCCCCTTACCTATGTAACCAGTTTTTAACGCTGTATTCCCCCAACTTTATTTCCTTCATTCTGCATCCTTGGTGCCCTACTCTTGATGCCTCTGCCCCTTCTAGATTTTCCCCCCAGGAGTCCCATCGAGCATTTGGGTTTCTACCTTCCCAGCCCTCCTCCTTCCAACTCCTGGTCCCATAAAACCCTTGAAGGTGTTAAGACTGCCTGTGGATGCAGTTCATAAGAGAAGGCACTGAGGCCCAGGTGAGAGTCAGAAAGGTAATGGAGGCCAGTTTTAACATGGCCTAAGCAGGAGACAAGAGGACAAGACCAGCGAGGAGCCAGGGTTTCAGTGGGTCATGCAGCCAAGAAGAATGAAAATCAAAGCCCTGGTTCTGGGGATGGGACTGGAGAAAACACTAGGCTAGTACAACAAAAGGGAAGGGTTCTATAGTCTGTGAAATGAGTAGGATCTGGATATGGTGTTTGGTTGGGTGAAGGATGTATTTTGAAGGTAGTGATTCCTGTGCACTGGATCCCTTTTGTGCACAGGCTGGTGTTCAACTTAAGCAGGTTGCTTTTCACCAATTGCCACTGGGCCACCCCCCTTAGCCATGGTTTCTAGGAACATATTTAGACATACAAGGGGTTGCTTATGATTCCCTGGAAAGCCCTATGCTCTTATATCTGTACATTATACCTACTGTTTCTCTCATATGCCCCTCTCTGTCTTTGCTCAGGCAACAAAATGCCTCAGATCTCATTTTGTTCAAAACTACCTAGGCTGGGCTGGGGGCGGTGGCTCATACCTCTAATCCCAGCACTTTGGGAGGCCGAGGTGGGCAGATCACGAGGTCAGGAGATCGAGACCATCCTGGCTAACACAGTGAAACCCCGTCTCTACTAAAAATACAAACAATTAGCTGGGCATGGTGGCAGGCGCCTGTAGTCCCAGCTACTCGGGAGGCTGAGGCAGGAGAATGGCGTGAACCCAGGAGATGGAGCTTGCAGTGAGCCGAGATCACGCCACTGCACTCCAGCCTGGGCGACAGAGCGAGACTCTGTCTCAAAAAAACAAAAAAAGACAAAACAAAACAAAACAAAAAACTACCTAGGCTGAACAAGGTACTTCTCCTCTGTGCTCTCTCAGCCCCCAAGGAAAGTATTCATCATAGTCTTATCTTATCTCTTATTTGTCTCTACTAAGCCAAAAGCTCCTTGAGAACAAGAAGAGGGTTTTATTAAATTCTGTATCTTCTACACCTACCATGTTACAAGTGCTAAAAAAAAAATGTCTAAAATGCTTCTGAAATCATTGGTACCCCACAGATGCAAGTTGGTACTAGCATCCATTCACAAGAGAGTTCCAGGAGACCAGACACCTTACCCTGACACACAGGGCTGAGATCACCTGGGTGAGCTCACAATATCTGACCATCTCCTCAGCATCTTCATCTGCTAGGACTCCCTTTCTAATCACTTTAATTACTTTATTGCAGGTTTCATCAGGATGATAACATGAGGGAGTACAAAGAGACAGCCGAGCCCCCTGAGTTATTGTGCAGAGATGGGAACAGTGTCTCATTAGTCATGGAAATTTGAGGACAGACAAAGGTTTTCAGAATCAGCTGTCATCATTGCTCATAAGTTACAAAGAGAACATTCAGAGACAGGAACGTGGTCTGGACAGAAAACAATGGTGGGTGGGAGGAAGGTAGAGGGCTGTCCGTCAGTGGAGAAGTGGGCATCCGGCACACCTGCATTCCAAAGGTGGAGGACTGCAGGGAGGGTTCATGGGTCAAAGCTATGGACTGTGGAAAGTGGATTTACCTGACTGGCTCTGGACCTCTCTTCTTCCCTCCAATGAGGCCACTTGATTTCCTTCCCTGTGTCCTAAGGGAAATTTAGGGATCCACAGAAACTGTGGACACTGAGACAACTGACTATCAGCCCACTGTGACCCTGGGCTCTGATCCACACTAGGCTTTAGACTTATCCCAGAGTAGAACTCACAGCGTAAACCAAGTTTTAGCCCTGGAAATTGAGGCAATACCCTATACCTAATCCCTGCTTTGTTGACTTACTCACTCGATTCTCTAATGCAGTGGTTCTCAATCCTGGATGCACATTAGAGTCATCTGAGGGCTTTTAAACATACCAACGCCTAGACTTCACCCCAGACCAAATGAATCAGAATTTCTGGGGATATGACTTGTGCATAGATTTTTTAAAGCTCCCCAGGAGCATTGGTTATCTAATACTATATAGCAAATTACTCCAAAAAAATGACTTAAAACAAAACGTATGTGTTGTCTCACCATCTCTGTGGATCAGGAAGCTAGAGAATGGTGTAGCTAGGTAGTTTAGGCTCAGGGTATCCTATGAGGTTGCAGGTAAGATGTCAGCTGGAGGCTGGAAGATCTCTTTCCACAAGGTTCTTTCATATGGCTGTTGTTAGGAGACCTCAGTTACTTGCCACATGGACCCCTCCACAAGGTTGATTGAGCATCCTGACAACATGGCTGCTGGCTTTTTCCACAGCAAATAATCCAAGAAAGAGACAGAAAGACAGAGCCACGGTGTGTTTTATGGCCCAGCCTTGAAAGTCACACTCCATCATTTCCACAATGTCCTCTTGGTTACATAGGATAGTCATATTCAGTATAGGAGGGACTACACAAGGGCTGGTACACAAGGGAGTAAGGTTCTTTGGGGGCCATTTTCAAGGCTAGCTCCATACCAGGTATCTCTAGTGTACAGCCAGGGTTGAGAATCACTGCTTCTAGTCCCTTTGGGGCTGAGGCTCTGCCTTTGTCTTGCTTAGCTCAAAGAGTGAGCCTCCCTGGGACATTTCCCCTTTAATAGATTTAAAGCCTTAAACTCCTGGGATAATCAGCATTTTATTGGGGGAGGATGGAGAGTTGGAGGATGGGGAGATTTTGGGTCCCTCTCAAACGTGTACCCATATTACCACTTACAAAGCCCTTTCATAGTTTTCTCTCATTTGATTCCGAAGCAGGCAAGACTTATTAGTGTTTATTCCCTTCACACAGCAGCCAGAATGGTTTTGGTCTTTTTAACTATAATGGATACTTTCATACATAATTCTTTGTTCTGCTAGCAGATTATTCCCATGGGGTAGATTCTGCAACATGAAAATACTTGTTCAAATCTTTGTTTTCCCCTGTACAGAGGCTCAAGTATTTTTGAAGCTTGGTTGTTGTTTTTCCATCTCTTATTGTTTATTTTATTTTTAGCATGTGAATCCAATCATTACACTCCTGTTTAAAATTGAGCGATGGTCTCCCAACAATCACGGGGGTAAGTCCCGAATCCTTCTGATCGATGGGCTGATGCATCACTGGCCCTTCTCTTGTCCTCCACCCCAGCCTCATGCCACTCCATTTTGCACCTTGATCACTGTTTCTGGCCATGCAGGCTTAACTGCAGCTCCTCAAGTATACAAATCTTTTCCCATCCACAGGGCCTTTGAAAGAGCTCTTCCTCTGAATATGACTCAGATAACTTACCCTTCAGGTATCAGCTATAAGTCGCTTCCTCAAAGAGGTCTTCCCTTATTCCCCTCCCTAAAAGTTTCTCCCATAGCACCTTGTTTTTTCCCATCATATCATTTATTGCAAACTGCAATAATGTGTGCATTTGTGTGATTACTTGCTTATTTCCACTAGACTAGAAGCTCCATGAGGACAGAGATCATGGACTTTTGTTTGCTGCCTGCCCCCAGAGCCTACCTGGCATACAGCAGGTCCTCACAAGGAACTTCTTGAATCAATGTTTGTGAATAGAAAACCAGGGCCCAGAAGAATTTAGAGATGTGCTCAAGGCTGCCTGTCCAGGTAGCAGGACACCTGCCTAGCCCTGATGGCAAATATATTACATTCAGAATCCCCACTCATGCCTGGTATCCATCCTGTCCTGGAATCCCTCATGTGGAGAAGTGTCTATAACACCTGCTCTAAAGCTGGCTTTAAGGTCTCCCCACCAACGAAACAGCCAAAGTTTTGTGGTGGTCAAGAGTTTGCCTCAGCCCCAGAAAGGGATGACTGGGCTCCTGCGTTTTGGTACAGAGGGCTCTTATAGAGTAACCTTGAATCATTCTACTGCAGACCTTCTCATTATGAGCATTCACGTCTCTTAAAATGGTCGTATGAGTTCCCATCTGGCCTTTGAGGATGCTGCCAGGCAGCCTGTCCATAAAGGTAAAGTGCCCTGGCTATGATTATTTAATAATCCCCCAAACCATTGGGCTATTTCTTCCATGATCTGTGTTCCTGCTGCTCTCAGAGCATGTCCAGCACAGCAAAACAACAAAAACAACAACAACAAAAACAAATAGTTCAACAACAGCCTCAACAACCCTTCATTGTCCCTGGGCACTAGTCAGGTGCCCTGGTTGGCTGAGTGGCAGGTTGAAGAATGCTGAGGAACACAGGAGGAGCAGAAGTGAAGTCAAAGCCCTTGCCCTTACTAGCCCCTCTCTCTCCAGAGTCCCTGCGCTTCACCTTCCACCCCTACAGCCATTTTTGTTGGCGCTGCGCCTGACCGGGTCTCCTAGGGGCAGGCCAGGATCTAAGTCCTCTCCCTAGCAAAATATGCACATCCTGGGAGTCACCCACACATTTTCTGTGTTGTAGAATCTGTCAGTGAATGTCTCAGAATGCCCAGATGGAGGACTTCACAGCCAGATTCATCCCTAATAGCCACGCAAGGACACCATGGAGACTCAAATGCCTAACTACTGGTCTATCCCCTTCCAGACAGATAATTTATGTTTCTCCCCATCCCTTCTGTTTTCTCAACCTTCCCTGACCACCATCTCTCTGTGTCCAAATCCTACTCATCCTTCGAGGCTCAAACTCTGCCTCCCTCATGAAGTCTGCCCATTCCTGTAGCTGCAATCAATCCCTCCATCCTCTGAACCCCCACGGCACTCTCACTCCACCTCCCCAATGATCCTTGAAACCAATCTTCTGCTTTCTAATCATGTTATTTTTGCACACATTTTAACAATCACTTTCCCCCAACTATTATGTACATCTCTCTAATTCATAACTGCCTGTCTGTACTCTACAGAGACTATATGCCACGATAGAAAGATCACTGGCTTTGGCATCTGACAGAGCTGAGTTGTTTTCCATTTTTCTCCTTCTTCTGTTTCCTTTCTTTCTTCTCTGAATATTTCTCAAGGTCTCTATGTGCCAGGCACCATGCAGTGCCCTAGCAAGACAATGCACAAAACAGACACAGCCTCTGCCCTCATGGAGTTTAGAGACTGAGTTTTCTAATCTCCAGTCCTTTAATTACTGGCTGTGTAACTTGGAAAAGTTGTTTCATCTCAAAGAGCCTCAGTTTCCTCATTTACAATACTGGGCTTCATAATAATTTTCTCCTAGGAGTGTTGGGAAATTTAAGTGGAATAATGTGTGTAAATTATTTAATACTTAATACATGGTTAATAAATGTGCATTTCCTCTCCCTATTCCTCATTTAGTGAAAAATCTCTGGGCACTCCAAGAGATCCACTGACAGATTCTGCAGCACAAAAAGAAGGTGCAAGTGGCTCCCAGGTTGGGCATATTTTGATGGAGAGAGGACTGAGATCCTGGCCCGCCCCTAGGAGACAGGGTCAGGTATGGCACCAACAAAGGTGGCTGTGGGGGTAGAAGGTGAAGTGCAGGAACTCTAGAGGTAGAAGGGCTAGTAAGGGCAGGGATTCAAGTGTGTTTGTTGAAAGAGAGGAAGGAAGGACTAAAGGAAGGAAGAAAAGGAGGTGAAAAATAATGAAAGTTGATCCGAGAACTTTCTCTGGATTGCCAGCACTCATTGTGCCCTTTTTGCTTTCCTGTCTGGATTTTAAAAGGAGATGTTAATTGCAGCTCCAGATAAAGACATTAGCTTCCCAAATTATTTTCAGGCTACCCAATGTGCAAATCCAGTCACAGAGCCAGAGCTGGGGCCTCTGCCATAGACTAATTACACTTTTTCTTTTAATTCCTCCAGTGTTTTCAGGGTCCCTAAAAGCTGCTTTCCCCGGACTCCCCACTGAACTTCTGCCCTTCATATTTATAACCCCCTAGTTTCTCTCCTTCCTGGTTTCCCAGACAGTGGTGCAGACAAAAGGACCATTTATAACAGCTTTTCTGACAGCTGGACATTATTTAATTACAACTTCTGGCAGCCACATAGTGTGCTGGAGGCTATTTAAAGTTCTAGGTGGCAGGAGGAGAAATGGGGAAACGTATAACCCTTGGGGGCAGGAGTGAGGAAAGCCAGTGTGGGCAGTGACCAGAACAGACTCTCAGGGCCCTGCTCTGAAGTGGCATTTCTCAGAGCCCCACCCTGTAGCATCAGAGTCTCTGTGGAAGAAGGCAGAGATGATGCCAGCCCCCCAAGGCATCTCCTGGGGTAGAAGGGGAGTGGCAGAACCAGCAGCATCAAACTGAATAGAATTGTTGTTTGTCCAGATCAGCCATCTGTGTTTTACAGAGCAAGAAACTGAGGCACAGAGAGGAAAAAGGACTTGTCCAAAGCCACACAGCAACTGGTACATTTCTGAGGAAGTCCTCTAAGCATCCTGAACCTTCTTGCTGCCCCTGTGAATGAGCAGCCCCTGCCCTGCCTGGTTTTCCACATAGCAGCCACACACTGACCAGTGTCATCCTGAAGGGCTGAGCTGCTGCATGAGTTGTTCTGGATATGAACAAGAGTGTGATCATGGGTGCCAATGTTTGGTCATCTGGTCAACCCCAAGAGAGTCACTGGTTTTCCACTGAGCTGCAGCAGCCAATTTGCTGAACCCTGAGTAGCTGAAACCAGGGCAAGGAGAGAGGACTCCCTCACAGTAGAGTAGGGGCTAAGGAAGGCAAGTCTACCATAGGGTGCTACACCCTGGAGAAGGAAGGACAAAAAGCTAAGTCTGAACACAAATAGTAATAATGTTGATCACAAAAAGCTCCATGGACTGAAAGCTGTTATCACCATCAGTGTTATTACTAGTAGCATGTCACCCTTATGACATTTCTATGAAATACACATTATTTACATGATTTTTACAGATGAGGAAATGGAAGCTCAGAATAATTAATCACAGCCTGTAGTTCCCCAGTCACTGATAGGACCAGATTCAAACCCAACTCTGATTCCAGCACTCATCATGTTTTCACCATACCGGTAGTTCTCAATTCTAGTTGCATGTTAGAAATCCCCAGTGAACATTTAAAACATACCAAGACCTAGGCCTTACCACAGATCAATTACATCAGTATCTCTCAAGGCATGGTCCTGGAATCAGTATTTTTAAGTGAGTCTAATGTATGGCCATGACCGAGGCCAACATGCATCACAACATCCATGCTGGTGCGAGCCCCCAACAGTGTGATATCTGAAGGGTGACCCACTCCCACCACCACCTCCCCACTACAGCTAAAAGCATCTCAGATGGCCATGGCAGGCTGATGCTTGGTGGCCAGGGCTGTGCGGCACTCTAATGACCTCTGTTGATCCCAGTTCTCCCTGTGACTCTCTTGGTTGCTCTGCTGACATCACCTTCCTGCCTTTAGTCTCAGTTCCTACCACTGTCCCTAGAGATCATCACCCGGGTATACCAACTCTGACCAGTCCACTAATCTTAGCAGCCCTTAGCAGCAGACTGACATCCTCATAGGTTGAGTCTGGGCTGGAGATTAGCATGCAAACAGTTGATTAGATCCTGGTGTGGAGATCAGCACCTGTGAGAGGAAAAAAGAGGCATTAGGATTAAGTCTCTCTGTGTTGAAGGGGTATCTGAGTGATGTACCACAGCATCTGCATCAGCCCTTAGCAGAGGGCCGAATTTGTGTGGGATCCCAGGAAAGACCCTCATTTCCAGAGAGTTGGAGAGACTCTACTGGAGCACAGCATGGAGCCGCCATGGGCAGGACTGTCAACTACCTCACTCTACGATGGCATTGCAACCCTCCTGCCCACCCAGAGCTTCACTCAAGTTCCCTTAGGGGCTCAGCTAAAAACGGTTTGAGGAACTTGGCAGACCAGCACTCCCAGTCAGCCTTTATAAAAGTCTTTGCATCACCTGGCATGCCCTACTCTATCTTTCCCAGGGTGGAGCTGTGGGGACGGGGGTTGCTACAGGAGCAGTCTTCTCTGCTTTATTCTGCCAGCATCTGGGAGCCAGTCACCATTCAGCTCATTTCATCCTCAGGAGCCAAGATAGAAGTTTCCTGCCCTTGAGAAGTTCACAGGGAAATGGGGGAGATAAAAACAGAACTTGCAATGAAATTGCAGTATTGCCATTAAAATGGCATGCCTACAGAAGCAGCTGCTCAGGAAGCGAGTGATTTTCTCCATCTGGAGGCAGGTCAGGGAAGAGGCTGTCATGTAAGAAAGGCTTAAGAAAGATGTTGAAGTGCTAGAACAGGATTTTGAAGAATGAATAGAAGTTTGCCCAGCAGATACAGTTGGGAAAAACATTCCAAGTCGAGGTCTGTCCAAAGGCTGGCGCCCCCAAACTTTCAGGCTGTTAGGAAGCAACGTGTGCTTGGTTAGTGTTGGTTAGGTGACAGGGAGGTAGGAGTCAGGGACCCAGGAGAGGAGACTGGGAAGGTAGGCAAGGGCAGAAAATGGAGAGCTCTATGACCGTGCAAAGGAACCTGGACCTTGCACTGAAGGCAATGGCTTTCCACTGAAGAACAGCATGGGCTGTCACATTTTTTAAATGCATGACATAACAAAGAGGATTCTCTGTCCTGTTCTTCCCTGATCCATTTTCTACTTCCTGGCCCTACCATAAACTGAAAAACAAACCTCACTTTTGCCTTCCGCTGCTCTGATTTCTCTTTGTCTACCCCAAACTGGGTATAAAGTAAAAAATAAGTCAATGCAACTTGCTGCACCCATTCTACCCAACTCCTTACCGCAATGGTTGTTGGGACTTCTTCACTGAAAAACCAGATTCACAGCCACAAAGACTGTCACGCTGGAAGGTTCTTGGAAGCCATCTACTAGCCCCCTTTCCCGGGGCCCACTTTAAGGAGGAAAGCTCTGACGCTTACAGAGGAGAACTGACTTCCCCAAGTGCACACAGATCATCAAGGATATGGATGGGACTTGCCCAGTTTTTCTTTCCCATATTTCAGATCAGCTCATTACATCCCTGTTTTGGGAAGAAATATTAGTCCTGAACAAAACTGTGCAGCTGGAAATTTTGTCTTCCAATCCCTTCCCCTAAGGCCTCTCCTGACTGTGCCCCCTCCTCCCTGCTGTGGTCCTTTCTCTTGCTCCCCAGCTCCCCAGCTCACAGAACCTTCCTGGTGACAAAGACCTATTCTATTCTAGGACCCCACCCTGCTCTCTCTGAGAAAGGCTCCTGCTTCTCCTCATGACCTTTT
The DNA here is from genome assembly GCF_000001405.40 of Homo sapiens. Taxonomy (NCBI): domain Eukaryota; kingdom Metazoa; phylum Chordata; class Mammalia; order Primates; family Hominidae; genus Homo; species Homo sapiens. Next base: position 33,421,072 of record NC_000017.11, on the reverse strand, counting down.
TTGTTCTACCAAAACTACACTGCTCCATGTTCCATTCCCTCCATTACATGAGTGCTTTCCAAGGAAAAGTAGAAACTTCACTAAACCAAGAACTAGAAGATAATGTTCCAACTCTACCACTTCCTCAGACGTTGTGCAAACACATTAATTTCTTCATGTGTAGCTAAGGTTTATGTTAAACTCTCTTTAATGCCACTTTTATTTCCAAGACTCTGGGATTCTAATTCATCCTGTGGCATGGCAGGCTGGAGTGAGCTCTTTTGGGCTTAAAGGAACCCTTATGCACATCCCGTCCCAACTCCCATTCTGTGTTGGTAGCTTGAAGTCAGCCATGGGAGCAATATTTACCCCTTGGAAATAGGCAAATGCTACAAATTCAAACTATTTTGGAGGGGGGTGGACTGGCTTACTAGCACCCTCCCTGAATCTATTCTCTTATATCTCAATCAAAAGCAGATATCTGTATTCTCACAAAGACTCCTGAAAGCAAACAACACCTTAACCCAAAAGAAAGTGGTATTTCTGGTAGTACCATAAGTAGATGAGAAGGTACACTTAAGGTGACACCACATGGCTTTTCATTTACCACTCCATACCTTTAGTTCATGTTTTTCTCTCCAACTGGAATTCTGTGCCCCGTTCATCCATTTGTGAGGCTTAAAATTCCACTACCAAAATTTTACAAGCCATCTTCATAAAATCTTCATCAGTTCCCTAATCAAGATTCCATTTTCCCTGCTCAGACTTGTAGAATAACTGCATGCACACATTTCTTTCTCCATCTGGACAGTACATTTCCTGAAAGCATGAACCATAGCTTTCCCACTTCCTCCCCAAAGTGGGCTAACAGAATATCCTGCAAACAATGGGTGTTCAATAAATATCTGGGGCAATGAGAAGCTCAGCAGCTAGCAGACGTGCAGAAGGCATATGCTTTCTTTTTATTATGAACTACTTTTGTTGGAAATATAGCGCAGCTTATGATAATGCATTTACATAATGAAACGGCATATGAAAAAAAGAAAGCCTCCTCTCTCCCCATTCCTTATTCCCTCATCACCACTCCCAACTTAAGGTAAACAGTATTACCAGTTTTATGAGTATCCTTCCAGAAAAAGTCTAAACATATATAGACACTTGTGTCTGTGAATGGACCATTTTATTTTGCACAAATGGAACCACACTGTCTGTAGTTTTTTTTTTCCTTAATATGTCTCAAAGATAGTTTCATCAACACGACTAGATGAACCTCATTCTTTTTCAAGTTTGTATGTTAGTCCATCTTTTTGATGAATCATATTTTATGTGACCAATCCTCTACTGATGGAAATTTAAGTTGCTTCCTGTCTTGGATGTTACCAAAAATGCTACAATTACTATCCCTGCACATCCATATTTGCCCACATGTACCAGTATATCTGTGAAAAACATACTTTAAAAAGGAATTGCTGGATCAAAGAGTAATACGTTTTTAATTCAATAGCTATTGCTGTATTTTCTGCCAAACACATAGAGACCTGAAATGCTGGTATCCATCCAGCAATCTTTATCTGCTTCTTCATTCTTACCTATTGCTCACTTTCACCCTTTCTGGCATTAGAAGCCACTGTCATTACATTAACAATAGTTCCAGAAACTCCCAGAAATTCACAGAACTGACAAGCTTTGTGCCGCCTGGGAATGGGGTTGGTCAAATCCTTCATCCCTCAAATGAGCCTCAATGGGCGTACCTCTTGACATTATTTCTTTAAACACATTCAGTTCATTTTCTCTAAGCTGCTTCCCATCATTGCCCATAGATCAACAGCCAAGATAGAGAGGAGACCCAGCACACATTTATGAGTCACCTTAGCCGCTCCCTCTGGGGCAAGGAAGAGGGGCACCAATGGGTGCAACAACACTTCCCCATCTGTCTCTGCCAGACAAGGCATGGGCTCCCTCTTTCTCTGATGTCTCTGATTCTTTTTTATTACCATACTTTAAGTTATGGGGTACATGTGTAGGACATGCAGGTTTCTTACATAGGTATATACGTGCCATGGTGGTTTGCTGCACCCATCAGCCCATCATCTACATTATGAATTTCTCCTAATGCTATCCCTCCCCCAGCCCCCCACCCCTGACAGGCCCCGGTGTGTGATGTTCCCCTCCCCCGTGTCCGTGTGTTCTCATTATTCAACTCCCACTTATGAGTGAGAACATGTGGTGTTTGGTTTTCTGTTCTTGTGTTAGTTTACTGAGAATGATGGTTTCCAGCTTCATCCGGGTCCCTGCAAAGGACACGAACTCATCCTTTTTTATGGCTACAGTAATCAAAACTGCATGGTACTGGTACCAAAACAGAGATATAGACCAATGGAACAGAACAGAGGCCTCAGAAATAACTACACATCTACAACCATCTGATCTTTGACAAACCTGACAAAAATAAGCAATGGGGAAAGGATTCCCTATTTAATAAATGGTGTTGGGAAAACTGGCTAGCCATATGCAGAAAGCTGAAACTGGGTCCCTTCCTTACACCTTATACAAAAATTAACTCAAGATGGATTAAAGACTTAAACGTAAGACCTAAAACCATAAAAACCCTAGAAGAAAACCTAGGCAATACCATTCAGCACATAGGCATGGGCAAAGACTTCACGACTAAAACACCAAAAGCAATGGCAACAAAAGCCAAAATTGACAAATGGGATTTTTTTTTTAACAGGGAGCACAACTTTATTTTTCAAGGTAGGTTTTCGTTTAATTCTGCATGTCACACTTCAAGTGGCACAGGGAAACTGAAGATTAGGATGGGGTTTGGTGCTACACAGGTGGTATTAAGTCATAAACCCATAAATTCCTGAATCCTACCCTTCAATATCTACTCTGCACTGTGGAGTTTCAAACTAGGAAGTTATTCCCAAAGATGACTGGCAAGATAAACAAGAATATCTTTTCACAGCTGAATGAGTCCTTAATGTGCTTGACAGTCACACTGGAGCATGGCTGCACACACACACACACACACACACACACACACACACACACACACACACACATACATACATGCTGAGAGCCAGAGTGGGGCCTCTGGCTCCCGATTCCAAGATAGCTGGGTCAACAAAATAGGGTTGACTGGGCTGCAAGCACAGAAGGGGTAGAACAGAGAAAGCCTAGTCGGGCCTTCCCTGAGGACTCCAGTCCTGCCTGGCCTCCTCACTTCACAGCAGCCAGACAGCAAAGGGGACATCACACAGATGTTGTGGACTCTTCACCCACAGAGGACTTCCTCGTTAGTAAAACATGGCCCAGTGAGTGTCCTGGATCATAAAGTGGCAACTGTCCTCTCTTGGGGGTGAGTTAGGAGGGGAATGTGCAGAGGGGCGGAAACATTGGAAGAGGCATGGGCAGATGTCCTCCTCAACAACCAGCATGGCAAAGGAAAGTGTGTTTTCTGAGGCACAGACCTCATATCTCACTGGACACCATTGTTTTCACATCCCCAGTGCCTAGCATGAAAGAGCCCACTGAGGACTTGATTTGGAAGAAAGAAGCCTCAAAGAGGACAAGATCACTGTCTTTTTACCGAAAGGCATTAAGGAGAAGAGCAATGAATGTATTCTGTGTGTTTCCCGGGTAGTCTTGGCCGGGTAGGTAGAAGCTACAGACAGACAGATTTCAATCCTATTTAAGAAATTCTTGCAATAGATTATTCCATATAAGGAATAATCTGCTTCAGGAAGTCTTGATTTTGCCATCACTGGAAGCATTCAATTATAGACAGACGTGTTCTGGCAGGGTTTTAAGGATTAGGGGCTTGAACTGGGTGGATTTTTAAGATTTTATAACCCCTGGGAATTAAAGATTCTAAGAAATGTCCCTTCCTGCCTAAGAAAATTGGGCTTGCTTCCATTCAACACCCTAGTCCTCCAGCGTCCTACTAGAGTCTGTGTGTGTTCGAGGCCTGTCTGCAGCAGCTAGAGGAACACGAGCCTCAGTAAAGAGCTGCTTTTACCCAAGGAATATCCATTCTCCAAATAGAGGAGGACTGGAACCTTTTTTTTTTCCTTTCCTCTCTTTAACAAAGTGGAACCTGGGTTAAGCCATTAAGCCTCATGCTCATTTAGAAGCTTTCTCACTGTCTAGCATGGGCAGGGAGGCAGGCTGTGGCATATTGGTGAGATCCCAAATAAATATTTCATCTCCAGCCTCTACAGAGGTAGAGAAATGGACCTTTCACAGATGAGCGGGCCATGGAGCTTCCTCTTGGCAGCGCCACCTATTTAAAGGAGAAGGGGGACTTGTTATTCCACTCGGGTCATCAATCTTGAAGCCTGAACCACTCCAAACCTAGGTCCCCTAGAGTCAGAATTTGACAAATGGCAAAATAAACTCAGCATGTGCAGATGAATGAGGGGTGCCCCCAGCTATTAAAAAGCCATTGCCATCTTCCCACAACGGCATCACCCATCCTCCCTCAGCTGCCACTGTGGGCGCCCAGTGGGTGCACAGACAAGCACCTGCCCTGGTTAGTAGCTCATCCCAGGCTTACTTCTTTACCCCCACCACTCCTATCAGGGACTGCCCTCCAGGCATCATGAGACCCTCAAAATTAAAACCAGTAACCAGTCAGCAAAGAGGAAGGCCCATGGGAGGAGGCAGAGAAGATTGGTGATGCCACGAGCTAGTTATTCACTGGCAAGGACCCTGGAGTGCAAATCGAAAAAAGAGGAAGTGTGGATGTCAACTGCCATGATGAATGGTGCAAGCTTGGTCAATTTGTTCAGTGAGGGAAGACAATGATAAAATTAATGAATTGTGCTTCTGTTAAGATTTCCAAATCCATGTGGTTTTAGCTTCAGCCTTGATTCTGGCCTCATAAAATGGGTGTGTGAATTGGGTGTGTGAGTGACCTCCAGCATAGTCACATCTCAGAACATGTGCATGACTGATACCAGGGAGCCAGGCTCAGCCAACTCTCATGTGCTAACAGCAAATGCAAGGCAGAACCACCCCCAACACACTTCAGCAAATGAGCACTGAGCCCAGAGGTGCTGCCTGATAGAATGGCATGAACTACCACTCCCTGCTCTGAGCATAGGCTGCAGCTGGCCTCACACCGCCATGGAAATAATTTCTTTATTGAATGCAGCTCAATGCCACTGCCTCCGCCAGGCCCACACAGGTTCCAGGCGGAACAGAGAGGAGTACAGCCTTCTCCTCAAGTATCCTGGGTTTTTCAATCAATTCTCAAGAAGATGTCTAACTGCAGCATCTCAGCATCATGGGGACAAAGAAAACATGATCAGAATCCTTTCTCTTTCATCCACTTTGCTCTCTCTGCTATCTTATTCTTTTAATCTCTCTCTCTCTCTCCCCTCCAGCTCTCTCTCTTTCTCTGTCTCTCCTTCTTGATCCCCATCTTGTGTTTAGCTCCAGTGTGTAATATGAGGCCCCGGATGTTCCCAGCATACTGACTGGCTGCTGCAGGCTTGAAGTCAGTGGGCAGCGAGGGATTTGGACCATCTTGAACTAAATGAATTCTCTCTCTCTCTCAGAAAAATCCAAAGACTCTCAAATGAAAATACAATGGGCTCTACATGCCCATGGGTTCTACATAATTAACTAACCTCAGATTAAAATATTCAAAAATAATAAAAATAACAACTCAATAAAAACAATACAAATAAAAAATATAACAACTATTTACATAGCATTTCCATTGTATTAGTTATTATAAGCAATCTAGAGATAATTTAGAGTATATGGGAGGATATGTGTAGGTTACATGAAAATACAATGTTATTCCATATTAGATTCGAGCATCGACAGATTTTGATGTCCCTGAGGTGTCCTGGGCCAATACTGTGTAGATTCCAAGCGATGACTCTAGGGGAAAGCTGTCAAATCTTCTAGTCCAAGTGTCATGTTTTAACCAAAACTTAGAGAGGGTAAGTGACTTGCCTAAAGTCACAGAGTCAATCAGTGCAGCCAAAGGGAAGGCTGAGATTCTATCCATGTCCCCACAGGGTGGTATGACTGCCCTCCACTAGTATGAGGACAGTGCCTGGACTGCACATCTGAATACCACAGTCAGATGGTCAGTCCCACCAACATGTGAGGAGGGTATCTGAACTAGCAGTAGCCTGGTTGGGAAACCAAACTGCATGTCCTGATTAGAAGAAAGTAGAGGAAGGAAGAGGAGCCATGGAGAAGCGGGGTCAGGGGAGAGGAAGAGGCTTTTTGGAACCTGTTTGATCTGCATATCTGGGGAACATTAAAAGATGTCATTTTGAAGAGCAGAGTGGGGCCTAATGTGATTTCAGTGACAGAACCAAATTAAAATTTAAAAGAGAAATGAAACGTGTTCAGCATTCTCAGTGAAGATGGACCTTGTTAAGGACCAGGATTTGCTCCCTCTCCCAGAGTCCTGGAAAACCCTGGAGCACCTGCCCTCAGATTCCCAATGGCCTCAGTGGGCACATGAGCCTAGCGGTAACTGAGAAAGAGGAGAGCCCCAAGGCAGGCCTTGACCCCCTCCAGAGAGGTCCAGGTAAAGCCCAGTCGGTGGCTGCCGTGGTAGGAACAATGAAGAACTGCCCAGCCAACTAGCCAATAGATAGCCTGCTCAGCTTCATCCTCCCACTGCTCCAGTCCTCCTCCCCTCTACTTCCTTCTCCCCTGGCCAATGGGCATTACCAACCTGCCAACCTAGAACATCCCCTTCCTCGTTCCACCACACCCAGACCATCGCTGCATCCTCTCTTTTCTACCTACTGGAGTCTCTCTGCACTGCTCCCTCCAGCCTCCTCGCCATCCCTGCATGGTCTAACCTCTTCCACTCTCCCCTCCTCTTTGGGTGCAGCCTCCTGACTAGCTCCTTTTCTTAATCTTCCTGCCTCCAATGTATGCACTCAACAAGTACCTATGGCGTGTACCTTCCTTGTGTTGGTCTTAAGTTGGAGAGCCTCGCAGGGGTGGGACAAGAGTAGGCCACTGGGCTGCTGCGGGAACAAGACTTAAGGAGGACCTACTCTCGGGCTACTGCAAGCTCAGGGCCCATGTCTGGGAGTGAAGGTCTCCTCAAATGATGCTCCTTAGGCAACTTGCCTGCCTTCCCCAAGTCCTGGCCCTAAAACCAAGATAAGATAAAATAGAGTGCTCTTTGCCCCTGCAGAGCTTGCATGCCAGGGAGAAACCTAAGAATCAAATGAACAAACCCCTAAAATAACCCGGGCCAGTGCCAGAAGGAGCAAGGCAGAGTGCTGGGAGAGAGAGGGCACAGGTGGGCCTGATCCAGTCTCAGGGGGTCATAGAAGTTTTCTCTGAGAAAGAATATTTGAGCTGAGAGCTAAAGAGTGAGTGGGATCTAATGAAGCCAAGGCTGGGAAAAGGATGGGCCAAGGCTGAACATGTGAAAATCTGCAGAAAGGAGTAGACAGTATGAAGATGCAAAAGGCTACTGGGAGAATGGGCGTGGCAGGATATGATGCTGGGGAGAAAAATAAAAGGGCCTAGGCGAGGCCTTGTTGGCCAAGAGAGCCAGGCAGGAGGCTATCAGCGTAGTCCTGGTGAGAAACGGCAGTGGCTTGGACCAGAGTGGCAGCAACAGAGAGGGAGAGAAGTGGGCAGCTTGGAGAGATAGTTAGGAGGTAAAATTGACTGTATTCAGGCTGCAATCGGACCAAGTTGGGGACATTTAAGAAAGCTTGTTGATTGATTGATGGTTACTCATTGGTGCTAATGGCTTTAATCAAGGAAAAAGCTCTCAATAAAAACAAATGATTAGTCTTTATAATAGAAATGTCAATGGGCCATTAATGAATGAATTTGCTAATTCCCTGCTGAGGCTTTCAAGTCTCGGATGAGAACACTTAAGACCTTATCCCTGAGTCAGAGCTCCTGATTTGGGGGCTGTGTCACACTTCACTTGACCCCAAGAACCTTGGAAACACATCTCGGGGGAAAGCGTGATGCTCCTCAATGGCACCCCCTATGCCCCCATCTCTGGAGAACCCTGCTCATCAGCCTCAGTCCTCAGAAGCCAAGTGCCTTTAAGGCACAGAGACAGTAGCCCCTCATTGGGAACAAGTAAGAGCACAGAGCGGCTTGTCCATAGCACCTTAGCTTTGCTGTGGGCAGCAGGTGGGGGGTTCCTTGCACGCTCTTCTCATCTGGTTTAGCCATTAGCTAAACCAGACCCCGGCTCCTCTCACAGCTCCAGTTCCTGACCTACTGCTAGTTGCACAGAGCTCCTTCTTTGCGTGCAAATTCACAATTCCTTTTATCTCTCTGGCCTTGGACCTATCATAGGGCACCAACGTCTCTCCCACTTCTCATTGCTCCTCTCACACTCTCAGAAGCAGGAAAGATGATCCAGGCAGCCTTCCTCTATGCCTATGTTTATCCACTCAACCCAAGATAGGCATATATCCAGCCCAAAGGCCACAGAAAAAACAGAGAACATTTGCCTCATCATGACTATTTCATAGTTTTGCCTCAGCAAGACCAGGATTTTAATTCTGACTGTGCCTCTCCTTCTCTGTCTGATCTTGGGCAAATTATTTGACTTCTCTGAGCCTTCCTCTCTGCAAGGGAAGATTAATGTGGACCTCAAGGACTGTTGCATAGGGAGGACAGGAGGCCACACGTGTGAAATGCTTAGCCCAGTGCCTCACCCATGAAGTCTCACAGTAAGTCAGCACCCCCTCTCTACCCCTCTGCAGTTACCATGAACCACATGAAGGCAGAACAGGAACCATCATAATTCATGACATCCTGGTGATCAACAGCATTCTAAGAACCACGTGGGTTGGTACAAAGATGATAGGGCCTGAGCTGCTAGACAGTTGTGCTGGGCAGTCATACAATAAACTCTTCTCTCCTTTCTTTTTAGCTTGAGAAAAAGCAATAGGATCAAGGAGCGATGAAAACTGGCCCAACGAAGGCTCAGATTGAACAAATCAAAAATAATAAGCAGGAGGAGCCAGTGCCCAAATGATGTAGCTTCAAGGTTTTTGTTTTTTGTGTGTTTTTGGTTGTGTTTTGTTTTGTTTTGTTTTGTTTTGTTTGCATTTTTCTTGAGCTTTCACTCAAACCATAGCACTCACAGATTTGTTCAAACCCTAACCAAATATTTTCGGATGGCTACTCATAAGATTGCGATCTCTTTTATTTATGACACCCTAAAGTTGGTGAAGCCATGTCACTTTTATCTCATTTGACCCTCACAGTGATGCTGCAATGTAAAGTGGACGTGATTATCCAATTTCACAATGAGGAAGCTGAGACTCATCATGGTCTGGCCAAAGATACCTCGCTCAGTCACTTGTTCATAATCACACAGTCAGTCAATGGTAAAGCTGGTCCTTAAGCCTGACTCTGTAAATGCCAAGACTTCATTTTTTTCTTCCTATTGCCCCTCTGGTTCTTAAACCACTGAATTGGAATAAAACTACAATATCAAACTGCTATCTGTACCCCCACTGGAGCAGATAGATGAATGGGTGCACTCCAGGCCTAAAAGAATCCATAATACCTTCCTTTCCCTTCCTTGCCAGCTTCTCTTCCTCCAAAATCAGCCCAGCAGGAAGGCTCACTTGCCCAGTAAGGGAGGCTGTTTGAAAACTCTCATCCAATTACCATTTAAATTAACATCAGATTGACATAATGACAGTCCAGTTCTGGAAATCTGGCCTGAGTTGCAATGATATTCATTTGGGGGTTCACAAATGGAGAAGCTCTTTTTCTTTTTTTTAACCATCTCAAAGTTTTTCTAATCACTGGAGGACAAATGGTAACAACCATATAATCCAAACTCAAAACAATAGGGTAGAAAATTGTTATTCTAATGAGGATTCTGAGGAGGGCTGCCAGGAAGACCACACACACTAGCTCAGACAGAGTTGGCCAGCCTGGAGTAGCAGCCTATGTTTATTGTGGTCTGTAGCATCAACTTGACTGTGGCCATTCATGCATCATGGCCATTCATTCATTCACTCATAATTCACATATTCTTTCACCATTTCCTAGTCATGCTTTCACTTTCTTTTGCATTCATTGGCTTATCCTTCATTCATTTATTCAATCTCCTGTTCTCTCATTTACTCACTACACATCCATTCATCTGACAAATATGTTATGCTGTCTTCTATGTGCCAGACACAGTTCCAATAAGCGTCTACTGGCATCCACTTCAATCCTAGACATCTCCAGCTGGATACAAACATCTGCTCTTGCAGAGTTTACAAAACCATCCCCATCCCACAAAGAGCTACAGAGGAAAAGGTACTATGCTGGACAACTTTGCCTGTCTCACAAAGATGATACAGTACAACAGTCATGGATGAAGAGAGGAGTGACTTGAGGGCACCCAACTTAGGGAAGGGCCTTGACGAATACAAGAGTCCAAGACTAACAGAAAGGAGGCAGCAGATGGGGAGAAGAATGGGCACGAGGGCCTCATGGCAAGGACAAGCACTGAGACTACAGCCTGATCTGATGGGATGGGCTGGGAGGCTGGAGACGAGCCACAGGCATGGGGCTGAGGGCAGCTTACCGAGGGGGCTTGAGTCCCTCCAGAAGCAGTAGTTCTCAAGCCCTGATCTGCAGAAGGATATGTTTTTGACCTAAGCTGGATTATTAATTTTTTTCCCAATTCAAAGAGAGAAATAATAAGCTAAAGATAGGTTTCTTGCAATTGATATGTTCTTCTCTCATGTACGTTTCTAAACCCTTAGTACCCCTTACTCATCTAGATGAGAGTCTACTATAAGAGGGTGTCCAATTCAGCACAAAACACACATTTTTTATTCAGAGCAGCATGTTCCGGGGCTGTGATTTCTGGGTGCTGTGGCCCCTCATCATTTTGCCCACTGTTGCTGGAAATGGTATCTGGTAAGAAGATATCCAGAGTGGCCAGGCTTAGAAGAGTCAGCGATTAGAGCCTCATTGCTACCTGTCTCAGGTGGCTACAACATATCACATCATCATCTTTGAAGCTGGCTCCTAGGCTGACCATCTGCCAATTTCCATACATCCTCAATGGTGTGAACTGTAAGTCTAAAGCCACTGTAACTGAATGGAACAGACACGGTCCTGCTGAGGGGTCCAGAATGAGCTGCCCTGAGCTGGTTTGTACTGGTGTATGTTGGCCTGAGCTGGATCAACTGGGCAGATTTGGACAAGTGGAAACTGGGGGTGGGCTGAATCAAGCCAAACAGTGCTAGAATAGAACAAAACTTGGCCAAGAGGCCGCCCAAACTGGGCTGGGGTCCTGGAGGATCAGTTGTTCCTAAAGCCAGGCTCAAATTCATTTCTGAGGCTCTATTCTAGCTGTATTCATACCCCTCCCCCACACATAAGACAAATGGTCCAGCTCCCTCGGCCTCCTCCTCCGCAAGACTCTCCTTTACCAGAACTTCAGAAGATACTGCTGCCTGCTGCAAACGCTCCTCTCCTAACCACGATTCTATTTGATCTGGATGAATTAATTGGTGGTGGAGGGGTGAGGGAATAAGAGAATAGGAGTACAGTGACCATGACTGAGACAAGGCTGATGCCAACTTCACGCATCTCTATCATTCTCTCCAGTTCTGGCCAAACTCCTAACATTAGTGTTAGGGTTATTGTAGGGCTACCCTTGGAGTTTTCTCAGACAAGGTGTTAAGTCTGATCCCTAGTCTCTCCCAAAGTTGGGAAGGAAGGGCTCTACATAGAGCACCTGGCTCTTTGAAGGTCACTCCAGTTTCTGTGCTGATGCCCCACTGCAGATGCCTCTCACCTCACTTTGGGAACTCATGCCTTGAATATTGGAGTTGATGACCTCTGGAGGAAATGCAGGAGTGGAACTTTTTTTTAAAAAAATTATTTTTTAGACAGAGTCTCACTCTGTCACCCAGGCTGGAGTGCAGTGGCATGATTTCGGCTCACTACAACCTCTGCCTCCCAGGCTCAATAAATTCTCCCACCTCAGCCTCCTTAGCAACTGGGACTACATGCGCACACCACCACTTCTGGCTAATTTTTTGTATTTTTGGTAGAGACAGAGTTTCTCCATGTTAGCCAGGCTGGTCTCGAACTCCTGAGCTCAAACGATCCACCCACCTCAGCCCCCCAAGGGTCTGGGATTACAGGCATGGGCCATCACGCCCAGCCAGGACTGGAATATTCTGTCTGTACACACCCTCTTCCCTGGGCTCTCTGAGCATTGCTTGAGCATTTATTTACCCTGTCCTCTCTCATCCCTCACTCTGTGGCTCCCCTCGTTCCCCACTTGTGTAGCTTTTCCACTCCACTGCCTTACCCGAGACATCAAGGTATTCTTGATTGTTTTGCAAAGATCAGATTGGTGCTCTGTGGTTTCTGGACCTCTTCTCCAAATCTACTGTTTGTTTGTTCATTTGTTTATCATGAATTTTCATCCAGGGAGTGGAGGATAAAGGCGTTATTACTCAGTGGAGAAAGGGGAGAAAAGGGAGGATAGTTATTGTGTGTGTTGTCAAGCATCTAATAAATACTGAATAACTTTTTAAAAATTGAGTTACCTACTATAGCATCATTTTACATATGCCTTGTATTTTTAAGTTAATGTTTATCCTGTGTTTTAAAGATGCACAAACTGAGCTCACATAGCTAAGTACCGGATACATATTCACACCCACGTCTGGCCTCTTTTCACTACATTGTACTGAAGTATCCTGCCCTCCCCACTACCCTTCACCTACAACCATAGCCCAGCATGGAAGAGACAGAACCAAGTCTTCCTGTTCCTGGTGTTCTCACCACTGCAGCACATGGACATGACATTTGTTGGGGAGTGAAAATCAGAACAGAAAAGGAAAGCCACAAAATGCAACAAACGTTGGTTATTGAATTAAGCTAGTTTCTCTCTTTTTTACAGATAATTCAGCCAAATTGATTAATGTGCATAGGTCCCACCAGCATCTCCTGCATGTCAAACTCTGCCCAGGATCTGAGCAAGAAAGGAAACTCATGAGAAGTCATTCCCCAAGGCTGTCGGGTACATGTGGCACACTTCTTCTAAAGGGCAGGGAAGCCACAGATTTGGAACTGGTGTGGTCTTGGTGGCCCCAAATGCCTCCCCACCATGAACAGGAAGGATTTGGAAGTGACATCATCATGCTGACATTTGGAAGCCATTAGGCACTTCTCATTGGCTGGGTTGCCAGCCAATACACTCCCTGTCCTGGCCTGGCATTTGATCCAATACCTAAGTTGACCTGGCTAGAGACTATAGGGTTGCTACCAAGCCAAGCCAATCCCAACCTGGTTCCCAGAATTCCTTGGGCTTGCTTGTCTTGCAGGTCCTAATGTTTTTGCATTAAATCTATTTAGAGTAAATCATTTATCCAATCTAATTTTCCCCATCTGCAAAGGCCTGAAGCTCAAATTATTTCTCTAATCAGACTGTTTCATTACTAACTTTATTTTATTAAATTTTTATTAATGTACCTGGGATCCTATAGAACTTTTCCTCTTTTCTCTATCACTTGAAGAAAATATAAAGTTGAGAATTTTAGAGAATTAGGCCCATACTTGCCCTGAGTGATGCATTATGGGAGTATCAGGAGGATGGTTCTGGGGATGGGAAGAAAATATAGCACTTGAAGGGAGTCTTAAAGTGATCAAGAGGCATTAGCCGAATGGATCAAAGATACTACACAGTTAATAACAATGGTTGTTATTATATGAGTGCCTGCTGGCTCTAGTACAGTTCTGAGAGATTTAGTGTAAAATAATGGTTATTAGAACAAACCCTGGAATCAAAGTGTCTGAGTTCAAATCCCAGATCAGCCAGTTATTATTGAGGGACCTTGGGCACTGAGACATTGTCCTTTTCTCCAAGATGATTTTCTTAGAGAACTCTTAGTTCAATTCCCAACACATTGGCGAATGCCCAATAAATGTCAGCTATTGCTATCATTATCTCTTTTCCTCCCACCTGCTAAAGTAGATAATATTATCTACATTATACAAGTGAAAAAAATTAAGACTCAGAGAAACTAAATAACTAAATTACATGGCTAGAAAATGGTAGCTCTAGGAAGCCAGCTTTCCTTGACCTTGAACTCAAGTCTTTCAGACTCAGAATCTGGCATTCTTTCCACAATGTTTCACTTTCTCTACTTCCTTCTCTATTTGAGACTGGAGAAAGGCCAAAACATTAGTCTATTATAACTTTCATCATTTTCAACATCTTCTGCAAATACAGTTTCCTGAACAGTCCTTTGATTTTCCAGAATTCTCTAGGCTCTCATTATACTTGTAAACTCTTTAGGGGTAGGAATATACCTTCCACATCTTTATGGATTCCATGGTCTTAATAAGTACTCCTCACATTGCAGGATTCAGAACATAATTTAGCAAATGCTTGCATAGCCCTTACCATCTGCTGGCCACTGTTCTAAATGTTTTACACATTTTAATCTATTTAATCCTCATGGCAGCTCTCTGAGGAGGCTACTGGTGTTATTCTCATCTTATAATCAAGGAAACAGAAACACAGAAAGCTTAAAAACTTGTACAGGGACACACAGCTAATAAGAGAGCAAGCTGGGATTCCAGCTCTGCACAGTGCTGTGTTCTGTGTTCTGCGTTTGACAGAACAAAAGAAAGAGCAATCAGAACCTTGAGGAAAACTCAGTCTTGTACAAATAAGACTTGGCCCACCCATCATTATTTATAATTTATGCCCCGTCCACATTGAAAGAGGAATGTTCGCAGACTGCCTTGAAAGAGCTGAAAATGTGCATCAGACACAGCACCTTAATGTTCTCATATCAAGTCTGTGGGCTGATGCATAAGTGAGCTCTGCTTCTGGAATATTCTTACCCCTGAAAAATTCCCAATTGCTCATCAAGCTTTACCTATATCAATTATACTCACAGATTTTATGACACAGAGAGGCCAATGACATTGAAATATTTTTATTACTTACATTTCCCAAGAGGAAGGGGCACACCAGAGCCAGAGTGGAAAACACCAGGTTGGGTCAGGAGGCAGAAGGAGCCAGGGCAAAGCCTGGCCCAGGTTTTTTTTCATGGAAAGAGCCTGTTTTGCATTTTCCATGGGAAAGGCAGGGCAGGGGAAAGTTTGTGATTGGCTAGTGTAAATAATGCTCGCAGGCTCGGGCTGGCAGGGTCGTCTCTAACTGTCTGGTACCTGGCCCCTGGGTGATTGGAGTGGAGGAATATTGTCTCCTGGGGTGTAAGAGCCAGAAACAGAAGATGGTTCAGGGTATGGGCTCTGAACTGGTTAGTTTACATATGAAAGGAGTGCTGTCTTGGCCCGGTGTGGTGGCTCAAGCCTGTAATCCCAGCACTTTGGGAGGCCAAGGCGGGTGGATCACCAGGTCAGGGGTTCGAGACCAGCCTGACCAACATGTTGAAACCCCGTCTCTACTAAAAATACAAAAATTAGCTGGGTGTGGTGGCGGGCGCCTGTAATCCCAGCTACTCAGGAGGCTGAGGCGGGAGAATTGCTTGAACCCAGGAGGCAGAGGTTGCAGTGAGCCAAGATCGCGCCACTGCTCTGCAGCCTGGGCAACAGAGCAAGACTCCATCTCAAAAAAAAAAAAAAGAAAGAAAAAAGAAAAAGAAAGAAAGAAAGGAGTGCTATCTCTAAGAATTGGCTAGTCCTGGGAGGGGTGATCTCTCTCCAGTTAGTGAGGTCACAAATGCCAGAGCATCAATAATACAGAAAGTAAGAAAAAATAGTTAATACACTACTTTGGAAAGTTGTACCCCATTTTTCTATTCCTATTGTCCCTTTTTTCTAATCCCATAACATCCAAAGCAGCCCCCTACCATGCAATTCTATTTGCAATGATTCCCATATCTGCCTCCTCCATGGGGGCAAAGACCAGGTCTTATTCATCATTCCAACTCTGGAGATATGATGCCCTTGAGAAACATTTGATAATTGAATGAATGAATGTGACAGAGAGGCATGCAGCTGAGCAGAGAGCATGGAAAACAGTTGTATCAGAGACAAGCACATGCCTGTCCCCCTACTCTAACATTAGCCCAGAGTGTCCTGGCGTTCAAGACAAAAAAGAAAAAAAAAAAAATAAGCCACCTGGGTTCAGTAGCTCCCACTGCTTATCAAATAAGTCATTCAAGTTTTTTAGGACAGAACATTTTTTCTTGGTACTAAATTCTATAGGGTACTTGCTATATTGGGTCACATGGAAAAGACATCAAGTAGTAATATAATGGGTAATATAATAGCCAGAAATACCTATATCATCTTTATATGGTCATTTCATTCATTGAACTTTGATAAAACTGAAACAATAATATAGTGACAGTGGCAAAATATTTCTTTGTGTATCTAGGCTAAAGAAGTGCAAACATTCTGCTCTCTGGGATTTCCACAGCCCAGAAGAGTGCATGGTAACAGGATGCATATGTTGTCCCTCTTAATGTCGCTCAACTCAACATGCATTTGACAGGAGCTGATGAGCTGTCAGGTCAAAACTGAGCTCTTAGGCAAGGGTCTGGAGTGCAACTGATTGGAAGTTGAGCCATCTGCTTCAGATGTTGCTCCTCTGTCCAGAAGTAGACAGCCTTTGAGAGGCTAAAAGCAAACTAATCTGGAGGCCTAGGATTGATCCTCTACCTTGCTCTTGTCCTGAAAGTGTTGTCTGAGCCCTGGCTCTTAGTCTTGTATTTATTTTGCATTACTTTGTTTTCATTTGTTTGTTTGTTTTTTGGACGGCTTTATTGAGATACAATTTACATACTACAAAATTCACTCAAGTGTGCAATTCAACAATTTTTAGTAAACTTACAGAGTTGTGCAATCATCACCATAATCAATTAGCACATTTCCGTCACCCCAGAAACAAATCCCATGTTCATTAATTTGCAGTCACTCCTAGTCCCCACCTCCAGTTCTAGCAACCACTAAGCATGCCTAGTCTTTTACTCTATCATTTGAACCTTTCCTTTCCCAAACTTGGCAACTCAAGCTGCTGAGGTCTTTTAAACACGAATATCTCTCTATGTTTTATGGAAGTCAGTGCAAAAGAAATGAAACTTGTTTTCATGTAGCAGGTGACTTCACAAAAGTTAAGCATTGCACTAAGCTAGAAATCCCGGTAGCCACTATTAACAAGTCCATGGGTCTCTCTGTAAGTTACTATCATTCACTGACTCATGAAGCCATCTTTCTGATGTCCCAGCTGCAATTCACTGTGGGGCTTGGAAAAGTCATTTCCTCTCTCTGGAGCTTGGCTTCTTCACCTGTAAACTGTTCACCCAGATGATTGCCAAGGTTTCTGCTAGCTTTAGGTTTACAAGATTCTTTAATAGAAGTAAAAGGGTAATGTCAAATGATGATGGAGGTTGGTTACTTGATGAGGAAGGCTGGTTTCTTCCCTGATGATGAAGGAAGGTTTGTTTCTTGTACTAAGTACAGCAAATCCCACACCTGTCTGAGCGATTATTTTCACTTACTCAGGGGCTTGTAGCCAATTCCACCAAACAAGGCTTTTCACTGAAGAATAAAATACTTTTAAACACATTTTAATCTCTTGATTTGTTTAAAACATTTTTTCTGTGCAAGTAAGATAGACAGTCTTAATTTAACTAAAGCAGCATGTGGCAGCTGCCCATAAGTAAATTACTTCAAATGCAAGATAAGCTCAACCCAGCTAGACAACTGATGGAGAAGAGATATGATCTTCCCAAATGTTAATGGGAAAGTAATTCTGACTGAGGAGAAGGCAGAAGGGAAGAAGGAAGTGGAGGTAGAAGCTGTGTGCCCACCTCTAAATCTTCAAATTCTATTAATATATTGTGAGTGTATTTATATGATGAGACACCTGTATTCTGCTAAAGATGCTAAAGAGAATAGTAACCAAAGGCTCTCACAGGCTCTGCCCGAGTGCACTCATGAACTCTTGGTGAGCCCTGCATGGTCACTAGCAATGGAGGTGTGCAGCCAGGACCCAGGCTGAGCATATGTTTATGGTAGAGGCAGCAGAATCTAAAGAATCTGATTATTAGTAGAGATGGAAATATTTTGACCATACAAAGTCACGATTGATCCCACCAACAGTATAAAAGCGTTCCTATTTCTCCACAATCTCAGCAGCATCTGCTGTTTCTTGACTTCTTAATCATCACCATTCTGACTGGCATGAGATGGTATCTCACTGTGATTTTGATTTGCATTTCTCTAATGATCAGTGAAGACACTGTGGTGATTCCTCAAAGATTTAGAACTGGAAATGCCATTTGATGCAGCAATCCCATTTCTGAGTATATACCCAAAGGAATATAAATCATTCTATTATAAAGATACGTACACGCGTATGTTCACTGCAACACTAGTCACAATAGCAAAGACAGGGAATCAACTCAAAAGCCCATCAATGATAGACTAGATAAAGACAATGTGGTACATATACACCATGGAATACCATACAGCCATAAAAAGGAGTGAGATCATGTCCTTTTCAGGGACATGGATGAAGCTGGAAGCCATTATCCTCAGCAAACTAACACAGGAACAGAAAACAAAACACCACATATTCTCACTTTAAGTGAAAGCTGAACAATGAGAACACATGGACACAAGGAGGGGAACAATACACACTAGGGCATGTTGAGGGACAGTGGCAGGAAGAGCATTAGGGAAAAGAGCTAATGGATGCTGGGCTTAATACCTAGGTGGTGGGTTGATAGGTGCAGCAAACCACCATGGCACATGTTTACCTATGTAAAAAACCTTCACATCCTGCACAGGCACCTTGGAACTTAAAAAAATAAAATAAAATAAACAAAGTCATGATCAAAAAGCCTTATCCAGGATAAGGCAAGACCATAAAGTAGAAGAAAATATGAAGACTAAGATATGAGCCTGTGCATGGAGCCCTCCATGCAGTGTGGCCCCTCAGATCTAACCCCTCAGCTCCAGCCTACCAGCAGCTTTCCCAGTGGGCTTGAGGCTTGCAAGAAACTTGGTCCAGGAGGAGTCAAACATCCAAAGGAGATCTTGCAAAGACCTCCAAGAATATTTCTGGACAACAGCTTTCTTGCCTTGTGGAACAATATGGCCATGGAGGGAATTGGAGTCAAAGAAGAGAATCAATTCTTTCACAATCTTCTGGGTCATTCGTGTCATTTAAACATATCTGAAGCTCCCAGAAAGGTCACACTATGGGAGAGAGACCTCGCATAACTTAATTTCCTTTTGTTACTTTGTGAGCTTCATTTTCTCCCATCCTCACCTCTCTGCTCTCTCCTTTCCAGGCCTGCCAAGTCCTGTTTATTAAGTGTTGTGTCCAATTTACCCAGCATTTAATTAAGCTGTCAAGTTGAAACAGGATTGTCTCCTGGGAAGCGAACAAAGATTTTATGGTCATTTAATTTTTGCTTAGGATTTAAAATCCTACTTCTGGCATACTTAAAATTATTAATGAGATCCAGGAATTCTTGCCCATTTGTGTCCATTACAAGACATAAATCATTAAGCTCAATTAGGGGCAAGAGAAACTTGCAGAGTTAGAGCTGAGGTTGTATTCCATCACATCTATCCAGTGCAGCCAAGCGATGGAGGCATGACCATCAGGGGCTGGGTGGAAAACAGACAAAGGAGGGCAGGAGGGGAGCCAGCAGGTGGCAGAGTTAGGGAGAAGGGCATGGAGGCAAAGGAAGGGATGGAAGAGGTTAACACTACAATGGCAAGGGATCAAGGAATGGAGTTCAGATTGATGATCAGAGAGGGAAGAGGGGGAGAAAGGAATTAGGGAGGTAGATTACAGATGGCGAAGCACACATTGGTAGTGCTTACCAGTAGTTCTGGTTCTCTTCTTCCAACACAAGGGAAGATTATGCTTTTTTAGCCTTATGGAGTTAGGCATGTCTGTGTGACTTCCTTTGGCCAGTTAAATAAGAGTGGAAGTGACAGGTGGCTCTCCCGGATGGAAGCACTTCAAGGCTGGCATGTGATTCCCCTTGTGTTCTCCTCTGTTAGAGTGTTGAGACGGCGATGTCATTCACATGGCCAACTCTCTGTCAGCCTGGGCCCCTGAGTGACGACGATATGGCATCTCTCCAGTGACCTGCTTTAGAGGTGCAGTGTGAGAAATAAATCTGTGTTGTTTTAATCCACTGAGAATCCACTGAGATTTTGGAAGTGTTTGTCACCAAACTGTTGCCAAACCATCACAACTCAACCTATAGGCAGTTTGAAAACAGAGATGCCTGTTTGTAATAGAGAGGCTGGCAGGGGTGGCAGGGGTGGCAGGGATAGGGGGCAGGTAGGAACCAGAAAGAGTCAACAGTGAGGACAGGTGAAAGGGAAGATATGAACAACTTGAATTCTCAGCCCCTGGACAGTGGTTTGCATAGAATAGGCCTTGGAATGGAATCAAATGGTAATAAATGATCTTTTTTTAAGTCCTGATTGTATGCTGCTTGCATGGTTCTAAGAAGATGCTAGATCCTTTTCAGCTCTCAGAATAGAAGCTCCAGTTTTTCCCAAAAGAGAGATTTCTGGCTCATAAATCTCCCTATTATCAGGTATACTTCAAGAAGGGAGTAGAGTCGGAGAGGTCATCAACACTCACAAATGACACAAATCTACTCCAGCCAACATTCACCCTCCACATTTCTCTTTAGCTCCTTCCCCTCAAACTCATTTCTACTGTCCTCTAAGCTCACTTCTTTTTGCTTGGTCTTCCCATACCAGAAGACTGGTCTGAAGACAGTCCACATTGTTGAAATTTTAGACCCTGACAGATTCCCTGAGCACTGCTTCTTCCTTATAATGAGATCTTCAACAAGGACACATAGGTGGAGCATGGAGTCTGGCACCTCACACACAGAGAACCTCAGCCAATCAGTTGTCCCCCATCTCACAGGTCCCTTCCATATATCCTACCTCAAGATGACTTTGCAGTTTGAGGAGAAAAGAGAGAAATTGGTGGGGAAACCAAATTTAGTGGTTTGCAGTTTTAACCCAGACCAGCCTCCTCACTGGCAAGGAAGAAATTAATAATGTATGGTCCAGAACAGACATCTGGCCCAGACCTGTGCAGACAGGTCTCTATGGTAACCCAGGTCTGCTTATTTTGTTACCTTCTCAGAGAAATTTCTTGGGAAGTTAACTAATGAGACAGATAGGGTCCCAGGCTTGTCTGCAGAGTTCACTTTTCTATTCCCCAAAGAAATGAGGTTTTAAGTGCTATGTAGGGTGGAATGGTGGCCACACTGAACCCAGAGACGGTGTGGTCCTGCCCACCACTACCATGGTGCACACACACACAAACACACACACGCTCCTTTTAGGAGAGCTAACTCTTGGGCAAGGCTTTCTGCCTGTGGCTTTCTCTCCCATCAGAAATGCCAGGAGGCTGGGAAAAGGATGCTTATGATGAGATTAAGGGGAAGGGGCATCACAAAACTGTGACCACACTGAAAGCAGAAGCTGATTCATAGTGACTGATGAGGTCTGGACACTATGCCTGCATATGGTGGCCAGCATGCTGTGGGGAACAGGCCATACTGGGATTTAGATGGTTCATCGGAGATTTTTTGTTGTTGTTCCCAACACCACCCAAGGATGAAGAGTGGGTTGGTCTGGGTCAGGAGAGAGTGTAGAAGAGGGAGACAGAGGGGGAAGGGGGATGTAATCACTGGGAATTGCAAGGACAAGCCCTCCTCCTGATCGTCCCTCACCCCAGTGTGCCTTTGGCTATCCTCCAGCAAAGGAGTCTTGTCTGGTTGATTTCTTAAGGGCTAAGCAAACAGGTTGTCAGAGATCCTTTGTTTGAAGTGAACATATTCCTTGTAATGCCATCTTGGGTGAAGTTGGATTTATAAGTAGAGCCCAGGGGCAGTAGAGAAAGAAGGGCCTCATGAAGGACAGAACTCAAGGCCCAGGAAAGCATCAGAAACCACAGCACCTCCAACCCCATATTTCTTTCCCTGGGACCATCTGATCCTTCCTCTTTGCTCATCTCTATATGGTATTCTTCTCTCTCCCTCCAGCCTTCTTTTCTCTGCTTCTCTGGATACAGAGTAGAAAATGGCCACCACAAAATGGCAGCATCACTATCTGAAGCTAAATCACTTCCAAGGTATCTGTGATGATATGTCCCAGTCTATGACTCCCAAATTCCCAGAAAAGAGGAAAACAAGGCCCTTTGCAGCATGCCTAGCACACAAGAGGAAATCAGTAAATGGTAGCTTCTTCTGGACAATAAGACTTGAGTTGCCATCTTGGTTCTGTCTTCAATGGCTGTGTAGCCCCGGGCAAGTCACTTCATCACTTTAAATCCTAGTGGTTTCTGAAAAAGGTGGCAATCATGTTGACTGCTGCTAGCTCTGAAGGATTTTGTGAAGACCAAAGTGAAAATGATGTGAAAAAACTCCATAGACTCTGAGGTTCAAGGGTGAGGGAGTTCATTCTCTCTTCATCATCACCAACACCATCATCACCATAATCACCATCATCATCATCATCATCACCACCACCATCACTATCATCACTGCCATCATCCCCATCATCATTATTATAACCATCACCATCACTACCATCACCACATAATCACCTTTACTATTATCGTCAGCATCATAACCACAATGACTGCTACCATCATCACCAAGAGGCCCAATGCTGTCTTGGTTCCAACAGGTTTCCAAAAGTCATGGGCTTGAAATTTTGTAAGTTATCTCCTCCCTTTATCCAGGGTGGCTTCTGAAACTTACATTGTGTTAACCCGTGCTCTTTTATTTATTAATTCACTCAACAAGTATTTAGTGGGCACCTGCTATATTCCGGGGCCCATTCTAAATGCTGGAGATACATCAGTGAACAAAATAGAAAAGATTCTTAACTTCTTGGAGCTTTTGTTCTAATGTAGAAGGGGAAGATAAACAATAAAGAATACACACAGTATATAAGTAAACTATATGGTATGTTAGAAGGTGGTCAAGCCAAGGAAAAACAAAAACATAGAGTCGGTTAGTGTCAGGACACCAAGGAAAGAGAATAGACAGAGGCATCTCCCTGTAGTTCCTCCATCCCCTGCACTGCTCCCACCATCATGTGAAACTTCACACTCTAAGATTTTTTTTCCACTATGATCCTGATTGAGAAGGTCATTATTTGGCAAATATAAATCACTGTGACTCAAAAAGAATAAGATTCGACTAAAGAACGATTTTAAAATATGATGCAGTTAATTATTTGCAATAAAACTGGGATCTCAATCAACATGAAGAGCAAATCAAAGTGTTGTAGAAGTGGAAGATGGAAAATGCCCAATGGGGCTCCTCCAGCTAGGCCTTGAGCTATGCCCTGAGCTTTCTTGTTGCACTGACCTTTTGCTGATGGGGTGATGGGAGGCTGAAGAATCTCTTTCTCTAGGGTTCCAAGGGCTATCTCTTGGCCTCTACCCTGTCCCAGATCCCCAGGGACAGTTCTAGTAAAAATGAAAAGTAGATCCAATGTTCTTTAGAGGAACCTGCTGCCACCAGCTTCTCTCCCCTCACATGTCTATATCATTCTTCTAAGTTTCCTAATCCTGCCACCAATCTCTTGTCTTCAGACCATCCCATATTTCCTCTAATTATTTCCTTCAATTGTCATTTACTGAGCACCTGCTGCATGTAAGGTCCCCTGCTAGTTACAGGGACTACAGAGCAGAGTGACTTCTACCAAAGGAGCTCACATCCTAAGACAGACAAAGAAATGGACCTTCACAAATGGCCAGCCTAGATAAGTGCTTTGACAGGGTCATGCAAAGTGCTAGGTGAGAACTAAGGGTGGAGAAACTGTATTCCAGGGGAATTTGGCAACAGGCATAGTCTCTGATCCCACCCTCTTTAGGGTTGGGAGTCCCCTCTGAACACCTCTGTGTTTGTGTCCTCTGTTGTCTTTTCCACCTTGCACTGTAATTGTGCATTTTCTCAGCTGGCCTCCCACCAGGCAGTGAGCAATCTAGGCAGGACCTGTGCTTCCTTAATAATCCTTGTATTCCTACCCCACAGCACAGAGGGATGACTCGGAATATGTTGTAAGTTCTAGTGTTTGATGACATTTGTGCTGGGCCGTGAAAGATGAGTCAGAATTCAACAGGTAGGGGAGGGAAGAATAAACTCACTTGTGCCTAGCTATTATAACCTACAGTGCCTTCATCCCTACTTCTAGTTATTCAGGATGAGAGCCGCAAATCAGCCAGGAAATGAACAGCTAATGGCAGAATTTCAGGTACTTGAGGAGGCAGAGAAGTGGACTAGGTAAATTTCCCAATGCCTATCTCCATCACTGAAGTTCCTTCTGATATATTTTCAGGATTATATGAAAGACTGTTAGACAGGTGATCTAACTATGTCCCCATGATGAGAAATGCTATCAGTCCTCTACCTTAGCCTCAAATGAGTGATTTAGGGACAGTCCTAGGCACATAGATGTTTATAAATTATTTGGGGGCCACTTCTATAAGTGAGGCAATGAGGTAAAGCCCAGAGAGTATGAGCTTTGAAGTCACAAAGACCTAGGTCCCAGCCCAGCACCACCACTTCCCTGCAATAAGTTCCTGAGAAAATCACTTAATTTATTTGAGCCTCAGTTTCCCACATCGGTAAAATAAAGGAAATAATCATAATACTTCATTTCATGCGTTCTTATAAAGGTTGAGTGAGATAACAGGCCTATGTATGCCTAGTACATAGCAGATATTCAGGAAATGTGATATTTTGATCCTTGTCTCTATTGTGACAATTCCAGTTTCAGAACCGTAATTGTTACAAAGGTTGATTTTCTATTTAGCAGAAGCCAGAGGTGCATCTGCTCCTGGATGCTGCAATGAGAACTTGGACTGAGTATCCTGAGCTTCTTGCTACACATCCTTGGCCAAGGCACTGCCCCTCTCTGGGTCTGTTTCTTTATTTGTAAAATGAGGGAATGAGACTAAATGACCATTCCTTCTAATCTCAAGTTTTAAGTTTCTCTGGTTATGACGAGGTCTGTTTAGGTAGGGAAAATCTGATATTCTCCTCCAATTGATTAAAAAGTGAAAGACAAGAGTCTGACGGTTCTTCCAATTCCATTTACAGCTTCTCTGGCCTTTGTTATAAACATCTACTGTGAATCAGGCCTTATATGATTAGGTGCTTATTCAATCATCCCCACCACCTAATGTTCTCATTTCATAAATTTTGAAAGTGCATCTGGGGAGGTTAAGAAGTATGGTCAAAATCCGTCAACTGGTAAGTGCCAAAGTCATTGCTCTTTCTTCCAAATTACCAGGCATCTCATGGGAAAATCACACTTGCCTTGCCCCTCTGTCCCAGACCCTGGCTCCAAAGTTTCTGGTCTTCCCCATCATAAGGCCAGAGACAGAATTCCCAACATGCCCACAAAGGTGTCTACGTATAATAGGCTCTCAATATATTTTTGTTCAATGAATAAACGGGTGAATGAGGAGTGACTGGATGGACAAATAGATGGATGGACAGATGGATGGTGATAGGGTTTGGCCCTGTCTCCACCCAAATCTCATCTCGAATTCCCACATGTTGTGGGAGGGACCCAGTGAGAGGTAATTGAAAGGTCTTTCCTATGCTGTTCTTGTCATAATGAGTAAGTCTCACAAAATCTGATGATTTTTATAAGGGGGAGTTTTCCTGCACAAGATCTTTCTGCCTGCTGCCATTCATGTAAGATGTGACTTGCTCCTCCTTGCCTTCCACCATGATTGTGAGGCTTCCCCCACCATGTGGAACTGTAAGTCCAATTAAACCTCTTTCTTTTGTAAATTGCCCGTCTCGGTTATGTCTTTATCAGCAGTGTGAAAATGGACTAATACAGATGGAAAGATGGATGGATGGATGGACGGATGGATGGATGAATGGATAGGTTGATGGAAGGGTGGATGGGTAAATGGGTGGGTGAGTGGGTGGGGGGGAATGTGTGGATGAGTAGAAGAATGGATGATTGATGGGTGGATAGAAAGATGAATGAAATTATAAATGATGGATGAGTGGATGGATGGGTAGGTGGATGGAAGGATGGATAGATATGTGCATGGATGGTGGAGGGAGGGAGGGAGGGATGGATGGATAGATGGATGGGTGAATGGAAAAATGGATGGATGCGTGGATGGATGGGTGAATGAATGAGTGGGTGTGTAGGTGGATGAAAGGATGGATAGGCAGATGGGTAGGTGGATGGATGTATGATCAATGAGAGTAGAAATTTAGTCTTTTCCCTTTTTGTATATATGATTCAAAAACGACATGACCAACCAATACCAGCATCCATGGGAAACATTTAAGACATTGCTGCAAGCCCCCAGGAATGTTTCTAGGCAGGAATGTTCTAAGGTGAAGCAAGTTAGGAGTCTAAGGTACAAAACTTAAGGAGGCACTCACTGTCCACAAATTTTGCCTCCCTGGGTGCCTCACTTGGCTCACCCTAGTCCCAGCCCTGTCTCTGGGATCATGTCCCCTCAGCTCTGCTCTAGTCTCTGAACCTCTTCTCTCTCTGTCCCTCATACCCTGCTCACATTATTCTAACCTTGACCACTGTATTTCCTTGACCAAGTGTTTTCCAACCCTAGCTACACAATAGAATCACCTGAGAGGCTTTCAAAAAAAATCCATATGTGGGCCCAGCCCAGTAATTTGAATCTGAAACTCTGGTGGTGAGGCCCAAGTATCAGCATTTGTTGAAAGCACCAAATTCCAACTTGCAGCCAGGGCTGAGAGCTGATGCTCTACCCCTTCTGATGGGTGACCCAGTTTTAGGCTGTTTTCTGTGGCACCATTCTCACCTACACTACCCTCTATAACAGATGCTAGGAGCAGGCTTCCCTCTGCTCCCACTGGGCTCCCCCAGGGATGATTAGTGAAACATCTCTTTCCATTTTTACTTATAGCCCTGTCACCCTGGGATGTAGCAAACTCCATAGAGACTAGGCTGGAGAATAACAATATAAAACATAATAGTTAGCATTTATTAAAAGCTTACAGTGTGCCAGAGGTGTGCTAAACTCTTTATGCGTGTTTCACTTATTGTCACATTAATCCTATCAAATAGATTCCATATTTAATCCCCACTTTGGAAACAAGGAAAGAGAGACATAAAGAGGTGAATAAACTTGCCCAAGATTACATGGCTAAGTAGAAGTGTTGGAGTTTAAATTGAGAAGCATGGTCCCCTGTCCCAGACCCTTCATTCCATGCTTGGTCCTTGTCAGCAACATATGGCCTCAGTCAAGCCCAGTGGCTTGGACTCTTAGACATCATGGATGATGAGTTCTTCCTCTTGGTGCAGGATGGCATTGTGGGTCTACTCCATGAACCCCCAGGTGTGCCTGGTTCCATCTGAATCTTAGGATGCCATAACTTAGATCACCAACTGGAACTTCCTTTCAGCACATATATTCCCCTACTTCATCCTCTCCACAGCCCTATGAGATAGGTTTTATTATTCCCATTTTGCTAAGCCTAAGAAGTTATATAACTTTCCCAAAGCAGCACAACTAGTCGATGGTTGAAATGTTGATCCATAGCTCTCAGATAGTGTGGTTCAAGCTTTTTCTCCTACACTGGATGAGGAAAGTTGCTATGGCTCAGGTGGTTAGAGAAGGCTGGTGGAGAAGTGAGGATTAAGCTGGGATGTGAACACACGGTACAGTTCAGATATGTGGGCGGGAGAAGGAAGAGCATTCCAAACAGAAGGAAAAGCATGAGCGATGACATGGAAGTGGAACTCAGAGGAGCATTAAAGCCATGGTGAATGGCTACAACAGGTCATTCATACAGTGCCACAATGACTCTGAGACTGGAGGGTGGGATAAGTCATTAAGGTACATTGGGAAGATTATTGAAAGCCAAGATCAGGAGCTTGGGCTTTATTTTATAGGCACCAGGGAGCCATTGAGCAGGCAAGCAATGTGTACAAATAAATGTTAATAGAATAGAAATCATCAGAATGAACCGGACAAGGCAGCAAGGAGCTGGCCAGGAGGTGAGTTTGGAAGTGATTACAATGGGCTGCATGAGAGGTAGGAGACATAGACTTGGGATGGGGGCTAGAGAAATTGAAATTGAGAAAGAGATAAGAAAAATCTAACAAAGAACAGTCTGCAGGGCTTATCTACTAATTAGCTGTGGGAATTAAAGGAATGAGATGCATCAAAGATGACTAGGTTACCATGTGTCTGCTGCCAGGACAGGAGCTGCAAAGGTGAACATTTATGGTCTCTGCTTCTATAAAGTATAGCGTTCAGAGGAATGCCCATAGATATCCAAACCATTATAGCTCAGGGATTAGCTACTGTCATAGGGGCATTCTCTGGCACCATTTCAACATTAGGATGCCTTGGTTCCTGTGCAAGACCTAGCCAGTGAGGCAAATTTCAAGCTCACTGTGACTTGACCATGTGACACCGTGGAAGAAGTAATAATCTTGGCAGTGTGGTGACAGGAGAGAGGGGAGGAGGTCAGGGGAGGAGATGCATACTGATGATTAGGATAAGGGGCCGGGTGCAGTGGCTCACACCCCTAATCCTAGCACTTTGAGAAGCCAAAGCAGGCAGATTGCCTGAGTTCAGGAGTTTGTGACCAGTCAGGGCAACATGGGAAAACCCCGTCTCTACTAAAAATACAATAAATTAGCTGGGTGTGGTGGTGGGCACCTGTAGTCCTTGTTACTTGGGAAGCTGAGGCATAAGAATCTATTCAACTCAGTAGATGGTGGAGGTTGCAGTGGGCCAAGATCGCACCACTGCACTCCAGCCTGGGTAACAGAGCAAGACTCTGTCAAAAAAAAAAGAAAGAAAGAGAGACAGAGAAAGAAAGAAAAGGAAGGAAGGAAGGAAGGAAGGAAGGAAGGAAGGAAGGAAGGAGGGAAGGAAGGAAGGAAGGAAGGAAGAAAGGAAAAGAAAGAAAAAGGGGACTTTCAGGCAGAAAGAACACATGCAAAGACATAGAGGTGTTAGAGGTGTTCCACATGATAGCATGTTTTAAACTCCAAGATTTTGAATCCATTGGCGAAGGGCAAAACAGAAACAGAAATAAGACAGACCAGAGGAGCGGTTTTGGGGAGATCATGAGTACAGTGCTTAAAAGCAAAAATTTTGGAATCAAAAGAACATGGATCAGTTGTAAGTTATAGGATATCCTACAAGTCACTTTAACCTCTCTAAGCCTAGTTTTCTCATCTACAAAATGTGATTATTATTTACTGTAGAGTGTTCTTGGAAGGATTAAATAAGAAAATATAATTAAAGCACTTAACATAGGACCTGGCACATATATGAGTTCAATAAATGATAGTTGGAGGTCTTCATACTAACATGGATGAGTTTATATATGATTAACATTGACATGTCAGTGAACACGCCCAACAGGCACTTAGATATTGGGGGAATTGAGTGCAACTCAAGGTCAAGGCACTTAGATATTGGGGGAATTGAGTGCAACTCAAGGTCAAGGCAAGGAGAGGTGATCGTCAAAGTCCTGAGACCACATAAGTCCATCAAGGACTTAGATGTCAGGAAAAGGGCAAAGGCAAAGAACTGAGTCTCTGGGATATTGTAAAAAACTTTTTGCTTAGTGCAGGGGGAGGACTAAGAGAAGCCAGGACCAGACCTCTGTGGTCTCATGGAAGCCAAAAGAGGTGAGAACTCAAAAAGTAACTCATGATTGAATGCTTGACCAAGATGTTTTTAGGTGACCTTTGAGAGAATAATTTCTATAAAATGACCAATGCTGATCAAGTTGTAAAAGATCAGGAAGACAGTAGGTGGGAGAGAGTAGAAGGATGAAGTTCACTTGGAAAAAGCAGGTGACCTGAGTTCTAGGTCCCATTCTGCAAATAATCCTATCCCTTCTGGAAGGCCATACACCCCTTCTATGTATTTTTCATCATCTATAAAATAAGGATAGTGGACAAGATAACTTCTAAAGTCCATTTCAGCTCTCATATTCTGAGCAGCAAATCAGAATCTGGGACATTGTTAGGAGAAGATTAAGGAAGACTTGTTAGAGATGTTGTGGAGGCTATACAATTTCCTCCCTCTTTCTCTGTCTGCCAGCTGCTCCATCCTGGAGAAAGCAGCATGCAGCAGGCAGCCTCTCAGACAGCTCCAGTGATCTCTTCCTCCTGTATTCAAGCACTTATGTAATCCCTGCCCCTTGAGTGTGGGTTAGCCT
This sequence comes from Homo sapiens, assembly GCF_000001405.40. Classification (NCBI taxonomy): domain Eukaryota; kingdom Metazoa; phylum Chordata; class Mammalia; order Primates; family Hominidae; genus Homo; species Homo sapiens. The sequence goes on along the minus strand of NC_000017.11, from coordinate 33,390,887 downwards.
TGAGTGCCATGCTTCTAATGAAGAAAATATGGCAAAAGTGATAGATATTACCTCTGAGATGACAAACAGACTCAAAGAGCCTGTCTCTGTGTTCCAAAGAGACTGAGGCTCTCGTCTTGCATGATGTCCCGTGCGCTCTGACGCATTCTGAGTAAAGCCAGTTGCCCTTTTATGAGCTGCCCTGTGGAGAGGTCCTAGCGGCAGAGGACTTGTTGGCTCCCAGCCGAGTGAGGATTTCAACAGTCCTCAAGAAACTGAATTCCACTAACAACCACAGAAGTCCCATGTTGAGTCTTCAGCCCTGGGAGACACTCTACAGCCTTGTGAGAGACCTTGAGGCAGAGGCACCAAACTAAGCCATTTCTGGATTCCTGGATTGCACAGAAACTCTGAGATAATACATGGTGAGTTTTTTAAGCCACAAAATTTTGGGGCTATTTGTTGCATAGCAATATATAATTACTAACTACATGAATACAAACAAAACAATTGAGCTGCACTTTTAAAGAAAGAGAAGAGTTCACTAAAGGAAGAAAAGAGAAGAGGGAAAGGGGCTTCTTTTTTTTTGAGGAAGGGGGACCGAATCTCGCTCTGTGGCCCATGCTGAAGTGCAGTGGCGTGATCTCAGCTCACTGCAACCTCCGGCTCCTGGGTTCAAGTGATTCTCCTGCCTCACCCTCCTGAGTAGCTGGGATTACAGGCGTGTGCCACCACACCTGGCTAATTTTTGTCTTTTTAGTAGAGACAGGGTTTTGCCATGCTAGCCAGGCCAGTCTCAAACTCCTGACCTCAAGTGATCCACCTGCCTCAGCCTCCCAAAGTACTGGAATTACAGACGTGAACCACCACGCCCAGCCAGAAAGAGACATTTCAAGCAGAAGGAGCAGCATGTGCCAGTCTCAGGCTGGGCCTCAGCAGGCCGTGATTCTTGAGGCTCCACATGGAGCCCAGCACAGAGTTGGTCATTCGTACTTGCTTGATGAAGTGTATTGTGTTTCACTCATCATTGTTATTTACCCACAACCCTTGGAAAATGTTGTTTGTGCTCAAGCCTCATTTCCCCAAACTCATCTTATCATCATTCCTGTTCATAAATAGTTTCCCAAGTATCTCAGGATTTTCAGGAATGCATGCTTGCCTACAGATTCACATGCATGAAGACAGACAGAATATTCTTGTCAGGGGCTATTGTGATAAGTGCTTTCCAAATCTCTTCCTTGATCTTTCCTCTGCAGACAGATTTAACTAATGGGCTAGATGTCTTAGTCCTGAATGAGTCATCATTAATTTCCTACCCAGCCTCACTCATCACAGCTAGCCTCATAGTTTTTTCATGTTGTCTTTGCTCTGCTGACATATTAGCTGAAACCCTGCCCAGCAATATTTCATATTTGATGAGATTTCCCTTTGAGCCTAGAATCCACTAACAGAATTGGGGTGACCTCCCTGTAGTATTCATTTGTAAGTCTTACTATATCCATTTTCCTCTTCTTTTAGTGTTCATATCAATATTCCTCAGCCTCCTTTGCAGTTAAGTTCAGACTCAGGTGACTGGTTGCAGTCAATGAGCTGTAAACAGAAGGGATACATTGTGCCATCTGTTTGCGTGCAGTTAAGAGTGGGAGAGAGCCAGGCACGGTGGCTCGTGCCTGTAATCCCAGCACTTTGAGAGGCTGAGTCGGGTGGATTGCTTTGAGCTCAGGATTTCGAGACCAGCCAGGGCAACACAGCAAGACCCTGTCTCTACAAAAAATACGAAGATTAGCCAGGCATGGTGGCTTGTGCCTGTAATCCCAGCTATTTGGGTGGCTGAGGCATGAGTATTGCTTGAACCTGGGAGGCAGAGGTTGCAGTGAGCCAAGATTGTGCCACTGCACTCCAGCCTGGGTGACAGAGTGAGACTCTGTCTCAAAAACAAACAAACAAACAAGAGTGGGAGTAACTTCTTCATGAGCTCCTGAGCTCAGGGCTGCTGATGTGGCCGCAGAGGCCATGAATTGAGATGGAGGTCTTGCAAGTTGGAAGCAGCCTGGATTGCTGGGTTACCACAGGGAGTGCAGCCACACTGCCTTGGACTTTGTGTGAGCAAGAAGTGAACATTTGCTATATTAAGTCACTGAAATTGTGGGGCAGGCATTGATTACCACAGCAGAGCCTAGGTTGTACTAAGAGACACCTGGGCTCACAGCACTAGTCTATGCCATGTGGTGAACTAGTCAATTACCATGAGAGGCAGGTCTGGACCAAATTATTCCTAGAAATGCAGTCAGAGCCATCCTGGTGAATGAGTGATCACTGCTGATAAAAGTCTGTATCCTTAAGAAAGGGGAAAAGACCATCCATGAATATGCACACATGAGAAGTGGGGTAGAGGGTAAGCAGCCAGCCTCTGGGATGGCTGGAACTTCCACCCACCTTCATTCTCTGTGGTATGGGTGTACTTTGATCAGATCACCTTTTCTACAAAGGTGAAAACTGTGTGGCCAGCAGTCCTGGGCCCATTCTCACATGTAGTGAGGGGCTTAAAACAACAGATATTTATTCTGTCAGAGTTCTGGAAGCCAAAAGTCCAAAATACGTATTACTAGGCTGAAGTTAAGACATCAGCAGGGCTGTACCCCCTCCAGAGGCTCTGGGGAAGAGTCGATTCCACGCCTCTTTCAGCTTCTGCTGGCTGCTGGCATTTCTTGGCTTGTGGCCAGTGGCCACATCACTTCAATCTGCCTCAGTGATCACATTGCCTTGTTTTTTTAATTTGTTTGTTTTGTTGTTGTTGTTTTGTTTTGTTTTGCTTTGCTTTGTTTTTTTGAGATGGAGTCTCTCTCTATTGTCCAGGCTGGAGTGCAGTGGCTCAATCTCAGCTCACTGCAACCTCTGCCTCCCGGGTTCAAGCAATTCTCCTGCCTCTCCCTCCTGAGTAGCTGGGATTACAGGTGCGCACCACTACTCCCAGCTAATTTTTGTATTTTTAGTAGAGATGGGAAATCATCATGTTGGCCAGGCTGGTATCAAATTCACATCGCCTTTTCTTCTGTCTGTGCTCAAACCTTCCTCTGCCTCCCCTTTTCTTCCTAGGTGAAAAAATTTAAGATCTCCCCTCTTAGCAAATTTCAAGTATACAATAAAGTATTGTTAACTATAGTTACATTGTTGTATGTACCTCTCTCTTAGAAGATTGCTTTCCGGGCCAGGGTAATGGCCCCATCTTAAGAGCCTTAAGTTAATCACAGCTGCAGCGTCTTTGCCATATTAGGTGACATTTACAGGTTCCAGAGACTCTGATCTGATTTGTTTCGGGGCAGCGGAAAGTGGGAGTGGCGCAGGCGCGCAGAATTGCTCAGCCTACTACATCTGGCTAGGTGAGAGAGGGTCTGTGTCTTGCCAGAAGAATGAGAAAGAGGTTGCAGAAAGAGAAAAATGATAAAGGTCCTAACCATTTCTCTGTTGGTACAGGACTAACTCCCTGGTTGAGAAGGAAGTCCCCTCTGCTGACTTGGACATCTGATTGAGAAAAGAGCCAACAAACACTCCTGTTAGCACTTGGCTTGTTCCGCAAGGACTGGGTCACAGCTGGGTCTGAATCCTTTGATGAGTTCCTTAATCTTTCTGAGCCTCAATTTCTTCATCTATAAAATGGAGATAGAAGAGTACTTGTTGTCTAGCTTTGTTGTGATTTGTAAATGAAAGAATGCATGTAAATGACCAGGTGCAGTGGCTCACACCTGTAATTCCAGCACTTTGGGAGGCTGAGGCAGATGGATCACTTGAGGTCAGGAGTTCGAGACCAGCCTGGCCAACATGGTGAAACCCCATCTCTACTAAAAACACAAAAATTAGCCGGGCTTGGTGGCAGGGGCCTGTAAACCCAGCTAAACTCTAAAGCAGCTAAAATCCCAGCAAAACTCTGTCAAAACACACACACACACAGACACACACACACACACCCCAAAGAATTTATGTAAACGCTTAGCATAGTGCCAGTCACACACGAGCCACTCAGAGGTCTTCATGGAAATGCAAAGGCCAAGGTTCTGAGGGAAGCAACTTGATGTGTTGGAGGAACTAAAATAAAAGACACGCAGGAAGTCTGCGAGTCATGCAGTAAATGACACTAAATGAGGCCGAGAGATCAGAAGGGGCCACTCTTTCCAGGGACCCATGGACCACATTAAGGATGTTAATGGGATTGCTCTTAGGTTAAAAACCATAGAGCAGGGGCGTATGTGACCCAACAGATCACTCTTGCTCCTGGTTGGAGAATGATGTGGCATTAGGTATAAATTAGAGTCCAGGTGAGGGATGGCTGCAGCTCAGAGAGGTGGCAGTAAAGTCATTGAGGGAGAAGTGGATGGTTTCAAATTCTATTTAATAGGTAAAATCAATATAGCCTAGTGACTAATTGGATCACAGCAGTAAGGCAGAGAGAGATGGCAAGGATAACTCCCAGGTTTTCAACTGAGTATACAGTGGTGCCATTCACTGGAATGAATAACTCTTGGAAAGCTTCAGGGGTGGTAAGAGAGGTGGAATATAGGGGAAAGTGAGAAATCCAGCTTTAGATAGATGAAGTAGAAGGTGAATATGAGACAGACAGTCACATGGAGAAGCAAAGTGGACACCTAGGGATACAGGTGGGTCTCTAGAGGTCAAGGGTGGAGATAAAAGTTTCTGTCATCAGCCTAGACTTGGCTGTTGAAGCTGCATATATTTGGGAGAGAGCACATAGAGAGAAAATAGAGAGGGAAAAGAATTTGTTTCAGTTTGGCAAACATCTCCTTGTGCCAGTCTGGATAGATACTAGGAATACAGGGGTGAATAAGACATAGTGCCTTCAGTCTGTTAGATAAGTAAATATCACGTTATGTGTATAGTAACAGACAACTGCCAAGGTAGAGAGGTAGGTGTCATTATCTCTGCGAGGGAGCAGTCCGGCAGGTGGGTCCTGTAAACCTTGGCTGATCACCATCATAAGAGCCCCTGGCTCACAGTACACTATCTTATCTCCATCAGGGCTTTGCCATTCCTCCTCACAGTTATCACCTGGCCTCCAGACAGGGATTCCTCTGCCCATTCCACCCAGTCTTTGCAGACACAAACTGCAGAGTTTGTGTCTTTTCTCTCTGCAGCCTATGGATCTGTCCTCACACTGGACACTTCTTTCTTCTCAGCTTCACCAGGCAAAGCTTCCTGCCAAAACTCTGCAGAGTTGCAGAACTTTTCACTCCGGCAGGCCTCATCAGAAAAGTAAAACTAATGAACTTGCTGCATTACGCAGCTGTCTCCATTAGTAATGAAATCCTTTTATTACAAGAGATTAGTTTAAAACATGTTATTAAACAGATCAAAATGAGCAATAGTAATGAAAGTTGTTAAAATGCAAGGCATGTGAGAGAACAGCTTACCCCTGAAATAAGAAAAATCTGAGTCAGAATTGGAACGGTTTTATGTGGGAGGAGAGAGAGTGATGTACCCTGAAGACAGACGGTGGGATGCAGGAACAGTGGCCACAGCTTAAATGGTGGGGTTCACTCAGGAGAAAGCAGGGTGCTGAAAAGAACAGCTCCTGGTGAAACCCAAAGGGAGGGGCTCAGGGGCTGGGGAGGGAGGCCAGAGTGAAGAGCCCGGGAAAAACCCAGGCTGAAGAGTGGGCAGCAGCCAAAGATAGTCTATTCAGTCTTATACTCACAGCAGAGTATTAGTGGCTAATGCATGTCGAACACTTGACCTGTGTTAACATTTTGCTAAGTTCTTCACTTGTACATTTTATTTAATTCTTACAACAAAGTATGAGGCAGGTATTGTTATCATTCCCATTTTACAGACAAGTAGCCCCAGAGAGGTTAATGTCTTGCTCAAGCCCATGCAGCTAATAAAGGAGAGAAATGGAATTTGGAATTTGGACCTATGTCTGTCTGACTTTAGAGCATTCACTCCTAATCCTTGCATTATGGGGGATGGGCTTCACATCAGAAGAGATGGCCCTGCCTTCTGGGTATTTATGATGGCATTGGGCATATGAGACCCATGGATATGAAATGTAAACAACATAGTTATCAAGGAGTGTGAGTACCAGTTAAGGGGACTTGGGCTCATGTTCTAGGGACTCAGATTGGCTTGGGCTGGCCTAGAGGGCTAAGTCTATTTGCAAAGGAAAAGGAGGAACCTTACAGAAAGAATTCTATCTGAGCACAGAGAGGACTGAAGGACACGTCCTTCTTCCAAGGTCAATAATCCGCCCTTGGCAGAACAGATACAGCATGGAGTGCATCTCTAATAATACCCACTTTTCCATTCTCCTCCTCACTGGACTGGGGGAGTCTAGGGAAACTCACAGTGTTAAAGTAACAGGTAAACAGACATAACTTGGAATTTTAGCCTGTCAAATGTGGATGGCACCTGGAAGTTGATACTTCCCTCCGACATCATAATCCCTCCCATAACACTCCTGACAATCAGTTCACAGAAAAAAAAGATCCTAGCATCACAGGGCAGCTCATTCTCCTAGTGAACAGCACTGACTTATTAGAGCATTCTTTCTTATATAGAACAGAGATATGTCTGGCTGACACTTTTACCAATTAATATTAAATCTGTCCATTAGCCTTACAAAATCACCCTTCAATGTGACAAAATCTTGGGTATTTGGAAAGGGCAATCATGTTCCTTCTTAAGTGCCTATTCTACAGGGTAACATTCCCTAGGTTTCTTGGATTTGAGATGTCTCAGTATCAGATCACTTTCCTAGGGACATGAACCACTTTGGGACAAAGCCCTACTTAACAGGTGGGGGCCAGAAGTGAGTATCCCATTCCAGGTGCTGACAGACAACAGCCAAGTCCAGGGAGACAATCTCTTCCTTCCTTCTAGTTCCTCTACTTTTAATAATGCATGCTTAGCTTCCACTCCTAACAGCCACACCACTCTCTGGTTTGTGTTTAACTCACTCCTGAGTAAACAAGCCTTTGATGCTTCTGCTAAGTCACGCCACCCCCTTCCAATCCCTCCCTGTGCAGTTAGTTTCTGGACCCAGTATTAATCCCTGCTAAATTGGTTGACCCTTTGTTCCAGCTTATTGCGATCATTTTGGATCCTGATTCTGTCATCTGACATAATCACCATCCCTGCCACTGTTTTGTCATCTGAAAATGTGATGAGCAAAAGCTCATTGTATTTGTCTGAGTCATTGAAAGAAACATTGAATTTGTCAGGCCAAGAGCAGAGGCCCAGGGTGGGGCCCTGGTGGGGGCTAACCTGACTCTGTCTCTAGATGTCCAGACAGTGAGACATGGAGGAATTGATCCACGTGTGTCAAACTCACAGAAAAGCAAAGTATGAGTCAAAAGATCAATTTACTATTGATATTGGGATGAGTTTCTGCCACAAAGCCTGGAATTGCCAGTCACTTCATGATAATTTTCTGCGTATCCATTTCTTGGTATCAACAACCTGGGAAGTACCTTCCACTCCCAGGAGGTAGGAGCCGAACATGCTACTTTCAAATTAAAAAAGAAGTGAATCTGCTTAAGGGATATTTCCAAGAAGACAAGGCATGGTTTTCCCTCCAAGATATAGACACCCAGGCACAAAGGCAATCCCAACATGGCCTCACCCTCAAACCACTCATGATCTAATGAAAGGAAAGGGTATAAAATCACTTTTTGAAATCCACGTAATAAGTGCTCTAAGAGAGGGGTACTCAAATTGCTATGGGACCCAACATAGGAGATACTAACTCTACTGAAAGGACTTTAAAAATTTTTCACAGAAAAGCTGACATCTGAGGTAGGTCTTGAAGAAGGAATGGGAGGTTTTTTGTTTGTTTTTTTGTGTGTGGTGTTTGTTTGTTTGTTTGTTTGTTTTTTATATTCCCTGAACTCATTCTGTGGGCAGGGAATGAGTTTTCTAGGTGAAGACAGGAGAAAGATCTTGTAGGCACAGGGAACGGCAGACCTGAAAACATGGACCAGAAAGAGACATGGCAAGTCTGGGAAACAGTAAGAAATTTGGGAGTATGGGGTAAGTAGAAAACAAGGCTAGAAAATTTATTTGTCCTCATTTGCTACAACACTTGTCAAGCTGCTAACATGTACTGAGTATTTTGTTTACCACTGGTGCATGAACAGATGAAGATGACGCAGTCCCTGCTTCAGAGAACTTACTAGTTGTGAAATCTGCACAAGCTCCTTAGCCTCTCTGATCCTCAATATCCTCCTCTATAAAACAAGGATAGTCAAACTCATGTTACAGGGAATCGAATGAGCTGTTTGTGGATTATGCAGCACAGTGTCTGACATGTAATAGGTCTGCAGGGCAAACCCATGATGGGCACCTTCCTATTTTCCTTATGTGACTTCACATAGTATGGGGCTGAAGCTTCATGGATCCATCACTTGTGTTTGTAGCATAAGAGATACTGCTTTTGATGCAGCCTCCTGCTGTGAAGAAGGCCATTTTGGGGTCTGGAGACATATCTTTCACCAGCCTTCTGATAGAGAGGCCTCCCACCGTATCCATAGTGTAGTGTCTCTGGAAAAGAACAAATTTGGTCTAAAACTTCAGCATCATCGATTCTTCTTTTCAACCGAAAAAAAGGTTCTCATTTTTAATCTGTGTCTGTTTGCATCCTGTTTTGAATCTGAGCTCTGCATGGCCCAGATTCCTGCCCTAAGTTCAGATGGATTCTGAAAGGTATTGGAACAGGAATTAGGCCCACCTGCTGAGAATATTTCTCCCACTTGAGTCCTGGAAGGAAGTCAAGTGCAGAGACAGCGCCCGGTGTCTGGCAGAGCAGGTGACCCACAACAATATGAGCACAGTACAACCCTTCAGCACCAGGGAGATCCAACGTGGGACTAACATGGGGTCCTACAACAAAGAACTGAGGGGCATTGAACACCCACCATGCAGCAATTAAATATATATTACTACGCATTCCCTGAGTTCTTATGCATCAAAAACAGTGCCAGTGTGTATCCCTCACTTTGGTTCATCTTTACAGTAACCCTCAGAACAAAGTACAGTTTATATTTCTGCAAAGGAATCCAAGATTCAGAGAATTTTATGGAACTTGGTATAGGCCATTCGGCTAGTAATGGAGGAGTTGGGATTTGAGGCTGGGCCTGACTTTGCCATGACCTATGCTTTAATATCCTTTATGATCATAGGAATAGCTACCATATTTTGAGCACCTACCCTGTGTCGGATACCATGAGCAGCTCTTTCTATACTTTTTCTCATTTTCTCCTCCAAATGAACTTCCCAAGTGGGTGTTATCATCACTAGCCACACCTCACAAAGAGAGTTTCAGTGCCCCCCCGGGGCACATACTGCTGGCAGCAGAGTTGAGTTGGAACTATCTGACTCCAGGGCCAGCATTTTCCCTATCCTCCTGGATGAAAGCACACAGGCAGATGCTGCCGGAAGCCCAGACCAGCAGGCTATGTGAAGGAAGCCTGCGGCTGGGCTGGACTTGCTGGGCATGAAAGCAACTGGTTCCAGCTGTGAGAGGCAGAGGCGGCAGCGCCTGAGCAAAGAAAGTTCCTCCCCCCATGCTCTTGGTGCCTCAGCCCAGGATGGGTGTGAACCAGCCTGCTCCAAACAAGTCAGGTTTTCCTCTGGTTTATTAAAAAGGAGAGTTCCTGCCATGGCATTTCCAGTAAATAACACGGCTAGCTTTGGTTTCAGAGCCAATAAATCCTCTCTGAACAACATTAATGTCTGCTGGAGATGGAATAAGAGTTCTTCACTTTGTTCTCTACGGACAAAGCAAGCACAGCCACCGGCCAAGTGCTACAAGCTCCTGCTGGGAAAAGCCACAGTTCTCCTTCTCCTGGCCCAAACCCTGCCATCTCGAACTGTGAGCCGAGATTCCAGCTCTTCTTTAAAATACAAATCCCTCCAAGGGCCTCTTTGGCCCACTTTTTTCTCACTGGGGCAATTCTAGGCAAGTGTGCAGAGGGTGCACAGTAAGGAGTGTAGCCTGAAGAAGGTCAGCCACCCAGGTGCCACTCCATTGATTTCACACAGAGAGACTGGACCTTTCAGAGGCCAAAGGAACATCAGGGCTGCCAATCTGTGGAATAGCAGCAATTATGAGGCACTTGAGAAGGAACCTCCGCCTTTTAAAAATGCAGACCCATACTCAGGCCTCCTGCAGTTCAAGGGCTCTTTGGGGAATGTTGCATCCTTGATGAGGGACAAAGGAGGCAGCCTCACAGCCCATGACTATGCTCTCCAAGGCAGCAGAGGGATCAACCACTGAAAAGCTGATGACCACTTTCCAGCGACAGCTTGGCCTAGACCCTGAGGAGAAGAATATAGATTCTGGATGTAAAACATCTGGAGACAGATGGGTCTCTGTCGTGGGCTGTTGTGTGATGGAAGCCTGTCACTCCCTGACCTCCCTGACCTTGTTGTTTTTTCTCCTGCATAAGATGAAGGTAACACTTTCTACATCAAAGATAGAATTTAAATAGCATGCACATAGAGTGCCTAGCATACAGTAGGCACTTAATCAATGTTTACGCATCATGATCATCATCATCATCATGTACATGATAAGAGTCAATGTAACCATTTCTTTTCTTTTCTTTTTCTTTTTTTCTTTCTTTCTTTCTTTCTTTTTTTTTTTTTTTTTTTTTTTGAGACAGGGTTTCCCTCTGTTGCTTGGGCTGGAGTGCAGTGGCGCGATGTCACCTAACTGCAACTTCTGCCTCCCTGGTTCAAGCGATTCTACTGCCTCAGCCCCCCAAGTAGCTGGGATTACAGGCACGTGCCAGCACTCCCGGCTAATTTTTGTATTTTTACTAGAGATGGGGTTTCACTATGCTGGCCAGGCTGGCCTCCAACTCCTGACTTCAAGTGATCTGCCCACCTCAGCCTCCCAAAGTGCTGGAATTAGAGGCATGAGCCTCCGTGCCCAGCAACTGTAACCAATTCTTAACAAATTCCTACTATGGACCTATTCTGTGCAAGACACTCAATTCCTACTCGGTGCCAGATACTAAAGTCAAGTTTAAATGATAATAAAAGAGATGTACATGGAATAGAGTGAGCTTGGTTTGTTCTCTTTAACACCCATCTTCACCTTGAGAGCCAGGCAGTCCCTTGGCCTCACCACCAATGCCCTCTATTAGCAACGGTAAAATGAATAAGAGCAGTAACTAATGTGTGAACCATAGCTGATCATCTAAAGGTGATGCAGATCACCTTGATGGTCCTCGCCACATTCCTAGGAAGAAAATGGAGCTGGTCTATTGCCTGCATCATATAGGGCTCCCTAAAGGATCAGCACAAGGTGCGAGAGGGAGGCAAAAGGTGTGAGTGTGAGGTTTGAAGAGCGAAACAGAAGCCCTCAGAAAATACTGGGGCATCCACGGGAATCCTCACCCCCTTAAAAGGTCCCAGGAGCTAGGAGTCCTATAAAATCTGGATATGTGGGAGACCAGTTGTGGATAAAGTGCTTAGAACCAAACAGCTTTCTCATTTCTGACAAAGGGGTAAATAACTTATGAGTGTGCCCCAGTCATTGCGTTGAGTGCTTTCCTTGCTGAGTTTATCTGAACTTCGCAACTGCCAGAGTGTAAGATATTATCAGCCCCCTTTTACAGATGAGAAAAACAAGGCTTAGGAGGAGTAAGTAACTTGTTCAGTCTCTGACACAGCAAGTAAGTGACAGAGCTTGCATTTGAAGGCAGGGCTACACCATGTCACCTCCTAAAACCATCACCATCACTACCCGTGAAAGCCACCAACTATGTGTCCTTTCCTCTGCTCCAGTCACTAACTGTATGCTTCCCATATGTTATCTCATTTAATGCTCCAATAACCCTTAAATGCTAATACCTGTGGATAATTTTTAGTTACAAAGTATGCTCCCTATGTACTGGCTGTCACTTAATCATGATACTAACCCTGGAAAGTAGTTGGGAAAATAAGACCCAGAGAGGTTAAGTCACTTGCCCCAGGTCACTCACAAGGATTTCTGCCCTCCAAATCTCAAGTTCATTCTGCTGTGTCAGATTCCAACTGCCTTGCTCCATTGCTGTTCCTGTCCAGATCCAAAGCTCAGCTCCATTTCAGGTGGACAACATCAAGGCCTAAGAAATGAAGCCGTGGCACAGCCACAGTTAAGTAGAAACATCCACTGATATGAAGAATCCCCACCATCTAACATTTTTCTGAGATTTGCTGCCTTCCTGCCAGTTCATTTCCAATCACTGGCATCTTTAAAATCACCTCTCACCAAAAGCCTGCTGCGTAATCTAATTTGCTACATATTTTGTCAGTTTGACCACCTTACTTCTTGAGGCAATTCTACCCACACTGAGGAATCAGAGAGTGTCAAGGGGCAGAGCATGAACCACCCAGAATGGAGCCAGCAGGAAGGATGGGTGAGGCGGAGGGGAGGCCTGCAGGGACAGCCCACTTCCCTGGGCCTGCAGACAAACCCATCATTCATGGGAGGGCCTGCAGCTGCTAGCCCTCTGAACCAGCTGAGGAAGCCTCTGGGGTTTAGAGTCCAGATGTTCTCTGTCTAGGAATTCACTAAATATCAGAGGAACAGGGGGCTTCCCTGCCTTTCAAGCAAAGCTGGTGGCCACAATGTTTAGCTAGCAGAGAAGGCAGTGAAGGAGCATGTATAGAACATGTATATGTGTCATGCATATGATCACAACAATCTCTGATGAAGCTATCATTCAAAATTTAGAAAGTGAGAAGGAAACTGAGGCACTGGAAAAAGTGACATGCTCAAGATCACGCAGCTGTAAGTGGACTTGACTCCCAGATCTACTGGCTTCACAGCCTCTATGCCATGCATAGAGCAGAGAGTGCTATCCAGTGCCACCTTGTGCCTACCAGGGGGTATCTGCTGAGCAGTCGTGGTGAGAAGGGACCTGTTATTCAGGGCAACCCATTTGGCTGCTGAACTGGTATTGCTCAGTGGCCTTATGGAGCCCCACTCTGTCCTATTCTCATATTTTGATAAAATAGCATGCAGTGATCTCTGGATTCTTTCATATTCTTGCATTGAGGCCCAAAAAGGGGCAATGACTTGACCAAGGTGCCAGCATCTGAACTGGCTGAGTCATATGTGCTCCACAATCAGAAACAGGAGATGAAGGTCAGAGGAGCTAGGGGTTGAGAAGACATAAAAAGTCTTCACAGAGAAAAAATTGTTTGAGCTGAGCCTAGAAGAATGGTGTGATGTCATCCAGATTGCAGAATGCATGGAAAAGGACTAGGGACCAGGAGGAGAAAAGAAAATGGACAAGTTGCAGAAGATAAGAATTATATTGGGGAAATCACAAGTACTCCTCTTTGCCTGGAGGGTAAGGCAGAGAGAAGGGACAGTATAAGATGAATGCGATTGGGTCAAAGCCATTGTGAAATTGGACATAAAAGATTGGCAATGAGAAGCCAGTGAGAGCTAGGTTTAGAAGAGAGAAATTCTCAAGGAGCCATTACAGCCATTTTAAAAGTCTTTCACTTGTAAGAAGTATTCTCCAGCTGTATTTATCTAAATAAAGAACTTTCTAGCTGGGCACAGTGGCTCACGCCTGTAATTGCAGCACTTTGGGAGGCTGAGGCAGGTGGATCCCTTGAGGTCAGGAGTTTGAGACTAGTCTGGCAAACATGGTGAAACCCCATCTCTACTAAAAATACAAAAATTAGCTGGATGTGGTAGCAAGTGTCTGTAGTCCCAGCTACTCAGGAGTCTAAGGCAGGAGAATCACTTGAACCCAGGAGGAGGAGGTTGCAGTGAGCAGACATCAAGCCACTGCACTCCAGCCTGGGTTACAGAGCATGACTCCATCTCCGCTCCCCCCCTCCAAAAAAAACTTTCTATCCTAGCAGATCTGAATTTGAAACCCAGCTTTTCTTCTTAAAGATTATAGGGAATGAATGAATTACTTAGCCTCTTTGATCCTTAATTTCTTCACCTACAAAATGGGGATCCTCAAATCTCTCTCCGGGGTGATTGTGAGAATTGAAAAATAATTTGTATAGAATATGTAGAAGAGTGCCCAAGGCCATGGTTAGTGCCCAACAACCGCTACATGAGATGATGATGATGATGATAATGTAATGAGGAAGAAAATGAAGAAGTGGCAGCAATGGCAGAGGAGCAGGAGGAGAAGGATAATTGCTCAGATAAGTTGGTTAAAGAATTCTGCTTATAGAGGAAGGGTAGTGAAATGGTCAAGATCATGGATTCTGGAGCTGTGTGAACTTTCGCAGTAGTTTAGCTTCTCTTTTTGCCAATTTCCTTGCTTTTAATTCAGGGGTAGTAACAGTGCCTGCTTCTCAGAATTGCGATGGATTGAATGTGTTGATATGCATAAAACACCTAAAGAATGCCCAGCACAGAATTAGTTCTCAATAAGTTTAAGATAAGATTGATTATTCCATGCACTTTGAAAAGCAGCTTGAAATGGACAATTTACATGGCACATGTATACATATGTAACAAACCTGCATGTTGTGCACATGTACCCTAAAACTTAAAGTATAATAAAAAAAAAGAAATGGACAATTTGGGGATGACTTACACAATTTGATGGGGAAAAAATGTGATTCAAAGGAGCACCCCATTAGCTCATTTCTCACCCAGCTGTATTTTTCTTTCCTGACTCTTTATTGTATTTGTATTCTTTTTTGACTGTCTTTTTACTCACTGGCCACTCCTTCTCAATCATATTGATTCTCCTTATCTCTCCAGCCTCTAAATACTGGAGTGTCCCAAGGCACAGACATCTTTTTTTAATCCTTAGGGTATGTCTTCCAGTCTATTGGTTTTAAATACCAAACATATACTAACAATTCCCTAGTTTATATATTTAGTCCACACATCGCCCAAGCTCCACACTCATAAACTTAACTGCCTATTCAACGTCTCCATTCAGATGTCTAACAGACATATTAAACTCATTGTGTCGATAACTTGAGTTCTTATCTCCACCCCCAAAACCAACATGTCCTTCCTTCTTCCCCACCTTAGTTAGCTGCTACTCACTTACTTTCAGGCAACAGGTTTCCTGAGCACTTTCAGTTACTCAGGACAACACTTGGAATTCATCTTTGGCTCCTGTCCTTTTCGATACCTTGCATTGCTACCTCCATTAGCAAATAGCTCTACCCTCAGAAATATTTCCAGACTTTGACTACTTCTCACCACCTCCCCTGCATCCACCAGGGTTCAGGCCACTGTGACCTTCCCTTGGATGACTTTGGAGCCTCCAAACTGGTCTGTCTGCTTCTTCCCTTGCAGTCCCGGTAGTCAGTCCACTGTCAGCCCCTGTAGTCAGTCCACACAGCAGCCAGAACTATCCTTTTAAAACGCAAGCCATACCCTGGCACGTATCTGCTCACTGCCTTTTAATAGTGTGCCGTAAACTTCATAATCAAAATTAAAGTCTTTACAAAGGCCTGCAAGAATCTTCATAGCCTGTCCCTGCACCTCCCTGACCTCTTCTCCTGCCACTCTCCCCCTCGCTCTCTGCCCCCACCACACTGCCTCTCTACTCTTCTTGAACATGCTAGGCACGGCCTGCCTGAGAGCCCGTCATGTGCTGTTTCCTCTGCCGGGAGATTCTTCCTTCAGAGAGCCACATGGCTCACTTCCTTGTTTCTTTCAGGTCTCTGCTCAAATGTCACCTCATCAGTGGGGCCTTATCTGACAAACCTTGATAAGAGAGCAAACACCCCCACCACAGGGCTCTCTGCCTGCCTAACCTGCCTAATTTTCTATGTAACACTTATCATCCTCTGACATACTATGTATTTACTATGTAATGAATAAATAATTAATTAATAATTCTGGCTCAGGATTACCTAAGGAGCATTTTAAAAACTCAGATTTCTTTAAAAAATAGATTCTTGGGCTCAGTAGAGACCTAGTGAAGCAGAATCTCTGACGGTCCCAACCTCCCTGGGCTTCTGTTTCCTTGTCGGTAAAATAGAGGTTATTCTCCATAACTCTCATGGCTGTGGTTCAAAGTAAACGAGATCATCTCTCTACAAAGGTGCTTAGTGCTTTGTCAAGCATATAGAAGGTACTTAACCATTCAGACACTCCTCCCTCATCAGTGAAAAATAGGCTCAGGGTCCTGTGGGTGCCAAGTGGAAACATTGAGGCAAGAACCCTGTTCCCTGGACTCCTGGTCTGGGCTGCATAACCTCACGCTCACACTTTCTCTGTCTACTACTATGCTGAGAGAACTGTAATTACCTGTTGGGTTCTTCCTGCCACTGCACAGACAAAATCAATTCACTGAGACCACAGCATTGCAGTAAAGAAAGAGTTTAATTGACATAACGCCAACCATGTAGGACAGGGAGTTATTACTCAAATTAGTCTCCCCAAAAGCTCAGAGCTTAGGGTTTTTACGGATAATTTGGTGGGCAGAGGGGCTGGGAAATAGGTGCTGCTGGTTGGTTGTGGATGAAATCATAGGGGTGTGGAAAACCATCCTCGTGCACTGAGTCCACCTCTTGGGGGTGCCACGGGACCCATTGAGTCATGAGTCACCGGTCTAGATGAGGTCAGACAGTTGCCAAAATGCAAGTCTAAAAATCAAAAGGCCAATTGGGTCGGGTGCGGTGGCTCACACCTGTAATCCCAGCACTTTGAGAGGTGGAGGCAGGCGGGATCACCTGAGGTCAGGAGTTCAAGACCAGCCTGGCTAACATGGTGAAACCCTGTCTCTACTAAAAATACAAAAATTAGCTTGGTTGGGTGGTGCGCACCTGTAATCCCAACTACTCAAGAAACTGAGGCAGGTGAATCACTTGAGCCCAGGAGGTGGTGGTTGCAGCGAGCCAAGATCATGCTACTGTGCTGCAGCCTGGGCCGCAAGAGTGAAACTCCATCTCAAAATAAGTAAATAAATAAATAAAAAATAAAGAACAGCAGGGCGCAGTGGTTCATGCCTGTAATCCCAGCACTTTTGGAGGCCAAGATGGGCAGATCACCTGAGGTCAGGAGGTCTAGAGCAGTCTGGCCAACATGGCAAAACCCCATCTCTACTAAAAATACAAAAATTAGCCAGCATGGTGGTGGGCCTCTGTAATCCCAGCTACTCGGGAAGCTGAAGCAGGGAATATCGCTTGAACCCAGGAGGCGGAGATTGCAGTGAGCCAAGATCACGCCACTGTACTCCAGCCTGGGCAACAGAGCAAGACTCCATCTGAGAAAAGAGAAAAAAAAGACCAATCTTAGGTTTTATAATAGTGATGTTATCTACAGGAGCAATTGGGGAAGTCACAAATCTTGTGACCTCTAGCCACATGACTCCTGAGCAATAAGGGATTATAGAAACTGCATCTACGTCTAGCAGAGTTCAGGCCTCTCTCAGAATCCTAATCTTGTGGTCCCTCATTAGTTTTCACAAAGGCAGTTACAGCCCTCAAACAGGGAGGGGAATACTGTTAGGAAGCAGCTATTATCATCCTTGTTTAACTATAAGTTAAACTATAAACTAAATTCCTTTGAAAGTTAGCTTGGCCTTTGCCCAGGAATGGGCCTATGCCCAGGAATGACCAAGGACAGCTTAGAGGTCAGAAGCAAGATGGAATCAACTATGTCAGATTTCTCTTACTGTCATAATTTTGCAAAGGTGGTTTCAGAACACCCTGTCCCCACCTAGCATCTGAAATATTATTCCTCTGCATTTCTGACCAGGTCGATTACATGCTCTATGGAACCCATTTCAAATAAGTGCCATAGGATCCAGGGACATATTATCCTTCCTCCTGGGTTCTCTTCTTGGCATGGAACAGATTTACTCACAGTATTCCTTAGCTCTGCCTTGAAAGCTTCAAAGCCATTCCCTTTCTGCTTATCCTAAGTCCCCACCCTTGCCCAAAGCATCAGAACCCCAGGGGCATCACTGATGGAGGTGTTCCCACGCCCTAACCCAAATTAGATGTGAGGTCAGAGAAAAGTGCAGAGAGAGAAAAGAGAACTCTCCTGTAACAGGCAACAGATCCCCTCCTGCCTCCTGGGCCTGGCCAAGCCTGTCCTTCCACTGCTGAGACCACGATGAGGGGCATCTACCCTCAGCCAAGACGGACCTCCCACCCTGAGGTGCAGACAATGCGTGGAAGCCCCATCACAGCTGTTTCACCACTGGGAGCTGTTACCTCCCAGGGGGCTATGGGCTGCCCAGATCCCAATGGCCAGCGGTTCCAATGGGGTGGGAATGTGGCTGGGGACTCAGGAAGAGAGCATGAGAGGCCAGAGTGTGGGAGGTGGGAGAGTAACATTACAGAGCCCAGAGGGTCCATGTGGAGACCAAGGTGAGGTCCAAATGAGGTCCCAGCAGCCAAGTAGGGAGAAGATGCTGGGAAGGGCGGTAGTTCCAGAAGGTCACCTGCAGATGGTGGCCACCAGCCCCTCACCCATTCAGTTGGCTTCATGCCCCTAAACCCTTTCTTACCTGCTGCTTTGTCTCATTCCCCCGGGCCCCAGGGGGTAGGCAGAGCTTTGATCCTATGTCCTAGGTGAGGAAACACAGGCCACCCACAAAGGAGATCACTCAAGGACAATGTAGCACCTTCTGATCTTGCTTTTTCACTGCCAGCAGAGCCAGAAGCCCCACTGTACTTCTGTGCTAACACCAGCTACCTATCACTCCTCCTTAACATCTGTATGCCTTCTGATTGCCACTTCCCACACCCTGATCCCCCTGAGAGCCCAGCCCTGCTACAGTTCTTAAAAACATGGACACTCGCAGCAGGAAGTATTTGAGCTGGCTCAGCCCCTATGCCATTTCATCTAGTGCAGCTCCAGCTTCAGGAGAGGCAGAGAGGGTCTGGGGGAGTTCTTCTTAAGTGTTATTCCTATCTGAATTCCTCTGGGGCTAGAGCCTTCACACTCAGTATTGTGACCACCCTCACTGCCTCCCCAGCTCACCTCCACCTGGGATGACGTGGTGATCTTCTACATACCCCTGTCCTCACCGTCTGCTCCTATGCCCTGCACAAACAAATTCATACATGGCTTTAACTTTCTCTTTTCAATTTCCAAATCATTTTAAAGGCTCTGGAGCCAATCTTCTCAGAGCCCTAAAGAACAATCTCTAAGGATTAGAGTCCCAGTAGACCTCATTCACACAAAGAGGAAGCACACACTGCTTTGAAATTTGCTTTTCTCTTTTATTTTCACCCTCTCCCTGTTAAAAAAAAAAATCCCAAAGTATATTTATAGTTTGCGAGTGTTTTCAGACATGTCACATCGTTTGAATTCCTCTGCTGGCCCTGATGAGCACCAGTATGTCCATCCCACAGGTGAAGGGAAAGTGAATAAGACTACGTCACACAGATGAGTCAGTGGCAGAGTCAAGATGTGAAAATCAAGCCTCAAGGAGGAAAGGAAGGTTTTAGTAAGATTCCCATCAGGCCTCAAAGAGCTCAATTATTTTTTGTTGTAGTTTTTCAGTGGCTTCCTGGGCCATGTGTTGTGTGACCTCTCCCTGTGAGCCTCTTGCTTTCAGCAATGCTTTCTTTTGGCTCACACAAGCACATACATGTGTCAGAGGCATTTGAACCAGAGCGACTCCATCTTGAGTGAGGGCTAGGAAAAATGAGGCTGGGACTTGCTGGGCTACATTCCCAGCAAGTTAGCTATTCCTAGCCTCTAGATGTTTACAGTTAAGGGGACAGATTCATAACATTTACTAAACAGACCCAGACTCAGGAATATCCTGATATCCCACTATCTTGAGAACAGAAGCATTCTTAATTTTGCTTTAAAGACAATAATATCAATTCTTGCAAAATATAGTAATAAAGAAAACTAATCTTTTATCACAAACCCTTGTGATATAGCAAAGCACATCTCCCCATGACTTTTTTGTTATCCTGTATATAAAGAAGCATTATACCTAGAGTGGGCGTGTTCCTCCTCTTACTTTCCTGAACACCCTACGCTGTCTATGGAGTAGCTATTCTTTCACCACTTTATTTTCTTAATAAACTTGCTTTCGCTTTGCACTGCGGACTTGCCTGGAATTCTTTCTTGTGTGAGATCCAAGAACTTGGGGTCTGGATCGGGACCCCTTTCCGGTAACACGTGTACATGCTCAGAGCCAGGAACTTGCCCAAGTGGCAGGCTCATAAATGGCATGACTGGGAGTCTTTTCCAAATCCTGCTTTCCTACTGTACCCTGCTGTGCTAGAGAGAATCCCAGTGGGAATCAACTAGTTTCTGGAGATGATTTCCCAATGCTAATCAAAGAATTTGCATGGTACATTCTGAGCTTTCCTCCAGCTGGGAGGTGTGGAATTCCTCACCCCTCCCTCCACCCTGCTTCCAGAGACGGCCAGGGTCTTTGAGTAACAGACCTTGCTTTGGTTTTGACTGCTAAAGAACCAGACCCCTCCCCTCCAGCCTTTGCTTGCAGGAGAGCTGTCTTTAATGAAGGCCTTGCACTTGCATTTACATTTCCCCTTATGTTGATTCTCCATAGGCAGAATACACATGTTCTAGGCTAATTTGTTGGAAAGCAGAGCATGGTCTGCATGCCCAGCTGCTCATTTTCCCAGTACTGCGAGGTTGCCCATTTGTTGGGGTTGGGGGTGGTGTTCTTTGATCAGAAAAGTCATTTAGGGAGCATTGTGAGGAGAACATGCTGAAATTCTCCTGCTCATTCCAATTCAGGTAGCTTGTCCAGGCTAGATTTGCCTGCATTGCGGGCTCAGATTTTTGCTCCCTGTAGGTTGCAGAAACTGAGCCTCCCATCAGCCTGTCCCTAAGGTGGCTGTCCTGGGGAATGCTGCCTGGTCTCCCTTATGCCATCAGCAGGCACTGGAAATAGTCATCTTCTCAGCCACATCATTGGTTGCATCATCTCTGGCCCTGCATGCCCCGAGGACCTCAGTCTTAGGAATCCAGACCTCTTTGGGAGACAATGCTGCAGAAATCTGATTAATTTAGTTGGAGTATGGCTTATGGGGTTAAAAGTGAGAGAATTTGGGGGCAAGCAGGTACCCTTCCATGAGACCCAAATACCTCATTGTGTTCCTTATACTAAGAATATGCTCTCGAAATGGATCACAGAAGAGGCATAACTCAATAACAACAACAGCACTAATAGTAATCATGCTCTAATGGAAAGAATATTGGCTTCAGCACCGGAAAAATCTGAGTTGGAATGCCAGCTCTGCCTCTTACTAGCCATGTGCTCTTGGGGAGTTATATAGTCCCACTGCCCCTTTGTTTCCTCCTCTGTAACATGGGGTAATCATTCCTACCTTGCAGGATTGTTACAAAGAATAAGTGACATGACATCAGTAGAGTGCCCAGTACCCAGCATGGCATGTGCTATGCTTTCAATTAAAGTGTCTTCCTGTGCATCATGCTATGTTATCCTCATGGCAGTCCTGGAAGGAGGCAAGGCAGGCTGGAATTATTCCCATTTACAAAAAGGGAAAGGAAGCCTCAAAAAAGTAAAGTGACTTGTCAGCAGTCACACAACAAGTAAGAGAAGAGCAAGGACTTGACATTGTCTAATTGCTACCTCTGGGCTTGTTCCAATTAGGTGACTCAGGCTCACAAATCACCTTCTCAAGGCAGCCAGCTCATTCTCAAAGTGGATTCAGGTACTAGAGAAATACTCTGCTTTTAACTCTTACTGGCTCTCCATGTGTCAGAGTCTGCTATTCTTAGGGAAGTGGGGTCTATGGCAGGTTCTTGGTGACCCTCCTGGAAATCCTATCAGCAATTTGAGATCTTTGGTTGGAACACTCACTGCCCTTTGATATTTTAGTTTTCTGGGATCTTTTTGCATTTGCTCCCATTGTTTTATTCACCACCAAGGATAATCTTCATAGGGAAGCAGAGGGCCTTTATCATGTTCACTCCATCTTGCTTTCTCCATCTTCAAGAACAGGAAGGTGGCAGACTTGTGTCTGGAGGGTTTATATCTGAGTAAATGCCACCTGAGAAGTGAGGTTCCCAACAAGGACATTGCCTTCCCCAGCCATCCAGCACCTGGTACCCATGTCCCTCTCCAGGGCCTCCCTGTGGAAAGTTTGTGGCATGGGAGAGGATCCTGAGCTAAGACGGGTGAAAGGAGGGCAGAGAAAGAAAGCCAGCAGAAGCAGCAGAACCTCCATCATTGGTGAGGAGAGAGGAAAGATGGTGGCCAAAGAAGCAAAGTCCAAATAAAGGGGCAAGATGAAGCCTTAAATGGGGGAGAAATCAAGAGGGGAAAAGTGCCAGGGGTCAGTGGTAACATGGAAAGTAGAAAGTGGTGGAGGTTAAGTCACGCAACTCAGTGCTAACGTTGGGAAAATGCTCTCCTTGTTTGTTTTGATTATCTAATGCTGCATAAGAAATTTCCCCAAAATCCAGTGGTGTAAGACAACCATCTATTAAACTCATGCCCTCTTTGGGTCAGGAATTCAAATAAGACTCCACAGGGAAGTCTGTTCTCTGATCCCTGAAGTCTGGGCCCTCAGCTAGAAACCTCCAGGGCTTGGGGCTAGAATTATCTGAAGTTTCACCCATTGGTGGTTAAGGCTGGGAAAACTCCAACAACAAACTCCATGGACATCTCTTTCTGTCTCCATGTGGCCTCTCTATCCCACCTCTCCAACATGGCAGCTTTAGGGTAGCCAGACTTCTTACATGTCAGCTCCCAAGGTGCATGCTGACACCAGGTGGAAACCATTTCACTTTTTATGACCTAGACTCAGAAGTCATACAGTACCCTTCCACTGTATCCCATTGATCAAAGCTGTTACAATGGTCCACTGGGTTCAAGAAGAGAGAGCATAGATTTAACTTCTTAATGGAGAGGTGTCATGCCACACTGTAAGAACTTGTGGAATGGGATACATATCCATGAGTCCATTTTGGAAAATATAGTCTACCATCTTGTCCAACTTCTCTCTGTGGTACTGTCTCATGCTACAGTGGTCAGTTTGTGTGGAAGTATAAAGGTATAAATACTGGGCCTCTTCTTGAAAGAAAGTAGACTTCAGAAGAGAATACCTAAGCTCGAACAAAGAAGGTGCTTGGCATATTCCTTTAGAGAAAAATAAAGCAAGTTCCAGGGGCCTCGTTATAATGGACAAGAGCTCTGCACTCTTCTATCTCAGCTAGGTTATTGTTTTGTTTTGTGGTCCTTGTTAACAATGGTGGCAGTCTTATCTTTATCAATTGCCCTGAGTTTTTACTAAAGATCTTTCTGAAAAGCAAGCCTGTTAATGATGCTGAGAAGAACCAAAGGAAGGCTCTGATTTTGCTCACAACAGAATTAGAAACAAAAAAAGAGTGAGTACCCCTGACAGCAGGCATGAAGGGAGGCAGGTATCAGAGTAAGCCCCCATGGGGAGGCAGACTCTGGGCAGCAAAGGTGCAGTTGCCCCTCCCTTGGCAACTTTCTCTGGGGAGCTTGTCTTAGCTGTGGAGCATTTTGTATCTTTCTTTAGTGAGATTCTTTTACAGAGAGAAGCAGTGGAAAGATCAAATTAGGAGTACTTCAAGGGAGAGGTGAAACGCCAGAGGGTTAGTGCCACCAGCACTTGAGCAATTGTCTTCCCTACACCAGAGTTCCTTAAGGGAGTTCGTGGAGTTTAGTACTTTGTATGTTACACAACTTCACTCTCTGTGCCTCTTCTAGGCCTGCCCTATACACTCACCTCTGAGCCTCTGGCTCCCTCCCAGCTCAATCCATCTCCTGAAGAATCTACTTCCTAATAGAATTCCCTGAAGGAAATGCCACTGGAAGCACCAGCAGGAAGGAACAGAGTCACAAAGAAACAGCAAAAGGCCACTCTTCACGCTTCATTACCATACAAAGATGCTAATTCAGCAGGGCCTGGTACACACCCTTTGTCTGGCTGAATTCTAGCACCTAGCACGCAGAACATGCATAATTTTTGCAAAGTTTTATAAGCAAAGGGAATGCTTAGTCCACGAAACACTGAAAGTGAAACTATTTGCCACCTAACAAAGTGTATGCTCATTGCAAACATTTCTTCTTAGTATTTATTAACAGGGTGTACAAAGTTCTCAAAGACTTAAAGCCCAATTTCAGTTTTGTCCAATACTGATAGAAAACTATAACTTAGATGGTTATAAGATGGACTTAGATGGTTATAGTTCCTTTTTTAAAAAAATTATAATACAGTTATTCACTCAAAAAATCATTGACTATTTCACTCTGCTATGCCCTGTAGATACAGCAATAAGAATCTCTGTCCTCAAGGAACTCATGTTCTTAGTGGGAAAGCAATTAAATAAACAAATAGTTTAGTGAGGGTTATAAGAGAGAACGCTGCAAGCCATGGGAGGATAAGAAAGGATCCTTGATCTAGATTTGAGGGAGAAGATGTCAAAGAAGGCTCCCTGGAGAAGGTGACAGCTGAGCTGAGTTTTGAGTCATGAGTAGGAGCTGTCCAGGAGAATATGACGAGAGAAGAGGAAGGCAGTGCATGTGCAGGTACCAAGGCAAGGCATGGGAAAGTAGAGTGCCTTCAAAGAGCTGAGAGCATCTAGAGAGAGTGGGAGGAAGAGAGTATAAGAGGAAGGAGATGAGACCGGAGAGAAAGACAGTGAAGAACTTTGAATGCTGTCCCCAAGAGTTTGGTCTTTCTCCAGAATTATACAACCATAAAACTAGCTTAAAACTTCAGATTTTATTCAGATAAAGTCAGTGAATTGACAGTTACTAAGATCATCTCTAAGAATCAATGATGATGAATTTGACCTTGTGCCAGTCAAGAGCAGGGCTCCACTGCTGGCCTTTTGTCCCCACTCATAGCATCATGGGAGGGTCATCAGCCAGAAGCAAACAGCCTCTGTTCTTAGAGCAGCCTTGCCAACCTAGTCACTGATGCTGACCCCAGGCACTGATCCTGACCCCAGGCACCATCTGGCTATTCCAACCTGCCTTAGCTTACCAACCTGAACTGTATCTGTGGTATCTGTCTACTCCTTCCTGCTCAACTGGACAGTTATTTGGGGCCCCTCTAGGCAAGTCCTACCTTGCCAATGTCCATGTTCCCCAAATTCAGCTATAATTAAACTTTAAATAAATAGACTTTTTTCTTCCTATTCTGACCTCAGCTACTACACTTGCTATCTGTTGACTGCTGATTGGATATCTTGGAATTATGGGAAATGAAATAAAAAGGGGATAAAGTAAGGTTTTTTTTTTAAGTCATCAGGCCCAACCTGTTGTTATATAGCTAATGGCCAGGAAGAAGAAGTGACATCCCCAGGAATAAAGACTTGTTTAAGGGTCTTCTGACACTCAAGCCAAGGAACATTTTATGGATGACCTCTTGTGGTAAAAGGAATTGATAGGCTGACAAACACAGTGTGTAACAGGTACTCACGACTTAAACTTGGAATTAATTTTAGACAACTCCCTATAACTTGATAATGAACGAATCTTCTAAAGTGAGATTTATCCAGCCATTCAGCAAGTATAACCTAAGTACCTCCTACATGTCAGACTCTACAGGAAACACTAGGGAATCAAAAAAAAAACAAGACCCAGTTACTACCCTAGGAGCTTGCATTCTCATGAAAGAGGCAGATAACAAATACAATACTTATGCAGCATGAGAAGAGCTTTAACAGGGATAAGTACCAGGTGCCGAGGGAGCACAGAGGAACACTTCAGAGTGTCAGGGAAATAGCCAAGCTGGATCTTGAAGAGCGAATTGGAGTTAGGACAAGTGGAGCAAAAAGGGGGTGAGGTGGACAAAGGCAGAGGGTTCTGTATGTATGAAGTTGGAGACATCCAAGCATGTTTAGGAAACATTGTGGTCACACCGAAGCAGAGGGGTAATGATAAAGGACTCTGGCATAATGCTGTGTTCAGGAAAGGCCTCATATCCGTGCTAAAGAGCTTGATATTGACCCTGAAGGCCCATGACTGGGTTTTAAGCAAGAAAAGGAGGATGGCCTGGCCAGATGTGGGTTTCAGGATGATCAACCTAGATACTTGACTGCGGAGTTGGACTGGAAGCAGGGAAACTTATTAGGAGGGCTGTGCAGTACTCAGACACAGTAACGAAGGGGAATTCATGGCTAAGCTATTGGTTAGCTCCTGGAAACTGACGTGACTTCTGTAAAGACATTATATTAGTCCATTCTCACGTTGCTATAAAGAACTACCTGAGACTGGGTAATTTATAAAGAAAAGAGGTTTAATCAGCTCATGGTTCCACAGGCTGTACTGGAAGCATGGCTGGGGAGGCCTCAGGAAACTCACGATCATGGTGGAAGGCAGAGAGGAAGCAAGCACATCTTCACAAGGCCAGAAGGAGAGAGAGAAGGGGGAAGTGCTGCACACTTTTAAACAACCAGATCTCATGAGAACTCACTCACTATCACGAGAACAGCAAGGGGGAATCCACCCCCAGGATCCAATCACCTCTCACCAGGTCCCTTCCCTAACACTGGGGATTATAATTCAACATGAGATTTGGTTGGGGATGCAGAGCTAAACCATGTCAGACACCAAGAAAAATTAGTGGAGTCAGAAGTTGGTTTGTAAGTCCCATTTTGACCCATTTTTTGAGTCTTCAAAAAGGTTATGTCATTTCTATTAACAGTGCAGAGAATCATCAACCACAAATTCCAATTCTTATTGATCAGAATGAGAAACTGTGGCCCAGGGAAGGGATGTGTCTTGGCCAAAGTCAGTTGGTTATGGTAACTTGCCTCTAAGTAGCCTTTCTTCCTAGCCCCAGAGAAGCAAGAAGGTGCTGCAGAAAGAGCCCTAGACTATGAGTTCCACTTGTGACCCTTCTCCTTATTCACAGGGTGTCTTTGAACACGTCACTGTACCTCCCTGAGCCTCAGTTTCCCCACACATCAAACAAGAGCATTGGGCCAGAAAGATCTCTGTGATCACTTCCAGCTCTGAGACATGATGTGTCCATTATGCAGTGAGGAAAGAAGACTAGCAACCAAAGCAGCTTTCCAGACTGTCTCCGGGAGGCTGGCTGCAGGTGGTACCCAAAGCCCAGGTGGCTGCCCCAGGAAAGGGTGAGAGGAGGGAGGGAGTGCCATTAATATTCCCCCAATGTGCCCGGAAGCTTGGAGGGTCCAGATGGAAAGCAAACAAGCAAACCTTCTGACGTGTGTGGAGCCATAGATCACCTTAGAGAGTAGCCACCACTGCTCCCCTGTTGCCGTGGCAACTTTTCTCTGGATTCTCCTCATTTCCCAACACTCATCCCCCAGAGCTGGGCCCAACTGACCTGTGAATGGGGACCAGACAGAGCAGGGTGGGTGGTAAATGGACATGCGCACTGGTGTTCAGTGGCAGAGGCCATGCAGCTCGGAACGCAGGGCTAGGTTTCTGACCCAGGTGTGTCCAGCTGTTGTTGTCCTTCCTGTGCAAACACTGCCTCATGAACAAAGCTTGGAAAGAGGTGGGAGCAGAGAGGAGGATTTTCTACATTATGAGTCACCTCAGTTTTATAAAATCTCAGTTTTTCTCTAACATTCATTTGCAGCAACCAACGGAAAAGTCACTGCCTCTTATTCCACCTTGAACTTGCTTTTGCAGGTCACTTAACCTTTCTAAGCCATGCTTTTCTAAAGTGTAAAATGGAGCTAATAATTTAATTCTGAGAGGCTGGGTGCAGGCTGTCTTCTGCTCTTCCCCCTGCCCCTGGTTCTGTGGGTGAGTCAATTGAGACATTTGAAGAGTTTCTGCTTGGAAAATGGCAGTCTTTTGAAATGTAAAAGTTTACTAGTGACCTCTTTTCTTCCCCCCTCATTATTGGTACACTTAAGAGTTGACTTTCTGGGCATTTCTTCCTTTATAGAAAAAAGTGCTGTTGGGGCCCATATATTAGGCAACTGCCAATTTTAAATCAAGAGGAAATAGAAGCAAAGATTCTCTGAAATTATTATCAAAGTCATTAAGAGGATTTTTCTTATCAGACTTCAATTTACACACATATAGTTTTAGGACAACATTTATTTGTGTAAGATGGGCAATTCCAAAGCTGATATGTCACCCCCTTGGGATAGAATCAAACCATTTTCTCCATGTCTGCCTCCCTCCATTCATTTGCTTATTCAGTAGATGCTCAAACAATGCCTGCTCTGGTGATTGTAATACATATACATTTGAAGAGCGTCTCTTTCATGTCAGGCACTGTTCTAGATCTTAGGGATTTTGTGAAAACACAAGGTCCCTGCCCTGGAGAGGCACAAGGGTCAGTGGAGACAATGCAGGAGTAAGGGCTCTCCTATCCATTATCTTTTCACAGTTCCAAGAATCCTGTGAGAAAGATGTTGTCACCACCGTTTCAAGAGGGAGGCACTGACACTCCCCAGTTAAATGCCCTCTTACCTGCAAGATCTCTGCTTTGATCCAGTTTAAACTCCTGGCCTCTGCCCCACACTGTGTTCCCCAACATCATCCAGAGCTTACTCTGCAGACCTGACCTTCCTGGTTTCAGACTGGCAGTACCCAGGCACTCCTCTAGCTCTTTACTTGTCTTCCTCTCTGCACTGACTGTATTACAGTGTCACCAGCTATTTGCCCATCAAGAGCTGCACCACCCTCCACCCCTTCTTAGCCACACGTCTCTGGCATTTACAGGTAGGCTTCAAGGCATTCAAGAACCCTATAATTTCAAGCAAAAACCTTGGTCAAATGGGGACAAGTACATTTTAAGGGAGAGAGGCTAAATTGTTCATCAGATTCTCCAAGAGGTCTAGAGCCCAAGTAAGGTTTCCCCTAGTTGTTCCTGTTTCCTCTTGCTTCCCACACAGAGCATGGCACCCAGCCAATCTATGTAGGAGGAAAGGATGGAAGAAAAGTTGAGTGTCCACCACTCCCAACTAGTTCTACCCGAGGTATAACACACAGCAGAAACTAGTGCCAACCTCTAAATTTTTCTCTTAATTAAATTCGTCTGGAAGAGAAAAAAGAGAAATAAAGAAGTCATTGGAGAGACCATAAAACCAAGCGAAGGTCAAGGAGGAGAGAAGAATCAAGTAGATATAGACCCACTGGAGATGCCAGATACACAGAGGAAGGCTGAAGTGGCAGTAGTTACAAGGAAAAGGATATTGTTACATTAGCAAGGGCAAGAACTGTTCCATATGTCTTACTTTGTGAATCACAAAGTGCAGAGTCACTGGGGTGATGGAAAGGAAACTGGAGTCCTGGCATCTAGACTAAATTCTGCTACCCATCATCAGTATGACCTTCGGTAAGACTCTCTAAACCTCAGTCTTTTTACTATAAAATGGGGATATCATCCTGGCCCTGCTTTCTTGACTGTTATCATAAAGCTTAGATAGGATGCTGGGTATTATTACAACAGGTAGGGCAGTTACCACCAACACAGATCATACTGACAGATACCAACATTTAAAAACCAGACTTCCAGAAGTTGGTTCTTGTTAATATTTCCTACTTCTGTGTACCAATGGAGCTAACCAGAGGTTGCAGGTGCATAAGGCTATTTGGTTATTACTCTCCTAGCCACAGCTCCACCTCTCACCATCAGGTCCACATTGCAGAAGCCACTTCTCGTCACTCTGCCTCAGTTGGTTCTCAATGCTCTCCAAGACATTTGGGCATCCTTTATACCATTTCTCTTTCTCTCCACCATCCCACATGAATTCCCAAGTGGGCTTCCCCTTTGTTCCCTGAGCCCAGTTCCCATAATGTCATGGTTCATCTTAATGGGAACACAGCACATCATTATTCCTCCTTAGACATTTCATTTATCCTCCATTCAAGGTTGGGTCCTCCTTATCTACATGCTCCTCCCAGCCTTTTCCAGATTTTTGCAATAGCGAGTGAGCCCAAAGGACTGAAGACCAACAAGGGTTCCAGGTCTCCTTGTACAGGCAGAAACTCAGATTAGAGATCTGAAAGCACTCCAAGCTCTGTAAAGTGGTCTGCAAACCCAGGGCAGGCTCACTGTTCTTCTGATGGGTTTTGGAACAATGCTGAGATTAAGGGAGGTTCTGCAGTGGGAGGTCCCTGCTGTAGCTGAGCTGGTTAAAAGCAAGGGAATTCCTCTTTCCTCCCATCCCTAGGAGACAGGTTCTAGTTAGGGCTCCATGTGGCCACAAGTGAAAAATATATTAATACTCTAGAGAAACAAGTAGCCATAGATCTTCTATATGGGAGGCAGTTTCTGTTTTTATTTCAACCACATGAAATGGGGCCCAACCAATGAGCCAGTGTGAGAAAGAAATAAACAAAGAATTGTGAAATGGCCAAGGCTAAAAGTTCCGTTTAAGAAAACCTGAAAAGTAAAAGCCCCAAGAGCAGGTAACTGACTTGTGCTTTGAAAACAACAATTGCATATTAGAAGATTAGAAAAATACACAAAGAAAGAGCTTAGGATCTTTTATCCAGAGGCAGGGAGGAGGTGGGCTACAGGCAGAGGCAAGGGTATTCAGAGAGAAGCTGGAGCCCATTCAGGGAGAAAGTTGTGTACGTTGTCATTCATTCCACAGACATTTACTGAGCCCCTGCTGTAGGCAAGGTAAGCACTGGGTCTCCCAACAAGGCAGGTCCAGTTTCACCATCATTCCCTATGGCACTGCTTGCAAACATTCAGTCATTCAAATTCTACCTTCACTACAGTTGCCGTTCTTGCAAGCTGGTTGTTCTATTATTTATTCAACCATTTATTTTAAATTGACTTTCTTTTTAAATGTAAATACCAGCATGAGCCTTATCCATGAAATCACAAGTTTGAAGTGCTGGCTATATTTTCTCTAGTATATATTAAAATAAATACATAATCATAGATCCATGCTCATCTGAGTTAATGCTATCTAAAGATGGCTTGTCTACTATCAGTGACACATGTACTCCATACTAGGAAATGCTCCTGGATAGGGGGTGTATTGGGTAGGAGTAAGTTCAGCTTTATGTAACAGAAAACCCCAAATAACTGGCTTAAATAAGATAAAAAGTTATTTTTATAGAATATAAAAGAAGTCTGGAGACAAGCAAACCAAAGACTGCTTCATGGCTGCTTCAGGCTTAACAGAGATGCAGGCTCCCATGGAATTCAGTCCCACCATCCCAGCATGTACTTCCTTTCTCAAAGTCACTTCATAGCCCCAGATGCCTGCTGGAGCATCACCCATCACATCTGTATTCTGGGAGGCAACAGGAAGGGAAGGCAAAAAGGTGCCCTACTTTCTTAAGTTAGTGCCCTTTAAGGAACTTTGCTACAAGTTCCCCAAATGATTTCTCTTATTTCTTTTGGCTAGAGCTTTTAGATGGCTAGCTATATTTAGCTTTAGGGGAGAAGTTTTTGGTGCATGGATGATAATTAAGTTCTAGGTACCTCTTGAGCCCTGAGCATTGCTACTTGGCCTCACTGCTTGTCTGATTTTTTGCTCTGGTTCTGCTATTGACTTTTAGCTGCTTCTACCAGAACTGGAGCTTGGCCATGAACCCCTGACCAAGTAGGTAGTGGTGGCCTCATACCATGGATTCATGTTCAATTGACTCTTTCTTCTAAGATCGAATCCTTCTTCAGGAATTCATTTCATTGACTTGGATATACCTCCTTGACCTAAAAGCTAGACCATACCCAATACTGAGAATCAGTGCTACCTAGAAACCTCTTGCACCTTACCTACATTTCAACCTTAGAACCAAATTCTCAGAGATTAATTTGTGTTTGGATCATGTGGGAGTTAGCTATGTCTCTTTGGCCTTCCCATTAGCATCTTTTCAACTTGCTCTGGCTGGCTCACCTGTTCCACCTGCCTAGAGCTTGCTAGGTGGCCAAGGCCATGATGTTCAAGTATATCTAGATCATCTCTCTCCCAACTGTCATCTCAGGGAGTTCCGAACCTTCTTTCTCTTCCATTGTTGCTGGAAGAGAAAGGGGGGGCAAAGAGGCTCCCCACCTTCTTAAGTCCACGCTATTTAAGGAACCTTTCTAAAAGTTCTCCACATGATTTATCTTGTTTCTTTTGGCTAGAAATTTGTAGATGACTAGCTATACCTAGCTTTAAGGGAGGTGTTGTCTTTTGGGAAATTTTTACCTCTTCTACTGGTTCACATCATTCCGTGTTAAAAGGAAGAAAATACAAAGAGGTCCCTAACTCTCTGCAATTGCTTTGAGTTCAGCCTTTACTATTTTCCATTACTATAAAATGAAGGATCTTCAATAGGAGCAGTTGTCTCCTAGCATGAACCTTTCTGTTAACACCTTCTACAAAAGTCCCTGTGAAATAACATGTGACATTCTTATACAGTAATTAGAGATTAGTGATTGTTTAGTCTCTTATTTAATAATGAGTTTCATTGTCATGGAAAAAGCATAATTGCCAAGCTTATGTATTGTGCACTCATCATGTTCCCTTTTGCAACTCAATGCCCAGCACTTTGAGAGCATCCAATAAATGTCCACTACAAAAATGAATACGTGAATGAATGAATGATAATATTTGTTCTCTCATGTCCATGTCACAAGGGACTCTAAATCCATAGGTCATGATGTCATTGCTACACATTACTATCCATCAGGAGGCATTTTACAAAGTAAAATTTTAGGATCTAGAACATTGGTCAGCAAAGTTTTTCTGTGAAGGGGCAGATAGTAAATATTTTAGACTCCGCAGACCATATCGTCTCTGACTCAACTATTCTTCTGCCGTTGGAGTGAAAAGGCAGCCAAAAATATATACAAACAAATGAACATGGCTGTAGTCCAATAACACTCTTCACACGTTAGAAAATACAATTATCCTTTTGATTTTTTTGTTGAACCAAAATCCATTCTTAGCTCACAGACTGTACAAAAACAGGTGGCGAGCCACATTTGGCTGTGGGCTATAGTGTGCCAACCCCCAGATCCAGAATATATGATTGTCAAACTTCAGTGTGCATAACAACTACCTGGGATACTTGTTAAAATACAGCTTTGCCAGATTCTGCAGCCAAGGACTCCATTTCAGTAGGGATGGGATGAAGCCTGGGCATCTCACTTTTAAGAAAGCAAGTGACTCTGATGCAAGTCATCCTGAGATCATACTTTAAGAAACTAACCATATTAATTAGAGCAGGTTAGGCCATCATAGCAAATAGACCCCGGAATTTAGGAGGCTTAGCATAATGGAAGTTTATTATATAAAGTTCTAGATAGTTGTTCCACTCACAGATGACTCTCCTCCACATACATACTCAGGGCTCCAGGTTCTCACAACTTCCAAAGTCACCCTGGAATTTGACATTCCATCGAGCATCAGGAGTAATACATGTGGGAGATTTATATGGACCAGGCCTGGAAGAACTCATCACTCCCACTGCATTCCAAAGGAGAGAGATTGGTAACACGTCCTTACCCGACTAGAAAGAAGGCAGGAAAGGTGGTCTAGCTGGGTGCCCAGGGAGAAGATAAGCATATAGATTTGGGTGCCTAGATAGTGGTCCCAACTGCCCTGAGCTCAAGGAAATAACTAACTGCCTAAGATCTACTGGAGCAAATTTAAGTCTGGCCAGTTGTTGCAATGGCTAACAGAAGACTTAGATTCTATTACCAGTTCTACCAATTCTAAGTCATTGGAACCTGGGCTTCAGCTTCCTGATATGAAAAATAGGAATAACACCTGTCCTTCTTCTCTCCCTCGCTAAACTTTGAAGCTCAACTGTACCCCCTGTGCATATGTGAACAATGAGGAGTTCAGATCTGATGGTGAGGACTTGGAGGGACTTCCTGAGGAAGCTGGGGATTAGGTGGTGCCTCAGTTTACTCCAGAGGGCCCCGTTCTCAACGTGCGGTCCCCAGATCACTGGCTGGTCTCTACCATAATTACAATCTTCTGAAGTAAACTCCCTGGAGGAACTGTTAAAGCATAGGTTGCTGGGCTCTACCTCCAGGGGATTCTGATGCTCAAAGAAGTTTGAGAACCACCGATCTAGACGGTCCCTAATCCCTAAGCTGTTCCCTGTTGGAAGATGAGGAAAGAAGTCCCGCTTCCTTCCTCCCAGAGGTTGGGACGTTCTGGAGATGTCTTGCTCTGTAACAGTCTTCATGCAGCAGCAGCAGTGAGCAACAGACACACACCCCCAGCATCCCCTTGGATCCCTAAGCTGCATCAAGCCCGTGATTGCAGAGCCAAAGAATAATAGCTCATTTTCCAAAGACCTAATTACATAATGAGATCTTCATGCTCCTCGGGACTGAGGCGCTCCATCCAAATTGTGCAGCCAGGTGTTGGCCCTGAGTGCACTGGGTTGGGGGCCTCATTTGAATACTATTAAGACAAGAGGTTAACACGCTCCGTGTTAAAAGTGCTGTCTGTAGTGGTGGCCTTTCTAGTTCCCCTTCCTGCTCCATCCAGGTGGCACACAGAAGATAGTAATTATGGTGGAGACCAGCCAGTGAGCCTAGGAATGCAGATTGCACCCACATCATCAGGGAGGGGTGTGCTTGTGTTTCTGGTCCAATGTCCGCCCAGCATGAATGCCTTTCCTCTTGCATAGCCTCAGAATCTGGAGGTGGTTCAGGGGTGGGAAAGCCCTGGGACATAGATCTGAAGCCTGGCCCCACTGCTAACCAACTGGGAGAACTTCCTTGAGCCCCTGAATTTTCTTGAGTTCTATCTGAATAAAATGGAATGATGATCCATGCCTTATAGGGTTGTCCTGAAGCCTTAATAGAAAAGAATTAATTAAAGTACCTGGCCCAGCACTTTCTATAATCAGGCCAGGTGTCACTCAGGGGCCAGCCTCATCACTCACTGCTACCCTACCCCTATCCTTCACACCTGCCTTGGTGAATCAGTGAATGATGTGGAGTTCTCTAACTTTTACACATGCTGTTTCTCTGACTTAAATACTCTTCACGCTTATCCCCTACTCTGGGTTGTCTCCTACTCATTTGTCAGGCCTCATCTTGGAAGTCACTTCCTCCAGGAAGCCTTCCCTGACCACTACCCCTAGCTCCAGGTCTAGGTTCGTTTACCCTTCTCTGGGATCCCTTTTCCCCTGATCATTCCTACTTCAGTACTGATTATACTGTCTCAATTCCCCTTACACTTTAAGCTCTGAGCAAACAAGAAACTTTGCCTCGTTCACAGCTGTAGCCCCATTGCCTAGCAATTAGTAGGTATGCAAAAAATGTTGAAAGAATGAATGAATAGTAGATAAACAGTAAATGTTGAATGAATAAACAGATCTTACCAGGGCTCAGGCTATGATTAGGATAAAGTCAATCCAATTCAGCAAACATTTATGAAACTTCTACTATTTATCAAGGGTTGTTATGGGAACAGAGGAAACCAAGATAGATAAAATATGCTCCTTACAATCAAATAATTTACAATCTTAAAAGCTGTGCATTTAAGAAATTCAAAAGGGAGGAAGGAGCCTGGGTCTTTAAAGCCCCCGCCCCCATCTAAACACCCCCATGCCAAATCCTGCTCCAGAAAATTTCTCAGGACACTATGCAATGGAAACCTAGGCACTGCTTTACTGTTTTTTGCTCAGATGGGCTTTGACCCCCAGACTGCTTCTCTGAATCTGTTTCTCACATTCTCACATTCCTGTACATGGGCTTCATTGCTTTTTCTTTTTTGAAACGGAGTCTTGTGTTGTCCACGCTGGAGTGCAGTGGCACAATCTTGGCTCACTGCAACCTCTGCCTTTCCTGGGTTCAAGTGATTGTCCTGCCTCAGCTTCCCGAGTAGTTGGGACTACAAGCACATGCCACCACACCCAGCTAATTTTTATAACTTTAGTAGAGTTGGGGTTTCACCATGTTAGCCAGGCTGGTCTCAAACTCCTGATCTCAGGTGATCCACATTGCTTTTTGTTTTATCTGGCACCAATTAGCACTCCGAATATACACATACCCACACTTACACACATGGACACAACACAACTTGCTGTTTCCAACCAAGATTAATAAGCTGCATCTCCTGCCCACAGGCTGCTCCCAGTCTGTTAAGGGCAGCCCATGAATGTCAGCACGCATTCAGCAGATGTGTACTGGGTGCCTGCTCTCTGCTGGACATGGAAATAGGTGCACATGTGTGGGGACAGAGGCAGAGGGGAGAGGGCAATGGTAAATAAAAGGACACGAGCTCTGCCTTCAAGTAATCATCCTAGGAGGCTGACAAACTGGGATAAATGCTGAGCATATAAACAGGGGAGCTGCCATAGGAGTGGAAACCAGGAGCAAAAGTGATGTTGAGTTGAGACTGGAAGGATGAGTAGGGGCCCATCAGATCCCTGGGAAAGCTGAAGAAAGAATGTTCCCAGTAGAGGAAGAGCCTGGGCCCAGGCTGGAGTGGGAAGGAACCCAGAGCACATAGAAGGACCACACTGCTGGAAAGCAGAGAGCAAGCAGGAAGCCATGGGGGTAGGGCTGCAGGGAGAGCTGGTGGAATAGACCTGGCTGAGGGTTTAGGCCTCTATCCCAAGAGCAGTGGGAAGTCACTGAAGGATCTTATGTGGGGGATA
This sequence comes from Homo sapiens, assembly GCF_000001405.40. Lineage (NCBI taxonomy): Eukaryota > Metazoa > Chordata > Mammalia > Primates > Hominidae > Homo > Homo sapiens. The sequence goes on along the minus strand of NC_000017.11, from coordinate 33,354,444 downwards.
GCTTGGTCACATTTGCATAGTTATATTTCATGCTGGCTGCAGTGGAGGTGAGAAGACCAGTTAGGAAGCTATTGCTCTGGTCCAGGTGAGAGATGAGGGATCTCCTCCAGGGGGCTCATAGTGGGGATGGAGAGCATGAGGATGAGTGGATTTAAAGACCGTCATGAACCACCATTGGTAGAGATCTTGAGGAGACTCATGTGATATGGTTTGGCTCTGTGTCCCCAGCCAAATGTCATCTTGAATTGTGATAATTCCCACATGTTGTGGGACAGACTCAGTGGGAGGTAATTGAATCATGGAGGCAGGTCTTTTCCATGATGTTCTCATGATAGTGAATAAGTCTCACCAAATCTGAAGGTTTTATAAAGATGAGTTCCCCTGCATATGCCCTCTTGCCCGCACCATGTAAGACATGCCTTTGCTCCTCTTTTGCCTTCCAACATGAATGTGAGGCCTCCCCAGCCATGTGGAACTGTGAGTCCATTAAACCTATTTCCTTTATAAATTACCCAGTCTTAGGTATGTCTTTATTCACAGCAAGAGAATGGGCTAATACTCTAAGATACACATGGCAAGTATAGCCTTGATGGAGACCCTGTGCTTGGTCAGAGCAGCCCTGAAGAACATGTATTTAAAGATGAATTAATTGACTGAATCACTCTATTATAACACCCAAAGAACTGAGGATCATAAAAATGGTTCCAAGACCTATGGGACTCCTAGGAAGAAGAGGTCACTCCTGGATCCAGAATAGGAAGAGGAAAAAGTGACATTTGGCTGGGCCTTAAAGAATAAATAAGGTAAGGTTAGGCATGGTGGCTCACGCTTGTAATTCCAAAATTTGGGAGTCTGAGGTAGGAGGATCACTTGAGCCCAGGAGTTTGAGACCAGTCCTGGCAACATAGTGAAACCCTGTTTCTACAAAATTAAAAATATATATATTAGCCAGGTGCAGTGGCATATACCTGTAGTTTCAGCTACTCAGGAGGCTGAGGTGGAAGAATTGCTTGAACCCAGATCAAGGGTGCAGTGAGCAGTGATTGCACCACTGCACTCCAGCCTGGGTGACAGAGCAAGACCCTGTCTCAAAAACAAACAAAAAAGAATAGATAGAGACTTATGGGCATGAGACAGGTAGAGGTCGAGGGTCAAAAGTTCCCACCACGGCAATGGGCATGTTCAGTGCATGATTATGGAAGGGTGAATGTCTAAGTAAAATGCACTTTAAGGGAAACAGCTAACAGTTTGGTGGATCTGGAATGGAAAGAGTCTTAAAAATGCCAAATTAATGAGATTGAATATTATAGATTTAGGGAGCCATTCAATCACAATACAATTATTGAACCTGAATTTTGTGCAAGTATTGTGCTGGGCTCTGGGAATGCAAAGTCAGGACGCTTAAGGAGCTCAGAATCCAGTGGAGAGGCAGATGGGTAAATGTTATTGGTGCATCTCTACTGAAACAGTGCTACAGATATTAGCTCTGGGGTCGGGTATTGTGAAGAGTGAGGCTTGATCTGAACCTTGAAGAATGAGGGAGGGTTCACCCAACAGACCATGGGAAAGAGAAGGTAAGGGGCATGAGAGAAGGCCAGGAAGGGAAAGAGGGAGAGAAACTCTAACAGCCGAAGAGAAACTGCACAGGATGGAGCCTGAGAGGCAGCAGGTGAACGTGAGGACCTGCTGAGTGTTGAGGTGCATGCACCTTGCACACTGAAACTGAAAGCATGAGGGTGGTGTGGAGGCCAGCAAGGAAGGCAGCAGGAGTCAGTCATGGAGAACATCACAGGATTTTCTCCAGTCTTGCAAAGTTGGGAGGGTGGTTTGGACAATCCAGGGTCAAGACTATTGCAAGGTTTTGAGCCACAGAGTTCGATGGATGATAACTGAAATAAAGACAGATAGGGTCAGAAGGGTCTTCTGAGATCATCTTCTCTAAAGCTTCTCATTTTACAAAAGCAGGGAGAGCCATGTTAGTCAGCCCAGGCCTCATCATTAGTAAGAGGTGCAAGCACAAGGTAAGAAGGGCCTCCCATGTAGGGGGTGGCAGCCTTGGGGGGTAATGGGCTGGCTTCAAGTGCATCTCATGGAGGGGGCTCACTGGGCACTTCTGAGATATCTGGACTATTGTGCCTGAGGAGAGAACAGGGCTAGTCACCAAGATGGGTGACCTGGAAGGAGTGGGATGCAGTGTGAGTTCAGTTCTGGGCATGTTGATTTTGAAGTCCCTGCCAGGTATCCAGGTAAAGTCGAGATTCAGATGGAAGAAGTTGGAGATTTTAGCTACAGATAGAGACTGAGGAACCATGCTCAGAGGGGTGGCATTTGTAGCTGTGGGAGTGGAGGTGCTAACCCAGGGAGTAGGAAGCAAAGAGATGAAGACACAAGACAAAACACTCAAGGGGAGGACCATCTAGGAGGCTGAGGAGCAGACATCAGACAGGCGGTGAGTCCTGAGCATGCAGAAGGAAGAAGACAGCTAAAAACCTGAGCTGTCATTAGACTTGCTGCTGCTCACACAGTCTCAGCTGGGGAGTGGCAGGGCCAGAACCAAGAGGTTCCGACTCCCCCATCCTCATCCCCCAGCACTCCATGCCACATCTACATGTCTCTTCCTTCCCTGTTCTGAGTGCAAGGATAAAGAAAACCTTCAGAAAAGCTCTAAAATGCCCAAGAATCATAAACACAGGGTGCTGGTCTTCCCAAGGCTTTAATTTCCCCTGAAAATTTTCTGTGAGACTTAAAGTTGCATTATGAATGCATTTCGACAGGCACCACAATCAAGCATTTCATAATCACGAGTACAGCTTGGAGGTAGGAAAACATGAGACCTAAATACAGTATGTGTGAGAGGAGCATGCTGCTGAGAGGTAGGGATTCACTTTGAGGGAGTATCCCATGGAGAAAAGTGCCCAGTGGGCTCTGTACCTGGGGGCTGTGTAAATAGGGACACATCTGATGAGAGAAGATGGGAAATCATTAGACCTGTGGGGAAACATCTCAACCTGGGAGCTAATGTTTCCTGAATGGCTTAATGTGGCAGCATGAGAAGAGATGAACGTCTGGCCTAAGGCCAGCTTGGACCTCTTGTCCATCCATTCACAGTGGGGCTGCTCATGGTGCTTAGACCTGGAACTGTGCCAACACCAAGTCAGCCTCCAAACAGAAAGGGGGCCTTTGGAAGTAGGGAGGGGCAGTCAGAGAGGAGGAGGGGAGGAGGGGGGCCAAATACCATTGAATCCTTCAGATTCATTCTATGATGTAGATCTTAGTATTATCCTCATTTTCCTGACATAGATACTGAGGCTTAAAGAATTCAAGTACCTTGTCAAGTCACATATTTGATAAGCAACTCAAGGGCTTTCTGACACCAAAGGCTAGATAGTCCTTATACTAAGAACATCAAGGAGAAAAAGAATTAGCTGATTCTCCCTGAGAGGTAAGACAGGACAGAGATGGAACACGAAAGGAAATGAGGAAATGCTGTGGAATCCCAAAATGTTAGAACAGAAAGAGATCACATTTCCTGGAGATCGTTCTAAGGAAAGAGAGATTCAGGGATTTTTTTAAACTGATACTATGATGCTATCTTCTATGAATGGGCTTTTTTTTTCTTTTTTTGCAACAAGAAACTAAAAGATCATCAGATTCTTAGTTTTTCTGTGACTCATAGAAGGTTAGGTGTTGCTGAGGTCCTGAGATGCAGAGAGAAGTTAGTGGTTAAATATTTCTTTCTTTCTTTCTTTCTTTCTTTTTTTTTCTCACAGAGTCTCGCTCTGTTGCCCAGACTGGAGTGCAGTGGTGCAATCTTGGCTCACTGCAACCTCTGCTTCCCGGGTTCAAGCCATTCTCGTGCCTCAGCCTCCTGAGTAGCTGGGACTACAGGTGCGCACACCACGACGCCCAGCTAATTTTTGTATTTTTAGTAGAGACGGGGTTTCGTCCTGTTGGCCAGGCTGGTCTCAAACTCCTGACCTCGGATGATCCACCCACCTCAGCCTCCTAAAGTGCTAGGATTACAGGTGTGAGCCACCGTGCCTGGCCAGTGATTAAGTAAATTAAGTGATTCAGAAAAGCTCTAAAATGCCCAAGGATCGTGAACACAGGGTGCTAGTCTTGAGGCTGCTATTTGCCCTTTGCTGGCTCAGCAGAGAGGCAAGACATAGTCCCAGCCTGCATGAGCTTATGTCTGGGCAGCAAGGCATAGACACATGCCACACCGACCTAAGATGACATGTAATCAGGAAATAAATACATGTTTGGGGCATAGCACCTCAGTCATATGGATGATAAAAAGGAACAGGTAGAATCCAAGGAGACTCAATAGGGAAGGTGGGTCTCCACCGACTGTGAAGAACCGATAAGACATGGGCAAATTGTCGGCCCAGTCTTTCTTGGAACACTACCATCCCACAAGGAAGACTGAGAGTTTTCACCACTAAATAGAATAAAAGAAGTTCCAATTCCCAGAACACATTAGCTTAATGAATAGATACTTTCTCTATATCAAGGCTTTTTTTTTCATAAATTGTTCTTAAATTTTGAGTGCCGACTACCACTTATCTACTAGTCAGTGCTGGAAGTGACACAAAGAATGAAACAAGTGGGAATAAATGCTAATGGGAAACCAGGAATGTGTTTTCTTCAAAATATTTTATGTGTGATTATTTTCTTTTTGAGTTGCAGAGACTTGAGTACATATAATACAGCTGTATTTCCTGCTAGAAAAATCATTTCTGGTATGAGTGATGGAATTAAATATGTCAATATTTCATGGCATTTCACAAAGAAAACTGAAGCTTCCAGGCACTCTGCCACCTAAACCACTTTGAAAGTCAGTGGGATAGATTCGGCTTTGGGTGGAGCTGGAGGGCATTCGGGATGAGGGGAGCAGGAAGAACAAAGTTCTTGGGGAGGTAAGAATGAAGGTGGCCTGGTAGGGCATCAGCCCACATGCCTGGAGAACTGTTTTTCAACATCAAGGTGCCTTACGAATGGTGACCTCTAGTGCCAAAGGCCAAGCTGACTCTGTGACCCATAATAACTGACCCCAGTCCAGTGCTCACCTGATACTCACTCTGCCTGGATTCCTCTCCATCAGAAATCACAAGCAGTGGTGTTATAAGCAGAATTCAACCCTCACACATGTTTTATTTGGTCCACAGAGCATTTTACATTTTTAATTATTTGCCAATATTCTTAAATGGGATGATTTTACATAAAAATCCAGATTTCTGGCTTCTCTTCAGAAATCAGAAGACCATAGTGAGCCTTCTCTCTCATATGACAACAATAGGTACAGGTGAGAAGCAGCCGCTCCTTTCAGCAGACCACAGACTCTCCAGTCTTCACTACTCAAAGTGTGGTCCATAGATCAGTAATAAGAGTGTCACCCAGCACTTTCAGAAACACAGAATCTCGGGATCAATCCCAGAGCTACTGAATAAGAGTCTGCATTCAAACAGGATCCCTAGTGGATTTGTTTGCCTGTTGGAGACTGGGAAGCACCGATCAGGTTTCCCACAGTCGTGGCCCAGCCTGCTTTGCTTATTGACCTCGGTGGTCTGGGCTGGGGACACATGAGATCCCTGCTCTAGGTTAGGTGGTACCTTTTGCACAAGGTACCACCTAAACCCCACCCCTTTGACCACCACTATGCAACCTCAGGAGAGAAGAGACCAGCTTGAACCCATCTTCTCCCAAGGGACTCACAGGCCCAATCCTATCAGTCCCACACCTCTGTTCAGCTGAGATCCCCACTACATCCCATGCCCTCTCAGTGTCCATCATCATAAAGCCTCATCCCCTCACTGCTCCATGCACCCTAATCTCACCCAATTTCCTAACCCTCTCACCCTGGTGTTGTGCCCTCTGAAGCTCATGATCTGCGGGCAGCAAATACCCCAACAACTACCACCCTTCCCTGAATATTCCTTTCAGGTTCTTGTCCTAAGCCCATTCCAGACAACAGCATCACCTGCAACTCGTGAGTGGAGATGTTTTTTCTCTCATGTGCCTGTAATCTAGGGTTAAAGAGGGTTTGCTGTTCTGCTTCTTGCTCCCATTTGTGGCCTCCTAACCATATATCTCCTCCACACACACACATACACACGCAGAGTTCTTTGGAAGTTAGTGTCATCAGCCTTTGTTTTCCACCACCTAGAACTCCTTGTTGCTTCTACCTGGATCAAAGCCCCCTTCACCAGTCTCATTGGGTCCTAATATTTCTATCATCATTCACAGCGACTGCTAAATCCACGTAGAAGGTCCATCCATGCTTTGGCCTCTCAGTTTGTTGACCTTATTTCCTCCAACAATCCATTTTTGTTTGTTTGTTTGTTTGAGACAGAGCCTCACTGTCACACAGGCTGGAGTGCAGCAGTGCCATCTCGGCTCACTGCAACCTCTACTTCCTGGGTTCAAGCGATTCTTCTACCTCAGCCTCCCAAGTAGCTGGGACTACAGGTGTGCACCACCATGCCTGGCTAACTTTTGTATTTTTAGTACAGATAGGGTTTCACCATGTTGGCCAGGCTGGTCTTGAACTCCCGGCCTCAAGTGATCCACCCATCTCGGCCTCCCAAAGTGCTGAGATTACAGGCATGAACAACCATGCCCAGCATAACAATCCATTTTTACCCACCCTGCCTCCGCTACCCATGGTCATAATTTTGACCTTGTCATTGCCAATGACTGCATCACCTTTGAAAAATGTTGACTTAAGTATCTGCTCTGATGACAACTTCATATCCTACCAGCCCCCACCCTCCTTCGATGTTTCTGTTTCAGCAATTCTGAGACCTCATCCGGGCTTTTAAATTAGTGATCCTATACATCTCACCCCCAGGACCCTTCTTAGAATCTTTCTTTGATCATATGCTTTGTCCTAACACCCACTCTCTACCAAACACTTTGAATTTCTTTCCCACACACATTTATTTGTCTAACTTTAAATTCATGGCCAGAAGACTCAAACCGGCACTTGGTGTTGCCTGGCAATCCTACACACTCTCCTAGTAGGTTCACTTGCCTATTCTTTGTAACGACTGTTTCATACCTTTTACTCTACTCAAAAACTCCTGCACCCTTCCCCCAAAAATACTTACACACATACTCAGAGGCAACAGCAACGATCCTTATCACATACTTGAATGCAATTAGGTAGACACTCTCTAAGATTTCCATACTGAAAAGATGCTCATGTGAATCCATCTTCTCTGCCTTTCCTCGTGTCTCTATGAATGAAGTGTCCCCACTCCTTCAAAGGCCACCCCTCCTCTTGTGTTTTGGTTCCCATTCATCTTTCCTTCCCAAGAGCTTGCTTCTATAATTCCACCTCCCACTCACCGTCCATTCCTCCTTTCCTCTAGCATCATTTCCTTTGGTGTGCAAAGGTCTTTCCAAATCATCTGTATGAAGCACACACACTCCATCAAACTCTTCAGCAGCTGCTCCGTGTCTATTTCTCTTCACAGCAAAACTTTTTTGAAAAGGTGTCTGTACTGTCCACATTTCCCCCTCCTATTGCTCTTTCCTGGAACACTTTCCGCTCTAGGCTTTGGTGACTTTCAGGTCTCATCCCCACTTCACTGGCTCCTCGGTCTTGCTCTTCTTTGTAAGTTCTTCCTTCTTTGCTGAAACTCCAAATATTGAAGCACCTCAGGGCTCAGTCTGGGGTTCTTCTCTTTCCTATCTATGTTCATTTCCCTTAGTAATCTACATGCAAACAACTCCCAGATCTATATCTTCAGCTTTAATCTCTTATCTGAGCTCAAGTTGCAAATATCCAGTGGCCTGCTTGATATCTTTGCACGGATGCCTAACAGGTATCTCAAACTTGATGTGGCCAGAGCAAAACTCTTGATCCCAGAATACTCCAGTTTCTACCACACAGGCACATGTGCACGAGCATGTGCACACACATACACAGGTGTGCATACCCACGCATTTTCATATACACATAGAAAATCCCAAATATCCACCCCACCCGATTCTTTCTATCTCAGAAAATACCACCACTGTTACGCTGACACAAGCTAAATTAAATATCTTGAAGTTCCCTTCTACTCCTCTCTGACTCACTGCCCTCTCCTCCAGCCAACCAATCACCAAAGGCTCTTGATTCTGCTTCCAAAATACATTGGAAAATGTACATAGGTGTCTTTATGTTCCTTTTCTCTCTCTCTCTTTTTTTTTTTTTTTTTTTTTTTTTTTTGAGAGGGAATCTCTCTCTGTCACCCAGGCTGGAGTGCAGTGGCACAATCTCGGTTCATTGCAACCTCCGCCTCCCAGGTTCAAGCAATTCTAGTGCCTCAGCCTCTCAAGTAGCTGAGATTACAGACGCCCACGACCATGCCTGACTAATTTTTGTATTTTTAGTAAAGATGGGGTTTTGCCATGTTGCCCAGGCTGGTCTTGAGCTTCTGACCTCAAATGATTCTCCTACCTTGGCCTCACACAGTGCTGGGATTACAGGTGTTTAGCCACCACGCCTGGCCTCCTTGTTTCTGTCTCTGCTGTCAACACCTTACTCCAAGCCACCATCATTTCTCATCATTCTACTGGAATTACCTCCTAACTGGTCTCTGGCTTTCATTTTTGGTGCCTTTCATTCCTGGTCTCCATGCAAGCACCCAAGAGATCTTTTTAAAGACGTGTCAGATCATATCACTCCCATTTAAACCTACCTGTTGCCCTTGGAACCATATCCAGAATCTGTTCCCCAGGAATGATAATGCCCTGTATGATTCAGTCTTTGCTTTCCTTGCCAATTTCATTTGCGTTTGTCTTCTTCCTTGTTCCCAACTTGAATATGTAAACCTCTTTCCACCTCACAGCATTTGTACCAGATTTTCTCTCTGTTTGGGATTTCCTCTTCTCCTGGTCTGACCACCCAATCAAAAGCAGCCACCCAATAACTCAAGCACATCACCCTGTTTTAAATCTCTGCTCCATATTGTCTTTTTTTTCTTAAGGGAGCCCAGCCTCCAAGAAGAGGCATAGGCCCCCCATATTTTCCATTCACATTTTTCTTACTTATTTGTTTATTGACCATCTCCTGTCACTGAATCATAACATATGTGAGGATAGGGATCTTGCCTTGCCCATCGGTACTTTCTCAGTGCCTCGAATCATACCTGACACTCAGAAAGAACTTAATAAATATTTATTGGAGAAATGCACCAAAGAATGTTACTAAGGGGAAAAACTGCTAATCTCTGACATTGCATGGGTCATGTTTAGACTACTCTGGAGAACAGATTCTTTTTAAGAACTGGAGCCCCTTACTGCATTTGAATGCAAATGGACACTTACTAATTACAAATGAGCCTTATCTGCACATGACAGCCTTCTTGGCAAGACCTCTATCTGGAAACATTTTGGTAGTCAGGAGTTCCAGTGGTGGCTTATAAATTGGAAAGTTCTTTTTAAACTTTGTTTGTTTTGCTTTAGAAATGTTCTTTTGGTTTGTTAATTCAAGCCGCTGTCCCCAGCTAAAAAAAAAAAAACCAAGGTTTTGTTGCATATATAGTGGCATGACTCTCCCAACTAGCCATTTATATTCATTCATTCAAGAGTAAATGTTGGCCCCTATATAGGCCAGACACCAAGAATACAGAGCTAAGACATGGTCTCTGTCCCCAAAGAGTGGCCTGTCTCCCAGATGCAAATAAATATATACATTCTTAAAGTAGTGGGTTAATAACCTGAAAAAATGTGTGAGCAGGGTTAAGTGGGAGGAGAGACCACAGAGAGATCTACTATAAACAAGGAAGCCCTGTGAACACTGATTCAACACACTATCTCATTTAACTTTCATTCCCACCCTGCAAGACAGGGACTTTTTAGCCTCAGTTTACAGACAAGGAAACTGAAGCCCAGGGAGAGTAAATCCTTGGCTTGGGGCTATGCAGTGGTAAGTGGCCAGGTCAGGATTATAATTCAGTTGTTCTGACCAGGTTCTTCCTTCACTAGAAGCTGATTCCACCTGTCGTGTCCCAGGAAGCTACTATCTGCTCCAGACATTCCTGGTGCCCCGCTCCCTGCCAGGTAAAAATGACAGCCAACTGGCCTGTATGTGCCTGGATGCTGCTGCAGGAAGAGTCTTCATTTTCCAAATCTGTACGTCCCTGCCAATGACCACCTGACAACAGGCATCTGCTCCCCCTGCTTCAGAGAAAAGCTGGCCTCCTCTAGCAACCAGTCCTGGGGGTCATTCAAAATATTTACTGAGCATCCACCCTGTATTGGGCACTGGGGAATGCATGACAGAGAATTACAAAGATGGTTGAAACATGATCCCTGCCCTCAACTAACCAATTATCTGCTGGGGAAGTTGGACATTAACCCAATTTTGACGCCATGTTGTGCTAAGTGCTTTTGTGAAGCTGAGACTCACGTCAGGGCAGGACAGTTGCTGGAACACGCAACTCAGCCTGGAGGTATCTGGGAAGGCTTCGAAGAGGAGGTGATGAATTCAAGCCTTGACAAATGGTGAATATTTGCAAGACACAGGGCGGTCCAGGTAGACGGGACAAAGTCTGGGCAAAGGCACAGTCGCTTTTCAGGGGCTTCTGTGGGGATTCCCCCATGACTTTCACACAGAGAAGAGATCGGATTTCATTTTGATGAGCAGATTGGGGGTAGTGATAATGAGAGGAGCCAGAGTTGGTTCAAGAATTAGGCAGGGCTGAGCCTGGGGGCCATGGAGTGGAAGTGAACACAGAAGTGAACACAGACTGGAAAATGCAGAGGGAAGAAAATAAGGCTGAGGCTGAAAGTCTCTCATGTACGAAAGGCTTTATGATACCCAAAGCCATGTCAACCCACCAGTTAGAAGAGATGGCTTGAGTACATACAAGCGAATGGCATAGGAAAAAACAAGCCGTAGACTCCCCCCATGTCAGGGGAGCTTTTAGTCTGGCTAGAGAGGTAAGATTTGGACACATGCGAAAACCAGTAATAAAGTGAGGAAGCCAATGACAGGCATCAGGGAGTGGATTGGACCATAAGCAGCTAATGTCCAGAGGCGAGGAAGTGTCCAAGGAAGTTAGGCAAATTCTTGGAGAAGCCAGTGGAATCTATTAAGAATCACGGAACTACATCAGAGAGGATTAGAAGAGGGAGCAGAAGTCCTCTGAGTGTAGAAGAATAAAGGGACTTTGTTAGGGGAAGCTTCCTGGAGGAGAGCCTTTTAGGTCAGCCTGGTCTAGCCCTGAACGTGTAAGTGGGTTGTCCTGGCCCTGGATCACCTGGGCAGGACCCATCTGGGCTCTCAGCCTCTCCGAGGGGCTCACAGCTTTTTGTCTTTGTCTGCTTTGCCTCTCTCCTGCTACAATTTGGAATGAGGATTGCTCGCTCCTATTCCCTGACCAGACTTAGCCTTCCTCTTATCCTTCAGACCTGTTGCTTGAAGCTACTTCTGAATGCTGACCTCAGCTCACCTATTTAGCTAAAGTTCACATATGCCCCTTGGATGTGCATGCTTCTGGTCCACCTGAGTAGCATTGGAGGCCCATCCAACCGAGTCCCTAGAGCCTGCCCTGCCCACCTGGCTCTATCCTGGCCATTCCTGAAGGGGATGATGGAACAGCATCATGGGGATTAACCACCAAGGCAAACTCAATCTGGAATGAATGAGGAGGTGTGGAGGGGCAGCTGTGGAGAAGATCTGAGCTTTGCCCAGAAACTCTGCCATCATCAGATAAGCAAAAGTGATCCGATGAGGCTGCATGCATCAAGGAAGGTGACCTCCATATCTTGCAAGCCCCCAAACCAGAGTTGGGGGCTAAGCAGACTGGATTGAGAGTTAATAATCAGTCGTGTCATAATGTGGACTTAGTCAATGGAGAGTAGGACCATCATGTGATTCCCCCAGGAATGGTCAGGCTATTGGGAGCACAGCAGGCAAGAAGACAGGCCCTAGCAACATCAGGTAATAGAAAACACACATGCACATAATCATATACATACCACATGCATGTATGTACATGTGAACTCATATAGACTTACAAACACACAAGAACCACATGCTTACAAAACACACACACATAAACCTGCACAAATGTGTCTGTCAGCACACACACACACGTACACACACACACGTACACACACACATGTACACACACACACACTCGACTCTCCACAAAAAGCCAATTTGCAGTTCAAAGCCCTAACAATGAGTAAGGATTTCACAAGTGGCTGCTTCCCCTTTGCTAACTTCCTTATGAGGAGCCTCCTGGGAGGGACCTTATCCTTCTGCACCATGTGAGTGGTATTGTTGAGGCTCCCAGAGAGGTTTAAGGCCATCTTCTACTAATACCACCTGCCACTTGATAGTGGTGTGAATTGATCTCTGTTTGTTCACAGCACATTCTCTTTTGCTAAGCAACATTAAGTTTAAATCAAAATATGTGACTGCTCTGTAATTATTCTTGATGCGACTTCCCTCTGTTTGCATTTTCTTGCTATTTATTTGTTCAGGAGTGGGTGGGGAGCATTCATCTCAAGAGATGTCAGTCTAAGGTAGGTCTGAGTGTCAGTCTGAGAATGACAAAGGGGCATCAGTAGCCAGGGCAAACCTTCAACTTAACCCAACCTTCCTCAGAGCCCCCTCTAGTTTATCCCAACAGCCACTAGGCATCCTTTTAGAGGTTTCTCAACTGTGTATCCACAACCCAACTTAGAATGAGACATCCAAGTATTGTCCAAAATATGCTTGCCCAAACTCTAACCACTCTGGGCTTCAAGATCCTTCTAAGTGAAAGGAAGATTAAACTATAGTTAAGGTAGCTACTAGGTATGGGGGTAAATATTTACTGAATAATAATCCAAACCTGAGGTTGACAACTGTTTTTGTAAGGGACTAGATAATAAATATGTTATGCTTTGCAAGTCATGGGGTCTCTGTTGCAACCACTCAACTCTAGCATTGTAGTTTAAAAGCAACCGTAGACAATGCCTAAACAAATGAGCGTGGCTGTGTTCCAGTAAAATGTTATTTACAAAAACAGTCACGGTTTGCCAACTCCTGATTTAAACTACAACAAATTCATTTCACTCTCCAAAGTGGCTTGGATTGGATGATGAATTATGTGGTCACTCCAATTCTAAGAAGAGTTTCTCCATGGTTGGTCCTGGACAGCCCATGTCAAAATTACCTGGAATGGGGAAAGCGTTCATGTTAAACATGCAGATTCCAGGTCCCTCAGCCTTGACCGACCAAATCAGAATCTTGGAGATGGGGTCTGGGAATGTGAAGGTTTCACAAGCGCTCCTCGGTTGATTCTGATGCACACTAACATTTGATTACCACTGGATTGGATACCTTAAAGATCGCTGCAAATCCAAAACTTAAGGAAATTCATCCTTGTTTTGGAAGGCTCTTTAGGACAAGGGGATTGGCTCTTCCTTGTCAACTGCAGTTTAAATGATATCCCTTCTCTATCCACACATGACTATCTCAAGTCTGAGACTAGGGTGAGGTGTGAAAGATACTACATTCCAGGAGGCAATAACTCTTGGGCTCATGCAAGTACAGGGTCATTCCCTGAGAGTGAGTTCCTCCCTAAATGATGCACCCTGGACACCTCGCAGGCCTCATACTAGCCCTGGCATATCCATCCATACACACGTGAACATATTCATTCACACACAGCACTTGCTCACACACTCTGCTGCCCCAACACACACAGAGACACACATATACAGAGCCCGTTTGATGATGCAGGAGCCCCCTCTGTGGTCTAATTTGAGGATTATAAGCACCTCCCTCCCTAAACCACTGATACACTCAAAGTTCTCCTTCAAATCTCAGAAAAGTTTCTCTTTAACATCATCTCCCAGAAAACCCAAGCACACCTGAGGGAGGTCATATCTGATATTTTCGTATCTGTCTAAACTAATGTTAGCCAACCTCAAGGCTTATGGGAAGAAAAACGATAGGAAAGAGCATTTATTGAGCACTTGCTGTGTGCCAAGCGCTGACCTAGTTGCTAGAAAAAAAAGAGAGCAGTATCCAACATTTATGGTAGATTTGTAGTTAATTAAGAACTTTCTGGACCTTATTATAATTATCATCCCTACTTTGCATCTGAGGAAACTAACACTCTGGCAGCTTAAGAGACTGGTCTCTCATCATGCTCCCACTCCCCATCACCCTCAGAGGTCTTTTCCTTCCTGGCCCACTCCAGCTTCCAGGAGTGGCCCACTGCTCCAAGAGACTAAAGGCATTTCTCCAGCCCAGTTGAAAATACAATATACCAAGAGCAAAGGTGACCTGTTTCTTTCTTGCTTTCTGAGTTTTAACGCTGCTGACATTTCCACATTTGTGGCAATTGGTTATGTATTAGGCATTTAAGATGTATTTATAATATTAACCTTTCTAGAAAGCCCACTTTCAAAGCAGCCATCCTTGCCCACTTAGAATGCAACTCTGAGTGTTACCTGTAATTCCAGCAGTTGGAGTTAATGAATCAAAGCTATGAAATGCAGGGGTGTGTGGGAGGTGACTCAGGGTCAGAGGCAGCAGTTGGGGTCGGGTGATGGATTTTGCTAACAAATGACCTACAGCAAAGTATCAGATACCCAACCAAGTGTCACCACTGCCAAATCTGGTTTTATCTCTTTTTGCTGCAACTAAAAAGATGTCAAAGTGGTACAGCTCCTACTTTCCTGGGATGTCAGGAGTTAGGGAGTCATCACAGCCTTTGGTTTGTGCAAGGTCAGAAAGAGGAGGCAGCCTCAGAGAGACAACTTATTCTACTCCCACTTAGAAGGCACTGCCTGGCATGAGGGAAGAAAAGGAAACCCCACCTTTCTGAGGGCAAGACACCGTGCCGGGCCCTTTCTGTGCACTCCTTTCTCCAATCTAGTCTTTGCATAAATTGCCAAAGTGACTTTTTAAAATATAAACAAAATTCCCTGAGTGAAATTTTCCTAGGGAATAGCAGGGATTGGCAACCTATGATCCACAGGCCAAATGCAGCTACATCTATCTTTGTAAATAAAGCTTTATTAGAACACAGCCTCGCCCATCATTTGCATATTGCCAAGGGCTGCTGTTGCTCTACAACAGGAGAGTTGAGTAGAACATATGGATCACAAAGCCAAAAATATCTACGTGAAAAGTTTGCTGCCCCCAGACCTGTAGAACTGAAACTTCAGTCTATTGAGCATGAGAGGCAAGATCTTGCAGGGCTTTGCCTCACTCTCCTTCCCAAGCTCATCTGAGGGTGAAGCCAACCTTCCCCAACACCCTGTGCTCCAGCCCTGTGTTTCTCAACCTTTTCTTCATTGTTGCCCCCTGCAAAGGCTTTATTTTTTCTTTCCTTTTTTTTTAACTTAATTTTTATCGTGGTAAAAAACACAAGACATAAAATTTACCATCTTGACCATTTATCAATGTACAGTTCAGTAGTGTTAAATATATTCATATTGTCGTACAACCAACCCCCATAACTTTTTTATCATCCCAAACTGAAACTCTGTATCCATTAAAGGATAGCTTCCCATTGATCCATCCCTCCAGCCCCTGGCAACTTTCCATTTCTATGAGTTCAACTACTCTAGATGCTACATATAAGTGGAATCACACAGTGCTTTTCTTTCTATGACTGGCTTATTTCCACTTATCATAGTGTTCTTAAGGTTCATCTATATTATAGTCTTTTTAGACAGCTTTTTCCTCTTATCCACCCAAGAAATTTTAATGTCACAGATACACTACTTATCCATTTTGTGTACTGTAACCCTTTGGAGACCCACAAATCATTGAATGTCTAAGATCGTTTACCTTCTTACCCCAAAAGACAATTTTTTTGTCCTGCTATCAGCTCTCCCTCCTGCTGAGAATGCACGCTGTAGCCATTCCACCTCTGATCATTCGTGCACGCACACATCTTGTTCCTTTTTCCCTCTGTGATTTGCATGCTGCTCCATCTGCCTGGAATTACCTTCTCCTCATTTCTTAAAAATCCAAGCTGGATATCACCTCCTCCAGGAAGCCACCCCTGATTCTCCCACTTCTGCCGTTCCTCCCACAAGCCCAGCACTAACCTCTGCCATACACTTCTTCCAGAATTCTACTGTCTCCCCTGTCTTACCCAATACTCCATGAGAGGCCAATGGAAAGGAACATCTCCATTCTCCTTGCCCTTCCAGAGCACCTCAGAAGGAACATTTCCAGCCTCCTTGCCCTTCCAGAACACCTCAGAGAAACCTCACCATCCTCCTTTCCCTTCCAGAACACCTCAGAAGGAACATTTCCATCTCCTTGCCATTACAGAACATCTCAGAAGGAACATTTACAGCCTCCTTGCCATTCCAGAGCACCTCAGAGAAACCTCTCCATCCTCCCTGCCCTGCCAGAACACCTCAGAAGGAACATCTCCATCCTCTTTGCCCTTCCAGAACACCTTAGAAGGAACACTTCCACCTTCTTTGCCCTTCCAGAACACCTCAGAGAAACATCTGCATCCTCTTTGCCCTTCCAGAACACCTCAGAAGGAACACTTCCACCTTCTTTGCCCTTCCAGAACACCTCAGAAGGAACACTTCCACTTTCTTTGCCCTTCCAGAACACCTCAGAAGGAACACTTACATTTTCTTTGCCCTTCCAGAACACCTCAGAAGGAACACTTACATTTTCTTTGCCCTTCCAGAACACCTCAGAAGGAACACTTACATTTTCTTTGCCCTTCCAGAACACCTCAGAAGGAACACTTCCACCCTCTTTGCCCTTCCAGAACATCTCAGAGAAACATCTCCATCCTCCTTGCCCCTCCAGAACATCTCCACCCTCTTTGCCTAGCACAGTGCCAGTGGCAGAGCAAACACCTAATGAATGTTTGCCAAACGAATTATCTCATTACATCTTTACAAGAATGCTAAAAGCATTACTATCCCCTTTGAACAGTTGAGCAAACTGAGGCTCAAAGAAGTAAAGGAAATGGCACCAGGTCACAGGGCTTGGAGGAAGCACAGCAAGGACTTTGGATTCAGACCACCGCAAGGTTAAAATCCTCATCCTGTCATCACTATTACATGCCTTTGGGCAACAACATTCCTCAGGGCCTCAGTTTCCACATCTGTAAAATGTAGGATCCTTGTGAGGATCAATGAGCTGATGTATATAAAGTGGCTCAGGCAGGACTCAATGAATGGTAGCCCTTATTAATCTATTAATTGGTGGAGCTGGGATTTGAAACTAGGTCTTTTAGATGCAGAGTCCAAGCACTTTTTGGTTCTGTCAGTGCTACCTCACTGGAGTGCCAGTGTGCTCCCACACAGTGGAAATGGAGTCAGAACCAAGCAGGCACCCTGGGGCCACTTATCTCCAAGGCCCTCTGTGAGGGGGCAGGACCCCCAGGAGCACAAAGCCAGCTCTGGAGGGTGCTTGGAGAGCCCAAATTAGAAGAAACGGAGCTGGACATTCTCTGGAGATATTTCTACGCAGCCCAGGCACCCTGATGAATCCCCCTTCTCTGCTCTAGGAATATTTCTGCCTCAAGAACCAAGGCCATTTGTGTAGATTCAGAGCCTCTGGGTCCTCTGCCACGAGCGCATTGACAAAGCTGACCCTCCAGCTCCTTTTTGTATCAGTTAACAGAAGCCCCGCCCCCTCCTCTCTGACAGATTAAGCTATAATCAAAAGTGGGCCGGGTTTTGTAGAATCAGTCGGAGTCTAGCCAGAGAGAAAGACAGAGATAGAGAGAGAAAGTGTTCAACTTTCTGACAGAGCCTTGGAAAATGCTGATCACCGCCAGACACAGGCAGCCTTGAGCAACTCGCCTAACCTCTCTGAACTTCACTATTTTCACCTGTGGAATGGGACTAAACGATACCCTCCCCACACAGCTGTCGTGAGGATCAACAGGGGACTGGGGAATCTCTGTAAATTACCTTGCATACAGTAGGTGCTCATGTATTTCAGTTTCCTTCCGCAGGACTGGAAAAAGTGTGAGGCGAGGAAGGCACTTGTCTCAGACGCAAAATTTCAGGGGTGCCAAAAATTTCAGCAACGAAAATAAACAACATTTTAGTGCAGTACTTTAAAAAAAAATCTGTTAAGAAATTCATGATGAACATGGTCATCCAAATTTTAAATAGAGACGGGATCAGTATGAGTGATTTCTCCTTTTGCTTCAGGTTCCAATGTGGCTTGACACTGCCCCTTCCTCTTCCCTCTGAAGGAAGGCTAAAGAGAGTCATGGAATAAATGACTGGCCTAGAGATACTGAGAGTCTAAACCCCCTTTTAAAGTTTTGAAATAATTCAGAGATCCTGGGGTGAGGGGAGCATCCAAAGTCCCAAGCAGAACAAGCAGCAGATCTGGGAGGCAGACCCAGGAGGCAGACCAAGGTCTGTGACTCTCCAAGACCACTTCTGCCCCAGCCCCTCACCCCTCCACAGGATTGGGGTTGCTGAACAGAAGGACAGAGGGAGAAGGGGAGGGTGAGAGAAATCAAGCATGGAGACTCAAATATCACCCCTATTCAAAGGAGATTCTGCTGCTTAATCCCTTCCCCTCCTGTGAGTCTATTAGCACTTGTGTGTCTGCGATTGGAGCTGGAAGGCTGAACTCTGGGCTCCTGGAGTGTAAGGACTGAGTCTTATTCACCCTTGTGGCCCCAAGTACTAACATGGTGTAAGTGCTCCTCAAGTGTATGAGCAATGATTCTGACCTCGGACATCCTCACGTTCATGACTATGTGGCTACAGCATCTCAGCTGTGGTACCACTGCTTGGACCTGCTTCTGCCATCCACTTGGTGACCCTGGTGGTAGCCACGGGGAATGCTTCCTTTTGCAGGCCCTCACAAGTGTAGGTTCTCCTGTAAGTCCCCACGCATATGGATTTATTGACTCACCCTTCTACCTCCTAAGATTCAGCCTGGAGTGGTAGAATATGCCTATACTTTGAAGCCCATTGTATTTGGGTTTGAAACCCATCTCCCACACTTACAATCTCTGCGACATTCCCTGTGCTGCTTAGATGATCTAAAGCACAGTTTCTTCAACCCAAATGAGACTAAGCTTTCCCACCTACTATTTTATGAGGATTAGCTGGAATGGAATATATGTAAATTACCTGACACATAGTAGGCACTTCAGCAATTCTAGCCTTCATTATTACTATACTTTTGTTTTCCTTCTAGTTAGAACAAGGCAAGTCCATCATTATGCCTTGGGTTTGTTTGTAGCTTTCAGTGGACTGGGAGCATATCATTTCTGGGGATTTTAAGTGCCTGACAATTATCATTTTACCTGGACGCTAGCGCTAATGCTATCCTAACTGCTTGCATTTCTATTTTCCCATTGCTGCATTCTCACAATTTAATGTAAAAAGGGATAATAGACCTGTCTCTTTTGAATCCAGCTGCCAGGATTGGCTCACATGACACTGGTTTACAGACTTTGAGAACTAGCAAATAACTGGCAGGTTCATCAGCCCCAAGTTTTCAAAGCGATGAGTCAATCCTGACTTATTGTTATTATCTCCTAATACTTTACACTGTATTATGCTGTAATTACTCTGTGAATCACACTGACAGCTTGCACGTTTGCAGCTTGCCTTAGTTATTCCTCCATCTTCTGCTGAAAGCATCATTAGTCTTGCGCTTGCCTGCAAAAAGACGACCCCCATCACCTGTGGAATACACAGGACCCTTTGTCAGTACATGTCAAGAGAGGATGACACACAAGCCATCATGTGGTCTTGGGTTGGGTTGCTCATCTTGGAAGGAGGAGCAGTTGCTTGCATTCTAAATAACCCTGACCAATTGCATTACCTATCTCCCCTCTTCTGTGAGAGCTAAAGATACTCCCTTTCTGTAAGAATGCCCTCTTTGGTTAAACTTCCTCTCAACTTGAGGATGACACATTACTGATAGGGTCTCTTTGGGACAGACTAGATGGCTGTGGTCACAAAAGGACAGTTGGTCCATGCTGGAAGCCAGTTCAACAGCAAAGTTTTCTATCTTCTAGGATGCTCTTCCCACACCTGAAGCCGCTGCAGAGAGAAGTAGGAGAAGAGGAGGCAAACAGTGTCACACAATGGACATGCATGAGCTCTGGATCCAGGCAGACCTGAATTTGAATCCCACAGATGCCCCTCACTCCTTTAATGACTTTCTTAACCTCTCTGAGCCTCAGTTTCATTATCTATGAAATGGGTACATTAGCACCTCTTTCATAAGTTGCTTCAGTGAAAGCTTCCTCCTCCAATCTTATTGTGAAATAAAGAGATTGGAGGCCCCCTTTTGGAACATGTAGACTCTGGAAGTCCTGAAGGTTTCAAACTCAGTCCCCTAAGACAAGGATTCTGCTGCTTTAGGGGAAGAGAAAATAGTTGTGCTTCTGGGACACCTAATTTTAGACTTTGAGCAACTGAGCAGCTTCCTTGTCCAGTCCCTTCCTGAGGGCATTGAATGCATCCATTTTGCAGCCCCAGGCTGAAGAAAGAGTTTGTTGTGCCAACACCACTGAAGAGGCATCTTCCTCACAAACTGGCTTTTTGTTTAAGGAGCAGCCCCAGTCCAGGGGTCTGGGGAAAGACTTTCCAAATTGTCAGAAATGATGTATCAGTGTGCAAAATGCAAATCTGTCCCTGGCGGGACAGGAGCCTTTATACCCATAATCCTCCTCTTTCCTCTCCCTTTCTCCTCCCCTTGGAGCCTATAGGCACAGGCAGATGATTTTCTAATCACATGCAAGAGTGGAAAGTTTTTAATTGCTTTTTTTTGTCCTTAACATTGTTTATTTATTATAATAAAGCTTATTTTATTATGAAAGGAATATGTACTCACTGTATTTCAAAAAACACAGAGAAGTAGAAAAAAAGAAGGAAGAAATTGCTCATCACCATACCACCAAAAGATAACTACTTTAAACTCCTTGGTGTATTCTCTTGCTGTTATTCTGAGTTGAGATATTTTTATATACTTATAATTCTGCACAAACAATTTGGTGCTTGCTCTTTTCTTCACATATTTTACCATAAGAAGTTCTCTTTATGATAACTCTCTGATGTTATTTTGAATGGGTGCATGATTTCCCACAGCCTTTGGAATCATCATATGAACACTGGACATCTGGATTGTATCCAATTATTTTATAGTATAAATAAGGCCCGGATAAGAACCTCTAGGCCTGAAACTTCCTCCATATTTCAGATTATTTCCTTGTGAAATTACTTGGTCAAAGTGAATGGATTTTTTTATATCTCCTGATTTATATCACCAAATTGCTTCTTCAAGACATTTTACTTTTAAAAACAAACAAACAAAGGCAGGAGCATGAAGAAGGATGGCCAGTCTCCAATCACCCTGCCAAAGTAAGGTTCCCCAAGGCCAATTCCTTCCTCAGGAGGCAATGGGCCTTTGGGAGACCAGAGATTGATTATTGTAGATTGAACATGCTACATATAGATTACAAGATAGATTGGCACCTGGAAGGCCAGAAAAATTCAATGAGAGAAGGCCTCTCCTAGGCATGCTGCTATAATTTCTGTATGAATCTGAGACTTTGTTTTTTTATTATTTGTTTTGTTTTGAGATGGAGTTTCACACTGTCACCCAGGCTGGAGTGCAGTGGCGCAATCTCAGCTCACTGCAGCCTCCACCTCCTGGGTTCAAGTGATTCTCCTGCCTCAGCCTCCTGAGTAGCTGGGACTACAGACATGTACAACCATTCCCAGCTAATTTTTGTATTTTTAGTAGAGACGGGGTTTCACCATGTTGGCCAGGCTGCTCTCGAACTCCTGACCTCAGGTGATCCACCTGCCTCAGCCTCCCAAAGTGCCGGGATTACAAGCGTGAGCCACCATGCCTGGCCGTGAATCTGAGACTTTAGAAGAGGAAACAAAAGCCAGAGATAGTCATCTAAAGCAGCCTTGTCCAATCCAATAACCACTAGCACATGTGTCTCTTGAGCACTTGAAAATGTGACTGGTCTGAAATAAGACATGCTGTGAGGATACAACACACACACCAGATCGCCAAGATTCGATACCAAAAAATAAAAATGTAAAGGGTCCTAGTGATTCTTTTTTTGTTTATTACACGTTGAAATGTTATTATTTTGTCTATATTGGGTTAGATAAAACATGTTTTAAAAATTAATTTTGTTTGTTTCTTTCAACTTTTTTAAAAATAGGGTTACTAGAAAATGTAAAATTGCATGTGTGTCTCACATTGTATTTCTGTAAGGCAGCGCTGGTAGCAAGTAGCTCTAGTATTAGCCTCCCTGGCACCAAGAAGGGAGTCAGAGGCCAAGGTAATCTTCATAACACGAACGGGTATATGGAATGCAGGCACCACTTGGTCAACTAGGCATCATCATTTAGATGTAAAGAATCCTCTGCAGGTAAAGCAGTAGCTTTTAGCCTTCACTGCTAAAATCAGAACCAATTGATCAGCTTGAAAAAACACTAATGTTCTATGATGTATGCCCCAGGGGCCCTGATTCAGTTGGTCCAGGGAAGGGTATGATGTCCTATTTTTCAAAAGCTCCACAGGTGATGTTCATGTGCAGTCAATGTTAAGAAAGTTTTGTCCTATTCGCAGTTGCCTAGTTTGGACCCTGGCTCTATTGCTTCTAGCAGAATGACTACGGGCAGTTGCCTACCTTTCCTAAACCTTCATTTTCTCATCGTAGAATAGGGATAACAATAGGTTGATGTAAGAACTAAATGATATTATCCATGTAGAAATACCTAGCACACTATCAGGTATATAGAAATGCATAATAAATATTAGCTACTCTTTTTAACATATGGGTTTGGCTTACTATTATGTGACATAACAAAGGGTTATATTTTACTCATGAATCAACACAGACCTGTGCAGAAGTGCAGGCCCAAAAAATGTAGCAGAATAAAAAGTCTTTCAATTCTATGCTTTTAGTGTTTCAGAAACTAATTATTCAGAAGAAACTGAGGCAGCAGCCCACAGAGTAAACAAGAAATAGCTATGATTTTAAAAGCATGAAATAGCTGTGGTTTTAAGAGCAAAAGCAAACAGACTAAGAATTCTGACTGCAGAATTAAGCCTGTGCAGCCTTAAATGTAACATCTTAACATCTTTGAGCCTTAGTTTCTTTATGTGGACAATGTTAGTAATAGCGTCTACTTTAGTAGTGTTGTCCAAAGCAGCGATCCCCAACCATTTTGGCACCAGGGACCAGTTTTGTGGAAGAGAATTTTTCCATGAACTGGGTTGGCAGGGTGGGTGGTTGTGGGATGAAATGGTTCCACCTCAGATCATCAGGCATTAGATTCTCATAAAGAGTGCTTAACCTAGATCCCTCAAATGTGCAGTTCACAATAGGGTTTGTGCTCCTAGAAGAATCTAACACCACTGCTGATCTAACAGGAGGTGGAGCTAGATGGTAAGTTTCACTTGCCCGCCACTCACCTCCTCCTGTGCAGCCCGGTTCATAACAAGCATCAGTCTGTAGCCCAGGGGTTGGGGACCCCTGGTCTAAGGGATTACCTAAGATAGTCCATTAAACACACCGAGCACAATACCTGGATCTTAATGTTTGTTTCTGTCCTGAACTGCCTGCAAACCCTAGGCCAGTCAGGATTCTCTCTAGACCCCAGGATCCTCATTGACAAAATGAAGATGTCGACCCCACAGGTCCTTTGCAAGTCTATTCTTATGACTCAATCCTTATGAAATAGAATAAACCCATCCACAAAGAAAGAAAGAAAGAACTGACAGTGCAGGGAAAGAGGACTAGAAGCAGCAAGAGCACAATGCAGGAGAGGCCAGCAGCAAGGATAGGAAAAAGGAGTATTAGAAAGAGCATGGACTTAGAGTCGTAGAGACAGGTCTGAATGCTGGCTTAGCCTCTTATTTAGGAGCTGTGTGGTCTGGTCCAATAATGTGATTGCATGGGCTCCAGTTTCCTTGTCTGTAAAATGAAGCCAATATGACTGAGCCCGAAGGTGTCATGAGGACTCATCGTGGTGAATGTCTGTGTACAGAGACTGGCTCAATACACGCAGACTTTATTCTTCTGATCCTGGTTTGTCACTGACTCTGTGGGATGCTGGTCCCCAGCAGCCTCCCTGCAGTCCTGCAAGAGGCCAGAAGTCCAGCCACTTGAGAAGCACAGAATGAGCTGGGAAACTTGGGAGACTGTAGGTGTCTAGTTTCAGACACCCCTTCCAGTAGACTCACCAAGCAGATGGGGTGAGGAGTCTAGAATAAGCCTAAATGTCTCAATCCCAAGAAGATAAAGGCCCTTCCCTCAGAATGAGCAGCACTGACTTCAGCAGCAGGAGAGTATGCTCACAAATTTAGAGATCATCTGATCCCACCATCACTACCCTTCATATATTAAAAATAAATGCATACAAACACAGGAGAGGGAAAGTGACCTCAGACCACAAAGTAAGCCAGATACAGAGCCATGATGAGAACACAACCCTTTTCCTACAGGGACAGGTAGGATATCTAGGAATGCACATTCATGCCTAAACCATAGGGGGTGAGAGGACAGCCCGTTCCCCTCTTGCCCCAAGTAGGTTCCTCCTTCTCACTGCTGAAGACATTCTCCTCCTGGGAGAAAAGAACAGATCCAATGACCTACCTGGGTATAGTTCTTGATAGTTCCACAGACTCATTGTCTCTGATCCTCACAAACATTCATGGCAATAATGACAATCCCCCTTGTGAAGGCGAAGGAAAAAAAAAACTGGAACTGAAAGAGGATAAGTGATTTGTTTAAGGTTAAGGGACAGAGGTCAAGGACAGACCCAAGGCTTGAACTTGATCCAAGTTTGTATGTAAAATGTAAATACTCCTCAGAAAGAAGTTACACAATGCCACCATATAACTGGTGACCCTATGGGGACTTTTACTGGCAAACTGGATATCTTGGCTGTGTGATGACCTTGACCTTAGCCAAGCCACTTCTGAAATTTGGGCATGAATTTTCTCATTTGTGAAAAAGGAGGTCTGAGCAGCTGTAACACAGAGTCTGGGTCCTCCACCCATTAGCTCAGGCCTCCTTATCCCCTGCAGGTTGCTATCCTCATTAACCCAACAGAATTATAGGTCATGAACTTCCCAGCCAAGGAGGAATTCACAGTCTAATCACACTAATGGCTACCACTTTACAAGCACCTACTATCTCCTAGGCATATATGTATCCCTGGTCCTAAAATATCCTTCAAAGTGAACCCTAATACCCCCATTTCACAGTTGAGAATGCTGAGACTGTAAGAAGGTAAAGGATTTTACCACCATCACACAATCAATAAGTAATGGTGCTGGGATTTGAACCTGCAGCTACTCTATCAACTACTCCATGCTGTCTCTGACCTTATCACCTAGCCATTCCTGCCATTATTTCCCCTTGAATTCTGAGCTTTTTTCCTGCCTCTTATAGAAGTGTATTCTTAAATAAGGAAGGCTTTTAGTCAGTCAGCCAAGGTTCCACCCAGATTTTCCAGCAGAACCATCTCCGGATCCAGGAAAGGGGAAAAATATAGCAAGAGGAGAAAGGTGTTTGAAAACATTCAGATTCACATAATCACTATATTTAGCAGGGTATCCCCTGGAGACTAATTTAATTTATACATGTATGTATATATAGTATCTGGTTAGTATCACGGGATTTGCTGAATTTCTATTTTAAAAACTTCATAAACAACAACTGTGCTGAAGAAAAGATAAAATGGAGACGAGGGTTTTATTTTTTAGCTTTTTGGCCTGATTTTTCTTGCAGCATGAGAAAGGGGAGACAGGAAGCAAAAGAGAGTGGATGAGAGGAAATCCTGAGAGAAGGCAATTTTAACGTTCTTTAAAGGGTGGATGAAAGAGAAAGCAAGTATCGCATGTACCCCCTGAAGAGGTTGTGTCTCTATCACAGAAACGTGGTCACCAGAGGCAGAAATAGATTACAGGTGATGGGGGATGGGCATCAAGATCTACAGCATCCTGATTAGAAGAGGGAAGAGGAGAATGGAAGAGAGAGAATTTAGAGAGAGAAGGAGGAAGTGTGAGGATCATCCAACTCCCTCTGAATTCTGGGTAGCTTTGATCCGGCTCGTGATTCTCAACTTTGCCCAGCTACCTTTGCCAACTCAATGGCTCCATCAGCACCATGGCCAGCACCCTCCATTCTCCCCGGTTGGCTGAACCCAGACTTCTCACTTTCCTAACTCACTGTGCCCAGAACAACCAGGTGCTTTTTGTAACACGATGGATGTCATTTCAAGGGGCTCTCCTCAACTCAGTATTCTCCTCCTCAGTCACCATCAGCACTTATTTCCTAGTAGAGCTGCTGTAACAAAATGTTGCAAACTGAGTGACTTAAAACAAATGGCTTCTCCCACAGTTCTGGAGATAGAAATCTAAAAATCAAAATGTTAGCAGGGCTATATTTCCTCTGAAAGCCCTAAGAAATAAGGAATTGCTTCTTTCTTTGCTTCTGGTGGTTGCTGGCCATCCTCAGTCTTCTTTGGCTTGGAGTTGCACCAGTTCATTCTCTGCCTCTATTGTCATGTGGCCTTCTTCCCTATATGCTGTGTATCTCCAAGCCTCTCTCCACTTATAAGAATACCAGCCATTAGGGCCTACCCTAATCCAGTATGACTTTATCTTAACTTGATAACGTCTGCAACGGCCCTATTTCCAAATCAGGTCACATTCGCAGCTACTGGAAGTTAGGACTTCAACATATGTTTCCAGGGAGCACAATTATACTCATGACACCCCTGGCTTTGCCTCAGTCTGAAGTAGGAGTCTTTTCTAATGAACGACTTTGGCATCCTATATTTCTACAACATGTATTACGTTGAATATATATGTCCATTTACACACCATGTCTTCTAATACACTAGCTCCTTGAGGGTAGGGAATTGGTCACATTCATTCTGACATCCCCAGTGCAGTGCAGAGTACATGATAGGTGGAAAATCCATTTCATTGTGGTTAATCAAACAAACGAATAATATATAAATGCATTTCTTGGATTTTCATTGACTTAAAGCATATACCAGGTAACTACTGTATATTTATGACTATCCAATGTATAGGATGCTGTGCTGGGCACTCTAGTTGCAACAGAGAATAAAAGGCCATCCCAAATCTCAAGCCTTGGAAACTGTACTAAGCACTTTGAGAATCAATGGAGGAAGACATTTCAAGTCTGGAAAATTAGGGAGGCTTCAGAAAGAAGGCAAGACTTGAGTGGGGCCTTGAAGAAATGGGAAGATAATTGGAAAGGAAGGAGGCTGATATTCTGAGAGTGAGGAACAATACGGTCAGAAGTGTGGTGGAGGGATTGAGGGTGATACAAGGAAGATGATGGGTTGGCTTTTTTGGTTGAAGAGAAGGCTCCCTGTTGAATAGCACTGGGAGGTGAGTTTGAGAGAAACTGATAGGTAACTGTAATGATACCTGACTCATTGACTAAGAGGTCTAGGCTTTCTTATATAGAAAATGAGAAAATATGGGGAAGTATTTGTACATGCCCAAATTGGGCAAGCACTTGGGAGATGAGTTAAACATTTAAAGGTTATTGTGATGGGTCTGGAAGAAGGGAATGGGATCTACACTGAGCAGTGTTGTGGGTGTGGAAGAAAGGAACAAAGTAAAAGAAATTACACAGGAATAATTGCCAAAAGTCAGCAATGGACTGACTTTGGAAATGGGGACAAGGCAGTGAGACAGAGAAAACTGTGCTAAAAGTCCTAATTGAATACGAATAAAGAAAATAGGAGGCCCTTTGGGGAAAAAGTTCATCAGCAATTCTACAGGCCCTCCCCAGCTCTGGGAGCTGCTGGTTTTCCTCAAGGGAAAAGGGGTGTTTGGGTTGAGAAGTGTATATTCAGCAGTGGCTTCATTGCTAGACAACTGAGTGCTTGCTTGTGTCAGGTACTAAGGGCCTTACATTCAGCTCTTCACTGAATTCTCATGACAAACCATGGAGGCAGATATTATTTTCTCCATTTCATAAGTGAAGAATTTGAGGCTCAGAGAGGTTAAATAAATTGCCTGTCATTAGCCAGTCAAGCATTTTATCTGACTCCACTATTTGACAAACATAACAATGAGGGATAGTTGGGAAAGATGCGTGAACTGGTGGTCACAGAGCCCAGAGTTTCAATCTTATTCACATTAGCTATAGATCTCTGATATTGGTCAAGTTAATGACCTCGATTTCCTTGCTCATAAAATGGGTATAATGGTGATTACTCTGTTTACCTCATAGGGTTTTACTGGTAAAAATCAAAATGGGATGACATATTTGAAATCATTCTGTAAATGGTGACATGCTGCAGGAATGCACAACAGATACAATCTCTGAAATGACCAAAAAATGTCTTGCTGCCAAGATTTAGACCACTTGCTCTGTGACCTTGACCAAGTTTCTTAACCTCTCTGGATCTCAATTTTCTTATCTACAGAGGAAGGGCTCTCCTGAGAATTAAGTAGGATAAAACAGAATTTATAATATTCTCTACCTATCAGCTTTTCCTTGTTTTCCCCATCTCAGAAATGGATGATCTCAGTAGTGATGTTACCAGCCCCCCAACTGCACTGGCCAAAACCTAGCAGTCATAATCATCCATTCCTTCCATCCTCAAATCCTATACATTCTAACACCAAAATATAGTTCAAATCTCTCCACTGTTTCCCATCACCACTGCCCCTCCTTCAATCCACTCCACCACATCCTTTGCTTGGATTATAGCCATGATCTTCTACCAATCTTTCTCATACCCACTTGCTGCTCTGTCCTCCATTGAGAGGTCAGAGTAACCTTTTTAAAACCACAAGTATAAGGGTACCATTATCCTAGTTAAATCGCCACCCATCACTCCTAAAATCACTTTCTAAGTCTTCGCACCCCCAAGGCCTTCTGTGATCTTGATGTTGACTGCATTCCTGTCTTGCTCTCAGGGCATTCTCCATTCCCCATGCACCACCCTTCAGCCAGTCAGGCCTTCTTTTAGTTCCTCTGAACACCATTGTCCTTTCTGCCTCAAGATCTCCATGCAAGCCATCCTCTCTTCCTAGAATGTTTCCCTGATATTCTCCATCCAACAGCTTCTGTTCAGCCTGCAGGTACCATCTTTAAAGTTGTCTCCTCTGCAGAGCCTTCTCTTACTATCCCAAACCTGTTTAGGTCACCTTGTGTTGTGCTCTGAGACATCCTTCCTCTCCTTCTCCCTATCAGTTATCACAGGTTCATTTTTTGAGTTATTTGTGTGAATATCTGCTTATTGTCTGCTTTCCTCACTGGACTATGAGCTCCACAGAGCCAAGATCTAGCTTTCTTGTTTGTTTGTTTGTTTGTTTGTTTCTTGTGGCATCACCAGTGCTCAGACCCTAATAGGTACTCAATAGATACGTGCCTGATGATGGAAAGCATGTCAGGCGGAAAGCATCAAGCACAGAGCCCGGAAAGAAGTCAGCATTCACCCCCTCTTCTTCCCTCCCCTCTCCTCTATCTGTTGTGGCTCTGGACTGGGCAGGAATCCCAGACTGTCAGGGACAATGGCAAGTTATGTCACATCTCTTTTCAGGGTGGTTCTCTTGTGATATTCCTGGTGAATGGAGTGAGAAGGGCAGCAGGCAGGCTGGAAGTCTGTAGGAATGATTAGCATGGGCTTCATATCTCCTTTCCCATGGTTTTTTTCTTTGGGAGACAGAAACAGTCTTTGTGCTGTCAAAGATGCTGTTAGAACGACTGATCCCTGGGCTCCTCTCTTAATGGGGAGAAGAGAACACAAAGGTGGGTTCAGTGACTTGGCCAAGGGATGACAGGAAATGCTGAGATGAGAGCAATGATATCCCAGTGGAAGGCTTCCTCGGGAAGCAGCAGGCACCCAGTCTTGGTGTCTTGATTCTGTACACACAGATCTAGGTAGGTTAGGGAATCCCTTGCCTCCCAGCCCCAGGTCAGAATACAATGCCTCCTCATATTTGCAGGGCTCTGTCATATACTGTATCCTGCTACAGTCCAGCAGGCAGGCAATAAATGGGGTTAGGAGTGAATCATAAGAACAGCACTGTCAGAACACCAGCCCCAGACTGTTATCCTCATTCACCTGATGTGGAAATTGAGGGGCAGAGAGTCAAGTTGCCCAGTGATAATGCACAGACACTTAGCCATGTGAAAAAAAAACCCTTGCTCTGTCCATAACCTTGTTCTGCTTCTGAAATAGTAACATCCACTGCAAAGGCCAAATTAATGAGAAGAGGTCTTCTCTGAGGGAAAATACAGTGCTTGATTTAATGACACAAGGGCACCAAACCTCTCAGGAGCCCCCAATTTTCTCTGTGAGAGATGGTTAACACAGGAGGACCCAGTTCACCATCGAGATCTTTTACATACTCCAAATTCCTACAGCCCTTACAATATGCCTCTGACCCAGAGTCTAACCCAAGATTACAGAAGGTTTTTGACTTTTGATTGCTGTATAATATATATGTAAGAGAGTACACTGCTCACTGAATTCTCACCAAGTGAACACCTTCATGTTACTAATGCCCAAAGCAAAAACAAGAATATTACCAGCACCAATGAAACACTTTCCACGCTTGTTTCTAGTAACTCCCACTGCCAACTACAACTATAATTACCGTTCTGACTTATAATAGCATAGATCAGCTTTGCCTGTTTTTGTACCTTATATAAAGATGGAATCATATAGTACACACACTTTTGTGTCTGGTTTATTTCTTTTTTGGGGCGGGGGTGTGGTGGGGAGAGAAGTCTCACTCTGTCACCCAGGCTGGAGTGCAGTGGCACAATCTTGGCTCACTGCAACCTCCGCCTCCCAGGTTCAAGTGATTCTCCTGCCTCAGCCTCCCAAGTAGCTGGGATTACAGGCGTCTGCCACCACAGCTGCCTAATTTTTGTATTTTTAGTAGAGACAGGGGTTTCACCAAGTTGGCCAGGTTGGTCTTGAACTCCTGACCTCAAGTGATCCATCCACCTTGGCCTCCCAAAGTGCTGGGATTATAGGCGTGAGGCACCGTGCCCGCCTGTGTCTGGCTTCTTTCACTCAACCTTAGATTTGTGAGACTCTTCCATATTGTTGCCTGTAGTCATGGATCATTCATTCTCACTGTTGTATAGTACTCTACTGTATGACTATACCGCAATTTATTTATTCATTCTGCATGGAAGGTCACCTCAGCACTTTCCAGTCTGTGGCTAGTAGGAATAGTGCTGCTGTGAATATCCTTGTACAAGGCTTTCGGTGAACATATGCATCCACTTCCGTTGAATATATACCTGGGAGCAGAATGGTTATGTCATAGGGTAGCCATATGTTTCACTTTAGCAAATACTGCCAGTTTTCCAAAACAGTTGTACTAATTTGCACTCCTACCAGCAGCATGTGAGAGTTCAGTTATGTCTTGTTTGTTAAATTATTCTCTGGTTATTTGTGGGTATGTTCAGAAAGTATAAGAGATAGTCACAGTCTCAAATACTCCAGTCCCTTGTTCTCTTGAATTATCATACCATGTACTAAATTCTAATTGTTCAGATATCTCTGACTCCTAAAAGAGCACTGTACACACATCAGCTCATTTTCCCACTAATCTTTGCTCATCTTTCATGATGCTATTCAAGTACTACCTCCTCTGAGAAGCCTCCTCCGAGAAGCCTCCTCCAACTCGTGCCCAGCCTGGGTGAGATGCTCCTTCTCTTTGCTCCCTCTGCTCTTCCTGCTCTCCCAGTCCATCTTATTCATTTTGTTGGCACCCATCTCCCCTATCAGTCTATTAGACAGTAACATTGTTGGAAGGAGGTATTGGGTCTGAACCATCTCTGTCTTCAGTACTTAATTCTGTATACAGCTCAAGGTAGGCTTTCAGAAAATTATGGATGAATGAATGAATGAATGAATGAATCTTTCTACTGGTTGTTAAGTTTATTGAAGGCAGAGGTCAAGAATTCTAATTCTCTTGTACCTATCGGTGGATTAATTGGGCACACAGCAG
Source organism: Homo sapiens (assembly GCF_000001405.40). Taxonomy (NCBI): domain Eukaryota; kingdom Metazoa; phylum Chordata; class Mammalia; order Primates; family Hominidae; genus Homo; species Homo sapiens. The sequence continues at coordinate 33,322,466 of NC_000017.11, read as the reverse complement.
GCACTTAATAGAAGCATGCTGCAATGAACCGATGGGAATTACAAATCACCACCTCCACTTGCTCAAGGGAAGACTCTTCTGGCAAACCACCAGAGCAGGGCCATGAAAACAAGGCTCTCATTCGGCTGGATTTTGGCAATATTTGGATCTTCCTTCCAACTGGCTTTGCTACTGTCACTCGGAAGGCAGACCGGGGTGATTCAGACTCATTCCTCACCCACACACAGAGCTGGCTTTGCTCCACTTTCAGCCTGCCTCAGTCTCTGATCTCCCAAGATCTGAAGTTCAAGAGCTAGGATAGTGGGGATGGAAATGAAGACAAACCCACCTTCTCCACTCCCACGTGTTCAAGAGCAGATGCACAAGAGGGTTCATTCATTCTGGACCGGTTCCACCACTGTTATGTGTCACTCTCTAGGGGTGGAACACAGAGCCATGGATCCACTGTGGTCCTTCCCAGGATCCAGACAGCTGACAGGGAAGCCATGGCGTCTCAGGTAGACTGAGACTGGATGTTACCACCACTGTTCCCACTACAGTTTAACTTCTAATGCTGTGAAATGTCTGGTCCAAACCAGCCTGCCTGCAATCTGCCAATGGCTTGAAGGAGAGCTGCACATTTTCAATGCTCTAGTTAAGCTGGCAGCATGCTTCACATTAAGGGGTTGTAAACTCAGCAAAAAGAAAATGCATAATGAAAGTTTAGTATGTATCTTTGATCCATGTAAGAAGGAATCATTTCTACCAAAAATTTGATACAGGGTAATCACAACCTGTTTCCTCTGATGACTAAAAAAAGCTGTTTTTAATCCTTACCTCCAGCAAGAAGCAAAATGGTTCCCTCTAGGAAGAAGCAAAATAATAATAATAATAAATGCTAGAAATATAATCTTTAATCTTTTATGTGCCCAGAGGTACTACATAGGAATAAGTATTTTAATGCAACTAAATGATAAACATTTTAAACTGTGGCACAGAAGCAATAAGCAGGCCTTTATATTTTTACAGAGGCTTGGTTTCTGTTTTAGTTCTGACACAAAAATGCTGTGCATTCCTGGGTAAGTTGATTTCCTTTCTGAGCCTCAGGTTTCACATTTGTAAAAATGAATGGGTGAACTTAAATGGTCCCCTCTATCTTTAACATGCTAAGAATGTGCAAGACTAAGGTTTTTGTAGCTCTGCAGCAAAAACTAATCATCCATTTATTAAATGTAAAATATTACACTTAGGCTCGAGGAAATAATGGCACACGTATTTATTCAACTAATAGTTACTTTATGCCTGCTATGTGCTAGGTGCTGAGATACAGACATACAAGCACGACCCTGCTAAAGTGAAACATGTGGCTACCCTGTGACATAACCATTCTGCTCCCAGGTATATATTCAACGGAAGTGGATACATATGTTCACCGAAAGCCTTGAACAAGGATATTCACAGCAGCGCTATTCCTAGTAGCCACAGACTGAAAAGTGATGAGGTGACCTTCCATGCAGAATGAATAAATAAATTGTAGTGTAGAATACTATACAACAGTAAGAACGAATGGTACTGCCTACAGGACCTCAGGGTAGAGTAAGGATGGCAAGCACTTTATGACACCCACAAAAAAATCAGTTATAAGAGTGCAGTGGGCACAGAGAGCCATGAACTCCCTGGGGTGACAGGATAGGATTTTCAGGGGAGAGAAACTTGAGTGGTCATGAAGTCTGCATTTCCAGGAAAAGCAAGGAGAGAGAAGATGGGTGTTTGTAGCTCCAATAGAGAACAGACACATCATGGCTTAAGAGTTCCACATAGGAAAGCAAATCACTTATGGAATCCAACCAACTCTAAACTCAGAATGAGCCGACGAGATGATGTGTTCGCAACCAACAATAACAACAAAACCCTCAAACAGGATACTGTCCACCTCAACTCCATACTAACCTGGCACTGGCACCAGCTCTGTCTCCAACTGGCTCCCTGACTTCGGGCAATCCCACCACCTTCCCTAGGTCTGTTTTGTTGTCTATAGAACCAGAGGGTGGGCTGAGATAGTGTGGGAAGCCTGTTAACTCCTTCCGTAAGAGTGAGGCACCAAGAGCTATCGCAATAAAAATGAAACCCTTTAAAGCTTGAAAGACTCAGGCTGTGCTAAGCCCACCAGCTGAAATAAGAATGCCTCAACAAACAACATTAATAAAAAAGACAGTAACAGAGCTTCTCCTTAAAAAAATACCTCAAAATTTACAAGAGGATTTTATAGAGAGCCCTCTTAGAAGGGAGGAAATGTCTGTTTGGAAGATGTTCAGCTTCTGATTTTATCCAAACATTTTCTCACACGCAGGGCTGGTATGGGTGTCAGATGCTGCTGAGGCTGGTGTGGCTTCTATTAACTCCTGCTTTTTACTGCTCCACGAGCTCCTTATTAGACTCATCCCAGGGATTCATCCCAGGTTGCACATGAATTACTTCCTCTGGAGGCCCTGAGTTTGCTTGGTTGTTCTTAGCTCCTTCCCCAAAGATTTTTCCCCCAAATCCTAGAGTTTTCCTAGACCAAGAAAGGGATGAATACGATGTAGTATTTGATAGTACAACAGAGTGACTATAGTCAACAATAATTTACTGTACATTTAAAAGTAATTAATGGAGACCAGGCACAGTGGCTCATGCCTCTAATCCCAGCACTTTGGGAGGCCGAGGAGGGTAAATTGCTTGAGCCCAGAAGTTCAAGACTAGCTACGGCAACATGGTGAAACCCCATCTCTACAAAAAATACAAGAATTAGCTAGGTGTGGTGGTGTGCACCTGTAGTCCAAGCTACTTCTGGATTGTTTATAATACAAAGAAAGGATAAATGCTTGAGGTGGTGAATACCCCATTTACCCCAATATAATTATTACACATTGTATGGCTGTATCAAAATATCTCATGTAACCCATAAATATATGCATCTATTATGTACCCATAAAAATTAAAAATTAAAACTTTTTTAAAGGAGGGTGGTCTGAATCCCACATGAACACAGGGAAAACACAAACTCTTCCCCATCCATCACTGGCTGTCCTAGGGTGTGGTTGTCATCAGCTGGTCCTTCTCAGACCAATAGATTGTCCTGGGCAGCTACGTGTCCCAATCCTGATGTGGGATACTATGGACCCTTGAAGCAGGAAGAGCCACTCCCTCAGTGCTGAAGATGTCCAGAACTACCCCAATGGATGCATGAAAGTCTAGTTTTTGGGGGTTTATTTTTTTGAGACGGAGTCTCGCTCTGTGACCCAGACTGGAGTGCAGTGGTGTGACTGTGGCTCGCTGCAAGCTCCGCATCCCGGGTTCAAGTGATTCTCGTGCCTCAGCCTCCTGAGTAGCTGGGACTACAGGCATGTGCCACCACACCTGGCCATGTTGGTCAGGCTGGTCTCAAACTCTTGATCTCAAGGGATCTGCTCACCTCAGCTTCCGAAAGTGCTGGGATTACAGGCGTGAGCATAGTTTTTAATGGCCTGCCATTTTAGTCCTTCCCACAGACTTTCTCCATCTTTCTGGCTGCCCCAGTTTTGCTCCTGGTGACCATTCTTTGAGGACCTGGAATCACTTTCCTTCCCTAATCATCAGCTCTCTCCAGAAAAGGAACAGCTTTTTCCCGCTCAAACTTCAAAACCAAAAGGGCCTTCTTGTGTCCTCTTTCCTGCTCAATGCAGCTGTCCCCAACCATTGTAAGAGATGGGAAGCTACCATTTATCCCCAGGGTGCCTTACACACACGACCCTCCACAGGGCACCTCCAGGATCTCAGGGGATTTACCTTCCTCACGGTGAGAACTCTCACTAGAGCAAAGAAGGAAAATAAAAGCAAGTCATCCTGCTATATTTATTTACTCCCTTAATTAAAGTCATGAGAAACAAAACCTGTTGCTCAGTGGGCAGGAGCTTAGAAAGCTTCTCCCCTGGAAAACTATTTGGCTGTGCAATTGTGGTGTGTCACCCAAACGAGGGAGGGCAGCAGGGAGGCAACCCACTTACTGTCATCAATTTCTAGGAGTGAAAGAAAGCTGAGTGCAGATTAGGACCTTATTTTGGCACCAAATCCTCATCACAGCTCTGCAGTAGGCGAAATCAGTTCCATGGTAAGACAGGCTCAGTGGTAGCAGGCAGCCTGGAACCCAAACTCACATGCAAATGGAGAAGATTATATCTCTTCCTAAGAATAGGCTTTGTTAAAGACGAGAGAAGAAAGCAAGAAGGCCCTGGAAACCCAAAGAGCATGTCTGGAAATGGGAAGGAAGGGGAGGAGGGCAAGCCCCCTCGAAGAGAAAGAGGAAAGCAGTAAGGGGAAGCTAAATTCCAAATCCACCCACCCCGCAATGTCGCTGGAGGCTGCCAGCTGCTGCCTTAACGATGTTTAATCTCTGTAATGAATGTCAGACTCTACCCAAATGCGACCGTCAGCTCTTTCCTAAAGACGGTGACTTTGCTTATGCTGGAGGTTTCATTCCCTAGGAGCTTCTCAATCTTTTCTCCTTGCCCCACCTACAAGCTCATATATAAACATATCCTACACACACACACACACACACACACACACACACACACACACACTCATCTCCACACGTCCAAATCCATTTCACAAAAATCAAAAGCCCAGCTGAAATTCCATCTCCTCCGTGAAGTCCTCTTGGATTTCCTAGTCAGCTGTGTTTTTCTCTTGTTCTGAGAGCCTGTGGTATCTTCTCTGACCTTCTTTTATGGGATTCTTGTCTTACTGTCATCGGTGAATGTGTTTTATCTCCCTACTAGATTGTAAACTTCTTGCCTACAAGAGTGAGGTCTTATTTATCTCTGATTCCACATGGTACTCAGCACAGTACCTGGCCTTGAAAAACATCTGTCGACTTTTTATTATTCTCCTAAGCTGAAAGTCATTTGGGTGGAAAGGAATTGTAAAAAGGAGAAGGAATTTTCATTGGGTGTCCCTTAGATGAAGGTCTTGGACAGAGCTTTGAAAATACAAAGTGAAAAACACCAGTCTGACCATACAGAGCTCAAAGACATCTATTAGGATGTTGACAATGCAAGTATAAGCAATGAAGAATGGCACAGGAGATGCTCACCCAACCTGGAGGCAGAGGTTTCGCAGGAGAGCATTTTGGAGGGTTGCCCTTTAAGGTCTACCCTCAGAGCTCACATGAACCCTTGATTGCAGCAGGAGGAACTGCTCACAGCATGCCTGGTACTCTGACAAACATGGGAATCACAGCACTGCAAGGGAAGCAGGCCTCAGGCACCAGATGTAGGGGCAAAGGCAGAAGAAACTCCAAACAGCATGCAAACTTCTTGAGGACTTGATTAATTGCTTTAATTAGCCAGCCTATAACTGTTAAGGCAAGTGGCATGGTTAGTAATAACACAAGAATGGTACCCAAGATCGGGCCTAAGCAACTGCTGCGCTGTTCTCCCGGCAACTGGACCCAGGTCTCTGAAGCTGGTCCTGGAGCCAGGAAAGAGAAATGTGCAGGGCGTGATTAAAGGCAGACCAGTGCTGATTAGCACAGAGTGTAGTACCTTGTCAGCACCAGCTCCCAGGGTGAATTAAGTGCACACAAAATGAATGTGTGTCTGGAAAATCTCCAAAGTGGATTTTATTCTTGCCCAAATGTTACCCAGTATTTTAATTAACCTGGGCTTATTGTTCTAATTACTTGAGTTTTATACCGTGAATTGCTGTTTGGGAGTGGCGATGATCAGTAAACACAATTACTGTGTATATTTCCAGCAAAGCTTTGCCCTCAAAATTTTATCTAAAAATAGTTATCAGTAACATAAATCTTTAATTTCTAGTTCACTGGGGCTAACAGACTGAGTAGGATGGAAGAAAAGGCTTTCTTAAAACATGAAGATGGCCAGGCGTGGTGTCTCATGCCTGTAATCCCAGCACTTTGGGAGACCAAGATGGGCGGATGACTTGAGGTCAGGAGTTCAAGACCAGCCCGGCCAACATGGCGAAACCTCATCTCTACTAAAAATACAAAAATTAGCCTGGCGTGGTGCAAAGGCATTATATATGCATGGACAGGTCAATAGTTTGCAATGCCTAGAACGCAGAGCACTTGTTGGAGAGCAGTGGCTGTAGACAGCAGAGAGAGTTGGGGTGAAGAGATCTGAACTTCCAGCCAAGCAATCTGCCCTTCATTTTGTAGACAACGGAGAGACACTGTAGCGTGTTCAGCAAAGGAGAGACATGTTCAGGTCTGTATTTCAGAACCATCTCTCTGATGCCAGTGGAGGATTAGAGAGTATGAAACTAAACATAGTAAGGCTGAAAGTAAATTAGCTCATTAGTTTAGACACTCCCAGGAAAAAACCACATGAGGTTACATTTCTAGCAAAAAGAAGGGGAATAAAATTGATCCAACTTATTAAGCATCTACTTTGTACCAGGCTCCAAGCTCGGTGTTTTACACCTGTGTGCTCACTCAATGCACACAGCAATACCACAGAAGGGGGAGGGCACTATTATCAGTTCCATGTTGCAGAGGAGGAAAATAAGGCTCAGTGAGAGTCAATGGATTCACAAGGTCTTGCAACTAGAAAGTGATTGAACCAGGATTTGAACCCAAGTCTATTTGATGTCAAAGCCAGTACTCCACTGTGGTTTCTGATCCTCATTGGCTTTCTTCAAGGGTCAGTATGGCAAAGGTCAAAAGAAACACACTTGTAAGAGGGTCATTGTGGAAGACATCATTCCCTGTGTTGTATATGATATGCATCAAGTATCAAGTGAAGCATTATACATTTCTTAAGAGTTTGTAATAAATTCCTTTGGGAATGTAATGCCAAGAAAAAATTTCCTCCCTTAAACAGCAGGATCATGTGCTTTCTCAGATAATGAGAATCATTTAACCCATTCTTTTCTCCACTTGACTTGTTTACCAGGAAGCTCCGAACTCAGTTATTCTGTTAGCCCAATCACGATATGTACTTTCCCATCTTTGAGCTTCCTTTTTGATTTTATCCTTATATTTTATTTTAAGATATCCCAAAGCGTTTTGGAATACAAATGCAGGGTTTATAAGAATAATCACACAAAATGTGCTTTCTACTTACTTGATTCTTCTTTCATGTCTTTATTCTGAATAAATCTCAGAATAATAGCCATAGCGGGCAGGCCCATGTTTTCTCCCTCCCTGGGTTCTGTTTGAGATGTGCTTGCAGAGAGCAACATTATTCTTCTGCACATTTTTGGTACATGCTTTAGCTATTTGTTTAATTGTGCATTCAGTACCCACTAGATACCAGACACTGTTGTGACATACCACATCACATTTAATTGCTCTAATATGCAAGGTAGTTTGTGTTACCCCCATTATACAGATGAGAAGACTGAAGCTCAGAGTCTTAAATGATTTAAATGACTTGCCTTGGGTCACACAGATAATAAGGAATGGAAATGAAATTTCAACTGAAGTTTCTCTGATGCCAAAGCCTATTTACTTTTTTCTCTGCCACAAGAGGTCCAATTTCCTTAATCCCTTTGAAATGAGGCAAGACTGTGTGTCTCATGCAGCCTCCCTACCTCCCTACATTGCCAGCTTCCCAATTAATTAAAAGAAGAAGAAGAAAAAGAAAGGTCTGGTCCAAGCTATATTGACAAGACTAAACATCCACACTGGCTATTTTCCTGACCTAAAGTAAGTGCTTTCAAAGCATAAAAATAGAATCGTTCTTTTCCATTTGTCTTTGTTCTTAAGAACCACAGAGTGAAGGATGTGTCAGAGCCCCTGACTTGCCTATCTTTGTAAAAAATATATTTTTTTAAACCTTTTACACTGAGCTCTTCTGCTTTTTATGAGGCCTGGTAATGAAAACTCAATGTGAAAATCCTGACATCAAATCCATGTTATATAATAAACCCCTACTTTCCCAGCCATCCCCAGAAGGGCAGACTTCAGTGAGAACATTTCAGAACTGAAGTACTAGGAATTCTTCTGCACAGTGATGTACATCTCACTTTCTCCCTGTCCACCAGGGATGGAATGATGGATTCTTTTGCTGGAATCCGCATCTCAAGAATACCCAAGTTCTTGGAAATATGCATGCTCAGCCAACAAGGAATTGTGTCCTGAGAAAGCTCAGCAGTCTTAGATAATAGCACTTAGGGAGTCCCCACCTCATGGTCTGGTATGGAAAGAAAGAGAAAGGAAGAAGGAAATTAATAGTATCATGTTAAAAACAGTACAGAGAATTTCCTATGCTAGCTCCCTTAATCCTCCCTGCAGCCTTTCAGCAAGGTTTCAATGAAAAGACAGAGGGTCTGAGTTGTCCCATGCTTGGCCCAAGGTCCTGACAGATAACAAAGAGTATAGACACAAAGGCAAGCCCACGTCTCTAGCTCCAGACCCCATTGCTTTTCCTCTCTGTGATAGTGCCACCCACACATAACCACAGAGGAAGCAAAACCTTGAGTAATCAAAGTATAATCAAGGTTAATCAACCTTAAGGAAACAAAAAATAACACATCCTCTGTGAGAGAACTCCATGAAGAAGGGGGTCACCAATGACATCTGTCCCTACCTTCTGCTTGTCTGAACTTTCCCATCTCTGTCAGGCCAAGTCTCTGCCACCATCACTTCTGGCTTCTCTGGATGGCCCTTCCTCACTTAGCTATTCTAGTCCGGATACGGAAGTGTCCCTTTCTACTTCGATTCCGCCAGGGAACAATTGGAATTCTTCAAACGGCATGTGTAATGGGCAAGTACAAGAAAGAAAATATGAGAGCAGAGATTCAATCAGCTTTCCAGAGAAGGGATTTCTTAGCAAATGTCACACAGGGGCCCATCGTTCAGTTATTCAAATGTCATAATAACCAGAGGAGTTTTTAGCTCTGAACTTTGTGGAGAAAGCACAGGGATTTGTAGAGAATGATAAAGTCCACATTCCTGTGATGAAAAAGACAAACATTTATTGGACCTAATTATATATAATAAACCACACAACGGATGATGACACCAGATGATGGAACAACCAATTCCTTTAAAGGGTAAGAAAAGAATAACTCTTAAACACTGTGGTTAAAGAAAGATTTTGAGTCCTATCAGGATTCTTCCCAGAGTGTGCAGAGCTGCTCATCTTCTTCTTCTCCTTCTTTCTTTTTTTTTTTTCAAACAGGGTTTCGCTCTGTTTCCCAGGGCAGAGTGCAGTGACGGCAATCATAGCTCACTGAAACCACAAACTCCTGGGCTCAAGCAACCCTGCCCACCTCAGCCTCCTGAGTAGCTGAGACTACAGATACACACCACTATGCCTGGCTAATTTTTTAAAAAAAAAATTTTGTTGAGATGGGGGCTCTCACTATATTGCTCAGCATTGCCCAGGCTGGTCTTGAACTCTTGGGCTCAAGGAATCCTCCCACCTTGGTCTCCCAAAGTACTAGGATTATAGGTGTGAGGCACTGCAACCAGCCCAGGGCTGCTCTTATGCTAACTGTTCACCTTAGGTTCTTGTTCACCAATATGGAAGATCGTGAGTTTTTGCTTCCACACTGACTCTCTTGAGAAGGAATTTCACTTGTATTGCACAGCCTGGAGTGCAATGGTGCAATCTCAGCTCACTGCAACCTCCGCCTCCTGGGTTCAAGTGATTCTCCTGCCTCGGCTTCCCGAAGAGCCAGGATTACAGGCATGCGCCACCATGCCTGGCTAATTTTTGTATTTTTTAGTAGAGACAGGGTTTCTCCATGTTGGTCAGGCTGGTCTCGAACTCCCGACCTCAGGTAAGCCACCTGCCTCAACTTCCCCAAGTGCTGGGATTACAGGCATGAGCCACCGCACCTGGCCCACACTGACTCTTTCTTGGTGATCTTTATGGATATATTTACTTCTCTCCAAAAAGCTAAGTAGGTGCAGCCCTTGCCGCTCATCCCTCTTCTTACTCATAGCATGGCTGGCCAGTTCTGCTGTGCTTGATCTTGCGGACCTTAAGTGATCTGCATCTGGGTCCTCTCTGATGTCTGCCATATTGGCTCTAAGGGTGGGTTCCACGATGCTTTCTCTACTGTGCTTTGAGAGAAGAACAACAGACTACATTTGGCAGAAAGGTCACTTCCTAACTTGGATCCATGGTGAAATGAAATTCTCTCATTACAGAGAAACCTGGACACCATGATACTTCCTGTGTCACCCCACTAAAAGTCCCAATAACAGTTTAGAATGCTGCCATTTAAGAATGGCTACCATTCAAAGCTTGTTTACTATACACCAGGCACTATACACCAGGTTTAACAGGTTACCTATATTGCTCTCACTTATTTCATTATTTACAGAAATCTACAGTATCAATATTATTAACTCCACATTAAAGATAAGGAGACAAAGCAGGAGAGATTGCATGGCTCACCCAAGGTCACATATGCAATAAGATGCACAATCGATATTCAAACCTAGGTCTTTATATGCTTGACAGCACTCCCAGAGACCACTGCAGGGTTGGAACTTTATTCTGAAGGCCAAGGGGAACTTGAAAAGACTGCTTTAGTATTTCAATATGGCAGCAACATAAAGCTGGGGAGATGGTGGAGCCATTTGCTGATGGTGGAGCCATTTGCTGAGAAACTCAAGAGGAAGGTGTTTGGGAGAAAAAGATGAGAGTCGAAACCAGGGAAATAGATGATTCTCCAAAGAAAATATGTGAAATAAGAAGCAGGGTTAAGAAAGAAGCCTAGGGATGAGCTGATGGCAAGGAAGAGTCTCCTCTCTGTGTTCAAAGGAGACCTCTAGCTTTCCTTCTGGGATACCTGCCACCCCACTCCTACCTGCACCTTGGGCTGCTACATAGAGTTGTGCTTCCCAAACATGGATGAGAAGAACTTCTCTCTCCATCTCCCAAACTCCTAGAGTCTCAGCTCCTAGCAGAGCAAACAGGTACATGAAGAATTAGCAGTTTCCTACCTGTGATTTGAATATATGCTCAGAAGAAACTGGGCTGCCCTGCATTCCCCTACCCTGACTATTCCTCCACCACCTACACACATCTACACACACACACACACACACACACACACAGATAGACAGACAGACACACACACATACAAACACACACAATTGCTAGGAGCAACCAGAATGTACATGGGGTGGTACATCATCTAGTAGAAAGAGCACAGTCTTTGGAGTCAGGTAGACCTGAATTTAAATCCCAGGTTTAATGTGGAACATTAAGCAAGTTATTTCAACTCTCTAAATGTCACTCCCCCGATCTATGAAATGGGCCAGTCATACCTAGAGACCTAGAAGCATGGTTGAAAAAATCAGATGAGATGCAAAGCAGCCAGGGTGGCACCTTGCACACAGCAGGTGCCCAACTAAGGATGCGCTGCCTCCCTCTCTTTCTCTTTCCAGCCTAGGATGGAACTGGAGTCTTGCAGAGGGTCTGAGCTTTGTACCATTCCTCCTCAGGGCTTTTGAACCCAGAGGGGCTCTGGCAGGTCTGTGTTTACCTAGGTCTGCATCTCTAACCAAAGCTGTAAAATCAGGCTTTGTGATTCCCAAGAAAGCTCCAGCCCTTGAACCAGATTATACTGAGATAAAAATGCAACTATATGTAGATAGATATAGAGGCAGATATAGATATACATAGATATACATTTATGTATCTCTATCTCTTACCTATATCTATCTATATATTTGGATAAGAAAAGTTTTCCTCCTGGCCCCCAAGTAATCTTGTGTACTGCAAACATCACTGAAATCAGCAGGTGCATGTTCCAAGAGAAGACGCTGTGTCTTGGACTCTATATGAGTACTTTTCCCCTTCTAGAAAAAACATTAAAAGAGAGAACAGCAGAAGATACAAGGTAAGGATCAAACCCTTGCACAGTCAGTGTCCAACTTCTTCAGAGGCATTTTTTACTTGGTTCTGAGCCTAAGGATCAAAGTCCAGGCTATTCCCTCAGATCAGCACCACAGTCCCTAACCTTTGTCCTCGTCAATGCACATTCATCTCCTGAATTAAGGAGGCAATCTTGGCACTCAAGGTCTCTCTGAAGACGAGGCTGGAGCTGCTCTAGTTTGAGGTTAATGATCAGCCTAGATGTGTATAAGTCTTAGAGAAACACAAACCCTAGAGGTCATCTAGTCAAATTATGTCATCTTAAAGATGAGGGACCTATTCCTGGAGAGACAAAGGCACAGAGTAAGTTAGTGGCAGAGTTGGGGCATGACCCTAGAGATCCTGATACCCAGGCCAGATGGTATTCTAAGTACCACTTTGCCCTGCCCCCAAGCATAAATGTCAACTCTTATCACCACAGACTGGCCATACAAATGGATATCAAAGGGATTAAGAGGTAGCATAGAGACATCAAAACACCCAGGCTTCAATGAACAAGCATCAAATAATGGTATAACAATAATACGGAGTATTAATATTACAGGGATACAATATACTTTGATAATATAGGATACCATGGTAGTAATATTATTCTATTACTCAACTTTGAAACCATTTTTGACTGATAAATACATCATCTTGCTTGACTCCATGGGGTGGAGGGGAGGAGTCATGGCATTCTAGATACAAAATAACCTCCAGATAGAAGAGCTTCTTCACCAAATCTTTATTTAATTAATGCCTACCACCTGCCAAGCACTGTGTTCAAATTTAAGATTACTGTCAAGAATAAAATGTGCTCTAAGATCACACTGTCTGCTGGGGACACAGATATAGGAGCACATGTTTGCACTGTGAAATGATGTGTACCACAATAGAAGTCTACACAAGGGGTTTTAAGGGATGGACACGGGGATGTACTTCAGCTTTGTGGACAGTATTGCCATCCTTTGGGATAAAGGCCACAAGAGGGGAAAACACATTAGGAGAAGAGAGGAGGAAGGGGACAGTGGAGGTGGAGGTGAAGGTGAAGGTGGTGGTGATGGTAGAGGAGGATAAGGAGGAAGATGATGAATTCAGTTTGGGACAGACTAAGTTCAACAGCCTAGAAAGCATCTTAGGTATGTGGATTCTGTTATGTGAACTGTCTCAGGCTCAGTTTTGTAGGAACCTCCCTTGGGCAGCACTTTAGTGCATAGCTCCTCTCTTCTGCCATTTATGTTCTGCTTTTCAAAAATGGATTGAAATATTGAATCTACCGATGTCTCATCTTTGTCTTTAAAAGAATCCTCCTTTTTCTTCTTTTACTATCATTTTAATGGGGTATATGAAGAAAAAGAGATGTGTGTCTGCAGACAATCTACGACATCTGACCAAGAATTTTGAAAGTCAATATCTGAGCTACGAGCAGAGGAGAAAGGAGGAAGATAAAGAGGAAGAGAAGAAAGAAAAAAAAAAGGAGTTGGTGGCAGAAAAAAGATCTGAGAAAAGATCCAAGTTGTAGCAGCAGAATCAGGAAACGTTGGGAATGGAAGAAAGCTTTTTAATCAAACAGAATTGGTCCGTTGCCACTTCATTATCCCTAGTTGCAGTGTGGCAAGCATTTATCAGCCTGGAATCAGAGAAATCTGTTCAACATACGTAGAACATGGCTACCTCAATGCCAAACCCCCATATGGTAGCCAGTTCAAACCCTGTCTACCCGACAAAGGAGATCGATAGTTATCATTGAACGGATTGACAAGTTCCATGAAGTGACCTATTCCATCTTTTTTTTCACAAAAAAAGGCACTTTACCTTAATTATGAAAGTGATTCATAATGTTGTTGGTATGTAGGCAGTACTGCCTTTTGCCAGAAATAAACCAGCTCAACCAATGTTTTGTGTGTGTCATCTAGGTTAAATCTATCAGAAGAATAGAGTTGTTCTTTTCTATTATTTTGTCTATCCTCCTACCTCCCTTCCTTTTTTTCATTCATCTTTCATTCATTCGTTTGTTCAGTGATGACACAAAGTTATTGAATACCTACAGTATTCCACGCACTGAACAAGGCTCTAGAACCAGAATTTGGTTTCTGGCTGGGCTGGTCTTAGGCAAGATGAGGAGAGGATAGTAAGACAGTACAGCAGGGATTGATTCATTGATTCCACCATGAAGTCCAAATGATTTGGTTAAGGCAAGAGAAGATGTAGAAGAGCAAGGAGCATAACACAGAAAGTCTTGGAAGCAGGATGAAGCAAGTCCACTATATAGAACCTAGGCCTTGAACTTCAGGGAGGGTTTTCTTCCCCTTGAAAAGAGGGGAGGAGGAAGATGTAGTGGCTTAAAGGAATCATGCATGGTCATTGAAATTTGCCATCAGTGAAAGAAAACATAAATTTAGAGATTTCTGAAATAATAAGCTGAAGGCCATTGAATCACTCTCCTTAATTAGCTTAGTTTTCTATCCCAGGCAAGAAATCTGTTATCAGTTCTGTTATCAATTTGTTTATAAAAGAACTACTATGTGCCAGGCACTGTTTGAGGTATTTAGAACATACCAGTGTACAAACTCAAGATCCTTTCCTTCATGGAAAAGACATCCTAGCACAGCAGAACCTATGGCACTGAGATGAATAAGAAAATCTTAAAACAGGAGCTAACAACCGTTGCACAATTATGAGATAAGTGCACTGGCAAGAGATTGGTAGTGAATATTAACAACCACCATTTATTATTCAACAAATATTTACTGAATACTTACTATATGTCAGGCTCTGTGCTTTATGCTTTACATGTGTTATTTAATCTTTATGCTGACCCTGCAAGGCAGGTATTATTATCTCCATTTTTCAAATAAGGAAATTAAGACTCAGAGAGTTTCAATACCTTCCTCAAGTTCCCCCACCAGCTTGCAATGGAAAAGAAAAGAAGGAGTGATTAATCCTGTCTGCAGAAGCAAGGAAGAGTTTTAGAGAAGGGGAATGTTGAGCAAGGTCTAAGAAGATGAGTAGAAGGTCGGGTGTGCTGGCTTATGCCTGTAATCCCAGCACTTTGGGAGGCTGAGGCGGGTGGATCACCTGAAGTCAGGAGTTCGAGACTAGTCTGGCCAACATGGTGAAATCCTGTCTCTACTAAAAATACAAAAATTAGCCAGGACTGGTGGTGAGGGCCTATAATCCCAGCTGCTCAGGAGGCTTAAGCAGGAGAATGACTTCAATGTGGGAGGTGGAGGTTGCAGTGATGAGCCAAGATCATGACATAGCACTCCAGCCTAGGCAACAGAGTGAGACTCCATCAAAAGAAGACGAAGAAGAAAAAGAAGAAGAAGAAGAAGAAGAAGAAGAAGGAAGAGGAGGAGGAAGAGAAGGAGGAGGAGGAAGAAGAAGAAGGAGAAGACCACCAGGTAAAGAAATAAGGAGAACACTATCCAGGCCTCAAGTTCAAAGTCATAGTGTTGTAAAAATGTGATGTGGATTTAAGTTGGGAAAGCAAGAGGCTTTACTAGCTGAGGCAAAGCGTTTGTAGGGTAGGAAGTCCCATGAGAGTCTTGTAGGTGGATGGGGCCAGGGTGAGAAGGGCTTTATAAGCTAGCCTTTCCCAGAACTTCCTGGAGTTTTTTCAAGAAGAAAATATATAATATATAGATATATACAGTACACTGGGGCAAAAGGACAGGGCTGCAATCTTGAGTAGTCCCTGGGGCTCCTGATGCCCCAAGCCTGCCTCGTTGCCCCAAAAGCTGTGAGGATCAATACCTACATTTCCTGTAACACACTGTGTGACACAGCACACAGATTATGAATGTGTACAGTAAGAAATGAAGGGCCATTGACGGATTTTAAGCAGAGCAATGACATAATTACAATGGCAGAGTGGGGAATGGATTGGAGAGGAAGGAAATCAAAGACAAGGAGCCCAGTTAAGAGCTATAATAACAGAGTAAGCTCTAGGCTGTAGACAACAAGAGCTGAACCAAGGTAGTAGCGATGAGAATGGATCTCAGGCCATGCACTTGAGAATGATTTAGGAGGGAGCATCGACAGCCCTTGGTGATGGATGGAATGTGGGAGAAGTGAGGGCTTAGTTGAGGATAAGTCCAAGCTTTCTAGATAAAAAAGAGACTTCAAATTCATGACCAAAATACCTCTTCCCACGAGTAAAACTGCAGTTCCAAATTTAAAAGGATACATTGTCAATACTCCACAAAGCAGGGCAGACATTTAACATTTCTCTGTATTAATGTGTGGGTATGTGAAATGGAAAAAAACAGGCTAGGGGGAAAAAACACTCCAAGAGAAGTTTGCATTCAGGAAGCTAATAGACAGGACACATTAGCTTCTGACATCCTCTGTAAGTCAGAATGCTGCTGTCACTTACCGCCTGAGAATTCCAAGTCCTATGGAACAAAACCCTAAAATGTTTCTGATAGAGGCATGAACGTTAGAACTGTTTTCTCAAATAGAATTCCATTTCTCTTTTATCGTTTATTCCTTCAGGGAAAAAAATGTGGTAAAAACTGGTCTGTCATTGTTTTTAGTTTAAGAAACAGGAAAGAGAGAGAAACATTTAAATGCCATGAAATTCCCTTTTATAGAATGACTAAATATCGACAACATAACCCAACTGGCTGCAATGTAACCAATTCTGAATATTGAGCCATGTATCGAATAATAACTGTTTGCTCATTAGAAAAAATGGCTATAGGGAAGCTTTTATCTATGGTGATTGCTGAAACAATTGGCCAATGAGAGAATGAAATTGTTGTTCAGACTCTCTTACAAAGAAGTGTCATTTTTCTGAATAGCCAATGTGTCCAAGAATTAAGGATTTATTTATTCCTTTAAGCATCACAACTTTTTTTTAATGAAACCATTTGGCTGAAATTCCTTCTGCAATAGATCCTGTCCTTTCCTATATCCTTACGCGGATTATACAGAACAAAATGTAATCTTGATGGCCCAAGATCATCATTGTGAGTTTCAGCTATTGTTTGGGGCTAAAAGATTCGGGACTATTTGAAATGTGTGGAGTTTGCCCCAACATTAAATGACATCATTTTAAACATCTTTTTTATGTTTTTTAGTTGTTTTGCCTTCTTTGTTGTCAGGTGTTGGCTATACATTCTAGCTACCAGTATTCTTACGTCTTAAGCCTTTTTGTTTTCATAACATAGTATTTCTATTCTGCTGAAAGTGTGAAAAACAAATAACCAAGCATGTTATCATGATCGTGCATAAAGTAAGAGTAAGTAGGCTCCATGAAAATACAAGGGCTCACTCATGCTTAAACCATGCTGTGGAATCCCTGGTGCCTGGAAGGCTGTATCATGTAATGCAGGAGGCCGGGGGAAGAGGATTTGATATCAGCAAAATCTGCGTTTAATCTGAAATAAACCATTTGATATCTCTGAGCCTGATTCTTCCTTGGTACCAATAAAAACAACATCTACTTTGTTAGGGATACCGTGGGAGTTAAATGAAATAATGCATGCAAAGTTCCTAGCACCATGCCTGCCACGTTACTAGCCTCAATTAATTAAAGCTATTAATAGTATGGATTTTGTGACATGCATTTTGATTCCTCAAAGGGTATTTTTCTTATCTCCTTATACTGCCGCTCAACTGAAAATAAAACACATCACGGGTGCTAACACCAAAGAAAATTCGAACCGTAGTTAAAGATGGAAGCACAGTTGTAACTGGAGAAAATGCTCAGGCCCTTCAAGCTATGGAGATCCAGCCAAGGGTCAAGGGCACCAAACCAGGTCTCCAGGCGGAGACTAAGAACAGACGGCAGACGCACTACAAGCAGAAAGGACACAAGGGAACACCACCTGATTGGGGACAGTTTCGCATCTGAGTTTGTTTTTATTATGGGTCACTCTCTGGTCATGTATCTACCATGTGACTCATTGCTGGGTTTTGTGTTTAAAATGGATTGAGACTAAGGCGGGGATCCTGGTACAGCTTCATAAGGCAGGGGCATCCAGGAGTCAAAAGCCAGGAGGAAACATACTAGAATGGGCAAAGGCCAGGGGGAATGAGGTCAGCCACATCAGGCAGCAGCATCTGTGGCTCACTTTTACTGGTTGGTGGGCAGTGCCAGGCTGGGGAGGACAGTCAGGTCAACCAAAAGGTCCGAGGATGCAGTGGCCCCTATTACAGTAAGAACACTTTATAGAGACAGAAAAGTCTTCTAATTCCAAAGTACCTTTCCTAACTTGGTCCTGGTAAGCTTGCTTGGATTTTGGTTTGTTTGCCTAAAATTTTAATAACTTTACCCAAAGAACCTATTTGTAACTAAACCCTGTCTCGCCTAAATTCTCTTCTGACCATTGTTCATGTTCAAAGAAATGTTTCACTGAAGTTGTGATGTGCTTGGATGTGCTCTTTGGACTCAGATCTTTTTTTACTCAGTACTTTTTATATCTAATGCAAAACACTGGCATCCTTGTCATGTTCTTTTCTTAAAGTGTCATAATTTCCAGATGACGTGGTATCACCATCATTTGCCTGGCCATTCCTCTATTACTGGACCTGTGAAATGTTTTGTTTTCAATTTGTTATTTTTTCCCTCTATTATGAAAAGCTCTACTGTGAATTATTTTGTACTTTTACTTTGCTTTGAGGTTATTTCCTTGGGGAACCCTAGGGTATGGAATCACTAGGTCAAAGGGTATGAACTGTTTTTTTTCATAGCTCTTATTACTTACCAATGTTAGGCACTTGCCTTTATAACTCCAAGAATTTTCAGAAAACCATTTTGAATCTAATGTTGTGTCTTAGTGCCATAGGCTGCTGAGAAATATTGAATGAATAAACGTAAGCACTGCTGGGAAAAGGAAAGTATTGATTTAAAAGGAGAAAGCAAGGCTGAAGTCTAGAAGAAGGAAAGAAGGAAGAAAGGAAGGGAAGGAGGGTAGATGGGAAAATAAGAGGGAAAAAGGGAGGAAGAACTGAAAGGAAGGGAGACAAGCAAGGAAAGAGAAAAGTGAGAGGGAGAAGGAAAAGAAAGGAATGGAGGAAGGGAGACAAAGGGGGCTAGGTTGAAACCCTGTGGTTTGTAAAGATGTGTTCCTACTTTGTGGCCATGTAGTTGCTGTCGGTGTGTAATGTCACTTCGATGTTGAAAGAGGAAATGTTTTTGTGTGGCCTTCTGCAATTTACTTAGCCAAGCCTGGTACTTGAACCTATGGGTACCTCCCTGAACCTCTTCCCTACAAGTGGGCTCGTATAGTTTTAGTTCTGTCCCGATGGTGACATTACACCCAAGCTCGGAAAAACATAGCTCCCAGATCTACAGCAGATTACTGAGAACCCACTTCAGGCCCCAAAAAATTCTGCTTTCACTTTCTTCATCTCCCCCAAGGGTTTTTGCAAAACTCTGAACTATGCCACCACCCACTTTGTCTTTTCTCTTTCTAAACTCTGGGTGTTCTGCTTTTCTAATAATTACCAATATGTTGGAATCACACTTGAGTTGGAATCCTGGCTCTGCCACCTGGGTGGCACATTCTGTGTGACCCCAGGCAGTTAACTTTACCTCTCTGAGACTCATTTCCTTCACCTGAAAAATGAGGGTTAATTCAGTGCTGGATTCTAGTAAGTGCTTAGTGAATGGTTAGAGTATGGGATTATGGCCATTACGATTTAATCTATGTTCAAACCAGAATCAGAGAGAATAGAATTGGAAAGACAAAGCTTCTGTGTCCTCATCTGTAAAACAGGGATAATATTATTCAACTGACAGAGTTGTCCTGAGAAACCACTCCAAGATGCCCATAATAGTACCTGGTAGATACCTGGCTGTACTCTGTGTTAACTTCCTTCCCTCCCCTGCCTTCTCTTCCCCTTCCCTTCTGTTTGGGTAATCACACAGGTCCACAGGACTGCAGAAGAATATATTAACTCTTCCTTTCTGCTCTTCTTGTGGGTAGACAGGGAAGATAAACTAGGAGTAGAGAAACCAGAGGAAGTGGTTTGGCCAGGTCTTTTACAAGGGAAAGAGAGTAAACAACCCCTTAGTGGGTGAGACAGGAGAGCTGTGGCTAGGAGGAAATGCAGCCAGCCTGAATGGAGGCTTTTGACACATCAGCTTGGCCTTAAATCTCTAAGCCACTGCAGAGGGCCTGTATGCAAGACAGATTAGGAGCTGGTTAGTGAGTGCTCCCTGAAGCAGAGGTGAGAGCCAGGTGAGAGCCATGATTAAGTCATGACTGAAGACAGTTAAGGGGACAGTAAAGGAATTGTGAATAAAATGCCTCATTCTACCTTGGGTTTTATATTTCATTAAATCCTATTTTAGCTGCATATCTTTTCGTCACATGAGTGGATGGTTACTGCTGGAGAAGGTTATTACGCTTAACTATTTTAACGAGAGTTTTGTTATGTGTATGGGACAGCAAATTGGGTAGAAAAGTGTGCAAGAAAGACTCCATTTCTCTGCTAACGTTATGACCACAGCCAATGCTGCAACCAAAACTCAGTTATCTAAACTGATAATAAAGCAATGATAGGCAAGGGATGCTGAGGGAAGGAGACATTAATTATGAAGGTGGCCCGAACTTAGAAAGTAGATGCCACCAGTCAACAAGACACCTTCAGGAACACCAAACCCCTGTGAGGAGAAGGACATGGACATTGTTGAAGAAGAAGAGGGTCTGGACATCTGAAGGAGAAGCTGTGCTGCTGTTGCCTCTGCCTGTCTCAGATCCTGGCTCCCAGGTGAGCCTCGTGGGCAGAGGTAACAGGATTCCCTGTTAGTGGATGTGAGAACATGGGAATGAATGGAGAAACTCAGGAGAAAACAGAGAAAGTGCATGGCAATGGCTCTCAGACCAGTTGAGGGAAAAAGACCTCTCCCTGGGACCCTCCCAGCATGCTGTGCTCATCCCTGATAAAGCATTTATCATGCTTTATTTAAATTGCCTTTTAATAATTAACATTTCATATGAATATTTAATATTTTCTTTCTCATGTCCCCCACTAAACTGAGAGCTAAAGCAAGGACCACATCTAAGTGGACTTTGTATTCTCAACATCAAAGACAGTGCCCAACATCCATTAACTGCTCAATAAATAACCACTATAGTCATTACTTTCAGCTAATTTCCAGCCACCTTAATTAAGGTCTGATGCTCTAGAGCCAAACTACTTGAGTTTGAATCCCAGCCACAGACTAGTCACTTATCCACATTCTGCCTCAGTTTCCTTTCATGTTAAAGAGCTATAATGGTGGGACATACTTCATAGAGTTGCTGTGAAGATAACATGAGTTAAGTCTGGCCAGGCGTGGTGGCTCACACCTGCAATCCTAGCACTTTGGGAGATCGAGGCAGGAGGATTGTTTGAACTCAGGAGTTCAAGACCAGCCTCGATGACATGGTGAAACCCTATCTCTACCAAAAAATACAAAAAAAAAAAAAAATTAGCCAGGCATGGTGGTGCACACCTGTGGTCCCAGCTACTTGGGAGGCTGAGGTGTGAGGATCTCCTGAACTGAGGAGGCGGAGGTTGCCGTGAGTCGAGATCACCACCACTGCACTCCCGCCTGGGCAACAGAGTGAGACATCATTTTTTTTTTCTAAAATAAATAAATAAATAAATAAATAAATGAATAAAAAGAATGAGTTAAATCATGTTCACTGAGCACAGTGCCTTACAGATAATGCTCAATCAATGTCAACTATCAAATATCATTATCATCCTCATCATCTTCATTATGTCAACTTCTCAGTGACCAGGGACAAGTCACTAAACTTACCTCAATTTCCTATCTTAGTTAAACTGCATGCTCGTTAAGATGACTTTTTGCACTAACACCTTCTGGTTCTCTCCCTGTTATGTTTTACCCACTCTAAATGTTAGTTACAGAAACTTCTGAATCCTAAACTGGATCTCTCTGCCAACCAAGGCATGTTTGGACCATCTTCCTAGACCAAGAAGAGCTGTGTGCTTAGGACATTCAATTGCGTGTGTTATAATTAGCCTGAGAAAAATATGACAAGAAAATTAAATCTTATGCAAATACACAACATAATGCACTTCAGAGGCAAACAGAAATATCTGCATAACCTGCTGTTTAAGATTATCCACATGAGAGCTTTCATCCATTAGGGTATCTAGCAAAGGGTTAAGGGAAAATCTGATCATAAGATGACAAGCTTGTGTACCACCTTGTCATAGGACCTGCTGTCCTTTTTGGATGGGAAAACAGGATAATGGGAAATGAGAAGTTAAGGAAAATAACAGAAGTTGAAATGAGGTGCCAAAGGAAGGCAACCATAAACTAGCTGAAAATACTGAAAAAAAAAAGGTGTGAAGAACATGAAATACAATTACTTTAGTCAACAACATTCACTGACTGCAACCATTTGTGTAGAAAAAAAGGGCATATAAAGACTATGTACACTTATGTATATTCATAAAGTATCTCTAAAAGACCACGCAAGAAATTGATGGCTTTGGGAGCCTCCAGGGAGGAAAACTGGGTGGCTGTGGGGGCTGGGGATGGGGTGGAGAAACTTTTTACTAGATACTCTTTTGTGTTTTTTGAAACATGTGAATATGTTACCAATTTCAAAATGGATTCTTTTTAAAGATCCTCTCATAGGGTGAGCAGAGAATGAGTTAGAAGTTGGAACCTGGATTCTGGTTGTGCCCTTTATCAGTATCAACCGGTGTGATTTACAGCAAGTCTCTCCCAACTCTGGACCTTGACTTCCTCCGCTGAAAGTGAAAGGGTTAAATTATATTTTATACCCAGCTCCCACTTCACAGGGTTCTCCATTAAGCAGGGACCACAACGCTTCAGCCACACTTCCTCCAGCCCTGTGGAGCATGAGCTTCCTAGCTCCTTTTACTCTGGACCTGGTCCTTCTAGCCCACGTTCTTTCTTTTGGTGGTCATGGCCCCTTCTTTGACCTCTTATACCTGGGAATTGCTTGTGATAGAAGAAAGGGAGCTGAGAGCTTGAAGTCAAGTAAAATGAGAATGACTAAAAGGGCAAAAAACCACTTGGTGCATCTAAAAAAGACCCCAGAAAAAGAGAGAATTAGGTGAGGCCAAGCGTGTACAAAAAAAAACAGAGTGAGGGAGAAAGGCAGTGGAGATGCTGAAGCACATGAAAGGAAGGAAGGAACAACAACTCCAGTGCCAGTTCCATGGTGGAAGGAAGGGAAGGGTGTAGGAATATCCATGTGCAATGAGTAAAACCGCAGGGGAGAAGTCCTCTCTCTCCTTCCACCAGTACAGGTGTCCCCATCATGACTCCTGGACATTTGCTTAGATGCTATAACACTGGCCACCTCTAGGGCCCCACATGCCACCAGTAGCATTGACTGAAAGGTATCAGATGGCTCTGTTCTGTTGCATTGGTCTATAACTCTGTTTTGGTACCAGTACCATGCTGTTTTGGTTACTGTAGTCTTGTAGTATAGTTTGAAGTCAGGTTGTGTGATGCCTCCAGCTTTGTTCTTTTCGCTTAGGATTGACTTGGGATGCAGGCTCTTTTTTGGTTCCATATGAACTTTAAAGTAGTTTTTTCCAATTCTGTGAATAAAGTCATTGGTAGCTTGATGTGGATGGCATTGAATCTATAAATTACCTTGGGCAGTATGGCCATTTTCACAATATTGATTCCTCTTATCCATGAGCATGGAATGTTCTTCCATTTGTTTGTGTCCTCTTTTATTTCGTTGAGCAGTGGTTTGTAGTTCTCCTTGAAGAGGTCCTTCACATCCCTTGTAAATTGGATTCCTAGGTATTTTATTCGCTTTGAAGCAATTGTGAATGGGAGTTCACTCATGATTTGGATACCATCTCACACCAGTTAGAATGGCGATCATTAGAAACTCAGGAAACAACAGGTGCTGGAGAGGATGTGGAGAAATAGGAACACTTTTACACTGTTGGTGGGACTGTAAACTAGTTCAACCATTGTGGAAGACAGTGTGGTGATTCCTCAAGGATCTAGAACTAGAAATACCATTTGACCCAGCCATCCCATTACTGGGTATATACCCAAAGGATTATAAATCATGCTGCTATAAAGACACATGCACACGTATGTTTATTGCGGCACTATTCACAAGAGCAAAGACTTGGAACCAACCCAAAGGTCCATTAATGATAGACTGGATTAAGAAAATGTGGCACATATACACCATGGAATACTATGCAGCCATAAAAAATGATGAGTTTGTGTCCTTTGTAGGGACATGGATGAAGCTGGAAACCATCATTCTCAGCAATCTATCACAAGCACAGAAAACCAAACACCGCATGTTCTCACTCATAGGTGGGAACTGAACAATGAGAACACTTGGACACAGGAAGGGCTTGTCGTGGGGTGGGGGAAGTGGGGAGGGATAGCATTAGGAGATATACCTAATATAAATGACAAGTTAATGGGTGCAGCACACCAACATGGCACATGTATACGTATGTAACAAAACTGCACATTGTACACATGTACCCTAAAACTTAAAGTATAATATAAATAAATAAATAAATAATAAAAAGGTATCAGAGAGCACCCCTAGCTTCAGGCAGAGTTGGAGAGAGAAAAAGGGAAGAGAAGAAGAGAAGGGAAAGACAGGAGGGGAGAGGGAGGCAGACTGACACAGAGCCACGAAAACTACAGAAATAAGACCAAAAAAAAAAAAAAGGCAGAGAAAGGGGAAAAAAGAGATTGATTTAGGGTCACAGTTACCCCCACAAAAGCCCATGTGCCTCATAACATCAATAAACTTTATTATTTATTTATTTATTTATTTATTTATTTATTTATTTATTTATTTTGAGACAGGGTCTCACTCTGATGCCCGAGGCTGGAGTACAGTGGCATGATCACAGTTCACTGCAGTCTCGACCTTGCAGGCTCAGGATCCCCCCACTTCAGCCTCCTGAGTAACTAGAACTACAGACGTGCACCACCACATCCAGGTAATTTTTTGTGTTTTTTGTAGAGACAGGGTTTTGCCATGTTGCCCAGGCTGGTCTCAAACTCCTGAGCTCAAGCAATCTGCCCATCTTGGCCTCCCAAAGTGCTGGATTACAGGCGTGAGCCACTGCACCTGGCCAGTGAATTTTAATATTAAAAGTAATGTGGCTCTTATCACCATTTGCATAACAGCCCTAAAAGAAAGTGCATACAGCATTCTAAGCAGCACACCAAGAACCCATCATTGCTGTTTCATCTCTCCACCCACCACCTCCATGAAATTCCTGAAGCAAGGGGACGGTCAAGAGCCCCCAACCACCCGCAGAAATATCAGGAGCTAGAAGTACCAGATCAAGAGTAAAAGGGTTGGTAGGCTTATACTCCACAGGGCTGGAGGATCACATTGCGAGGAGATTCACACCCAAGAGCCTATCTCAAGAGCAAAAACTACAGGAGAAACAGTTGAAGGAACTGGTGACATTTAGCCTGGAGAAGAAAGGATGGTCTTGAGGACTTCACTAGCAGGTGGACTGCTAGACCCCTTTCAGCATCAACGTGCTCTGATTCTATAAAGAGTTTGAAGAGTTTCCATGTGAAAGAAATACCAAAGTTATTTTTGTGTGGGTCCCCATGGATAAATTAGGAGAAATGGGAGAAATTCACATGGAGACAGACTTCAATCTGATGAAAGGAAGAAGCTTTAAACACAGCAAGATGTTCCAGAATAGAATTGATTACACTGTCACTGAAGGAATGTATTGAACGGATTCCTACAGTGGGCAGGAAGGAGGCTTAGGTAGTATCTCAGATACTTTCCAATTCTGAGCCTCTGAGTAGCAGGTAAACAGGAACACTGAGGGATCCAGTGAAACCTGATCAAGCCACACAAGTGTCAGCTCTGAAAATTGTATTACAAAAACAGAAAACCGTGTTCACTTACATTGATCTCCCCTCCCAACAGATTCATTTAATGAGAGAAAACAGCTTATCAGTGGTGGTGGTGGTGGTGGTGGTTATACCCCAGAATGAGGGCAGGCTGGCCAGAAGACTTTCCTGCCACTGCACACAACATCACACAGAATGCCAGAACACCAGGCATGGTGAACAGATGTTTCAGAGATAAACAAGGGAAATTTTCCTAAAAACTTATGATTGGCACATCACAATGCTAAATGCTAATTTCTTGGTGGAGAGGTTATGTGGGTCACCCCTGTTCTGCCTCATGAATTTGTTTTTCTGGCCAAGGGAGTCTTCCAGGATGGTAACACTAATCCACAGGAGCTATTGTGTCCAAGTACCTCTGAGAACTGAGGCAGCGTGGACTAGGGCTGGAGAACACAGGGATGGAGTGACTACCTGGGCAAAGCCTGCTCTCCTGACTGGTAGCTGTGTGGCTTAAAGTGAGTAACTTAACCTCTCTGTGGTTAAAGTTTCCTCCTCTTTAAAGTAGAGAAAAAATGGTATTTGCCTCATTTTGAGGATTAAACACTTAGAGCATGTATGATACTTGTTTTTAGTGTAAAACACTTACAGGAGGCCCTAGCACTTAGGAAGTCCCACATTTATATTATTATCATAATAATATAATTTTGTAAGGAAGTATGATGGAGGGGGGAAGCCCTGCACTTTGAAATGAGTTAGAGTTGGATTCAAATCCTGTGCATGCACCAAGGATTTGCATCAACAATGGTAAAAATAGCCAGGCATGGTAGCACACTCCTGTAATCCCAGCACTCTGAGGCTGAGGCAGGAGGACAGCTTAAGCCCAGGAGTTCAAGACCAGCCTGGGCAACATAACAAGACCCTCATCCCTAAAAAACAAATAGTGTATAAAAAAGGCCAAAATACCTCCCCCGCAGAGTTGGAGTGAGAAATTAAATAACATTTATTTATGTGCCTAGTTCTGTACCTGGCGTATAGTAGTTGTTCAAGAAATACTAGCTCCTTTTTCCTCTTCCCCGGTAACAGTGTTTCATCAACGTGCTAGGTCACTGTGCTAAGAGGTAGGGATACAAATATGAAGGAGGTGTAGTCCCTGTCTGCAAACGGGTCATAGTCCAGCAGAAAGGCTTGGACACAAACAATGATAAGGGCTATCCTAGAGGTATCAATCTTCCAAGGTATGCTGGGATCATAGGAAAAACATGACCCAAGTTTGTCTGGGAGAATCAAGGAAACCTTGACCTAGGAGGCAATGCATAAGCTGTGATTTGAAGAAAGAACAGAATTTCACTGGGCTGGTCAAAGAACTGGTCAGAGAAGAGGGTGGGAGTATTTCAAGTTGCATAGAGAATGTGCTGCATACATGTGCCATAAAGAGAGCCATCAATCATTGCTTGGAGTCACTAGCTGCCCGTGTGTCTTTCTCTAGATTTCTGTGTCAAGGCCCCTTGAGGCCTAAGCAGGATACCCCTCCTCTCCCTGAAAGAGCTACCATCTGGAGAATTCACAGGAAATCCCATGGCAGAGAAGACAGTTGGTCAATCAAAAGTAGCACATGTACATTTCAAGGGGGAAATAGCTAGGAAAGAGCAAGCCCACAACAGCTGAACACATCAGAAACCCAAAATGTTTTAAAGGCTTTTATAAAATAGAGCTTCATGCCACTCCAGATTTATGATGCTGGAAGATGGCACATGCTTGTCCTGGTTGCTTCATCAGTAACTGCACTGAGGTCACTAGGTCACCCCACCTTGGCCAAGACACGGGTCACTGTGGCATTTCCAGGACCCTTGAGACCAGGCTGGGAGCACTGGAGTATGAGCCTTTGGTAGAGGCCCCAGTACAGCAGGCAGCTTCAGAACCCTCCCCTCAAAGCCAGCAACAGACATCTTCAAGCAACCAAACCCAAAGCAAACTGTCATCAATGCCCAACTGCAATAGCTTTTTCCCCAGATGAGTGAGAAGGGTTTCCAGGTGTGTGTGTGTTGTGTATATGTATGTGTGTTGTGTGTATGTATGTATGCAGTATGCATTGGGTATATATGCATTTAAGTGTATATGTTGGTATACATGTATGTTCATGTATATGTGTGTTGTATGTGTAGTGTGTGTGTGTGTTTGTGTATATGTGTGCTTGTACATGTGTGACTGTGTGGATGTATGTATGTGGGTGAGTGGGAAATGAGGGGCTCAGAGGTCCTCTTCTCCAGAGACCAGATGCAGGGAGTCATCACGCTGTAAGGGTGCCCTCAGGTCAGTGGGGAGGGAAAGCCCATCCCAGCACTGCTTCTCTCCTGCTTGGAAACCCACAGCTCATTCAACAGATCTGGCCAAATTGCCCCTAATTCATCATTACAAAGACGGTAAAACTCCTCTCCACACCCAAATCTCTGCTTCCCCAAGCCTCCTCTCCCCAAAGGATACACACGTTGGTCCTTCTTCCACTGGAGCATCCTCCCACCCTTGGAGTCCCTTCACACTGCCTCCACCACCAAATTCTACTCTCCGGATAATGTCTGGAAAACCCCTTTATCTCATGGAGTAATGGGGCTCCAAGTGTTCCCTGTCCCAGCAAGGGGAATGGGAAAGATGGAGTCTCCTGTCCCTGGAAGTCCTACTCCCCCTTCCCACCCTCTTGGAGAGCTGTGCTTGGCAGACTGGGCCAGGGCTGAGCAGTAGGCACTTCCAGGGAAGGGGCTGGGACACACATGGGATGTCCCTAAGAGGCTGAGGGGAGGATTGTCGCACTGAGCCTACCCTGCTCGCAATGCCTCAACACACATACTCATTACATACAACACATGCACATACACACACACACAAAACACACCAACCACACACCACATCTAGAAACCCTGATATCCATCCACACATCAACACATGCATTTCAAACCCAGGACTCACTAAGTGCACACATACACACACGGAACATACACGTCACCATAGACACTACATCCTGCATGCACCACACTCTAATGGCCACAGCACGCCACCCGCAGACATGCTCACATTCAAGAGTTTCACAGAAATGCCCATTCACACATACACAATGCACATCCTACGCACACCCAATACTTGGCACCACACTCGCAATCGTGTTCAAATGCCCACACTACACAGCAACTCGCTCTCTCTACAGCCCATCTCACACCCTCAGGAGTCCTCTCACCCCTGTCTACACTGGGGCCACATCAGCACAATGGTTATACTACTTATCTCTCCCACAAGCCCATACACCTGAGCACATCTGTACAGCGCATCCCCATCCCGCTCCCCACCACACCCCACCCCCGCACCCGGCCGACTCCAGCAAGAGGCTTCCCGCTCGGTGTGCAGCGGCCACAGTGGCCAGGAATTAAAATGCAGCGAGGAGGAGCCGGGCGCGTCAGCACCGCGTCTCCAGGAGCGCACGGCGCTCACGGCCGCCGCCGCCCCGCCCGCCCGGAGCCGCGGGGCCAGCGAGCTGAGGAGCAGGTGCTCGGAGCCCAGCCGCGCCAGCGTCGCGCGGCCGCTGCCCAAGTTCGCCTGGGGCCCAAAGAGGGTTCTCCCGGGCAACCGGGGAAGGAGCTTAGCCGGCGTCACGGCCACCGCGAGCTCGGAGTCTCGAGAGGAGAAGGGCGCGCGGAGCAGCGAGTCCGGGTCACCCCCGGGAGGTGTTGGCGGGTCCCCGCAGTCCCCAGCTCTTGTCGCCGCGGGGGCAGAGAGAAGACGCGAGAGACAGCAAGGCTGGGCTTTTCTGGAGACGCGAGGCACCTGGGAGAGCCGAGGCGAGAAGCGACACTTCCCTGCGGCTAGCATCCTTGAAGGACCCCGGCGGCGAACAGCCTCCCGCAGGACGCCCTGAGAAGCTCTCAGCCCCAGGCGAGAGCGGGCGCCTGGCAGGACTTAGGCGCAGGACTTGGGGAAGCCTAAGCAGGTCTCTGCCGAGCGCAGCCCAGGGAGCAGTAACAAGGAAGGGTCCTGGAGGGGAAGGGAAAGAAGGCGGCAGCCGGCAAGGCGACCACTCACCCCCGTACACACCCACCCCGCCCGCCCAGCCAGGAGCCGCGGTGCGCCTCTGGGGGCGCTCGTTCCTTGGCGCCTTCTCTCCCGTGTCCCAGCACCGCTGGGCTACGGGCCGGGCTGGTGGGGTCCCTGGGGATGTCCAGATCAGGCATGGTGGCCGAGTGGCCCTTCTCCCAGGACCAGCGTAAAAGCTGGGGTTAGGCGGGGCAGGGGGGACTCGGCTCAGGGTCCCCCGAGGTCCAGGACGAGGGAAGGCGGGCGCAGCACCCAGGGACTGGAGAGGCGGCTCCCAGTGGGACCCCTCCAGAAGTAGTGCCGGGCGCCGGGCATCCTCCAGGAAGACCAGGGGCCGGGAAAGCCTGGGAGGCGCTCGGGAGAGGCCACTGCCAGGGGCTGCGGGCTGAGGCGGCGCTCAGCCCCGGGCGGGCGCCCGCGGAGGCGGCAGCGGCGGCGCCGGGCGGGCATGCCGCGCCACCGGAGCTCCTTTCGGGCGCACGCTTCCCTGGCGCGGGCTGCGCGCGGCTGCCGCTGCTGCTGCTTCCACTGCTGCTGCGGACTCCCATGGCGGCTCCGCCCGGCCGGGGCCGCCGCCGCTGCCGCCAGCCGCGGGCTGAATGAATGAGCCGGATTGGCGGAGCCGGGCTGCCCGCAGCCGCGCTCACCGGCCCGGGACGCTTCCGCATGGCCCGCGAGGAGCCGGCGCCCGCGGCGTTGGCGGCTGCCGGGCAGCCCGGGGGCGGCAGAGGCGGCGAGCGGGCGCTGCAGGGGCCAGGGGTCGCCCGCAGGGGGCGGCCATCGCTGAGCCGCGCTAAACTGCACGGGCTGCGGCACATGTGTGCCGGGCGCACGGCGGCTGGGGGCTCCTTCCAGCGGCGGGCGCTGTGGGTGCTGGCCTTCTGTACATCCTTCGGCTTGCTGCTGTCCTGGTCCTCGAACCGCTTGCTCTACTGGCTCAGCTTCCCGTCACACACGCGGGTGCACCGCGAGTGGAGCCGCCAGTTACCCTTCCCCGCCGTCACTGTGTGCAACAACAACCCGCTGCGCTTCCCGCGCCTCTCCAAGGGGGACCTCTACTATGCCGGCCACTGGCTCGGGCTGCTGCTGCCCAACCGCACCGCGCGCCCGCTTGTCAGCGAGCTGCTGCGGGGCGACGAGCCGCGCCGCCAGTGGTTCCGCAAGCTGGCGGACTTCCGCCTCTTCCTGCCTCCGCGCCACTTCGAGGGAATCAGCGCCGCCTTCATGGACCGCCTGGGCCACCAGCTGGAGGACATGCTGCTCTCCTGCAAGTACCGCGGCGAGCTCTGCGGGCCGCACAACTTCTCCTCCGTGAGTTGCCCTCCGCGCGAACCCGCTCCCTCTGCGCCCCACTCCCCGGCAGTCAGGAGGCCTGGTGTTCCGCCCCCTCGGGGCTGTCCCCAGGCCTCTTGCAGTGTTACCACTCCACGATGCCAAGGCAGAACCCATTCTTGGGTCCCCTGAGTCTTCTCCTGCAGGTTGTGGGAACTTGGACTTAACTGTAGGAGGAGTCGCCTCCCACCAGTGGGAGCTCCCCTGTCCCAGCCCCTCCTTCCAGTGTCAGCCCCCAAAGCCCTCATTCTACTCCTTATGGTCCCGTCTGTGAATATTAGTCAGCCTCCTTCTTCCCGACCTCAACTCCAGGCCCTCAGGACTCCAAGAAACTGCTCTGTGTTTGGAGTGTAGATCTCTTAAGTGCGGACTTCTTGTCTTTGGGAAAACCAATAGACGGCTCTTAAAAAAAAAAAAAAAAAAAAGGAAGCGCTTGAAAAATGGATCATCAGGGGAATCACGCAGAGTCCCTAAGCAGGCCTACGATCCGAAGCAGCTTATGTCTTCAAAGTTCCCAAACACTTAGAATCTAGGAGAACTTGTGAGGAAACTCCCAGAAAACCAACACTGAAGCTGTAGACAGTTTGGTGGGAGAGGCAGCAGCATGCTTTGGCTACTTTTTCAAAATGCAGGAGTCTTGAGCATCCAGCGGAACTGAGCAGTGGTGCGCCAGGGTTGGGCCCTTCACCTGGCCTCCGTCCCCCATAAAATGTAAGTGTGGGTCTTCTGGTCTGGAGGATTGCTCCGGAGTTGAGAAAGCATCCTAGCAGGCATGTGGATGCAAACAGCCGCGGCCAGGAGAAGCTGTGCTTAGGGTTTGTAAACCATTTGCTGTGCCGGTTCCCCCACGCTGTGGGTCTGGATAACGCAGCTGTTGGACAGAAGGTATCTGCCTTGTGCAGTCTGCCTTGGAGGAGTTCTGGTGCCAGGCCCCAGCATGATGCATGCCTGTCCAGCCATTCGTGTGTAAATGTCCCTTAGGTGGGTTTGGGCTTTTCCACTAGTGCAGGGAAGGTTGGTGTGTGTGTTTATTGGTAGTGCTATGATGGTGATTTTACCAGATCTGATTCATCACTCCTGAGATCCTCATTTCTGACAAAGCTTTTTTTGGGATGGTAAAGAGATGCCACGGTTCCAACAAGTGTTGGCATGATGCCGGTCAGACCAGGTCTCTCATTGGCTGATTGGATTATTCCTTGTCTAGGAAGGCAATCCTGGCTTCAATCTTGTCCTGCTGGCTTTGCTTTAAGCTTGTATATTTAGTAGCCCTGAATTATCCACTCCGAAAACATTCCTTATTTCCTGAGATTTTCAGCTGGCTTTTAAAGAATATCTACCTGATGGCTCCCTGCTTTGGCAAGTAGGAGATGCTGTTAACATATGCTTCTAAGTGATTTCTTCCAGGACTCCAAGCACAATTCTGAGTTCCACGAAGCTGAAGGAATGAGGGCAGCGATCTCTTGTTGTTTATTGTTTTTTTTGCTGATCACTAATTAGCAGCCTCAAGAGTTAGATTAAAGTTCAAGGTTACATCCAAGTAGCAACAGGCCCTCGCTCCTGCTCCAAGTTTTACAGCATGGCCCATCAAATGTAATTCTGAAAATCTGACTATTGCTTTGCAAAGTGTGTGGAATTGCATTCTAACAGCCACTATGCACTTTTGATACTCACCGCAGCCCTGCGTTAATGAGTTTTATTCCCATTTTTAAAATAAGAAAAATGAAGCTCTAAAAAGCTGTCCAATGCTCAGAGCCAGCAAGTTCAAAGTCCAACTTTGCATACCACTAATTGCATTACACAGAAACCACAGGTACCCTTCCTCTCTGACCTTGGGCCTCTCTTCTCTCAGAGGACTTACACAGGACTCTTGCCCTCTCCCCCACCTCTACTCCTAGGAATCCTGTCCCTCCTAGGAGCTGGGAGAGTGGAAAGTGGAGCCACCCCATGTGGCCCAGGTCATCAGAGTCTTGGCAACATGTCCCTGTGGCATGCAGAGGACACAGTCCCTTCAGGAGCCACCTGACTTCAACCTCTGCAGCAGGCATGGCCATGAGTTGTGTGGGTCAATTGTTAGGGAGTTGAAGACAGTAAGGTCCTTCCCACTGGGGCACACCCTTCTCTTACCTCCCTGTACTCTGAGTCCCTGCGTTTGAAGAGTTTGCAGGCACACACACATCCAAGCAAAAGTATTACCTCCATTCCCCAAAGGTATGTGTTCCTGGAGACTCAGGTGACCCCTAGTGGCTTCCTATCATGGCCCAGTCCTGGGAGTATCCAGCCCCTTAAAGTTGCATGCTGTAGGTTTTTCCAAGGACCTCAGAATTAAAGGCTTCACCCCTCTGTCTGTAGAAGCCAGAAGCTATTTCAGGGAGCCCCAAATATACAGCAGGCCTGTCAGGAATATTTTCCTCTAACCACACTGCCTTGTCTCTAGCCTTTGTCATCTTTGATGGAGTGGCACCAAAGTGTAGTGGCTGAGAACATGAACTCTCAAGCTGCACTGACTGGGCTCAAATTCTGAGTCTACCACTTACCATGTGCCCTTGGGCAAGTGACTTAATCTCTCTATTCTTGAGTTTCCTAAATCATCTAATGGAGATAACAATACTGTATACACCATATTAGTTGTGTGTGTGTGTGTGTGTGTGTGTGTGTGTGTGTGTGTGTGTGTCAGAGAGAGCTCTGAAAACTCTGCTGAGCTCCTATAGAAATGCTTCCTTTCAATCACATCAGCCTCCTAACTGGTCTTTTGGCCTCAAGCTCTGTCCCAGCCAACACCCTGCATCCCATTGTCTGCTTTACAGCCAGAGTAGTCTCTAAAGCACTGCTCAAAGCACATGGTTTCCCTTCTTCAAACCTTTCAGTGGTTCAGCTGTCCTCAGATTAAGACCTGAGCTCCTCAGACCCTCCACCTGGTCCTGCTTTATTTCTTGCCACACCCTCCCTCATACCATATACTCAAGGTCTACAGAACAGCTCCCAACAGCTGAATCCCTGCTCCTCAAGCCCCTCTGCTTGGTTTGGTTTCCGCTGCTGCTGTAACTCCCCTTTCATGCTGCTTTGTCTGCCTGGGGGACACCTGCCTGCTCAACAGGCAGCTCTGGGGTTTCTCCTGCTTTGGAGCCTTTCCTGACCACCTGCTGCATCTATGCCACATCACCAAACAACTGATGCCTTCCCCTTCTTGCCCCTCTTCCACCCTGTTTAGATGTCAATCCTCACACAGGCACATGTCATCACACCTGTTAGACTGTGCCTGTCTCCCCCTCCAGACCAGAGTAGGAATCATATCTGATGTACTTGCTGCCTCCGGCACCCAACAGACAGCTTGACAAGTAGTGACAGGAAAGGACTGGGGAATGCATACCTCCATCAGGTACCCCCAACATTCCCTGTTGTCTTGTGTAGCCTGCAACAAGGCTCCTGGCTTAATTCCTCTAGAGAACACCAGTGAAATGTATTTCAGTGAGAACCAGGCCACTTCTGGGCATTTATTCCTTTTGGGAACAGAGAAGGGAAAGTAGAAAACAAGATGCCAAGCACTCCCCAGACACCTGTGCTCCCCAATCCTAAGAGGACTAGAGCAACAGGTGAGAGATGGAGTTCTAGAGGAGGCCTTTGGGGGGAAGTGCCAGCTGTCCCTAAGTCCCATTTCAGCCAGTTAGTCCCATGGTCTGGAAAGAAACCTGGCAGGGGAGGGGGGTGTCTGTTGGGTCTTATCCTCTAGGCCCACTCGAGATGTGTTTAGTTGCAGCTCCTCTCTTTGTTGCAGCTGTGCAAGAGTTAATCTCTCAGCAGTCAGATAAAGCAGCTTGGCTTCTGAATGCCTGTGTTGTTTCCCTGGCATCAGCTGTGGACTTGAGCTCTGCACACTCTGGCCCTTCTGGGGTTTCCTGGGCCAGAAGAAGGGAGCCTTCCCAGTAATTGGGTGGGATGCAAAACAGTGAGGCAGAGCTATCTGAGCACTGGGGCTTTGGAAGAAGAACCAGGGGGTTGGAACAGAAACCAACAGAGGCCAATCTGAGGTCCTCTGCAGGAACAAGGAGCAATGGCTCTCTCTCTGGCAGATGGCATGGTTCAGGGGAGAGTGCCAGGCAGACCTCAGCGTGGGTCTTTGGTGCTGCCATTTCCTAGCTCTGTGCCTTGGACAGACACTTTGCTCCATGAGCCTCTGGTAATAATTCCTGCCTCGGAGATCTGAGGTGAAGATAACATATGAGCAATAACTGGCACATGCCTGGACAGCAGTAGGTGCTCAATATTCAAGAGCCATTATCATAATGTGGATAAAGTGCTCAGCTCAGTGTCTTGACATCTGATGGTAGCAGTTGCTATTCATATTTACTATAGTATTCATAGTATTCATAGTTACTATTCATAATTACTATTCATATAATTATCATATCATATTATGACCACTTACCTGAGTAGAGATATATGCTCATTTTCTCATTTTCCAGTTCATTCATTCAATCGACCAATGTCTCTTGAAGGTCAACTATATACTAAGTTTCTGTACTAGCTGCTGGGGGGTATAAAATTAAATAAGGCTTGGTACATGCCCTTTGGGAGCTCTCAGTGATGTTGAGGACAGAGGTGTGTGAATAGATACCAGGAGCGTACAGAGGTGCTGTGTGGGCTCCAAGGATCAGACTGGGGATCTTCGATGGTTTATTGGAGGAGGTGGTATCTCAGCTAAATCTTGAAGGATAAGTAGAAGCTCCAAAGTAGAAAAGGAGAGAAAGAGGACTTCAGGGTGAGAGGACAGGAGTCCATTGCAAGAGTTCAGAGACATGAAATAATGAGATTGAACACATGCATTCTAGGCCCCGCGCCTAGTTCAGGGTGGCTGGAGGGAGGGACTGGATGTGCTGAGATGGGAGCTGGGCTGAGGGGTGACGATGCAATTATGTAGTGGGTGCCTGGAGACCAAACTAAAGTTTTTGAACTTTGCAGCAAAACTCTGACTTCTTTCACTACTGGTTGTTAGACTGTGGAGAGAGACCTCATCTGTGTCCCAAACACCCCAGCTGCCACCCTGTTCCTAACTCTATGAGAAGCCACTCCTCCCTGCACCCTTCACTATTGCCCAACCCCCTCTGCAAGAGTTAACCTTGAGTTCAGATTTTGGACCACTCATATGTACTGAAAGCGAAGAAAACAGCATTTAGTTTCATCACATTTTGTCACATCAGACAAGCTGGCTGCTACTTGCCAGGACAGAAAGCAAGAAATCATTTCAGCAACATATTGTTTAAAATCAGCTAACTCTGTTGAAATGGCACTAGGCCAGGCAGTCCAGTAGTTGGGAGGATGGATAGCTTTAGGGAATCAAGAAAGATACTTTTGTCTTTAGAGAAAGAGGAATAAATAAGCTAATACATGTGAGGTGCTTAGACCCATTCCTGGCCCTAAGTAAGCACTCAGGAAATGTGAGCTATTTCCATTATTATGACTTGCGGTGAGAATTTTGAGTGAAGGACAAAGGCAAATAGCATTGGGCAGCTGTGATGTGCCAGACTCTGGCTGGGCATGTTTCATGTCATCTCAATTCTGTGCAATAACCCTGGAAGACTGTGTGAAAATCTACATTTTATAAATGGGTGAACTGCAGTGCTGGGAGCATCTGTAATCCACCTAAAGTCACAGACTCAGCAGGTGACAAAGCTTGGGTTTGAACCCAAGTCCTCCTGACTGCAAAGGTACATGCACGTTCTGCAGCTGCATGAGGAAGGAGTCCATCAGTAGGAGGCAGGGTGTGTCCTGGGAAGTCCAGCCCAACCTCAGCTTTGCCCTGGCTAGTTGAGTGACTTTGGTTTCAGGATTCTCCTGTTTAATATGAGGGCATGAGCCAAATGATCAACGGGATTTAGCTGAAAAGTTCTGTATTCAAGTGGGCAGTCAGGGGAATGGAGAGCTCAAATAGTGCAGATGGCGTGAGTTTTTCAGCCAACCATTTCTTTTCTTTGCAGAGCTGAAACAGTAATTAAGGGGGGAAATGTACAAGTTATTGAAGTGCTAGAGACAGGATGGTGATTAAATAGACATTTATACAAGGAACATGAAAAGACCTCCACCAGTTATTTGACTTCGGGGAAATTAGTTTAGGGAATCAAATGTAAACTCCACTCAGGTCTGCAGATATCCAAAATGACCAACATCAGGATGATTCTGATAGTGGCTATTTTGGGGCCACTTTGGCCAGTCACGAAGGCATCAATCAAATGTCTGCCCAATGGAGAAGGGCTGGAGAAATAGCCAGGACATTTGCTTCGCGGGTCGGTTGCCTTCATTCTCCTAAGTGATTTGCTTGGATGAACTACTCAGAAATTGAGTAAATTTCATTGACTCAATTGGATGTCAATTGGAGTCAATGCACATTAAGCACCTACTGTGTGCCAGGCACTGAGTCACCAAGATGACCATAAGTCTGATCTGTTTCTGGTAAATAGGCTTGCAACAGTCAATGTGCCTCATCGGAGTGACTGAGTCTAAAAGGAGCTTCCTGATATACAGGGAGTGGGGCTGGAATGAAACAGCCTAGGATTTGTATTGGGTACCTGTTACATAAACAGTCACATTCAATTTTAACAGCATGAATGAGTGTCATGGAACCCTGCTTACAGATGAGAAAGCCGAGGCTCAAGGAGGTACAAAGCCATGCATCTGGGAAGTAGTAGAGTCACGATTCAACGAAAGATCAGTCCAGCTTCAAAGCCCATGTTCTTTCCTATGGCTCCATTCTGCCAACACTCAGAGATGCTGATAAGAACAAATCCTTTCATAGAGGGTACCACTCACAATCTTCCAAGCCTTGAAGTTTTTTTCACTGCAAGTTGCTGTAGGCTTTGGAGAGTCATCCTGGGTTCCAAGACCTGCAACCCTGAGAAGGAAAGACGGTTCGTAAGAGGACAAGATCAGTAATGAATTTGCATCCTCCTCTGCCCTCAGACAAACAGAAGAGAAGTAGATCTATGGAGGAGAATCTGCCTAGGAGTTGTGAAAAAAAGTTTTAATTGTGCCACAACCTCAACTAAATCACTATTTTCATTCTTTCAAGGACACTGGTAACTTGAAGTCCTGCATGAGGAAATGGTGCCAAACTGAGTTCCAGCTCGGGCCTGTGCTAACAAATAGATGACTCACTCATAATTGGAACATGAATTGTTGGTAAAACAAATAGAGGCTGCTAACGTACTCAGGAAGTTTGTTCTGAGCATGTCAAATATCTCCCCTGACACCATTGTTTATACTATTAATTTGCCTTGTAAATTGTTTCCTCCGATTCCACACACGTTTATTGAGCTCCTTCTTTCTGCCAGACACTTTTACATTCATTATTTTATTTCAGCTAACAACAGAGCAGACAAAAACGTATTCTTTTGTCCCTGATACCAAAAAGAAAACTGAGGCACTGTGTGGTTCCGTACCTTGGTCAAGGTCACAGAAGCCCTGACTTAGGGTTCCAAAGTCAACGCACTGCATCACAATTGTTCCCACAAAAAGATCTTGGTGCAGCTTTGGCCAGACAAACCTGCATTTGTAATCAGCAGAAGCTTAATTTATTATACCTGGATAGGATGTGATAATGTACGTTGCTATCTCTGCAGCAATGGAGGATGCTGATTACACTCTATTGCCTGCCTAACTCCAGAGGTAGGAGTGACTTGCCTGAGGTCACTCAGCACAGGAATACAAGAAGAGCCAGCATTTGAATTAAGGTCTCTTAAGGCCCCATATACCTTTGCTTCCTCCAGCACCTCTGTTGCTGGTCAGTGTCGGTTTGAGATTTCACCTGCCCTGGAAGATGTTCTTAGGGAAAAAGTGATGGGCTTGTGAGTACTTTGCAGAAAAGAACTGGTACTAAACTGTTGCACCACACTCCAGTTGGCAATGGACGGTTGCAAAGTCCTTAAGGGGGCTACGCTTCTCAAACTTGAGCATGTCCGGGTTACTAGGCCCTCAACAGAGACCCTGATTCAGTAGGTTGGGGCAAGGCCTGAGATTTGCATTTCTAACAAGCTCCCAGGTGGTACAGATGCTGCTGGTCCACAAACCACACTCGCTTTGAGAGACAGGGCTGTGGGCTCCTGGAAGCCCTGTGAATGCTGATAAGGAGGGATCCCTGTGGTTCAGCCATACCGATTCATTGGATCTATAAAAGTGCATGTGGGATGAACATCCTAAAGTGAAGCAAATAAGTGTGCCTGGGGAGAGATGCTGGGCTCCCCAGTGAACCCAAGAGAATGTGCAATATCAGAAGCATCAGTGCTCTGGGGGAAGCCCTCTGCCACACCAGAGCAGGGTTAACAGAGGGCCAGGGCCTAGCTGGGGTGTCAGTCAAACCAAAGTGCAAAGGCCATGTGTAGGCTGAATGATGGCCCCTTAAAGATGCCCATGACCTCATCCCTAGAATCTGTGAATACATTACCCTATGTAGAAAAGGGACTTTGCAGATGTGATTTTTAAGTTAAGGATTTTGAGATAGGGAGAATATCCTGGGTTATCTGGATGGGCCCAGTGTAATCATGGGTCCTTAAAAGTGACAAAAGGAGGTGGGAGAATCAGAGTGAGAGGAGATGGAACTGTGGAAGCAGAAGTCAGAGAGAAAGAGGCCGGGCGTGGTGGTTCACGCCTGTAATCCCAGCACTTTGGGAAGCTGAGGCGGCAGATCACTTGAGGTCAGGAGTTCAAGACCAGTCTGGCCAACATGGTGAAACCCCATCTCTACTAAAAATTCAAAAATTAGTCGGGTCTGATGGCAGGCAACTGTAGTCCCAGCTACTAGGGAGGCTGAGGCAGGAGAATCACCTGAACCTGGGAGGCGGAGGTTATAATGAGCCAAGATTGTACCACTACACTCCAGCCTGGACAACAGGGCAAGGATCTGTCACACACACACACACACAAGCACACACACACACACACACACATACACACAGAGTTGGAGAAAAAGAGATTTGAAAGTGTTACATTGATGGCTTTGAAGATGGAAGAGGGGGCACAAGTTAGGGAAGATGGATGGCCTCTAGATGCTGGAAAAGCCAAGGAAACAGATTCTGCCCTAAAGCCTCCAGAAAGAACACAGCCTTGCCGGCCTTTGATTTTAGCTGGTAAGACTCATTTCAGACTTCTGACCTCCAGAACTATAAGGTAATAAATGTATGTTGTTTGAAGCCGGTAAGGTTTGTGTAATTTGTTACAGCAAGAATTGGAAATTAATAGAGGCCTCATTTGTTTCTGATGTACAAAACACTTTCTATTACAGACCTGAATCCACATTAGTGAACGAGGCTGGGTAATTTTGAAGCAGAATCTGTCCAAAATTCAAAAAAATGAAAGAATTTGTAACAAACATGCATCTAGTT
Source organism: Homo sapiens (assembly GCF_000001405.40). NCBI lineage: Eukaryota > Metazoa > Chordata > Mammalia > Primates > Hominidae > Homo > Homo sapiens. The sequence goes on along the minus strand of NC_000017.11, from coordinate 33,282,018 downwards.
TCAGAAATAGCTTGGGAGTATTTTAACCACACTTACATAATGCAAGATTGGGAATTTGGACTCCAGAAACTTAGAAAGGAGGTGGTTAGGGGGAGTAGAAAGGAGACTGCCTCAGGAGTCGACAGACTCAAGTTCAAATCCCAGCTTTGCCAGGTATTATGTTGGCTGGGTGGCCGTTAGAGAGCTGCTTACCCTTACTGAGACTCATTTGGTTCATGCCCTCATATTACAGAGGAGGATCCTGAGGCCTAAGTCACCCAGCCATTCAAGGCAAAGAGGAGGGTGGACTGGACTTCCTAAGACACACCCTGCCTCGCACCAATGCATTCCTTCCTCATGTAGCTACAGAAAGAGCATGCACATTTGCAGTCATGAGGACTTGAGTTCAAATCCAAGATATGTTTTAGTATAAGCTTTTGTTTCCTCATTTGCGAAACACAGACCATACTTTTCGTGTAGGGCTGTTTCAAAACTTAAAAATCATATGTTAATCCCTTTATTATTGAGAGCCAGCCATAGGCTAGTGTTTGTGGATAAATGTTTAGTGTAAATACAGAAACTGTTCCTGCTCTCTTGTATGTAAAAGCACAGCACAGGTGTGTAGGTCCTAAATAAATGTGAGCTACCACTATTATCTTCATCATCCTTATCATCATTAAAATAGGTGATTCCCCTCAATTCTTCCAAGAAAGACTTTTAAGGCCGTACAAAAGTAGACTTCAATGGCCTTCTGTATATTGTTACAATTCTAGCCAAGAAACATTATGTCATTTTCATATCACACCTCTCTGGGTAGGTCAGAGCCCTTTTATGTTTCTTCCCCATTCAGTACTCTGATCAAAATTAAAAATCAGAGAGGGAGATTGAGTTGCTCAAGGTCACACCGCAGGTCACTGGGAAGCTTGAAATAGACTGTAAGGAGATTCATTCTTAAGCCTACAGATGACACTTTTGTATCACAGCAATATCAGTTTGTTCCTCTGTAAACTCTCTCTTCTTCCAAAATATGTATTCTGGCCATCCCCATCTGATTCTGATGGCATATCTGATCTGAAAGTTGTTGATACTCTGATCTTAGAAAGTGAAGGGTTTAATCTTCTCTTGGAACCCCTCCCAGTGAAAATTATTTTGCCACTTTGAAATGGCACGGGCATCCACTGTGAACTCACATCCATAAATCTAAGTCTACTGCTCAGGAAAGCAGATGAGGTTTGATTCTGCTTCTCAGCACAGTCTCACAGAGAAAATTATGGAAAGAATTTGATTTATAGAACCACCTCAAAGGCTCTGGAGTGAGACGCATGTTGATTCACTTTATTACCATTTATTTTACACTATCTCTTTACGCTCCCTGCACATGGATTTGAAAGATGATTTGGATAAATGCTTATGACCTGTCAGATTGCATAGCCCTGTTGAGGCACATGGCTGCCAACATCTCGGGTTGGGGGATCCTCATACCAGTTTTGGGGGTCAGGCCCAGCCTCTAACAAACAGATGTGGAGGTTCTAGCCCAGAGTTCTTGTCTGAACTTTCCCAGCTCTATGTTTGTATGGTACTTGGTGTGGATCTCCAGCTGCAACTGCAGGATGTATACAGGCAGGCTTGATTTAAGATTCAAATATCTCAGAACAGCTGGGGATATTTAACATCACTATAATTACATTACATTTTTGATGGTGCATGGAGTGAGAGCCTTTTTTGTTGTTGTTGAATATTCTATGAGCATCAAATATTTTAACCAGCCGGGGAAACATGACTGCATTTTTCACATCCAAGTAGTTTTGTTTTTATAATTCCGGCCGGGGATGAGTGTTTCGGGCTTTCATCTTTTGCCATGTCTTTGGAACAGCAAGAGCAATGTCTCCTACGCTCTTAGGTGGGCTATGATGCTGGGGAAAGACGAAAATGGGGCAGGAACATGTAGGCACCCGCTATGTGCCAGGAGTGAGGAGGGGTCAGCTCACCAAAAGTGGCCTTGCTAATAAATGATGTAGCTGAGATCTCTACAAAGGCAAGTCTGGCAACTTAGGTGGAATGGGTTGCCAGGAAGTGGGACACGGGAGAGGGATAAAGGAAGGCTACTATATACATGGCTCTGTGCCTCCCATTTGTTATCTTCTTTAATCCTCAGGACAACACTCTGGGGCTATACCCATTTTACCAATGAGGAAACCGAAGCTCAGAAGGTTAGTAGAAAAAGTGGTGATGAGGATCTGCATCTCACACTCTTAAAATATAGCATTTGGAATATTCAATGCACGCCACCACAACTGTCTAATTTTAAAAAAATTATAGAGTTGGGGTCTTGCTACGTTACCTAGGCAGGTGTAGAACTCCTGAGCTCAAGCAGTCCTCCCACCTCAGCCTCCCAAAGTGTTGGGATTGCAGGTGTGAGCCACCAGGCCAGACTGGAATTTTTAATTTATGTTGACCCCTGGCTACCTCACTCCCATTGCCTCTCTCTCGTGCTCCACGTTCCAAGAATTTTAACCAGCCAACAAGCCAGGAAAGCACCTAATACCTTGACCGACCTCCCTCTTCCCATCCTCCTGGATTTATGAGTTCATGGCCCAAAGTCACAAAGCTAAGTCACTGGTGAGCTGCTTATCTCTATTCCAAAGAATTTTCCAGCTTCCATGTCCTTACTTCCTTTCCCCTGGATGCCCTGATTCACCATCTCTGCCTCTGATGCCCTGTCTATTCTAGACAACTGGGTGCTTAGATATGCCCAGAATATGCCTGGAAGGATGCCTGAGATCTGATAGCAGGCTGTCTCTGAGGAGAGGCCTGGAAGATGGGGTGCAGAAAGAGAGAGGGAGCCCTGCTTCTCACTCTTCACCCTTATCTATGACCCGAATATTTTTAGCCACGTGTGTATAACTTACAACAAATCAACGCATAAGACAAAAGAAAAATACTGTTTCTAAAAATCTCATCTCTTCTATGGTTATCTCAGGCCACTCTTCCATATAAATCATCTGTAGGCAAAGGGATGCTTTCCACCCTTTCAACCACGCAAAACTCACTTTGTTTATGCCCCTCTGATGACCCTTTCCTTTCTCGGTCTTTTATTGCAATCCCGTGCATTGAGTCAGGTTCCCCTTCCTCAGCTGTCATCTCCTTGAGGGCAAGGGCCATGTCTGGCTTTATCCTGTAGCTGTCCCAGCACCTAACGCTGTGCCTTGTAAGTGACAAGTTCCCTGTCTGAATATTGAATTGTCGAAACAGGAAAAAGGATAGTTCCACCAAAAAAAAAAATATATGTGGACTCATTCATTCGTTCATTCATTCATTCAATAAAGAGTTATGGCAAACGATCATAGGCCAGGGATCCCGGGAAATATGGGATACAGAGGGAAATGGAGCTGACCCTCCCCTCACAGAGCTCTCATCCAGATCTGTGCTTTCCAAGTCTCCCCAAAGATCAGAACGATGGGAAGGGCTGATTTAAAAAATCCCTCACTCCAAACCAGAACTATTGAATCAGAATTTATAGGGGAGAAGCCCATCAATTTTTTTTTTTTTTCTGATACAGGGTCTGTCTCTGTCACCCAGGCTGGAGTACAGGGGCATGATCTCAGCTCAGGTGATCCTCCTGCCTCAGCCTCTCAAGTAGCTGGGACTACAGAGACGCACCACCATGCCTAACTGATTTTACGTCAGTCTATTTTTAACAGACACCCCCAGGTGATTAAGGATTTTAGAAAAACATTGTATGTTGGGGGGTAAAGGAGCAGATAATATGTAAGTTAACAAATAAATGAACAAGACTCCTTCCAATATGAATAAATGCTGTGAAGGCAAAAAAAAAAAAAATGAATAAGGGCATCTGATAGGGAACAGCAGGGGCTGCCTGAAGCCAGGGAGCAGGGGAGGATCGATTCTCTGAGGAAGTGACATCTTCACTGAGATCAGGAAGATGAGAGGGGGAAACTATGCAGGGATCCGAAAAAGGATTCCAAACAGGGTAACAGCCAACCAAAGGCCCCGAGTTGGGGAAGGATCTGTCTTCTTCCTTCCCACACTGGAAAACCCAATTCCAGTCACTCATTCGCTTGTTCTTTGTACTGTGGGTACATCTGGCTCCTTCCAAGATGTGGCTGCCTCTCTCGCCCACACAGTATGAAAGAACAGCCTGATTCTAGCAGCTCTGGAAATATTGACCTCCGGAATGCTAATGTAACATAGCTTTAGGTCCTTAGGCCGAACTTTCCTTCAAAAAATAACTCCAAGTGAATGGGAAAAAACTGCAGCAGGAGGAACCCAATCACATATCCCTGTCTAAGGGCAGCTCGGTGAGACTGACTGAGCCAGGCCCTTTTCTTTGGAGTATTCCATTCTGGGTAATTAGCACCACATTCCTCTGCTGATTAATCTTCACCAGGGCAAAGGTCTTAAGCCTTTGATGTTCAGATAGAGTTTCCTCATTCAGCCTCCAAAACGTTAGGTCAGGATGGCTGGTTGCCCACAGCAAAAACAGGCCCTTTCCCTGGCATTGTGTTCCGCAGAGAACTTGCACATCTTTCACGTCTGTTATCTTCATGATAACCATGTGGTGCAGTAAAGCCAATTGAATTGTTCCTGTTTTACAGATGGGGCAGCTAAGGCCCAGAGAAGAGAATTGACTTGCCCGAGGTTACCCAGCTGGTACCAAAGCCAGGTCGGTTCTGACTCCTATTCCAGAACTTCCCTGACTCATGGTGGTGAATTGCCACTGGGAGTTTAAATATGTGTCCTTCTCCAAGTCTCAAAGTCAGTGTCACCTCCCAGGGGAAGTCTTCCCTGATCCCAATGGAGAGCACTGTGAAACCTGGTCACAGGGAATTGAATCCTTGGCTTGGAGGGCCCACAGTGCCACCTGGGTCATCTATAGACAGAATTTCTCAAACTTCAATAACTTTTATGTGCATGAGAGTCACCTGGGAATATTGCAAAAATGCGGATTCTGGCTTAGTAGGTGGAGCCTGAGATTCTGCATTCCTGTCAAGCTCCTAAATGACATCAATACCACGGGTACATGGGACCACATTATATGTAGCAAGGATGTACAAGTCTGGAGGCAAAAGCAGGATGGAATAAAAGAGAAAGAAGGGCCTCTGTCCCCAGACAGACCTGAGTGCATATCAACCCTGCCATTTTATTCTGTTACAATAAATCATCCTTTGGACAGAGTTCAAAGCCCACCTTGTCCTGAATCCTGCTCTGAGAAGCAAAGCGGCTTCCCCCAGGCTAGACCGTCAGGCTGCTGCTGCTTAGATGTGCAGACAGCACAGCAATTGTTAAGTTTCTATTAAGTTAACTCTTTCCTTTGTCTTTATATGATACTGAAATGACAAGCCATTGAGGGAGTCCATGTGAACGGAGAAATGGCAACGGAGTCACATACCTCCAAAAGGAGTTAGTTCCTGCGAGGATGAGCTGCTAGATATTTCTGCTCCCTTTTCTGATTTTGTGGATATCAGTAAATGTGACAATGACAGGTGAGAATCCAAGGAGAGCCTCTGGCTTGATCACAGTAATCAGTTTTTGTCTTTGAGCAGCATATTGCTACTTAGGAGCGAGAAAGTCTTCAATTAAGGGAGCCGTGCCAATAACAGGGCATTTCTAGGTAATGCAGCTAGAAGCTTTCACTTTTGTCGCTACAAGGCCTTTAGTTAGAATTGCTAAGGCTGTTTGCAAACCATGCCTTAGCTTATTCATTCAATTAAGTCATTCATACCCTCATTTGTTTTTTCAGCCATTCATTCCTTTGCTTACTCTTTTATTTATTGATTGACAATATTTATTTATTATTATTTAGTGATTGACAGCTTCATTTACTAATGCATACATTTATTGAGTACCTTCTATATACCAGGCACTGTGCCAGCCTCTAAGGAATCAAAGTGAATATACTCCAAGTCATCAAGTCAATCTCCCCTGCTCCCATAGTATCCTATATCCAGTCAACAAACTAGACCCCTCAATGGCCTCTCCAGTCTGGTGCTGAAAAACTGGACCAGCCATTTATCTTTTGCCTGAAAACCTTCCCTGCCTAAAATTATCATGTGGTTCCGTGCTGCCTACAAGATAAGGCCAAGCACCCAGGTAATCTCAACTGTCACCCCCACACATGCATTCCTCCATGTCGAGCTGCTGGGATTCACTGTATCTATCATGTTCTTCCCAGCCTTTCCATATGCTCTTCCCTCAGTCTGGAATGTCCTGCAACCCCGTGGTCTTCCCTGTGCTGCATACAACCACTGATGCCCTGAGAGATTACTGTGGAGTGGGTAAGGGTAAGGGCACCTGAGTTTAAGTCTTCACTTTTCCATAGACAGATTTTATGGAAGTCTGCAAGCAGTTTCACGTCCATTCTCCATTTGGATTTGCACAACTCTAGGGAAAGGTAACAAAAGAGTTCCAAATCCCAGGCAAGTGGAGTGACTTGCTCAAGGTCACAAACCTAGCAAGAGTCCGGGTCTAAGCTACAACCTAGCTCTTCCCACTCCCTTTCCAGGGCCGATGCTAGTTTACGACACACACAAAGAAGACGTTAGCCACTGGGAGTCATTAATTGATACCTGTAGGCGTTTTTATTACTTTCCACTGAAGTCTAGAAGGATCTGCTATGGCCAGACAAGTAAGCTGCAGAGGAGAACTGAGGTTATAGTGCGAAGATTCAGATTTTCGAAAAAGCAGGTTTTGCCTGAGATATTTAAATAACTCAGTTACTGCCACCCCATCCAGGAGAGGACAACCAGGAGGTGGTATATGACTTCTGGGTGGGAGGGGAATTGTGTGGGAGGCGGGGATCAGGCTTCCAGAGAGAAATTACCATTTTGTATTTATTACTTTGGCTCGCAGGAGTGCCGCAGGGACAGGCTTGCTAATACGTTGGATAATTGCCTCAGTTCACCACTTCATTTTGCAGTGTGTAGACCAGCCCAGGTGCAGACTTGCAGAACATTTTTCAGCCTGGGCCTCCCAGGTACCCTGAGCTCTCTCTAGGGGCATGAGGTTCTGGTGAGGAGGCATGGGGAGTGGGAGAAATGAGGAGGGGTGGTGTCTGTCCTCAGGTACTAGGGGGCACCAGGATCATCTGGTCACTTTGACCACAACTGCCGAGTGATGAGTGATGAGAGTGGAGGAAGAGTCCCAAGCTAGGAACCAGGAGACCAGAGTTGCACTCTACCACTAATTCCTGGACAACCCTGTTTCTTTAGCTGCCCGCTCTGGGCCTCTAGTGCCCATCCAGAAAATAAGGGAGATCATAAGTCAGGATTTTTCAACTCTAGCTGCACATTAGAAATCATCTGGGGAAATTTTGTTTTTTAATGCTAAAGCCCAAGCTCAACCCCCAGAGATTCTGATTTCACTGGCTTGGGGTCAAACCAAGCATGGGTATTTTTTAGCTGGAGTCACTGATATATGCAGTCTTTCTTAGGATGGACATTCTAGGAGCCTGTGTTGTCAAAAAAAGTAACAAGTCAGTGACCTTGAGGTCCAGGGTCATGTGTTTCCATGTTTAGATTTTTGCTATCAATTATTTGTACTTGCTGGATTATTTGTACTGTCTCTCCCCAGTTAAGTTTCCTCTTACCAGTGAATGTTGGAGAACTATACGCTAGGAGACAGGAGACTTCACTTCTGGCCTTTTTTGTATTAGCTCTGTGATATGGGCAAGTCAGTGTTGGCTCCCTGGGCCTCAATTTCCTCATCCCCAGCTAATGAGAAAGCAGCTGGCCCTTGCCTACCTGCAAGTAGGTGTTGGAGCAGACTTGGTTTCACAATGCTGCCTGGTTTACAAAGCATTTTCCCATCCAGAGCCTGAGATAAGCCTGAGAGTAGAGAATACTATTCCATTTTCATAGATGAGAAAACAGATGCTCAATGTGGTCACATCACTTGCCCAAGGCCATCCAGACAGTATGAAATGGAAACAGACAGATGTCAGTTCAGATCCTATCAATGTCACTTCCAAACTCACTTTGACTAGTTCATTAACATTTCTGCACCTCAGTTTCTTATCTGTAAAATGGACGTAAGTACCACCCATTGCCTTCCCACAGAGTGATTGCAAGGAATAAAAATGATGACCAGGCAGAACTTGTGGAGCCTGGCACAAAGCAGAGGCTCAACTAATATTTCCTTCCTCCCCCTCCCCCAGTCATTTCTCCCATTCTGCCTTTAGTCTTTCTTCTTCCTGCCCCTCTCCGGCCCCCCAACTTTTTAAACTTTTCAAGGACTGGCATCTTGAGAGGCAGTTCACTGAGCGTGACCTTGGGCAAGTTGTTTAATCCTTCTGTGCCTCAATTTCCCCATCTGTAAAATGTGGATAATGGTGGTATTTGCAGTTGTGAGGGCGAAATGAATTGAGAGGATGGCTTCTGGTGTGGAACTTTGGCTGTTATTGTTCTGTTTTCTTTAAGGCCTTCCTTCTCCTCACTGGGTCCTGGCATGAAGGAGTACTCCCCACCTCCACCCCCTTCAGTGGTTGTTGAGTGAACAAGAGAGGGATCCCTCCAGGCAGAGGGACAATAAACAAGCCCCTCTCCCAGGTCCTTCCTGTGTTGTCAGCTGTGACAGCTCTGCTGAGTACACACAGCCCCCAGGGTTCCTGGGCAGAGAGTAACAACCCTATATCAGGGGATTGCTTACTATCTTGAGATGGGAAAAACAGAAAAAGCTATAAATATGAAGGATTCATCTTCGATAAGTCATGGTTAGAAACCCCAGCTATATAACTTTTTAATTCTCCACTCCAGCTTGTAAGCTCACGCAGTAAAAACAGTCACTAGTAATCTATTTTTTTCTACTCTTTTAATTTTGTAATTTTTTTCTTTAACCAACCAAAAAAAGTCCTCCTAAACTCACCTTAAGCTTTTATTTTTTCCCCCTTAGCAGTCATAAAATTTGGCCATGGATTACAATTTAAAAGCTATCTCTTCTCCTACATTGCCAGAATGAAAATGTACAAACTCGGGGCAATTTCTTAACTAAGTGTTGGTGAAACAGGAGTGAGTCCTGGACTCTGTTTGCATCACCTGTCTCCAGGTGGAAAAGGAGGCTGGCGTGGAGAGAGGCAGTTCAGTCAAAAGAAAAAGATACTTTGCAAGGGTATCGTGGAGCTGAATGATCTCAGGCAAGTGTCTCTCCTCCCAGGGCTCAGTTTTCTCATTTGTAAAAAGTTGTTGAAAAATAGTGACAAACCTCCCTCACTGGGATGTTCTGAGAAACCAAAGAGATAATCTATAAAAAATTGTTTTGTTCAATGTAAAGCATCATAAGCATGTTGGAGATTATTGCTACTACTGACAATGATGATGATGGTGATGATGGTGGATGATGATAGTGATGACAATGTTGGTGATAGTGATGACAATGTTGGTGATGGTGATGATGCTCACGATGACGATGATGGAGGAATGGTGATGATGATGATGATGACAATACAGCCATGTGCAGGGCAGGGCTCATGGGTTTATGTGATAAGAGGATTTTCCTCAGAGCCTTGTATATCTCTATGTACAAAAAATAGGTGCTCAGTAAAGAACTGTTCACCTAAAATCTACTTCAGAATTCAGTTTACCTCTCAGAGGTTTAGGTCATTTATTCAGTAAGAGTTAATTGAGTGCCTACTGTGTGCTAGCTCCTGTTAGCATTGGACTACAGCAAACAAACAACACAGACACAGTCCTTGCCTTCATGAGGCTTATAGTTTAGAAGACAATGGGATGGAATGGGATGGTAAAGGTAGATGGTAAACATATAAACAAATGCCATAATTTCAGATGATAATGAGTGCTCTGAAGACAACAAAATAGGATGATAGGATAGACAGAAATGGAAATGGATGTTTGTAAGATGCTTTAGCTCATTAGCTCATGTAGTCAGGAAGCCCTGCATGAACAGGTGGCATTTGAGCCAAGATCAAAATGATAGGGGGATGCAATCAAGGGAAGACCTAGAGGCAAGGTGCTCTGGGCAGAAGAGATACAGTGCCAAGTCTCTGAGATGAGAATGAACTTGGTTTGTTCAAAAAACAGAATGAAGGCCTGTATGTCTTGAGCAGAGTAGAAGAGGAAGACAGTGGTATGAGCTGAAGTTGGATAGTAGGTGCAGGCCAAATGCCAAGGCTTGTAGGCTGGGCTGAACTTGGAGATGACTCCCACTGCAGTGAGAAGCCACTGGAGGGCTTAGGAATGAGAGTGCCATGAGTTAATATACCCTGCAAGAATATCATTCTGACTTCAGAGACTGGATGAGTGTGGATAAGAATGGAGGCTGGATGACAAGTTAGGAAGCAGATGCAATACTTGAGATGGGAGATGCTGGTGGACTGGACTAGGGTTTTGGTGATGGAGGTGGTAAGCATGGTCCAATTTGGCATATATTGAAGGTAGGTCCAGTGAGACTTCATGGTGGATTGGTAGTAGAGGGTGATAAAAGCAGGGCTCAAGAATAACTCCCAGGTTGTGGGCCTGAGCTGTTGGGCTGATCCTGGTAACATGAATTGAGAATGGAAGGCTGGGGGAGATTAGATATGGGTGTTGAGAGAGGTGGGAGGCGAATTCAATGTTTGGGGTCTGTTGAGACTGAAGTAACTATTGGGTATCCTAGTAAGTAGTTGGACACATAAGCCTGGAGCTCCAGAGGAGGTCAGGACAGGAGATTGGGATTTGGAAGTCATGGTGGAATAGTGGCATTTAGTCAGTGGGACTGGGTGGGATCGCATAAGTGGAGTGTGTTGACAGAGAAGAGCAGCAGGCTGAGCACTGGGCCCTGGATTCGCCAACATTTAGGGGTCTGGAAGTAAAGGAGCAGGCAAAGGAGGGTGAGAGGGAACAGTCAAGGAGGTAGGAGGGAAATCTAGAGGGCACTGACCCAAGGGAGAAGGGTACAAATGGGGCGTGGTCAGCTCTGTGCAACAGCAAGCTGCCAACAAAGGACAGGCTTCTCCCCTGTTTAGAAGCAGGAGGCTGTGCAGTGTAGAGGTTGGAAGCATAGGTTTTGGAACCAAATGCACTTAAACCCAGGTCCTGGTGGTGCCATTTCTTGGCTTTCTGACTTTGACCAAGCTCTAACATCCTGGATCCTTAGCTTCCTCCTCTGCGTAGCATTATTGTGCAGTTTATCCAAGATGTTGTCTTTAAAGTGCTTAGCACTGGGCCTGGCATAGAGTAGGTGCTCAATAAACAGAAGCTGTTTGTATTCTTCCTGAAACTGTTCAAGTGAGTAGAGTCATCGTCAGTAAGACACACTACAGAAGGGCTCAGGTTAGGAAGGGAAGATTTCATTTGGGCAATCCAGCCTTTGTCAGGGTTAGAAATGAAGTTGTCTTTAAGGTTCAGACAGGTGATATAAGAAACAGACAGGTAGAAGTGGATAGGAGCAGTAACACCACTGGCCGGCTGGACCACACACACCCAGCCTAGAGGCATCCTAGGTTAAAATGTTTAAAGCTCCATGCAGGCTAGATGAAACCCATTCTCAGGCCCAGAACAGCTCACATGCATTTGGGACTCCATTTAGATGATGGTAGACCAGAGAAGAATTTTAAACAGGGTGTATGGATTGACAGTATCAAATTTGCATTTCAGAAAGACCACTCTGGCAGCAAGGCAGGGAGAGGATAGAAGGGGGTGCAGGTCTAGTCCAAGGCAAGGAGAGAAGCCAGGGAACTCTGTGCTCAGGTGAGAGGGGACTGGGATGAGGAAATGGGCTGATTATAACATAATTAGCTCTATAATCAGTATGGAGGCTTATCATTTCAAAATGTAAAGATGATTATATGATTAAAGGCTTTTTTCCTTTTAATGGAAATAACTTGCCAACCTGGGGGTTTACTAGGTGGGTGGTCGGAGAAAAAGGTAAGCTATTAATTTTTAACCAATTGACTTTGCAATGAATTAGTTTATTGATTCAAAAAAATCGCTCATTGTAGACAGTAAAAGTTATAAATGAGATTAGTGTCTAGTTAGAGTGAATGCTAAGTGAAGGGGCCCAGGAGGCTTCCCTCATTCAACTGAAGAGAAGTCTTGCATGGATGGAGCAGAGAGGCATCTGGGCTGGCCCACAGAGCCTGCTGGGACCAAGCACATGGCTGGAGGCAGTGGGCTCAGATACGGAACTATTCCTCTGCTCTCCCTAAAGAAGTGATTGAACTTTAAGCAATGAGGTGATCTAAGCTGACCAAACACAGAAACTAGTTTTACTACCATTCCTAGTGTTTTTAAATGCACAAACTAGAAAAAGGAAAGAAGGAAGGAAGGAAGGAAGGAAAGAAGGAAGGAAGGAAGGAGGGAGGGAGGAAGGGAGGAAAGGCAGGCAGGCAGGCAGGCAGGCAGGAGGGAGGGAGGGAAGGAAGGAAGGAAGGAAGGAAGGAAGGAAGGAAGGAAGGAAGGAAGGAAGGAAGGAAGGGAAGGAGCCCTTAGGTTCCAGAAACAATGAAAGACCTTAAAAACCATGGTGTTCAATACACAGCTGGCTTCCTGGGGGCCTGTGGGACCAGGTCCTAGGCTCCAGGCCAGGAGGCTGGTGTGTTTGGGGGATGGAGGAGGGTGATGATCACCTGAAGCCCCAAGAGAGGGTCCTTGCATAAAGGACTATTGATGGGGGTGTCATTTCTGTGTTTCCCCCCGATGGGACACCACTTGATACATCATTTCTGTTAAGAGTAGAAAACTCCATCCAGAAGCCCAAGGAAGCTAGGTGTCTCCCAGGGGTTCTAGGTCGGGGGGTCAGGGAGACAAATCTCCCACAATAACTAAAGTCTGCAAGCCTCCATCATGTGTGAGTGTAGGATCTGGATTTATTACTCTACCCATGTGGCATAAGAATCTCAAGTCAAAAATTAAACACAAAAACTGGTCTGAATCTGGGGTAATATGGGGCCCCAGGAAAGCAAGTACCCAGGATAGTTCTTTTAGGGCACTCCTCACAATGCACTTCCTGCAGGCACAGAAGAAAGACATATCAACGTCACACCTGTTCATATGCTCATTAAATGTAGTGCTAGAATGCACCTGTCTCATCCAACCCCCTCCTTCTGTAAAGATGGAAATGAAGTCCCAAGGAGGGGTGTTGACTTGCCCAAGGTCACACAATGTATTTGCGTTAGGAAGTGTGGGCTGGAGGAAAGAGCAAGTGTGTTGGGGGTGGTAAGACCTGATTCTGAATCTCTGTCCTGTCATTTAGTAGATGTGAACTAGGTGAAGCGGCATAAACTTTCTGAGCTTCAGTTTCCCCATCCACAAAATGGAATCATGGACATCTACTTTGTAGGATGGTGGGGAAATGAGGCAGATGTCTCTGGTAAAAGTGCTTGGGACGGTGGTAGGTGCTCTATATGTGTTAGTGTCCTTCAAACTTTGCTCTTAAAAAAATCCCCTCCAAAGTGCCCACTCAAGTCCCAGTTGACCTTGATGACTTCTTTATCTACTGGAACACCTGTGTTGTGTTACTTAGCACTAAATTTCTTATTGTTATAGAGTTAATTTTTTAACTCCAAATCCTGGCTTTTGAAGTTCCATTTAACTTTGTGTATTTTGATTGTCCTTACTTATTTCCTACTGCTCCTCAATACTCTAGTAGACTGGGGAATGGATGGATGAGTGAATAGATGAATGGATAAATGTATAGATGGATGGATGGATGGATGGATGGATGGATGGATGGATGGATGGATGGATGATGGAAAGATGGATGGATGATGGGTGGATAAATGATGGGTGGATATCAGTTAGGGTTTGCTGGTTGTAAACAATAGAAGCTGATCTTGGCTAAAATAAGCAAAAGGGATTATATTGGAAAGACATCAGATTGCTCATAGAATCAATAGAAAGGCTGGAAAATGAGACTGAAAAAAGCAGGAAATGATATACAGGGGCAATAATCACTCCTCTGTCAGGTCAGGGCGCTGTCCCTGGAATGAATGAACACCAGGCATTTATCATGCACAGGACCAACTGCCTTCAAAAGTCAAAGTCCTTTGTCGATATATCTTGGGTCACATGTCCCTTGATTCATAAGCCCTTTACGCATGCACGGTGAGGAACCGATAATTTCCCAAAAGAAATTAAGATCTTGTGACCAAAAGAAGAGAGAATAGCTGCTAGGTGCTCAGAACCCAACCACCACCCACATCAGAGGGAATGGGTAATCTTCAGTTCCCTCAAGGAAACACCAGGGATTGTGTCTTCATTTGCCCCTTGCCACCTCCCTCATGTGCTACTCACCCCACACTCTCCCGTCCCCTCCACTTCTGGGTATCCTGTCCCTCCCCGGAGCACCATCACTTCCTACCTCCTGCAAGATGCCTGTGCAGCTTTCCAAGCCCACGCTCATCTCTCCTTTCCCTGAACTCCAGTTGCCCTTGCCATCAGCACAATGCCAGAATTATTCTTAACTGCAGCCTGTTTACTGCTTCACCTTTGGGGTTTGGGCTCTGCTGTAAGTTTCCCGAAGGCAGAAAACTTGTCAAACTTAGCTTCTGTCCTAGCACAGTGTTGGGTTCAGAGTCAGTGACTGATGAATGCAAGGCAATTAATGATCCTCGAGAGTGTGTGGCATGAATCATTACCGTCATCAGTCTAATACAGTCAGATTATATCAGATTCAGTCATCAGCTGTATCATCATACCTTAGAAATGATTCAAGCCTAGCATTCTTTAAGAGGTGAATCAACTGGAACCCAAAGGGCTGACTTATTCAAAGTTGCACAACTAGTTAAAGACAACTTTAGAAAGCCATCTCTTACTATTCCCAATGGAAACCAACACTCCTTGCTTCCTGGGGGGGGTAAGGGGTGCATGTGAGTGTGTGCATGCATGTGTGTTTATGTGGGCATGTGTGTGAGTGCAGTCAGTGGTTGTTTAATGAAACAAAGGCCTGCCAGGATGTCACCAGTATGTTCTTTTTCTTGTTCCTGCCCCATCCTTAACCAAACTTCTACCCATGTTAAAGTCCTCTGCCCAGTGAACAGCCAAGAAATGTCAACTGATTACCCCTAAAATTTCATTAATTTTGAGAGTCAGTGAATTTCAAAAAGTGGAGAATTTGTTGAGTTAATACAGAATCAACCAAATCGTTGTGTCACCCGAATCGCTCCAAGCAGTTTCCCTTGTCAAGCACCCCACCTCACTCTGCTGTTCTGTGCTACATGAAAAATTAGTTGGTGTACTGGAAATAAAGTCACAGGGAGCCAACATTTTGACAAGGTAATGGCCCCCTGCCTTTCTTGACATCTGCGAGGGAGTTGTAGTCCATTATAATGTCACAATGGCATGCACCATTGACATCTCATTGAATAATTAAAAGGCAGCTTAATCATAGCGATCATCCACTTAGTGTCTGGTTCCAAACGTCGGGGATGCACGTGTAAGGGGGCAGCCACGGTTGTGCGGATGGGGGACTAGTTCAAAGCTAGGTCACAGCTCAGACTACTGGACAGCAGGGTCTGCCACATGTGCTGCAACTGGGGGTGGGGGGTGGGGATGGGAAGGTAGCTCCTGAAGAAGAAGAAAAAAGATTTTCTACTCTCTTTTGCTTTTTTAAACTAAATGCAGGGGCAGACATTCTTTTTGACCCAAATGAAAAACTGGGAATCTGTTGTTTTTCATTCATCACAAATAGTTTGTGCCAAAATGGAACTTCATTTTCATTCTTTCATCAGGCAGATATTTATTGAATGCCTTCCCTGAGTCAGGCATTGCTCTTGGTGCTGTGGATATGGCAGGGAAGAAGATCGTCACAGCAGTTGCTGCCCCCTGGGGTTTATGTTCTGGATGGGGGGAGGATAAAAACACATGTGTGTTGTATACAGAACTCAAACAGGGGTTGTAGCAGAAGGGTGATTGAGTGACTGTGTTAAGTTTTGTGGTCAAGGTAGGTGTCTCTGGAGAATAGCATTGTGGGGTCTGAATGGCAAGGTGTCAAACAGGAAAAGTTTCCCGGGAGAACACTCTGGCAGTGAGGACAGTTAGTGAAAAGGCTCTGGGTGGGAAGGAACTGGACGTGTTCAAGGAGCAGCAAGACCACCATGGCCATGGGACAGGAGGTGAACTGAGGAGTGGGGCCAGCTCAGGTGGGCTTCACAGGCCAGGGTCAGGAGTTTGGATTTCAGTTTCCATGTTATGAGAAACTCAAGATGAGGTTGAGAAGAGGGTCAATATACTTTGAACATAGAGATCTTCCCTGCCACATGAGGAAGACAAAACAATGAATAGACAATGGCCATCTAGTGAAAAATACCCTGGGTAGAAGGAAGCCCAGGACTGGGAGAGCCAGAGCGAAGACACCCAATCCAAGAAGGCTTTCTAGGAGAGCTGGCCCCCACACTGAATCTTTTTCTTTCATTTAATTTTATTTTATTTTACATTCCAGGGTTCATGTGCAGGACGTGCAGGTTTCTTACATAGGTAAATATGTGCCACGGTGGTTTGCTGCACCTATCAACCCGTCACCTAGGTATTAAGCCCCACATGCATTAGCTATTTATCCTGATGCTCTCCCTCCCACCACTCCCCCAACAGGCCCCAGTGTGTGTTGTTCCCCTCTTTGTGTCCATGTGTTCTCATTGTTCAGCTCCCACTTGTAAGTGAGGACATGGCGGTGTTTGGTTTCCTGTTCCTATGTTAGTTTGCTGAGGATTATGGCTTCCAGCTCCATCCATGTCCATGTAAAGGACATGATCTCTTTCCTTTTTATGGCTACATAGTATTCCATGGTGTATATGTACCACATTTTCTTTATCCAGTCTATCACTGATGGTCATTTGGGTTGATTCCATGCCTTTGCTATTGCCCCACACTAAATCTTGAGGCAGATAAGGTGATGCAGAAGAGAACATTCCAGGCAGTGAAAACAGCCTAGGCAAAGGAGCCCTGTAAGAAAATGGCCCATCTGGGAATTACAGGGAGTGTATTGGAACTGGAGTCATGTGACCCAGAGAGGCCAAGAAACTCAGTGAAGGCCACACAGCATATGGTTCTTCACCTTTAGCTCCTTCTTTATTCTCCTCCAGTGAAGGTGGCCACAGCCACATAATCAGGGGCAAAGCCCCTTAACTGTTCTTAGCTAGGCTGATGCTAGGCTCTGGCAGAGTTTACATCCAGCTGGGCCAGAAATATTTGTTTTCCCCCAACACATGTGGTTCTGATTCAGTTCATACTTTTTCCCAACTATTGTCCTTCCCTGTAACTGTTTGAACCCTAGACTCACACCCTAAAGCCAGGATGAACCAGATTTCATGCTATCAGCACCCTCACCCCTGCCAACAGTCTTAGAGTTGGGGAAACCCAAGCCCAGAGAAGGGAACTGAGTTAGCCCAACCCACAGAGCTTTCAGGTGGAAACAGGGGGACCAAAGCACTGATCGCTTGGCTCTTGATCTGACATTGTTCTGGGAAACAGTTCTTCATCAGGAGTGAGATGAGAGAAATTCAGCTGCCGCCCTTACTTTACATTGTGAGAGATGCACGTGGCCTGGTATGGGATGCAGTGGTTCTGATCACAGGAAAGGAGTTAGGCAGCTTGCATTTCATTCCCTGTGCCACTGTTTACTAGCTGTGTGACTCTGGGCAATTTGCTTCACCTCTCTGTGTCTTGGTTTTCTCATCTGTAAAATGAGAATAGTCATACTTGCTCCACAAGATTATTGTAAGGATTCACTGAGGCAATCCATGCAAAGCACTTGCAGTCATGCCATGCACATAGTGAGTGCTTGATTCATGGCTCTGAGTGGGGCCATAGCATTCATCTCTAGGCCCTGTAAGAGCTGCCATGGAAGTGCCCACAATGTGCTAGGCACCATCCTGGGCGCTTCTCTACATCTGTGTGTGGTAGTGACATCACGGCTTGTAAAGTGTTTGGCAGATGTCATGCTGCCTGGCATATACCTTGTGCCTCTGCAGATTGATTGCACTCACATTGTGTCACTCAACCATCACGATAACGTTGTGAGGTGGGCTTTATAGATGCAGAAAGGCCGGCCCAGGTTGATTCAGTCACTTGTCCAAGGTCACACAGCTGGCAGGAGGCAGACTGAGATGCCAGCCCAAAGCTCTTGCCCTCCCCTCCACTTACCACCACTCATCTATTCCCAGGCTCCCAGCCCTGCGACTTGGGGACCTATTGATACTTAGCCGGTATCATGTGAGACTCACGAGGCTCCACCCTCTGTCCCGCGCAGAAGGGGAGCATGGAGAGGAACCGGGCACCATGCTTTAGGAATTCTTCTTGTAAGCAGAATGGGGAAAGACCAAGCTCTGCAGCGGGTGGGCCCCCCTTTCATATGCCCAGATCTGTGCAGCCCAGACACGCCTAGGCTGGGTAATGAAGGCACACTTCCTCCTGCTGCAGAACACCAACTCTTCATTCTGAAATGGCCTTCACTGAAGGCCAGAGCCCAGGCAGAGCAGGAGCAAGCACAGCAGTCTTCATGGGGCCGCAGAGGGGAGGCCCCATCTCCAGAGAAGGTCAAAGTCAGGGTTTGTCAGAAGCACCTAGTGGGAGGAGCAGCTGCTATATATGGATGGGGCTCCAGCGCCTCCTCCCCTGCTCAGCACCAGCTAGCATCTCTGCTTTTGTCAATTTCACATTGAGAATTTATGCCCAACATTTTCTAGGGAGAAAAGCTTGGTTTACTAATCAAAACATAAAAAACCCACAATTGCAGCCTGCAATAGGCCCGTGGACTCACAGCCAGGAGCCACAGCCCATGGTGAGAGTGAGCAGATAGTGGTCCTTTCTGAGATGCATTGTCCTCACAGCTTAGAGAGACAGCGGGTGAATCATGTAGCATAAACACAGTTCCTCCAGCATCTGCCACTGTAGAGGTCCCCGGCTTGTCTTTATGCAACCAGGCGGTGTACATATAAATAAATTAATACTAAGCTCTCAGCTAGGGCCGGAAAATGCCCAGATGGATAACAAACAGATGCCCTTCCCTCAGGGAGCTCACAGTCCAGTTAATGAATGAAGCAGCATTCATTACATTCCTCTAAAGAGCTCATTTACGGAGCAAACATCCATGAATTTCTTTCAAGTCTTCTCGCATCTTTTTGCATTAGCCCTGGGCACCACCTGCCTGGCTGAGACGTGGCATGTCTACCCCTCATTCCACGGCAGCCTTAAGCCCTCACTTCAACATTCCTCATCTACACATGGGCGAGGCTTTCTCTTGTGGCTTGGGAATGTTCACCCCATTCTGACCCTCCTTTTCCCTCTCATAGTACTTTATTCTTTTCCCTTATAGCACTCAGCACAATGTGTGATTACATGTTTATTTGCGTTATTTATTAGTTTAATGATGATCAGCCCTAAGAGGATAAGAACCATCTGTCACACTCAACAAGGTTTAACCACAGTCTAGCAGAGTATCTGTCCCTTATTGGACACATAGATTATGTGTGAATGACCCTTTGGGATATTTTGATAGGTAAGTTTGGAAAGTGCTTGGGGCCCAGAATACAGTGGGCTTGGAATAACAGTCTGAGAGAAACATACTATAGGCATTTGAGCAATTACAGACTATATATTCATCCTTCCCTTCCTTTTCCCTCCCTTCCATACCTTGCCTCCCTCCTTCCCTTCCTCCCTCCCTTCCTCCTCTCCTTCCCTCCTTCTCTTCCTCCCTCCTTTCTTCCTTTCTTCTTCCCTCCCTCTCTCCCTCCCTCCCTCTTCCTCCTTTTCTCCCCCTCCCTCCCTTTCTCCCTCTCCCCATTCCCTTCCCTATTTTCTCTCCCTCCTGTGCATAGGAAAATTAGAGAAAGAAAGGGAAAGAGATCCTTGGGGGTATGGAGGGGTGGTGAATTTTGAAGCAAGCAGGTGAGTTTTGGTAAGCCTGTTTCCAGGGACAGGTGGTCATCCGGGCAGTCTTTTGAAGCAGCACTGGGAGGGCCAGACATTTTCATGGCTCAGTGGAGCCTACATGGCGCCGAGCACAGACTGTTCAAAGGAAGCACCCTTCAGTCCCCAGCCTGACAACCCGGTCGTGCGCCAGCTACCCTTCATTACTCCTGTCTCCAGATGCTGCCCTGGAGCGGGCCCCAAGCCCTACAGAAGCATCTTCTGGCCCTGGTAGTCACACACTTCAGTGACAGCAAGAGGCCACGGCACCCAGATGGAGGCCAAGAGGGACCAGGCAGGCCAGCTGGCCTCCTCTGGGATAGGAGACGCCTCTGGAGTGAAGGCAGCCAGCACCCCCCACGTTCACCTCGTCGTGACTAGGATTCCAGGGTTGAAAGCATGGATTCTGGAGCAGACTTTCTGAGTTCAAATCCCAGCTGACTGCTTGCAAGTCACTTATCTGTGCCTCAGTTTCCTCCTCTGTTGTGTGGCTCATATAATCATAGTATTTGCCTCCAAGGACAGTTATGAGTCCTAAATAAGCTGGCATATATACAGCTCTTAGACACCATCAGTGTTGTGTGCCTCTCAGCTGTTATGATTACTGCAAAGAACTGGTTGTGTGAC
The DNA here is from genome assembly GCF_000001405.40 of Homo sapiens. Lineage (NCBI taxonomy): Eukaryota > Metazoa > Chordata > Mammalia > Primates > Hominidae > Homo > Homo sapiens. The sequence goes on along the minus strand of NC_000017.11, from coordinate 33,261,559 downwards.
TGTCTCCCCTTCTCACATGAACTCCTTGGGGATAGAAACCAGACATGTCACTCATCAAAAGTTAATTGACTTTCTCCAGGTCACCAGAGGCCCATGACAAAGCATAGTTCCGTGCTTCCTTGCAGTTTCCCCTATTTCCCTGGAAGCTCCATGAGGACAAGGACCCAGCACCTAGCACCAGGGACACATAGCAGCTCAGAAAACAGCTGTTTTCTAATCCACAAACAACAGGAGGATTAGAATTAATGATGTTGTGAGTGGGTGATGAGGGGAAGATGGGAGACAGTGTTTATTGTGAGTGTCCCATCTTGCTCAAGAGCGTAGGTGGAAATTCTGATAACTAAGCTAGGAAATAAGAGGCAAAAAGCTAGTTTGGAGAGGGCATAATGCTGGGAATCACATTTCTGAAATTACTGATGGCAAACCAGGATACTATTTGGGTGGCAAATGGATTTGCTACTTGCTATCAATAGTCCTTTGGTTAGGACAGGCACACTGGGATATTTATTTCTAAGTCTGCAGTCAAATCAGGAGCGCAAGGGTCTGCAGCTGGATTAGGGCAATAAGGAATGAAATCAGAATGTTTGTTGGAGAGGCTTAAAAGGGTTCTGAAGAGGTGGTTCCTATCGAAGAGCAATCACCTGGCAATAAAATGTCTGCAATCATGCTACGTGGCAGCAGGAGGCCAGCGTTTGGTCGGCCCAAGCTCATTTACATGCAGACGCACTGGGGCTGCACCTGCACGGTGTGAGGAGCCAGTCAGCAAGGGGTGGTGGTGAGAAGGTCACCCCTGGGAAGGGACGGGGGCTGTCCCAAGGAAGCAGGCATGGGGCCCCAGCACTGGGTTGGAGAGAGGTGACTATCACGGCATCTCTGGCCTGCAGGGTTCAGCCGGGCATGGCATCCCCACTTGCCACCTTTCATCCCATAAGTCATTAAGACCTCTCGAGAAAAAGCGTTCTGCCTTGCAATACAGCAAAGACCTCGTATTCCCCGCCCCCCTGGCGGCAGCGATCCATAGTGTGGCCGTTGGAGGTGATGAGGTTCAGCAGGGAAAAAAACCACCAGACCATCATTTTCCCTTCAAGAAGCTATTAGATGATTCTGTCTGACCTTTGGGGGAGCCCTAGGAAGCTCAGAGTGGCCTCTGCTGAGTGCTCCAACTGGCCCCTGCAGAGTTAATGTGCCCGCAGATTCTGCTGTGAGCTGCATGCGTCTGGTTGCCATCTTTCTGGCACCCCTCTCCCTGTTGCTACTTTTGTGGTTGGAGAGCATTTGGAGACAAAGCCAGGAAATGGGCAGTGTGGCCCAGTGGAAGAGTCCTGGATTCAGGGGCCAGGAGGCCAGGCTTTATCCACAGATCTGCCCCTGCCTGTGTTCACTGGGGCAGCTCATTTCTCCCTCTGCATTTTTCTTTTTTAGAGGCAGGGTCTCACTTTGCTGCCCAGGCTGGAGTGCGGTGGTATGATCATAGCTCACTGCAGCTTTGAACTCCCTGGGCTCAAGCAATCCTCCTACCTCAGCTTCCCAAGTAGCTGGGACTGCCAGCGTGCACCACCGCACTCAGCCAATATCCCTCAGCATCTTTAATATAGAGCGTCCCAAAGTCACTTGGAGCAGAATGACTCAAAGCGGGGCCCCAGGACCAGCAGCATCAGCATCCCCTGGGAACTCATTAGACATGCAAAGTCTCAGGCTCCAGACCCACAAACCAGAGCATTCTCGGGTTAGAGCCCAGCATCTGTGAGCCAACAGTATTCCCAGGTGATGTGAATACACACTAAGGTTTAAGAAACATGAGACCAGAAGGAGGATTGCGTCTTACTTCCATCCCTATTCCCAGCTGGGTGCATGACACCTACTAGGGATCGTGTGATCATACGAACAAGGAGCATCATAAAATAAATGACCAAGTCTTCAGGCTGTCACTCTCTCCTCTTTGCATCACATCTTGCTGTTTTGGTATCTTTGTTTTCCTCTACCACCAAGACACAGCCTGTTGCTTAATTTACTGCTCAGTAAAGGGGGCCTGGCAATGATATGCACACCTTGTCTGGTGAGCCCTACATTTGAGGAATGGGCGGTGGGAGGTGCTTTGGCCCTGACTTCTGAACCAAGTAGTTACTGCATGTGGAATGCCAGGCAATGATATCTACACATGTATAATACATAGGTTTACAAGATTCTGTTATAAATTACAGGGTTTTATGACCCTGGTTTTGCAGACTGATGGCGTGAATTGTAACAGTGCAATATATTGCTGTACAAGATAATGCCACCAGCGATGGAGGCCTAATATATCATTATATCATTACCAAAGAGGATGTTGCATTTAGAAATGTGCTATTTTTATTTTTTAAAGTGCCTTTGGTGTTTCAAAACTGTCCGTTCCGAGATGCCCCAAGAACTGACAAGTTTTAGACAAATGCCACTTTTCATATCAACCCTGAGCCCTCACCATTACCCGGAATGGCTGCCTCAACCTGCTAAGGCAAATATGAGTATGCCAGGACAAAAGGAACCCCTTCCTTTCTGCTCTTCCCCACTCCTCACCCCACACACACCCTCGCTCTCTCACTATGCCTTACTCCTTACTCTTTGTCTAATTTCCCAGCAGACAGTTTGGAGCAGGACCACCTGGGATAGCTATATGTGCATGTCCCGGCCTCCACTGTGCATGTTCATAGCAATGTATCCTAGTGGTTAGGAGCATATGCCTTGAAGCCAGATGGTCTTGGGTTCAAATCCCTTGTTCTACCACTTACCAGCTGGGCCACTTCTGGGAAGTTATTTAACTTCACTGAGCTTTAGTTTCTTCTTCTACAAATCAGAGAACATTGTATATGTCTTGACTTCTGGCTTCCTCCCTGACCCACGTCTGGGCTCTACTCCCTCTTGCTCATGGTTGCAGCCACTAAGACCTCCTCTGTGTTCCACAAACATTCTAGGCAACAAACTCACCTCTACTACCACCTCAGGGCCGCTGTACTTTTCCTTCCTTCTGCCAGGAATACTCCTCCTGTGTTCATCTGCCTCCTCGCTCCCTCACTTCATTTAGATCTCTGCTCCAGTGCACTTCCTGGGAGCAGCCTTCCCTTACCTCATGGCACCAAATTACTCACTCAACTCCCTACCCATCCTCCTTCTCTGTCCCTTACCCTGTGTTATTTTGCTCCACAGCATGGATCACTCCTGACTCTTGATTAACTGATGGATTAATGTCTGTGTCCACCCAGCCCTCAGTAGAATGTAAGCTTCATAAAGGCAGAAATGTAAGCTTTCTGCATTCTTGACCCCATATCCCCAACGTCAAGGGCAGCACCCAGTGTAACTAGATACTCCTAAAGATCCGTTGAATTAATGATGCTGTGAACGAGTAGATTAATGAATTCACGTAATGAATGCTGTGAATCCCATGAATTAATGAATGCACGTGAATGACACCTACCTGATTACAGTTGGGAAGACTAAGATAAAGCATGCAAAATACTCAGCATGGTTCCTGTCACATAAAAAATCATATAACTTGTTTATCAAGCACTTACAACGTGCCAGGCATGATTTAAGCACCTTGCACACACTAATGTAGTTAATGCTGAAAACAATCCTATCAGGTAGAAGCTAATATTATAATGTAATCTCCACCTAGCAAGCAAGGAAACATAAGAACAGAGAGACAAATAACTTACCTAAGGTTACCCAGCTAGGAAGTACTAAAGCCACAGTTCTAAGCTACACTCTCAGCCTCTAGCCTATCCTGCCTCTTGGGACATGAGTGCTGTGAAGGAAGATGTGGTTGTCATTGCTGTTGTACCTGTGTTCTCTGAATGTCACAGGACCTTGATACCACACACCTGCCTTGCTCAGGAGATGGTACCTGAGAAGGAAGGGCTAGGTTGTGTGCATGGAGAGCCCAGCCCTCAACTCTCAGCCATCATCCAATCTGGGAGCTAGCCTGTGGAAGGCCACATAAGGCAGAAGAACGTGCACAGGGGTGGGAGTTTGCCACTCTGGGCTCTTGTCCTGCCCCTGAAACTAACATGCTGTGTGACCTTAGATAAGTTACCTCACTTTTCTGAGCCACAGCCACTTCGCCTATATACTAAAAGTGTGAAATAACAACCCTCCTCTCACTGTGGAATTTCTTAGAATATGCTTGGACAGCCTCCAGTAGAAAATATTGCTTGATTGAGAGACAGCAATGGAGAGATGTTCAAATCTCCCTTCCATCAGCGGGGCAGGGCCTCACCCATGAGACATCGGAGCAGGGGAGTCAATTTCTAATGGGCTTTGTAAAGGAGGGCACCTGGTCAGTGAGGCCTCCTCACTTGCTAAAGGCAGCCCATACCTGGCTGCTGCCCACGGTTGTGCTTACAAACGCAGCCCTGGTTTTGCCAGATTTCTGCAGATAGGCTGGGAATCTGAATTTGTTATGTAAAATCACTCCATTTTTTTCAATGTTGACACAAATTTCAGAGCACTCTGGGATGGGAGGTAGCACATTTGTGGGATACATTAGACCCAGGGGCCTGGCAGTCCACCATCTCTGCACCTGCACCTGCTGTAGGGAATAGGGAGAGCTGCTGCTAGGGAGATGACTCCTCAGGAGGCTTAAGTCTGACTATCACCTCCCAGCGAACCCAGTGGGGAGGGGAAATGGCCTCCTCCCATATTCCAAAACCAACAGGAACTGGTAAACAGCTTTTCTCTTACAGTAATTTTTTTTTTGAGATGGAGTCTCACTCTGTTGCCCAGGCTGGAGTGCAGTGGCACAATCTTGGCTCACTGCAACCTCTGCCTCCCAGGTTCAAGTGATCCTCCTGCCTCAGCCTCCCTAGTAGCTGGGATTACAGGCACGTGCCACCACGCCTGGCTAATTTCTGTATTTTTAGTAGAGATGGGGTTTTGCCATGTTGGCCAGGCTGGTCTTGAACTCCTGACCTCAGGTGATACACCACCTCAGTGCTGGAAAAACAGGTGTGAGTGCTGGGATCACAGGTGTGAGCCACCGTGCCTGGCCCTACAGTAAAATTTTTTATGCCAATTCATTTCTCTATTATCATGAAAGTCATACATGCACATGGTTTTAAAAAATGCAGAGTGTAAAAAAAATATAATAGGAAGTATAATAAAAAGACCCCAGCACTCTTCCTAAAAGTAAACCAATCATTTCTTGTGTCTCTTTCTAGCATATCTTTTTTTTCTTTGCACACTGGGCTCATATTCTACACATTTTGTTCTGTATCTTTTACTTAATGTATCTCAAACCTATTTCTTATCATCTCACACAAATCCATATTGTTTTTTTCATTGCTCTGTAACAAGCCCTTATATAGGCTCACTATCATGTATTTTACTAATCGCTGTGGCCAGACCCTTTGGTGGTATTCAGTTTTCAAAGAACGATCTTGTCTATATGATTTTTTGTACACATGCAGCATATCTGTAGCTTAAGAAATAGCAAGTATTTTTTTAAGTGACCACTCAAATCCATGGTAATTAGTCTGGTATAAATAGTGATGTATGAATCTGTAATGCGTTTTTTTTCCTAGTGTGAATTAAACATTACTGTGCTGAAGAACAAATAATAAAGCAAATGGAGGAAAATATTAATAAGAGGTGACTTAGGTAGAGGGTATATTGGTGTTCTTTGTCCCATTATTTGTAGCATTCTTGCAACTTTTCCCTAAATTTAAGATAATTTCCAAATTAAAAGAGTTAATAAGTTACTCTAGTGAAGCATCCAGAAAATCAAGTTTGAGGATAACATTTTGACATGCCTGAAATCTTATATTATTAATTATAAACACCTTAGTCCATCCTGCTATTTAGAGCCTTTCGTTTTCTATTTGATTTCTGAGAATTTACCATAGTGGCACATGCTTACAATGGGAAGTGAAATAAAACACTACAAAGATCAATAAAGGCAAAATAAATTATCTGACTCCTCCACCCCCCCGTCCCTCCGATCCCCCCTCCTCTTGATGTAACCAGTGTTACCAGCCTGATGCGAACATTTCCACAGCATACTCCTTGTTGACGCACACATATGTAAGCATATAGTCACCTGTTTGTGTGTTTTTAATCAGAAACTATATGCATTAGTCTAAAGCTTACACTTTTTACCTTATCGCGTGTCAACAGATAGAGATCTAACCACTCTCTTTTTTTCCAGTTTCTTTACATTCACATACAATATTTAGCACAACTCTTTCTTTCTGGCCAGGCATGGTGGCTCACACCTATAATCCCAGCACTTTGGGAGGCCGAGGTGAGTGGATCATTTGAGGTCAGGGGTTTGAGACCAGCCTGGCCAACATGGTGAAACCCTGCTAGTACTAAAAATACAAAAATTAGCCAAGTGTGGTGGTGCATACCTGTAGTCCCAGCTACTCGGGAGGCTGAGGCAGGAGAATCGCTTGAATCCAAGAGGTGGAGGTTTCAGTGAGCCGAGATCGTGCCACTGCACTCCAGCCTGGGCAACAAACAGAGCGAGGCTCTGTCCCAAAAAAAAAAAAAAAAAAAAAAAAAGATTTCTTTCTAAATAGCATTTTGTCTAATTATTAATTAGATAATCATATAAAATGTACATAATTTGTAAACATAAAAGAAGAAAATAAAAATTCCATAGAACTCCCCAACCAGTGGTAACCACTATTAGCATGCTGGTGTATTTTCTTTGGCTCTGTTTGCTGTGCACCCATGCACGTGTCTGTGTGGGGATTAGTTAACAAAAATGAGGATATTTAGCATGTTTTCTTCCATCCTGCTTTCTTGACTTACTATTACAATGTAAGCATTATTCCTGTGGATCAAATATCCTTTTAAAATATGAAGTTTGAAGGTAATTTTAAAAATTTTAAGTTAGGTTAGGTTTTACATGCCTACAAAGTGGGAGAGACAATCAGGGAAGACTTCATGAAGGAGGTGATACCTTCTGAAGGATGAATAGAGGTCAACTAGATGGAGAAGAGGGGAAATAGGTCTACCAGGCTATGGGCAAAAACTGTATGGGCAAAAACCTGGGGGTAAGAGGAAGCTGGGTGCATCCAAAGCCTGCATGAGGCTTGACGGTGCTAGCCTATTGGTTTGGGGTAGCAGAGGTATATAGTTATTGGAAAGGCTTCAGCCAGATTAAAGAACTTCACTTTTGTCCCAACTGAAGTATTTCATCCAAGAAGGGAAGCCAAGATGGTATGATCATGTCCGAGATATACATTTTAAGATGATCACATTGGTGACAGTATGAGGACAGGGACAGGGGAGGCACAACTGGAGGTAGAGAGAGGATTATAGGTTTGATAGAAAGTCCTGGACCAGTGTTCCCTGACCTTTTGAGTTTAACATCCTAAAAATCCACCCAGCTCTCCTCAGCAGCCCAGAGCCACCTCTGGAATAGTTGCCTGAGCCTCCTTAGCAGTTCTGATGTTCTTAGCTGGTGGACTTCACCTCCAAGCCCCAGAGTGCATGTTAATGAAACCATTAGCAATTGATGGAAATGGTTTTGGAGAACTTGCATCAAGAAATAGGTTCCTCTCTTCTACAGCTGTCCCCTGTGACCTGTAGTTCACAAAACAAAAAATATTCAGAGGAAACAAGATCCTGGGAACCCACAAAATTATAGAACTCAACAGATGGTTTAATTGTAGAGAGCCTGGGTGGGTTGGAGGGTGCTTCCTCACCTAATTATCCCCAGTCTGATGGTCTCGGCATCATGGGGCTGGAACATCCACCAAGATCAGGCCACTTCCACATTTTATACTTGGAAAATCCAAGGCTCTTCAAAGCCTTGCATATGGCCTTTATTTTAAAAATCCTCTTTTTAAAATCAGATCCTCACTTTCCTCTTCTTTTCGTGAAAACCAGTCTCAGGAGTTAGTTGGTCACTCATACCTGCAAATCCTCCTTCTGCCTCTGGCTGCCTGGGCCATCCAAAGAGGATCCTATCTGCCAGCAAATGCTAGTCAATGCTGCAGAGGCAGAAACCTTTGTTTCTTCTTGTAAACATCTGTAGTAATAAGTAGGAAAAAGAAAAGAAATGCAAGAAAATCTGTCTACCTAATTGTTTGGAAGTGGAATGTTTTCCATGAAGCATTAATAATACTGACCTAGCAGTAATTTTTCATTTTCAGCTCTGGTCTAGCTCCTATAACTCCCAGCGAGACAAATGAGGCATGGTGTGCATATACGTGCATGCACACATGATTGTGTTTGTGTACACTCATGACTAAAATCTAGCTCAAAACCATAGTCAGTAATATATCTGTTTGGTCTTGAGCTCCTGAAGCTGTTCATACTGGCTGGAAGGCAGTGTTGCACATAGCTGAAAACACTATGTGGACCTGCATTTGAACTCCAGCTCTGTCTCCTGCGAGCTGTGTGATCTTGGGAAGTTGTATACCTTCTCTGTTTCTTCATCTACAAAGTGGGACTACTGTGATAACTATCTTATAGGGATGTGAGTACTGACTGAGATGATACCTAGCAAACAAAGGCATTAACACGGTGTCCAGCATGCAATGAATGGCAAATGTTATTTCGATTGGAGCTTAACATACAAATGTTAAGCTCATGTATTAAAACATTTCATCCCTGGGAATCCAGGTGGATCTGGGTTCTACCCACAAGAACAAATCAGACCTGATAGAGGCATAGGATAGAGGATAGGACAGTACTCCATAAATCTAAGAGGCCAAGGCAGTCTGCGAGTATGTTGTTAAAATGGAGAGATGTGGCCATAGCCCAATGAAAAGCCAAGTTCTTGGATGAGGGGAAGAGAACACATAATAAGCCAAAGATGCTGGGCAAAGGCGTAAGAGAAGGGTGAGTGGCAGAACTCCAGCAAGAATTGCCAAGAAATAGAGTCAAGTGCAAGGGACACACGAGATCAGGTAGTTCAAGAACTAAGGCCAAGAATGAGGGGGCTGCACCAAGTTGCACTACGTGAACAGCACTGGAGCATCTGTGCACCCATCGCAGGGCTGGGCACACACCTTCCTATGGCTCGGGGAAACAATGCTGAAGATATTACCCAACATATTAACCCCGGGAATGGCAGACCAAACAAAAGCACGCTTTTGCCATTGTCCTTTCCTGGCAGGCTGCGTCTGTGTCAACACATCCAGAGAGGTGTATCGGGTCCTTGTAGACCAATTTGTCCTAGAACAGAGCGGACTCTAACAAAAGCTGTTTGTAGCAGGGCCGGCTGTATTATGCATGACATTCATTTGCTAATTTGCATTTCCTTCACCTCTTAAAAAATGAAAAGCAGCAGCAAATAAATGATGAATGTAAGGGAAATTGAACGCCTAATAAATGAAAAAGCTGCAATGATGAAAGAACTCGGTGCAGTTTGAAAATGAAATGAGTTCTCCTAAAGAGGGTGGGACATGAACTATCTGAGCAAGATAGCCTTATGGTATATGGCTCACACTCTTGATTGGGAGAAGATTCAGGAGGGAATAGCAAGACCCCAGTTCTTCATGCTCTGCACAACCTTAGGCAAGTCACTCCATCTCTCCAAACCTCAATTCTCCTATCTGAAAAACGGACATGATAGTACCTGGCCTGCTTACCTCACAGGGTTCATGGGAGAGCAGCATGAGTAATGTAGATGGGAAAGCTGGAGCTAAACCAAGAACTTACCAATCAATACAAGGGATCATTCTTAGTACAATTCAAGGACTGTCTCCTGAAATCAAAGGGATTTTTTGCCTTTAGAAACAACTTGGGGTGGGAAGAGCACAGTCTTTGAATACAGATCTGAGTTTGAATCCTGAAACTATCATCTTATTAGCTGTATGACATTGAGTAGGCCACTTTAACCTCTCTGAGCCTCAGTTTCCCCATATGCAAAGTGGGAAAAATTGGTACTTGCACCTTCATTACATTGGTCTAAAAGTTAACTAAAATAAACTGTAAGATGGTACCTGAGGCCAGTGTGGTGGCTCATGCTTGTAATCCCCGCACTTTAGGAGCCCACAGCGGTAGGATGACTTGAGGCCAGGAGTTCAAGATCAGCCTAGTCCACATAGCAAGACCCTGTTTCCACAAAAATAAAAAATTAGACGAGCATGGTGGCATACACCTGTAGTCTCAGTTACTTGGGAGGCTGAGGTGGGAGGATAACTTGAGCCTAGGGGTTCGAGGTTGCAGTGAGCTATGATTGTGCCACTGCACTCCAGCCTATGTGACAGTACAAGACCCTGTCTCAAAAATAAATAAATAAGATAAGATGGTAGCTGATCCGTAATAGGTGTTCAACTAAAGCTGGTTTTCACTCTTTCCTGCCCTATTGAACAACAACATGTGTCTTAATTTTGTGGTAACCTAGAACCCACTTCATGAAACTGTAGAGATCAACTGCAAGAAAAAGTTATAATTTTGAGATTTTTCTGAGCTGTGAGAGAACTTAGAAATATTTAGCCCAGGATCTGTCTGTCTCTCTCTGATAGTCAAAGCAGTTTTAATTTACTACAAATACTAAGTCAATTCCTTCTTTGAATATAACTATGCAGCGAATTTGACATCAGGAAAGTAACAAGTAGGCATAAAACATTAAGAATTTGGCCTGCTATCTGCAGGTTTAAAATGGAAATAAAGTATACACATAAATATGTTTTTGCACATAACTGTTTGAAATACATATTCATCAGCATCAAGCCATCTAATGCCGATTACATATAGCTTTAAACTCAGAGGCACAATTTTTGCCTTTAGTCAGAATTTTTCTAAGCCTGTTCCTTAGAGTTGTAGGGTTCCATAGAGGGTCCCTGGGCTCCCTTGGGGGAGATAAGGAAGCCTCAGTGCCCAGGACTCCCCTCCGCACTGTAACCAGGGCATCTTTCATTTGTTTAAAACACTGGGGTTCTATGCAAGGCTTTTCTGTTTAATAAGAATGTTTTCCTATAAAACAAAAATATGGAAATGACCAATGTGGTTCAAACCACTCATCTTACAAATTGAATTAATAAAGCTTATAGGGGAGCAGTGACTTGCCCGAGAACATGGCGCATGGGATAAGCGCGGCAGGACTGGGGGCAGAACTCGCAGCCAAGGCCTCTTCTTGTTCTACTCAGAGGACATTTTTTGAGTGTACAGGTAATGTTTTCTGGGAGCTGGTGGCATGATCTTCCCTGGCCCTGCTGGGCACACATTTACAAGATGGTAGCGAAGTGCTGGGCTGGGCTATGGCCCCACACTAGGAGCAGGCTCCCGGCTGTGGCCTCCAGGGCCACGGGCTGGCCACCCACACCCCAGCTCCTCGAAAAAGGGACATCTCCCTTTGGGTGAGTGTTATGTCAGGACTAACTCAAATAGTTTCAAATCAACACAAGGAAAATGACCAAAATTCTTGAGCACCTATGATGTGCCTGGTAGCTTAAACACAGTATAGTATTACTTTCCTAGGAAGCAAGTATTTATAGCCCCATTTTACAAATAAGGAAACTGAGGCTTAGAGAGAATCAGTTTGCCTAAGATCGACACAGATAGAACTGTCAGAAGCAGGATTACTCCCTAGAAGTGTCTGGCCCCAAGAATCCCTGATTCCCAATGCCCTCTTTGTTTCCTGATCTCCTGGCCTGTGAAGTCAGACCCCATACCTTTGGGATTGGCCCCACTCACTTTTCAGGGACCACCTTCTCCTCCCACCATGATCCCAACTCCCTAGCTAACAGGCCAGTAAGTCCCAAGCCTATGGCACATGAATCCTGAGAGGTGTTCAGCAGCTTCCCCAACCTACAGAGTGAATGGTTTCCCCACCCGCCCTGCCTTTGGTGGAACTAAGGTTTATGCAACCGCTGCAAAAAGTTATGCTTTGGGGCCTGGGAGCTCCAAGAGGCCTCCAGAGTGAGCAGACACCTGCCACATGTGCCCAGAGGGAAGGATAGTTAGAAGGCAGGGCTGCAGCCCTGGCTGAGATTTCGGTCTTGGCGTGAAGGCCATGTTATACCTCCCACCACTGACGTGTTTATTCACTTGGATTCCTAGACAGGACCCTGTCCTGGTCCTTCTTTTGTCTCAGGGCTCACTCCTGCGGAGACTCCTCTTCTCCCCAACCTCCTAGTGTCGGAGGACCTCAGGACTCAGTCCTCAGTTCCCTTCTTTCTCTACCCTCGCTCCCTTGCTCATCTCCTCCAGTCCCATGGCTGTAAGTACTGTCTCCATGCCTATGCTCCACTATTAAAATCTCCAGCCCAGCCTTTCCTCCCAAACCCTGGGCTCTTCTCCCCAGCTACCTACTCAACATCTCCATGTGGATGTTTAGACATCTCACCACGCCCCCATTTCTAAAACTGAGCTCCTGTTCTTACTCCCGAAACCTATTCCACCCACAGTCTTCTGTATCTCGGTGAGGACACCTTCATCCTTCCAGTTGTTCAAGTGAAAAATCTTGTGGCCAGTCTTCACCCTTCTCTTTCTCTCTCACCCCACCTCCAGTCTGTCAGAAAATCCTATTGGCCTTACCTTTCAAATATGTTGAGAAACCAGCCATGTCTCACAGCCTGCACTGTTCCCATCCCATCTAAACCATCACTATGCATTACCTGGATGACTCCAGAAGCCCCCTAGCAGGACTTTCTACATCTACCCTTTCTCCTGTAGGAGGCTGGGTCATGGACCCCAAAAATACCAAGTACCAACCCCAGGAAGCTGTAAATGTTGCCTTGCTTGGAAAAAAAGACTCTTTGCAGGAATGATTAAGTCAAGGAACTTGAGATGGACAAACCATGTAGGATTATCCAGGTAGGCCCTAAATATCACCATGAATGTTTCTATCAGCAGCAGAGGGGGAACTGACACATACAGAGAGGAGGAGAATGTGACCACGGAGATAGAGATTGATGAGAGTGATGTGGCCTCAAGCCAAGAATGCTGGAGCCACCGGAGGCTGGAAGAGGCAAGGAACAGATTCTCCTTTGGAGCCTCCAGAGGGTGTGTGGACCTGCTGACACAATGGTTCCAGCTCAGTGAAACAAATTCTGGATCTGTGGCCTCTAGAACTTTGAGAGAATAAATTCCTGTTGTTTTCAGCCATCCAGTTTATAGTAATTTGTTACAGCAGCCACAGGAAACTAATGCACTCCCCTACAGTCTAGTCTTACTGCATTATTTTAAACATCCATAAGATCACATTAATCATTTGTTCAAAAACACCCAGTGGCTGCCTCTCTCATTCAACGAAAAGCTGCAGGCATCTCAGTGGCTAAATGCTCTTGCCCACATTACTACCCTGATCTATTTCACTATCACGTACTCAGCCACTCCACCTACACTGGCCTTCTCACTGTTCCTTGAACAGGCCAGGCGTACACCTACCTCAGGGCCTTTGCATTTGCTGGTCCCTCTGCCTGGAATGTTCTTTCGTGAGATAGCCACAAGGTTCTCTCCTTCACCACTTTGCAGTCTTGAAAGTTGAGAGTCAAGTCCAATCTCACCTTCTCAGTGAGACCAAGCATGACCAACCCAGTTTCAGCTGCAAACCACACCCCCTCTTCCCCTGGCATCCCCATTCTACTCATCTACCTCTGCTATTTCATAGTCTTCTATCACCTTCGAACATGCTATATTGTGTTCGAATATATATCAAATATATTCTGTTTTATTATGTTCATTGTTTTCTGGCTGTCCCGTACATACACATATACTTCAGAGTCTAAGCTCCCTGAGACACAAAGACCTCTGTCTCTTGTGCCCACTGATTTATTCCAAGTACCTAAAGCAGCACCTGGCACAGAGGAGATGCTCAGAAAAATGAGTGCATGCATGAGCTATAAAACCAAAACTTACCCGCCTTTGTTCTTAGGGAAGACTCGCCCTCCTGTCCTTACACAACCACTGAGGAACCTACTCTTGGCTTAGCCAACTGACTCCTGCTCCAGGAAGCTCCTTCTGCTGGGTCAGTTCTCTACTGGCCTCCTGGCTGAGAGTAGACACGGGTAGACTCTCTCTACCTTGATTTTCTGAAAGCTACCTTGTTCTCTTTGTCCATTGTCTCTGTTCCCTGGAAACGCTTCCTCCAAAAATACTGGTAGGTTCAAAACTAGAGACGATTTTAGGTGGTTTTCTTTTTTTTTCTTTTTGGATTCACAAAGTTTCATGAAAACCAAATAAACTTAGAAAAGAGATCCGAAGGAGAGCTGAAGAGCTGCCAGATGGACACCTAAGATCTCTCAGGCCCTCAACATTTGTATTTGAAACCACACCTCACTTTGTATCAAACACACTAAAAAGAACTTATTTCACGAAATATATAATTTTTTGTTGTAAAATACTTTGAAAGGATTTTAAAATCCTGCCTTTGCGGTTATTTGACTAGAAATTGGCTCACCACCTAACTCACCACTGGCTATGATTTCTGAACACCCACCCCATGTACTCTGGAATTCTTGCAAAGTGAGGAGAATGTGGCTCACACATTATTTTCAAATGTAATGAAACCTTAATAAACGCTCTATCGAACAATGAATGAAGGTGCTATGGCAAGAAGTTGACATGTGGTGGAAATGTAGATAAACATTTATTCATTTCATTCCTGCCCTTTTCTTTTTGTATTTTGGAGCTAACTACATCTTTTTTCAAATCCAATTTTCTTCTTGTTGTTGGCTCTTAAAAACCTCCTAGGTCCTAGGGCCTTTGTCAGTGGTGGCTGATGGACAAACTGGCTGTGCTGGGGAACCCTCAATGAGAATCAGAAAGGCTGGGGGCAACCACCGACTCACTGTGTGAGCTTGAGCAAGTCCCTAATGCACTCTAAGCCTGAGCTTCCCTCTCCCTGAAATTGGGATTATGGCTCTGCTTCTATGTGACTATAGGAATCAAATGGGATAACGTATGTCAAAAGTGCTTTGTAAACAGTAAGGCACTATGCACTTGCTCATTTAGGCAATTGTTTTTATCAGCCTTGCTGGCTGAATTCACTTGCACTTAGCTCAGGAGGGATTCCTTATTTCCTCCTGAGCAGGGGTGAACCCCGCCGCGCCCTTGCAAGGCTCTCTGGCACAGCGCCTATTTGCCCAGAAGTTCCCCGACCCCATTCTTTCTACTGATCTGGCTGCCAGGCCTACCTGGGCTTTATTAAAGTTGCCCTACTGCACTGAAGTTCGTTTTAAATACAAGAAGGGGATGAAGGGGTCAGCATTTATGGAGAGCACAGTGTGTTAGGCGCTCTTTACACATGGCGTTTCATCCTTAGGGAAGCCTGTCATCCCAGAAGTGTTCTGTTTCTCTCCCTGCCTGCGCCCTCTCTGCAAACAGCAACTCCATCTGCCCCATACCTTGAGCCAGGAACCTGGGAGTCGCTCTTTATTTCTCCCTCTCCCTTCCCCCCACCACCACATCTTATCCCCCAGCCAATTAGGCCAACTCCACCATCAATATCTATTCTGAACCCACAGACCTAGCTCCATCATGACTGCTACTTGACTTCTTGCCTGGATGGTACACCTCCAAACCAGCATTTCTAAATTCACAGGGTTTCCTGTGTTTCATCTTCTACCAGGAATCCACAGTGACTTTTTTTTTTTTTTAAGTAGAGGTAGGGAGGGTCTCACTATGTTGCCCAGACAGTTGAACTCCTGGCCTCAAGCAATTCTCCTGTCTTGGCCTCCCAAAGTGCTGGGATTACAGACATGAACTATTGTGCCTGGCCCAGAGTGCTTTTAAAATTGGTAAATCAGTTCACTCTCTGCCTTCCTCCATTAGTGCTTCCTCCCAAACCCCTTATGGGGCCTGCACACTCTGGCATCTGCCTTAGCCTATGGCCTCATCTCTCACTCTCAGTGCTCCTGGCACTTGACCTCCTCCCAGTTTCTTGAGGAGCCCACCAGGCTCTTTGCCCCTTTTTTCATGTTACCCTCTGATGCTCTTCCAGCTCCTCACATAGAGGACCCCAGCTCAGCAGCCACTGCCTCAAGGAGGACCCCCAGATCTCTAAGGCATATCAGTTCCTGTCATTCCTGAACATCATTCCTGAGCTTCCTTCATAGCTCTGTACAGAATTTGCAACCCACATTTTAGTTTATTTGTGCATTGTCTGCCTCTTCATAGTCAGTAATTCCAACAGGCCATGGACTTTGTGTGCTCAGCCCTCATAGACAGCCAGCACAGTGCCCGGGGCTCAGTGGATGCTCAGCAAACAGCTGTTGAATGAATGAAAATTCCATATTGACTCAAGATGGGAGAGCAGATGTTTAACCCAAAGATGAGCTGAAATTCCAGCCCCTTTAGGATCCTAGCAGCCTCCTCTGGACTCCCCAAGCACCTGTTCCTATTTCCGTAATAGCTCCTACTGCACTTTAATTGATCTTTTCCTCATCTCTTCCATTCCATTATGAGTTTCTCAAAGACAGCAGCCATGTCCCTGTGAAAATGTGTTTAAGGAGTAACTAGAACTATGATGAGCAGTCCCAGGAGCCATGGCCACTAGGGAGTCTTTATAATGCATGTGATGGTTGTCATACAGTTATAATGATGATGTTATGATCTATATTAGTATAATTATTATGTGATCGTTATTACAGAATAGACTATGTTAATGCTAAAAACACCCCCACGTGACCCAGTTTAACGCTTTTGTTATGTGGATGAGACCAAGAGTGCTGAGAGGAGGGTCTTACCCAAGATCACACAGTGGCAGACCCAAGAGCAGAACTCAGAGCTACTCACTCCCTATCCTGTTCCTCTTACTCCCAACATGTGCCACCTTGTTTTAACAGGTGCGTGGGGAGTTTCATTCCTCTGCATTCTCGCCTGAGCAGAGATGCTGAACGAGTGAAAAAGGCAGGGTTAGTGGTCAGACCACGCCTTGTCCTCAATGCTGAAGGCTGTGTGTTGAAAGCACAAGACCCTATATGCAAGGATCCTCTAAGAGCCAAGGGTCTCGTGGTGGGGCAAGGTGTGGCCAGGACAAGCCACTCTTAGGGAATGACAGCTGCTGAGTGGGAGCATAGATTCTCGTGGTAAAGTAGATTATCCTGCCTTTGTTACCAAAGCTGATTGTGTGTGAGCTTTGTGTCTGCGTAAACATTTTAGTCAAACATCTGCATGGAAAATAGAAATCATGAAAGTTATATCTAATGCATATTATTCTAGGCACTTTGCTAAGCATTTTATGTGTTGGCTCACGTAAACAGTGATCTGATTAATTCGACCAAAAAGATCACCAAATGATGTAAATCAGGATTTCACGCACTTCCTAGAGGCCTCATTTTCCAGTCCGGTTGTCTACATGGTTTTCTCCAGTCAATGGATGATCACCTAACCTGCCTTTCCAATGTAAATAGCAGGCAAATACACAGTTGTCTCCAAATACTGCCAATGCAAAGTGTTTCAGATGGGGACATATCTTGAAGTATTTGACCTCATCTAATCTAACAGGATCACTTAGCATGTCCCTACACTTCCTTAGGCTGTCTCCATAGGAAAGGTTATGCAAAGAATGAAAGAATAGAAAACCTTATCAGTTTAATTCCCTCAGCACCACAGTTAGCCTAGCGATGTGCATTTGTTGCTATCTCATGAGCATATAGAAGCGGGCTGGGGGACAAGGGGTTTCTGGGAGATTGAATTCATCCCAGGATTGAAAAAGGGAAAACAGAGGCCCAGAGAGGTCAAGTGACTTGCCCAAGGTCACACAGCCAATTTGTGGCAAAGCCAAACTAGCACTTGCTTTTCCCAACTCCCGGTTAGATTGTCCTTCTTTCAGAGGATTAAAAATGATCAGGGAAAAGCTGGAAATGGGTATATGGAATTCTTCATGCAATTCTCTCTACTTGTACTTGTTTGAAATTTTTCATACTAAAAAGTATTTTTAAGTGAAAAAAAGCCCTAGAAGAGTATTTGATCATAGCAAGAATGGGTCCTGTTTTTATATTCACGTCTTCAAAGAAGATGTGTTTAAATCTTCCCGGAGGGATCGTTCCTGTATGTTGAATTCCCTCAACATCACACACAGTCTATTCCACACACAATTACTGATGGCGAAACAGGCTTGGATTTTTTTTCCTTCTGTCTACCAGCCAGAACACAAGATTTCCCTTCTTTGAAGCTCCAAGTTCCCCTGGGAACCGGCCTCAGGTTTCCTCTCTACCCACATTTCCCCATCTCCTACCCATCATACCCTGGCAGCCATGGTGCCCCCAACTTCATTCACCCACAGACCACCTCAGGGTTTTTGCCATTGCCAAGTACTGCAGTCCTACGATTTACTAAATATTTTCCTTTGAGCTGACTCATTTTGTTTACTTCAATCTATTTTCAGAGAAAACTGCATGTCATTGCTATTGATGGAAGATCAGTCATATTATCTGTGAAATCTGGGTTTGATGTACTAGTTACACTTATTCTAATAATCATTATGAAATGCATAGTTATTAAGAAAACATTGTGTCCATCAATGTACAACTTCATCCTCTAAGAAACTCTGTCATCAGCTGCTGGTTTCCTGGGAAGAGCCCTGCATGGTATCTCTGCCTCAAATGCAGGGGTGTGTGAGTGTGGAAGATGTGTGCACACACATGTGGGTTTTCATCAGTGGATCATGTCCATCTGGCCACGGCAACAGAAATGGCATGTGCTTCTGATTTCTGCCAGGTGCTCCAGTGAGCTGGGCTGGTGTGCAGGAGTGAGGGTGTGGCTTGCAGGTAAACCAAGCAGGCAGTCCAGCAATCACCTCTCGATCCAGATCTCTTACTCCCTGCCCACCTTCCCTGCACAACAACCCCCACAAAATAAGCAAAGTGCCCTGGAAAGAACCTTAACCACCATTGATGGAAACAGAAATAGGTGAAGTGTAAGGAGGACTGAGAAGGTATGGGCCTCAGCAAGAAAAATAGGTGTTTTATGGAGGCGATTATACACTAAAGTGGAATTTGTAAATTGAAAACTCCCGGACGTCTCGGGATTACTCTCATGAATGTCAAGGGCTTAAGGCTCTTATGTTTATCGAGAGGCAGCGAGGAGTGCTAGGATGTACTTGGCTGTGGAACCACACAGACTGGGTTTAAATCCTATTTAAGTCATCCTGAGAAGTTGTTTAAGTCCTTGGAGCCTCATTTTCTTTATCTGTGAAATGGGGATAATAATATCCTCTATCCAGGGTTGCATTGAAGATTAACTAGGAAAGAACTGGTCATAGTGCTGGGCTATAAAACACAGGCAGTTGTGATTTTCCTAAATTTCTGAAAGATCATGGAAGACTTTCTGATTCATTGAAGAGAGAATAAATCTTTTTTTTTTTTTTTTTGACGGAGTCTCGCTCTGTCCCCAGGCTGAAGTGCAGTGGCGAGATCTCGGCTCACTGCAAGCTCCGCCTCCCAGGTTCATGCCATTCTCCTGCCTCAGCCTCCCGAGTAGCTGGGACTACAGGCGCCCACCACCATGCCTGGCTAATTTTTGTATTTTTAGTAGAGACGGGGTTTCACCGTGTTAGCCAGGATGGTCTCGATCTCCCGACCTCGTGATCTGCCTGCCTCGGCCTCCCAAAGTGCTGGGATTACAGGCGTGAGCCACTGCACCTGGCCAGAATAAATCCTATTTTGTGTAGGTTCGGAGTTAAAGTGGAGAATACTTATTACTGTACTCCAGTGTTTTGAGATTGGGTTTTCCATTTATATATAGCAAATCTCAACTAGAATATTGATTTAAGTGGATCCCTCCACGATTGCCTGCTGGCATCATGAAGGTGTTCCAGTACGCTGCCTTAGAATTGCCAGGTGCATCTTGTGGCTTGGCTGTGTCTCCCCAGCTTGGTTGTGAAGCCCAGGAGGACAGGGGCCATGCATTCCTTAGATATCTCCACTGGCAGAGGCACAATCTGTGTGCATGGTGGGCTCATAGAGCATGTGTCCTGGGTAGAATCCAGTGGAATTAGGCCACAGGATTGTTACAGTCTTCAAGAATGTCCCATAAATACAGTCCTCTTTCCTGCCCAGGTTTGGAACCATTTGAAAAACAAGAAAAGATAAAATGGGATATAGGCCAAAATGTTATCTTTATGACTAATAAGGTCTCTATGAGGCATGGTTTGTATCTATGAGGAAATGATCTTCCTAACCTAATAGTGAATGCCAGAATTCTGTGGACTCCCCCTGCAATCATAGGCAGCACAGGGCTGGAACAGCCCTCCCCATGTGGTGAGAGCAGAGAAGGAAGGGGGTTGAGGAGAAAAGCTGAATATTGCATGAATGGAACTCCCACCACGTGAATGAAATAGCAAAGGAATAGAGGTAGCATCTCCTTCTCTAGAGTCAGCTTACTTATTGGTTTGCTTGTGTTTTCCTGGATCTACCTCTGTTCAAGAACCAATATCCTGTAAGTCTTAATAAAGTACCCAATACTCAGTTAACCCATTCATAAAACAGGGTGGCATTTAAGAGAAACAATGTGGTTTGATTCTGAAGAAACTGGAATGAAGGAGACATGGGTTTAATACAGTTCTGCCCCTGACTAGCTGTGTGACCATGAACGCTGCTTTCATGCTGCCTGGGCTTCAGTGTCCTGATCTATGAAAGGTGATCTATGATTTTTATGTTACAGGGTAGGTCTGGGTGATAAGTGAGATAATGTACATGCCAATGCCTCATTTGTAGTATGTAATAGGCACTCCATAAACGGTAAAATTCTCTGAAGAGCTAAAAACACCAGATATTGGCATGCCACGATCCTGCCTTTGAGGTGTTTTTTTGTTTGTTTGTTTGCTTTGCTTTGCTTGGAAGGGCTGGCTATGGAGAGGACAGGGAATAGGTCCCTAAGAGCATCTTGATTTATGGAGGAAGACACCCAGAGGGAGTGGAGCAAGAACCAGCAGGGCACGGACCCCGCAGGATTGGGAGATGGGAGACCCACCCTACCTTCCAATGCTACAGCTCCTTCCCGCTCCTGGCTGCCTGGGGTAGGGATGCTGACAGCCTCTCGTTGCCTGTTATGGCCCCACAGGCAGATCAGGTGGGGAATCTAATTAAATGGCAAACTCTCATCCAGACAAAGAACTCCACGTCTGAGCTGCACAGTGCCTGGCAGGGTCCCTGGAGATGAGGCCAATATTTGCTTTCTGACCAGTTGCCTAGCATCCAAGCATCTCCCATCTCTCTGGCAGGCCGCTTTCTTAGAGAAGCTTTTCTCTATCCAACCTCAACAAAAGGCAGCCACTGGCTGGAGGGTCTGGAAGGAGGAGCATTAGCAATTTCAGGCTTGAAAGAACTCCTCTGGAATGAGCTGAGATCCAAAAAAAAACCTGTAGGTTCACACAGGTCTGATGTGTGAAGCTGCTCTGGCCTGGGACCTCCATCTTGGGAATGAAGTAGGGGAGGCAGTGTTTTGTGATAGCCATCTGTGCTCCACCAAAACAACTTGGGAGCATCCCTCACTCTGTAGACTCAGGTCAGGGCAGGGATGGGACCAGCACTCATAAGCCCAAAGCATCCAGATCAACTATCTTAGGCTGTGTCCATTTGGGAAGGTTTTTGGCTCCTGGGTTGAAGACTCATCCAACAAACCTTTACTGTGTACCTACTATGTGCCAGATTTAGATTTCACTTTTATCCTACAGTCTAGTAGGATTGACAGGCAAGTCAACTGGCAGATACAGAACAATGCTGTGCTGCAGCAGCGTGGGGGGAAGTAAGGATAAGGGAGGCCTAACCTAGTCTTGGGAAGTCAGGGCAGGCTTCCTGGAGGAAGGAACATTTAAGAACAGCATGTGCAAAGGCCTGGAGTCTAGAAAGAAGAAAACTTATGGAGGGAGCAAGCACAGTGCTGACTGTAAGTAGACACTGAATACCACCCAATATTTGAATTTGGGATGGTTTGCAAATGTCTCTATGGCTCTCCCCAGATCTCAGCAAACCTTCTTCTAAATTTGTAATCACTTTTGTGTGGGGGGCAGGGTGGGAAGGCTAATAACACTCACTGAGCACCCAGGCCAATTACCCTGTATGATCTTAAGAATCCTCATTTATTTATTCATTCATTTGACAAACAGTTATTGAACTCTTACTGTGTGCCAGTATTCTAGGCATCAGAGTGTATAGCAGAAAGCAAAAGAGACAAAAAACAAATTCTCTGTCCTGCAGAGTTTTCACTTAAGCCATAAGGAGTATAAGGGTAAACAAATATATAAGTGAAACATACAGACTATCAGATGGAATCAGTGTTATGTAGAAAACAAACGCAGGAAATGGGAGCAGGGATTTCTGGGGCCGGGGGATTACAATTTTAATCAGGGCTCTTAGGAGAGGGTTCATATTTGAGCAAAGACTTTTTTTTTTTGAGACGGAGTCTCACTCTGTTGCCCAGGCTGGAGTGCAGTGGTGCGATCTTGGCTGACTGCAACCTCCGCCTCCCGGGTTCAAGCAATTATCTTGCCTCAGCCTCCTGAGTAGCTGGGATTACAGGCGCATGCCACCACGCCCAGCTAATTTTTGTATTTTTAGTAGAGACGGGGTTTCACATGTTTGTCAGTGTGGTCTTCAACTCCTGACCTTGTGATCCGCCTGCCTCGGCCTCCCAAAGTGCTGGGACTAAGACTTTTTGTTTGTTTGTTTGTTTGTTTTTTTGAGACAGAGTCTCTCTCTGTCATTCAGGCTGGAGTACAGTGGTGCAATCTTGGCTCGCTGCAACCTCCGCCTCCCAGGTTCAAATGATTTTCCATCCTCAGCCTCCTGAGTAGCTAAGATTACAGGCACGCACCACCATGCCTGGCTAATTTTTGTATTTTCAGTGGAGGTGGGGTTTCACCATGTTGGCCAGGCTAGTCTCAAACTCCTGATCTCAAGTGATTACAGGCATGAGCTACCGCTCCCGGCCGAGCAAAGACTTTAATAAAGGGAATTAGTGAGCCTTGTGGATATTGGTTGGGGGAGCCGTGTTGGGGAAAACATTCCAGGCAGAGGGAACAGCAAACGCAAAGGCCCTGAGGCAGGAGTGGGCCCGGTGTGTTCAGCAACAACAGGGAAGAGAGTCTGGCCAGAGCTGACAGGGCAGGAGATGGAAAAGGAGGTGAGGTCAAATCTCACAGAGATGGCAGGCCGTTGTAGGCATGCAGCTTTACTAGGCATGAAATGGGAGACATCTGGCAAGTTTTGAGCCAAGCAGCAGCGTGTTGCCTTTGCTGGCTCTAATGTCAAGAATAGCCCAGAGGGCAGCAACAGAGGAAGCAGGAGACCAGTAAGGAAGCAGCTCCCTGCAGCCAAAGCCTCAACATTGCTCTGGGCCACACTGCCAGCCTCCCTGGAGTCCCAGAGCCTCCTCGTCTCTCCGGGTGAGTGAATCCAAGGAGCAGCCTCGTAGTCCAAAAATCTTGCAGTGCCGTCGTGCAGCTCTCACAGGGTTTCTCCAGCACAGCCTCTGCGATTTCACCTGTGGGATCCTTCACCAGCACGTGACTTCAGGCCCGAGTGGTAATGAAATCAGGTAGAGAAATGGTGCTTTCAACAAAAATAAAAACAAAACCTGTGACCATGAAAACAACAGCCGCCTTTATTACATTGCTGAGTGGCTCTAGCTTCGGAACCACACAGGCCTACCGGGTTTGAATCCTGTTTCGTCGTTTGTAAAATGAGTTAACAATAGCTCCCAGTTCCATGGGAAGGATTTAGTGAGATAGTGTATGAGAAGTCCTTGACCACAGTGTGAGGCACAGGAAAAGTTCTCGTTGGTGGTTAGTGAGAGATGGAGCAAGAGTGATGGCTACATAGAAGACTGAGACTCCCAGAAGGCGTGGACTTACCCCAGCCATGTCAGTTAGCATTAGCAATAGCAACACCAAAGGATGGGCTGAGACTAATAGTGCAGTATCCACCCTGTGCCACTTGCATACCTCGTTTAATCCTGCCTCAACCCTGCCACATAGATACATTGCATTTATTGTAGAGATATGAAAACTGAAGCTCAAAGCAAAGAACTTGCCCAGAGTCAAACATCTACTAAGGCCGGGCGCGGTGGCTCACACCTGTAATCCCAGCACTTTGGGAGGCCGAGGTCGGGAGTTCGAGACCAGCCTGACCAACATGGAGAAACCCCATCTCTACTAAAAACACAAAATCACCTGAGTGTTGTGGTGTATGCCTGTAATCCCAGCTACTTGGGAAGCTGAGGCAGGAGAATCACTTGAACCCAGGAGGCGGAAGTTGCGGTGAGCTGAGATCATGCCATTGCACTCCAGCCTGGGCAACAAGAGCACAACTCCGTATTAAAAAAAAAAAAAAACTACTAAGTGGGAATGTCAGGTCTACCTAATTGCAGAGACCAATACCTTCTCCCACCACAAACCCTGCTGTGGCCTCCATTCTGCAGCCTCAGGCCCAGCCCTAGATGGCACTCATTCTGTGCCTCACTAACATCCACTTGGGACTTTTTTGGAAGCCAACAATAACTTCTTCTGGCTCTGATGGTGCTCTGTGGCCTGCCCGGATGATGGACTTCTCAGCAGCACTGTCCTCAGCATGACTATGAACTCTTCATGTCCCTGTATCAAAATGGGATTACAGGTACACACCACCACACACTCACATGTCCCTGCATCATGTCCTTGGCATGCCAGTGAACCCTTCATCTCCTGTCTTAGGGCTGCTATAATAAATTACCACAAAACATGTGGCTTCAAACAACAGAAATTTATTGTCTCACATTTTGGTGCCAGGAGTCCAAAATCGAGGTGTTGGCAGACTCATGCTTCCTCTGAGGGCTCTAAGGAAGATTTCCAGCTTCTGGTGGCTGCAGGAGTTCCTTGAGTTGTACAAGGCAGTATAACTGCAATTTCTCCCTCCATTGACACGTGGCCCATTTCTCTCTGTGTCCAAATATCCCTCTGTTTTCTCTTATAAAGATACCCATCATTGAATTTAGAGCCCACTCTAAATCCAGGATGATTTTGTCTCAAAATCCTCAACTAATTACATCTCTAAAGACCCTATTTTCAAGCCAGGCATGGTGGCATGCACCTGTAATCCCAGCACTTTGGGAGGCTGAGGCAGGCGGATCACTTGGGCCCAGGTGTTCAAGATCAACCTGGGCAACATAGCAAGACCTCATGCCTACAAAAACAAAAATTAGCTGGGTGTAGTAGCGTGCACCTGTAGTCTAAGCTACTTGGAAGGCTGAGGCTAGTGGATAACTTGAGCCCAGGAGTTCAAGGTTGTGAGCTGTGGTTGTGCCACTGCACTCCAGCCTGGGCAACACAGAGGAAGATGCTATTCCAAAAAAAATAAATAAATAAAAGAGAGAGACCCTAATTTTAAATAGGGTCACATTTCAAGGTTCCAGGTGGACATGAATTTTGAAGAGACACCATTGAACTCACTACAGCCGACCCTTTTGCCTACCAAAATTTCACATCCTTCCTTCATGCAAAATACATTCACCCCATACTAACATCCCCAGAAGTCTTAACCCATTCTAGCACCCATCACCTCTAAGTCTAAAATCTTGTCTAAATATCATCAACTCCCTGTAATCCCAGCACTCTGGGAGGCCGAGGCAGGCAGATCATGTGGTCAAGAGATCAAGACCATCCTGGCCAACGTGGTGAAACCCTGTCTCTACTAAAAATAAAAAGATTAGCTGGGTGTGATGGTGCACGCCTGTAGTTCCAGCTACTCGGGAGGCTGAGGCAGGAGAATCGCTTGAACCCGGGAGGAGGAGGTCGCAGTGAGCTGAGATTGCACCATTGCACTCCAGCCTGGGCAACAAGAGTGAAACTCTGTCTCAAAAAAAATAATAATAATAATGATATATCATCAGCTCAAAAAGCCCCAAATCTCATCACTGAATGAATGAGTTATGGGTGTGACTCTGGGTCTGATCCATCCTGGGGCAAAATTCATCTTAATCTGGCACCAAAGAAGAGTTCAGGGCTGCCTCCATGGAGGCCAAGGCTGGGCCTGTCCAGGGCAGGTTCCTTCTGCAAAGACGTAGACAGGGCAGCACAGAGGGCTCCTCTGAACACTCACTGAGAAGCCCGGCTGGTATCTGTTACCTGAGGGAGCTGAGCTATGGTTACCCACGGGCTTTCCTAGTCTGCATGTCACTCCTCCCATAACCACTTATGTTTAAATAATTTGTACTTATACTGTGACTCATTACAAAAATGATTTGAGGTGGAATTAGAGCAGGGACTCTCAGAGCTGGAAGGCACCAATTCCCAGCCCATGCATGACTCATCCTGGCTCAGCTCTCCTCTGGCCTGGTCTAGAACACTGCCAGCACCAGAGAACTCCCTCCCACGTCAGCCCCACAGGGAGGGAGGCCAGGAGTGGAGCCCTGTGTGTGGGTTGCCCCTGTTAAAATGGACTACCTGATCCTGGGAAGGGGGAGGGAGAAGGTGCACACTGACCTAGTTTGGTTTTGCTTTTGTATATGGTTATTCCTATGACTGAAGATGTATGAGCCACTGTGGCTGCCTGCATCTCTGGCTGTGTGTGTCTTATGTCTCATGCCCCAGGGTCCAGCAGTGAACCTTGCTTTCCAGAACAGAGGGCTATAGGCAAGTGCAATGGAGAAGAAGTAAAATGGGACCAGAGCCACATGCCTGTGGGAGAGAGGGAGCGAAGGAAGCAGGAGAAGACCAGAAAGGATGCAGCCGCAGTTTTGTGTCTGGCCTCAGCCAGATCCCACAGGGGAACTCACAGAGGAACTCAGGGGCACGCATAGTGTTATGGTCTGAATGTTTGTTGTCCCCCTCCCCAAGATGTATATGTTGAAATCCTAACCCCTAATGTGATGGCATTGGGAGGTGGAAGATTTTGGGAGGTGATTAGGTCGTGGGGTGGAGCCCTCACAACTAGGATTATTACCTTTATAAAAGAGACACCAGAGAGTTCCTTTTCCCATTTACACCATGTGAGGATACAGCAAGAAGATGCCATTTAGGAAATGGGAAGCAGTCCCTCTTCCAACCTGCTGGTGCCTTGATCTTGGACTTCCCAACCTTCAGAACTGTGGGCAGTAAATGTTTGTTGTTTAAGCCACACAGTCTAAGGTGCTTTTGTTATTGCAGCCTGAACGAACTGCAAGACAATTAGCATCCAAGACTGGATCCCTCCTCATACCCTGGAGATGAAGGAGATGAGTGCCTGTGGGCAGAGAAGAGGGCCACTCTGAAACCACTCACCTCCCACCACAGGGTCTGCCGCTGCACTTCCACACATCACCCACAAGCCACCATGCCAGCCTACCACCAAGCCGGACTCTGCAGGGGCCCAGCCAGGGCCACATATCCACGGCTTTTCCTAAGGCACAGAGAAGCTGAGAAACCTAGTAAGAGCCTCTGGGGTCCCCACTTTTAGTAAATTACAAGGAGGTGTTCAGCCTGCCCTGAACCTCATAAAAGATGGATGGTGTAGTTATATAACATCCATGGCTTTTTACGAACTTCACCTTTCCTTTAAAAAGCTGCTAACTTCAAAGAAAAAAAATCGCTCCAGGCATTCTGGTGGTTGTAATAAAATGCATTCCCCAGGAACATGGGTTGTCTCAGCCTTAGAGAAGAAGACAGGGTGGCCATGTGGGTGCCCACGTGCCTACTTCCTTGTGGGTGACAGGTTTTATCTCCCTGCAACTGATTTATGCTGAGGACTGACAGCCTGTGGCCATGACCTACTTTCCCTTTTACAATACAGCATCCAGGGCTCAGCAGGGCTGTCCCGCCTAAAGAAAACCAAGAGTACAGAAGCAGCACTTGGTAAGCGTGTGCACCGGAGGTTTCTCTTGACAATCTGCTTCATAAAATAAAATAAGTGTGTGTATCTGTGTGTGTGTCTGTTTATGTGTCTGTGTGTGTGTTTTCTGTAGAACGAGGGATTCTTTTTAAAGAGCTAGCACCTCAAGTCATCTGACATTGGAATTTGAGACCTTCTAATCATTATTGTGAAAGCAACGTCAGCCTACACAGCATGTGTGGCCTACATCCACCCAGCCTGATGCCGTTCAGAAAAAAAAAAACCAGTTGAAAGGCAGATGTGGAGACTTTTGTGTACAGAATACCTGAATGGCTGCTTATGCCATGTGTGTGTGTGTGTGTGTGTGTGTGTGTGTGTGTGTGTGTGTGAATTTCCAATTCCGTAACCTCAAGTGTCATTTCAGTTTTTAAATTCTGGAAAGAGTTCGTGTGTATGTGAATTGTGTCAGATAGTAGAATTCAACTCAGGAGAGAGTGACACACACGGTGGTGTAGTGTGTGAGTTTTCTGCTGCTAGAGGGAAAACCTCCTAGCGCATGAGGGCACTGTCGCACAGCCAGGCAGTGTGGGGGTTGGGAAAAGAGGATTTGGGATTTAGGTGGAGCCTCAACATAGGCTTTGGCTCAAGATGTCAAATCCTAGTATGTTAGAAGGGAGCTTTGGGAATCATCTAGTGTAGCTGTCTTCAACTGATGAAGTTGATGGCTTACCCAGACCGCTGAGGGTATATGAGGAATTTCCAAGGGGTGCACAGGCACAGAAAGTGGTAAAAGAATCCATTCCCAGACTGTCAGTTTCCACGTGGTCTCCAGGGCACGTAGCTGGAGTCTGCCAGGACAGGCCTTCTCAGGTCTCCCTTCCAAAGCCCCCTTCCCCCACTTCACAAGTGAAAGACAGGCCTCACTCCCTCTAGGGGACATTGCCCTGAGGGGTGGGCATCTCTTGGTGCCCACCAAAGGGGCCATACAAGAATGCATCGCTCCAGAGGAAGAAGACCCCCAGGACAAAGCACAATACAAGCACCACTGAAGAGGGCAGCCAGGTGCCAAGGACTCTGCATTACCTGTGTCCATCTCTCTCCTCTCTTAGCGTTCAGAAGTGGCCACAGAGATGCATATTAATGGGTTTATTTGAATTGAAAAAATGTCAGACTTTTTGGCTGAAAAAGATTCTGAATTGGCTGATTGGCCTGACAATGATGATGGCTTTACCATTTAGGTTGTAGGATTGACAATTTACATAAACTCAACAAGGGAAATTTGCAGCCCGAAGTTGTAGTGAAAATATTTTTAAAGCACAAATACAAAACAAAGTATATTTAGATGCTGTTTATAAATGTTTGAGGTGTGTCTTAGTTTTCTTGGGCTGCCATACCATACCATACCGTACCATACCATACCATACCATACCATACCATACCATACCATACCATACCATTCCATACCATACCATACCATACCATACCATACCATACCATTCCATACCATACCTAGGCTGCCATACCATAGACTGGATGTCTTACCTACAGAAATTTATTTTCTCACAGATTTGGAGACTGGGAAGGCTAAGATTAAGGATCCATTTTGGCCAATTCAGTTCCTGGTGAGGGCTCTTCTCCTGGCTTGCAGAGGGCCTCCTTCTCACTGTGTCCTTGCATGGCACGGGAAAAGGAAGTTTCTCTCTCCCTCCTCTTATAAAGAAACTAATCCTATCACGATAGTTCCACCCGCATGACCTGACCTAAACTTAATTATCCCCCAAGGCCTCCACCTCCAAATACCATCACTTCCGGAGCTAGGAATTCAACATATGAATTGAAGGGGAAGAGGCAAACATTCAGTTCATCCCAAGGTTCCAAATTTATTTAGGAGTGTGTCAGCATAAACTGTGAAGAGCACAGATCAAGTATCTAACATAGTGCTGGAGATATCACAGACAATAAATATTTGTTGGATAAAAAGAAAAGTAATGAATGAATATAAAGGAGAGGACAGGCTCCCTGCTCACCCCCTCCCCATTGCTCATCTCAATTTTGAGCAAACATTGTTTTGCTGGCAGAGTGATGCCAGCAAAGCATAAGACCCCATTGTTGAGAAATGCTGAAGCAAGACTTGATCCTAACCAGAGAAGCAGGCTGGGAAGCTACTCCTCTGCCCAGGCCTATTTCTCTAGGCCTGAGAAATAATGGGGTCAGGGAGCAGTTCCAGAACCCTGATCACAGTGACCCATCAGGCCTCGATCTGATGGGTCTCCAACTCAGCACCTAAGGGTCAGTTTGGAGGTGGGGATCAGCAGTGAGGGCCCATCAAGTCTGGGATGGGACTTCAGCAAATGCCTTGGGGACAGGGCAACAGGGTCCAGCCATGAGGAGAGAAAGCCGTCACAAGCTAGGGGCAACCAGACACCCTAGGACCCAGACCCCATGCTTCACGGGGCCCCATTCCGGCCCCCATCCAGCCATGCACCTCTGTATAGCATGAGCAGTCCTTGAGCCATGCCCATGAGCATTCCCCCTTCCCCAGACCAGACTCCAGGTACCCGCAATCTGGAATTCCCTCTCCAAGGGGTGCCAACTCCCACAGATATTAGGCCTAGGCCTGGGAGGCATGGAGATACATTTACTCTGAAAGGCAGGGAAGATGAACACCTAGCCAGTTGATGCCATGTCCTGACCCTGATAGCGAGAACGTGCCTGGTGCCACACCTCTCCCCTCATGCTGGGCAGCATAGTTAGCACACAGGTTGACATTTGATCCTGAGACAACTCCTCTGTCCAGCTCTTTGCACCTCGATGCTCAGCTCCCTAAGGACAAGAGAGCCCTGTCTTAGGCTCCCAAAGCTGGGCAGCTTATTAGTTCTTCCTCTGTTTAACAGAAAAAGGTTCTCTGTTTCTCTCTCCCAAGCACAAGATACAAGAGATATATTCCTGCAAAGTCATTCACAAATCAATAATTTTTAAATCAATAATTTTTTAAAGACGCCTATATTGAAACCATATAGAACGTATTTTCGTTGCGTATCACCTTGAAGTGGGAACCTCACCATTAACCCCAGCCCAGCATTAACCTTGCGCAGATGGGCCTGCCTCCTTGGAAGGCCCTGCCACCTCATCTTCTCATGGGCTTTGCTTTCTTCGTTCTTCCTGGAGAAAGTTGCATCTTCTCTTACCCCCCTTCTTACCCCCTTCGCACTGTGTGTGACAGCTTACACAATACTGACCCCATTATTTTATTTGGTACATACAGTCATGATTATCCCCATTTTACAGCAAGGAAAACAGAGGCTTATGGAGAAGACATGGTTCTTCCACATACCCAAGCTGAGGAAGTGGCAGAGCTGAGCTGGAAGTCCGGCCCCCTCAGTCCACAACCCTGCTCTGTACCTTCACACCACTTGCCTCTGGTTCTGCAGCCAGAGTGAGCAGTGACCAAGACAAAAGTGGTGGCAGGTGTTGCCCTTGGTCATGGTCTCTGACTGGTGGGCAGGTCACCTTCCTTTTGTCCTGGATAGCTCATTACCTGTCACTGAGCATTGGCTTCTGCCAAAGAGTGACAGTCTCACCAGAGCAACTTCTGAGCCCAGCAAAGTAGAGGCTCCAATACATATTGAGTTAATATAGCAGAAGTCAGAGCCCATAGCTGGCTTCTATCACTTTAGAGTGGCCAGCTGCCAGCTTTTAGCCCCATGGGGGCTTCTGACCATTTATTAGGCAGAGTGGAAGGTAGTCCTGTGCCTCACCCCAGAAAATGAATCATTCAATGGCCAGCCTGTGTGTGTACATCAGACTTTCATGAAACAGCAGGGGTCTCACCTGGGATGCAGGGGAGGGAACAGATGTCCTGCATAACCATCCTTGGCTGCCTGGCACAGTTCACAGGCCCCATCTGGGCTCCAGAATCCCAGAATCAGGACAACTCAGGTCTGGAAAGGACCTTCAAGGTTACGTAGTTCACATGTCCATCAAAGGCTAGAATCCCACCAGTGGTTGCCTGCTCTCCACTTGAATATTTTGGTTGATAGGGAGCTCACTCCCTCCAGGAGCAGCCAGGGCTGGAAAGTCCCCTGAGAAACATCTAATCTGATTCGCTCATTGTACAGACTGAGACATGCTCAAAACTGGAAAAGCAGCTTGTTCCAAGGTCAGCCAGCTAGACCAGCAACAAGGAGACGTCTATTTATTGGCTCCCATGCGTCCCAGGCTCCGGCCATATTTCAATTCCCGAAATGAGCTGTACCGTTTCATGTCTCCATGTGTGTGCTCACCCTGTTCCCCTCCCAGAATGCTCTTCACACTGTATCTTCCCTCTCCCTTTTGCATGGAAAAACACATCTGCCTTTCAAGGTCCAGCTCAGGCGTTTTCTCTTCCCTGAAATGTTGCCCAAGAGCGTCCTCCCACAGGTGGAAACACTTGCCCTCCTCTCTGCCCTGCGTGTAGCCAGTGCAGACATCGGCTAGGGCACTTGTCACCCTGGATTCTACCTGTCCCCATGCTCAGACCACATTCCTCATATCTGTCCTCAGACCCTTCCCCAGCTCTCAGCACAGTGGTGTTTTTTGAATAAATACACAAATGAATGATTGAACGAATGAACCCTGGATAAGCCAGGAAGGCTATTTGTAATTTCCGTAGGGCTTATCAGCTCTGTTCCATTTTCATTCCACTTTCCCCCCGCATTTCCTATCCCCTCCTCCATCTCAGCTCTCCTCTTGCTTGGTACACCTCTTTCCATCTCAGAGAAGCTAGGTGATTTGTCCAAACCACCCCACTTTAAACAGTCTCACGTGTTCCTGTATTTCCAGTCTCAAGGGAAATGTCGAGGCTAGTTGTGCCCACTTCCTGAATGGCTCCTCCTCTGGATGAAACTTCTCAGTCTCTGCCTAACTTGCTGAGCATATCTGGGTACCTTTCTCTTCCCCAACCTCAGCTCAGGATCCCCATGCAAGTGTCTTGGCTTCTGTCTTAGCAGCTCTGAGATCCAGCTCCTGGAGGACAGGGAGGAACTTGGGAGGCAGGTGTGCCACCTTTGTGTCCTTGTTTCCTCCTGGAAGGATGGAGGCACGAGCCTGGGTGGGGTAATGGAAAGAGCTGGTGGATCCAACAGGCCTTGGCTCCAGTACAGGGAAGGATAGTGGAAGTGCATGTAGATTGTAACTGGCAGGAGGCCGATGTCAACATTTGACTCCAGCTCATTCACACGTGACGCAGCCTGGCTGAGTTGTCACTCATACTCTCTTCCGAGTGATACACAATCACTCTCACATGCTAGAAGTTTTCAGACTGACTTGACTTCTTGTTGGGATGGTGGGTGCTACACACTCATGAGTGGGAGACATATTGTGTGGCTATCATGTGTCTCATGGATGTCACGCACTCACACCACATGGACGTGCCATGCGCACGTGGATGTGACACACCCTCGTGCAGATGGGCCTGCCTCCTCGGGAGGACCTGCAGCCTCATCTTCTCATGGGCTTTGCTTTCTTCCTTCTTCCTGGTGAAAGTTGCATCTCCTCTTACCCCCCTTCTTTTTTTTCAATTGTGATAACATTTACGTTGCATAAAATTCACCATCGTTTTTCAAGTGTTCGATTCAGTAGCCCTTAGTATATTCACAGTGTTCTGCAACCATCACCACTGTCTAGTTCCAGAGCATTTTATCATCCCAAAAGGAGACTTCATACCCATTAAGCTCTCGTTCTATCTGGGTTTTGAAATTACACCCAAACAATAAGACAGCACAGGAGGCTTTCTAGCTCTGTCCAAGTGCTGACAACACTAAGAGTGCCTCAGAGGAGAAAAGCAAGGACCCCATGTGGAGTACACTGTCCCTGTCATCTCTGTAGATTCCTTCAAGTCCCTTTTCAAAGTTCCTACCTATCTGCTGGACCCCATACTCTCTCATCTCTCCTCTCTCATCTCTCTACTTCCTTCTTCCCCTGCAGTGAGAAGTGATCTCTGTCTCTTCCTAGTTCCCGGAGAGTCACATATGCACCTTTCCTAGAGCACAACAGGTAAGGGCCAGACTCTGGAGCAAGATGGTCTGAGCTCAAATCCTGGGCTGGCCTCTTACCAGCTGAATCCTGGAGCAAATTGTCTAACACCTTTGTGCTTCAGTTTCTTTATCTGTTAAATGGGATCAATAAGAGCACCTATCAGATTGGGTTTTTATGTGGCTTCTATGAGGTAATATATGCAAAGCTCTTAGAACAATGCCTGGGATGGCTTAAGTACTGTGGCCTGTGGTACTTTCCACCTGTTCCTTAACTACAGGGCCTGGAGGTCAGGTTCGCTTTGGAAAGGACAGTTGAAGAGGTCTAACAGCATCCAGGTGTCCTTGGCTTCACAGTTACAGCCCAGTTCCTCACTCTCCTTTGTCCTGATATTTTAAATGTCCAAGGGAACTGGGTCTCACTGTCACACTTGATCAATGCAAATCCCTGTGGAAATGCTAAATTCTCCCCAAGCTGAAGGGGAGAGCACAAAAGAGAAACATAGGTACTGGAGCTGCAGGCAGGAGGGGCCTGGGAATGTCTCCATATGCCAGGGACAAGAAGAGGTGGCATACCAGGGTGGCCACATGGAGAAGGGGCAAAAGGGTAAATGACACAATTCTAGAAGACTTTATTCCCATTTCATCAGACATCCTCCAGTGCCCCTCCAACTAGGGTGGCAAGTTCTGTGCTAAGCCCAGGCCTGCCCCACTGACAGTCTATGCTGGGCAACAGAGTGGAGGAGGCCTTGGGCCTCGCTGCCAAGCAGCCACTGGCCATGTGTGGCTACTGAATACTTCAACTGTGGCCAATCCTAACTGAGATGTGCTCTAAATAAAAAACACCCACTGGATTTCAAATGCTTGAAAGGCTTGAAAAAAAAGTTATTGACCTTTTTTTCAATAATATTATTGAGATATAAATCTCAGTAATTTTTGTATATTGATTACATGTCGAAGTTACATTACTTTGGATGTAATGAGTGAAAAATATAATATTAATTAATTTTATCATTTCTTTTTACTTTTCTTAAGGACTACTAGAAAATTTGAAATTACACATGAGACTCTTTTTATATTTCTATTGGACAGCACTGTCTCAGATCTACCCAGGCAGGGAAAGAGCCCCTGGCTGTGGATACTTAGGGCCCACTCTTTCCTTCTCTTCCTTTTCCCATTTATTCATTTACTCAGTGAGAATTTATTGAGCACTAACCTATAAGTCAGACACCATTACAAGAGCTGGAGAGACAGAGACCCAAACAACACATAAACAGATAAGTGGATTATATATAATTGCGCCAAGGTTTATGAAAAAAATGACGAGAGTGACTGGGGGGTCAAGAAGAGGAGAGACATTCATAACCTCTTTTCCTTGCTGGCTTCTGCCTTCATTAATCTGAGAACAAGCACCATAGTGATTTTCTGTGGCCTCAAAATTATAATTTTAGCTATGTTATAGACATCTTAAACTGCAGGCTGTGTTAACCTAAAAAACTCCTATTCATCTTCCAAAACCCTATTTATACATCACTTTCTAAGACTTTCTTGCCTTCATAACAGAGTTAGTGTATAGTACTTCTGTACCTTGTACAGATTATGTTATTGGGCATCTCTATTCCATAAATATTAGCATGAGCTTACTACTTACTAGGCACTTTCTAAGGCTGAAAACCAATAACAAACCAATAACAAGTAACAAACCAATAACAAACCAATTGGGTTTGTTACTAGGCAATTTCTAAGGCTGGAAACCAATAACAAAGCAGATGATGTCTTTGTTGTGTGGGGTTCACACAGGCAAGTAATTATTTGTTTACTTGCCTGTCTTTCCTAGTAGACCACAAGTGCCTCAAAAGATGGGAGACATCTTTGTCTCTGAGTGCCTAGAATCTTTATGATACTGCCTGGCACATGGTAGGAGAGCTAACAATTTTTGATAAATGAATGAAAAAAATGAGAGAGGAAAGAAAGTCTAATGTGATGATGGTAGGAAGGTTTTGGGTAACCATATTAGTGACTGGGCTAAGGAAATGTCTCTTCCATGGCCTCCTTTGGTGCCAGGGAACACAAATTCCAATATCTCCTCACCTTTCCTGGCTGCTGGTGGCTGAGACCAAAGACTATGGCCAGTGTTGCCTTAGCCCCAGGAGCCAGGTCAGGCTGCCTGCATAGTTTGGCTCCCACCCAAGCCTTGGCTGGCTGCTCAGAGCTGTACTGATCTGGTGACCCTTTTCACTTTCTGAGCTGTAAGATTAGGGCACAGTCCCAGTCCCCCTAACCTCCATGGGGTCAGCGACCCCTTGGGAGCAGAAATGACTAGATAGCCACTGGGCCAGAGGGCAAAACCTAGGTATCAGAGGGCTTACTCTTATTAATGATTTTGTATTTGTGGGGCATTGTTAATTACTCACATTTACTAACTTCTGACTAGATGCCAGGTACTGTTCTAAGCACTTTACACATACTAATCCTTGCAATAACCCTGTGAGGAAGTTACTGTTATCATCCCCATTTTACAGACGAGAAAACTGAGATTCAGAAATGTTAGTAACTTACTCCAATCACGCAGACAGTAAATGGCAGAGATGGGATCAATATCTCACCTCTCTGTACAGGGCATTGTGCTGAACCATCACCTGTTGATGCACTCGTGGATTGTTTTCAGTTTCTTGCTATAACAAACATTGCCACAGCACAGGCTT
Organism: Homo sapiens; assembly: GCF_000001405.40. NCBI lineage: Eukaryota > Metazoa > Chordata > Mammalia > Primates > Hominidae > Homo > Homo sapiens. Next base: position 33,225,187 of record NC_000017.11, on the reverse strand, counting down.
GGTATTCAACATATGCAACGATTTCCCCAGGATTGCTGAATCAAAGCCATCAAGGGTTTTTCATTTTGATAGAACGCTGGTCTGCCCTCCCAAAAAGGCTGACCTGTTCATACTCAGGAGGTGCCTTTTCTATGCCAGGTCTCCCATTAAGAGCAGCAGAGATGGGAGTGGGTGGAGAGACAAGAGGCATCTATCAGCTCCCCATCAGACTCTGTCCAAGGGACTGGGCACTCAGTCTGGCAGCATTCTCTGTAGAGTTACTCCTTCTCCCAGGGAAGGAAGGCATTGGATCACTTCCTACCACCAGTAGTACCTGATACTTATAGCTTTGCCCACCTATACCCCAAATCATGTCTGGCCAGTGGGTATAGGGCAACATGATCTGAAGTCCCCATTAATAACTGAGCAACTGCAGGCCTCTTCTGCAACCCCAGCTGCCAACACTGTCAAGCACTGATGCAAATGCCCATATCATAAGTCATGAGGATTAAATGGAACAAGGTGTGCGTCCATTTTCTCCTTGCCTCATTGAATGGCAGTGAGAATTCGATAAAATGGCTCAAAGGAGGCACTTTCCTCCCCTCCTCCCTGTTTCCACATGCATACATTCATTCATTTATTCATTCATTCGATATTGATCCAGCTCTTCCTTCTAGTTAGATCCGTATTCTTGCTCTCTATATTTTAGCCAATTTGTTGATCGACACACTTCCACCTTCTCTGAGAGCAACATCACTTTACCTTTCTCCTCTTGATCTCACTCCTCTGACCACTCTCCTCCCCTCTCTGCCACCTTCTGCTCCTCCAAAGCACACTAAGTTCCTTAGCCCAGACCATAGTTTTCAGAAACAGATGTGGCGTCTCTGCACATTCAGGTGCCACAGCTGGAGATTACCAATAATCATCGTATTTTATATCTGGCCTCATGAATAATTCAAAGCCCAGAAAGCAAGTGCATAATAATTAACACAAGACAGAGAGAACGCCAATTCTAACACAGCCCCATTGGTTTTATGATAGGATTTGCCAAGCTTACATGCACAACACCTGACCCTGTGTTCTTGGCTTGCATCTGAAGTTGTTTTCCATATTGAGACAACGTGTCCAAGCCTCATGTAGTCCACAATGAGAGCCCTTTCCCAGAAGCTGGTCTATTAGTAAAATCCTTGAAAAGAAATCAAATGGAGGTGCCTGCAGATCCCTGTCCTTTCTAATGTCATGTGCAAAAATCTGGTGTCTGTGACCAGGACTTCATTGCCCTTTGACTTATCTTCTCCCAGCAAACCCTGTCCCTCTAAGACAGAGTCTAGGTCTCTACTCTCTGTGATCCCGGCCCCATGTAGGTCCTAGCAAAGCATCCGGCATGGAGGAGGCTCCTAGTAAGATTTGGGGTGCTGCGCTTCACTCGCACTGTCCGTCTTCTCTGCAATACTGCCACCCCATTTCTAAGAGAGCCGTAATGGTGGTGACCTTAACACTTCCATTTTAGGCTCCTTTGTCTCAAAGCTCTTTGGCTTGATACCAAATATTATATAAGGAAATATTTAAATGCGCCAGTCAGATTCCCTTTTTGAAGCCATGCTGGAACTCTTTTCACAAAGTACACTAATTAATTTGGTTGATAACCTCAAATGTTTGGATGCTTGTTGACTTTTCCTTTAAAAATAACTAATCTGCTCTTAAGGGACATACATTAGAAAAGGGGGGCCGGGCATGGTGGCTCACGCCTGTAATCCCAGCACTTTGGGAGGCTGAGGTGGGCAGATCATTTGGGGTCAGGAGTTTGAGACCAGCCTGGCCAACATGGTGAAACCCCCGTCCCTACTAAAAATACAAAATTAGCCAGGCATAGTTGCACACATCTGTAATCCCAGCTACTCAGGAGGCTGAGGCAGGAGAATCACTTGAACCCTGGAGGCGGAGGTTGCAGTGAGCCGAGATCACGCCACTGTACTCCAGCCTAGTGACAGAGAGAGACTCCTTCTAAAAAAGAAAAAAGAAAAAGAAAAGAAAGAAAGAAAAAAAAAGAAAAGGGGGAAGGAGATGGTTGTCTGTGTTTTGGTTCAGTTCTGTGAGAACAGGTTGGCATCTAAAATAGGGTTAATTAGGCCTTTTAGTACATCAAAGCGTTTTTCTGAACATGGCTCTCTGGTGAGAATCTGATTTCCTAGTATGAACCCGGCTCCCTGATGTGAACCTGACTCCCTAGTGAGAACAAGGCTACCTGGTAAGAAACTGGGCTTCTGGTTAGAATTGTTTTCCCTTGTGTGATCCTGGATTCCTGATGTGAACTGGCTATCTAGTATAGACTAGGTGGTCAGGAAAAGTTTGTTGTAGGAATGAATGAATGGCTGATTGATGAACTGATTGATTGAGTACTGCTAGACTGTAGTTTCATTGAATAGTATTTTGCACAAGATGCTCTCTTTTAAGAAACATATAAATATATTGACTAGATTACAAATCCCCATGCTACAAACATTCCTGTTTATTTATGTGAACAGCAGGCCAGCATTAAGCCAGGGGAGTGGAGAAAGCTCTTGTTGGAGCAGAGGCAAGAGACAAATATCCTCTCAATTGCTCTGCTTAATTCTCTTTTTAAGGAAGCTTTATTGAGATATAATTTGCATGCCAATTCACCCATTTAAAGTGTGCAATTCAATGTTTTGTAGTAACATACACAAGGACATGCATCTATCACAGTAACAGAATTTTAGAACAACCCCCTGCTAAATAAACCCATGCTCATTACTGTCACTGCCCATTCTCCACAGCCCTAAGTATTCATTAATCTACTTTCTATCTCTGTAGATTTGCCTTTTCTGGACATTTCCTATAAGAATCATACAACCTGTGACCTTTTGTGTCTGACTTCTTTCACTTATAACGTTTTAGAGGTTCATCCATGTTGTAGCATATATCAGTACTTCATTTTTCATTGTTAAATAATATTCCACTATATGGATATATTACATTTTATTTAACTATTCATCAGTTTTGTTGCTTAACTGTTACTGCAGTAGATGGAAAGCCATGAGTTGTGACTAAAGACACAAGAATTCCCCCAGTCACTATGTTCCCTTTTAACTACAAAAAGCATCCCAGGTATCAAGCCACCATACTCTCTCTTTGTTGCACTACAGAGAACCCACCTAATCCTAGGGAATAGTTAAGTTTCCAGGATAGCCTTCCCAAACACACTCGATTCAAAATAGAGCCCTGAAGCATGATGGGAGGACCACAGAAGGCAGTAACAATAAGAAAATACAAATCAATCATCGGTGAAGTATAAATGATCAATAGCTATGAATGGTTTAAACATCTATCGGGCTAGCAGGGGAATCTGATCACCATTTATAACTTTGTTTTCATGAATAAACTAAATCTAAATTCTAAATAATTACCTTTAAGATGACCTTTCAGAAAAAAAAAGTATCTTACGATTTTCCTGTACAATAAACATATTTTAAAGCTCAAACAAAAATTAAATTATTTGGTCTATAAAAAGCCCAATTAGTAAATTCTTCATAATGCACATTATGGCTCTTTTATGAAGTCAGATCTGAAAGGAGTGAATTCATTTCATTGGGTCCTCTTTAAAATAAACATCTTAAATAACTTTGTTTTTCTTGTCAGTGCCAGGTAGGAGCAGAATTTAGAAGCCTAAAATCTTTACACAAACTCTCATCAGTTAGATTTCTTATTATTCTGAGGTCAATTGAAGATAAACTCAAATGTTCAAGTCAGTCAGGAAACAAAAACAACGGTCATGTTGGTTCCTGGTCCTTGAAGATTCTACCTCTTTTGTTTGGGGTAAAAATGTTTTATACCATTGTTTCTGAAAGCCAGATCATTTGCTGAATTTTTAATTTTTTATTTTTCGGTAATATGGAAGGGTATTTGAACATTCACAAGCACCCCAGAATGGCAGAGTTGTTCCTCAGATGTAGGAAACAGAAACCCAGAGTGGGAAAGTGACTTGGCCCAGATCTCATTTGGATTTACAACAGAGCCAGGCCTAGAACTGGCTTCTAGAATGAAAGAATTGAAGCCACTGTCCACTCCAGGGGTCTGCCTACACCTGGCATTCTTTATTTTACTTTATTTTATTTTTTTTGAGACAAGTTCTCTCTCTGTGGCCCAGGCTGGAGTGCAATGGTGTAAGTCAGCTCACTGCAAACTTTTCCTCCTGGGCTCAAGTGATCCTCCTACCTCAGCCTCCAGAGTAGCTGGGACTACAGGCGTGCACCACCACATCCAGCTAATTTTTGAATTTTTTGTTTTTAGAGACAAGGTATCATCATATTGCCCAGCCTGGTCTCAAACTCCTGGGATCAAGCAATTTTCCCGCCTCGGCCCCCCAAAGTACTGGGATTACAGGTATGAGCCACGGCGCCTGGCCCTACATCTGGAATTCTTTAAGCATCTCATGGGGGATAGTAACACACTTCTACAGAGGAGAGTACTAGAAAGCTGGAGGAAGTGGAGAGATGGAGAGGTGAGATCAATAACATGTATTGACCAGGAATTAGGCCGGGTGCTTTGTATACATTAACTTATTTAATCCTCAAAAAATTCTACCCAGTTATATATTTTTCCATAGATAAAGACATTGAAACCTAGAGAAATTAAATGAATTGCCCAAGGTCATACAGATGCTATAATAGTTAGGAGATCCAGGATTTGGACCCAAAGCCTCGAGTCTCCTGTCCTTTCCAGGTGTATTCACTTCTCCCAAGGGGCGGGAAACCACGTCAATGGGGAAGTGGGGATGGTTAGCAAGGAGAACAGGAGACTCTAGGGGAAATGACAGTGGCCTTCACACTTTTTTAGAGCTCTCAGAGGCAAAAGGGGCCACTGTGCAAAAACTGCTGGAAGTATATTTCATGTCAATAGAAGGAAGGCCTTTCCAACAGCTGTTTTCTATGTAGCACAGAATGCTTTGTGAGGTAGCCAACTCCCTATCCCTGGAGGCATGTAAACACAGGCTGGAAGATCAGTTGGGGAGGCCAGGGTGGGGCAAAGGCTCTGGTCTCTATTCTAGAGTTAAACTAGGGGTTTTCTTCGTGTCTCTTCCACTAACAGTGCCATATGAGACATTAGCAGGACTGTTAGACGTTAGCAGGGGTAGTCAAGAAAATGGTGTTCCTTTTTCATGACAGTAATTTTTTAAATGCTGCTTTTTATTGATTGAATATTTCCCCTGGAGACTTAACCCCCATGGGACATCTGCACTGTTCTGTGGGTCCTCTGGCAGGGAAGAATGTGGCATGTCCATGACCCTGCTCTGCAGAGCCCAGGGGACCCTGAGAACATCCTGGGAATGAACAAATGGCTTGCATGATCTAGCAAGTCAGACTTGACTAGGCTCAACAGAGCCAACGATTTTCTCTAACATAGACAACCCAGGGCCCTTCAAAAGGAACTTGTGTGCCCACTCTGGTAGCGGGATTTTATGCAAGCCAAAATTCCCACGCCATTTGAACCACCGAAACTTTTCCCCCATCTCTGATACTACCCATGAGCATCTCAGAAGACCCCAGAGTCCCGCAGGACACAGTTTGGGAAATGCAGGGGCTTAAGACTACGGGCTTTAAAGGCAGAAGAACTCAGGTTCAATTTTTGGTTTTCTCATTTGCTGGTCTGAGCTTCGGTGTTTTCATCTATGAAGAGGAGACAGCAATGACTGTCATAGTGTTGTTGGAAGGCTTCAAGGAGATAATGGATATAACATGCTGAGAGTGGACCTGTTGTCTACCAAGGAGGCAGGAAATATGTATTGGGGCTGTTATTTATTACCTCATAGGCATTAAGTGTATTACTTCATCAGGTCATCGTGAAGATTAACTGAAGTAAGATATGAAGTAATGTGTGTAAAGTGCTTGGCATCAAGGGGGGCTGCCTTCTGAATGCTGGTTTGCCTTTCTTCCTCTTCTCTCTGGGCACTAGTAGCTAGCTAGTAGCAGATTTCCTGTGCCGGGAAGCCATCAACTACTTAGAATATGGAACATTTCCCATCTGCTTGTGGCTGTTCTGGAGAAGGTGACATTCTAAGCTTCATCAGGCCCTGGAGTTTTTAAGTAATTGAAGCACTAAGAATCTGAAGTGACTCACCCTATGCTGTTTATTCTGGTCTCGTTTGCACAAAAGAAAGGAAAATCACCAGCTCTAACCACCCACTGCAAAATGTTAGAGATCAGAATAGCTGGAGAAAATACCAAAAATAATTCGCCCAGCCCAGTTCAGCTCTCCCTTCCACGGGTGTGGTTGGAAAACATGCGTGGCAGATCCTGAGTCATCAAATACAGTAGCCCCCCCGCCCTGTTATCACTGTGTCCCCTGAAGGGGTGAAGTGGTAAGGAGAGGAGAGTGGAAGGAGTGAGGAGGGAAGAGAGATGCCCCGAGCAACAACCTGATCGGATTTACCGTCCCTGCTGGAGGCAAAAGGGAAAATGGGTTTTTAAGTCCAGTCTCATTGACTGAACACCTACTGTGTGTGAGGCATGCTGCTGCCACAAACCATAGGATAGAGTCATGCTCCTGCTCCCACCCCCACCCCGGCAATGCTCAACTTATAATAATGATAAGAATGATAGTGGATGCTCCCACTTAATAGGCATGTCCTATGAACCAGGCACAGCCTTTGGCATATTCTCTTCTGCATCTCTATTGCAGTCCTTCAAGGCAGGAGTTATTACTCACTTCTTAGGGAAGGTGAAGCGGAGACTTATTCACCCAACAGACTTTGAGTTCCACTGTGCCGGGCACTGGGCTCGATGTGAGAATGCTCAGATGAATAGAACACAGGCTGTCAGCTGAGCAGAACAGTCAGAGGGCTTTCCCAAAAGCAGGAGAGAGCACATGTCGAGCCCAATTCTCTGCACCTCAGACCTGGGCCTGCCCCGCAGCATCAGGAAGCCACCATCAGAAGCCCCACCCAGGCTTCTAGATTCCCAGGGATGGGATGTGAACTTCCCTCCGAGGCAGCCGTTGCACTGCAGAGGGGCAGACTGAGAACACAGCCCACAGTTCTGTGCCAGAGTCAACAGCACGGCCGATTTATTTTAAATAAAAACATTTAAAAGCATGAATTGCATTACGTAGCAAAGAAGACTTTGTCTTTGCCATTACGGGAGGTTTTGCTGCAGAAATTACCATACTACTATACAGAAATATCACAAGGCTGGGTTACGCCAAGAGGGCTTCTGCGCACAGTGTGGAATGCCAGACAGAGCTGGACCTGTCATTTTGGGTCCCTTTTCTCAAGACCCAGAGGGGAGCTGCTACTTAGCACACCCATGAGCCAGAGGGAGAGCCTCACTGCTCTAAAAGTCTCCGCAGAGAAAGAAAAGGAGAAACAGGCATGGAGTACCTACCATGTACTTGGTGCTTTACCTGCATTATCTCATTTAATCCTCCCAGGCTTACAAGGTGATGCTGTTATCTCTGATTTATAGAGAAGAAACCTGAAGTTCAAACAGGACAAGCCCAGAGTCACCAGGATGAGAGGGAACCTGGATTCAGCTCTGACTGGAGTTAGTCTGGGCTCTTTCTACGACCCAAGCTGTCAGTTCCTTTCTTTGGTTTACAAGGTGCTACTCCGGGGGAGTGGTGGACACAGAATGTTTAAAGGCGTTCAGCACAGCCTATGGGAAAGGGCAAGTACTCAAGAGGCAAAGACTCAGGCTCCGGGCTCGCTCAGCCATAACAAGTGTCATGATGGGAAATAGACTACGCAATCGTGCAGAGCCTCATCTGCAAAATGAGTACGTGCGTGTGTGTTTGTGTGTGTGTGCATTTCACAAATATACAAAAGCAAATCACAATATCACGATTCTCTTTGCCTTTTGAGGGAAGGTCTCCTGCAGAAAGACGTTCAGCCTTACATCCCTGAGAGCTTCCCAGAAACCACTGAACTTTTATAGCTCTCTCACTTGCCACCCTTCATATCCCACATCCATTTGGGGTAACCATCCATCAGAAGGAAGTGCCTCTAGGAAACAGGGCCTTTTGCTGTCCAAGAGCAGGGGCTCTCATCACACAAACCCAAAGTCTAAATTATATTTTGTTCACTCAAACTACCCTTTAATTTACTGTAACATTCAAGCCAGCAAAAACACATAAATTAGCAATGACAAATATTCTGACAGTCACTGGGAGTTCCTCCCTCTCCCTAACCCTCCACATCCAATTAATTTTCAAGACCTGTAGCTACTGATTTACCACCTAAATCTCCCTCCCAACTGCCTCCCTCTCTCCATGGCCACCCCTTCACTGTTTCTCACCTCAATTATTCAAACAACCCCCTGACTGGTTCTCTCTATGCTCACCCACACTATCAATTGAACCACCCACCGTCTCACTTCCACTCTGCAGCCAGAGTGATCCTCATTAAAGTCTAATTCTGTCATGATCCTCTCCTCTTTAAAACCCTCTTGGGGCTCCCCATCACCTTTCAAATAAAATGAAAACCCTGCCACATGGCATCTATAGTCCCTGATGATCCCAGCCATTCCCAACTCATTTCTTTCCTCCCCCAAGCATAGCACCCTCATGCCAGGCCACACTTTGGGGTGGCTCTTTGAAACCACCATGCTCTCAATGTCAATGTCTCCCCTTCAAGTCTTTGCAAACCCTGCTTGGATCAGCTTCCTTCCTTCCTTGCCTAACACCTCCTCGTCATTCAGGACATCTTATCTTCTAAGTCCGCTTCAGCACACTCTGTGCTGATCAGCCCTGAAAGCCTCTGCTCACTCCAGACAGCAAGAGTTGATTGGTTTCTCTCCCCTTCCAGACTGTGGGCCACTTGCAAACTGCCTTCCATCTCAGCATCCATAGAGCACAGCCAGCTGAATGAATGGATTATCCCTCATACGGTTTCGTTAATGTATCACTCTCTAGATGACGTTAGAGTTTTTGCTTAGACATCATGACATATTTATTAGGTTGATGCGCCGACCTAATAATCACAGAAGCTGAGGACAGAGAAACTGAAACTACTGCCAATCAATGGTCAATCAGAAGTGAAGGTCACTTGTCTCCTGAAATTATCATGTGATTCAATAAGAAAATAGGAATAGTTTATGGAATTTTAGTGTACGTTTGAATTTTAGGTCATTGGATTAAGTGCTGTAGACCTAAGTTTATTTGAAGGGACATTATTTTTAAATCACTATAAAAGCCACATGTGGCCGGGCTTGGTGGCTGACGCCTGTAATCCCAGCACTTTGGGAGGCCGAGGCGGGCGGATCACGAGGTCAGGAGATCAAGACCATCCTGGCTAACACGGTGAAACCCCGTCTCTACTAAAAATACAAAAAATTAGCCAGGCGAGGTGGCGGGCGCCTGTAGTCCCAGCTACTCGCGAGGCTGAGGCAGGAGAATGGCGTGAACCCGGGGGGCGGAGCCTGCAGTGAGCCGAGATCGCGCCACTGCATTCCAGCCTGGGCGACAGCGAGACTCCGTCTCAAAAAAAAAAAAAAGCCACATGTATATTTAAAACATTTGGGAAAATGCATTTAAAAGATGATTCCTAATTCCAGAAACAAAACCTAACCACTAATATACTGGTTTAATTTCTTTCAGGCTTTTTTCTCTGTCTAGGCTTAATGTTTTAGATTTTTTAAATATCAATTTTAGATTATTCTCTGTGTATCATTTTGCAAGCCACTTTTTTCCTTTATAACATTAACATTTTCATGGTATTACATACCCATAATTCAATGACTACATAAAACTCCATTGTGTGGATGTTTCATAAATTACAACTCATTCTTCTGTCAGATATTTAAATTGTTTCTACTACTTCTTTATCCTGGATAGTGCTAGGATACATAATTTCAAGACTCTTTAGGATAGATTCCCAAAAGCATAATTACTGAACAGGAACATTTTTAAGGCATTTGATAGGTGCCATCTGTTTTCCAATCAGTTGCCCAAATGTACCCTCTCCCCAGAATCGTATGAGAATCCCCATTTTACAATACTTTTCCCCACATGCAATCATTCTTTTAAAGTATCTATTCTATTTTGACTGGTGAGAGATCATTTCACACTGTTTTGCTTTTCATTTTGGATGAAGAGTGTGAGACCAAGCATCTTCCATATGTTTACTTCTTGGTGTATTTCCTCATTTGTGAATTGTGACAGGGCTTCGTCTTCATGTATAGGGAAGCCTCTTAGTAGAGAAAGTGAGCATGAGCCAGATGCAAGAATTCAACCCTTGCCTCCTTTTGCCAGCTGTGTGACTCTGGGTGTATGTCTGTAGCTCCTGAGCTTCTGTTCTCTGGTCTGTGCAATTAGAATCCTAATCCTTTCCTGGCAAGTCTGTTGGGAGGATTAAGAAGGTGGCTACTTTCACCCACCTAGCACAGCAGCTGGCATGCAGCAGACATGCAATTTTAGTTTCCTTCTTCTTGAGCTCTGTGGTTTCTGTCATTCCCTCCAGGTGACCCCTTAGGTCCCTGTGACTCTGGGATCAACAGCATCGGCATCACCTGGGAACTTATAAAGGCAGAGTTTCAGGCCACCCCAGACCTATCACATCAGAATCTGCATTTCAACAAGATCTCCAAGTAGCTCATATGTACAGTAAAGTTTGAGGCACTCTGATTTAGGCTTTGAGATTGAAGATGATGGTATGCTTCCCAGACACAATAACCAGCACCAATTGAAGGATAAAGGGATAGATTTAGGAGCCTGGTGCCAGGGAGCTCTAATATACCACCTCATCCACACATACACAATGTCTGCCAGCTCCAGAGGACAGAGAGGATGAGCAGATTCACCTATTCCCTTAGAAGTCAGCCCAGGAGGCTGCAGCCACTGAGAAGTCAGCCTTCAGGCCATCAGCCCAGTGTTGTATTATGTGTCTGAAAAAGAGGAGCATCTTGGGGAGGAGACAGCCAAGGGTACAAGTAAGAGGGTGTAGTCTTGGTGGGATGTAGCACCTGACCCCATATCATGCTGACATTCTAATTTATTGCTGGGTTCCCAGAGCTGCTGGCAGAGGCCTCAGATGGGAGCCAGGGATGTTTCTGAGCTTGGATAGCAGGCTTTTTGCCATTTAGGTCCCAGTCATTGTGCATGCCATGCTACCCTGGGCACGAGAGATGGACAAGAACTTAACCCCACACTTGGCAGAACAACCAGGTGGGCTCAGGGAAGTGTGCACATTATACCATCAAGGATCGCCTGCCACATAGGCTCAGCCCCCCTCAGAAAGAATAACAGCAGCACACTCACCTCTGGGTGTCATATCTCTGGGTTATTGATCATATCTTGTTATTCTCTCAACTTGTGAGAATGCCCAGAGGGGCCAGGGAGAGAATCAGTATTCCAGGGCTTGGACCACCTACCTATCCTGTCTCATTAAACCTTGCGTCAACCTTCTGATGAGCAACCCCATTTTCCAGAGACACAAACTAAGAATCGGTGAGATTGGCAGCTGGAACATCCAGCCTGGGTGGAAAGAAGGGGAAAGGGGGAAAGAAGGGGAGCTCACCAGCTCCACAGAGCTATTATCACTCACCCAGTTGGCAGATCAGAAAGCTAAAGTTGAAACATTTAAGACACTTAGAGACCGCAGGACGATGGTAACAGGACCTGAACTAGGGACTAAGCTATCAGGAACCTAGGTCATGGTCTTTCAGTTAAGCCATGCTACAGCCACTGAGCTTCACTCCCAGGCCTTGTCTCATCATTGTTGCAAGGCCCAGCTTCCAATGGCTAAAAGAACAGGCCCATGAAAACTCTGAGAGTTCTGGCCACTAACACACCCACTGCTGAACCCATCATCATTTCCTTCTCTTCCCTGAAATTGCCAGCCCCTCTTGTTCCTGCAAGCTCATCTTCAGAGCCTTCAGATCTACGAACCACCAGGGCTTGTTTCTGGTCTTTCCAAGCAAGGTTTTTTTTCCACCTTCAGTTCTTAGGACCAGTCTATGCCCACCTCCTGGCCCTGGCAGCCAGAGAAATCTTCCCATATTAATGTGCATTGGAGCTTCCCCCTGTGGGATTGTTATCCAGCCTGCAGCTTTGAGAGGCCAACACAAGGAGCCTCAAGACCTGCTTTCATAAAAGCTGAATGAAAATAATCTGCACAGAGTGTGTTTTGGATGCTCTTTTAATGGGCTCAATATTCTACCCAAACTGTGTTTATACGATTAGTTTGCTTAGCACATAGATATAAAAATCTGGGGGCGGGATCTGAGAAGTCACGACACTTGCAGAGAAATAAAGTGTTTTATCCAAGATCACAGAGAAAGTGGCTGGCAGAGCTGAGACAGAACTCCAGTGCTTGAGCCTGTGCTGGCCTCTATCACTCAGTTACCTCCTTTTCTTCCATCAGGGGGCAAAGGAATGCTTGTCCTAATTATAGAATGCATTGGTTCAAATTGAAGTCAATGTGGCTAGGAGGAGTAGGATAAGGGAAAGGGGAGGGAGCAGAGGCCCCTGCTCAGACCTCCTGTGCTTAGAGAGAGCCAAGGACACCTGCAGGCCAGCCCATTCCTTTCTTGCCCTTGACACATGCTTCTCATACCCCATTCCTTTCTCATATTGATGTCTTGATTCATTTCTCTTCCTCTTGCTTTGGAAAGTGTGTGTTTCCTATTGCTGCTGTCACGAGTTTAGTGGCTTAAAACAACAGAAACTTATTCTCTTACAGTTCTGGAGGTCAGAAGTCTGAAAGGAGTCTTGCAGGGCTCAAATCAAGGTGTGAGCAGGGCTGGCCCCTTCTGAAGGCTCCCTGGAAGAATTCATTCCTTCCTCTTCCGGCTTCTAGGGGCCGCCACATTCCTTGGATTGTAGCCACATCACTCCAATCTTTGCTTCCATCGTAGGTGCCATCTCCTCTTCTGTGGTCACATGTCCTTCTGCCTCCCTCTTACAAGGACCCTCAGGACTACATTGAGATCACCCAGATAATCCAGGATAATCTTCTTATCTCAAGGAGCTTACCTTAATCACATTTCCCAGGTTCCTTTTGCCTTATAAGGTAATATTCACGATTTCAGGGATTAGGACGTGGATATCTGTGCAGACAGTTATCCAGCCTACCACTCATAGTAACAAAATGTAATTCAAAGATTGGGAGCCTTAGAGACAGACAGGGAGTCCCATCCTAGCTCTGGCGCTTGCTACCTGTGTAACTTTGGGCAAAGTTCTGCCCTTCCTGAGACTCCTGTTTCCTCTTCTGTAAAATGGAAGTCACCCTTCCTGGGCCATAGTGAGGATCGATAGGATCCACACCAGGCACCCAGCATGGAGCTGGTGTACTGTAGGTGTTTAATGTAGGCAGCCAGGCACTAGGGGGATCCTGGAACCCGTCTTCACTGGGAAGGAGGGTATGGTGGTCTAGCACAGCCTCATTGATTTTAAGGATTCAGCAAATACTTTCGGGATGCAAGAGCCAATTGTGCAAACAGATCAGGACTCCATTATCCTGGAAATTAAGTTAGCACCAGGTCCATCTGGATTAGCTGGTAATGGAGGAGGCAAACTGCTGATCTGTGGTGAGAGAATTCTGAATAAGTGAGTCTGAGATAATGCAATATTGGGAATAGATGAACGGGGCTGCCTGCTCTGCCTGTTTCCCTGCTGAGAATCCCCAGCAGGTCAGATCTTCACTTTGATTTTTTTTTTTTTTTTTCATTTAAAGAGATGTTTACTTTATCCTATCTTTATTCAGATAAGGCATTTTTACTTTCCTCAGATCCCTGGGGTCACCTTGGTGGTGATGTCCCCCAATACCTAGCGTGCGCTGGTTAATGTTTAACGACCAGCTTTCAGGGAGGGGAGGAGTCCTGAGTGCCCATTTCCGTGATGTAAATGCCCCCTCCATGGCTGACTTGAAGCCATCAACATGATATCACCAAACACCAATTTGGGAAAGGTGAGCACAGCTCACCTGAGCTTATGCAAGCTGGGTCCAATACACAGCTGCATCACCTTCAGCCTCATCCCTCTACTAACTACTCTCTCCACAAACCCCTTGGTCCGTGGAAGGGCCACACACTTCTGCGCTGTCACACATGCTATCCGTCACCCCTGGAACTGTCCCCATTTTCCACTACTGAAAATCCTCTTTGTTCTTCAAGCCTGGACTCATTAAGTCCACCACATGAATTAATCCCCTCTTTCTCTGTACCTGACAGGGCATTGCTTATACCTTTATTTGGCATTTCTTTCATCCTGCCTTGCTATAGACAGCTAAGTCATCAAATGTCTGTCTTCCTGGTCAAAGACTGAAAGCCACATACTGGCTCTGGGAAGAGTCTAGCCTGAGTCAAATCCCTCTAAGTAGTAGCTTCATGACTGACTCAAAGCCCACTAGTTTCTCAAGTGGGAAACAAGGGTACCCGCCCACGCCTGTTTTCTTTTGAGGAATTCCTGGGAGGGTATATAGGGAGCATCTAGGCAGGGTCCTGCACACGATGGGTGTGCCCTTTGTTATGAAGGGTGAGGCTTTCCTTTGGAGGGCAGGGCCAAGCCTCCCTCCTCGTTGTCTGCCCCCATATTCCCTGCTAAGTAGAAGGTGCTCACTCAGCCAGGACTTGAAATTAAATCCCTCAGCATGTGCGATGCAAATAGAGATGGTGGGGAATTGCACCCTCAAAGGTCTGCAGCTGGCCTCCAGTCTCACCCATATGGGCTGAGCTTTCACAGTCTCAGGCATTCTAGCTCAGCCTGGCAGCCTGGGTTGGGGGGTGGAGGGGATGAGAGTGCAGATGGAGAGTTTTCATGCTGGTTTAATCTTGCAGACATCATAGATAACTTGCAAATGTCAGATGTGATGCACACAATTTAGAAGGCAGGAAGGAATCTGGAGATATTAAGATATTTACTGGACCACATGAGGAAGTAGGCTCAGCTCAGAGGCGGCTCATATTTTCATTAGCTGAAGCTGAGTGAACTTGAGCAGCTTAAAGTCTTCATAGAAGCTTCCCATTTTCTTATTCTGGATTTGAGTACAGTTGTTTCATTATGCAGAGTAATGTTGCCTAATGGGTACTGGCTCCACTGGTGTCTGTGAGGTGGAGAAACATGGGCGACGTGGGGAAAGTGGCCACTCAGAAACTTTCTTTGTTAATTGGATCCCAGAGACTGTAAATGACCCCCAGTGGGTGGGGGCATTTGCTGCTTACACTCCTGCACTCTGTCTCTTTTCCCTCTTCCACTTCGGGGTTAAAGTTAGAGGTTTCTGGATTCTGTGCTCAAGACCAAAACAGACCAAGTCAGGAGTTGTTCCCTATTTGGACATAGTTTATGGGAAGCCAGGTGAATAATTACACCAGAGCTGTGACTGGTCAGTTAGGTCAGCAGATGACGTGATGTTGGAAAACAGAGGAAGTGAGCAGCTGGTGAGGTCAGGGGATTCAGGAAACTCAGTCTAAGGACACTGGCTATGTTCATGCATTCATTTATTCATTCACTATTCACTCATGTATTCATGCTGTTGCCCAACCAATATTTATGGGGCACTTAACTTGGGTCAGGCACTAAGGATATGATCATAAGCAAAACAAACATGGCACCTGCCTTCCTATAGCTCAAGGCAGTGGTTCTTAAGCGGTGGCAGTTTTGGCCCCCACGGGACAATTGGCAGTGCCTGGAGACATTTTTGCTTGTCATAAGTAGGGGAAGCTACTGGCATCTGGTGGATAGAGGTCAAGGATGCTGCTAAATATCCTAAAATGCACAGGACTGTCCCCTGTCACAAAGAGTTATCTGGCTATAAATGTCAATAGTGCTGAGACTGAAAAACCATGGTCTAGAGGCTTTAAGGTGGGACATTCCTTTTTATGCAACATGGGTTTTTTTTTCCCCCACAAGGACAAATTATTTGTATGGCTGACCTATAGACTTGCTCATAAGTTGACAAAAAACAAAACTGGAACAACTTATAAATAAAGTTTTAAATATCCCAGCAACCAGAATAATAGCCTCTATCTCTGTGACATGGCAGAAGACTGGGAGAAAGAGTCAGAAAGTCTTAGCTCAGGGTTAGTGAGTAAACCCTAACGGATGTCATGTAGGATGGTAGTTAACAGCATGGGCTTCCTGGGCTTCGAGGCTTGAGTTCTGGCTCTTCTACCTCTAAGAGTGATCTTGGGCCATTCACATAACCTGCCACCAACTCATAAAGACAAGCAGCTGATCCAAATAAATACACACCAGAGCATTAGAAGGCAGCCAAATGCACTGGCCCTGGAAACATATATAGAGAAGGCCGGGAAATGAGACAGGAAAGGAAGGCAACCAAAAACAAGTACACTATGAATCAAGTCGGCACCATGGACAATTGGAACTCCTCCACACCTCTGCCCATCACTGTCATCTCCTTAGCTTATCCTTCATTTTTTCCATTCAACAGATATTTACTGAGCATCTGCTATGTGCCAGGCCCTGTTCTGAGGGCTGAGACTACATCAGTCAACAAGACTGATCATGTCTTTCATAGATCCTGCATTTTACATAGAGAACAAGTTAATAATAATAATAAATATAATAATAATAATAAGCAAATATTCTGCAAATACAAATTTTATGATAAAAATAGAATAAGGTGATTAGATAGGGAGTGACTGACTTTGTTGGTCAGCAAACCAACCTCTAAGGAGGTCACTTTGAAGCTGAAACCTAAAGGAAAAAGAAAAAGTAAGCCAAGCAAAGCTCTGAGGGAAAGAGCATTCCAGGCAAAGTGCCAGCAAGAATGAAGGTGTCCCAAGGGAGGGAAGTGCTCCAGGTGTTCAGGGAGCAGAAGATGTAGGACTGCGGCACCGAGTCTGGGATGGGTTGGGGAGGGTGGCAAGCCCTGAGTAAGGAGCTTGCATTCTGTTCTAAAAGAACTAGATGGCCAGGGGAGGGGATTTAAGCATTGTAGATTGATTACCCCACCTGGAATCATGTTCTTGACTTTAACCTTCAGTAACAGATTTGTAGTATTTTTCCTCTGCATCTTCACACCAACACCAGCAGGTAAGATGCACCTTCCCAAACCCACCTCAGTCCCCATGAAACAAACACATCAAGGTTATAACCAACACCCTTCCCTTTACCTCCCCCAGTCAGGGGGTCAGGGGATAGGACACAGCCTCTCACTTCTCCATTCACTCATCCACTCACCCCATAAGCCATCACTGAAACCAGTCTTAGTCTGGCTCCTCTAGAAGCAGACTCTGAAAAAAGGACAAGTAGTTTATTTGGGAGATGATCCCAAGAAACACAGATAGGGAAACAGGGAAATAAGACAGGTAAGAAAAACAACCAAAACCAGGTACATTATTAATCAAGTTGGCACCATGGGCCATTGGGACTTAATCCCACTGGGATCTCCAGGAGCCAGGGTGGAGCATGCACTTGGAGTTCTCCCACCTGAAGGGTGATGGAGTCTTTGGTGGAGAGCAACTCCTGAGAGGCACCTACTTTCTAGCACTTCTGGCCAACAAGTGCTCTTGGCTCTTGGCTGTCAGAGAGAGCCCTTGGATAAAGAAATGCAGGTGCCGATGGTTGGAAACGGGGCCAGTGTGCACTAAAATGGTTAAGTCCAAGGCGGTATGGGCAGGACACTGAAAGCATCTGCTACAAGCCGCTTTTATTGCTTCATGCCATTCTTGGTGCTAAGAATACATAGATGAAGATGGTCTGGTTTGTTCTCTCCAGGAACCGACAGTCTGTCCCTGTTTCTTTTCTTGTCTACAATACAGGTCTAATAGTAATAAGGCCTACCACGCAGGGATGTTTTGAAGATTTGATGACATGACACATATGAAAACCCTGTGCAAATGAATTGTGGGTATAGACTTTAGATGTTATTATCATCATTCAGCAAGTGACTTTACTTGCCACAGCCTTAGCTTCTTCTATCTGTCAAATGAGAATAAGAATATTTGTTCTGCTTACTTCAGACAGCCATCAATGCTTTAAATGAAACAAAGAATGAGAAAGCGCTAGGATAAAGCGCCGTTCACCACTTCCGTCCGTCCTCTTCGCACTAAATGAATCGCTTAAGGACGGGGATATTGTGGGATTCTCCTTTATAAGCCCTTCTCCTCAGACTGAGTAGGGTGCCTGGCATATAGTTAATGCTCAGTAAATCCTGGTTGCATTTAATCAAAACCCACATCCATTGTCATTGTGAAATGGTCAGGGCGGGAATTATTAAACACAATTGACAGATGAGGAAACAAAGCCTCAGAAAAAGGGCAGGGGAGTGATGCTGCTAGAAAGGGACAGAGCCAGAAGGAGGATCCTATGGCTCCCCATCCCGTGAGCTCTCCACTACCACCTTGGAATGACCATTGTGGGGACACTCAAAAATCGAACAAAAATATTGATGTTTCCTAGGGGCAAACCAGCCTGCTGATCTTCTGGCAATTCTGATCTCCAGTAACTCATCCAGGATCAGTTTAAAAACAGCTTCTCCAATCTAGAGGTGTCTGGGTAACCCTGGAACTTCACCCTGTAGCCACTTTATTTGTATCCCCTCAGAGCCTCCCTTCCCCAATCAGAGACCAGGGCCATGGAAGGATACTCTGCCTTGGTTTGGACACACAGCTGAGTGCTTGTCTGGGGATAGAAAGCGGAAGACAGCCCCATCCAAGCAGAGTCACGGGACACCACCAACCACATCTGAGAGGCCTATACTCATAATTCATCAGTAAGAAATCCCTTCTTGGGCATGGCTTTGGGCTTGGCTTGACCTTGGGTTGACCTTGGTTCAAATCCCAGTGCCTCCATTAGTCCAAAGGCTTCACCCTTCTGGATCTTGGTTTCCTCCCCAGCCAAACAGAAACACTGCTTACCTCACTGGATTTTAGGAAGACTGAAAAGGATCATGAATGCAGAGCAGCCAACAAGTGGTGGCCTTCCCTCTCCCTCCCTCCCTCCAATCCCAGAAGTAATCACACCTGGGCCAGCTGGCTCCTTCGACCTCATCACCAAATGGGTCCCGAGGATTTATGAGGCAATATGATACCAAGCAAGCATTTCTGTTTCGTGGGAAGTATGATGCTGCTGTTTTGAGAGCAAACAAATATTAAAATTTAGCTCTTCTCCTGTCATCTAGGTTTGAGTCTCCAGGTGGCCTCCTGTGGCCATCCTGCATTTTTATGACTCTGGTGAGTTTCATTACAGGTGCTACTTCCTGGAAACTCATCTCCCATCCTGACCCTGAGAGCATTTTATTTGAAACATCAATCATAATTTAGTGTTGAGCTTTCTGTTTACATGTAACTATGTGCATTCTTGTTGCCAGATCCAAACCGTGGTCTCAGAATGGGGAATTAGGGGGTCTTTGTGGCCCAGAGAAGAATGAATGTTGTCAGCCCAATCAAATTATCTCCTGCTACCACCAGCATGGGAACCGTATGCCAAGAAACGGCACAGCCAGCGCAGTCCCAGCCCTGCGGCATGCCGGGAGCTCTGGAGGGAAGAAATGATGTCATATCACCAAGCCAAGATAAAGGTGTCAGGACCCAACCAGAACTGAATGGCCGGCTGCCTCCAGCAAGAGGCCAGTTGTACAAATTGCCAGGTTCAAGGAACTCCTGCAAATTCTAGTCAAGCGTTTCCCCAAGTATGTTCAGGTTGTTATAGGTATTATACCTACAACCAAAAAAGTGTTTGTTCCATAGTGAAATCTGTTTTCAAATGCTAAATTATGATATGTTGAACACTGTGTTTTATAGCAGTGCTTATTAGAACCTTTGATAAGTAAATTTGCTGGTGGATCTCCAAGAAGGATACATATATATGTACAGGGCTTTGTCAATTTCTAAAACTGAAAACCTTTTTGTCCTCCCAAAGAGCATCCAAAAGGACCAGTGTTCCCCAGAACATATTTTTGGAATTACTGATCCAGGCTGGCAGCATTTCCAGAGGCACAAGGCAGGGGCTTATTGGCTGTGCTGTTCTCAGAATCAGGTGATGCAAGGGGCACACAGGGTGGCTTTGAGGACTGACAAGAGAGCCCAGCCAAGCATCTGGCCTGTGGGGCCAGGCTCTCTTTCCAGCAGGGGCTCTGGCTAACTGAAAACAGAGAGAGGAAACTGCAGACTCCACAGAGCAAGGTTTAGAGAGGCTACTGCATGGTGATCAGGTGGCAACAAAAGGCTCTGTATCGGTGAGGGCACTTTTGGTTGCAAGTGAGAAAATGCCAGTCAAACTTTCTTAAGTAAACAAGAGACCTTATCAGGTCATGTAACTGAATAGTCCATTCAAGTAGACTCTTCTGACTTCAGGCATGGCTCAACCCAGGGATCAAATGCTGTCACCTGGATAAGGTTTGTCTCTCCATCTGGCTCTGCTTCCTCAGTGTTGGCTTCATTCATGGCCCTTCTGTCTCTTCATGATGGCTGCTAAAAATTCCCTATTCTGCATCCTTTCAGCTTCACATCCAGTGGAAATGAAAGCCCACTTCTCTAATAGTGGACATGTACATGTTCACACGCATATGCACACATGCACACACACATGTGCTAGAATTGAGTTTCACTGGCTGTAATTGGCCTCACTTGGGTCACATGCTCATGTCTGACCCAACTTGGCTGGAGGATGAAATGCACTGGTCAGTGTGGCTTACTCATGGTTGCCACTTTTGGAGTCTGGGTAGAGTCAACTTTATCTGAAGCACATGAGATGGGTGGAGGTGGGACAGGCGAGCCCTCAAGAGGAAAACTGGGGACTAGTTACCAGCAGGGTGAAATGGATATCAGGCAGTAGACACAACAAATATCCACAACAGGCTGTCTCCCTGCCTGACTCCCGGGGGTGGCAGCAGCTGATCTTCTCATCCTGCCCAGATGGCATGAAGGGCTCCTCATACTCTGCCAGGCTGGCTTCTCACTGACTTAGCAGCTGGACATGGGCTGAGCCTGCAGGTAACAAGAACGTAGTGACCAGAGCTGGACAAGGGGAGAGACAAGTAGGGCCTGCCTGGGAAAATGACAGGCTACATTTTTCTAGGGGATTTTGATATTCATGAGACAAAAGACCAGACAATAACCAGACTTAAGAGAAAGACCCCACATTGGTGAGGGAAAACATGACTGAGTGCAGGTCTCTCTGAAAGCCCAACTCTCAGAGGTAAGAGGAATCTAAGCCTCACTCCACCACTCCTCCAGGTCTCACCATTAGAAAATAGACACAAGGATCACGAGCTAGATGCCAACCAAATAGCAGCTTGATTCCAGGCCAGGTATATGTTTAATACCTCCCAAAATGCAGGGCTTTGGCCTGAGCCAGATTAGGGAACATGACTTACCTAAGGACGAAATAGGTATCTAATAACCTTCTCCCCTAACTTAGAACTTGGACTTTGCTTGGGGCAGTCACATTGTGAAAACCCTACTCAGCTAGACACTGGCCTGCCCCACATACTCAGAGAGAGAGTGGCAAGCCACCCGCAGCCAGGATCCCACTCCAGTGTGCTCACCCTATATGAGCAGGGACCTGAGGAGTGAGCCTGTACTATGTGCAGGGCAGGTCCCAGAAAAATAATAAAGGTAGAGTCCATCACCCACTCCTTAATAACATTGCCAACCCCGAGAATAAAGAGGCCACTGATGGTCATTCCCCCATCATATTAGCATCTCGCCTCAGTTGAGTGGAATAAAAAGGCGGGCAGAGGAGTAGATACTCCAGCCTCAGCGCTTCAAGAGGACAGAAGTGCTGGAGGAAGTTCCCTTCTTTATTAATGGGAGTGGGCACGTGGGGAGAGAAGGAAAACATTTCTTCGCATCATTCTACAGAGGTCCAGTTTCTTCTTATGAGGGCTCCAGTCAGTCCTCCAACTGTGTGGGCTGGACTCAGGGTGGAACCCCAGACTGGGTGGATCAGAGGAATTGCTACCCAGAATGCCTAAAAAAATAAGCTTTGAAAAAGCACATGGTTTTACACAGAGATGCATTATTATGCGCCAGAGGCAGGACTAAGCTTTGGGGCTATAAAAATCCACTGGATGTGATCCCTGCCTTCGGGCTGCTTCTGAGACAGACATGGATTCTAACACAACATAATACAGGCACTAGTGGAGCTATGGGTAAGGATGAAAGGGGCCATGGGCTCCTAGGTGTTTAGCCAAAAGGGGCCAATGTGTCTCTGGTTTAGCACGTGCAAATTTTCTGGGCTCACTGGAGCAGACACCACGTGCCACCTTTCTCGCTGAATCAAAGGGCTATCCTGTTGCTTTTTTTCTCTCTGGCGTTTGAAGTGCTGTGTGAGCAGGACGCAGAGGAGTGAGTGCCCAGCTCTATCCTATGTGTCCATGGAGCAGGGTGGTCCCCGGAGAAAAACAAAGACAGAGCCTATCCACCACCCACTCCTGAAGGACATGACCATCCCCCAGGGTAGAGAGAGGCCAATGAAGGTCACCCCCACCCATCCAGGAGCAAGCTCCAGCTGGAAAGATGAAGCTAAATAAAGCAGGAAGGAGCCATGTAGACACCCGCATTATTTAGGAAAATAACAATGAACTGCAATTATGTCTTAAAGTCACGTTCGCTCTCCATAGCAACTCTTATCTAGTTTTTAAATATATCTATAAGTTAATGGAAGAATGGGCTTCTGGGTGCATACTTTGCTTTACATTTTGTGCAAAGTCCTAGTCCAGCTGCCAAGTCCAGCAAGAGCCCTGCTGCACCCCTTGATGGACCCCCACGGGAGGTGCTGACCTGCTGGCCACACTGTGCACCCAGATGGGGCGGACAATCTCTAGGGGGATGAGGTCTCTGAGCCCTACACACACTGCTTCCCATCTCACACTTAATATCTTCCTGCTCTGAAATCCTATTCAAAATCTTCCCTAGAGAGAAAACCATTCCTTCTTCTAGCAGCCCAGTGACTCCAAACAGCCCATTTTCTCCCTCCCAAACTCATCACGCATAATGAACCCGCAGCTGTCCCTGTGGGGAGTTAGCTCCATTATTGCTCATGTGGCCAAAGACTACTCGCTGCTCGCTGTGGAGCCCATCCGCATCGTTGGTGTTTGTGCCACCTGCTGGTTCTGATGCAGGCAGGCCAGGTGAGCCTCAAAATTGGGGCTTAGCCCAGGATGGGTTCTTGGCTTTACCCAGGAAATAATTCAAGGAATCAAGGGCAAGCCAGTAGTGTTAGACGGCACCTTTTTTTTTCTTTTTTCTTTTCTTTTTCTTTTTTTTTTTTTTTTTTTGAGACAGTCTCACCGTGTCACCAAGTGGCATGATCTTGGTCCACTGCAATCCCCACCTCCTGGGCTCCAGCAATCCTCCCAGCTCAGACTCCTGAGTAGGTGGGACCATGGGCATGCATCACCATGCCCAGCTAATTGTTTTTATAATTTTTCAAAGACAAGGTTTCACCATGTTCCCCAGGCTGGTCTCGAACTTCTGGGCTCAAGTGATCTGCCTGCCTCAGTTTCCCAAAGTGCTGGAATTACAGGTGTGAGCCACCATGCCCAGCCTAGACAGCAGCTTTTATTGAAGTGGCCACATAGAGCAGCAGCAGCAGATATACTGCTCCTTACCGAGCAGGGCTACTCTATAGGCAGTGTGCCCAGAGTAGAAGCTCAGAGGCAGGGCTGCAGTCATGTTTATACTCATTTTAATTACATGCAAATTAAAGGGTGAGTTATTCAGAAATGTCTAGAAAAGGGGTGGTAACTTCTAGGTCATTGCCATGAAAGGGGGTGGTAACGTTTAGATGTTGCCATGGCAACAGTAAACTGACATGGCATTGGTGGGCACGTCTCATGGAGAGGTGCTTTTGCCTCTTTGCTGTTTCAGCTAGTCTTCAATCTGGTCTAGAGTCAAGTCCCTGCCTCCAGAGTTGAGTCCCACCTCCCCCTCAGTCCCAGGCTACTGGAGGGCTGCCGGAGTTGGCTTCTCCCCTGAAGAAGACATTCGTTCATTCATTGAGCCAACAAACTAGTGTTTAATGGACCACCTACTGTGGATCGAGCACTGCTGTAGGAACAGAGGACACAGAACTTAACACACAGATCAAAATCCATGTCCTCACTGCTTGGAGGAGATAGAAAATAAACAAGATACATAAGTAAAACATACAGTATGATGAACAAGTGCTAAGAAGAAAAATAAATCAGGAGAAGGGAATATGTGTTGGGAGGTGAAATTTTAGGTAAGGTGGCCAGAGGAGGTCTCTCCGAGAAGGTGGCATCTGGGAAAGACCTGGAGGAAGGAAGCTAGCCATGTGACTCTGGGGAAGGAGCATTCCAGGCAGAGGGAACAGCCAATGCAAAGGCCCTGCAGCAGGGGCTTGCCTGGGGTTCCCAAAGAACAGTGGAGGTGAGCTTGGCAGGTAGCACGAGCCAGACTGTAGGCCCTTATCACAGTGGTAAGGAATCTAGCATTACTCTGAGGGTGATGGAGAGTCATTGGAGGATTGTGAGCAGAGGAGTGATGTCATTTCACAGGATCACTCTGACTGCTGTGCTGGGAATAAACTGCAGGGGGCAAGGGTGGAAGCAAACAGGGAGATAGCCCATATGCAGCTACTGCAATAATCAAGGTGAAAATGGGGGTGATAAGAAGGGGCCATATTCTGAATCTGTTTTGAGGCTAGAGCCAACAGAATCACAGCCAGACCAGATATAGGATGTAAGGGAAGTAACAGGGACAACATCAGATTTTTTGGTCTGAACAATGAAAGATGAAGCTTCCATCTGCAATGAAGAGAAGGACTGGAGAAGGAGCCGGTTTGGGAAGGATCATCAGGATCTCAGTTTTGGACAGGCTTGAACATCCGAGTGAGATTTGTAAGTGGGCAGTTGGGTGTCTGTGTGTAGAGAGGTTAAGGGAGTGGGCTGAGCCAGATTTATTCGTGAGTCCTCAGCATACAGATTGTTTTTAAATCTCTGAGACTGGATGAGCCTTCCTAAGGAATGAGAGCTGAGTCAACAAACTCATAAAATGTTGACTCGATGCCAGGCACTGTGATGGCTGCTTGACAGACAGATGTGAGACTCGCCTTCAGTCCAAGAGAGAAGAAGAAAAAGCCATTTCAGTGTAATGCAGTTATTGCTAGCGAAGAGAAGCTCGGGGGTTAGAGAAAGCTAACACTGAAGTCCTTCTAGAGAGGACCCCTCAGCTTCCCCTAAGGGTAAAAGGAGCTATTCAGGAAGAAGTGGTGGAAGATATTCCAGGAAGAGGGAACAGCATGTGCAAAGGCAGGAAGCTGGGACAGAGCATGGGACTGGAATGGTAAGTGCCCATGGAACAGCAAGGGGGCACGGTGAGGCTCCAGGGGATAGGGAACGCAAGGAGGCAGGAGACAGGTCTCAGAGGCAGTGCTGGCTTGTGTGGATTTTGTCCTCAGGACCACTGAAAGACTGTTCTCATGTGAATGTCATGATCAAGTTCGCTATATTAACAATCAGAAGATTAGCATGGACATGTGACATGTATCCAGGTTGGAATGGCGATCAAGGTACACATAGGAAGTAGTCTTTACAAGAGAGAGGAGCCCATCGATTTCTGAGCCTGTTACTTTGTTCATGGCACAGTAATTTACCTGAAGCTAGAAATGTGTTTACCCAGAGCAGGGCCATGTTCAAGCTTAAGGGAAAGGGGAAAGGAGCTTAAAATGTATTGATGCTGCTGTATCACTTTATGTAATCACTTCTTTAACTCCCCAAGCCACAGCACATGAAAGTTATGAATATCTCTGTTTTATGCAGGAGCCAGTAAAAGCTAAGAGAGTTTGTGTACCCAGTCCAAAGTCACCCAGCCCAAATGTAGGGAGCTAGGATTTGAACCCTGCTCTGTGGTTACCTCCCCTAATGAAGCATTTCCTAGGGAACATTTTCCCACCTGCCAAGAGCACACACAATTTACAGAGCATCTGATGATTAAACAAGTTGGCTAAGTGCTTCTCACGCGTCAGACACAGTTGTCCTTTCCTTGACATGCTGTGGATGGAATTTAAATATTGCCTTTCAAATCAATGCTCATTTTATTAGCAGGAAGCATTTAGAATGAGCCATTACACCATCACAAGGGCTTTTATTATTGGTCCTTAATAAATGTTTGATGCCCGAAATGGTTATCAGCCCACAGTGCAGGAATGGTCTCACCTGCTCCCTGCTCTGCAATCTCTGCCATAAAATTAACTGAGGTATTCGTTAACAGACTTATCATTTATCCTACTTTTAACTGGCGTGATGCCAGAAAAATAAA
Organism: Homo sapiens; assembly: GCF_000001405.40. Taxonomy (NCBI): domain Eukaryota; kingdom Metazoa; phylum Chordata; class Mammalia; order Primates; family Hominidae; genus Homo; species Homo sapiens. The sequence continues at coordinate 33,199,013 of NC_000017.11, read as the reverse complement.
ATAAGCATATCAGAGAAACTACAGAAGGCTGTTTAATGACAGATAGCAAGGTTAAATCAAAAGAGCAATTCTTCCCACCAGCTTGTTATCATGAGCCAGGTCTCCAAGCAGGACGGTTAATGACATGGTCAAGGCCTGATCCCTGAATTCAAACTTATTTTTTTGCTACCAAGAAGAAGATTGTGTATTTTAGCTCCCATGCATCTTACCCTAGCTGGGATGGTGACATTTGAAGAAACCTTTATTTGCCTATTTCCTTTGGCTCTAAACAGCTCACTGCACATGTCTCATTTGCTGGCTTTAGCCACACAGGGAATGAGTCCTTTTTTTCCCCAGGGTGGAGAGCTCCCAGCAGAGAACAGAGGCTGGGGGTGCTACACAGGCTGAAGGTGACCTCAAAAGGTAACAGTATGCCAGGCAGTGTTGTAGTCAGGCTACCTGGATCAGTCACCATGTGCAGGGTGGCAGGACAGGTTGAAACCATTATAGTGGGAGACCAAGAAGTCTGCAGGGCATTTGTGGGTATCATCCCAGGTCTGAGTGACAGAAAAATAACAACAGCTAATGCCCTACTGAATTGAGCATAGGACTAGTTTATGTGAGTCAACTGATTGACCCATGCAACAATTTTATGATGTTAGGTTTGTTTTTTGTTTTGTTTTGAAACAGGGTCTCACATTGTCACCCAGACTGGAGTGCAGTGGTGCAAACATGGCTCCCTGCAGTCTGGACCTCCCGAGTTCAAGGGATCCTCCCACCTCAGTCCCCTAGTAGCTGGGACTACAGGTGCATGCCCCTATGCCCAGCTAATTTTTTTAGTATCTTTTGTAGAGATGGGGTTTCACCATTTTGCCCAGGATGGTCTCCAGCTCCTGAGCTCAAGTAATCCACCTGCCTTGGCCTCCCAAAGTGCTGGGATTACAGGCATGAGCCACCACACCAAGTCTATGATGTTAGTTTTAATATTATTTCCAGTTTACAAAGGAGGAAACCCAGTATTACAAGGTTAAATAATGTTCCCAGGAGCCAGGTTCCCCACTAACATCTGTGAGGCCCAGGACGAGAGTGCCAGTGGAAGCCCATGTAACACATATCTAAATATTTGCAAGTTTTGAATCCAGCCAACAACTAGTTAAATTAAATACATTCTATCATTCTGCTTGAAAAATAGACCTTTATAATGACTACAAAGCCCGGTTTGAATTCAGAATTCTGCAACTCTTAGGAATCCCAGACCAGAACCAGTACCCAGGGAGAGGGGTCCCTGACCCACAGCTCTCCCGAATTGTCCTTCTATTTTAGCTGTGTCTTAAACTGTAAGGGAGTTTTTGTGCATGCACATGGATACCCCAGCCCACACATCCAACCCCTGGACACTCCACATCAAACTGCAACCCCTTGGGAGGAGAGGGTGCATTCATCAATGCCAAGGTCCACCCTAGAGAGGATAGACCCAAAGGTGAGGCCCATCTGGGCCCTGTCAGCTGGCTTGGAGTCATTTAGGCAGAGAATTCCAGGGACCCAGAGTGTGGTCTAGTTTGAGAATATGAGTGCCTGGTGGACATGTCCTCTTGCTTCCTGTAAGGAAGGGTACAGATGGAAGAGGATCAGAGAAACACCCTGGAAAGTGTGGGGCCCAGAGCAGGGCCCCTCTTACCTATGTATACGGGTAATATTGCCAGTACCATGCAATAAGTGGCAGAGCTGATGTTTGAACTCAGGCTGTCCATCTCCAGAGTCCAGGTGCTAAACCCCCTAAGCTATCTTGCTGCTCAACAACCAAACATGAAATCCAAGAGGTGGCTATAGATTCCTGGAATCTCACAGTGCCAGAGCAGGGAAAGAGCTAGGCAATTTAAAGATCATTGAGTCTAATCCCTGCCCACTACCACCTTCACTCTCTACCCATTTTATAGATGAGGAAACTGAGGCTCAGAAAGGTTAAGTGACTTTCTCAGGAAATTAGACAAATCCAAGACAAAAAGCCAGGCTGCTGTTCAGTGCCCATCTTCTCCACCTTTCCTCTCCCTGTCCCATGTACCAGCTTTCTATTGAGGACTTAGACGTGTGTCCCTGGAGGGGACAGACAGCTTCCTCCATGGTATTTACAGTATGTATTCTAATGCCGAGGCGGAGATTCCTACTCCCATCTGTGTGTCATGCTGCCAGGAGCCCTTGGTGGTGTCAGCGAGTTCCAATTAGCTTTCTGAATCATATTTGTTGTCTTAAAATATTTATATCCAGCCACTTCCCACCTGCTAGAATTGAATTTTAGCCTCTTCCACAGTTCCTCTCTGTCTCAAGCCCAGAGGGGAATGCCTAGTACTTGAGCTGTTCCTGACATGAGGCACTGCCACCACCAACAGTGTTTCCTAATCAGACATAAGCAGGTGAATGGTGCCATTGCCGTGACCCAGGCTCCATGGCCCTGCACTTGGAGCTTCATGCCTCGGACAATGGCAAGTTGCTTCCACCAGGACAGGCCATTGTAATTCTATGTATGCTCTTCAGCTGGCTACACCTTCCTGTCTGGACTTTTGGGAGGCTCCCAGCAGATAACTGCAAGGACGCCTCACAGGTACCCCATGTATTTTTATCCTTCTTGGTGGCCGAAGGAGGCTGGAGCATCTTTTGCTGTAGGTTACCTTGACATTCTTCTAGAAGTGATCATCATCATCATCATCATCATCATCATCGTCATCATCATCGTCTCGTGTACTTTTAAAAGGTGGAAAGGGCACAGTTTTAAAATCAGGATTTGTATGTCAGTTCCATCTTTTAATAGCTATGTGACCTCCATTCAATTGTTTAACCTCTCCAAGTTCCACTTGCAAAATAGGGCTAACAAGGAATTTTAGGAACGATGAAATGAGCTACTCAACCTGCTCAGACCTTTCACTGAGGGCTCACTCTGTGCCAGGTATCTGGCATGTAAGCATTGCTTCCTTAATCCCTTTGATATATGTAAAGTGACTGGCGGGGTATCCGGCACACAGCACAATCTTACCTTTGTGAGGTAAGACAGGGCATGTGTAATTGCCACATTTTTATTAGGTTGGTGCAAAAGTTATTGTGGTTTAATGGCAAAAGGAGGAAACTGAGGCTTAGAGGAATTCCTTGATGATCCAGACTCACCCAACAGGTAAGCAGGAGTGCCACAGCCCACTCTATGACCCAGGAGGGTGAGGAGGGGAGGGCAGTCATTCTGGAGGTAGAATGAAGGATCAGAAGACCAGGCCAGAACTATGACCCTGCTTCCTAGCTGCATGACCTTCGGCAAGCCATTTGGCCTTCTGATCCTCAGTTTCCCTGTCTGCACAGTGAAGATGATCGTGTGTGTCCTCTGACCCAAAGTAATATGTTTTAATTATTGGATTATAAGTCTGTCTACTCTGATAACATGCTAACTTCCTGAGGACAGGGTTTATTTCTTAATGTAAAAAAGTTGATGGCCAGTAACCATTTACTATACATGATCAAAAAATAAAATTAAATAAAAATTTGTACAATTTCAACCCAATCACTATCATGATCCTCATTCACAATAATAGTTATAACAAAATCGAATTTTGTCAAAATGCTTTTCCACCCATAATCCTGACAATGACCCTCTAATATATGATTATCCCTGTTTTATAATAAGAATTCTGAGGTGTAAAGCGGGTAGAGGACTTGTTCAAGGTCATGCAGATATGGAGTGCTTTCCCCTGAGTCTGTATGATTCTAAATAGGTGGGATGACTTTCTCTTCCCCACACTGCTGTCATGTTGAGTTTTTAGGCTGTGCAGAGGCTGCTTTGTGCTGGCTGCTTTGTGCCAGCTGCCTGTGCTCAGGGAGGTTGGGGTTGGGGCTGACATCTCACTTTTTAAATTTTCCTTCCATTTTAATAAATAATATGTCACAATTCAGGCAAGCCAGCTGAATAATAATTTGTCAAGCCAGGAGCCCGACTTAGCTTGTTCCCACACCCGTCTTTCTACCTCCTACCTCTCTCAGTCCAGTCTTCACACATCCTGCTGAGCTCCAGATATTTCTGCCTTGGTGCTGTCACCATTCCCTAAGAAGTGGCAAACATTAAACTTGTTGTCTTTCCCCAAAGTTTCCCACTCTGCCTATTGCGATAGGCTTTGCAGCTCACTGTGCTGGTGAGGGAAACTGATGGCCCTGAGTGTCCCTCTGAGTATCCCAGAAGTTGGGTTTCACCACGTGTCTTAGCGTCAGAACAATGACATTGACCTTCTTTGCCAGTGGTCTTGGTTTTGCAGGGTGTGATAGAGTTGAGCTGCAGTACTGTAAGTCAACAGCAAGAGATTCCCAATCTGGGAATAACAGATTGATTTCCCAATCTGGGAATAACAGATTGATATCCCAATCTGGAAATGTAATGGCTTCAGGTTGTACATAATCAATTTGTTCCCTACATTCCAGTGCTGCAAATCCAAGATTTCATGTATAGATCTTTAAAAAGAAGAAGTAATTCCTTATTTTAGAAAAACTCTACATATGGAAGTTCACAGGTGCTGTATTTTTCCTCCATGATCATCATCATCATCATATCGGCTTAGTGAGCAATTTCATATCTATCCTGTCATTTGATCATCACAACAACTCTGAGAGTGACAAGGGCAACTACTGGTGTACCCATTACTTGGACAGGGAAACCAAGACATAAGCAACATGCTAGGAAGACACAAGAGAGGAGGGGCTGCTTTTGAATGTGGAGATCAGCAATGGCCTCTTGGTCAGAATGGCATTGGAAACAAGCCTTGAAAAACAAGGAGCTTTTTAGCGTGCAGAAAAGTGAAAGCAATAATTTCAGATTCGTGGAAAAGCATGAGCAAAAAGTCAGGAGGCTTGGGAAGTTCATGGATAATCAGATGGGACTGGCACCTAGAATGATTTGAGAAGGCAGTGGCAGATGAGCATGGATGGTCCCTGGAGGCTGGTGCCCAGTTACAGTGCATCTTGAATACGGCCCTCCCCCTGCCAAGGTGCTGCAGATCTGGTGTCTTAGGGTAGGCTCCCCAGAAGAATACCCTGAGACAAGGAATCGTGTGAAAGTAATATACTAGAAAGTATTCCCAGAGATGGCCAGTAGTAAATTGAGACCTGCAAGATGGCCAAGCCAAGGAAGGCAACCAAGTAAGCTACCAGCGGCAGAAACTACATAATCCCACAGGGATGTTCCCAAGACAGTGTAGACCCATGGGACTCCAAGTGTGGTCCTAGATCAGTAACATCAGCGACCACCCTGGAGCTTGTCGGAATTGCAGAGCCTCCTCTCCAGCCCGGACTCTCTGAATTAGAATCTGCATCATAACAAGATCCCCAGGCCTAGATCAGATCTCAGAGTTGTCCCAATAAGTGGCAAGGGAGCTGGAGTACTTCCACATGCTGTACCTGTCAGTCATGGGTTCAGGACTGCTCCCCAGGGGGATGTAAATTCCCAGGTACTTCCAGCCTTCTGCATGGTGGGTGCAGATTCCAGCAGACAGAGGGCAGGCCTCCAACAGAGAAGCTGGCCATTAAGTATGAAAGCACCAGTCCTGGAGCCATTTACAGGAAAATGGTAAAGCCTCCGGAGGGATGTGAGCAGAGCGCTATATATAGACTCTGACCACCCAGGCAGCCTGATGGCAGCACAGACTCCTTTCCACATTCTTTATTCAGCCCAAGACCTGTGGGCACAAATCTCTCAGGCAGTCAACTGGGAGAGGGTGGCGAGGCCTTGGAGAAAGGGACCTACTGCAAACTAAGTCCCTAATCTCTGGATTCATCCTGGGGAAAGTTGTATCACTTCCTGACACTTATCATGTGTTAACAAAGGCTTCTAAGTTGAGTTAAGTAGGGTTTCCCTGCTTCAAATGAACAGATAAAACACCTTTGTCATTAGAACATTAACATGTAAATGGTGCCATTAAAGGACTTTCAAATCCGTTAGTTCTATCAAGTAGGTTAAACATTTCCCCGAAACCCAGGGTGAACAATTCAGTTGCTTAGCAAGCTTCTGCCCTCCAGACCACAGGTGGTGAGCAATCCTTCTTGAATAATGGCCAATTCAGGAAAAGTAAAAATATGTATGGCCAGAGGTATTTTTTCCATTCAATCCAAAAATAGCTATATTTAATCACATGGCGGAAAAAAATGTGTATTTTTAAAACAATATATCAGCTTTATTATTTAAGAAAATGTTAATTAGAAAATTGGATACTACTTTTTAGCCTATAAAATATTAACTAATATCTGGGTACTTATGAGAAATTGCATCAGAGAGGCAGCTTTCCGATTTCTCCTCTCAAAATCAAGTCACAGACCATGTCATGGGGCTGGATGGAATATGAGTTTGCTACACAATAAAGAAGTCAACTTTTGCCTGACCATGGTTGCTTCTTCACAAGATTTGAATTGGTGAATGGCTGACGTTAGGAGGTGAGGGATCTTAGAGCAGCCACACCTCCTTGCTCCCTGCCTGTCCAGCAGGGGATGTCAATAGTCCTTCATAAATGTCACCATTAATAGCAGATAACAGAGCAAACTCTGTCTTGGTTTTTTTGGTTGTGTTTTGTTTTGTTTTGTTTTGTTTTGTTTTGTTTTGTTTTGTTTTGTTTTGTTTTGTTTTGTTTTGTTTTTGAGACTGAGTTTTGCTCTTCTTGCCCAGGCTGGAGTGCAATGGCATGGTCTTGGCCCACTGCAACCTCTGCCTCCTGGGTTCAAGCAATTCTCCTGCCTCAGCCTCCCAAGTAGATGGGATTACAGGCACCCACCAACATGCCTGGCTAATTTTTGTATTTTCAGTAGAGACATGAGGTTTCACCATGTTGACCAGGCTGGTCTTGAGCTCCTGACCTCAGGATCTTGTCTCCATTTACAGCTCCATCTTTCATAAATGTCCAAGCACTCTTTTGAATCCATGTATAGCTTCTGCTTATAATATATTTTTATTAAGAAGAAAATGGAGGGAGAGAGAGAAGAAAGAGGAAAGGAGGAAGTGGGGAAGGAGTAGAAAACAGAAAGATCTGTTTTCATGGTGTAGTGAAAAACAGCTTCAGTTAAATTCTGCAACATCCAAGCACCCTCTTCCACTGAATAATGGGGTAGATCTGATTAATGGAGGATTGAGGAAAAGGCATGTAGCACAATTCTGGCCGATGAGATAGGAAGAGAAGTTTGCTGGATGATTCTGGGGGATTGGTTTCTGTCTTAAGAGGGAGCTTTGTGAAGTCTGTCTCTCCTTCCTACCAATGTGAACAAGGAAGTTTGTAAGACGGATTGTGAGTAGCTACCCTGTAATCACATGGGGCATTAGGAGAAATCCAGCACTGTGAATAACAGGGTGTAGAGGGCCGTGGATCCTGTTGCCACCCTACTGGTGGCTATTTCTCCTCCTCCTCCTCCTCATTCTCCTCCCTCTTGTTCTCCTCTTCGTCCTCCTCCTCCTTCTCCTCCCTCTCTTTCTCCTCCTCCTCCTCCTTCTATCCCTTCTTCTTCTTCTTTTAACATTTTATGGCTGTATTGAGGTATGATCACCATACAATGATATGCACATATTTAAAGTGTTTAATCTGATGAGTTGTGACAAATACATATACCTGTGAACCCATCAACACAACCCAAAAAGAAAAAAATTCCATTACCCCCCACCCAACAAAGGTTCCCCATGTCCCTTTGTAATTAATTCTTCCTTCCATCTCCACACCAAGGAAACTACTGATCCGTCTCTGTCAGTGTAGATTAGCTGGCAATTTCTAGAATGTTATATGAATGGAATTATACAATGTTGTCTCTTTCTTGTCTGACTTCTTTAACTGAGGATAATGATTTTTAGACCTCTCCATGTTGTTGTATGTGTCAGTTGTTTATTCCTTTTTATTGCTGAGACATATTTCTATTGTGTAGGTATACCATTTTAAAAAAATCTTTTAGGCTGTTGATGGAAACATGGGTTGTTTCCAGTTCGGGGCTCCTACAAATAAAGCTGCTATAAACATCCATGTACAAGCCTTTGCATGAATTTATGCTTTCTTTCCCTTGGGTAAATACTTAACAAGTGGAATGGGTAGGTTCTTTGGTACGTATGCACTTAACTTTTAAAGACATTGCCAAACTGTTTTCCAAAGTGACTGTTCCATTTTACATCCCTGGCAGCATGTGCAAAAGTTCTAAATGCTCTGCATCTTCCCTGACCCTTGGGATGGTCAGTCTTTATCATTTTAGCCATTATAATGGTGCTTAGTGTAGTGGCATCTCATTGTGGTTTTAATTTGCATTTCCTTAATGACTTCTGATGTTATTCATGTAGATCAACTTCTGGACTTTCTGTTCCATTGATCTATATGTCTATATTTATAATAATACCACAAAGTCTTGGTTATTATAGTTTACACTAAGTTTCTTAGACAGTGTAAGTCCGTCAACATTGTTCTTTTTCAAAATTGACTATTCTAGGTCTTTCACATTTCCATATAATTTTTAGTAGTAGCTTGTCAATTTCTATTTTTTAAAAATCCTGCTGAGATTTTCATTGGGTTTCATTTAATCTATAAATCAATTTGGTAAGAATTGATGTAACAATATTTAATCTTCCTGTCAATAGCATGGCATTTCTCTGTATTTACATATGTGATCTTTAATTTCTCTCAGCAATGTTTTGTAGTTTTTAGTGTATGACTCTACAAATATTTTGTCAAAATGTATCCCTGTTTCATAGTTTTAATATAATACTATTGTAAATGGTTTTTTATTTTAATTTCCAACCGTTTATATAGTGAACCCATTATACTATATTGAAACAATTGATTTTTGTATTTCAATTGCATATTATTCAGCCTTACTAAACACATTTATTAGTTTTGGTAACTTTTAAATAAATTCTTTAGGATTTTTTATGTAGATGATTATTTTATCTGTGAAAAAAGTCAGTTTTACTTCCTCCTTTCCAATTTATATGCCTTCTGTTTGTTTTTCTTGTCTTACTGCACTAGTTAGGACCTTTGCTACAATGCTGAATACATGTGGTGAGAGCAGACACTTTGTCTCATCCTTGCCTTGCCTTGATCGTAGGGGAAGATCATTCACCCTTTCACCATTATTATCCAAGTCTTCTATATCCTCACTGATTTTCTGCCTATGTGTTATAAACATTGTTGAGAAAGGGGTGTCCCCAACTATAACTGTAGATTTGTCTATTTTTCCTTGTAGTTTATCAGCTTTTGCTTCACATATTTGGAAGCTCTGTTGTTAAGGGTATACAGGTTTATTATTATTATTATATCTTTTTGGTGAATTGACCTCTTTATCATTATGAGATGAACCTCTTTCCACCTGTAATACACATATTCTTTGCTCTGAAATCTACTTCGTCTGATATTAACAAAGCCACTCCAGGCTTCTTTTTTAAGTGTTAGCATCCTTTCACTTTTATCTTTATCTTTATGCCTAAAGTCAGATCTTGCCTATAGTTGGGTCTCGCATTTTTCAATACAATCTAACAGTCTCTGCCCTTAATTGGGATGTGCAGACCACTGTATATAATGTGATTATTAATGTTGAGTTTAAACCTGCCAACTCATTTGTTTTCCTTTTGGCCCATCTGGTCTTTGTTCCCTTTTCCACTTACTTGTCCTGCCTTCTTTCAGATTAATGAACTATTTTTTATGATTCCGTTGTATCTCCTTTGTTGACTTCTTTGTCCCATCTCTTCGCTTTCTGTTTTAGTGGTTGCTGTAGAACAGGGTTTCTCAGCTCTGGCACTACTGGTATTTTGAGCCAGATAATTCTTTGTTAGGGGGTGGGGGGTTCTCTTGTGTATTGCAGAGTGTTTAGCAACATCCTTGGCATCTACCCACTAGATGTGGGTAATACCCATCCACACATTGTGACAGATATCCCCAGGGAGCACTCCTAAAACTACAGCTCTAAGGCTTACAGCATAAATCTTTAACTTATCAAGCAAATGTTATACGACTGTATGTATAGTATCAGAAACTTACAAAAGTGTACTTCCCTCTCCCACACCCCATCTTTTTTGTCATACATTTTTCTTCTACATATGCTATAAACCCCACAACACATTGTTATTTCTACTTTTTAAAATAATCTTTTAAAGAGACTTTAAAAATAAGAAAAAATATTTTATATTTACTCACATATTCCTTATGTAAATTCAAACTTCCATCTGGTATCATTTTATTTTATGCTTAAAGGACTTATTTCAGTATTTCATGTGGTAATTGTTTTCTGGTGATGAATTCTGTCATTATTTGTATGTTTGAAAAAAATCTTTACTTTTGTTATTGAAATATATTTTTACCAGATATATAATTTTAGGTTAACAGTTACTTTCTCTCAGTACTTTAAAGCTATCACTCCACTGTTTTCTGGCTTTCATTTCTGAGACGTCTGCTTTCATTTTTATCTTTGTTCCTCTGCATATAATGTGTCTTTGTTTCTGGCTTCATTTAAGTTTTTCTCTTTATCAGTACTTTTCAGCAATTTGGTTTTGATATGCTTTGATGTGATTTTCTACATGTTTTTTATATTTGCAGTTCATTGATTTCTTTGCATCTATATGGGTTTAAATTTTTATCAAATTTTGAAAAATGCTGGCTATTATTTCTTCAAATATTTTTCTCTCCCTTCCCTTCTTCCAGGACTCCAACCACATGACTATTAGGTCTTTTTATATTGTCCCACAGCTCACAGATACTCCATTATTTTTATTTTGTCTTTTAACTTTGTGTATCATTCTGGATAGTTTTTATCACTGTGTCTTTAATGTCACTGATCTTTTCTTTTGCAGTGTCTAATCTGCTGTTAATTCCAACCAGTGCATTTTTTAATCTGAGATATATTTTAATCTCTAAAACTTTTCTTTGGGTCCTTTTTATGTCTTCCATTGTCTCCTTAGCATGCTCACACACACTTTTCTCTATCTTCTTGAGCAAATAATATATGATTATAGCAGCTGTTTTAATGTTCTTGACTACTAAACTGATTATTTGTGTCATTTCGATGTCTATTTCTGTGGATTGATTTTTTTCCCTCATTGCAGGTCATAGTTTTCTGTTTTTTCTTTTTTTTCTTTTTTCTTTTTTTCTTTTTTTTTTTTTCATCCCTGACCATTTTTGATTGGCTGTCAGGCGTTATGAATGTCATGTTGTTGGATGTTATCATTTTTTCAGTTCCTTTAAATGTTTGGGGGCCTTGTCCTGGGATGCAATTAAGTTACTTAGAAACAATTTGGTTTCTTTCAAGGATCAGCAAACTATACTCTGCAGGACAAATCCAGCCCCCTTCTGTTTTTGTAAATGAAGTTTTAATGGAACACAGTCACTAGCCACAGCCATTCTTTCACATATTGTCTGTGGCAACTTTTGCATTACCACAGAAGACTTAAACAGTTGAGACAGAAGCATGTGGCCCATACATTCTATTAGGTGCAGGTAGTTGTGGTTTTGGACTGTGAATTTTAAATCATTATAACTAGGCTCAAACACATCTTTATTAAGCAAAATAGGAACCATTACAATCAACACATTTTTTTGCCAATGAGAAATAAGCTTGTTTGTTCCTATAGTGTAAAAATCCATGCTTCGGGATTTAATGAACTCTTGGAAAGCATTTTCTGCATCCTGCTCATTGTGGAAGCATTTTCCCTGCAATAAGTTGTCAAGTTGCTTAAAGAAGCATTAGCTGGTTGGTGAGAGGTCAGGTGAATATGGCGGATGAGGCAAAACTTCATAATCCAATTCATTCAACTTTTGAAGCGTTGGTTGTTCGACATGTGGTCAGGTGTTGTCATGGAGAAGAACTGAGCCCTTTCTGTTGACCAAAGCTAGCTGCAGGTATTGCAGTTTTTGCTGCATCTCATAGACTTGCTGAGCATACTTCTCACTTGTAATGGTTTCGCCGGGATTCAGAAAGCTGTAGTGGATCAGACTGGCAGCAGACCACCAAATAGTGACCGTGACCTTTTTTGGTGGAAGTTTGGCTTTGGGAAGTGCTTTGGAGCTTCTTCTCAGTCCAACCACTGAGCTGGTCATCACCGGTTGTTGTATAAAATCCACTTTTCGTCGCACATCACAATCTGATCTAGAAATGGTTCATTGTTGTTGCATAGAAAAAGAGTAGACAACACTTCAAAATGATGATTTTTTAAAATTTTTGCTCAGCTCATGAAGCACCTACTTATCAAGCTTTTTCACCTTTCCAATTTGTTTCAAATGCCAAACGACCATAGAATGGTCGACATTGAGTTATTCAGCAACTTCTTGTGTAGTTGTAAGAGGATCAGCTTTGATGATCAACTTCCGATGGCCAGCCACTATGCCCCTCATCTTCAAGGCTCTCGCCCCCTTTGCAAAACTTCTTGAACCACCACTGCACTGTACGCTCATTAGCAGTTCCTGGGCCAAATGTGTTGTTGATGTTGCAAGTTGTCTCTGCAGCTTTACGACCCATTGTGAGCTTAAATAAGAAAATCTCTCGAATTTACTTTTTGTCTAACATCATTTCCATAGTCTGAAATAAATATAAAATAAACAGCAAGTAATAAGTCATTAGCCAAAAAATAAAGCGAGAAATGCCCATTAAGATGATGTATAAGGCCAGGGGTGGTGGTTCATACCTGTAATCCCAGCATTTTGGGAGGCTGAGTTGGGCAGATCATTTGAGGTCAAGAATTCGAGACCAGCCTGGACAACATGGTGAAACCCCATCTCTACTAAAAATACAAAAATTAGCTAGGTGTGGAGGCACATGCCTGTGATCCCAGCTACTCGAGAGTCTGAGGCAGGAGAATCACTTGAACTCTGGAGATGGAGGTTGCAGTTGGCCAAGATCAAGCCATTGCACTCCAGCCTGGGAAACAAAGCGAGACTCTGTCTCAAAGAAAAAAAAAATGGTGTAGAACATAACCACATTTATTTAAGAATGTATTCCAAATATCAAACGGCAAATTTCAACAATGCAAAAACCGCAATTACTTTTGCACTCACCTAATAAGATATTTACTCTCTGTCCCTTTACAGAAAAT